>NC_000003.12:36260000-37510000 GCF_000001405.40 Homo sapiens
TACCTTTATGATGTGAAAACATAAGGTAAGAAACTGTTGCAAAAACTTGTCCAGAACCTATAAACCACAAAGGCTAGAGTGGAGAAAAAAAAACTCAGAAACTGTCTATAGAGGTATTTCTATAAGCTAAAAACCACTTAATCTGTACAGAAAAGGATTCTGATGAAAATTAGCTCACAGACTATTGCTCACATGCATGAGCAATAGTCATCGGGTACAAAAACATGAGAGGAATCAAACTTAAGGATTAGAAAACAGGACAATTTGAAAGGCACTAATAAATCCAGTAAGATAGGGACAGTGAGGTGGGGAAAGCAGGAGATACAAAGATTAGCAAAGAAAGGGGAAAATAATCATGTACAGATGTTGTGTTTGTCTACACAGACAAAGTGTAAAAACCAACAAATGAGTTTCCAGGTACAAGATGATTTACAAAAATTAATAGCATTCCTATCCACCAATGTAACCAGATGTAAGTTTTTTAAAGGTCCCATTCACAAGAAGAACAAGAAGCATAAGATATTTGGGAACAACCTAATAAAAGATAAACATGATCTTTATGGAGAAATTGTCCAATATTATTGTAAGAGCTAAGAGATAAATGGAAATGCATGAATAAATGGAGAGGTATGCTGTGTTTATTAATGAAATGACTTGATATTGTAAAGATATAAATTCTTCCCAAATTCATCTATATTTAATATCACTGATTCTAAAGGTAATATGCCAGAAGTGTTGAAGAATAGCAATTCAATGCTAAGAAATGTGACAAAAAGCAGGAATATCAAAATCTTGAAACTTATAATAAAGGTATAATAACTAACACATGGTGGCACTGATGTAGGGATAATTAAAAGGATCTGGGTCAACAGGTCAAAATGGATAGCCCAGTAATGAAGTAACACATGTATGAAAATCTGGTATATGATGGGCATATTTGGGGGGATGTAGGCCTAAGGGAATACAAAGAGGACTTTCATTTTTTCAGTCATGTTTATGTATATTATATTTAAAAATATATAAAAAAAACAAAGGCTAGAATTATGAATTCTAAACAGGTGCAGAGGTATATTTGTATACTTAACTTTTTCAAATAAAAAACTTTTATCTGAAAAACGTTAATATTTTCAGTCCAATTCTCTATTAAAGTAGGAAGACAAGAAGCCCTATAAACCAAATTTGAATAAATGGAATAAATAAACTGGAGTTACACTATGTAGAAGAGCTAAAACTTATTGAGAACTTACTGGCCGGGCAAGGGGGTTCATTTCTGTAATCCCAGCACTTTGGGAGGCCGAGGCCGGCAGATCACCAGGTCAGGAGTTCAAGACCAGCCTGGCCAATATGGTGAAATCTCGTCTCTACTAAAAATACAAAAATTAGCCAGGTGTGGTGGCGCACACCTGTAGTCCCAGCTACTCAGGAGGCTGAGGCAGGAGAATCACCTGAACCTGGGAAGTGGAGGTTGCAGTGAGCCAAGATTGCACCACTGCACTCCAGCCTGGGTGACAGAGAAAGACTCCCTCTCAAAAAAAAAAAAAAAAAAAAAAAAAAGAACTTACTATGTTCCTGGGATTATACTAGGTGTGGTAAACATAATAGAGGAAGTCTTCTGGATCAGAGAGCCCTGATGCAGAAGGCAGAAGAGAGGAGAGCATAATATCTTAAAGGGTGTAGTTCTAGATTAAGAAATCTTACTGTACAGAATTAGGCACAAATCTCTGTCATTTCTTTACATAAAGCACAGAAAAGCTGTTTGTAGCACCAGAAGCTAAACACTTTCTTTTTATTTTAAGGTAATTTATAGTTATAAAATTTTTAAACAACTAAAAAAACTAAATTGCGGAGCCTGTATTTGATAAAATATATATATGAAAGAACACACATAGGAACACAGAAGTTCAACTTGGAGTCAAGCAAGAAAAAACGTAACTTGCGAAATTACTTACACAATTGAACACATTTTAAAATACAGTATACTCAAAATGAGATTTCTTTTTTTTTTATTTCCAACTTTTATTTTAAGTTCAGGGGTATATGTGCAGGATGTGCAGGTTTGTTACATAGGTAAATGTGTGCCATGGTGGTTTGCTGCGCAGATCTTCCCATCTCCCAGGTATTAAGCCCAGCATCCATTAGCTATTCTTCCTGATGCTCTTCCTCCTCCCACCATCAACCCTCCGACAGGCCCCAGTGTGTACTGTTCCCCCACCATGTGTCCATGTATTCTCATCATTCAGCTCCCTCTTATAAGTGAGAACACGCTGTATTTGGTTTTCTGTTCCTGGGTTAATTTGCCAAGGCTAAGGGCCTCCAGCTCCATCCATGTCCCTTCAATGAACATGATCTCATTCCTTCTTATGGCTGCATAATATTCCACGGTGTATATTTACCACATTTTCTTGATCCAGTCTATCATTGATGGGCATGTAAGTTGATTCTAAGTCTTTGCTATTGTGAATAGTGCTGCAATGAACATACGCATGCAGGTATCTTTATAACAGAATGATTTTTATTCCTTTGGGTATATACCCAGTAATGGGATTGCTAGATCAAATGGTATTTCTGCCTCTAGGTCTTTGAAGAATAGCAACACTGTCTTCCACAATGTTTGAACTAATTTACATTTCCACCAACATTGTAAAAGTGTTCCTTTTTCTCCACAACCTCGCCAGAATCTGTTGTGTTTTTTTGACTTTTTAATAATAGTCATTCTGACTGGTGTGAGATGTTATCTCATTGTGGTTTTGATTTGCATTTATCTACTGATCCATGATTTGAGCTCTTTTTCACGTGATTGTTGGCTGCATGTTTGTCTGATTTTGAGAAGTGTCTGTTCATGTGCTTTGCCCACTTTTTAAGGGGGTTGTTTTTTTCTTATAAATTTGTTTAAATTCCTTATAAATGCTGGATATTAGGCCTTTGTCAGATGGATAGATGGCAACATTTTTCTCTCATTCTGTGGTTGTCTGTTTACTCTGTTGTTTCTTTTGCTGTGCAGGAGCTCTTTAGTTTATTTAGATCCCATTTGTCAATTTTTGCTTTTGTTGCAATTGTTTTTGGCATTTTCATCATGAAATCTTTGCCTGTACTTATGTCCTGAATGGTATTGCCTAGGTTTTCTTCTAGAGTTTTTATAGCTTTAGGTTTTACATTTTAGTCTTTAATACACCTTGAGTTGATTTTTGTCTATGGTGTAAGGAAGGGGTAGTTTCAATTTTCCGCATATGTCCAGCCAGTTGTCCCATTTATTAAATAGGGAGTCCTTTCTGCATTGCTTGTTTCTGTCAGGATTGTTGAAGATCAGATGGTTGTAGGTGGGCAGTCTTATTACTGGATTCTCTATTCTGTTCCGTTGGTCTATGTGTGTATTCTCGTACCAGTACCATGCTGTTTTGGTTCCTGCAGCCCTGTAGTATAGTTTGAAGTAGGATAGCATGATGCCTTCTTCAGCTTTCTTCTTTTTGCTTAGGATTGTCTTGGCTATTCAGGCTCTTTTTTGGTTCCATATGAATTTTAAAGTAGTTTTTACTAATTCTGTGAAGAATGTCAATGGTAGTTTAATGGGAATAGCATTGAATCTATAAATTGCTTTGAGCAGTATGGCCATTTTCACAATATTGATTCTTCCTATCCATCAGCATGGAATGCTTTTCCATTTGTTTGTTTCATCTCTGATTTCTTTGAGCAGTCATTCATAGTTCTACTTGAAGAGGTCTTTCACTTCCCTTGTTAGTTGTATTACTAGGTATTTTATTCTTTTTGTGGCAATTGTGAATGGGATTGTGTTTCTGATGAAGCTGCTTTTTGGTAGAGCAGCTGTGCTGTGTTGGCAATCTATTCAGCCCCCGATTAGTTTGGACTCTCTAAAGCCCACAGACTGGACCGGCTGAGATGCCCAGACAGTCAAGGTGGCAACCTGCCCCACCTCACAGGCACTCTGTCCAAAAGAGAAATTAGAATTCTCTTGGCCATAAAACACAGGCAGGGGTAGTTGGAGTCTCTGACCGGGAGGGACCTCCTCATGAGGAGCAGTGGATTTGGGTCCCACTTAAAGAAGCTGTCTGGCCATGCCTTTGACAAAACAGCCATGTAGTGCTGATGAACCATCTCTGCCCTTGTTGGCTTGGACTCTCCAAAGCCCACAGGCTGCAATTGCTGAGTTATTCAAACAACCAAAGTGGTTGCCTTCCCCTCCCCCAGGCACTCTGTCCTTGTCCCATGGAAAGATCAGAGCTAGAATAGGTGCAGGTGGGTGTGGCTGCAGGTCCCAGCTGGAAGACCTCCCCAGTGAGGAGGAATGAATCTGGGTCCTGCTTAAAGAAGTAGTCTGGACACATTCTGGCAAAGCAGCTGTGCTATGCTGCAGGGACCATTCCTCATCTAGACCGGTTGGACTCTCCAAAGCCCGCAGGCTTCAATGGCTAAATTGACCAAAGAGTAGAGATGGTGACCTGCCCCTCCCCCGGGGACTCTGTCCCATCTCAGGCAGGCTCCACCCTGTTGGCGGTGGCTGGCTGGAATTCCAAGCTAGTGGGTCTTATCTTGTGTGGTGCCATGGAAGTGGGGCCCAAAGACCAAGGCTGCTCAGCTCCCTAGATTCAGCCTCCTTCCTAGGGGTATGTGTGGAACTCCTGCCTTGCCTGAGTTACATAAACCTTTGTTGGGGATTGCAGGGCCAGAGTATGCAAAGCTCCTTGTTCTCTGTGCACGCCTGAGTAGCTGCTCTGCCGAAACTCCACACAGCTCTGTGTGTTGGATCCAAGACCCCGGTGGCATGGGCTCACAAGCAGATCCCCTGATCCACAGGTTGCAAAGATCTGTGTGAGAAACGTGGTTTCCCAAGGTTGCAAATTCATTCACTGCTTACCTTGGCTGGAGCTGGGGGTTCCCTTGTCTCTGTGTTGCTCCCAGATGGGCCATCAACCTTCCCTGCTTTTCTTCATTCTCTGTGGGTCAAGTTGTTTCCCTAATCAGTCCCAATGCAAGTACCTGGACATTTCAGTTGAAGGTGCTGTGTTCACTCACCCTTTTCATTCCTCTTTATAAGTGCCACAGACCACAGCTGCTTCTAATTGGCTATCTTAGCCAGGAAACCAAGATTTTCAAAGTCTATGTGAAAACCATTCCAACAGATACTTCACCTTTTCTCATTTTATAACTAAATAATCTTAATAGCATAGTGAAGCAGAGGAATATTATGGATATTAAGAAATCATATTATCTACATTTATATGTGAGTGTGTATGTATTTATTAAAGTCAGAAATGTGGTTCAGAGATTTTAACATGGATTTTCAGCAAAGCAAACAGCGATAAACTTAACTTTTACTAGAAAGCACAAGATCAGGCCATGTTTTCAAATGCTTTTTCATCAGAAACAGAAATTTATAGTGAATCCAGTTGGTCTACACTCAAAGTACCATATTGCTGCCTTTTCTTAGCAAGGTTATGCTGCATTGGAATTCTGGAAGGGGTCTGCTGGGAACATTGACCCATAACTAGGTATTCAGTTATTACCAGGCAGAAGTGTTTGTTGGCTGATTCTTTCCTTTCACGTCCGCAAGACTCTTGTCTCACTAACATCTCTGAGCATGGCTCTGCTGAAGGCAGGCTCCTCCCTGAAGCTCTCTCGTTGGTTTCTGCTATGCAGTATCAAGATGGTTCTTTTGATTTCTCTAAACTGTCTCTTCTCTCTTATCCTCAGCTTTCCTTTTTTTTTTTTTTTTTTTTTTTTTTTTTGAGACAGAGTCTCACTCTGTCGCCCAGGCTGGAGTGCAATGGCGCCGTCTCGGCTCACTGCAAGCTCTGCCTCCTGGGTTCAAGCTATTCTCCTGCCTCAGCCTCCTGAGTAACTGGGACTACAGGCGCCCACCCGTACGCCTGGCTAAATTTTTTGTATTTTTTTTAGTAGAGATGGGGTTTCACTGTGTTAGCTAGGATGGTCTCGATCTCCTGACCTCATGATCCACCTGTCTTGGCCTCCCAAAGTGCTGGGATTACAGGCGTGAGCCACCACGCTCAGCCAGCTTTCCCTTTCTTTCATGGTTTGTCTGCTGATCCATGATGCTATCTGTTTTACAACAGCAGATTTCTTTCCTAAGCTCCACATATGTATAACTAATTGTTCATAGCTGAGGGTACCACACTTAGAAGGTAAGACATGGAGATGTACAGATGCCAAGAGGGACCTGGTGGTCTGCAGTGTATCAGTGCTCTACTTCTACTCTGTGTCCAGTTCATCTTCCCAATGCTGCCCCTACAGACCAGCAGCTGCCCCTACAGACCAGCCCCTACAGACCCTAACCCCATTGTTCAGTCCTGGACTTCAGGCCCACAGAGGTGATGCTTCCACAGGGGTAAGCTATTTCCATAAAGGCAAGTCTTCCACAGACTTTTCCACAAACTCTCTCTTTATGACCCCACTCCCACAGTTTCTTAAAATTCCTAGAAAACTCTGGTCCATGTGCACTAGTGCTTCCAGCTGACTTGTTGCCTCCCTCTCTCATCTTACCACCTCTGCATCTAGACCTTCGCTTACTTCTGCCAGATTTGAGTAAGCTCTAATTCCTCTATGAAGTGCTTTTTTTCCTGCAATGTTTTTAGCGACTCTCTTTTCCTAACCAAACCCCAAAGGACACATTGATTCCAACCTGTTTCTGCTCTAGTGTTCCTGATCTCAGGAAACAGCAATACTCTCTTCCCAGTTAATGTTGTCACCCTCTTTACTTCCCTTCACATTCAATCAGACACAAAGCCTCCCTTCATGCTCTCTCTCAGTCTTGCTTTGCCTCTTCCTCCTCACTTTCACCCCATTAATTCAAACCCTCATCATCTCTTACCTGAAGTCATTTATCTATTTATGACTCTTAAGAGGATATTGTCTATTTCTCTCATACTTCTTCATCCTAAAGTCAGAGGAAGTGTGATCAGTCACATCTTACATTCCAATGCCATTTTTGCATAAAACCTTGTTTTCAGGTACTCAGCAATTTACCTCCATCTCTCCTGTTTCTGAACAAACAAATGGTCAGCATTTTCATCCAGTGAAGAGTTTGTCACCTGGTTTAGAGACTCCTCTCTCTATGCATGTCCTGACATCATTATGGGTGACTTTGATGTTCACCTAGATAACACATGCAGAAGCCTGACTCCTCAGTTCCTTGAAGCCTCAGTTTCAATGACCTCCCCTCCATCTCCTCTCTCCATCCCTCTTCAGTCACACACCCCTTTGACCACAGTCTGAACCTCTTCATCATCTCAACTCAATCTTAAAATCTTTAAATATGATGCCTCAGTCTTCTAACTCCATCACTTGATTCCTAAAGCTTTAGGAGTTCCTTGAATTCAATTTGCCAATCATTTTTAGAACTCTTAATTTTCTCCCTTTCTCTTAAGCCCTGTCTGCTTTCACTTATGTCCCTGTCAAGTGGTACCACCACTTCCACCACCATCTTACAGTACCCCCAACTCCTCAAGCCTTAAGTCTATAACCCTTGTCTCCACATGGACACCTGCCAATGGGCTGTGGAGTGCTGTTACAGAAAATCACGCAACCACTCAGATTGAGGTTCCCAAACTCAAAGTTTTCAAAATCAAAGACACTGGTTTCTCTTTCTGTGATGCCCTACTCCACTCCATCTCCCTTTCTCAATGGCAGTGCCTCTACCTTTCTCTGCTAAGAAATCTCCACTTCAATGCTGACCTTCTCACTATTCACCTACTCCTCACAGACATTCAGAAACAAAGCATTTAAGCTCTCAGAACTGGGCACTGAGAATAAAAGGAAGTAAAACAGGCCTTGGGAGTATGAAAGGAGGTGGGGTCTTGCAGTGAAATAGGCATGGGGTCTGTCTGTGTGCTACTGTTTGCCTTGCTAAATCTTCTTATCAACTTTGAACTGGAGAACGATCAGAGATAATGCTTACTTCTTAGGGCACTTGAATACAAGAAGTTAAATTAGACATAGGGAATTGCTTATCACCACAGGTAATTATTAAATATTTTTACCCTTTCTTTTCTCTAGAGGAACCAACAAGTCAATGTGGAAGATAGAACTAACCAAGCAACCACCTACAATGTGGGAAGGGCATCAAAGAGGTATGAACACAAAGCAACGGGAACTCAGAGAAGGGAGTAATTCACTCTGCCCAGGGCAGCCACGTGAGTGCACCACTGGTGGATGTTTGATTACGTATTTTTACTTTTACATCCCCAAATGATTATACATATGCACAGTTGATTTGTTTGGGTTTCAGAGAAAATTTGGGGAGACAGAAGAAAAGGCTGCATTTCCAAGATTTTTGGGAAGTTTTTCTATGATTCAGTGAGTCTCAGCATATTTTCCTAGTACAAATATAACACAATTATGGTAGTTTATTATTAGGGGAAGAGTTCTCCTGACGCAACTGTTAGTCCCTCTCAGATCCTGAGAGCTACCCTGCAGGAAGGCCATTCCTGCTGATAATTCGCGAGGAAAAAATGCATTTAACTGGAAGCCTCATTTATGAAGGGTTCTTTCTGTGTGACAGAGGACAGTATGACTATACTTTATTAAACATTTTGAAAAGCGTAACCAGTGCTTTCTTTTTTTTTTTTTTTTTTTGAGATGGAGTCTCACTCTGTCACCCAGGCTGGAGTAGAGTGCTACGATCTCGGCTCACTGCAACCTCCACTTCCTGGGTTCAAGCGATTCTCCTGCCTCAGCTGCCTGAGTAGCTGAGACTACAAGCACATGCCACCACGCCCGGCCAATTTTTTGCATTTTTAGTAGAGACGGGGTTTTACCGTGTTAGTCAGGATGGTCTCACTCTCCAGACCTCGTAATCCACCCACCTTAACCTCCCAAAGTGCTGGGATTACAGGCATGAGCCACCGCGCCTGACCGACCAGTGCTTTTAAAGTGATTGCACAAACCTCCTGTCTTTCTATTTGCCTGACTTCTGGCAACGTTCAGTGTGCTTAGGCCTGCCCAGTTCACTCCTAGGATGGTTATTGTGCCTCTCCCTTGGACAAGCTCTGTGTTCACCACAGACGGTGGCCAAAAACTATTTCCATCCTCAAGGACTACATAGTCATTGTCCAGTGTGGCAAATTTCAAACATTTTCAGCAGATTTCAAACATCTTACCTGGAACCTCAATAAAACTAATGAAAATCTATAAAACAAGACAAAGAATACTGGTTCTGATTGAAGAAAGGAATTATGACCCAGAGCTACCTTCTTAAGGGCAAAGTTTCAAAGGAAACAAGGCTGGTGAGTGAAAGTGAATATGTTACTTGAAGTTTGGAAAAAAATTTGAAGAGCTCTCAGCATGGCAGCCAGATTGTTCTATTGACATAAAATAGTCAAGTCACTCTCAGTCTCATCCCCCTACAACCCTTTCTCCAGATATTGTCTCTTCTGTTCTAGCACACCTCCAGAAAAGGGAGGCAGCTCAACCATGTGAAAGCTGTCCATTCGGTTTACTTTCACTCTGAAAGTTTCAAAGTCTACTCTACTTTCACTTTATTTTCCAGTCTCTCTCTATACATGTATACCCTTAGGATTCAAAACTTTCCTCCACGGAGATATACTCATTCCACATTGTTACAGTGGTTCTGTCTGGGACTCTGAGGACTTCAGTTCTTCTCTTGTTACATTAATTTGCCCTGCATCTGCTACCTTGGAATTGCCCTAAGTTGTTGAGGTGTATGTGTAATCTAATTCCCATTAAGTTGCAAGCTCCTTGAGGAAGTCTTAAATGTGCCCTAGATTTCTTTATTTTCCTACACATAAACTCACAGATGTAGTGACTGACCACTTACCCAATGGCATCATCATATCCAGGATGGCATCCAGTACCTCTGTCTCCCATTGAACATTCCCTCATACTTCCCTCTTTTGGAACAAAAGTAAATTTATTTGGCCGGGTGTGGTGGTCCATGCCTGTAATCTCAGCTACTCAGGAGGTTAAAGGGGAAGGATAACTTAAGCCCAGGAGGCCAGGAACCATGATCATGACACTGCACTCTAGCCTGGGTAACAGAATGAGATCCTGTCTTTAAAAATAATAAAAAGGTATATTTTATTTTGTATTACTCAGTTTTTCAAGGGCAGTGACTTGTTAGCCATCCTCTACCCCCATGATACTAGTTAGACAAATGTATTCCCAGTTCATCACACAATACCTGGCACAGATCAATAAATAGTGGTGACACCAAGACATCCAAGAACTCTAATCATCTACACTGGTTTCTACTGAAATGTCTGTTGTCATAGACTTAATTGTGTCTTCAGATACAGCAGTTCTGTTATTTCTGAGTTTTACCTGGGGCAAGAGAATCTTTAGCAAGTTTAAAGGCACCTATATCTGGAATCACCCCTCCCTCCAGATGAATATCACAGACTCTCCCATTAAAGGTCTTGCCTTCCTTGATAGCATCATCACTCCATCTATGGTGACTAACTCATGCAAGTTTGATACAGATTTTCCTGGTTTTAAAACTAGGCATATTACATTCCAGAAGCCCAGACCTCTAACTTATCTTCAATATTTGCAGGCTGGGAAGATTGTTTATTGCTGTCTCTCTTCCTTTCTCTCACCTCACAATCACTCCATTCTTCTACCTCACCATCCTAAGCGAACAAGTACGTGCTTTCTAGTCTTAAACATTAGGAAGAGCTAATGATATCTACAACTTCTACTTTCTGCCCTGCAAAGATTTCTGAGGCAAAGAAACACAAAGCCTGATTACCCACTGAAAACCAAGAAAGGAGGTGAAACTACAAGGAGAAAAAGAGTTTAACCAATTAACTTGCCATTTATGTAAATTGTTTAGCACAAGGCACAATACTTAACAAACAGGAACAATTATCATTCCTGTGTGCCAGAAGCAGTCAACGCAAAATAACACATGGATCCTGCCCTCAATGACCTCACACTCTAGTGAGAAAGACAGACAAGAAAAGAGTATGTATGTTTTAAGTTAGACCTGATTCAAAGTATTAAAACTTTATCTAACATGGTATATGTAAGATGGACAAAATTTGGGGGGAGTCAAGAAAAATTAGTAGAAGAGGGAAAAAGATCTGCAGGGTATGGAGGGGGCCATTTGTAACAATCTAGGAAGCAAGCATACAATACATGTTTATTATCCAGTCTTTGCATGTTCAGATTTTGTAGTTTCTTGCCCAGGATAGCTCCTGCTTATATCATTTCTTATGGACTTCTAAATCTTGCTTTGTGGCTAAAATGAAATTCTGCTGCCTGTCTGGAAATGAAATAAGAGGTTATTTTTCTAGATGCTTTTTTTTTATTGATCTCAGAATGTGTTTTAGAGTTTGGGGACCTCTTATCATCTATAGCTAATCGGAACAAGGTTTTAAAAGTAGTTTATTCTCTTGCACTTTTCTAATTAGGTCAATAAACAAATACACTAGACAAATGCTATCTTTGCAAGCTTTTGCTAGCTGTACATCCAAAGATTGCCCCAGAGACCCAGACTTTAATTAGATTCAGTAGGGGTCTAGACACTTTCATTTTCTTTAGAATTTTTCGATGTCCCACTTCAGACATGAATTTAGGAAACTGTGACTAACACGTGACTCCAAAATGAAGAATATAAAAATATAGGTCTATTGTTTATCATTGGTATAATGTCCTCACTAAAGCTCTGCTTGCTACTCTGCTTTGCAAACATTCACTTCCCAAATTTAGGGAATTTAGTTCTGTCTATCACAACATATTGATAAGTGTAAAAATTGGCAATAGCTCAAATGTATAATTGTAGTTGGGCAGTTCAATAAATTATGGGCATCTATAGAATATTGCACCATGCTATTCAACATATAGACCTATAAATATATATTTTGACAGAAATATCAATTGGTAGGACAATATGCACATTAAATTATAATCCTATTTTTGAGTACATGTAGGAATAGAATTAAAGATGAACTGTTAACACTCTCAGCATTGTTTATAACTAACTAATGGGAATATAAATCCTTTATTCACATCTGGATACTCTAGTTTTGTACACTGAATGTGAGTTTCTGGTATATTAATAGCTAGCATAATTAAAACTAAATAAAATAATATAAATTTAAAGATAGAAATTATTTTCTGTTATAAAAAGAATTGCTACTGACTCTAAGTGTCCAGCAGACCAGGGAAGTGAGTCAACATAACAGGAAGTGCTCAAATTAGAGCACATCAGACTCAGTGGGACCATGGAGACCCAACTCTATTCCCTCACTTAGTGGTGCAGGAGCTAAAGCCTAGAAGCCAAATATCTGTTCTAAACCCTACCATTCATCAGTGTAGTAACTAGATTTCTAACTTATGCTTGAATAGCTTTCACGTGCATTACAGTCTTAGAAATGCTCACCTAAATTCATCAACTTCACGTCTTACAAACAGCTAAACACTGAAGAATACCGAATAATTTCTAAATGCAGTCTAGTAAGGGCAGAAGTTTGTAAGAAATTTTTGGTATAAGCTAGGCTTGGCTTGATTGGCTCACAAGTCTGGGGTTTGGCTGAGATGATTAGGATGACTCGATTCTCTCCCTGCAAAGTTCCTCATCCTCCCACCAGATAATCCAGGCTTGTTCGCTTTGCTCCAAGAAAAGCAAGTGGAAACTGCAAGATTCCTTGAGGACTGAGCATGGAACTGGCACACCACCATTTTAACAATATTCTGTTAGAGCAAATCACAAGGCCAGCCTAGCTTTAAGGGACAGGAAAATAGACTCTACCTGTTGATAGAAGGAGCTGCAAAGAATTGTGGCCATATTTGAGATCTGCTAGTTTTATACAAGGAAAGCAATCAGTACCTACAAGAGCAACCTACTATGTCCCTGTGCTTTTCAGGGCACCCAGAGTCTAAAGATGAGCCTGAACATAAGGATGAGTAATTAAACAACTTATGAATTGAGTCCTAGAGATGGGACTTGGACTTATAACAAGGCCAGCTCTTAGCTGTGATTCTTCACCACACAACTCAAAGAACAGCTCTTCCCAGTTGTTCTTCGTATACCCAGACCAAATATATCAAAGTGCCTTCCTTTGAGCCCCCACAGCAATACATGGGTCATCTGTGATAGTTCTTATATTACTCTACTATATAGCAAAGTCATGGTTATAGTTTGATCCCTTTTTCTAAATTTAGCTACATGAGGGCAGGCACAGCAACTTGTCAATCACTACATCTCCTGAAGCATCAAGCAAGGCAAGCACACTGGAATAGATATGCTGTACTTTAAGACATTTGCATTGATATTTATAACTGAGTTTGGTTTGTTGTTTTTATTCTATTAGGCCATCTTCAGCAGACTTTTTAAACAATGTATACCTGCTTTATAAAAATAATTTGGAAACTTTCCTTAATTTTTTATGCCATGATATTTAAATAACTTAAATACCATCGGAATTATTTTTTCCTTAAAATTCTGAAACAATCCATACCTTTATAGGGAGGTAATCTTTGACAGCTTTCTGCATTTGTTTATACTAATGAACTTGTTTAAATTTTCTGCCCCTACGGGGGTTAGCTTCAATAATTTCCCTAAACAATCACTTCTTTCCTGCAGGTGCTTACATGTATTATATAAATCTGAGTAAGTAGTCTCCAATGAGTCTTTTAATTTAATTTTCCTGTATTTGTGTTGATTTCCCCATTATTATTCCTAATTTGAAGTATTTATACATTTTCTCTCATTTTTATCTCAAAGTTAATTAGCTAATGGTTCTCAACTTTATTTTTTCCAAAAGAATCAAATCTTGCACTTATGTATTAGCTTTGCCATATTTCTATGCTCTAATACAATTTTTTCTATTTAATAAACATTTAATTCTAAAATATAACACTCATACATAAAGGTGAAAGGGGAATGAAATATAAACATACTTAATGAATTATTATGTACTTAAAACTTACATAACCACTGCTCAAGTCCTCAGATAGACCCTTTGTAGTAACCCAGAGCCCCTACACATGATCCTTTCCAATTTTAACATTATTCCTCTCCCTTAGAGCTAAACATACTGACTTTTGTAATGGCCACTCTTTGCTTTTCTTTATAATTTTAGCACCTCTGTAGGCAACGTAAACATTATAATTTGGCTTTGCCTATTTTTTGAATTTTATATAGATGGAATTACATACTGTGTATGCTTAATTTTGTGTAGCTGTGTAAAACTGAAGACTGTTAAATTTGCTGCTAAATAATTTCCCATTGTATGAATGCACTGTTGCTTATTCACTTTTTCTTTTAATATGATTGATAATCTTTCCAATATTTTACTATTACAAACAATGTTGTGAAGTGTACCCTGATGTACACATGCACATCTTTCTCCAGGCAAAGGTCCTTAACCCTTGGATCCATGGATAGATTTCACAGAGTCCATGAACGTGAATGGGAAAAAAAAAAACTAAATCTGTCTCTTTATTACCTTCTAACTGAAATGCAGCATTTCTTTTCATTACAAATGCAGACAAGAGAGAAACACAATACCTGTGCCTGTAACCTTGTCATAAGTAGCTCTGTATGCTTTGTATTTTTTGTCACTGATAAAAATAACAAAATTTTATATCTCATTATGGCTGTAAATATCTAGAAATATCATTTGTGCTCATTACTATTTTGAAATTATTGTAGTTATTAGACCCCCTACTTGCTGCTGTTATTTAATACGTTAATAAAAATGAATAATTTTTACTATAGCACAAATTTATTGTTTTAGTATTTGATAGCCATATTCTGATAGAGTTGTTTCTTCTCACAAATTGTATGTATTTTATGTATTTTTTAAAAGCTTAAGTTCTTATGAGAAGAGATTCTTAGGCTTTGCATGATGGCCAAAGATACATGACACAAAAAAGGTTTGGTATTCCAGGGCATATAACTAGGAGGGGATTAAAGTCTGCGAGTCAGTCAGGGATGAATCAGGCTACACCACAGTAACAAACAGCTCCCAAATCTCAATGGTTCAAAACAACAAATATTTATTTCTCACATATTCTACATTTCCCTATGTCTACCTTGGGTGCATTGGGGGAATCAGGGAGCTCACTCAGTGAGTTAGGGTGCTAGAATTTCCACCATCTAAAAAATAACTGGCAGCTGTGCTGGAGAAAATAGAAGATGGCAAATCATGCATTGGACCTAAAGGCATCCATGCAGAAATGAGTGATATATTTTGCTTTTGCTCACATTTCACTGGACACAGCAAATTACATGGTCATACCTAAGTTAAAGGGGGTAGAAACAAGAATTCCATCAAGTGTCCCAAAAAAGGAAAACTAAAAATATTGGTAAATAACACTATTGACTATTAGAGTATACATATTTTCAATTTTATTATATAATATCCCACTTATTTCCAAAGAAGGCTACCAATTTACATTCCCATCTGTACTATATGGAAATTCACCTCATTCTATACATCCTCAACAAGACTTGGTATTGTGAAGTTGTTTCTCATTTTAGTCATTCAAGTTGTTTTAAATTTTTTTTCCAGACTACTCCTGAGGTAGACCTTTTTAAATACGAATATTAGTCATTTGGATGTCCTGTTTTTTAAAGTACCTTTTCAGATCATTTGATCATTTTTAAATTAAATTGTCTGTCTCTTTCTTATTTATTTTTTTATCAGATCTATTTAACTTACATTTTATCTTTTCCTGTTCACTCGGCCTGTTCATATCTTTTCCTGTTCACTCTGTTCTTCATATCTTTTGTTCTGAGCCTTTGTTTTTGAGCAATTGCTTCATTTATGTTTTTTTTAACCCATGGAGATATTTAGTGACAATTTGACCTTCTCCACTGTGATGTAAATATTTCTATTGGCAATTTTTTCCTTATTCCTTCAGTCATCTGTTGTTGTCATTGTTGTTGATTTCATTGGTTATATTTTGTGAAAGACCTGTTTTTGATCCTTTTTGTTTATTGCTCACATTTGAATAAGATTCATTCTTCCTGGATCAGCTGGAAGCAGGCAGTTCATGGAAAAGACTTTCAGGAATTCTTGTGAGACAGAGTTTTATATACGTTATTACATATTTTCAGCCTTAACATCTTCCCAACAACCAAGATGGCCCCTATTTCCTCCTCACATTGTGAATGTCTCTTTTTAAAATTGCCTTATTAACAGACTATTTTCTACATAAATGCTCTATTATTTCAGACTCTGTATCATCGGAATTCTAGGAAGCTCTTGCTGCCAGGTCCTGCACCCAATGCCTCCCATTCCAAACAAGAACTGTTAGTGTTTTACTCGGAGCCATGACACATACTGAGGGAAGTGCTTTCATTTGGCTTTTTCTGAGTGCCGTCTTTTCATCTCTTTTATATTGTACAGTAATTGTTTTGTCGATTTGTGGTGTGAGTTTTCAGATTTATCTTAGTTTCACTAAAGATTAAGGCTGTCTTTCCAGGTCTTGTTGTCTCAGTTTTTAAGACTACAAAACCCAGAAAGAGAAAGTACCAACTTCACACCAACATTTTCAAACAAGAAGCCCATCAAAGGTTAAACAAGAGTCATGTGTTCAAGTTTGCATTTTAAGAGCATTCATAAAGAGGCACATTAAGAATGTACTTAAAGTAATGAACCATTAAGAGTCTGTGTCAGTAATCCTGTCAATTGATAATAACTACTTATGGAGCAGGAGAGTGATGAAGAACACTATTTGGATTTAAGAATCAATATAAATTGAGAGACAGTATAATGTGGAAACTAAAGATTGGGAGAAAGGACATTCTCATGCTTCTAGAATATTTAAAGAATTGGGCTTTTTTTTCCTTGTATGGTATTTAGATCAGAATGCAGAGCATATTTCCCTGTATAATGTCCTCTAAAATGTCAAACATATTTATTGATAAGAAGATGTCAATGCTAGCCAGGGTGTGAGTTATTTCAATAAAGACAATAATGTGTCCTATTATCATGATGCTGAAAGTGATATTACTTCTCCAATAGAAAACCCTTCTGTGGACTATCTTCATTAAAATTCCTGAAAGATCATTAACTCTCCAACCATCTTTGATCAATTCCAACCTCTGACAGTCTAACTACTTTATATGATTGGCAAGTCAATTTCATCTCCATGTTGCACATACATTACATTTAAAACATAAAGCTTTATTCCATTCCATAAAGATGCATAGATTGATGACTGTGTAGATATACTAACTGGGAATGGATCAAAGGGCTCTATGAATGAAAAGTGTGGACAATGGTAATTTTTAAATTTAGTATAATACCAATTTTGAGAAAGGTGTAATAACAGGAATAAGATATACACACATCCCTGAAACAACTAAAAATTATTAAGAATAAACAGACAAAATAAATAAAACAAATAGCTTTTAAAACACTTTTCAGGCAACATGAAACTGATTCTTGAAAGATGAGAAACAAACTAGTAGAGACCAACCATTGCCCCAGTTTACCACCTTGAGAAAGTTTCCCATCCATGGTAGAGGGGAATCCAAGTGGGCCCAGCAAACTCCCTGAGGTGAGGAGGTGGACCTGATGTTCTGGGATACCAAGGCTGCTGGAGTTTGTAGGATAGGGTCCTGGAAAGAGAGCTTCTCAGAAAGAACTAAGAAATCTTCAGAGAATCCCTGCCACCTATTCAACAGAGATCCTGTGAGGAAACTACCAGAGGCTGGGGGAGAATCATCCAGAGAGGACGAGATCCAGGTTCCTACCCAAGACGGAGAAGAGTCTGCCACCACCCAGAATGGAAAAGCTCATAATTTACAGAGAACTGGGTAGAGTCCTCAGAAGGTACTTGCCGCGGTGGTAGGGAATAATTAGTCCTAGACTAAATGCTGTTTTAGTCCCATCTAACAAATCATAAAAACAAGACACAAAAGAATCAAACTGTTTCTGAGTAAGATAATTGTGTTCCAGTACAAAGCTTAAGAATATTTATAGAAATACAAAAATTTCCAGCACTCAGTGAGGTAAAATTCAGAATGACTTGCATCTATTCTGAGATTCTAAGACTACCAGGCATGCAAAGAAATAAGAAAACATCACTCATAATGAAGAGAAAAAACCAATCACACCTGAACTGGAACTGACAAAGATATTGGAAATAGCAGATGAGAACATTAAAACATTTATTATAACTGAATTCCAGATGTTCAAAAAGAAAAGAAAGTACAAGAAATATATAAAAATATCCAAATCAGACTTATAGAGATGAAACTAGAGATGAAAAGTATGATGACTGGGGTGAAAAATATGTTATATACATTTAATGGAAGATTAGATGTTACAGGGAAAAAAAAAGATTAATGAATTCCAACAGATAGCAATAGAAATCCAAAAGGAAACAGAGAAATAAACTACCAAAAATACCTCAGTAAATTCTGGCCACTTCAAGTATTATTATTATATACAATATATAATATTATGTATTAATTATATGAATAACATATGATATTATATAAAATATATGTAACATAAGTATTTTTATATGGTTATGTATGTTATATTATATATGATTATATATAATATAATATATTAATATTATATACATGGAAGGGGAAAACAAAAAATTGAAGAAATAATAACTGATTTTTCCAAACATGATGAAAACTACTAAATCACAGACTCAAGAAGATCAATGAAAATTCCAAGCACAAGAAACATGAAGAAAACTGCACCAAAACATATTATAATTAAATTGATCAAAACCAGTGATAAGAAAAATCTTAAAAGAAGCCAGAACAAAAAGACACATTATACAGAGAACAAAGGTAAGAATGCAGTGGATTTCTTGTTAGAAACTGGTAAGAAGACTAATAGCTCTCTGTATTAGTCCCTTCTCATATTGCTATAAAGAACTACCTGAGACTGGGTAATTTATAAAGAAAAGAAATTGGCTCACCATTCAGCAGGCTCTACAGAAAGCATGGCTGAGGAGGCCTCAGGAAACTTACAATCATGGCAGAAGGTGAAGGGGAAGCAGGCACATCTTACCTGGCTGGATCAGGAGGAAGAGAGAGAGTTAGGAGTTGCCACGTACTTTTAAACAACCAGATCTCGTGAGAACTCACTCACTGTCAGGAGAACAGCAAGAGGGAAGTCTGCCCTCACGATCCAATCACCTCCCACCAGGCCCCTCCTCCAACATTGGGATTACAATTGGACACGTGATTTGGGTGGCGAAACAAATCCAAACCACATCATTCTCCAAATGTTTTCATGCCCTTATTTTCTGAACCTATTAATATATTACCTTATAGTTATAAGAGACCTTGCAGATGTCAGTAAGGTTAAAACCTTGTGATGAAGAGTATAGCCTGGCTTATCCAGGTGGGCCCAGTATAATCACAAGTCCTTAAAAGCAGCTTATCCAGGTGAGCACAATATAACCACAAGTCCTTAAAAGCAGACAATCTTTGCTGACTGTAATCAGAGTGTGAAGCAAGAAGGACTTTACTTGCTATTACTGACTTTGAAGATGGGGAGAAGGAGGCCACAAACCAAGGAATGCTGTGCCTTCTAGAAGCTCAGAAAACAGCCATCAGTTTACAGCTGGCAATAAAACAGCAACATTGATCCTACTCCAAAGAAGCTGAATTCTAAAAACAACCCAACTGGGCAGGAAACTCTCTACTGTAGCCTCCAGAAAGTAAACCAACCTGCTGATTTTAGCCCACCGAGACCCATATTAGACTTAACAACTCACAGAAGTGTGAAATAATGAATTTGTGTCGTTTAAAACCCTGAGTTTGCAATAATTTGTTATGGCAGCAATTAAGAACTGATGCAGAAACAATGCAAGTGATAAGACAAGGGAGAATTACCTTTAAAGTAATAAAGAAGGGAAAATTTTCAATGTAGAATTCAGTACCCAATCAAAATTTCAGTTGCATTTTTGTTTAAGAAACTGAAAAATGTATTCAAAATGTATATGGAAATTAAAAATAATCCAGAATGGGCAAAGCACTTTGAAAAGATGTAACAAAGATAACCCAAATACCTGATTTCAAGAATAATTATAAAACTACAGTTGTCAAAACAACATGGCATAGACATACATGTAGAGAAATTGATCAATGACATAAAATAGAAAGTCCAGAAACAGATCCACACATACCCAGACCACTAATTTTTGACAAAGTTACAATGGCAATTTAGAAAAAAAAAGATAATTTTGTTAATAAATGATGCTGGAACAATTGGACGTTCACATGCAAAAGAAAAAGAAAGGAAAACAAAGCTCAGCACATACTTCACACCATACACAAAGGTTAACACAAAATACATGATAGACTTAAAATGTAAGAGCTAAAACTCTAACAATCTGGAAGAAAATGTTGGACAAAATCTTTGTGTCCTTAAGTTAAGCAAAGACTTCTTAGACATGACACCAAACAATCCATAAAAGAAAAAAACTGATTAATTGAACTTCATCAAAATTACAAACTTTTGTTGCTTTAATTATACTGCTAGGGGAAGAAAAGCCAACCTACAGAAGATTAGAGAAAAATATTTTCAAAACATACATCTAATTAAAAAGACTTGTATCCAGAAGATATAAAGTACTCTATAAATTAAATAATGAGAAAACAAACAACCCAATAAAGAGCTGAGAAAATATTAACAGACACCTTACCAAAGAGAACATGCAGATGGCCAACAGGCACAAGAAATAATTCACAACAGCGTAAAGTGTCATTAGGGGACTGCAAATTAAAACCACAATAGTGATACAGCATATCAGCACATGCTATTAAAATAGCTAATTTTTTTTTAACTGACAGTACTAATTGCTGGTGAGAACATGGAGCATCAGGATGCTTGTTGAAAGCAGCACACTCACTGGTAAAACACTGAAAATTTTCTACCTCAGATTGGGAACAAGGTAAATATGTGTTCACATTGTGACTTCTATTCAAAATGCTGGAAGCACCAGCATTGTATAACACAAGAAAAAAAGCATAAAAATTACAAAATAAGAGATAAACTATTATTATTCACAGACATAATAACCTACTAAAAGAGCTAAAAAACTCTACAATCTATTATAATTGCTGGATAGAAGTTACTGTAAAAAAAGAAAGTGTATTACTACCATACACCAATAACAAATTTTAAATTTTAAAACTGATACCATTTAAAATAGTCCCAAAACTATCAAATATAATTTAGTAAAAGATTTGAAAGATCTCTACATTAAGACTATGAAACATTATTGAGAGAACTTACAGAAGACCAAAGTAAATGGAGTGATATGCTATATTTATGGATTGAAAGGCTCAGTATTACAAAATTTCAAATGTTCCCTAAATCGATCTAAAATGAAAATGCAATCCCAATCAAATTCTAAGCTTTTTTTGCACTAATTTTCACAGCTTCTAAAGTGGAAATGGAAATGCAAAACTCTAAATATATCCAATATTGACTATATCCAATAATATTAAAGAAAAATATATCATGACAAGCCATAGTAATTAGAACAGTATGATATTGACCCAAGGATAGAAAATTTGACAAATAGAACTAAAATCAAAATTACATAAGAAGGCCCAAAAATATATAGTCATCTGATTTATGTTAAAGATGACACTCTAATGCAATAGAGAATCTTTTATTACATCATACTCCACTCAGATAAAACTCAGATTGAATACAGGTAATCAATCAAAATGTGAAAGATCACAAGAAACTGAAAGGGCAACCCATAATGGGAGATTAAAAAAGAGAAAGGGAGTGAGAAAAGCACTTACCACATATGCATACACTAAACAATGTGTGTCCAAAATAAAGAATTCAAAAAGAAAAAGAAAGACAACCAAATAAAAAACAGGCAAACATTTAGGTGTTTCTCAAAAGAAAATATGCGCGTGACCAAGAACCACATTAAAAAGCTGCTGAATTTCATTAGTAATAAAGAAAATGCAAATTAAAATCACAAAAAATGTTGTTACACACACATACATATTACAATGGTTAAAATAAAAATGATTGAGAATACCAAGTATTTGCAATGATGTTAAACATCTAGAATTCTCAGACACTGTTAAGAGTATTAATTAATAAAACCATTTTGAAAAATTATTTGCCACTTATTTCTGAAACCTGAATAAATGCATATCTGTGACCAGAAATTCCATTCTTAGGTCTATTTCCAACAGAAATGCCTAAAATGTATATTAGAAGACACATACAAGAATGTTGATAAAGGCATCATTCTTAATAACCCCAAACTAGAAACTACACAAATGGTAATCAACCATTAATAATTGCAATATATTCATATAATGAAACATTATAGAGCAATGAAAACGGAGGGTATACAACACATGTAACAATATGAATAATTACCATAACAAAAGGTTGTGCAAAGAAACATACACAAAAAAGTGTATGTGGCATGGTGCAATTTACAGAAAGTCCAAGAACAGCCAAAACTAATCTGTTCTGTTAAAAGTCAGGAAAGTAATTACTCTTAAGAAACATGGGGAATTGCCTGAAAGAAAAGACAAGACGTGTTTCGGGATGCTGGCAATATGGTATTTCCTTATCTGGGTGCTGGATGCCTGAGCATGTTCATTTTGTAAAAAATTTACAAGCTTCATACTTAGCATACATAGTTACATTTTTCTGAACATATGTATGTGTTCAATAATTTTTTAAGTGGCATAGATCCAATTCCTTTTTCAGTTTCAGATTTTTCTCTGTTCTATTGTGCTGAAGTTTTCATTCTTTCAAGCATAAGGCAACAGATTTTGTGTCTTTCATGCTATACAGACAAGTGGGTCATTTTTGCAAAAAGCAACATTTTCCCCATAATCTCTGTAACTAGGTGATCTCACATTCAGCAGGCAACGTAGAAAATCCTGTCACTCTAACTGGACTTTTTTAAAGCTTTATGGATAGTTTATTTTCTTGTTTTGGCTCTGCAAGAGCTTGCTTGCCACACAGCTGTGCTAAATCAAAGAGAACGTGCTTTATCAGCTCTGTAAACACAGACAAAACCAACACAGTTGATGTCCAAGTGTCACAGAGGGTGTTGTAAGCAAGAAATTTAAATCTAAAAATATAAAATGATAAAGTGGTGCTGTACATGAAATTCTTCCTGTGGCTAATTAAGGGCAACGAAGAAAATGGTGTTGTTTTCAAACTTTTAACTAAGGCCACACATATTTAGGCTAACATCTTGGATTCAGGTTGTGGTGGTGAGAAAGGAAATGAGTTTTGAAGAGGCATTCTGGTCCTTTGCTGATTCTCAAATGCCCTCATTGCCTTTCCTCACCTGGTCTCCCAGAAGAAGTACTGTGGTCACATCCACCTCACTGCCTCCACGGTCTCAAGTCTCATCTCCCTTCTATTCAAGATGGAGAGCACTGAGAAGATACAGCAGATAAAGCAAGATCAATGTTTATAATTACATAGGTAAATGCCTAAGGGCAGCAACTGAAATGCACCACTATTTGTGCTTTGGGGTTAACACGTATAATCATTTTAACTTTGTTTTTAAAGTTTAGCTATTTCATTTTGATGCTGCTATCATTTTCTTAGACCTATGTAATTGAAATTTTAATTACATATTAGACAAAATATTATTTATGAATATGCTGTTTAAATTCCAACTGCTTAATCCTTTTACAATTATTTATAGAAAAAACATATTTAATCTTAGTACTTTGATATATTTTGCTACAGTTAGCATATGATTGTAAAGTCGCATTATGGTATACCCATATAACTTCTGGATTTTGAAATTAATTGGGTTTTTTGTTCTTTAGTTCATAAACCATTTTTATGAATGTTCTATTAACGATTAGAAAATTTGATCTTGTCAGTGGATAGCAGAATTTTGTGTTTGTATTATATGTGTGAATTTTTCTTTTTTAAAACATTAAATAAGCCTTATTGTCCTTTTTGACTTTCTATCATAGAGAATTGTGCTAGTGTCAATTATTGCAATGATGGTTTTGTTAATTTACCATTTTGATAGTAATAATTTTTGTTTTATAAGTTTATATATTATAATTATACATAGAGGTCTTTAATATTATTGTATATTTGATTATTTGAGCTATATATGAAAGTGCAGGTTTGAAAATAAAATTCTAATTTGACTAAGGTTGAAAAGGCAAAATCTAATGATTAATGTATTTATATGGAAAATACCTAAAGAAAATCTTGCTTAATTTTTGTCTTCCAAACTTTCATATAGAAGTTTTAGATATTTTATTTATTTATTTATTTATTTATTTATTTATTTATTTCGCTAGTCAAAAGTAAACTTTATCTAATGGCATAGGCTCAAAATATATATAGTGAAAATTAACAGCTCTACAGAAAAACCTAATAAATCTACCATCCAAATGGCAGATTTTAACATAAATTTCTCAATAAATAATAAATTAGGAAAATCAAATTTTAAAAACTTAAGTAGACAATTTGAATACCGATGTTAATAAGATGTTAATCAAGATTAACATTAACATGTTAATAAGATTGATCAAATACACATATATAAAACTGAATATTGCCCACTGTTTTCATGCACACATGAATCATTTACAGTAAGTGGCTATGCTTTATACCACAAATGAACATCAACAAAAATTGTATACCATTGGAACTGGTGTGTTCTATGATCATGAAACAATTAGGCTAGAAAATAATTTTTGTAAAGAGGAAAAGTATACTTTTTAAAATTATAAAACATTTATAAATAATCGTCTAAAGAAATCAATATAAGAATTAGAAAATGTTTAGTTGCAAAATATAGTTCAAATACTACTTATCAAAACATGTGGAATAGACATAAAGCTTACATTAGAAAAAAAAACTGTACAAATTAGAAACTGGTATAGTTAGTGACCTAGTGAAGAAAAATATAGACCATTTCAATAAATAAAAGAAAATATAGACTATTTCAATAGATGCAGAATAAGCATTTCTAAAATTTAACATGCATGCATAATTTTTTAAAAAATTAATCAGAATAAAATAAAACCATGTTATGGAGCTGAATTGTGTCCCTTCAAAATTCATCTTGAAGCCCTAAGCCCCAGTGTCTCACAATATGACTGATTTGCAGAGGAAGAGATAATTAAATTAAAATGAAGCTGTTAGGGTGGATCCTAATCCAAACTGACTGGTGTCCTTATAAGATGCTATGGTTTAGATGTCATTGTCCCCACCAAAACTCGTGTTGAAATTTGATTGCCAATGTAACAGTGTTGGGAGGTGGAGCCTATTGGGAGGTACTTAAGTAATAGAGGTGGATCCCTCACAAATAGATTAATGCCCTCCTGTGAGACTAAGTGAGTTCTTGCTCTCAGGACATGATTAGTTACCAGACAGTGTTATAAAAGCAAGTTTGTTTGGCTTCCTAGATGCTCTGTTGCTTCATCTTATTCCATGTGATCTCTTTGCACACACACACCACCCCTTGCTTTTCCACCGTGAGTTGAAGCCACATGCACCCCCTCCCCAGATTGGCTGCTTGATCTTGGACTTTCCAGCCATGAGAATCATGAACCAAAATACCTCTTTTTACAAATTACCAAGTCTCATATAGCCTATTACAGCAACACTAAACAGAATAAGACATAAGAAGAAATTTGTACACAAAAGGAAACACCAAGGCTGTATACACCCAGAGAAAGATCATGTGAGAGGACACAGCAAGAAGGCAGCTGTCTGCAAGCCAAAGAGAAAGACCTCCTTAGAAACAACCCTGCTAACACCTTGATCTCAGACTTCCAACCTCCAGATCTAAGAGAAAATAAATTTTTGTCATTCAAGCAACCTAGTCTGTGGTATTTTGTTACAGCAGTCCTATCAAACTAACACATTGTCCATTAAAAACATAGAACAAATACTTATTTTATGTTGAAATGTCAAAACATTTTCAGTAGGATGAGAAACAAAACAAAGATAGCTGCCATCATCTCTTTTACTCAATATTTTACTCAAAGTCTTAGTCAATGCCGTAAGAGGAAAAGGAACAGGTAATGATTGGAAGAAGAGACACAATGCTGACACTTGCAGATAATATGTGTTGTATATGTGAAAAATTCATATGTAAGATAAGTAGCTAGAATAAATAACAGATTTTGGCAAGATTGTTACCTATGAAAACAATATGCAAAATTTTTATCACATTTCATATGTCATTAACAATTAGAAAATGTAATTTTAAAATGTTTACAAATATATAAAAATACAATGTACTTAGGGAAAATATCACTAAAGTTCTTTAAATAATTTTCAGAGAAGAGTATAAAATCTTAATGAAAGTAATTAAAGAAGACCTAAATAAACACTCTTTTTTCTAAATAAGAAAAATCAAATTCATAAAGGTGTCAATTCTCCAAACTGACTAATGGAGCTGTTATGACTTTTATCAAAATCTCAAAGCACCCCAACCCCCACCATGGGTGCTCAATAAGCCATTGTAAAATTTATAAGGAAGAAAGAAGAGCAAGAACAACCAAGACATTCTGCAAAAGAACAAGATGGAAGACCTTTCCTATTCGACATCCAGATGAGTTTTAAAGCTATAATGATTAAAATAATGTGCTAAAAGTACAAGGATAGACAAATAAAATAGAATGACAGAAAACAACAAAAGAGAATTGAGAGAACAGACACAGAATCTCATATATGTGGAAGTTTCACTTGTTGATATAGGCATTTCTGATCAGTGGAAAAAATGATCGATTACTTACTAATGGTCCTTTAATGATTACATATTTACATAAAAATTAGGAAATGAATTATAGTCTCATAACTTAAGAAACAAACACAAATGGGTTAAGTAGATTAATATGAAAGGAAAATGTGTGAAATCTGTATAGGTCTCAGGGTAGAAATGGATTTAAAATATTAAAAGGAGCAAATGAAAATGGAAAATAATGATACAGTCAACTACATTAAAAATAAAAATTCTGGAGGACATTATGTTAAATGAAGTAAGCCAGGAATAGAATGTTAAACACCGCATGTTCTCATTCATATGTGGAAGCTAAAAAAAGTTGGTCTGGTAGAAGTAAAAAGTGTAACAGAGGACAATAGAGGCTGGGAAGGGTATAGAGAAGGGAGCAATAGGAAGAGGTTTGTTACAAGATACAAAATTACAGCTAATGGGAAGAATAAGTTCCCGTGTTCTATAGCACTATCAGATGACTATAGTTAACAATAATACGGTTTCAAAAAGCTAGAAAGAGGACATTCAACATTCCCAGCACAAAGAAATGATAACTGTTTGAGATAATGGATATGCTAATTACCCTTATTTGATCGCTATACATTATATGTATCACAACATCACTATGTACTCCATGAACACGTAAAAGTATTATTTTTCAATTAAAAAATAAAATTGAAAAGGAAAAATATGAATTCTATATAATTTAAAATGTCAACTAAAACCTAAAAACTAAAACCTAAAAAATCATAATTCTAATCGTATTAGAAAAAATATTGTAAGAAGAAATCTAACAACTTAATAGGAAAACTGTGCAAAACATGAAAACCGGTACTTCTCATATGAGTAAATCCAAGTGGCCAATAAATAGATGGTTAAACAAACAAAAAGGTTTAACCTCATTAGTTCTCCAGGAAATGTAAATTAAAACCACAATGAGATACCATGTTACTCTATCTCACAGGAAAAATTCAAAGCAGCATGATAGTAAATGGTGAGAATACAGAGCAAAGGTAATGTTCATTTACTGCAGAAAAAGTGCAAATTGTACACCAGTTTCACAAAAACTATTGACATCACCCTACTTACATAAATATGTACTACAACACAATTACAGTACTAGCTATACATATATATATATATATGCACGTATATATATGTCACTAAAATTATTTAAACCATGCATTGTGAGACACCTACAAGAATATTCAAAGAAGTAAAAAAGTGAGAAATCACCCAAATATCCATCAAGGGCAAAATAAGTTAGCAAATGTGGTATACATAAAAATGAATGAACTACAGCTGCACACATCAATACAGATGAAACTTATAGTAAATAACTTCATATCACAGAAGAATATATTCAGTGTCATTTCATGTATATAAAGTACAAAAACAGAAAAAACCTGGGCAATACTTAGCTTAAGGATACAAATATATATGATAAAAAACCTAAAGTAAACAAAAGAATGATTAAAACAAAATTTAACAAATTGTTAACCTGAAAGTGAGGGAGGAGGATAAAGTTCAGATGGGACATACATTAAGTTTCTAAAGCCTAATAATATTCTATTTTTTTTATTTGGGCAGTGAGTGCATAGATGTTTATCTTATTATTATCAAGAAAATTTACCACAATAGGAATTTTGAAAAAAAATACAAGGCTACCTACATTTAGGAGGCACAGAGAATTTAATAATTTAAATACACTCAACCCTTAAAGGAAAAGACAAAGGAAACAATTAAAACTTTTCCAGAGTGTAAAGAAGGACAGAACATCTCCAAAATATTTCTACCAGCTTCATATAAATACTAACCTGTAAAAGATAACATAAAACATAATAATGTAGAAACACAACCAAACTTATAAATATTGGTACAGAAATATTCATTAAAATATTAGCAAACAGAATCCAATAACATTTTACTCCAATAGCAATTTTTTCCCTATAATGAAAAGCTGGCTAAATATTAGGTACTCTATTAATCTGTGTCATCAGATTAGTAAGTCAAATGAGAAAAATATGATTATATTCAGAAGTGATGAAAAGTCATTCAATAAAAATTAATTAGAATAAAAATGAAAATTGACAAAAATTGTGAATAAGTATATATTTCCTTAATGAAAGAAGTGAAAAAATTAAAAGCCTAATGTTGAAATAGTTACATTATTCTCATAAGAAACAGGACTAGTTTGTCCAACCTCACGATACTTAACATAATTCTAGATCAGTTTTTTCCAATTTTTTTTTATTATGGCATACCCTCTTGCAAGGATCCCTTATAGATGTTTGTTTTCCCTAATCGTCCCTCATTTAATTGCCTTTAAATAAACTCTTTCTTTTAGAATAATTTTAGATTTACAGGAAAGTTGTGAATGTAATACAGTTTCTATATACTCCATACACAGTTTCCTCTATTATTAACATCTTACACTAGTATAGTACACTTTTCACAATTATTAACCAATCCTCAAGCATTACTATTAACTAAAGGTCACATTTTATTCAGATTCCCTTATTTTTCACCTAGTACCTTTTTTTTCTATTCCAGATTCCTATCCTGCATATACCATTTTACATTTAATTGACATGTTTACTTAGGCTCCTCATGGCTGTGACAGTTTCTCAGGCTTTTTTTTTTTTTTTTTTTTTGGAGACGGAGTAGTCTCGCTCTATCTCCCAGGCTGGAGTGCAGTGGCACAGTCTTGGCTCACTGCAACCTCTGGCTCCCGGGTTCCAGTGATTCTCCTGCCTAAGCCTCCTGAGTAGCTGGGATTACAGGTGCGTGCCACCACACCCGGCTAATTTTTATATTTTTAGTAGAGACAAGTTTCACCATGTTGGCCAGGCTGTTCTCGAACTCCTGACCTCGTGATCCGCTCGCCTTGGCCTCCCAAAGTGCTGGGATTACAGGCGTGAACCATCGCGTTTGGCCAGGCTTTCCTTTTTTTGGTGACATTGACAGTTTTGAGGTCAAGTGTATTGCAGGATGATCCTGTTTTGTAATTTATCTTATGTTTTTCTCATAATTAGACTGAGTTTATGAGTTTTGAGGAGGAAGATCAAAGAATGCCGTTCTTGTTCTATCATATTAGGAGTACATACTATCAGTATGCCTTATTTATTAAAGTTGACCTTGATCACTTGGCTGTGGTAGTGTTTGTCAGGTTTCTCCACTGTAAAATTGCCCTTTGTTTTTTTCCTTTCCACACTATGCTCTTTGCAGGGTAGATACTGTGTGCATTACAAACATAAAAGGTAGGAAGTTCTGTTCCACTTTCATGGTGGCAGAGTGTCTATCTACATAATTCATTTGGAATTCTTTTTCACAACGGGTTTATGTATTAACCCCCACTGATTTATTTATTCAGTTATTGATTTATATCAATATATATTCATGTATATTTGTTTAATACTTTGGTAACAAATCAAATGCTACTTTATTTTATTGCTCAAATTGTTCCAGCTTTGGTTATTGGGAGCTCTTTCAGTTGGCACTTGTGTCCCTCTGACATTTGCTCATCATGTGGATTTTGTGGGGTTTATTAATGTTTTTGAATACATCTTTACTTTCTTGGCACTACAAGGTGCTCCAGGCTTATGTACATTTTCTGCTCCAGCTCTAGAGGTAGCCATTTCTCTAGGCAACGCGGGGTCCTTCTATTGAAGGATAGTATTAGAAACCAAGGTCTTGGTGCTAGGTGCCACATTTAATTTTAATACCACAGATATACTGTATATGTGGTGCATTTATATCCATTCTGTATACATTAAAAAGTGTAAGATTTGTTTTGCACCCCTCCATCAAGAACCATTTTTCACCCCCTTGGGGTTGGTAGCCCACTACTGAGAATGCATGCCCTAGACATTTTAATCAATGCGATTAAGGAATATCAAATAAGATGTATAAATGTTGAGGGGAAAGACACAATTACAACCTGAAGATTATAATCATTATGCCTAGAAAAAACAAGGAGAATCAAATAAAAAGCTCTTAGACATGCATATGAAAAGTCTATAAGTCATGAAACTCACATACAAAGTATATTTTTATAAGCAGATAAAACAACATGTTACACAATATAATAAAAGAAACTAAAGTTTCTATTTGCAATAACAATTTTAAAAGATACATTGCTTAGAAATAATCATGACAAGCCATGAATATAACTTACTGTATGATTCAATTTAAGTAGAATATGCAAACTATTCTGCAGTGGCTGAAAGCATATCTTGAGAATATTTCTTGAGAATGGAGGAGGGACAGAAGGGAAGGGACTCAAGTGTAATTTTGGGGTGATAGATATATTCATTATCTTGATTGATGCTTTCACAGTTATATACATCTGCTAAACTTGCCAAATTGTACACTTTATTGTATGTCAATTATACCTTGATGATAAACTACTGCTATGGTCACCTTTATGTGTCAACTTGGCTAGATTATTGCTTCTAGTTATTCAATCAAACACTAATCTAGGTTTTAGTTGGAAGACCATCCAATATAATATGAGGGGGCTTGATTCATTCAGTTGAAAAGCCCTACGAGCAAAACTGAGGCTTCCGTGATAGAAGAGGAAATTTCATCTGTGGCAGCGGCTTTCGCTCCTGCCCAGAAATTCCAGCCTGACAGCCAGCCCCCTCAATCATGTAAGCCAACCTCTTACAATAACTCTCTTAATAGGTACACATCTTATTGGGCTTTTTTCTCTCGTTGAACCCTAACTGATCTAAACTTGATTAAACATACACACACAAAACTAATGTTCAGCCAATAGACAGATATGCGACTCAGATTCAGAAACAGTTACCACTGAACACCCATCCCACCCCTTTCTTCTGGGCCTTCCTGATGCTTCCTGATCCTCACAGGTGCACAGCCTGAAAGAACAGAATGGAGGGACAGCAAAAGTGCTGGCACAAGGCTGGGGTCAGCCTGGACTAGATTGATGTAATACTTTTAGGATAACTTTTATTAACTATATGATACTGGCACAAGTACAGAGAAGTGGGTAGGTGGAGCAGAGGAGTCTGAAATGACTATGGATTTATTATGCAAGAAAGTACATTTAAAATAAGTAGTGAAAAATAGTAGTAGAAACATAGGTATTGAAAGATAGGCTGGTACAATGGGTTAACCATTTGCCCCTCCCCAAAATAAGAATAAAAAAAAATTAGACCCCTTTCTCATTTTTGCACCAAAATAAATTTCAGTTAAAACCACCATTCAAAGAAGGAAGAAAAGAACTATAGCAATACTAGAATTTTTAAATAAGCATTTTTTTCCAAAAAATAGGAATGGGAAAGCCCTATCAAAACCTAACACAAAATCCAGAAGTCACATCTGAATGCCATTTTATTATGTAAAAGCAAAAATCTTTGCCAGGATAAGAAAAAATACTTAAAGTGAAAAGACAAACAACAAACAAAAGATATGCCACTTTTATAATAGACAAAGTTAACCTGCCTTAATTATTAGGAACTCTTATAAATCAACAAGAAAAGGAAAGCTATTCATTAGAAACATGAACAGGTGGCCTAAACAGCAAATTTGCAACGAAAAAGAAATACAATGGCTTCTGAACATACTAAAAGATATTTAGCTTGTAATTGTAAATGTTTATCTAGCATGGAGGAAGAGAAACGAAGTGGAATAGGGCAACTTTACTACCAGGCTGCAGTTGGACAGAGCTTGTGTTCTGATTATGGCCACAACTCCCATTGCAGGCCTATCCTCTATCTATAGTTCTTTCTAGGTTCCATAATTATTGCCTTTTCTTGCCCGCTTTGGGCTTCCCACTCTTAATAACCATCTAGTATTGTTTCCTCTTAACTCTAGGCTGCATATATTCTCTTCAGCCCCCTTTTTGAATAAGCGTGTTTCCTGCTAGATCACAAATGGATACTTCTCCAGCACTACTCAACAGAAATATATTATGAGCAACAAAAACAAGTCATATATGTTATTTCAAATTTTCTATTACCCATCTTTAAAAAGTAAAACCGAAATAGGTGAAATTAATTTTAATAGCATACTTTATTTAACCCAATATATCTAAAATGTTGGATATATTCAGCATATAGTCAGTATTAACATTACTGAGATATTTTACTTTTTTTATTAAATCCGGTTTGTAACTTACATATAGCATTGCTCAATTCAGACTCACCATATTTCAAGTGTTCTATAGCTACGTGCTGCTAGTGGCTGCAATATTGGATAGAAAAGATCCAGATTTTCAAGTGTATTGGGATAAAGCTAAGCGTATGATTAACTATTTTTTAAAAAATATCCTCCATAACTATGGCTATGTCCCTTTTGCTTTTTTAACATTGGGCATATTATTCTTTTCTTGTTTTCAATTTAGTTCTGTCTATATTTAGTTTCAATTTTTGGTTGTTGTTTCTTGTATAATTGGTATCAATTTTTTAAAATTTCTTAATTAGACTACTGAAGTTTTAAGTCTTTCCAAAAGAATATATTTAGGCTCTATTGATCTATTCTGTGCGGCTTTTTCTGCGTGTGTGTGTTTCATTAATTTGGTGCCTGTATATTTGTTAACGTCTTCCTTGTGTTCTTTTTTGATTTGCTTTTTGTTCTTTATCAGGTTCTTGGGTAAGAACAAAAAAAAAGTTCCACTTTGGTAACTTTCTAAAGCATGCTTAGTATTCTGAACATGGTTTCTGCACATTCGCTATTGGGCCCTTGGTAGGCCCTTTTAATCTGAAAAACTGAGTCTTCCTTGAATTTAGCAATATCTTCTCCTCCTGTTGCTGCTCCTGTCTCTCCTCCTCTCCCTTTTTTGTCTTCCTTCTTTTCCTCTGTCTCTTCCCCTTTCGTCTTCATGCTTTTTATTTCCATCCCTCAGTTGCTGCTCTCTCCTCCCATATATCTTTTTTTCATGGACACTAGAGCTTCTGGATTTGTCTCCAAGTGTTTAATATTTATCTCTTCTATTCTGTGCTTTTGTTGTCTTGCTCTATATTCTCAGATAGTATTTCTTAAACTTGAGTATTAAGTATTCGCCTTTTAAGGTTAAAAAGAAACTCGAGTATTAAGTATTCGCCCTTAAGATAATAATACTCATGGAACACCATAAGCATATCCCAACCCTGTTTAAAAGCAATCTGCTTTTAGGTCAATAAATCAGTTTTCCATCTTATCCATTTAGGCTTTTGAGTGAATTGGGTTTGTTTGTTTGACTTTAATGCCTGTGGTCATTAATCATTTTCATAGTAGCCTACTTTGACTTGACAGGTGGAGATTGTATCTTCTTAAGGTACTCTGAAGATTCCATTTGGAATGTTTTTTAGGTTTGTTAACGAGTGGCCTCACAAGTTTTTCATGTTGAGGAATTTTTTTAAAACTTTAAAAATAAAGGTTGAATATAAAACAAGGTGATACAGGAGGAGCTTTAAGAAAAATTGAAAAGAAAAATAGTCCCCAGTGCCCTCCAAGTGATTTTTGTCTTATTCTCTAGTACCTTATCTGAAGCCTTGTATTTTCTGCCACTCAGTATAAAAATGAGTCCTAAATAATATAAAATATAGGTAAAAATGAAAGAGAGAACAAATATCACAAAATAATAACAAGAAGATAGGAAATTAAGAAGAAACAATACAATAAGCTTAAAATAAATAGAAATTAAAATAAATTAGAAGATAATTTAAAAACAAAAATGTGTAATCTTGATATTAAAAAAATAAACTTAGAAAAAGAGATTAAAAGTTAATCAAGTAAAAATATATAATATGAAAGTAAACTCAATAAGAGATCAAAAGTGGTACCAGAATATTAGTTAAGAAATATATAATTAAAAATTAAAATTTTTGAAATAAGGGGAAATTTTAAATTTTAAAAATTAACATTAAAATGTAGGTATGTCAGGTATCCCCAAGACTACCCTCAGGCTAGATAATTCACTACAAAGACTCATAGGACTCAAAGAAGCTATTGTACTCACAGTTGTGATTTTTTTAATATACTTTAAGTTCTGAGGTACATGTGCAGAACAGGCAGATTTGTTACATAAGTATACACGTGACATGGTGGTTTGCTGCACCTGTCAACCCATCATCTACATTAGGTATTTCTCCTAATGCTATCCCTCTCCTACCCCCCCAACCCCCTGACAGGCCCTGGTGTGTGATGTTCCCCTCCCTGTGTCCATGTGTTCTCGTTGTTCAACTCCCACTTATGAGTGAGGTGGTGTTTGCTTTTCTTTTCTTGTGTTAGTTTGCTGAGAATAATGGTTTCTAGCTTCATCCATGTCCCTGCAAAGAACATGAATTCATCCTTTTTTATGTCTGCATAATATTCCACAGTGTATATGTGCCACATTTTCTTTATCCAGTCTATCATTGATGGGAATTTGGGTTGGTTCCAAGTTTTTGCTATTGTGAACAGTGCCGCAATAAACATACATGTGTATGTGTCTTTATACTAGAATGATTTATAATCCTTTGGGTATATACCCAGTAATGGGATTGATGGGTCAAATGGTATTTGGGGTTCTAGATCCCTGAGGAATCACCACATTGTGATTTTTTATAGTGAAAGGAAATGGATCAAAATCAGCAAAAGGAAAAAGTACATGAGGTGAAGTCCAGAAGAGACTAAGCAGCAGCTGTCAGTTGCCCTCTCCCAGTGGAGTCATATGAATGTGCTTAATTTTCCCAGAAAGGATGTATGACAATACATGCAAAGGTTTGCCAAGCAGGGAAACTCACCCAAGGCTTGAGTCTAGGGTTTTCACTGGAGCTCATCATGCAGCAGCTGCCTGACTAACTTCAGCTACTCAGTGATAGCAAGACCTCAGGCATACAAAAACAGGCATTCACTATAAATCATATTGTTAACACTGGATCACATGGCACAAGGTCTCAGACATACAATACTATTTTCTTATCAAGTAGACTAATCCAAGGGCTCAGAATGCATTCCTTTAGTAACCAGCCAGGTGCTAATTCTGAAAACAGGCCTTCCTGGGGAATGTCCAGGGTTTGAGCAACCCGGACCTGCTGAGTCAACTCTTTCTTTCTTGGTAGAATAGAAGAGAAAAGAAAAAAAAATACAAGAAAATGGAAATGAAGCAAAAAGACTAAAAATCTAAGAACAGAAAGAAGAATTAAATAATAAATCCAAAAAAATCAACAGATATTACTGTAATTGAAACTATTACATCAATGCCAATATTCTGAATTGGAGAAAACAATACAAGGAAACAAAAGAAGAGAAAGAAATGAGAAATGTTAGCTGTAGGAAATAGAAACAGAAGGTTTGTGTTGGAGAAGAAGGACTCAGTGACACTCTGAATCCTTGTCTTTGCCTCTCTCCAGCTACACATGCCTAGCAATGCCCTTAGTCCTTCTAGAACCTATCAAGAAGGATCCTACCTGGTCCAAAAAACCATCATCTTCCACAAGCTTCAGCCAGCAATCAGCCCTGTGCTTTTATATGCTCAGATGCCCATTTTCAACTAGGAAGGTGTTGGCTTCTGTCATGCTTGTAAATTATGTAGCACATCCATTCAGGCATCTTGAATCAAAAGCATACAGTTTGCTGTTTCATTAATTACCTTGGTTGTCTCAGACATTTTCTTATTGTGTATCACCTATTCTGTGAGTCCAGTCTCTTTCCAAGCCCATGTATCTACATATTGCAGGAACATAGAGACTGCCCACTCAGGGCAACAAAAGGCATAATGAACAACTTGTCACTGCAGATAGGAAATTTCTAAAAGTTTCCACGCTAATCTTCAAGAACTGGGCAAATGAAAAAGAGACAAAGAGTGGCACAGGCTTTTGAGAGCATGTTATGCTCCACTGCAAAGTGAAAAATACATTTGCTGAAAGCAAACTGCCACCACTTAGTTAAAGCTATCAAGCCTCTGAGCCTAATTAGAGGGAAAAAAATCAATAGTGATTCACTTTCTTGTTAGACAAATTGATTTTCCTGATAAAGTTCACAATATTCTTAGAGTTTGTCTTAATCATTTTCTTGCAAAATGGCATAGTTCCAACACTCCCAAATCGCATAGTTAAATTGAGATGAGTGGTTTAGCAATGCAGGGACTTACAAATCAATCTCATCGAAGACAACAATGCATCCCTCAGACAGGTGAGCAAAAATACCAGCCATTAATCCAGCTATCGCCAAATAGTCAGATGTTTATTTTATCTCTTTGTAAGATCTGGGTAAGGATCAGGATCTTCCAGTTTTCATTCAGACCTTAATTTCAAAATGGATATTTGGTTTCATTTTTGTTTCCATAAATAGAACTGTGCCCTTGGGTTTAGAAAACCTAAGTCTGCATTCCAGCTCTCTTTCCTGCTGACTGCATGACCTTGAGAAAATCCTTTCACTTCTCTGAATTGTTTCTTCACCTTTGAAAAGAGTTGGATTTTCCAGTGTGTGTGCTTGATAAATACACGGCTATAAAGCAATAATATGTAATTCAGCAATTTCGTATGGCAGACCCTAGTCCAAGTGCATCAACTCATCTAACTCTCACATCCACCCAGTGAAAAAGATATCATTATTATTCTAGTTTATAGATGAGGACACAGGGGCTTAGAGAGTTTTGAGATCTTTGCCCAATCTTAAATCTTATCCAGGGCTATGTGAAACACAAGCTCTCGATCACTGTATTCCTAGAATTGTCTCTTAAGCTGCCTTCTAGTTCTAAACAATAGCTTCGATGTTGATGTGACTCATCCTTTGACTATAATTAGCTGTTATTTCCTTGAGGAACACCTCTAACATCCCCTGTCCTTCCTACCCAAATGTTTTATCTAGCTAGAAAATGAAGGCTATCAATATGTTAAGTCACTTACAAGGTTTTTAGAGTTTTCTTTTCCTGAGTAAAGAACTGGAAGGTCTTTCCTCGGTCAAACAATAGTAGTCATAATTAGTATTAACAGAAGGTGGATTAACATGATTAACAGAGGTTTCATGTGATAGCTGATTTTGTAGGTCAACTTAAGTAGGCTAAGGGATGCCCACATAGGTGGTAAAACATTATTTCTGTGTGCTTCTGTGAGGGTGTTTCCAGAAGAAATGAGCATCGGTAGATTGAGTAAAGAAGTTCTTCCCTCACCAACGTCAGCAGGTATCATCCAATCCACTGAAGGCCTGAATAGAACAAAAAGGTGGAGGAGCATAAATTTACTCTCTCTCTTCTTGAGCTGGAACATCTGTCTTTTTACCCTTGAGCATCAGTGTCCTGGTTTTCAGACCTTCTGCCTCCAGGACTTACACCAGTGCACCCTAATCTATCTTATTGTTGCTGTTTCTCTTTAGAACCCTGACTAATACAGTTGTTGCTTCCAGATGGATCAAATAAATGGCATGGGTACTACTGCCAGTCCTCTGCACCATAACCCATGACCAATCATGACACTGTCTGCTGCTGAGACCTGATATCACCTTGAAGACCTTTAATAGCTCATGCTCTAAGAAGCTGCTATCAGTTGCCTAGAACAGGCAAAAGAGAATAAGCTCATTTACCATTCCAGTGAGTTCAGTGGCACAATAGGCAGCAAGGCAGAACAAAGAGAGGGCCAAAGAAGGACCTACTAAGCCAAATGGGGAGTAAGGCAGCTGCATTCCTGCAAAGGAGAGGGGATAATATCAAGATTATGTCTGAAGTGGCAAGGGCATAGAATGCAGCAGAGACTTCGTCTGGTCCATTACTATATAATCAGTACCCAGGACAGTGCCTGGCACATGGTAATGCCTCAATGAACATTTGTAACATGAACATCTACTTATTCCAATGAATGGCAATAGGACACAATTCTAGGCAGAGAAAGGAAACTGCCAATTCCAATTGAGATTGCTTTAAGAGCTCTGTAATAGTCAGGGTTCTCTAGAGAAACAGAACAAATAGGATAGATAGATATATAAAGGGAAGTTTATTAAGGACTATTAACTCACATGATAACAAGATCCCACAAACGGCTGTCTGCAAGCTGAGGAGCAATGAAGCCAGTCTGAGTCTCGAAGCTGAAGTCTGATGTTCTAGGGCAGGAAGCATCCAGCATGGGAAAAAGATGCAGGCTGGCAGGCTAAGCCAGTCTAGTCTATTCACTTCTGTTTTTGTATTCTGACCACTCTGGCAACTGATTAAATGGTGTTCACCCAGATTAAGGGTGGGTCTGTCTTTCCCAGCCCACTGATTCAAATGTTAATCTCCTCTTGGCAACACCCTCACAGACACGCCAGGATCAATAATTTTCATCCTTCAATCCAATCAAATTGACACTCAGTATTAACCATCACAAGCTCCTATAAATTCTGACTTCTAGAACTTAGATTCTGCTAGAACTTTGAGTCCAGCCAAAACTTTGAGTCAACATTGAAGAGCACTTTGTGAAGACTGGAGCCATGGTGGATGCATATTTATGGATGGCTGGGAAGGAATGAAGGCAGGGGAAATGGCAGTCACTGGAAATCGAGTACTGCTCAAGTCCTAATAATACACAATTAAAAATACTGCCCTAAAAGTAATTAAACTATTATTTGGTGGGTAGAATTTTGCCTTAAATCACTCTGTCCTCAGATGGGATTTTAAGTATCTTTCTTGAAAATAAATGTTATTATTTTGGAATGCCGTAACAGGAGAGTTCATGTCCTTTGTGGTTCCGTTCATAGATCAGAAGTTTATTACAAGTTCCTGTGTGGACCAATACTTCCTAAAGCCTATTTTATGGAACTGTGGCCTAGAAAATACTCTATGTGGAAAAAGAAAGGATTCTGAGGCCAAATAAATTGGGAAACACTGCAGTCAGTATTATTTTGTCAATCTACATATTACATTAGCTCATGAAAGGTTTTGAGGAGTCTTGGGGTAAACACAGTGGTTTACCCGAGCATTGTTCAGATAGTTTGGTCATGGAACTTTCTTTTTCATATAACACCTAGCAACATCCCAAAGTGTAAAGGAAAGAATACTAGACTAAGAATCAGATAATATTTGAGTTTCAGTCCTAAACATAAGTTACTAAATGGGTCACTGGCAAAACATTTAAATTTTATAAGCCTCAATTTTCACTGTTAAATTAGTGAAATGCCTCCCTTAGCAAAGCTTTGTGTGAATTAAATAAGATACTTTATGGGAAAGATTTTGTAAATAATGAAACATTACCTAAATGTTAGTTGTTAATATCATTATTTCAGTCAGTTCTTTGAACATGAAATGTGAGAAATGGTTTCCCAACTATAGGCCACACTTGTCACTTTTTTCCCCTACCATTTAGCTCACTCCAAAGCACTATCCAAACAGCAAAATAATGGAAACCCATTAAAGGCTTTTTCCATTGTGTTGACATGACATAAACCACTACTCAATCTTGATATTTTAAGGAATTGGCCAAAAACCTAATTCTATAAATCCCATAAGTGCTATTTGAGACTAAAATTTGAGTTAAACATGTCCATAAGCCTGCTATTGTTTCAACAAATAGATATACATATGTACCTGCATGTGGTACATGGTGTTCTATCAGTTCAGTATGTCTCATTTTTTACTCTTAATTTGTCTAAGACAAATTACTGGTTTTTTTCCTACTGTTTCTATGTTTATATATGTATATATATCTACATGTGTGTATACATGTATATATGTGTGTGTATGTATATGTACACACACACATATACATATATGTGTGTATGTATATGTACACACACACATATACATATATGTGTGTATGTATATGTACACACACATATACATATATGTGTGTATGTATATGTACACACACACATATACATATATGTGTGTATGTATATGTACACACACACATATACATATATGTGTGTGTATGTATATGTACATACACATATATACATATATGTGTGTGTATGTATATGTACATACACATATATACATATATGTGTGTATGTATATGTACATACACATATATACATATATGTGTGTGTATGTATATGTACATACACATATATACATATATGTGTGTGTATGTATATGTACATACACATATATACATATATGTGTGTATGTATATGTACATGCACATATATACATATATGTGTGTGTACACGCACATATATACATATGTGTGTGTACATGCACATATATACATGTGTGTGTGTACATGCACATATATACATATGTGTGTACATGCACATATATACATATATGTGTACATGCACATATATACATATGTGTGTGTACATGCACATGTATACATGTGTGTACATACACATATATACATATACGTGTGTGTACATACACATATATACATATATGTGTGTGTGTATATGTACATACACATATATACATATATGTGTGTGTGTATATGTACATACACATATATACATATATGTGTGTGTGTGTGTATATGTACATACACATATATACATATATGTGTGTGTGTATGTATATGTACATACACATATATACATATGTGTGTGTGTATATGTATATGTACATACACATATATACATATATATGTGTGTGTATATGTATATGTACATACACATATATACATATATATGTGTGTGTATATGTATATGTACATACACATATATACATATATATGTGTGTGTATATGTATATGTTTATTATACACATATATACACATATATACACATTTATATATATATAAATAACACACATATATACATATATGTGTATATATACACATATACATATATACATGTACATATATACAAATATACACGTACATATATACACATGCGCACATATATATACACGTATACACACACACACATATATATATATAAACTATAAAACATGGCAACAGTAGTGACAAAAACAAGTAATTTGTCTCCTCAGACAAATTAAGAGTAAAAACTGAGATAAATATATAAATCAGCATTAAAAAAATCTCTCTCTAGCTTCAAGGAGTTTAATGTTCAAAGTAACACCAAAAGTTATCATGTGTGTGTGTGTGTGTGTGTGTGTGTGTGTGTGTGTATGTGTATCAGGAAACTGTGGCAGGTGCGCCAACTCTTGTTCTTCTGTTTTTGTATGGCCTGCAAGATAAGAATAGTTTTTACACTTTTTAATGGTTGCAGGGGTAGGAGTGGGAGAAATAATTTATGACAAGTGAAAATTATATGAAATTCAAATGTTAGTGTCCTTAAGTTTCATTGGAACATTGCCACACCTATTTGTTTACATATTGTCTATGGCTGCTTTCACATTGTAGCAATAGAGTTGGGTAGCCGCAACAGAGACTGTATGGCTCTCAAAGTCCAAAATACTCACTACCTGACCCTTTACCAAAAAAAGTTTGTCAACCTCTGCCTTATGCTCATGTTTTTTAGACAAGTGTATTGTATGAGAAAATATAGTTACTCCACTCCACAGCAGACATCTGGGGACAGATTTTTGAGAGTAAGCTTAGTTCTCCTTTTAATTTTTCTTATACTAGAAAGCAATGTGTTTAGTAGAAATCTTAGGACTTTGGGCCTGGAAGTGAATCTTACCTCTAGTTGTATTAGCTGTCTCTGGATAAACCATTTGAACATTCTCATTCTCATCTTCCTTATCTGACTCATATGATGTTAGACTAATATAATAATCAGATTCATATGATTTTAGCCCAGTGCCTATGTCAAAGCAGTCTTCTGATAAATATCAGTTTCCTTCCTCAGCATCCCAGCAAAGAGCATGGGGAATGCATTACAAATGGGCTCCTGCAATTCATTTTGCAGCCTGCAACCACCAAACAATTGAAAAGTAAAGTGCAGACAAGCCCCCAGCCTGCTTCCTGCAGCTGACTGACAGCACTTCTCAGGTCTGGCTGACTGGAAAATAATACATTTCCGACAGATCATTTGGTTTAGCCTTTTCTTCTTGTAAACAATTATCTACCAGTGTGTGCTTCTCACTGAAAATGTGCTTAAATGCTAGACCTCCAGCCAGCACCCTCCAACATGCCTGCTCTAAGAACCCTGGAGAACATTGGCACAGCATCTCTATCCATGGGGAAGAAGGCAAAGGCTGGGCATACCTGGAGAATTTGCCTCCTATCTAACTGCTTAAACAACTACAATGATGAGATTACCACACTGCCCCTCCCCGCACCTTGCACAGTGCTGTAAATGCAATGAACCCAAGCCAGCAGGCTTTTCCTGGTCACTCAGCTCAACTATTCTTATGCCCTCACCAGTTGCATGATTCATGGTTGTATTACTGCAGGTTCAGAAACCTATGAGAGGCAGATGCTGTGGTGCTCACCCAGATCCTCTTTGTCAGCCTGATCCACACATCCCCCAACTTCTGCCAGTGATGGCAGCTGCTATGGGGCACAGGTGTATCTGTTTAGAACTGCCTTTGGCCAACCAAAACTTTGTGTGTCCTACTCTCCTCACTCAGGAGCAGCCAGAGCCAATGAATGCATCTGTGACAGGTGTACAAATGCTTGCCACCACCTTGCCTCAAGACAAGACAACTCCATATTGCCCTTTGAGCTAGAGATCCTTCTTCTGTTGCCCCCAGGAGGTGAGACCAAGGCTAGATTTATCCTGACACTACATCCTTGCTCACCTCCTTTCCCTTCCCTAGCTCTTGGCTTTGGTCTGTTCCTCATAGTTTCTTGAACTGAAAAACACTACGTCATTAAATCACAAATCTTTGTATAGAACTTTACTTCTAAGAACCTCAACCTATGACACTCTGAGTCACCTAAAGAGCACAGGCCGGTATGAGGTCAGAAAGGGGCATGTTGCTCCTCTGAGTTAAACATGGCTGCTGGTTATTCTAATGGAGATAATGGCTTAACCAACCCAAATGAGGGAGAGAGCCAATGGAGAGCCTTGTCAGCGGGGAGAGAGCCCATGTCCACAGGGACACTGGCTACACAGCTTGACTAATCCAAGCCACAAGGAATGTAGCTGCCCAGGACGAATATCTAGCACTGGCACCACCCGAAGAGCCTCCACTTCCACCCAAGATAAAGTTACTCAGAGGGATGCCTCTCTTAACAGTCAGCATACATTTGACCAACTACAGGGCCAGTTGTGCATACAGGGGTGGAGAAAAACAAGGGAGCCTGGAGAGAGGCAATTCAAAAGTTACTCCTTGAAATTATAGTCTTGGGTTTAATTCCAAAATGGAATGATAATAGCTTCAAAGCTGGCATAAAGGGAAACATGGCTCTTTTGTAGGGTTAGACCAAAATGAGGGTCAGGATAGCAGGAAGTTTAAAACAGTCCTGAGCAGAGATCAATGCTTACAGAGACATAGTAGCAGACTGCCTCTCTGCCCATGATGCTATTCAACCTGAAAAAGTGAAAGAGCTGCAATAGCCTGATTAGTGGGGAGCTGTACCAAACACACAGGGAGCTTGAGAGGGTGGAAGAGAAGGCATTCTCCTCACACCCCCCATTCATCAGGGGAAAATGACTGTGAACAGCATAGAGACCACCATGACTGGGAGGTTGGTGCTGGGTCATGCACAGGTCAATGCCATGTGTGTTCAATCACCAGCCCCCGATGGGTCAGGAAAGGTGGCGGCCACCTAGGCCAGCAAGGTAAGTAATAAGCCTGAAGGTGAGACTCTGTGCTGGATTAAGTGGGCTTTGCTTCAGTGGCTTAAGACTGAGCAAGCAGTCAGGGAATAGAGGATGTTTAAAGAAGATGAAAGAGAAGAGAAGGAAATATTCTGTCATAATAAAAGGAATTACACCTTCAAATGCAAGTAGGAGATATTTCTGTGAAATATGCAGGGATTATATGGTAATGGAAACTGAATAAATGACTATTTAGATGAGACAAGGGGAACAAGTAATTTCAAGGGGTCCTCTGACTTCGCTGATAGAAGAGGAACTGAGGAAGAGGGTCCTTACCAGAAAAATTGTGGAACTTGGTTTAGAATTGGGTACTATGTTGGTTACTCTTTAAATTTGTAAAATAATTCCATGTAACACATTTATACAATGGACTGCAAAGGAGCATGAAAGAACTTTCTAGGAAGGTAGAAATATTTTATATCTTCATTGTGTCACTTGTTATTTAAGGCTTGTTTGTCAGCATCATCAACCTGTGCACTTAAAATATGTGAATTGTATTGTAGCTACATCAAACACCCACCATTCTTTGGTAAAACATATAGAATGAAGATATAATGCCTATGTAATAATAAAAAATTATTTTACCTAAAAGTTTAATAAACTAATCAACTACTCACAGTATAGGTTAAATCCCTCTCTTTGGCCTCAAGTCTACAAATTTGAAAAAATTGCATTGATAACTAATTGACTTTTAAAAGATAATTTTTGGCTAGGTGCAGTGTCTCACACCTATAATCCCAGCAAGGTAGAATTTGCCTAGTCCAGGAATTCAAGACCAGCCTGGGCAACGTAGTGAGACCTCATTAAAAAATATATAATTTTCAAAGATATCAGAGTTTACTTGGGTGAAAATGGCACATTTCTATTTTTTAGCAGTAAGCTAACTTTTTTCTGAAACTTCTTTGTATATGTATATGTGACCTGGCTGAAGAAACTAGTTGCAATGTTTGAACTAGATATGTAAGAATTTCAAAATGCTATTCTTTTTATTACTTCCAGGATGGCTTACAGTCCTCATGAGTAAAATGGAATTAATTAGAGGATCATTATTATTCGCATTGTATTTTTGAATTATGACTCTTGTGTGTTTCAATAATTATTTTTTATATTTCAGGCATTTTTTTAAAAGGGATATGTTGGGCCATAGCTTACAAAATGAGAAGAGGATATAGATCAGGCATTAATCAATGTCAGTATGTTTAAAACAATGGCTGTCAACACTATTTCCCCTAGCTGAATTTTGGAAGAAAATTTTTCCATTTTCTGGCCTGCTTTAGAACCACATATTGAAGTCACAGATTCTGTGGCTTATCTAGTGAAAGGTGATTTTTTTAATATCAAAAGGTTTACAAATACAAATAGAAAATGTTTTCTCTTTGGAGGCTTAATGTTAAAACATCTTCATGAAAACCAACAAATTAAAAGATGTTGACAATATGTGTACAATAAAACTTGGAGATTTCATATTAATAAAGTATCTTATGCTCCAAATTAGAATGGAAAAATATTTTTTGGCATGTTATCCATTTCTGAGGGCATTAAACTGTTAAAAGTAACTATAGAATATAACATTAGAGTGCCTGAAAGTTTACTCCATTTTTAATTGAAAGTGTTTTTGTTCTAAGATAGTGTATTAGCAAGGGTTCTCCAGAGAAACAGAACCAACAGGATGTATACATAGAGACAGGGACTTATTTTAAAGAATTGGCTCACACAGTTATGGAGGCTTGGCAAGTTCAAAAATCTGTAGTGTAGGCCTGCAGGCTGGAGACCCAGAAAAGAGTCACAGTTCAAGTTCAGAAAGGGTCTGCTGGCAGAATGCCATCTTGCTCAGGGGAGCTCATCTTTTTCTATTCGGGCCTTCAACTGATTAGATGAGGCCCACCCACATTATGGAGATAATCTACTTTACCCAAAGTCCACTGAGATAAATGTTAATCTCATCTTAAAAATACTTTCACAGCATTAAGAATATGTGTCCACTGAGTTAAATGTTAATCTCATCTTAAAATACTTTCACAGCATTAAGAATAATGTTTGACCAAACATCTCAATAGCATGGTCCAGTCATGCTGACACATAACATTACTCATCACCAGTGGAGACAAGGGAAACAAAAACTTCAGAGATATACCCAAGATGGCTGAGAATTACAAGTAATGGTACTGGGGAATATCCAGATGATAGGTAAATGTAAAACAGAACTAACATGTGCTGTAACCTACTTGTCCTTACAACTTTGGCAAGATGTTTTTAGCAGAACACTGTACAGTCAACATTGTCAAGGTCACAAAGAGCTATATTATAAAAATATTATCAGTAAAAGTCCTCTAATTTAAATATCAGCTATATTTCCCTGACAGTGCATAATAATAAGAGAGTAGAAAAGTTTATCTTCCAATTCCCATCTCCCTTTGATCAAAAGTATAACCCATGGAGCATTAGCTTCTTTACACTTCCTGGTTATGTATGTGCATGCCAGTGAGGGCCCATTGAGTCTCAAGTCACAGCAGGCAGCAGGTGAGGGAACCTGCAGCACTGGCATAAGAAGATATGTGGTCAAGTGTGCCTGGAGAAAGCTTCTCAGAGCCCACAGCATAGCTGTCGCAGGTTGGGCTCCTGGGAAACAAACTCTGAGATGGAGATTTGCATACAGTGGCTTCTTGGGGAATGCTCTTGGTAACAACCCTAGAAAGGGAGTGAAAGAAGCAGAATGAGGCAGAGGGTATCAGGGAAGCACAGCACAGCCTCCATGTCAGTAGGCACCACAGCAGTGCTCAAGAGCCTGGAATCAGGTGAGGCCAAGAGCATCTCTAGTGACATATTAAGCAGTGTCTAGTCTTTACGCCATCTAGATCTGCTTGTGCTCCACCAGCATATTTGGCTCCTTTGCTACAACATTTAGGGTCTCTGTTGTTGAGAGATAATACCATTACATATTCCCTGAAAAAGTACACTTGTGCAGACTTGAGGTTTGCTTTAAGCTTGTAGACAGCTTCAATAACCTAAGACAATAGGCTTATTGGGAAAGAAAGCTACAGTCTCTGTTGCTACAGCAGGTCCCAAGGCCCAGTCTGATATTTATCGCTTCATTTCTTCACCATCCATTTAAGATATATTTAACCACAACTCAGCACTTCAGCTAGTCTAACTTACTTGCATAGTAGAGTGAACCAGAACTTACTCCTCATGTAGTTTGTGTATTTGGTTGCCTTACTCTTGTCAATCGGTGGCTACCCAATTTCCCACTTGCCATACACCAGTGAATGCCCTGGGTCCCAGACATAGTCCACCCAACACAACTATTAATATGTAGCAGTAACCCTAGCACCTCATGAAAAATAGGGTTGAGTATGCCTACTAATTTACCTCTTTGCACAAGAAGAAACAAATGAAAACAACGTAAAGGAGCCTGGATCATGTTCCATCAGCAAAGACACATGCATTCTGGTTTCTGAACAAACTGAACAAAATCAGAACAGACCCCCACAATTCTGTAAATCTCTCCAGCAATCAGTGAAATGATCTATCAATCGTGACTTACCATATGGGATTCAACTGTCCTTAAGACAGTATCTAAGCAAGTATTGCTGAGGAAATAAATTAGCAAAAAGCTGAACACCTGGGTTCTCTTAATTGCAGATTACTTCCCATCAACCCCTGGCTCTGACCTCCCGACCTCCAGGAAAAAGAGGAAGCAGATCCGATTAGTTTTGAGTAAATTCAAAAGTAATAACATTAGTTTTATCATTTTGGCATTAATTCACAAGTCTTTGGGTCAACTGGCTAGGAAAAAAAAGTTCAAATTACCTAAAGAAAGTCATTTTTTAAGCAAGTAGATTTAAAATAAAAACAGAAACCTGGGGCAGGAAAAATTATCGCGGACATATTACAAGAAAGTAAGGACCTGTTCAGAGAAATGAGGGCCAAACCAGAAGAGAAGATCCATAGAAGTCAAATAGTCACAGTATGATTATAGTAAAATAAGTAATCATTATAGTCAGATGGAATAAATTGAATTTTATGGAGGTGTGTGTCCGTAATGACACTAAAAAAAGGGAGGGGTTAGTTCAAAATGAGTAAAACAATAATTATAAGTTATAAATTTCTGTATTGTCTATTAAATATGCTATGAACGAGTAAAATCAAATTATGAGTTCTATAATAGAGTTTTCTCCCAAAAAAGATGTACTATAAAAAATTTCAAACATCCCAAAAACTTATAAAAATTTTACAATGAACATCTGAACACCCACCACCTAGATTCTATCATTAACATCTTACTATACTTACTTTATTATACACCTATCCTTTAATCCTGTATACATCTGCATTGATTTGTCAGAACTGCTGTACAAGGTACCACAGACCAGGTGGCTAAAACAGCATAAATTTATTTTCTCTGGATCCTGGATAATAGAAGTGAAGACCATGATCAAGGTGTCAGCAGGGTTACTTTCTTCTGAGGCTCCCCTCCTTGGCTTGCAGATAGCTGTCTTTGCTCTGCATCTTCACATGATATTCTTCTGTGCTCTGTCTCTGACCTAATCTTCTAATCTCTTCTCATAAGGGCACCAGTCATTATGGATTAGGGCCCATCCCTATGATCACATTTTACCTTAATCACCTCTTCAGAGGCCCTGTCTCCAAATGCAGTCACATTCAAGATACTGGGAGTTAGAACTTAAGCATGTGAATTTTGGGGAGACAAATTCAGCCCATAACAATGCCCGTGAATTTTTTTATGCTTTTAAAAATAAACTAAAAGCATTAATACACTTCCTTCTATGATGGAGTATTGATCTAAAACCAGTTTATCAATTGAAATTGTCAATCAGTGTGGGGTAGGTGAATAAAGCACCTACTAGTAAAAGAAATATTGGGCATGATAAATGAGAAACAACAAGGTATGTAATGCCCATCACAAGTGTCCAGGAGACAAATATTACTTTGCTCATTATTATGTTAAACCTGGTCAGAACTTTATTATTAACATTCTAGAATGGACTAAAATGTAATTTAATCACAGAAATTTGACTCATCCCCAGATACTAGTGGCAAGGAAGATTAAATTAGAAGAAATACATAACCATAAAGAATGTAATGAGAACGGCAAAGGGATCATGTAAACAGAAAAGTAAAATAAGAATTAGTCCAAAGCTATTTGGAGTGGTCAAAAGACATAACTTTGGGATGCAACAACTATGCTTAGTTAATCATACCACTCTTAAGAAACAAACTTAAAACAATTCGATGTTTTGTATAATTTATTACAGGAAATTATAATATTATTATACTGTTATATTAGTTAGGGTATGAGTTTAAAAGCCACAACAGAATACTTCAAAACACAATCCCTTAAGAAATACAGAAGTAATTTTTTTCATCTATCAGATGAGAGTCCAGAGGCAAGTGATCCAAGCTGATGGGTTGTCTCTGCTTGCCAGTGTCATCTGGAGGCACAGGTACTTTCTAACTTTTTGCTCTTCCATCTCCTAGGTTATTCTCCTGACTTTCAAGCCAGATATGTACCACAACTGCATTCTAGTTAACAAGAAGAGGTCAAGATGAAGACTATGACAAGTTGTTACATCCCTAAGAATATAATCTGAAAGCTGGACTTATTACTTCCTCTACAGCTCATTGGCCAGAAATTAGTAACATGTCCACACCAGGCAGCAAGTGGTGTGAGTAATGCTAGTCTGTAACTAGGGAGCCATGGGATCAGCTAAAATGTAGTATATTCTAGTATTAAAAAGAAGAAGAAAATGGATACTGGGAGTGACAAAGATTCTTTCCTTGGCCAAACCCTAGCCAGGCTCCTCTGAGCTCTCTTCTCAACTAGGCCTCAATCTTGACCCACTACTTGAATAAAATGCTAACATCGTTTTTAACAGCAAAGGCAACCTCCCTAGGTTAACCCTAGACTCCCTTAAAGTGCCTGCCTGAAAAAGTTCAAGGTTACCAAAATACCTTATTATTTGTTCCAGCCAATATTTGAAGCTAAGGCCCCTGTCTCTCAGCCTCTGTTGGAGTGTAAGAGCTTAATTTTTAAAAGTTACCATTTAATAAACCCAGGTGAGCTTCACATGGACCTACTCCCCCTTCCCACTTTTTATAATTTTTTCAGTTTCATGACCCTGCTTAGCCCCTGCTCACTTCCCTCCCTATTCCCATATTCTCTGTTTAAAACACCTGGTCGCTTTTTGGTATCATTTGAATGATGGTGTTCACTCCAACGTTCATATTAAAACTTAGTTCATAATGCAACAGTATTAAGAGATGTGGTCTTTGGGAGGTGATTAAGTCATAAAGGCCCAACCCTCATGATTTGGATTAGCACCCTTAGGAAAAGGATTGGGGTTGAAGAGAACACTCTCTTGCCCTTCTGTCATCCCTTCTGCCATAGGATAACACCTAGGTGGTACCATCTATGAGGAATGGGCTTCCCCAGACACTGAATCTGCTGGTGCATTTATTTTGGATGCCCCAGCCTCTAGAACAGTGAGAAAATAAATTTCTCATTTTCATAAATTACTGAGTCTCAGGTATGTTGTTATAGCAGCATAAATAAACCAAGACACTTTAGTATAAATCAAAGTTGAATTCAGTTTACATTGAATTATTTTCCTATTGTAATAGTGTGCTACTGATTAAAATCTGTCCTTATCATTTTAACTAGAGCCTGGTTTCTTCTTTATTCTTACTGTTTTCACTCTTTGTTATTATTTTCCTATATAATATAATGTTAACATACTCCACTTTTATGACAGAAACTATTTACTGCTAACTGAACTCTGTCAAAGACAATCATAAGTGAACCCCTTTAATAGGGAAATATAAATTTAGAAAAACATATAGAAAAGATGAATGCTGGTGAAAGGGCCATGATCATCAGAAGGGAAATTAATTAGAGGGAACAAAGTTAAGATCATTTAGTAAAAATTTAGTTCAAGGAAATAGGTCAATGAATTCAAAAGAACGTGTACAGATCAACAAGGCGTCATTAGAAATAAACAACATAAAAAAGGGGTTCTGAAAAATGTTTTTATTCTTGTGAACATAAAAGTGAAGCATGCCAAGAACAGTCTGGGTTTGACAAATTGAATCAGAGGGTTAAACTGAAGCAAAATCTAGGACACAGCACTACTGTTCCATGGCAATGAGCACCCTCTCCATGCTAATGATCATATAATAAGGAAGGGAACATTAGTTGTCTGGATTAAATTGTGTTTCTCCCCACTCCCAAAATTCACATGTTGAAGCCCTGACCTCCAATACGACTATATTTGGAGATAAGGTATATTAGTCCATTCTCACATTGCTATAAAGAAATGCCTGAGACTGGGTAATTTATAAAGAAAGACGTTTAACTGGCTCACAGTTCCACAGGCTGTACAGGAAGCATAGTAGTTTCGGCTTCTGGGAAGGCCTCAGGGAACATTTACTCATGGCGAAGGCAAAGTGGGAGCAGGCATCTTACATGGCAGGAGCAGGGCCAAAAGAGAGAGAGGAGGTGCTAAACACCTTTAAACAACCAAATCTTGTGAGAACTCACTCACTATACAGTAGGAAGAGGGATGGTACTAAATCATTCTTGAGAACTCTATCCCATGGTCCAATACCTCCCACCAGACCCCACCACCAACACTAGGGATTACAATTGAACATAAAATTTGTGTGGGGACACAGATCCAAACTATATCATAGGGCTTTTAGGAAGTCATAAGGGTGACATCCTAATCCAATAGGATTTGTAGCTTTATAAAAAGAGGAGGAGAGAGAGATCACTCTCTTTCTCTCCACACACAGGTACCAAGGAAAGGCCCTGTGAACACAGTGAGATGGCAGCTCTCTGCGGGCCAGGAAGACAGCCCTCACTAGAAACCAAATTGGCACCTTGATCTTAGACTTCCTAGACTTAAGAACTGTGAGAAATAAAGTTCTATTGTTTAAGCCACACAGGCTATGTTATTTTGTTAAGGCGGCCCAAGCAGACTGATACAACTAGTAAATTTCATAAGTACTAATTAAAGGTACAACCTCATAATATAGAAGAAAAGAGTTTTCCAACAAAGAATGAGGTCTCAGAGAGAACACTTGGCTTACAGGTAGAATTAATTCACTTCATGCCACATTCCTGTTAGACCTTCTAGATATAGCACATACCTGTAGTCAAGGATTTCTCAACCTTGACACTCCTAACATTTTGGGCAGGATAATTCTTTGTTGTAGGGGACAGTCATGTGCACTGTAGGTTATTGGCAGCATTCCCAGCACTTATCCAGCAGATGCCAGTAGAACTTCCTTCCCTTCCATCTCTCTGCTTCAGCCACATTAGCCTCCTCACTGTTTCACCAACAGGCTGGCCATGTTCCTACCCTAACCAGGGCCTATGCTCTGATTGTTTCATCTGCTAGGAATACTTGCTCCAGACCTCCACAAGGATTATTCTCTTGTCCCCTTTAAGTCTTTGCTCAAGGTTTACCCTGACCCCCAGCTGTAATTACAAATCTTCCCCCTTAACCTTCTCCTTGCCCCACAGCTTTGACACCAAACTGTCTCTAAATATTGCCAAATGCTCCCTTTGGAGCAATATTACCTTTGGTTGAATACTACTACTGCTATAGTTGGTACCAGCAACCTCAGTCTAATTCAATGACAATAATGTAGTTTCATATCCACATTGTTCTGCCTGCAATATTATCAGCATTGCTGGCAGAGAAAGATCTTTATGGGAAAAACAAAATATTGTACTTAAGTTTAAGTGGAACAAGATCAGAGTAATAAGAACAGTATGCTATTAGGTTATTTATTTTCTCTTCCTCTTGTAAATGATAGTGTTGGTCTGGTCCAGAAAGGGCAAGAAAAATAAAACAGAAAGTCAAATGAGTGCACATTTATGTAAGCTAGTCTTATCTCATCCTTATTTATTTGAGGCAAGTTACAGAAATATAAACAACAGGATAAAAATAAAGAATGTAGGGCAAAAGAAAAACCATAAAATATGACCATGGAAAGTTTGTATTCGAATTGATGCCATAAGGTCCTGTGCTCTTGCTAGAAGTAGATGGGATGCAAATTTGGTATAGAACTCCTTAGTGATAGAGGAAAAAAATAAATGATCAATTACAAGATCCACAGTGTTCATAAGTTTAAAGAAAGAGAAATAAAGTACTCAAGAGAAGATGACATTGAAAACAGGAAAATCTCCTTCATGGTTCTTCAAAACAAAAACAAACCATGATCTATTAGACACTTCTTTAAATAATGCAATATTTTTATCTTTGACTTTTCTATACCTGTATTAGGCATAATCAATTTACGTATTTATGCCAAATTGGATGCACTAAATGTAACATAAAAATTTCCCCAGCTCATGAATAAATTGAATAATTCAATGAGTAGTAAAAGTATTAATGATAATTCTTTACATTTCCATTTCATTTACATTACCATATTTAATCCTTAGAAAATCATGTGAGCATTTGATAACACTTTTATAGATAAAACTAAGACTTAGAGAGGTCAAGTAACTTGCCCAAGATCAAACACCTAATTTGTGAAAAAAGCAGGATTTGAATCAATGACTTTTGGCTGTATGTTCATTTTTGTTTCATTATACTACCTGTCTCTCCTCTACTAATATTTTGCATATAAATTTTACTTTAGTAAATATTTACTTTAATAGCACATAGCTATTGATAAGGAAGGCTTCAGAAGCACATGAAAGGAATCTGCATTTGAAGTGGCTTAAACAATAGCAAATGTATCACTTAGGGAAGCCAGGTCCCTGGTATAATAAGAACATGGGCATACAATATCTTAAAGAAATACTGATCTTTCTGCCTTTTTGTTCCATTATCCAGTGTCAACTTCATTCACATCTCCATTTTCACAACACGACTGCAGTAGTTCAAAGCAACAAGTGTAAACATGGCACCTAGTGAGAAAAGAGACCATTTCTTATTTTTTAAAACAGTTCTATTAAACATACCTTATTGTTTTCCTTTCATGTTGTTTTATTTGTTGTTGAAAGTAGAGTACTGAAATCTCCACCACTGTTGAGTTACCGATTTGTCCCTTCATTTCTGTCAGTTTTTGCTTCATGTATATTGGAGCTCTGTTATTAGGTGAATATATGTTTATAACTGTTCTATCTTGCCAATGGATTGACCCTTTTATCATTATAAAATATCCCTTTTTTGTTCTAAGGTCTACTTTGTCTGATAGTATATCAAGCTTTCTTGTAGGTATTGTTTGCATAATGTGTCTTTCCCCTTTTACTTTTAATTAAATCTTTTAATCTAAAGTGTTCTGTCCATTAACCACATATAGTCGGATCTTAGTGTTTTATCCAGTCTGATGATTTCTGTCTTTTTATTGGATTGTTTAATCCATTCATATTAATGTTATTACTGATATAGTTGGATCTATGTCTGCCATTTTACTTTTTGTCTTCTATGTCTCATTTTCTTGTTCCTATGTTTCTCCTTTACTGCTTTGTTTTGCATTTTATTAAATAGCACTTTAATTTCTTTAATAATTTGTAGCACTTTTTAGTTATATCCTTAATGATTACTCTAGGACATACCATATACATCTTACCTTATCTCAGATTTATACTAACTTAATTCTGGTTAGATGTAGAAACATTATTCCCATAAAGCTCTATTCTGTTTTTCCCCTTTTTGTAGTACTATTGTTATACAAATTACATCTATAAATATTACTAACTCAATAATACATTGTTAAAATTACTACATTATATAATTTTATGATTTTTAAAGAAGCTGAGAAAAGAGAAAGTGTATGTGTGTAGCTATTGTCATATTAACGTTCTTATTTATCCTTTCTGATTCTCTTCATTTGTTTCTATTGATTTGTGTTACCATCTGAAGTTATTATCTTTGCCAAATACAGGTTGTTCTCACCTATTTCATTTATTTGCAAATACATTATAATACAATATATACATATTTTTATATAATAACTTTTCAAATCAGTTTAGATAAAACAGAGAAAAGTATGCATTTATACTGACCTTTATAATTACATAACTATGTAATTATAAGCACATTTGCCAGTGGTTTTTTTTGTTTGTTTAGTCATGTGTATTTAGATTTACCATCTGGGGTCACTTGCTTTCAGCCAGAATTTCCATCAGTATTCCTTGTAAGGTGGGCCTACTAGAAACGAACTGGTTCAGTTTGTGTTTATTTGAATATGTCCTTATTTCGCCTTCATTTATGAAAGATAACTTTGCTGGATATAAGATTCTTAGTTGACTTTCTGGTTTTTTTACTTCAGCACTTTGAATATCTTATTCCAGTGCCTCTGGCCTCCAATTTTTCTCTGCTGAGAAGTCATATGCTAATCTTTGGGGCTTTTCTTGTAAATGACAAGTTATTTTTCTCTTGCTACTTTCTAGATTTTCTCCTTGTCTTTCGCTTTAAGCACTTTTGCTATGATGAATCTATTTGTGGATCTTTTTGCGTATTTAACCTACTTGAAGTTTGTTGAGCTTCCTGGATACATAGGTTAGTATTATTCAACAAATTTGAGAACTTTTCATCCATTATTTCTTTAATATTTTTTCTGCTTCTTTGTACTTCTCCTCTCTTCCTGGTACTCCTATCACATGTATGTTGGTTCACTTGTGTCCCACATTTCTCTGAAGCTCTCTTCACTTTCCTTCATTTATTTTTCTTCTTCCTCTTCAGATTGCATCATTTCTATTGTCCTATCTTCAAGTTTATTAATTTTTTCTTTTGCTAGTTTAAATCTACTTAAGCACCTCTAGTAAATATTTTATTTTACTTATTCTACTTTTCAAATCAAAAATTTACATTTTAATTTCTAATAGGATTTTTATCTCTTTATTGGTATTTTCCATTTGATGTGACATTGTCATCACATCTTACTTTAATTCTTTGTTTATTTATTTCTGTTTTTTTGAGACTGAGTCTCACTCTGTCACCCAGGCTGGAGTGCAGTGGGGTGATCTTGGCTCACTGCAGCCTCCGCCTCCTAGGTTCAAGCAATTCACCTGCCTCAGCCTCCTGAGTAGCTGAGATTACAGGTGCATGCCACCACACCCAGCTAGTTTTTGTATTTTCAGTAGAGACAGGGTTTCATCACATTGGCCAGGCTAGTCTCAAACTCCTGACCCAGTGATCTGCCCACCTCGGCCTCCCAAAGTGTTGGGATTACAAGTGTGAGCCACCACACTACAGGTGTGAGCCACCGCTCCTGGCCTTACTTTAATTCTTTAATCATAGTTTTATTTCATTCATTAACACATATTTAACAGTTACTTTGAAGTCTTTTCTGGTATATCTGACATCTTGTCCCTCTCACAGTCTGTTTCTGTTGCCTGCTTTTCTTTATGGCATATAGGTCATACATTCTTATTCATTTTCATTTCTCATAATTTTTTGTAGGTAACTGGACACTTTAGGTAATATATTATCACAACTCTGTGTACTAATATGCCCCTTACAGGGATTGTTATTGTTCTTTGTTTGTTTATTTGTTTAGTGACTGGTTGGATTATTTTAGTGAAGTCTATCTCCCATCCTTTTTAAGCCTCTGATTTTTGTCCTCAATTGGCACAACATTGGATATGCCCACAGTCATTCCAGAATAAGTGTGGTTTTGGCTAGGCTGCCTTTGACTGTCTCTTTCTCTGAACCATACCCGTGTACCTTAAGTATGCAAAACACAGTCTCATATTAGGGCATTTCCCTTTGCTTCTCCCTCATCTGAAAGACTTCTCCCAGATATTATCATGACTTACTTTCTCATTTCATTGTGATCTTTGGTCAAATATTACTTCCACAGAAAGCTCTTCTCTGCCAAATCTATCTAAAATAGCAGTCCCTGTTGGGTTTCTTTCCTGGTTTTATTTTTTCCCACAACACTTATACTAATGACATAATAACATGTAATTTATTATTATTATTATTATTATTATTATCACCTTCATTATTATTATCCATCTCATACACTAGAATGTGATTCACAAAGCATGGGCCTTGCCTGCCACATTCACTGTTATACCATTCCTAGAGTCTAAAACAGGTCTTGGCACATAGTAGGCACTCACCAAATGTTGCTATGTAAATGAATGAGAAAATGAAGGAATGAATGCTGTCTCCTTATATTAGGCATTAAAAGTGGGGGAGAGTATGCTCCGGGAAGAAGACTAAGGATGAGAAGAACAAGGATGCTGAGACACCAAAGGCAAACTTCCCACCTTTGCCTTCTTGGGCTTATGCCTCTGTGTATCTGAGGAAGTAACTTCTACTGAAAAGGTTTATCTGCCTTATTACTTTGTTCTAAAATCTCTCAAATCCCAAGCTGCAAGGCAAGAGAGAGAAGGCACTGGTACAGTAAGAGAAAGGATTTTGAGTATGTTTAAGTTTTGTAAGCACGCTCATTTTTAGGGTTAGGGAAATGTGTACAAAGACAAGTATAAAGGACCACAGCCACTCAGGAGAAAAGTTTACATGTAACTTTCAAAATATTTACCTATGACTCTATGCAATCTCTACTCAATCAGATCACTCCTCTGCTAAAATTTCTTCAAAGATACCCCTAGTTATTTCAGGAAAAAGACTCAGATACTTACATGATTAAAAGATCCTGTAGGATCTGGCTTCAGCCTTTCCCTCTAAGTGTGGATTAAGCAAACTGCTCCCCAACCTTGCTGGGCTCCATTGAGTTCTTCAAATGGTTCCTCAGCACCTCTATCCAAATGGCCATGTACCCTGCAAACTTTCCTCTTCAGGCATTGCTTAGATAACCTTAACTCATGTTTTAGGTCTCAACTCAAATCTCACTTCTCACTTCTACTTAGGCCTCTTCTCACTTCCCTAAACTATGTAGTCCCCTGAATTACGATAAAGTTGCCTTCTGTAACAAATGGGCTTCAACACAAAAATGACTCAAACTATTGTGTCTCACTCATACAGCGTCCAAGGCAGGATAATTTGAGGACACCGATGATATTATCTGAAACTTTTTTAACACATGATTTAGAAGATTATCTCAATGCTAGTCAGCTGGATCAGGATAAGAGCATAGAGGAGCACATATAGGAGGTTTTATGAGCAAACCTGAAATTGGCAGGTATCACATTTTCTCACATCCTAATGGCTAGATGTCAGTCATATGGCCATGCCTAACTGCAAGGGAGACTGGGAAATGTAATCTAGCTGCAGTCCCAGGAAAAAGCAGAGAATTTGGATTTTGGCAAAAAGGCAACAGAATCTGCCACAAGGCCCCCTTCCTCCTCCTCCTCCTCCATTATATATTTCTATACCACCTGACATTTCTCTGTCACAAAGCTCAATGCACATGTTTTATGTTAGACTTGTAAAGTCTCTGAAGGCAGGGACTGGGTGTAACTATTCCCCGCTACATCCCTTGGCAAGTAGGATCTCAGTAAATATTACACTGAGCATTGTGAAACTGCTATTTTGTTGGTCATAAAATGTCTAATATTAGCAATTTCAAAAAACAACCTTTAAGACAAATCTTTGGCAAACAAGTTGTTTAGCAGACCGTCTCAGATAGGTTAGTGGAAAGCTACTACATAGAACTCAGCTGTTTTTCAACTTACTTCTTTCAACTGGTACTAAGCTTTGTTAGGTAATTTAAATCCTTGCCAGGGAAACACTTGTAGAGCAAAATGTTTTATGGACTAACTCTGAGGTCATGCAGCCTGGGGAGATTCAGAGGAGAGGAGAGCTCACACACAGACCTCCACTCAGGCTTATGAGGAAGTTTTGTCATGCATGTTAATAAATGACAGACCTCCAGTGCTACCCTAATTAAGCAAACATTTGTTCAGCATCTACTATGTACCAGACATGTGTCCAGAGCCAAGGAATCAAAGATGAGTGCTTCGATTGCTTCCTTGGAGGAGATCATAGACTTGCAAGGGATTCAAGGTCAGTTTGTTTTGGAAATACCCCTTTAGCAGTTTTTGGAAAAACGGGCAAGACAAGAGGAAGAAAAACCATCTGGGAGTTGATTTTAGTAGTCCAGGCAAGAGATAGTGCCCTATATTTTTTCCTTCACAACTTTTTCTTTCTTTCTTTCCTTGAAGGAGAAGAGACGGTAGAGAGAGGAGTGGTAATGGGAAAGGTGAAGAAGCACAACTATTTAATAAAGAACTCAATGGTCCCTCACCTGCTGATGAAGAAAGTAGCTAAGGCTCAGAAAAGGCAGCTGCCATGCAGATAAATATCAAATGAATGAGTGCGCTGTGCCTAGAAGGCATTCACCTAAGAAGTTCTCCCACTCCTTTCTAATCCCTTTAAATAGAGAAATATGCCACTAAAATTAAGAAAAATTAGGATCTCAAGAGTGTCAGGATTGAGGCTGTGCAGTCTTTTCCTGGAATCCACCTTGACACTTAAGACTCTACCTTAATCCTATGAGTGTAATGTTGGAGCATTGAGAAGGAAACCCCTCTCTAGGGTGTGTGCATTTCATCATTTGTCAAGCACAAGCAGTCTTTTTGCTGGGTCTTTGTTGCTGTCAGGCTCTGAGCTAAAAATAGACTTTCCAAAGAAAGCTCCCTTTAGGTGGTCTTACCAAGGCAATTTACATTATCAGCTCCAAGCTGCAAGACTAATTTGGAACATTCCTGCATTTGATGTGCTCCCCGCCTTTTTTTTTTTTCTGGAATCTGCTTTTTTCACAATAGACCTTAAGGAATTGCTCACTACAGAGATCTCAGATCTTGAACCAGGAATTAGGATGTGACTGAGGGGGTGGGGCTAGCATGGTTTAAGTACCTGTAAGTTCCAATCAGATTCTCTGCACAGAGCTATCAAACTCTTCTGCCCATTTTTTCTCCTATGTTAAGGTTAAAAATATCCGCCTACAAATTTATACTCCTGTAAGCTTTCTACTAAATCTAGTCAACTCTGTGAGGTCACAATTAATTCACTTTTATAACACTTGGAGGGACGAGTCAGTTGCAGAATGCTCTGCAATTGTCACTGTTGAGACTGAAAGAGCACCCACATCAGAGCACCAGGATCCCCAAAGCAGTGTTCAAATTGAGTAGCATGTCACAGTCAGATTGTTCTGGGCAGTGTCAGATACCTTGAGCCTGAAATCTAGCTTTACCACTGCTTGCCCAGTTGTGGAGACTGGAAGCCCTGTACATGACGTGCCTAAGCCTCATTGGTAAATAATACGTTGTCAGAGTTGTCCTTGACCAAATGCCCCCTTCAGAGGCATGACTGTACCAACAAGTCCAACTTCTATTGCCAAAGGGCATGTGTAAAACCTGTCACGTTATCAAAAGAGCTTTTAAAGACAATTTTATTAGTTAGTCATTTTGACAACCGTGTGGGATGACAAATTTTACAGATGAAGAAATGAAAACTCAGCAAAGTAAATTGACTTGAGTCAAAATTTGCCCAAATTTCAAGCATCACAGTACTGGAAATAAAACTGATCATTATTTTAGTGAAACTCAACATTTATTTGATACTATGTCTTCCCATCCATAAACAAGATACCTCTGACCATTAAAATCTCAAGTGTTGTTCACCATTTACTGATGCAACAGTTACAGACTAAATGACTAGGATATGCATCAGGTAACTCATAGCTTTTGCTGGTGTTCGGTTTTGGTTTATTCATTGTATATAAATTCCTACACAATCTTATAAAGACTATTTCTTAATTTTAAAAAATTATACTAAGATGGCCAAATAGGAACAGCTCCAGTCTACAGCTCCCAGCATGAGTGATGCAGAAGACGGGTGATTTCTGCATTTCCAACTGAGGTACCGGGTTCATCTCACTGGGGAGTGCTGGACAGTGGGTGCAGGACAGTGGGTGCAGCACACTGTGCGTGAGCTGAAGCAGGGCAAGGCATCGCCTCACCCAGGAAGCACAAGGGGTCAGGGAATTCCCTTTCCTAGTCAAAGAAAGGGGTGACAGACAGCACCTGGAAAACCGGGCCACTCCCACCCTAATACTGTGCTTTTCCAATGGGCTTAACAAATGGCACACCAGGAGGTTATATCCCGCACCTGGCTCGGAGGGTCCTATGCCCACGGAGCCTCACTCATTGCTAGCACAGCAGTCTGAGATCAAACTGCAAGGCGGCAGCGAGGCTGGGGTAAGGGCGCCTGCCATTGCTGAGGCTTGAGTAGGTAAACAAAGCAGCCAGGAAGCTCGAACTGGGTGGAGCCCACCACAGCTCAAGGAGGCCTGCCTGCCTCTGTAGGCTCCACCTCTGGGGGCAGGGCACAGACAAACAAAAGGCAGCATAACCTCTGCAGAATTAAATGTCCCTGTCTGACAGCTTTGAAGAGCGTAGTGGTTCTCCCAGCATGCAGCTTGAGATCTGAGAATGGGCAGACTGCCTCCTCAAGTGGGTCCCTGACCCCCGAGTAGCCTAACTGGGAGTTAGGCTACCCCCAGTAAGGGCAGACTGACACCTCACATGGCCAGGTACTCCTCTGAGACAAAACTTCCAGAGGAACGATCAGGCAGCAACATTTGCTGTTCACCAATATCCGCTGTTCTGCAGCCTCCGCTGCTGATACCCAGACAAACAGGGTCTGGAGTGGACCTCCTGTGAACTCCAACAGACCTGCAGCTGAGGGTCCTGACTATTAGAAGGAAAACTAACAAACAGAAAGGACATCCACACCAAAAACCCATCTGTAGGTCACCATCATCAAAGACCAAAGATAGATAAAACCACAAAGATGGGGAAAAAACAGAGCAGAAAGACCGGAAACTCTAAAAATCAGAGCGCCTCTACTTCTCCAAAGGAACGCAGCTCCTCACCAGCAACGGAACAAAGCTGGATGGAGAATGACTTTGACAAGTAGAGAGAAAAAGGCTTCAGAAGATCAAACTACTTCGAGCTAAAGGAGGAAGTTCAAACCAATGGCAAAGAAGTTAAAAACCTTGAAAAAAATTAGATGAATGGCTAACTAGAATAACCAATGCAGAGAAGTCCTTAAAGGGCCTGATGGAGCTGAAATCCACAGCATGAGAACTACATGACGAATGCACAAGCCTCAGTAGCCAATGCGATCCACTGGAAGAAAGGGTATCAGTGATGGAAGACGAAATGAATGAAATGAAGCAAGAAGAGAAGTTTAGAGAAAAAAGAATAAAAAGAAACAAACAAAGCCTCCAAGAAATAAGGATACGTGAAAAGACCAAATCTACATCTGATTGGTGTACCTGAAAGTGACAGGGAGAATGGAACCAAGTTGGAAAACACTCTGCAGGATATTATCCTGGAGAACTTCCCCAATCTAGCAAGGCAGGCCAACATTCAAATTCAGGAAATACAGAGAATGCCACAAAGATACTCCTTGAGAAGAGCAACTCCAAGACACATAATTGTCAGATTCACCAAAGTTGAAATGAAGGAAAAAATGTTAAGGGCAGCCAGAGAGAAAGGTCGGGTTACCCACAAAGGGAAGCCCATCAGACTAACGCTGATATCTCGGCAGAAACTCTACAAGCCAGAAGAGAGTGGGGGCCAATATTCAACATTCTTAAAGAAAAGAATTTTCAACCCAGAATTTCATATCCAGCCAAACTAAGCTTCATAAGTGAAGGAGAAATAAAATACTTTACAGACAAGCAAATGCTGAGAGATTTTGTCACCACCAGGCCTGTCCTACAAGACCTCCTGAAGGAAGCATTAACATGGAAAGGAAAAACTGGTACCAGCCACTGCAAAAACATGCCAAATTGTAAAGACCTTCAAGGCTAGGAAGAAACTGCATCAACTAATGAGCAAAATAACCAGCTAACATCATAATGACAGGATCAAATTCACACATAACAATATTAACCTTAAATGTAAATGGGCTAAACGCTCCAATTAAAAGATACAGACTGGCAAATTGGATAAAGAGTCAAGACCCATCAGTGTGCTGTATTCAGGAAACCCATCTCACGTGCAGAGACACACATAGGCTCAAAATAAAGGGATGGAGGAAAATCTACCAAGCAAATGGAAAACAAAAAAAGGCAGGGGTTGCAATCCTAGTCTCGGGTAAAATAGACTTTAAGCCAACAAAGATCAAAAGAGACAAAGAAGGCCATTACATAATGGTAAAGGGATCAATGCAACAAGAAGAGCTAACTATTCTAAATATATATGCACCCAATACAGGAGCACCCAGATTCATAAAGCAAGTCCTTAGTGACCTACAAAGAGACTTAGACTCACACAAAATAATAATGGGAGATTTTAACAACCCACTGTCAACATTAGACAGATCAATGAGACAGAAAGTTAACAAGGATATCCAGGAATTGAACTCAGCTCTGCACCAAGTGGACCTAATAGACATCTACAGAACTCTCCACCCCAAATCAACAGAATACACACTCTTTTCAGCACCACACCACACCTATTCCAAAATTGACCACATAGTTGGAAGTAAAGCACTCCTCAGTAAATGTAAAAGAACAGAAATTATAACAAACTGTCTCTCGGACCACAGTGCAATCAAACTAGAACTCAGGATTAAGAAACTCACTCAAAACCACTCAACTACATGGAAACTGAACAACATGCTCCTGAATGACAACTGGGTACACAACGAAATGAAGGCAGAAATAAAGATGTTCTTGGAAACGAGTGAGAACAAAGACACAACATACCAGAATCTCTGGGACACATTCAAAGCAATATGTAGAGAGAAATTTATATCACTAAATGCCCACAAGAGAAAGCAGGAAAGATCTAAAATTGACACCCTAACATCACAATTAAAAGAACTAGAGAAGCAAGAGCAAACATATTCAAAAGCTAGCAGAAGGCAAGAAATAACTAAGATCAGAGCAGAACTGAAGGAAATAGAGACACAAAAAACCCTTCAAAAAATCAAAGAATCCAGGAGCTGGTGTTTTGAAAAGATCAACAAAATTGATAGACCTCTAGCAAGACTAATAAAGAAGAAAAGAGAGAAGATTCAAATAGACACAATAAAAAATGATAAAGGGGATATCACCACCGATCCCACAGAAATACAAACTACCATCAGAGAATACTACAAACACCTCTACGCAAATAAACTAGAAAATCTAGAAGAAATGGATAAATTCCTCGACACATAAACCCTCCCAAGACTAAAGCAGGAAGAAGTTGAATCTCTGAATAGACCAATAACAGGCTTTGAAATTGAGGCAATAATTAATAGCTTACCAACCAAAAAAAGTCCAGGACCAGATGGATTCACAGCCGAATTCTACCAGAGGTACAAGGAGGAGCTGGTACCATTCCTTCTGAAACTATTCCAATCAATAGAAAAGGAGGGAATCCTCCCTAACTCATTTTATGAGGCCAGCCTCATCCTGATACCAAAGCCTGGCAGAGACACAACCAAAAAAGAGAATTTTAGATCAATATCCTTGATGAACATCGATGCAAAAATCCTCAATAAAATACTGGCAAACCGAATCCAGCAGCACATCAAAAAGCTTACCCACCATGATCAAGTGGGCTTCATCCCTGGGATGCAAGGCTGGTTCAACATACACAAATCAATAAACGTAATCCAGCATATAAACAGAACCAAAGACAAAAACCACATGATTATCTCAATAGATGCAGAAAAGGCCTTTGACAAAATTCAACAACCCTGCATGCTAAAAACTCTCAATAAATTAGGTATTGATGGGAGGTATCTCAAAATAATAAGAGCTATCTATGACAAACCCACAGCCAATATCATACTGAATGTACAAAAACTGGAAGCATTGCCTTTGAAAACTGGCAAAAGACAGGGATGCCCTCTCTCACCACTCCTATTCAACAGTGTTGGAAGTTCTGGCCAGGGCAATCAGGCAGGAGAAAGAAATAAAGGGCATTCAATTAGGAAAAGAGGAAGTCAAATTGTCCCTGTTTGCAGATGACATGATTGTATATTTAGAAAACCCCATCGACTCAGCCCAAAATCTCCTCAAGCTGATAAGCAACTTCAGCAAAGTCTCAGGATACAAAATCAATCTGCAAAAATCACAAGCATTCTTATACACCAATAACAGACAAACAGAGAGCCAAATCATGAGTGAACTCCCATTCACAATTGCTTCAAAGAGAATAAAATACCTAGGAATCCAACTTACAAGGGATGTGAAGGACTTCTTCAAGGAGAACTACAAACCACTGCTCAAGGAAATAAAAGAGGATACAAACAAATGGAAGAACATTCCATGCTCATGGGTAGGAAGAATCAATATTGTGAAAATGGCCACACTGCCCAAGGTAATTTATTCAATGCCATCCCCATCAAGCTACCAATGACTTTCTTCACAGAATTGGAAAAAACTACTTTAAAGTTCATATGGAACCAAAAAAGAGCCCGCATTGCTAAGTCAATCCTAAGCCAAAAGAACAAAGCTGGAGGCATCACGCTACCTGACTTCAAACTATACTACAAGGCTACAGTAACCAAAACAGCATGGTACTGGTACCAAAACAGAGATATAGATCAATGGAATGGAACAGAGCCCTCAGAAACAATGCCGCATATCTACAATTATCTGATCTTTGACAAACCTGACAAAAACAAGCAATGGGGAAAGGATTCCCTATTTAATAAATGGTGCTGGGAAAACTGGCTAGCCACATGTAGAAAGCTGAAACTGGATCCCTTCCTTACACCTTATACAAAAATTAATTCAAGATGGATTAAAGACTTAAATGTTAGACCTAAAACCATAAAAACCCTAGCAGAAAACCTAGGCAATACCATTCAGGACATAGGCATGGGCAAGGACTTCATGTCTAAAACACCAAAAACAATGGCAACAAAAGCCAAAATTGACAAATGGGATCTAATTAAAGAGCTTCTGCACAGCAAAAGAAACTACCATCAGAGTGAACAAGTAACCTACAGAATGGGAGAAAATTTTTGCAACCTACTCATCTGACAAAGGGCTAATATCCAGAATCTACAATGAACTCAAACAAATTTACAAGAAAAAACCAACCTCATCAAAAAGTGGGTGAAGGATATGAACAGACACTTCTCAAAAGAAGACATTCATGCAGCCAAAAAACACATAAAAAAAATGCTCATCATCACTGGCCATCAGAGAAATGCAAATCAAAACCACAATGAGATACTATCTCACACCAGTTAGAATGGTGATCATTAAAAAGTCAGGAAACAACAGGTGCTGGAGAGGATGTGGAGAAATAGAAACACTTGTACACTGTTGGTGGAAGTGTAAACTAGTTCAACCATTGTGGATGTCGGTGTGGCGATTCCTCAGGGATCTAGAACTAGAAATACCATTTGACCCAGCCATCCCATTACTGGATATATACCCAAAGGATTATAAATCATGCTGCTACAAAGACACATGCACACGTATGTTTATTGCAGCACTATTCACAATAGCAAGGACTTGGAACCAACCCAAATGTCCAACAATAATAGACTGGATTAAGAAAATGTGGCACATATACACCATGGAATACCATGCAGCCATAAAAAATGATGAGTTCATGTAATTTGTAGGGACATGGATGAAGCTGGAAACCATCATTCTCAGCAAACTATCGCAAGGACAAAAAACCAAACACCACATGTTCTCACTCATAGGTGGGAATTGAACAATGAGAACACACGGACACAGGAAAGGGAACATCATACACTGGGGACTGTTGTGGGGTGGGGAGAGGGGGGAGGGAAAGCATTAGGAGATATACCTAATGTTAAATGATGAGTTAATGGGTGCAGCACACCAACATGGCACATGTATACATATGTAACAAACCTGCACGTTGTGCACATGTACCCTAAAACTTAAAGTATAATAATAATAACATTTAAAAAAAAAGAATAAGCTAAGCAAATAAAAAAAATTGTACTTACTGTGTGAACGGGGCCTTTTTGTATTATGTTTGTCATTTATTAGAGGTAGAGAGGAAAGCTATTGCCATTTCTACTTTAATTTCCTAACCAACCACTCAAATGAACTCTCAAATGAGTTTGAATCATCTTTTATGTAATCAGGTTGGTGCAAAAGTAATTGCTATTTTGCCATTGAAAGTAAATTTCCCTACATCTCTCCCCATTACATCCTTCTCTTTTTGTCTCTCCTAACTGCCTTCCTTAAATGAACTGTCCTATGTTGCTAGGAATGGGAGTAGTTGGGATTCAGGGGAAAATTCAAAGTTTTTCATTGCCCAATTCTATGGAGCAAGGGAGTTCTGAGAGGTGCCCCAGTGAATTATTTGGGTTGCAAACATAGAGTTCACTGCTTCCCCATCCCTTGTACAACAGAACACTTCATTTCTCCTTGTGATGAGAATTAATCACCCAGCCTTCAGGTACACTTTATGCAAATTGGTTCAATAGCATAAGGAGATCTAAAGAGTCAGATAGACCTCAGCTTCTATTTTCTCAAAACAATGACAACAGTCTCTAATGGAAGTATTTCTCCTTGGGCACTACAGACTGCAAACCCACTGAACTTAAATCTACAGAAATAGTAAGCAAATTTCCACAAGTGGATTATTAGGTTTAGTGATGTGAAAAGCCACTTGCCCCCCTAGTTCCCGGACACATGCATTCTGGTTATGGGAGAGATGATTCCATATTTTGGCAGTTGTTTTTCAGCATGGTTAGCATTCACCGGACAGCACCCAAACTCAGGCATTGTTTTTTTCTTTGCTGATTCCTTAATTTAACTAAGCTCCTGGATGACAAAGCACATGGTAAGACCATAAACACATTGCCTTTCTTGTTTTTCCATAAAATGTGTCCCTTGGTCAGAAGCAATATCATGGGGGATACTATGGTATTTGGATAAGGCATTCCATAAGTTCACAAATGGTGGTGTTGGGAGATGCACTTTGAGCAGAGAAGCTAAATGTATACCTAGAATTTGTGTCTATCCCTGTAGGAACCAAAAACTGTCCCTAGCATGACAGGAGGGTTTCAGTGTTAGCTACCTACCACCAGATAGTCAACTTCCCTCCATCAAATGTCTCAGATTTGGCCCCAACTGTTGGCTAATTGTTCACTCCCCAGTGACAGAAACCAAGTCAGCCATGGTGACAGGAAGAACATGTTGACCTCTTGAATGGCCTCCATCCCTGCTGCCATGACCACTTTGTCCATGAGCTCTTTGAGCATGAACTAGGCAGCTGAGTAAAAGAGACTGATCAACATTCACAAGATAAGTCATCTTGTCACCTGACCCTGGTTTGAGTTGACCAGGGACACAATGTCTTTACAGTCTGTGCTTATTCCAAGAGGTCCATCCATAAACGCTAACAGAACTTGTCAAAATGTATTCCAGTTTCATTCTTTGCAATTCCTACCCACCAGCCTCTGTCCAGAAAACCCTTCTCACCTACAAGAAGAGGAAAACAAGATATACTATCCAGAGTTTTTCCCCCAGGAGGATTGTCCTTCACCACTATCTTTTGAGGAAGGAGGGTTGATAACAGATTCTTATTAGATTGGAACTGGCATACTTTGCAGATTCCACCATTCTTCCTCTCCACTGAGAATAAGTTTCTGGCCTTCAGAAACTCCCCATGTAGCCATAGGTGTGGATTGAGGAAAAGTAAATGAAGGTGTTGATAGTGCTCTATTTTTAAAGCAAATTATTTTTACATGAGTGATCATTATTGATATTTTCTTTTATAATTTCCATGCTATATATCTTGTTTGTATTTATTCAAAAGAAAGAAGAAGGGAAGGAAGGAAGGGAGAAAGGGAGGGAGACAGGGAAGAAAGAAGGGAGGGAGTAAGGGAGGGAGGGAGCAAGGAGGGAGGGAAGGAAGGAAGGAAGGAAGGAAGGAAGGAAGGAAGGAAGGGAGGGAGGAAATTATGCAAAAGATGTCCAAGAAAAAAGTAAAATATGACCAGTTAATTAAGCAAGTGGTGATTTTCCGTACACTTGTTAGTAACAGAAAATTGACTTACTATTCAATATCAATTTGGAGGGCACTATTTTCATCACTCGCTAAATCTCAATTCCCAAACTTTAAAATGGGATTTGTAGTACTGGATTGCAGAATGTTAGAGAGTCTAGAAAAAAAGAATATAAAGAAACTAATATATGTTTAAGCACAGAATTATTGCTTATTAGCAATATTAAGAGAGTTTTTGGCCTGGCGCGGTGGCTCACGCCTGTAATCCCAACACTTTGGAAGGCCGAGCCAGGTGGATCAGGAGGTCAATAGATCAAGACCATCCTGGCCAACATGGTGAAACCCCATCTCTACTAAAAATACAAAAATTAACTGGGCGTGGTAGCACACGCCCGTAGTCCCAGCTACTTGGGAGGCTGAGGCAGGAGAATCACTTTAACTCAGGAGGTAGAGGTTGCAGTGAGCTGAGATCACACCACTGCACTCCAGCACGGTGACAGAGTGAGACTCTGTCTCAAAAAAAAAAAAAAAAAAAGAGAGAGAGTTTTTACCTAACTATGTGTTATTATAATATGTCATGTTCTATTGCTGTAACACAGTTAAACCACATGTATTTTTTTTTTCAAATTAATAAGCTTTAAGTCTGATGAGTTTGCTAGTAAAGTCTCTCTTGATTCCGTGGTTCTTGCAAACAAAATATAAATTCTAAAATTGTCAGTTTTCAAGGATCATAAAGTAGAGCTTACAAGACCAAATGCTTGTTATCATTTTGGTTTGTTTTAGAACTTATGTCTCATTTTTAATTTATGCTGTTTTACATATCTTCCTCTAGGCATTAGTCATTATGTCTATAGTTTTAACAACGTTAATATTTAATTTATGTGTTCAGTAAATGAATAGCATAATTCAGGCACCCACACGGAAAAAAGTCCAAAGAATTTCAATAGCACTTTAATTCGGTTATATTAATAAGAAAATGGGCAAATAGAATATTCACATGGGAATTTTTTGTGATACTTATGTAATTTTTAAAACTACCAACTAGACAATAAAGTAGCTAGTTGTGGGTGGGTGAATACATCAGTAAACAGGAGTAGACTCACAGTGCAGGAAGGATGCTGGAAGAATGGTTAAAAAATAAATTTTTCACCGAAGGCCTGATATGGCCAAAAAGAAAACAGAGACCTAGGGCAGTGAATAGATTTCTTACGTTGTTGTTGCCATGCCAAATGATCTTTAGTTTTATATCAGTAGCTATCACAGCTCTAAGTCTATATCTAGAACCTCTTAAATGAGGGCGATGAATGCTCTGATTTGTAAAGCTTTAATAATGTCAGAGGAAAAGATTGCATGAGAAAGAAGGGTGACCTTGTGATGCCTGGTCTTTCCTGGTTCTCCAGGAAAAAGAAAAACTCATTATGGAAATGACACCCATGGAATGAACATTCATCTTAAAAATGAAGAGTAGAGAACTCTTTGACTTTCTGCTGACATGCTCTTTCTCCAGCCCTTGGTTTAGTCACTAGAGTTGGGCCTATATCAAAGATTGGGGACAATAAATGCCTACAACAGGTGACACCAACTGATCCTGCCAAGAGAAGATGCTGTGCCCAAGACATGTTGCCAAAGGAAGCTTTTTAAACATCCAAGTGAAGGAAAATGAAACAGAAAATTACATGGCAGCTCACGTGTGGCCACCTCAATGAAAATGTATGCCATGAAGGAACTGAATCCACCAATTGTGGTTCTCTAGAAGGGCACAGTAAAGTGGAAAGAAGACTGAACAAATACCCAGAAGATCCTGATTTTTGACTCATATCAGTATTTCACTGGATTTGTGAGACTGAGTAAGACACTTGCCTTCCCTGAGACTCAAATAGGGATAATAATGGTCAGAATAGGTTGACACACAGTAAGCACTCAAAAGTATTATTTGCCATAATTAGTATTTTATTAATATAATCTTCTAAGATTATTGTGTTGAATAAAAATGCATATCTGAAAGCCCTTATAAGTTGCAAAGCATTATGTAAACATAAGGAGCCCTGTAGCTTATTGTAGATGACAACACCAGTATTCTACCTGGCTATAGTTCTCTGAGCCTTTAAAATTCAGATGATTTAAATATTTTCCAGGGTACAACACTAAGTGGAAATTTTAAAACACACATCAAAATCCTTTCCTTCATAATGACTGCAACTAGGAAAAGAAATTACTTATGTATACAGACAAAGACAGGATGGAAACATGAAAAGATGAAAATAATTGGATTTGCTAATGGTAGTAGAAATGAGGGTTATTCATTTTTATGTCTATGTATTTTAATCTGTTCTTTAAATAAAAAACAGCTTCAATGTAAAAATAATAAAATACAGAAAGTTAAGCTAAGAATTGAGATTTACATTGGGAGTACACTGATGCCCTATATATAGTAATAATGATAATAACAGTAGTTTAATTTATTGAGTAATTTCTATGGATTAGGCATGGTGTTGAGTGTTTTACATACATGGATCTGTCTAATCATCACACCAACACCATGCACACACAGGAACACATGAAGAAAATAAAACTCACCAACTAAGTAACTTGCCAGTTTCCAGTTGGCAACTGTAGAGTACAAAAGTGCTTTGTGTGTAACAGCCTATGAAAATATTGGCTTATTTAATCTGGGAAAAATAAGTGGATTAGCATTCTTCCAGCTCTTTAGTGGTTTTGGAAAAATTAAAGAAAAATATTAAGTCACTGATCTGAGTATTTTCACTTCCATCTCATTTGCTCCTGCCCCTAGTATGAGTCTCACCAACTTCCCATTTTTTTGTGCTTACCTGTATGCTCGCTCTTTTGCCTGTAAATTCAACAACAGAACTTGAACTTAAAAGAGTACTCAAAGACAATTCAACCCTCAGCCTACAGACGAGGAGTAAGGCCTAGAGAGATATGGAGGAGTTCACCAAGTCTGGGTGGAGGAAATAACTGAAATGGCCATGGAGGCACCTGTCATCAGTTACTGAAAAAAGGAAAATACAAATAAAGCAATGGCTCTAAACATAGCCATGGGCCCCTCAGACACTATTTCACAAAGCACAGCTAACTTTCCAGGAAAGAAGGAGGGCACAGAAAGCACCCTTCTTAAAACACATAGATAGGCAGACTGGGGAGCCTCAACCACATCCCATCTCCAGTGTTACTAAACTGAAAGTAAAGTCAGCTCTAAGGTCCTTTCTTATTCTGTGCATCTCATTTGCTTTTTCTTCTGTCTTGTTTTTGAAACTGGTGTTGCTATTATTGGACATATCTAAAATAACAAAGAAATGGAAAACTTTTCTACAATTTGGAGGTCAAAAATAAAATACCTATTATTGCTTTGTTCAAAGGATTTGAGGATGTTTTACTGAAGTTGATGGTTATAAGCATTGCTACCTATGCAAAAACCAGCTGATTTTCAGTTGGAAAATTATCATGACCTTCTTCAATAACAATTTTTGAGCACAATCCCTATACCCCAAGACTGGGCCAAGCATCAGGACTGTAGAGAGTAATTAGACATAATCCTTGCCCTAGTCTAGAGAGTAAACATTCAGTGATGATAGGTGCTTCCTTATAATGTGATAAATGCTCTAGTGGATGAATGTACAGAACATTGGTACACAGAGACAACTAATGTTTGATGAGAGTTAAAAAAAAAAAAAGAGTAGCAGCTTGTAAAATAAAAAGAAAGCAAACATCCCTCCAAAAAGTGGGACAGAATTCTTGAAAACTATGAAGGGATCAGTTTTTGAGAGACACTGTAAGATAAGTTTAGGGACATGAGCTTTGGAATCAGTGCTCAAGCCTGGCTCTGGCTCTGTCTCTTGCTGTCTATGGTGAATTTGAAAACATAGCCAAAATCCTTCTACTCTTCTCTATAAGAAGACTAGAGGAAAAGAGGTAAAGAAACTGACTCAAACTTTTGGTTAGAGGACTTTTCAGCCCCTCTAATCAAAAGGTTGGTTCTGTTTATTTACCTCTTGCATCTAGCCTTTGCCATGTCTCTTGCTTTGTGACAGAAGCAGAGGTTTGGCAAGCACTTGAGCACTAGGGCTTGTCCTCTCCTTGGGTTCCTGGATCCTTGAGACCACCATGTGAAAAAGCCCGAGCTAGCCTGCTGAAGGGAAAGAGACTGTCAGGCCTGGCAGACGACTTCCAACATGTGAGTGAGCCCACTGAGAGTAGAAATAGAATAGTCCAGCTAAGCCTGTGCTAATGGCTTACTCACAGACTACTGAGTGGAGTAAATAATTGCTGTTCTAGTGTAAATTTTGAGGTGTTTTGTTATAGAACAAAAGTTAATTGGTATCCTCAGTGACTTTGGATAATTTGCTTCACCTCTTTAAACTTGAGTGTCCTCATCTGTAACATGAAAATAATAGTAATTGTCTCCTAGTATTAACTAAAATAATGCATATGAATTATTTAGTATAGTGCTTAGTACACGGAAAACACCAGATAAATAGTGGCTAATAGTATGATTATGTTCTTATACCCAGAATTTCATTCAGCCAGAGGTCAGTGTTGACTCTAAAGGATGTGTATGCTCAGTAACTACTAGAGCCACACAATTGCCTGGAACAGATTTTAAAAGGAAACATTGGGGATTTTTTTGTTTGTTTGATGTTTAAGCTTATCTCAGTGTTTCATACATTAGTTAATAGGTTTAAAAAATTGAAAAATGTTATTTGGTGATGTGCTCTGTTTTTGTGGGGTGTTTTTTCCCTAAATTCAACTTTTTTTCTTTAACCATCGCTTTGACACAGCAGAGTGTTAGCAGGTGAATTTTCTACTTTCTGTGACTTCAGCAGCATGTACGTGTTCCCAATTCATCTCCCATGGGGCAAGCATGGGAAAAATATTGAATTAGATCACAGGAAGAATATGTGGATTTGCTAATGACTCTGAAAAAAAATTAAGTGCTAAGTGGTTCGATTCTTTCCACTTCTCTATCTTGAACATCAAGTCTAACAGAATTAATTTTCTAAAAATTAAAATTCTGTCCTAATGGAATACAATTAGAAAAACATTCAAACTTTCTCTTCAATAGTGTAGCTTTAATTTATTTCAAGTAACTTCAACTAATATCTAATAGCTATGAGTGTTTATATCCAACTAAAGTCAGAAATGGACATAAATTTAAGCTAGCAGCAAATACACTGTAATAAAGAAATTTTAGCTTCTTAAAATTAGTTATATGCTAATATTTTACAGCTATCTTTGAACTGAGCTCCATCTACCCTCAATGCTCCCCTCAGTGGTAGAAATCTTGAGATGCAAATCCTTGCTCCAGGTAACATGTTTATCCTCCATGAAAGAACTATCAAAAGAACATCCAGGAATGCATTACCAACTGCTGTTTCCTAGTAGGCAAGAGCATTATTACAGCTTCAGTCTGAGCTTCATCTGAACCTGAAATATAAATGCAAGAACATGTGTAAGGGCTACAAAAACCAAACAGCCACCATAAAAACAATTAATGAGGGAGATTTTAATGAGAACCTTGTTTACGTTTGTAACATCAGTTCCTCCAATTTGTTTGAATTAATTTACACCACAGAGTCTAATCATGTGTGCCTCTAAATGAAAGATAAGGTGCTTAAATCACAAGAAGATGTCTGCATCTCCCACTCATATTTTGAATCCTAGCAGGGTGCTCAATTTGGAGGCCATATAATGTACAATAGCGTGACTCTATAATCAGAATGCCTTTGCTTCATAGCTTTGTGCTTTCAGGCAAGTTGTATCGCCTCTCCGAGCCACAGGATTCTCATCTGCAAAGTGAAAATAATAATATAATAATATTACCTCTTAGACTTAAGCAAGATAATGCACATAAAAGCACTTAAAACAGTGACTGTTGTCACGGGTGTGACTACCTGGGGCTGGTGTCGCAGGTGGTAAGGGAATTTGCCAAGAGAGTTGTATGTAAAGCAAGGCAGATTTACTAGAGAAAGTATGAAATACATTGCAAGGTTACAACAGACAGTACAATAGAGAAGGGGCTATCTGCCAAGAGATGAGGGACTGGAGGGAAGATTTATAGGGTCATGCTGGAGGGGGCTATGTGTGGAACAAGGTCACTGTGACCATGGGTTGTTTGTGATTAGCCATCTCTCAGAATAACTGTTTATTGTTTCTCCCCACAGGGGACCCTCCCCCACCTGGGAATCCTTCCTCAGACTCCCCTTTTCCCCTCTGACAGAACAACAATGACAAGTCTTTGGCACTAGGGCAGTGGTCTTATCCTCCAACTACTTCCTGCTGGCCTTGGGTGTAGAGTTGACCCTAACTATGGCTGTTGGTCTGTCGGGAGATCCTGTGGGTCATTGTCCTGGACTGTGGGACTTAGGATATTGGATCTTGCTGGAGGAAGCGACTCATCAGAGATGGGGAGCATGTCAAGGTGAAACTGGTGTCCAGCTGAATCCAAGGGAGATTTGTTCAGTTAGTGAGCATCACTGGGGAGAGACTGATATTCCATTTGCAGCATTATTCGAAGGTGAAACTGCTGAATTCTAGAAGACACAAATTTAACAAGTAAGTTGAAGATGCAAGGGCCAAAAAGAAGGAATAATAAAATGCCTGTTAGTGACACAAGGAGCAACCAGAAGAACCATCCCCAGGTGGATGTCCATGAAGACCATCCTTGTGATGCCTTTTCCTCAATTTCAGTGTTTTTTGATAGGGTCCCACACTATTCCTGCTTGATTAATATAAACATAACAATCTTCTTTAAGGGCTAAACAAATGCCCCCCATGGGCTGCCATAAGTAGATTTAGGCCATGGTTGTTTTAAATAACTGCTGCTAGGGGGTCTACCTGATCTTGGAGGACTTCCAGAGTGTCAGAGATGCATTTGAGCTCAGGGGTGAGTTCGATTGAGAGGGCATGATAAGTAGGGACTGCAAGGCTCATACGTGTTATTCTTGTACCTAATCCAGTGGCAATTCCTAGGCCAATGAGTAAGGGAATCAGATGGATGGCCCATTTTTCCCCACTAGAACTGTAAAGTGGAATTGGGAGGGATTGATCAGAAGGAGCAATTTGGATGTCTGGAGCTAAGTAAAGTAGTGTACAAGTCCCAGTCCAGTTGGCTGGAAGACAAATATATGCATTTGATTCTCAGAGGAAGAAAGCTCCCTTAGATTTAGGGGAAGATGTTAGACTTAAAGTGAAGAAACAGTGTATTTTGGCCTTCTGACCTGAAGAAATACTGAATAGCTAGTGCATAGTTGTAAGAGGCTGTAAGGCTTGGATATTACAGTTTGCATTTGGTGGGTTTCATTTTCCCAGAATAAATGAAAGCATTGAGCATCTAGAAACATCTGAGATTTGGGGCTGCTGAGCACGGGAATGTGTAGGCAATTATTTGGGGAATTTGAAACCTTGCAATTTTGCCATGGGACTGGGTCAGAACAAGTGTCTGGAGAAGGGCACCTTGTGCAGTAGTGAGACTTTATGTTTTGGAGATTTGGGGAATTGAGGGCAGCTGGGCCTGATATTCTAACTGGTACTGAATTGCGTTTTCCCTCTGATATGTTTTTCTATTGGTGATACTTATAGTTACAGTGTAGTTTTGAAGGGAGTTAGGAATATTACCCTCAGGATTGGAGCAATGTTCATTATCTGTTGTTTTAAGACAAATAGGAGCTTGATGTTTGGGTTGGACTTGTTTAGAAAGGGGGCTTACAACAGGGTTTGGAGTCTACCATTGTCTCTCGGCTCAGTACCAGTCCTTCCAGAGGGTTGCTGTTTTTAGCTTGGTTGTGTATTGGCTTAAATAGGCAGAGAATGCAGATATTATGCCTCATGCATGCTTTTTAAGGTCCCATGGGAGTTGGGGGAACAGGAATTTAGGGTACCAGGTGGTGTTAAAATGGATCCAATCCTGAATAGAAATAGGGAATGCAGAAGCATACCTTTCAGGGGTTAGTGGTAAGCAAAGCCAAAAATCCTTTCCATGCAGAGAATGTTTTTCCCTTAATAGCTTATGGGCCCCTTCAAGTAGGGTACAATCCATGAAGCTAGGCAGAGTAAGGTTCACTGTAAGTGTTAACGCTAAGTGGAGAGACATCCAAATAACTGGGATGAAGCCTGCCATGTTAAAAGTAACAAGATATAATGAATTCAGGGAGACAAGAGAGAAGAGCCACAAATATAAGAAAACAACTGGACAGAGTCCTAGAACTTCTGCAAACCTGTGTTGTGGGGTGGGGGTGAATGATATAGCTAAGATACATATAAGGAAATTTAGTCCAGGTGGAACTCCTGGAAATTACCCTGAAGACAGCAAGTTTGGGTGAGTTGTTCATAAAAGCATTTATAGCAGAAGACAAAGCTGACCATGGAAAACTTCTGAGTACTGGCTTAAGGACTGTAAGAGGATGAAGTAAGCCCTCTACATATTAGGGTGGATATCACTGGAGTTCAGGTCCCACCTGAACAACAGATGAAAGTCTCCAACTGGTTCACAGGTTTAAGTGTTCTTTGTTGGGTGCTGGTGCCACCTTGACCCTGAAGAGGTAAATCCACAGAGAGGCCTTGGAGATTTACAGCTGTTGGGGTCATAAGGAGAACTTGGTATGATCTAATCCAAAGAGGCTCCAGTGGCTTTTTGTCCTTTGGGACGACATACCCAGTCTCCAGGCATAAGATTAGGGTGAGTGTCTCCTGAAAAACAGGGTTTAGGTTTTGGGCTATGAAAATTCTGATAATGATTAATGGCCTTGATGGTTTGTCCCAGGGGTATAACATATTGCATGAGATAATGACTCTTTGGTTCTACCAAAAGATCTATTGGAGGAAAGATCTTCCATAGAGAATCTCAAAGGGGCTGAGTTTCATATTTTGGAGTGATATGGACTTTTCAGAGTGCAATGAGGAGTAAAGTTGGCCATGACTGTTGGATTCCATAAATTACCTTCATGAGGTACTTTTTTATGGTTTGGTTGGCTCTCTCCACGTTCCCAGAAGATTGTGATGCCAAGCCACATGCATGGTCTGGAAAGCACTGATTCCCTGCATTATTTGAGAAATAAAAGTGGGGCCATTGTCTGACTATAGGGTATAAGGGAGCCCAAAATGAAGAGGAATGTGACCTAAAAGGGCCGAAGCGACTTCTAAGGTCCACTTGGTTTTAGTGGCAAAGGCCTCTACCCATCCAGTGAAGGTGTCTACAAAAACTAACTAGTACCTGAGTCCCTTGCATAGTGGCATGTACGTAAACTCTATTTGTCAGTCTTCTCCAGGTAAGGTCCCTCATTTTTGAATTGGTTGAAGGAGTAGGGAAGGTTTGTGGACTCCCTCTGGGTTTATTTGGGAGCAGGTGAGACAGGCCTGTGAGATGGCCCATAGTTTGGGCTACCCTCTTGCTGGTAAACAGCAGCTTTATTACTCTCTGGAGGGCCTTAGCCCCTAGATGAGTTGATTGGTGTAAGCTGTTTAGAAGCTGCCATTGTGAGGCTCCTGGAAGCAAGAGTTTCCCATCAGGACCTTTTAAGTCAGCCTTCTGAGGTATGGGAGAAACCCCTTTCTAGAGCTTCTGGGTTTCCTCCTGTGTATAGTGTGGAGACAAGGGAGTTAGGGTGGGAACTAGGACAGACTAAAGGGGCAGCCTGGCTGCCAGTTTTGCTTGTTTGTCAGCCTGGTTGTTCCCAATAGAGATTTCATCATTGTTCCTCTAATAGGCTTTGCAGTGAATGATAGCTAATGTGAGGGAAGCATAATTGCCTCCAACTTGGCCATTATTTCAAGAGCATGTTTAATTCGAATATTTGGGGCCATTAAAAGCCCTCTTTCCCGCCAAATGGCTGCATGGGCATGCACTACATGAAAGACATAGGACAAGTCTGTTTAGATGTTAAGCCTCATGCTTGTCCCTAATTGTAAGGCTCAGGTAAGAGCAATGAGCTCAGCCTTTTGGGCTGAGGTAGTGTCTCCTGAAAGGGGTCTAGATTTTATGACTTCAGCTAGGCTAACAATAGCATAGCCTAACAATCGGGTTCCACCTGTCATAAAGTTATTTCCATCTGTGGCCTCAGGATCTATAAGAGATATATCCAGGAGGTCTAGTCTAGCATTACAAGTTAAATCTATGGTTTCCAAGCAAGAATGTTCAAGTGGTCTCTCTACATTTGGGTCAGGTAACAAGGGTGGCAGGATTAAGAGTTTGACAGGGCCTAATACTCAATTCTGGTACCTGTGGAAGGAGTGTTTGATATTTGCTAATACAGCTGTCTGAGATCCAGTGAAAGGCCTTTGAGTTTAGGACATCCATTACCTGATGTGGGGTGTATAGAGTTATTCCTTGACCCAGAGTTAGCTTGAAGGCCTTCTTAACTAGGAGAGCCACAGATGCTAGCATTCAGAGGCATAGAGGCCATCCCTATGCTACTAGGTCAAGGGTTTTTGATAAGTAAGCAATTGGCCGTTGAGAAAGTCACAATGGATAGTGAGGATTCCAAGGGCGATACCCCTTCTTTCAAGTACAAACAAGTAAAAAGGCTTTCTAAGATCTGGCAAGGCAGGGCTGGGGTGGAGGTGAGTGCTTGTTTCAGGGTTTTAGGGACATTATTTATTTCAAGGCTCCAATTTAAGTGTTCCTCCTCTGGTCTTCACAGTGCCTTATACAGAGGTTTTGCTATAATCCCAAACTGGGCTATCCAAGTGTGACAGAAGCCTGCCATTCTCCAAAAGGACCACAGTTGCTGTCTAGTGAATAGAATGCTCATGTTTAGGATAAGATATTTGCAGCACTTTGAGAGACCCTTGGACCCTGGGGTTAATGTTTGTCCCAAGAATTGGACCTCCTGAGAGGAGATTTGAGCTTTGGAAGCAGAGACTTTATAACCACAGGAGGCCAATCTCTGAAGAGTTTTAGTAGTATTTAGGTCTGAGACGTGTTTGGTTGGGCTGAAAATAAGCAGGTCATCAACATTTTGAAGCAGGACACTATCAGGGAGAGTTGAAGGGTGAAGAGATCTTTGTCAAGAGCTTATCAAAATAGGTGTGGGCTATCTCTAAATCCCTGGGGGAGGTCTCTCCAGGTTAATTGTTAGGAAACATGATTAGAAGGGTCATCATTCAAAGACAAATAAAAATTCAGAGTCCAGGTGTACTGAAATGCAAAAGAAAGCATCTTTTAGATCTATTACTGTGAACCAAGAAGTGCCAGAAGGAATTTTGCCCTAGCAGGCTGTAAGGATTGGGAACAATTAGATGTATTGGGATTACTGCTTCACTGATGGCCCTCAGGTCTTGTAGTATTGTATAGGTGCCGTCTGACTTTTTTATTTTTTTATTTTATTTTATTTTATTTTTTGAGCCACAGTCTCACTTTGTTGCCCAGGATGGAGTGCAGTGGTGCAATCTCAGCTTACTCTAACTTCCATCTCCCAGGTTCAAGCTGCTGCAGCCTCCCAAACTGTCTTTTTGACTGCCCAGATGGGTGTATTATGTAATGAGTTACAAGGGCAGAGTAACCCCATGGCCAAAAATTTCTCTATTAGGAGGTGTAAGCTTATTTGAGTTTTGGCTTTAAAGGTTATTGGGGCATCCTAGAGAAGGATTTGGGACTTTTAAGGTGGATTTTTATAGGATCTGTGAACAATGAACAGATCCTATAAAAATCCTTCCTGAAGTGGAAGTATCCTATACCTCTGAAGGAACGTATTGTAGAATAGAAGGCTTTATTATCTTTGGGCTTTCGGTGTCAGGGGCTAGTAAGCTTAATAATGGGCAGGAAAGCTCAGACAATTGAAGTTTGGTTTGGATCTTTGTCATTATGTCCCTCCCAAGTAGCGGGATTGGGCAACTGGCAAAGCAAGGAAAGAATGGGTGAAAATATTTTTTGCAAAGGTACATACTAAAGGAGAAGTAAATTACCCCTGTTTTAGCTGGCCATCTCTGCTGGTAAGGAGGATTGAGGACTGAAAAGTAGGTCCAGGAAAATTAATTAGGGCAGAGTAATCTTCTCCTGTATCAATCAATAACTCAGTTCTTCTTCCTGCCACGTCTAGGGTTACCAAACGCTCAGCCATAGTGATGGAAAACACAGGAGCCTAAATGGTTTTGGGGACCTGTCAATCTGGGAAAGAGAGGGAATGGCCCTTCCTGGGACTCATCCCTTCTTCCCTTTTGTTCCTATTGGTTTCCTCATAGTTGAGGAGCAGAGTCAAGCATTCTTTGCCATTCTCTCAAGTTGGCCTGCAATTGAAGTTGCTAGTAAAGGGTGACCTCCTGCATGAGAGAGAGAAAGGAAGTCCCATTTCCAGTGCCCCACTTGTTTGCAGTGTGGGTAGGGGCCAGGTGGCAGTTGCTGGGGACCAGATAATGGCTGGAGAGAGTTTTGTCAGTGTTGGCTAATATTCCCTGACTGGTACAATGATAGCAAATGGGGGCCTCCCTTATTGGCTGCTGGGCTGTATCCTGATGGCTGACCCAGGGCCTTTGAGGTAGGCAGGGAGTTAGCAACAGTTGTGCCCATATAATGGGCCTGCTGCTTATCTCTTTCTCATTCCTTCCGATCCTGTTCAGTTCTTGAGACCTCCTCTCAATTATTGAAGACCTTGAAGGCCATGTCCAGCAATTTGAGGAAAGGAGTTTGTGGTTCCTTATCTAGTTTTTGGAGTTGATGTCTAATGTCTGATGACGCCTGGCTGATGAAATGAATAGCCCAGATGGTGGGCCTTCTGGGCTTTCAGGGTTCAAATAGTATATTTTCTCATAGCCTCAGCCGGCCTGAAATGGAATAGGGCTAGGTTTTTATTTGATGCCTGTGTTATTTCCCTTAGTGTGACATAATTTACAGGTTTTATGGTGGCCTTCTTCATGCCCTCAATCAGGCAAGTGGTCATGTGATTATGATGTTCCTTGCTGTGGTCTCCCTCTTGACATCACCACCTAGATCAGTGTCATGCACTGTGGTTCTCCCAGGGCCAGACTCCTGGGGATTTGGGGAATGTACCTCATCTGCCCATCTTTGGGCCAGAGACCAAATGCAGGATTTTTCCTTGTGGGTGCAACAAGTGGTGAAAATAATATAGATGTCCTACCAAGTGAGGTAGAAGGAAACAGCAAAGTCTTTAAATTCCTTCATGAAGTGAGAAAGGTCTTGGCTGAAAGAGCTGAGCTTAGTTTCTATTTGGAAAAGATCAGATATTGGGAAGGGAATATGGACTCTGATGGTTCCTAGATTCCCATTTGCCACCTCCTGGAGTGGCAGAACTTTTTCTGGGCCTGAAATGGGATCCTAGGTGGCCCCTGACTTGTATGTGAAGGGGAGAAGTGTCCTGATAAGGAGGAGGCAACAGAAAATAACATCCAAGGTTTGGGTGTCAGGGGGAAGGTGAGGGAGAAGGAGCAAATGCAGACAGTGTAATTGGATGTGAAGGTGGCTTGTTAGGGAAAGAAGGCGTGATCTCAACTTGTCCAGCCGGGTATGGAGAATGGTAGAGAGTAAAAGAAGGATCATCGAAATGTAAGACGAGTCAGGGGGACCAGAGAATCTAGCCATGCACATTCAACAGGTTTTGTGGAGATTAGCATCCTGAAAGTCATGAAAACCTGGACATTAAGAATTTCAGACCATTTAGAAGAGTTGTGACAGAAAAGATCAAGCTGTAAAATGGTATTGGGGCAAGGGTCCAGCCTGGAGACCGGGAGGATTCCTGATCTGGAAGTTTATAAAGTGGCCATACTGTATTACACAAGAAAATTAGACATTTCTTTTTAAGAGTCTGAGTGTCAAATTTATCCCAATGCTTTAAAATGCAGTGCAGGGTTAAGTCTGAGAGAATGGATGGGGCTTTGTCCCATGATGGGACTGGGGAAAAAAAAAAATCCCCTGGGAACATGAACTGCAATTTCTTTTGAAGCTTCCTGCAAAGGAAGAGGGCTCCACTAGTCTTTACTTAAGGACTTCAAAATGCACTTTCCAAAGAGATATTCCATCTATTGGAAAGGATCTCTCAGTGATAGAGCCTTACATTGGATGAACACTGGGTAAGAGACCCAAGGTCAGTCCAGGTACAAATTACACTGTTTGCTCAATCCAGGTATGCCAGAAAAACGTTGAGGGAAGACTTATCATCCTGGTGCTGTTTGGGATCACCTGGCTTAAGACATCTGGAGCAGGATGGCTGGCTGTCTTCACAGGAGAGTTTAGAGTGAGAAAGAGGGAGTTTATGTTCTCCAAAATGGGTGTAGGTTCACCCTGGTTGAACTTCTGCTGCCAATTGCACTACACATAAGGGATTGGAGTCTCTTGACCAGAAAAGATAACAGAAAGCCTGCCTACCTTCCTTGCAAGGCAGGCAAACCTGTTCACCCCAGGCCTTCAGGCTGTACCAGGGAGTGGCCATCAATTTCCAGAGGGATACTAGAGTTTGTCCACTAGACGACTGAAAAGGAAAGAACACTCTGAACTCTCATCTGATCAGGCGATGGCAATCAGACGTCTTCCCACCAGGACCTCTGGTCTGCCTGGGAGTGGCCCTTGCCAGGGACCTTCAGTTGTCTCTGGACTTGAACACTGACCACCAAGAGTCTGGAATTGGAGGAGAGGGAAGGGATAGAGTAGTAGAGAGGTCCCCAAGAAGGCCCCATACAGGCCACCAAAATGTTACAGGTGTGACTAGTTGGGGCCGGTGTCACGGGTGGTAAAGGAATTCGCCAGGACAGTTGTAAGTAAAGAAAGGCATATTTTTTAGAGAAAGTATGAAAATGCATTGTTAGGTTGCAACAGGCAGCACAGCAGATAAGGGGCTATCTGCCACGAGGTGGATGGGAGGAGCTGCAGGGAAGTTTAATAGGGTTGTGCAAAGGTTGGGGGGTCCTGGAGGGAAGTTTAATGGGGTTGTACTGGAGGGGGCTATGTGCTAAACAAGGTCATTGTTTGTGATTTCTCATTTCTCAGAACAATTGTTCATTGTTCTTCCCCACCTGGGTCCCTCCCCTACCTGGGGTCCCTTCCTCTTTGTTGCTTACTTATCAAGACTCCACAACTGGCACATAATCGCCACTCAATACATACTCACTGCTGTTGTATAGTAAGCTTGACCCTTGCTGAATGTTTCCTGTGACTAAAATGCAATGGTCCAGATCATGTTTGTGGACAGCTGTAACAATCACTGCAGTGGGAACCTCATTTGTTACAGGTTGACAGTACTGAGGGATCTCATGTCAAGTTGTCAGTGACCAAATGCTATTGAAGTGGTTTAAACGTTTCTCCCCTCCAAAATTCATATTGAAACTTTATCCCCAATGTGGCAGTACTGAAAGGTGGAACCTTTAAGAGGTGATTGTGTTATGAGGTCTTAGCCCTCATGTACAGATTAATGGATTAATAGGTTAATGTGTTAATGGGTTATCACAAGAGTGATTATTAGTGGCTTTGCAAGAGGACAAAGAGAGACCTGAGCAAGTATGCTCAACCCCATCACTAGATGATACTCTGCACCGCCTGGAAACTCTGCAGAGAGTCCCCACCAGCAAGAAGGTCTTCACTAAATGCAGCCCCTCACCTTGGACTTCTCAGCCTTCATAACTGTAAAAAATAAGTTCCTTTTCTTTATAAATTGCCCAGGACCAGTTACTCAGTTATAATAAAAGAAAACAGACTAAAACAACTATTATATGGCACTATATACAGTCTTGGGCTGTGTGATGTGGAATCACGGATATGTAAGTCCCAAGAAGAAGGAATTGCTGAGGTAAGATGCAGCCTGGATTTGAGCACAATTCCCAGGGACACATGGCTAATGCAGAAGCCTGAACATGCCTGCAAAATGCAGCATGCGAGTGTCTTCTATCCAGGGTATAAGACACTACGTATAGAAGTGGTTCCTTTGCATAGGTCAACCCCACATCTGATTACTAACAAAATGGAAGTAAAGGTGACTGATGATGAAAGGAACATTGAAGACATGGGAATTGGAGTGTGGTGGTGCCTATTGCGGAAACAGTGTCAGGTTATTATTAGAGAAACCAAGAAACACAAACCGTTCAAATTACTGACTGCTTCTGTTTCTGCCCAATATCTGCCCAATAGTCCAGATTGCTTTTAGGGAGGAGAATATTGACTGGAAAATATTGATCACAAAGATGATTTATTATAAAAGAGGAATGGCATTTAGAAATTACATTAGAGCATTTTGGAAAAACTCTATAATGTGTTGCTGTGGTTGTTAATTGTCACATGGATTTTTAAACAATGGAGTCGTGTCTTAGTTAATGCATGCTAGCTTCACAGTACTGTCATATTATAATTTCTAATGAGTGAAGTTTATAAATTATCCCACTTTTCTGAAATGCTTGGTTTTTTTCTTTTACTAAATAGATTTGTGGCATTAGTCAAATATTCCCTATATGACGAGATAAATATTCTGCCCTTTCCTATTGTATGTAATTTTCACAATTGCAATTTTTTGTGTGAGATAATGCTATTCTCTCATTGATATTTTTATTGATCCTACTTTCAAGGGTTCACTTTCCAGAAAAAAAAAAGTAGCCACATGACCATCTCACATCATCTCCAGACAACTTTACTGGCATTTGGCCTGCTGAGGAAGTACAGGCAGTTTTAATTTCCTTCTCTTAGATACTGCGATGAAAATAACTTTGAATTTCAAGGTTTGTCACTGTCCATTGTCAGTAATTCTTCTATAAATGGTCTGATTTCCCAAGTGTGTGAATTGTAATTGGTCCACAGTGAAGAGATGCTCAACAAAATAACTTTAAATTTAAAACAATACAAATTTTCTTTAAAAGATTTTGTTTTTATATTATTAAAGTCCTAGAGCCTTAAAATTCCCCAGTATGTATTCCTAATTATACAATAATTCCTCTTTTAGGTTCACAATTATTTTGTTATATGTCATAATAATTAAGAATAATCTATCCAATCATTTACATCCCTGAATAAATATACTGTGACTAGCTGAACACCCCTAATAGCATGTCCCATGTATGTGCACAACACAGAGAGAAATAGAAATGTTGTCTCTGAGTTGGTATTTTATGAAGCAAGATGATTACACATTTTTTTAAAAAAAGATAAAGGTTTTCTCCAAACATTTACACAAAGCAGAGTCTTTCTTAATTTTTCTCCCCTCTCAACAGGTATTAAGTTTCATTCTTTTATTTTTTATTTCTTTTATTTTTTACAAGAAAGGCCAGAAAGGCTGAAGAATTAAAGGCTGAGTGTTGAGAAGAAAAAGTTAAAAAAAAAAAAAAAGTATAATAAAAGACAGGAGATGTCACTTGGTGGAATGACTGGGTAACAAGGTTGGATGACTTTGAGTAGGCTAATCACTTGCTCAGCTTTCTTATTGGTGAAATAAGGAGAATGCACTGCTTTAACTCCCCAAGATCTCTTCTATCCCCAATAGTCTGGGACTATGTAATGTAAAATCGGGGGAAGGAAGCCCCAAGAGGAAAAAAGAAACAAAAGAAGAAAGCAAAGAAAGATTATAGTTTCTTCAGCCTCCTAAGAATTCTTAGAGTAGATACAAGAGTTGAGGGTTTATTTTCAATATACAAGAAAGTGAATGGAGTAAAAATTGTGCATTTACTTAGGGATAAGCTACCAGTCAGATTATCTTCAAAACTAGATTTCTTCTTTTAGTAGTTGTGAAATCACCTGAAGTAGGAAGACAAGTTGACCTAGAAGCTCTAACTGAAAGATAGCTAGGTAGACAGAGATATAGAAGAAGAAAAAACAGATGCATAAAATGGAGATAGATGATAGATAGATAGATAGATAATAGATAGATAGATAGATAGATAGATAGATAGATAGATACATAATAGGTAGATAGTCAATAGTTTCTCAAGCAAAGGAATGTGACTTTTTAAAATGTCCTTATAATAATGTAGGAAAACAAACCTTAAGGTGTCTGCTCACTCATTCATCTTATGAATATTTAGTAAAATAGTGGGAGTAAAAAGACTTCCTTGAGATTCATGGTCTCTATTGATTTATCTTTAGGTTTGCTGATTCTTTTTCCAGGTAAGAACTACTGTTAAGCCCTTTTGGTAACTTTTCATTTTGGCTATTGTACTTTTCAGTTATAGATTTCTTTGTGTTTCTTTCTTAAAACTTACTTTTACTGATATTCTCTATTTGATGTGACATTGTCATCATACCTTATTTTAATTCTTTAAACATGCTTTCCTTTAGTCCTTTGAGCACATTTATAATGGCTGCTTTGAAGTCTAATTCCAACACCTGGGCTCCCACAAAGACAATTTCTATTGTTTGCTTTATTTTTCCTATGTATAGGTCACATTTTAATGTCTCTTTGCATGTATCATAATTTTTTGGTGAACACCAAAATTTGCCTGTGGCCATATCATCCCAAACATGCCCAATCTCATCTGAAAGCCAAAAATGTTAGTTAACATACTGTAGTAACTCCTGATACTGATCCTTTCCTTCAAGGCTGTGGTCATTGTTTGTTTATTTGCTTGCTTATTTGTTAGTGACTTGTCTATACCAGTTCAGTGAAGTCTATTTCCCACTTACTTGAGCCTCTGACAGCACTGTTCTATTTTCCCCCCTTATTTTTATCTTTAAGCCTGGCTTCTTAGGGGTCATCACCATTTAGTGGTTAACCATTGATTGTTCAGTGATTTTGCTTAACTCTTCTGAACCAGGAAGATTTTCACCTTTTACCTTTGGATCTATGTATGGCTTGGGGATTGCTTTCACCATTCAGGGAGTTTGAGTTTGCACAGCATTCAGTCAGGGACTTGAAACTCAGATGCTCCCTCACCAGTCACTCATGGCATGAGCACAGGTGGGTGTGAGTCACCCTAGATTCTCTTTGACCATCTCTTTCTCTGATCTCTGCAGAAGACTTCAGGCTTCTGCTTCTATTGGTATTACACTCATCTCATAATCTCTACTAATTGCTACTTGACTGCTCTATCATGCTCTGGAAAACCCTGGGATATAAATTGCCCAATAGTCTAATACAGATAAAGTCAGGCTCTGTGGCAAGAGACAGTATTTTGTCAGTTTTGAGGCTTGCTCTGACCATCCCCCAGACAGATGCTCTATGATATGGAACAGAAGCTTGAAGGGGAGGAGGAGGGCTGGATATCCTACCCATATTTTCCCAACTGAGCAGAAACTGTGGGAAAGGGTACAAGGAGAGCCATGAATTGCTATCACTGCCCAGGAGCCACTGCCCACCCACCACCACTGCCTGGTATAATTCTTCTGCAATCCAGGCCAGGGACGATGGGATCTGCCAATGTTCACCTGTTCACCAGCTGCTAAATGTACACAGAACAGCTCTTCCATGCTAGGAATTTAAGAGAGATGGAATCTACCACTGAGATGCAAGGATTCAAAAGACATCAGGAAAAACAATTTTGCTATATCAAATATTGGGATAAAGAATATCATCAATAAAGATATTACTTTATCAGATTAGCATAAATTAGGACATCAAAAGGTAACAAATGTACATAAAGAGCAGGGTAACAGGAGAGAATCCACAGACCTTTTGAAGGAAGCAGCTTGCCTCTGTAGGCTACCAGAGACAGCCGAAAAACTCCAAAGATAAAGGACATAATCTCTTGGGAGCTCCATGGCCTAGCCCACCACCTGAGAAACTTGAATGCTTATCCAGGTGACCCTAGGGCAAGCATGTATCCTCCATATACTTCTGCAGCTGATGTTCTCTTAAAAGTGGTACCTCCTGACTGGAGGGCAATCAACAAAAAACCAGCACAATAGACAAAACTACAACCAAAGACCCTCACAGAGTCCACTTCACTGTCCTGCTAAAGCCACTGGAGCAGGTGCTGGTATCCATGGCTGAGAGACCTGAACACAGATCACATCACAGGACCTTTTTCAGACACTCCCCAGTACCAGTACAGAGCCCAGTAGCTCTGCTGGGTGGCTAGACCCCAAAGAGAAATAACAATCACTGCAGTTTGGCTCTCAGGAAGGCCCATTCCTAGGGGATGGTGGAGAGCACTACATCAAGAGAGCACCCTGTGGGACAAAAGAATCTAAACAGCAGCCCTTGAGCCCTAGATATTCCCTCTCACATAGTCTACCCAAATGAGAAGGAACCAGAAAAACAATCCCAGTAATAGGACAAAACAAGGTTCTTTAACGCCCCCAAAAGATACACTAGCTCACGAGCAATGGATCCAAACCAAGATGTAATCTCCGAATTGCCAGAAAAAATAATGCAGAAGGTCAATTGTTAAGCTACTCAAAGAGGCACCTGAGAATGGTGAATACCAACTTAAAGAATACACAAAAATGATACAGGATATGAATGGAAAAATCTCCAGAGAAATAGATCGTATAAATAAAAAACAATCACAACTTCTGGTAATGAAGGACACACTTAAAGAAATGCAAACTGCACTGGAAAGTCTCAACAACAGAATTGAACAAATAGAAGAAAGAACTTGAGGGCCCCTTCAAGAGATTCAAGCCTTCCTTGCAAGGCTTTTGAATTAACCCAATCTGACAAAGACAAAGAAAAAAGAATCCAAAAAATGAACAAAGCCTCCAAGAAGTTTGGGATTACGTTAAACAATCAAACCTAAGAATAATTGGTCTTCCAAAAGAAGAAGGGAAATCTAAAAGTTTGGAAAGCATATTTAATGGAATAATCATGGAAAACTTCCCTGGCCTTGCTAGATCTAGACATCAAAATACAAGCAGTTCAAAGAACACTCAGGAAATATATCACAAAATGATCAACAACAAGGTACATAGTCATCAGGTCATCTAAACTCAAGACAAGGAAAGAATCTTAAGAGCTGCAAGGTAAAAGCATCAGGCAACCTATAAAGAAAAAAACCTATTAGATTAACTGCAGATTTCTCAGCAGAAACCCCACAAGCTAGAAGGGATTTGGCGTCCTATTTTTAGCCTCATTAGACAAAACAATTATCAGCCAAGAATTTTTATCCAGCGAAACTAAACTTCATATATGAAGGAAAGATACAGTCTTCTTCAGACAAACAAATGCTGACAGAATTTGCCAATACCCATCCAGCACTCAAGAACTGCTAAAAGGAGCTCTAAATCTTGAAACAAATCCTCAAAATAAACCAAAATAGAACATCCTTAAAGCACAAATCTCACAGGACCTATAAAACAATTAAACAATGAAAAAAAAAACCAAGGTATTCAGGCAACAACTAGCATGATGAATAGAACAGTACTGCACATCTCAATATAACATGGAATGTAAATAGCCTAAATGCTCCATTAAAAGACACAGAATGGCAGAAGAGATAAGAATCCACCAACCAGGTGGGTATGATGGCTCACACCCATAATCCAAGTACTTTGGGAGGCTGAGGCGGGAGGATCACTTGAGGTTAGGGGTTCAAGACCAGCCTGGCCAATGTGGTGAATCCCCACTCCACTAAAAATACAAAAATTAGCTGGAGGTGGTGGCACATGCCTGTAATCCCAGCTACTCAGGAGGCTGAGGCACGAGAATCGCTTGAATCCAGGAGGTGGTGGTTGCAGTGAGCTGAGATTGTGCCACTGCACTCCACCATCCTGGGTGATGGAGTGAGACTCTGTCTCAAAAAAAAAAAAAAAAAAAAAAAGAATTCATTAACCAAGAATCTGCTGTCTTCAAGAGACTCACCTAACACATAAGAACTCACATAAACTTAAAGGGGTGGAAAAAGATATTCCATGCAAATGGACATTATAAGCAAGCAGGAGTAGCTATTCTTATAGCAGACAAAACAGACTTTAAAGCAATAGCATTTTAAAAAGACAAAGAGGGACACAATAAAATGATAAAATGACTAGCCCAACAGGAAAACGTCATGGTCCTAAATATATATGCACCTAACACTGGAACTCCCAAATTTACAAAACAATTAGTACTAGACCGAAGAAATGAGATAGACAGCAGCACAATACTAGTGGGGGAATTCAATACTCCACTGACAGCACTAGATAAGTCATCAAGACACAAAGTCAACAAAGAAACAATGGACTTAAACTATACCCTAGAACAAATGAACTTAACAGGCAGTTACAGAACATTCCACCCAACAACTGCAGAATATTCTTTCTATTCATCACACATGGAACATTCTTCAAGATAGAATGATAGGCCACAAAACAAGTCTCAATAAATTTAAGAAAATTGAAATTATATCAAGTACTCCCTCAGACCACAGTGGAATAAAATTGAAAATCAACTCCAAAAGGGATACTCAAACCATGCAATACATGGAAATTAAATAACCTCCTTCTGATTGATTGTTGGGTCAATAATGAAATTAAGATAGAAATGTAAAAATTCTTTGAAGTGAACAATAACAATAACACAACCTATCAAAATCTCTGAGATACAGCAAAAGTGGTGCTAACAGGAAAGTTAGCATTAAAACCTACATCAAAAAGTCTGAAAGATCAAAAATAAACAATCTAAGGTCACACCTCAAGGAACTAGAGAAACAAGAACAAACCAAACCCAAACCCAGAGAAAAGAAATAACAAAAATCCGAGCAGAACTAAATAAAATGGTAACAAAAAATTACAAAAGATAAATGAAACAAAAAGGTGCTTCTTTGAAAGGATAAATAAAATTGATAGACCTTAGTGACATTAACCAAGAAAAGAAGAGAGAAGATCTGAATAAGCTCAATTATAAACAAAACTGGAGATATTACAACTGATACCACAGAAATAAGAAAGATTATTCAAGGCTATTATGAACACCTTTACACACACAAACTAGAAAACCTAGAGGAGATGGATAAGTTTCTGGAAATATACAACCCTCCTAGATTAAACTGGGAAGAAACTGAAACTCTGAACAGACCAATAAAAAGGGGCAAGATTGAAATGGTAATTTTAAAAATTGCCAACAAAAAAAAAAATCCAGGACCAGATAAATTCACAGCTGAATTATATCAGACATTCAAAAAAGAATTGGTACCAATCCTATTCACATTATTTCAAAACATAGAGAAAGAGGATCTTCCCTGAATCATTCCGTGAAGCCAGTATCACCCTAATAACAAAACCAGGAAAGGACATAACAAAAAAAGAAAACTACAGACCAATATCCCTGATGAACATAGATGCAAAAATCCTCACCAAAATACTAGCTAACTGAATCTGACGGCATATCAAAAATATAATCCACCATGATCAAGTGAGTTTCATACCAAGGATGCAGGGATGGTTTAATTTACACAAGTTAATAAATGTGATACACCACATGTATGTGTTTTGTTTTAAACGGGATTAAAAACAAAAATCACATGATCATTTCAATAGATGCAAAAAAAGGATTTGACAAAATCTAGTATTCTTTATTATTAATACCCTAAGCAAAATTGGCATAGATGGAACATACCTTAAGGTAATAAAAGCCATGTATGACATGTATGCCATCTATGACAAACCCACAGCCAATTTTACACTGAACAGGGAAAAGTTGAAAGTATTCCCCTTGAGAATTGGAACAAGACAAGGATGCCCACTTTCACCACTTCTATTCAATGTATTACTGGAAGTCCTAGCCAGAGCAATCAGACAACAGAAACAAATCAAGGGCATCCAAATTGGTAAAGAGGAAGTCAAACTCTCACTGTTTGCTAATAATATGATCACTTACTTAGAAAACCCTAAAGATTCATCCAAAAAGCTCCTAGAACTAGTAAATGAATTCAGAAAAGTCTCAGGATACAAAATCAATGTAGACAAATCAGTAGCACTGCCATACACCAACAATGACCAAGCTGAGAATCAAATCAAGAGCTTAGACCCCTATTACAATAGCTGCAGAAAATAAAATAAAGTAAAATACTTAAGTGTATACCTAACTAAGGAGGTTACAGACCTCTACAAGGAAAACTATAAACATTGCTGAAAGAAATCATAGATGACACAAACAAATGGAAACACATCCTATGCTCATGGATGGGTAGAATCAATATCGTGAAAATGACCATTCTCAGCTATAAAAAGGAATGAAATAATGGCCATTGTAGCAACCTGGATGGAAACTGAAAACCAAACATCACATGTTCTTACTCATTAGCGGGAGCTAAGCTACAAGGATAGAAAGACATAAGAATGATACAATATAATTTGGGGACTGGGTCAGGGGAAGAGTGGGAGGGGGTGAGGAATAAAAAGGCTACACTTTGCATAGAGTGTACACTGCTTGGGTGACGGGTGCACCAAAATCTCAGAAATCACCACTAAAGGACTTAACCGTCTAACCAAACACCACCTGTTCCCCAAAAACCTATTGAAGCAAAAATAAATAAATAATAAAATAAAATAAAATGAGATGGAGATCCCCCCAAAAGTGCTTACTCATTGTAAAAATTCTAAATATCAATGAGAAAAAGGGTTTTTTACAATAGGAAAATAGGAGAGCATTTATAAACAATTTGTAAACAGTCATATTTATGATATAAAATATGGAAAAATTAAAATATAAAAGCAGTTGAATGTAATAAATTATTTTCAAAGGTGACAAAATGCTCTTGTATATAAGACGCTTACAATAGTACTTTTCCAAATAGAAATCTGAAACATAAAATAAACAGATATCAGTGTTTTAATGACAAAATGCAAATATTATCATGTGTAATAAGGTTGGAATTCCAATATGCACAAGAAATTTTTCATTAAAATTTTTGATAAATTAAAAAAAGCAGGCTAATAGAATATCTCTTGAACTACTAATGGGAAAGCAAATGGTGTAATCACTTTGGAGAGAAATCTGATTGTACTTAATCAAATTAAATATTCATGTAACAATGATTTGATAATCAATTCCTGCTAAATGCAAGGGAATATTTAAGGCCAGAAACGTTTGTGTTACAGGAAGTCAAAATCAATTCTCAGGGCAAAGACCCTTAATGTATACCAGATCATCTATATGATCTTCCCCCATATTTCCCAATCTCTGTCTACAAGTTCTGGCCAATACGCTATGAATGGATATTATTTTTATCACTTCTGGAGTGAGGCAACTAAGAGTCACTTTCCCTTCAGCAGTTACTGCGAGAACCACATATTTAAATTGCAGAGCTACAAAATGTAGTGCTCCTGGATGTCCAAATCAATGCCTGGTGAAAGCCTTTATCAGTCTACTTTGGACTTAAATGAAAAAGGTGTAAGTCTTTTGGGGCTAATCCGCTAATGTGGGGGTTTACTAAATTGGGAGTTTATTTACTATAGTAGCAGAACCCAGCCTAACCTAAGGTAGTGTCATAACACGCACAAAAAAAAGGGAATATAATAAATATAAGTGAGTTCATGCAATAGAATACTATACATCAGATAGAAGTAGGTTAACTAGATGACAACCTGGACAGATATTAAAAATATAGGCTAGCCTTTGCAACCTCAGTCATGCAACACACAGTAACATCAGCTGGAAGAACTAAAGCTATCTAAGAACACTTCAAAAGAATATGGGGATAATGTTTTTCCCTGAGAACGACTAAGAAAGCTCCTTTGGGCTCAGTTCTACCTGTTCCTTTTGTAGAGGGAACACACAGTGCATTGAATATGATAATGGTGCCAACACTAAAGTGACTATATGCTATATTATCCACACTGGAATTATTTTGAAAGTGAGCCAATTCCCAAAATAAAATATTTCATATATATCTATATATGAAATCTTATATATGTACATCCATATACGAAATCTTTCTCATATATATCTACATATATATATCATATCACACACACATATATATAATATCCTATTGGTTCTGTTTTTCTGAAGAACCCTGACTAATGCATGTCCTTTTCTGTCCTAGAATCTCATCTAGGATACCACATTACATTTACTTGTCACATCTCCCTAGGCTCCTCTTGGCTGTGACAGTTTCTCAGTCTTTCTTTGTTTTTGATGTCCTTGACGGTTTTGAGGAATACTGATCAGGTATATTTTGATGCTCCTCAATTTTAATCTGTCTGATATTCTTCCCATTAGACTTTGTTTATAGGTTTTAGGGAGGAAGATCACAGAGGTCAAATGCCATTTTCAGAGCATTATATCAAGGACACAGGCCCTCAATGTGATTTATGACTATTAATGTTGACTTTGATCATCTGGCTAAGACAGTATTTGTCAGGTTTCTTTACTGTAAATTTACACTTTCTTCCCCCTTTCCATGCTGAACTATTTGAAAGGAAATCACTCTGAAACTCACAGTGTGAGTAGAGACTTATGTTCTACTTTCTTAAGGTCAACCTATCTACAGAAATTATTTGGATTTCTGCAAGGAAAATTTGTCTCTTCTCCCAATTTATTTATTTGTTCAATTATTTATTTATATCATGAGTTTGAACTCATTAATATTTGTTTTATACATTTGATTATAATTCAATATACTGATTTATTTACTTTGTTGCTCAAATTATTTCAGCTTTGGTAAGTGAAAGCTCGTTCAGTTGGCTCCTGTGTCTCTTTGACGACACACACCTACCAATATATTTTTGTGTTTTTTTTTGTATGCTGATTTGTTTGTTTGTGCACTTCCTTAACTTCTGACATTACACAATACTCCAGGCTCATCTTATGTGTTTCCTGTCCCAGTCCTAGAAACAGCCATTTTTCCAAGAAACACTGGTTCCTTTTAATGAGAATGGTATTAAAAACCAAGATATGGGTACTTGTGTCTCTTATCACAGTCTACATCCTTTCCTGAGGTCCCCAAACTCCTAAATAATTTTAAAATTTTTGCATACCTTCAGGTTCACTTTCTGTGCTGTAAAGTTCAAAGGGTTTTAACAAATGCATAACCTCACATACCTATTATTACAGAATCATACCAAATATTTTCATCACCCTAAAAATTCCCTATGTTTTACTTATTCATCCCTCTCCCCAACCTCATAGCCCTTGGCGAATACTAACCTTTTTACTATTCTATATTGTTTTGCATTTTCCAGAATGTTACATAATTGGAGTCATACAGTACGTGGGCTTTTAGTGTCTTCTTTCACTTAATAATATGCATTTAATGTTTCTCTACATCTTTTCATGGCCAGATAGCTCATTTTATTTTATAAATGAATAATGGGCTATTGAATGAATGTACCACAGTTTGTTTATCCATTCACGCATTGAAGAGTATCTTGATTACAGATTTTGGTGATTACGGACAAAGTTGTTTTAAATAGACACATGCGGGGTTTTCTGTGTGTGACCATATATTTTCAAATCAGCTGAGTGTGATTTCTAGATCATCCAGTAAAACTATGGTTAGCTTTGTAAGAAACTGCCATGTTGTCTTCCAAAGTGGCTGTACCTTTTTGCATTCACAAAGCAATGAGCGAGAGTTCATGGTGCTCCACATCCTCCTCATCAACATTTGCAATTGTAAAATTGTTTAGATTTCAGTCATTCTAATGAAAGTATAGTTGTATTTCATTTTTGTTTTAATTTGCAATCTGATAATGAGAAAGGACGTTGAGCATCTTTTCAAATGCTTACTTTCCATGTGTATATGATTTTTGTGAGATGTCTTTTCACATTTTTCTTTTGATTTTTAATTGGTCTGTTTGTTTTCTTATTATTGAGTTTTAACAGTTTCTTAAATATTTTACATATGTCTTTTACCAACTGTCTGCAAATATCTTCTAGTCTGTGACTTGTCTTTTCATCCTTTTAACAGTGTCTTTTGCAGAGCAGAAGTTTTTAATTTTAATAAAGACAAAGTTTTCAACATTTTCTTCTATGAGTCATGCTTTTGGTATTATATCTTAAAAACTCAACACCAAATTCAAGGTCACCTAGGTTTTCTCCTACATTTTCTTCTGGAAGTCTTCTATTTTTGTGTTTTACATTTAGGTCTATGGCCCATTTTGAGTTGATTTTCATAAAAAGTGTAAGGACTTGACTAGATTTATGTTTTGCATATGAATGTCCAACTGTTTCAGTACTATTTGTTGAAAAGACAAATGTTTTTTCCATTGAACTGCCTTTGCTCCATTGTCAAAGCTAGGTTGAATATATTTGTGTGGATCTATTTCTGGGCTCTTTATTCTTTTCCATTGAATATGCACCTATCATTTTGCCAGTATCATGCTATTTTGATCACTGTAGCTTTATTGTATGTTGTAAAGTCAGGTAATGTCAGTCCTCCAACTTTGTTGTCTTTCAGTATTGAGTTGGCTATTCGGGATCTTTTGCTTTTCCCATATACATTTTAGAATCAATTTGTCAATATCCACAAAATTATTTGCTGAGGTTTTGATAGAAATTTTATTGAATCTATAGATCAAGTTGGGAAGAACTGACATCATGACAATATTAAGTATTCCAATCCAAATGGGGTGATGACTTCCTAGCTTTTTACATGTCAGAGCTGAAACCAGAAATCAGTTTTTTAAACCTCTGTCATGATATTTATTTTTCATAGTTCAACATCAAGACAAGTCAATTACAGGTTGTAACTATAAAGATTATAAAGAAAAAAATAAATGTCTCTCTTATCATTGCCCTTCTCACTTCCTTATACACTAGAGCTTTGATTTTTATGTGATTAATCTCTAGAAATAAGACTGCAGATACAACTGAATTATTCATTTGAGTAGCTACTGCAACATGTAATTTTCCAAGAGATTGGGGTGATTAGCAAGAGAGTGTGGATTTCCTCACATTCTCCCTCTGGAGAAATGCTATTATTCTTTTATTTATATATATTTTTTGAGACAGCATTTTGCTCTGTTCTCTAGGCTGGAGTGAGGAGGCAGAATCATAGCTCACTGTAACCTTGAACTTTCAAGTTCAAGTGATCCTCCTGCCTCAGCCTTCCTAGTAGCTAGGACTACAGGAACACATGACCACACCGGGATAATTTTTTTTATCTTTGGAGAGACAGGGTCTTGCTATTTTGCCCAGGCTGGTCTTGAACTCCTGGCCACAAATGATCCTCCTCCCTCAGCCTCCCAAAGTGTTGGTATTACAGGCAAGAGCCACTGTACCTGGCCTATGATTCTTTTTTTTACTTTTATGGAGCTAATGGGTGACAGTAGAAATATAATTTGCTTCACTTTTCATTTTTATAATCTAAATGAACATTGAGCATAATTTAATATTTTCTTTACCTTTTTAGGTATCCTGATCTATAAATTGGATATTCTTATTCATGTATTTTACTCACATTTTGTGTTTTTTACTATAATTCTGATTTTGAGACATTTGCAGATTCATATACAGCTGTAAGAAATAATATAGAGATACCATGTAGTTCTCCAAAGGTAACATCTTGCAGAACCACAGTACAATATGGCAAACAGGAAATTGTCCTTGATACAGTCAAGACACAGGATGTTTTCAACACTGCAAGGATCCTGCATGTTGTCCATTTATAGCCACACTCACTATTCCCTCCTCCTACCCCCTTCTTATCCCTGGCAGCCACTAATCATCTTTCATTTCTATAATTTTATGATTTTAAGAGTGCTATATAAGTGGAAATATATAGTATGTAACCTTTTGAAATTGCCTTTTTTCACTCAACAAAATTATTATCAATAGTTCATTCCTTTTTATTACTGAATCATATCCCATGGTATGGATGTTCTAGTTTATTTAAACACTCAATTGTTGAAGGATGACATGTAGGTTTTGCTGAATACAGATTCTGTGTTGATATTTCTATTCTTTTATCACTTAAAAAATATGCAACTTTACACAAGACAAGGATGCCCTCTCTCACCACTCCTATTCAACAAAGATTGGAAGTTCTGGCCAAAGCAATCAGGCAAGAGAAAGCAATAAAAGGCATCCCAACAGGAAGAGAGGAAGTCAGCCTCTCCCTGTTTGCAGACAATGTGATTCTATATCTACAAAATGCCACAGTCTTTGCCCAAAAGCTCCTTGAGCTGATAAACAAATTCAGCAAAGTCTCAGGATACAAAATAATGTACAAAAATCAGTAGCATTCCTGCATAACAACAACATCCAAGCCAAGAGAAAAATCAGGGACACAATTCCATTTACAATTGCCACAAAAAGAATAAAATACCTAGGAATACAGCTAACCAGGGATGTTAAAGACCTCTACAATGAGAATTACAAAACACTGCTGAAAGAAATCAGAGATGACACAAACAAATGGAAGAACATTCCATGCTCATGGATAGGGAGAATCAATATCATTAAAATGGCCATACTACCCAAAGCAATTTGCAGATTCAATGCTATTTATCACACTACCAAAAGCATTCTCACAGAACTAAAAAAAAACTAAAGTTCATATGGAACCAAAAAACAGCCCAAATAGCCAAGGCAATACTAATCAAAAAGCTGAAGGCATCATGTTACCCGACTTCAAACTATACTACAGGGCTATAGTAACCAAAACAGCATGGTACTGATACAAAAACAGACACATAGACAAATGGAACAAAATAGAGAGTCCAGAAATAATGTCACACACCTATCACTAGCTGATCTTTGGCAAAGCTGACAAAAACAAGCAATAAGGAAAGGACTCCTTATTCAGTAAATGGTGCTTGGTTAACTGGCTAGCCATATGCAGAACATCAAAACTAGACAACTTTCTTACACCATACACAAAAATTAACTCAAGATGGATTAAAGACTTAAATGTAAAACCCAGTGGAAGAAAATCTAGGCAATATCATTCCAGACATAGGCACAGGCAAAGATTTCATGACAAAGATGCCAAAAGCAGTTGCAATAAAAGCAAAAATTAACAAATGGGATCTAATTAAACTAAAGATCTTCTGCACAGCAAAGGAAACTATCAAAAGAGTAAACAGACAACCTATGGAATGGAAGAAAATTTTTGCAAACTATGCTTCTGACAAAGGTCTAATATCCAGAATCTACAAGGAACTTAAACAAATTTAGAGGCAAAAACAAAATAACCCCATTAAAAAGTGGGCAAATAATATGAACAGACACTTTTAAAAAGAAGACATAAATTGGCCAACAAGCATATTAAAAAATGTTCAGCACCACTAACGCTTAGGCAAAACCACAATGAGATACCATCTTACACCCGTAAGTATGGCTCTTTAAAAAAAAAAAATCAAAAAGTAACAGATGCTGGAGGTTGAAGAGAAAAGGGAATGTTTAAACACTGCTGGTGGGAGTGTAATGTAGTTCAGCCATTGTAGAAAGCAGTGTGGCAATTCTGCAAAGAACGTAAAACAGAATCCCAGCGTCTCATTACTGGGTATTTACCCAGAGGAATATAAACCATTCTACCATAAAGAAAAATACATGTGTATGTTCACTGAAGCACTCTTCACAGCAGCAAAGAAATGGAATAAACATAAATGCCCATCAATGGTAGACTGGATAAAGAAAATGTGGTACACATACACCATGGAATACTCTGAAGCCATAGAAAAGAATGAGATCGGGGCCGGGCGCAGTGGCTCATGCCTGTAATCCCAGCACTTTGGGAGGCCAAGGCGGGCAAACTGCCTGAGGTCAGGAGTTCAAGATCAGCCTGGCCAACATGGTGAAACCCCGTCTCTACTGAAAATACAAAACTTAGCTGGGTGTGGTAGCGGGCACCTGTAATCCCAGCTACTCAGGAGGCTGAGGCAGGAGAATCACTTGAACCTGGGAGAGAGGTTGCAGTGAGCCAAGATCGTGCCACTGCACTCCAGCCTGGGTGACAGAGCGAGACTCCATCTCAAAAAAAAACAGAAAAGAAAAGGAAAGAAAAGAAAAGGAAAGAAAAAAGAAAAGAAAAGAAAAGAATGAAATCATTGTCCTTTGCAGCAATATGGTTGGAGCTGGAGACCATTATCCTTAGCAAACTAACGCAGAAACAGAAAACCAAATACCGCGTGTTCTCACTTATAAGTGGGAGCTAAATAACAAGAACACATGGATACAAAGAGGGGAACAACAGACACTGGGGCCTACTTTAGGGTAGAGGGTGGGAGGAGAAAGAGGACCAGGAAAAATACCTATCTGGTACTATGCTTAGTACCTGGGTGATGAAATAATCTGTACACCAAACCCCTGTGACACGAGTTTACCTATATAACAAACCTGCATATGCACCCCTAAACCTAAAACAAAAGTTAAAGGAAAAATGAATACATAAATAATAAAAAAGAAAAATATGCCACTTTCTTCTGGCCTCCGTGGTTTCTGATGAGAAATCCTTTGTCCTTTGAATTGTTTCTCCTTTTTTTTTTTCTATAGGTAAAGGTTTCATTTGTGTCTGGCTTCTTCAATACTTTATTTGTCTTTAGTTTTCATAAGTTTAATTATAATATATCTTGAAATGGATTTTGTTGAATTTCTTCTTGGGGTTCTCTCAGTTTCTCAAACCTGAAGGTTTATGTCTCTTGATAAATTTGGTAAGTTATCAGCCATAGTTTTCTTGAGTACTTTGTTAGCCCCATCCTATTTATCCACTCCTTTCAGGATTCTGATGATGTGAATGTTAATCTTTTGTTATAACCCCACAGGTCTCTGAGGCTCTGTCCATTTTATTCCATCTACTTTCTCTTTACTCTTCAGGTTGGGTAATTTCTATTATTATAACTTTCAGTACACCGATTCTTCCCTGGCATTTTCCATCTGCTATTTAAACCATCCATGGAGCTTTTTATTTCAGGTTTTGTATTTTTTCAGATTGTGGAAGACAAAGCAACTCTATCTTAAATGCTAACCTGCCATGTTGACTTCCAATCAATCCCTGTTCTGGAAATGCCCCTAAGATTTCTACTTTATCTAGTTGCCATAAATCCTGCCTTCAGGTCAAAACAATCTTGGCAATAAATCCTGCCCTTAGGCAGATCCACATAGCACTGTTGTCTTTCCCTGGAGGTCAGCTTTAACTATCCTACACATTCCTTCCATACAAAATATAAGCCCTAGTTCTGTGGGATAATGGCATGGGGACCCACCATCTTGTCTCACCATTGCCCACGACTATGACTTCTGTTCCTAAATCCCCATCAAATGTTTCTTTCTCAGAAACTGAATTTCTCAGCCTCTTTCTTGTGCCCCTCACCTTCCTTGGCATTTAGGGATAGGTTTGCATAGACCTGCCCACTGCATAACATGTGGCGAACTCTCTAGGAGCTGAGAGACCAAGAAATGGGGAAAGGAAATGAAGTATCTGTGTGGGAAATCCCAGGGTGGCCAGCCACTTCTATGTGGAGTGGTGTGACTCGCCTTTTAGACACTTGTACATGACTACAGGGATGCCCAGAAAATGCTGGCAGATTTAGAGTGATTATTAACTGATAGCCATCTATCAGACATCTTATCGCACTGTGGTGAAGAAGGGCAGAGAGCGGCTGCTGCAGTGAGTTGGCTGCTTCTGAAGGCTGCCCATTTGTTGACAAAAACCCAGCTAGCAGCAGAAGCAAAAGTAAAACAGCTTAAGTAGAAAGTACAATTAGGAAAAATATTTTTAAGAGCTCTATAGTCCAAAGTTGACTTAATTAGTAATATTTAGGCTGTATATGTATATGTACGTGTGTGTATATATATGAGAGAGTGAGAACAGAGCCCTTAAAACAAAACATATATGTCAAGTAAAACAATTCACTTGACCAAATTCTGTTTCTCTATTTACTTCTGTCTGTCCCTCCTTCCTCTTGACACCCTCCATCCACATAAAAGAACCTACAAAAATTTCTAATAGCCTGGGATCCTTTAAGGAAAACAGAAAAGATACCACAGAATCCTCTTTCGGAAGGATTCTCTGCTTTCCCTCTTGGAATCCCAAGAGTTAGAAGCAAAGAGATTCCTCTCAGGTCTAAAACTCTGCTTTCTTTTGTTTTGCATTACTAATCTCTTTGGCTTTTGGAGGTATTAGAGGTTACTTTGTACCCTGAGAGGACTTGACCTTGGTGTGTGAGTAATGACTGATGAGTCACCGGAGAGAACTGCAGTGTTAGAGGCGGCTGATGGCAGTTGTTTACAGTAAATAGTTATTACTACAGGGGGGCTGCTCATTTATTTGCACATTTAGATAAGAAAAGTATGGTTTGGGCATCCAGAGGCTATGGAAACATGTCCCACTGAGGGATAGGAGTCCATGGGGGATGGGCTGATCACAGAGTGAGCTGATTGCTGTCAGGCTGCCCACCAGCCTCAGGTGAATGCCATTGCAGTGAGGATGCCATGGAAGCATTGCACTGTCAAGTCTCTTGGCATTTTCCTTTTGGAGAATCAAGATTCAGTGTAAAAATGGGCTCCTTGATTGAGGGGCATCTAAGTGTTCTGACATGTTTATATATGTTATATGCATGTGATACATCATTACCAAAATATGTGAAAGAGCTCTAATTAATTACCTTAAAGAAAAAGTAAATGCTTAAATCACATATTTTATCAGAAAAATTGAACCTAACTCAAATGCCTTTTAGTTCACACGCCTTTACTAATCTTTGGTAATTAAAGATAGTTTTAAAATTATTTGTAAAATAAAATTGCAATTAATATATGTAATTTAAACTACTAGATCTAAGAGACACCATTCTACATACAGACTCTACAAAGAAAGTAAGATTTTTTTTTGGTGAAGAAGGTTATGAAAAAAATGAGGATGCGGTTTTTGCTAAAGGAAAAGTAATTTTGTCCAGTTTATAAAATGGTGGGGAATGAGGACCTTTGATTCCTTAGTGGCTACATAGTCACCCAAGGTATGGAGCTGCAATTGTGCTTTGCTCAGTTGCTAAAGGTAAAAGTTACCAGTGGAATTTAGAGATGGATCCAACTCTTAGGGAATTGTTTCCTTGGATCCATAAGGAATGCAAACTAATAAGAAAAACTGAAATATTCAATCTCTTTTTTATTGTTATCTATAATAGCTAAAATGAAATTAAATGAGAGAGTGCTGGGTTTGACCTTGTTGCTAAACCAAGGTGGGATTTCAGTGAGTTTGAGCTTCCTTTACTAGCCTCAAAGCTGATCCCCCCAGAGCAAAATTATGCGGGAACAACAGAAAGTACCTCTGAGACCTGCAGTTACCAAGAAGGCAGCCAGTGTAGTGGAAGAACAAAACCAAGTAACTATTGAAGCCAGAGGGTATAGTGCTAGAGCAAATGAATTGTTCCACTTTGTAGATTGGTATCATCAGCTTCCTGAAGAACCTTTACTAAAATCAATTATGAGAGTAACTAATTTAGGGGTAGTATCTTTGCTTTTAAATCCTTCAGAGCGGAAGAGCATGTTTGGGTTGATGCAGGACCAGCAGCTCACTGTTGAACAATCAAAGACAGCTTAATGTGGTACAGACACAGGAGGCTATTCCCAAGGGAATAGCCAGCCTGCAGGACTGGATAAATGCCACTGTAAGGTTTGTTTACCCTGAGAAGGGTCTGCCTGACTCCACCTATAAATGCCAAGCGGAAAACCCCAGATGAAGTAGCTGAAATGCTTCCTATGCAATTCATGTGAGACTGCCTTCATGATGACTGGGATATTCGCCTACTGAATATGCCCATTACCCAAGTCACGGTAAATGCTATGGTTAAGGGGGCCCTATTTTCACGAGCACTTCATATAATCTTGTTACTACAAAACCAAAAGACTATCAGAAAAGCCTTGTCAAATTTTTTGTCTCAGCTTCCTCTTGTGGATGTTACAGATCCTAATAAATACATTAGGTTAATTAACAAGAGAATTAGGAAAGGCAAAAGGGAAAGTCAAATAACTCATCACAGCAAGGTGGAAATCTTTAGATGGTTGTTACAAAATGGAACAAATAAAATAGGAGTTGATGGGTTTAAAACAAAGGTCTTAATACAACATTATGGAAGGTTGGGTGGACCACAGGAAGCCCCTGCTCATCCCCTAACACTATAGGGCCCCAAACTAGTTTTCTGTATTTACCCCAGACTGGAGAATTAAAAAAAAAAAAAAAAAATCAGAAGGCAAAGAATACAATGAGAAAGCTGACCAACAATTGCTTGGGGGCAAATGTTGACGTAGATTAATCAAGGTAAAAATTGACAAAAGAGCCCGAGTTCCCTGGCTGAACCACATCTGGGAACCCAAAGACTTTTTTACAAGCGCCAGTAAATGGTCTGGTAGTGAAGAAGTGAAGTTCCTAAGACTAGAATATAAAAATGTAAGAGCTGCCGGGCGCAGTGGCTCACGCCTGTAATCCCAGCACTTTGGGAGGCCGAGGCGGGTGGATCACGAGGTCAGGAGATCAAGACCAGCCTGGCGAACACGGTGAAACCCCGTCTGTACTAAAAATGCAAAAAATTAGCCGGGCGTGGTGGCGGGCGCCTGTAGTCCCAGCTACTCGGGAGGCTGAGGCAGGAGAATGGCGTGAACCCGGGAGGCGGAGCTTGCAGTGAGTTGAGATTGCGCCACTGCACTCCAGCCTGGGAGACAGCGAGACTCCGTCCCAAAAAAAAAAAAAAAAGTAAGAGCTGAAGAGCTGATAGGCTTATGGAAGTTGGAATATTTAAGCAGGCTTTATGTATAGTAGTTTTGTCTCTTTTATCTAAATATTTTATGAGAATGAACATTGTGTCTAACTGGGAAATATTTCTCCTACCTAGTACTGCAGAACAGAGGGCATGTAAACCCTTCTTTTGAGCAATATTAATTGTACTGCTAAATGGGAACCTGTAAGATTTCCCAAGCCCACAAAGCATAGAGTAGAAGCTGCAGTGCTGGTAGGAACAAATTCTCCACCTGATAGCCCTTTGTGCAGTGTTTATTGGGGCTTATGAGAAAAACTTGTAAGCCCTTTTCAACAATGACTACTGGCACTTTGGACTAGAGAATTTCCACTTGAGGGGAATTAACTGCCTTGTTATGAGATGTTAATTAAAGCTACCCCGTGACTGAAGATATAAAAGATCCTGACACCTGAAATACCCATGTTATCTCAGATGATGTCATAGAAACCTCTAATGGGGATAGCAGTACCCAGAAGAGTTTCATAATAAAATGGAAATGATTTATATAGGATCACGCTGAAGAGGCTATGTTGTCTCAGGTATAAACCTGGGGTTCGTTGTCATGCACCAGAAAAGTTAGAACACAGACACACATGAGGAGTTTAGGAGTGGAGGTTTAATAGGAAGAAGAGAAGAGAATGAGAAACAGCTCTCTCCACAGAGAGAGGGATCTTCAAGTGGAAAAGACCAGCTGGTGGCAAATGCCTGGAATTTTATAGCATAGTTTGAGGAGGTGGTGTCTAATTTACATAGGGCTTATAGATTGGTTCAATCAGGTATGACGTTTACATAGCACGGTGAAGGTGGGTTGCCCTACCCTGAACTTATTATGCAAATGGGCTTTCCGGTTGATTGCTGCCATGTTGTCTGTTCTTTACAGTACACGTGGCTGGCAAAGAGAAGGGAAGATGGAGCCACCATCTTGAACATGTCTAGTCCCTAGTTCCTGCTGGCATTCACCTGTGCAAGCTCTCAGCTTGCTTGTCTATGTCTGCAGCTTGACTTTACAGGCTCCTCTTTGCTAGAAAATGATTTGGGGCTGCTTTTCATTAAAAAGAAAAGCCTTACTGAGTGCTCCCATACCCTTACTATCTGCCTAAGTGATTTCTTCTTAACTCCTATATCAATGCTACCTGGCAAGAGCAAAGAAGAGATACTCACAAACAGGGAGCCTCTTTTTCTCCCTGCTTGTGTCTAGTACCAAGATGAACAGACAACATCCTAATTGGAAGGCTACTACTCTGATTAAAGAGGAGTCAAGAAAACCTTGTTTTCTTTTGAGCTATTTAGAGTTTACAATGATTGAGTGAAGGATACTTTTGTGAGCAAAATTTACCTTTCTCTCGACCTGAGTTCTCCAAAATTTGGAAACTATTCATGAGTATTCTTCTGTCATGGCAATATAATTTATTTGCATAATTTCAGTAAGAAGCTGTTTTCTTTTGTAAAAGGACACAATTAGAGACACTGGTTATTTTACCAAGGCCTTGACTAGAGTGCCATATTTTCCAATATGACTATACTGCTTTGAGGAACTGAAGTTGGCTTTATAGAGCCAATAAAAAGCCTCTTGGAAAGACTGGTCTTGCACCTTGTGACCTGTGGTAAGAAAAGAATGTGACTTTCTGATAGTCTCAGGAACCTCAAGTTATTTTGGGACCTTGAGAAGAGAGGAATACAACCATTCATACAGGTATTACAGGCACAGTCTGATGGAGAATCATTGGCTTGGTTAGAATCGAGGCTTGTAAAAGTCTAATCTGAGATTGCTTATAAAAACTTTCTGGCAAAGCCATCTTTAAAAGTGCCAGTATGGCCAGCCACTATTCTTGCTGCACTTTATGCAAATAATCAGGCCAAATATAATGAGGCTAACATTTATTTTTCAAATAAATTGGTCCTACTATGTGAGAAATAAAAACAAAATTGTCAAGTCCCCCCAACCAACTGAAATAACCCCCTCTTGGCCAAGGGAACAACACAGAAATCTTAAAAAACTAAGTTTCTGGCCGGGCACGGTGGCTCACACCTGTAACGCCGGCACTTTGAGAGGCCGAGGTGGGTGGATCACTTGAGGTCAGGAGTTTGAGACCAGCCTGGCCAACATGGTGAAACCTGTCTCTACTAAAAATACAAAAAAAAACTTGCCAGGCGTGGTTATGTGTGCCTGTAATCCCAGCTACTCGGGAAGCTGAGACAGGAGAATAGCTTGAATCTGGGAGATGGAGGTTGCAGTGAGCCAAGATCGCACCACTGCACTCCAGCCCAGGCAACAGAGCAAGACCCTCCACCTCAAAAACAAAAAACAAAAAAAATGAAAACTAAATTCCTGGCCATGATGGGAAGTGAGGTCAGACACACCTTATCATACCCCTTCCCTCACTAACCTCCCTTAATATTTTTTCCCCTAAGGGGTAAACAGAAACCAGCCCTAAAATGTTGGCTCCACTGCTGATATGAACTAATTGCCTGATGCTGCCCCTCCCTTTTTTTGGTTTCAGTGCAACAGATGACCAGTATTCCTTCCCGATAAGAGACCAAGGACCACCAAGTGGCTCTGGCTAGTCTACAGAGGCTGTCACAAAAGGCCTTCATGTTCTCTGCTTCATATTTTGATGTAAAGGGCCTAATTGTTATACACTTAAATGTTGAGTCTCCACCCCAAGGTGAACATGGGATGCATGTTGCATACATGTTAGCCTATTATGCTTGCCCATGCAACTCCTTCATGAATATTCATAGCTCCTATAACCTGTTGAATATGTACACTTGGCCACCCTGCTCAACATAAATTCTTATTCCCTCTGCCGCTACTTGAAGCACTCGCTTTTCAATTTCAGCTGCAGGCTTCACTTCCCACCTGCACATTGTGGTGGCCTCTTTTAAAAATAAAGTCTTCCTTTCTAAATTAATAAACTTGTGACTTTTTTGGTCAACATATGATTTATCCTTGCTAGAAATGGAGTAATTGGGGAAAAAAATATTCAAAAGAAAACTATAGTAAATCCTTCATTTGTTTCTAGCCCTTATCATTGTTTTTGACTTGTTATTATTTGCCCACAATTTGAACTGAACCCTGAATTATTTCCTGGCTACAACAATTCTCTAAATTAAGAACCAAGTTTTATTTTTCTTCACGCTCTTTTTTTTTTTCTGGTAATCCTTGTGTGCATATTAATGTTATTTATCTCGTTTTTCTTCTTCTGAGAAAACCAAAGTCATGGTATCCCAAAGACTAGAAGATTATTCAACAAAGCCTATGAATCTTCTTCATTTGGAATCCCACAGGGCCCAATCTGTCTGCCATTGGCAATGCACCACATTAAATGTTGTACAATATCAAGCATTCTCCCTAAAGGCTCTGGGACCATTGTGGAAGAGAAGCGTGCATGAGATCGTAAGAGCTGGGTTAGGGAAATGGAGTGTGGAACATAAACTTCATTTTGGATGCCAATCTGCCACGTTGACTTCTGATTAACGCCTGATCCAGGAGTGCCTCTGAGATTTCTCCTTTATCTACTGTTTCTGTAAATGTTGTCCTTAGGCAGGTTGATATAGCACTCTTGCCTTTCCCTGGGGATGTCAACTTTAATTGTCCTACATATGGCTTCCCTATGGTATATAAGCCCTTGGTCTGAGGGTTAGTGGTGCAGGGGTCCACCATGTCATCTGGCCGCAGCCTGAGATAATGGCTTCTGTTCAGAAGTCCCTATTAAAAGTTTCTTTCTGAGAAACTGGATTTGTCAGACTTCTTGGACCTCTTAGCTTCCTTGGCCTTTGAAGGTAGTTTCACATAGACTTGCCCACTACAGAACGCAGATCTAAAATTTCTATTTGGTTCTTCTTTATGTCTTCTATCTGTTTTCTGATACTTACTATTTCTATGCTGAGGTTTTCTGTTTATTCACTTGTTTTAAGAATGTTTTTATTGGTGACTGAAGCATTTTTATCATGCTGCTTTAAAAGCTTTGTCAGGTAATTCGGTTTTTTGTTTGTTTGGTTGGTTGGTTTTTCAAGACAGAGTTTCGCTCTTGTTGCCCAGGCTGGAGTGCAATGGCTCAATCTTGGTGCACTGCAACCTCCACCTCCCAGGTACAAGCAATTCTCCTGTCTCAGCCTCCCAAGTAGCTCAGATTACAGGCATGAGCCACCACATCTGGCTAAAAAGCTTTGTCAGGTAATTCTAACAACTCTGTCATTTCTGTTGGTATCTATTTATTGCTTTTTTTTTCATTCCATTTGCTATCTTCCAGTTTCTTTATATAATGAATACTTTTATTGAAACATGGACAATTTTGTATTATGTCACGAGACTCTGAATCTTATCTTTACTTTTAGCTGGCTTTCTCTGACACTGCTCTTGCAGAGGAAGTGGGGCAGGTACCACCTTGTTACAGCCAGGTGGAGGCTGAAGTCCAGATCCTCTAGGGGAGGATGGCCTTTATTACTGTTGGGTAAAGATGAAAGTCTCACTCCTCACTGGTCTCCACTGACACTATAGGTGGGCCTTATTATAAGCTGGTGGGGATTAAAGACCTGATTCCCTACTTTTTTTGAGGTGCCTCTTTATACCCTAATGAGTGTGAAAATTTGGGTTCCCCATTTAGCCTATACTGGTATAGGTCGGGGTAGAACCATGGTGTTTTCTGCATGTTTGGCTGGAATACAGCAATTGTTGTCTGTAAGTTTCTCTCTTGCTTGCCTGCTCCCTTTTTTGGTCCATTGGCTAAAGAGAGCAGGCTTTTGCTAGTGCTTTTTTTGTCTGTTCCCACTGGCATTTCTGGGTTGCAAGCTTCTTCATCTCCAAGTCTGGGATATATAAGGCAAAAAGAAAATCCAGGGAACTCACCAATGTGTCATCCCTTGGGTCCTGAAAGCACATATGAGTGCATTCTTCTTCTCTCCACTTTCTTCAGTCTGCCTTTTAGAGTCTTGTTATGTCAGTTTTATACATAACGTCAAGGGATTTTAATTGTCCTTAGACAATTAAAGAGCTAGGGAAAAATATGTCTGCCCCTTCTACTAACAAGCAGGGGTCTACTCACTTTTATTTGGGTTATCTACATCTTATCAAATTTTTAGGTAAATGTTTAGGTTTTATTGAAATATATCTGCAGAAAAGCTCACAAATGAATTACCACCACCAAAAGTGAGGTGATGGCAGTTTACTAGCACCCTAGAAAGCTATAGTGTTTCTTCCCAGTTATAAATTATCTATCCCTCTTCCCCAAAGATAATCATTGTCATCACATCTAATGCTAGGGATTAGTGGGGATATTTTTGAACGTTATGTATATTATATAATACAATATGAACTCTTCTGTGTTGACTTTTTTAACTATGTTTGTGAGAGTAACTGAATGACCGATGACCACGTGACAAAGTGTTAAACTTCATTAATCATCAGCAAAATGCAAATAAAGTCGCAGTGATAAAATTAAAAATAATGACTGTATAAGTGTTGAAGAAAACAACTGGAATCCTTAATTTACACTTACATGTTAGCATCAAAAGTCATGTACAAGAATGTTCATAGTAGCACTATTCATGATAAGCTGAAAATAGAAACAATTCAGCTGTTCATCAACACACAGTGGATGAAAGAAATCATGGCAGATCCAAACAATAGAATTCTACACAACAATGAAAGAGAAAACATTCAACAACATGAGTATTCAATGATTTTTAAATACTGTTGCACATTTTACTTTTAATGTAGTTTTAAAAATCAAACTATGTTTCCTGAAAGAGGAAATATAGGCTGGGATCAGTGGCTTACGCCTGTAATCCCAGCACTATGGGAGGCCAAGGCGGGTGGATCACCTAAGGTCAGGAGTTCAAGATCAGCCTGACCAACATGGTGAAACCCCATCTCTACTAAAAATACAAAAATTAGCCAGGCATGATGGCAGGTGCTTATAATCTCAGCTACTCGGGAGGCTGAGGCAGGGTAATCACTTGAACCTGGGAAGCAGAGGGTGCAGTGAGCCGAAATCACGCCACTGCACTCCAGCCTGGGTGACAGAGCAAGACTCCATCTTAAAAAAAAAAAGAAAGAAAGAAAGAGGAAATATGCCATAGTGCAATATGTTGAATGCAATTTAAAACACTTTTAATTCCACATATTTTTAAAATATGCATGAATGTCTACGATATACATTTTTAAAACATTATAGTGAGTATCATTTGAAGGAAGGGGATTTTGAGTGAGGATGAGAGTAAATTTGGAACTGCTAATTAAATAAGTTAAAAGGAGAAATGGGATTGCAAGGACTAATTTTGACAGTGCAATGAATAACTCAATTCTGGGTCCTTTCAATATCTCCAACGTAATAACACTAAATATAAATAAATAGCCAACACAGCATACCACAAGAAAACATAAGCTGGATATATACCAATCTTAAGATGCCAGGAATGACCTACCTCTTCTCTTTCTGAAAAACTGCCATTACCTTTCACTATTAACTTCTTTCTTTGGTAAATCCTCCCTGGACCCCTCAGTTCAATTAGCCCTTTCTTTTCCAGATTCCCACAGCTGTCTCTTCATACCTGTGATGATTATTATTATTACTATTTTGAGATGGAGTCTCGCTCTGTCGCCAAGGCCAAATTGCAGTGGCGTGGTCTCAGCTCACTGCAGCCCCTACCTCCCAGATTCCAGCGATTCTCCTGCCTCAGCCTCCTGGGTAGCTGGGATTACAGCCATGTGCTATCATGCCCAGCTAATTTTTTTTATTTTTAGTAGAGACAGGGTTTCACCATGTTGGCCAGGCTGGTCTCAAACTCCTGATCTCAGGTGATCCACCCGCCTCGGCCTCCCAAAGTGCTAGGATTATAGGCATGAGTCACTGAGCCCAGCCTACCTGTGGTTATTTGTCCTAAATTCTGCCTTTCTAATGAAGCTGAATTTTCCTTTGGGTCAGGGAATCTGCATATACTTGCCTATATTCCTAAAACTAATAAAGCACCTAGTATACAGCAGCCCTTGGCAAATTTTGATGAATAAATTGGTGAATAAAACAAGGACTTCATTCATTAGACATCTACACCTTATTTCATAACAATCTCAAATATCTTAAGCTGAATACTAACTCCTTGACCTCATGACCACACAAGAGGTAGAAACAACAGGACATGGTGACTCACTACATAAGTGGTTGAGGAAAAGTGAATGGAAAAATAGGGCATATTTTTTTATTTAAAATATGGGTATTTATCTCATTTCATCCATTAGCACTGTAATTGCATTCTAGGGAACTCAGCAATTCTGTGCAATACAGAGTTGGTATCCAGGCTGGGCTTCCTCAAATTACTGAGCCATTTGCTTGGTAGACTTTGGCATTTTGGCAGCTTACATTTTAGGGATGAAACAGGACCAAGATGCAGTCAAAAACCTCCTCAGAAGGTCTGCCTGAATAACAACTGCATTCATACTATCTCCCACTGTACCCTCTATCTGATAAGCTATCATTATGAACTATTTTTAACTATTATTATTGTTTGAAGAGACAAAAATCTCCAATATTTTTTTGGCCAGTTCTGCAAGAACAAAGGTAGATTAAACATAGGTATGTTTCTTAAGTCTGGGCTTTATGGGTAAGTTTGCCTCAGCTATGGAGGGAAGAAACTTGGTATTTAAGGCTTAAAGCTTGAGTCATCTTTTCCAGGCCAATTGTCAAGTGCCTGATGGATGGTTCATGGCTGCCAAGGGAGCAATTGGAGAAACATAGAGGGTTATAGGAGGCAGAAAGACAAAGCAGTCATATAACCCCCATCCTGAAAAATATAGTAGAAAGAATTTTTGAGATTCATTTGCTGCCAGCATGGCTCTACAAACTTTTGGAACATATTTCAAAGTAAGTACAAAGCATTATGTATAAAGAGCATCAACTATTATCCATTTTTGCTGGAATTCCTGTTCTTTGTTTTGAAAGGCAATTCTACTGCTCACTTTTAGGAACTTCATTTAAGATACATAATGATTAAGTGGGATATTCATAATCCTTTAGAGGTTGTAAATGTGCAAGCTATATGTGTGTTTAAATTTTAGGGCCCCATATACACAACGGGTTTCTGTGTCAAAGAGAACCAGAGTTCTCTGTGTCTGGCTTCCCGGAATGGAGATTCTATGTGTGTCTCTCAGAGCTCTGAATTTTGGCTCCTTTTTACTCTGTGACCCATTTAACCCTCCAGCAATCCCTATGATGCTTTTTCCCCCCTCCCCCCCGCTATTACTAGTTAAAACAGTAGCATTCCTCCCAGGCTGACTGAGATCCAAGTTTCCTCAAGGGCCATTTGTAAAAGTACTTAAAACTATTATTCAAAGCATTTTTCTGGCTCTAATCTTTCCCTTTTTTCAAGCATTGCCCATATGATCAGTAAATGTTACTCCCAAAGGAAAAAAAAATAAAACTGTGGAACCAGAACTGAACAAAGCCTGCACATGCACACCTCCATGTTTGTACTGACACCATGCATTTCGCTCAAGATTCTTTGCTTCCCCTTATCCTTCCAGAAAAATCATAGTCACCCTTCAAATTCCACTGGAACCTTCTCCAGCATCCTTTCCGTTTGGTGAACCTTATCCTTTCCCTGCACATGCTCTCAAATCATGTTGTGCAGACCTCTTGCACAACAGTGATCACACTGAGTTTTACTGTTTGCTTAGGTACTGTGAGAAGCCTGAGGTTTAGAGTCTGAAGATGCGGGCTAGACTCCCCACTCTGCACTTACCATATTCCATTAGGGAAGTCATAAACCCTCTCAGGCTTCTGATTACCTCATCTACAGAATGGGTCTAATAGTACTTACCTTGCCAGGTTGCTATTTAGAAAGAGACAATGAGTTTCTAATTGCTCTCTAACAGTTCCTGGAAAAAAGCATAAATGATCCCTCATAAATAAATTACTGTGCATCTATTCAGGGGAAAACACACAGTCATTAGAAAAGGATGATATATACTTATATTTTTTGACACAGAACTATCTCTATGATATATTACTAAAGGGAAAGGATGTTACAAAAATGCTTAATGTCCTGAGATCATTTTATGTAAATACGAATAAATACAAATGTAAAATGTACCCATATATGCATGCACATCTAGAAGGAAGTTCACTAAAATGCTATTTTACCAATAAGTGGTGGAATTTTAGAAGACTTTAAATTTCTTCAGTATTCTTGAATACTGCTTGACTAATGGTAAAGCTATTTGCAAAAGAATTTTAGAGATACTATGCATAATATCAAAATTAATTTGAAAACTTGGAAAAGAAAGCTGTGCAGCTAGTAGTTTGGTCAAATATTTCAAAGCTGAATAAAACAATGACCAATGGGATTGGTGAGCAAGTAAACTGACATTAGTTCATTGTGTCACATATTAATTGACTTTGGGCAAGTACTTAATCTATTTATGTTTTGATTTTCCCATCTCCAAAATAGTTTTTTATTAGATCTACAAGCTCCTCTACAACACTGACATTTTGTCATTCATCAATTCATTAATTTAACAAATATTCACTTATTATATGAGCACCTAAGCATCAGGGATATATGGTGAAGAGGAAAGATGAGGCCTTTGACCTCATGAAGCTTACACTCTAGATGACATCAAATAAGGAAAGAAAGAAACAGTGCTTTCAGATGGTGGGCACTGAGGTCCAAAACATGCGAAGAGCTGGTCATAGGGAATAGTGGGGATCCCTCAGATACAGAGAACTCAAGCACTAAAACTTGGTGAGAGACCAGGCATTTTTGAGGAGCAATAAGACCAGGGTTGGCTGGATCATACACCTCTTAAACTATTACCCTAAACTCATAGAATAAGAAAATATAAAGCTAAATGTTAATTACTGGTCAAAGGACCAAAATATATAGGATGAATTTACTTTATATGCATTTCCAAGAAATTTTAGATATTTGCTACTTCTAAATTCTAAACAAAAGCTATTACCAGTTTTAGCAATGTAGAATACATCTAATTTTGACATTGTATATGTATTTGACTATAATAAATAGTAAATCCAACTCAAATCAAATACATTTGCCCAAAATCATATGGATGGTATTGATGACGATGATAACAGTAGTATCAGATCCTATTTTGATTAGGCATTCATTCTTACAGAAACTCTACGAAATAGGGACTATTATCCCATTTTTGACTTAAGGAAATTGAAGCTGAGAGAGATTAAATCAATTGTCTAAGATCTCACTGCTTTTAAGTGGAAGAGCTGGGATGTTTGGATTTTAGGTTCCTGGCCTTTTCCACTAAATATAGAATAAAGATTCAAGCCATCCTCTTTCTCACAGAGGCTATAACCAGTTAGAAGTAGCCATACATTTTAGAGAAAAGGGATAAGTCTTAACCCATAAGGTAAACAGCTATATGAGGATTGGGCCTTGTTACCTTACCTTTTTCTGGGAACCTCCAGTGGACATAACTCGAATGCAGACAAACAGTGCTTTACAATGTGATCAACTATTATTGTTGTTATTATTACTAATTGGTGCTTAGAAAAACAAGTTAAGGATGCTTAAGCTGTATCTGATTTGCCCTCACAAAAATGAGTCTCCCAATTAAATTATTAGCTTTGATTCTGAGAAGAGACCAATCATGAATTGCTATGAGACCATAACGAAGCCTAGCATTAGCAGCTGTTCAAAGTAAGAGGTGGTGGTGGTTGCGGTAGTGTCAGTGGTTAGACTTTGGGCAAAGCATTTGGTTTCTCTAAGCTTGAAGGCAGATCCATTAGGCTGGATCTAGAGGGTGACAAGTGATGCTAATAGTGGATGCCAGCTGGGCCCAGTGGCTCACGCCTGTAATCCCAGTACTTTGGGAGGCCGAGGCAGGCGGATCACGAGGTCAAGAGATGGAAACCATCCTGGTCAACATGGTGAAACTCCATCTCTACTAAAAATACAAAAATTAGCTGGGCTTGGTGGCACATGCCTGTAGTCCCAGCTACTCGGGAGGCTGAGGTAGGAGAATCACTTGAACCTGGGAGGGAGAGGTTGCAGTGAGCCGAGATCGCGCCACTGCACTCCAGCCTAGGTGACAGAGCAAGACTCCGTCTCAAAATAAAATAAAATAAAATAAAAAATAAAAAAAAGTGGATGCCTCTTGCTTACATTTGTCTAGACTTCTTGGCTATCATCTCCAAAGTGTAGAGATGCTCATTATTTACTTTTAAGACAAAAGAATGGAATGGACCACTCTTCATTATTTGGGAACTTGCCCTGTGCCTTCTATTATGCCTCTGGCTCTCAATTTGCATTGCTCCTAATCTTTAAGGCCTGCTGCCTTTTCAGGACATCCGGGTTCTGCTGTTGCCTAGGTGGCAGCAAACCAGAGCGGCCAAAACTTGGCCCAGGAGCAGGATATAACTGAGTCCTTCCTAAACTGTAGAACCTAGGATAATTTTCTTTATCTTGCTAAGGTTTCATAGGGATTAAATGAAAGAACAAATATACAATGTCTATGATGTATTAGAAACCCAATACATGTTAGCTATTATTGTTATCAGCAACCTACGCCTTTCTCGTATACTGTGTTATATTGTGTATCCATCATGACTCTGATGCATCACGCATGGAGAGCCATCCCTTCCTTGAGATCCTCTCCTTTATCCTCAACAGTTCTCCATATTATCTTCCCTCTTCTTTTTTCTTGTTGTTCTTTTCTGTACCCTTCATAAGTATATCTGTTCTATTTAAGAAGTCTTACTAGTATCTTTTTACCAAATGGCTCTATAAGAAGCCAAGGTCCATAGGATGAAATCCAGTCTCTTTATACAAACTCAGAACAAAGAAATGAGAGAAGGTTAGCAGCATTACACAGTCTTCTGCTTAACGGTGTTTACTGTGAAAGGCCCTTGGATGCAATCAGGAGGAGGCCTTTGCCCTCTTTACAAATTAATGAACAAGTAAATGAACCAGAAGTGGGAGCTTCCAGTTCGAGTTTGTGCAGATAAATTTCTGTACACCTCACACTTCTGCTGGCTTGATATTTACCCAGAAACCAGAGTGAAATAGACCATGAAGGGGATCTACAAAAATCACAAAGCTACAGACTTGAGACTTAGAATAATTATTCACAACCTTTTTTCCTCAGGCTTTACCAGACTGCAGTAGAAATGAGAAATCTTGACAACCATAGCTAAAATGTCATAAAGCTTCTAAGGCAGAATTTCCAGTCTTCTGTGAGGTCTCACCTAAGCATTCCTGGGTGTCAGATGGGGTATCTCACACATAGCCATGAAAATGTACACTTCTGCTCAGGGATATCAATGCTTCATGAGGGGTACTCTGGGGATCACTTTGCTGGTCTACCATCTACTGACTCAAAGCACTGACAAATCCCATTGTTTTACAGAAGCATTCAGAGTCTTCTTCCATTCAGTTTGTGGAGGACACATGCAATAATTAATGCCTAGACCATTTCTAGAGCTCAGGGGCTACAAGGGTAGCCTCTTTTCACCACCTTGTTAACAAGCATTATACCAGGAGCTAGAGAAACAAGATGAACATGGCATTGCCCCTGCCCTAGGGGAGATCATAGCCCAACAGAAGAGCAGGCAACCTTGTCATTGATTACTTAGGAAAGGAAGTCATGGGAACATGGCATTGATTTGGGAATCTAAATCAGATAAATGGGTCAAGGAAGGAGATGTCAAGAGTAGTAAATACTTGGATATGTGATTTGAAGAATAAGATAAGTTAGCTAGATAACAAAAGATCGGATAGAAAATAATGTGAAACTAACACATAAACAAAGGCGTGATTTAGTTTGGGACACCATGGCTAATTCCTATGGTAGGTATTATTTATCAGACTAAGGATTTCTGCTGCTGGATCAGGGTGGGGTGGAAAGGAAGGAGGTACTAGCTTCTCTAAATTTCCTTCAAGGGACAACATTTAAACATATACTATTGGCTAATACTGTTGCTAACTTGAGCTAAGCACTTACTAAAAGTAAGGATGACATCTTCAATTCTTAAAAAAAGAAAATCCAAAAGAAAAAAAGGATGAAAAATTTATTGTTCTAAGCCATGACATGCTTGCTCACCAAGACTGGAATTGCCAGTAGACCCTGGGAGTTTTGTTTCCTAAGAAAACCCTCGTCTGGCCCCATGCTAGCTCAGGCTTCATTTGTACACACTCATCAAAGTCTTGTACTTTCCCTTATCATAGTTTTTTTTTAAATGTGTGTGTGATTTAATTAATTGCTGTCTCTCCCACTAGACTTAAATTCCAGGAAAACAGACTTAATCTGTGTTTTCTCTCTGCTGTATCATTAGTTTCTGGCACAATTCTGATACAGAATAGATGCTTGATAAAAATGTGTTGATATGGCTGCTCCTGTCATTGTGTTTGTGACTTTGGCTACTAGAATTCTGTCTCTATCGAACACTCAGGCATTGTGTTGTGAGAAGGAAAAAGCTGAAGCCATTTGGGCTAGCCAATCTGGCCCCGTACTGAGGGTCACCAGAAAATTTAGAGCATTTTGAAAGCTAAATGCTGAGTAAGAGGCTGACACATTGAACAGTAGCTTTCAATTGACATCTGGGATGGAAAGAGTAAGAGCAAGTTTATTCTAAAAGACATGAGCTAGGGCATGGATGCAGGACCAAACACATAATTTGCAGGGTCAAGTACAAAATGAAAATGTGATCTCTTGTTAAATATTTTTACCGAATTTCAAGATGGCAGCATCAGCGCGGGGCCCTGTGTGACTGCACAGGTTGCACATCCATGAAGCTGTTCTTGCAAACATCTACAGCTAATTTTAAAAATCTGAACAGAAGTTTGCAATTTTGTTTTAAAAAATTGAGGGTATTTTGTATTAATGGGGGAAAAGAGGCTTTTAAATATCTAGGTGTGTTTCTTTTCCCTGCACACTGAGGTTGTCTTCAAAAGAAACTGGACCCTCTGTATCTTTATTCAGTGGGGCTATTCCTATGTTTCCAAAAGATTTAGTAAGGCAGGCTGGTTTGCCCCTCTGTGAACAGTCCTCAACTCTTGCTATACTGCAACATCCAATTGCTCTTCAGCCAAGACCTGGCCTAGATTTGAGGCTCCACAGTCGGAAATGCATGGATTTTGAAGCCCAAATGTGTTCGAATTCCAGTTTCACCAATTATAGTTTAGTGACTTAAAGCAAATTACTCAGTCTTCCTACAGCCTCAACTTCCTCATCTATAAAATGGAAGTGATAATCCCTAGACGCATAGAGTAGCTGGGAGGATTAAATAAGGTAAAAAGAAAGGGTTTAGTACAATAAGTGCACAACAAACGAGGAACAGGTGTCCATATACACACTGCATTATCTCTCTGCTTTAGATCAAAGCTGAATGGAGAAAACGCAGTGCCCGTGAGTCAGGGGACCCCCACTCCGACCCCTGCTCTCTGTCACTGAACCCTATAAATAGCTTAGCTAAGTCACTGTCTCAGTCACTATTCGTTGGGGTGAGGAATGAGGGAGTTGTTGCAAGTGGCTCTTTCTGGCTATATCATTCACAGATTTTCTATTCTTTGGGGTTTGGGTCTGAATTTTCAGCATCCTCTCTGAAGAATCACCCCCACCCAGTGCCGGCGTGCGCCCAGCCTTCCCCCAGCCCTTTCCAGGGCGCTGCCCCCTGCCTGCCCTCACTACTCCAGGCGCTGGCCGCGCAGCCCCGCCCTGGAGCTGCCTCCCCGCCTCCTTCCTCCTCCTGCGGGCGAGCAGAAGCCCGCTCGCCCGCTGCCGAGTGGCAGTCACGACTGTGAGGTCGCCGGCGAGGTGGCCGCGGGCGCGGCGGGGCGGGGCAGGGCGCACTCTCCTCCACGCCCGCGGAAGTGCCGGGGAGGTGGGCAGGGCGGGGAGGGAGAGGGAGCGAGGCTGGAGGAGGGCACGTCGGCGCCTCGGCGAGGATGGGAGTCCCCAGGACCCGGAGCTGAGCAGCCTGGCGCGCGGCGGGCAGGGCGCGCAGGACAGAAGCCTCGCTGTTCCTCCGGGAGCCCAACACCGTTCCCGCGCGGCCACGATGATCCCTCCGAGCAGCCCCCGCGAGGACGGCGTGGACGGGCTGCCCAAGGAGGCGGTGGGCGCCGAGCAACCGCCCTCTCCTGCATCCACCAGCAGCCAGGAATCCAAGGTACCGAGCACGCTTGCCCCCAAGAGAACACAAACTCACTCTCCTCTCCTGTCGGTCCAGCTTTGTCTCTCCTCCTATCTAGCACGGGCGTGGGGGTCTGAGACTTGCTAGTTAGCCCAGGGCTGTAGGACTTGAACGTCCGGTAGGACCCGCTGCTCACGATGCTGGACCACGTCCCTGTGGACCCAGCCTTCCCGCCCACACATTCACACACGCAATTCATGGTGGCTCCGGGTTCAGAGATCGATTTCTTGCGGGGTGGTAGCTTGGTTTTTTTTGTGCTTTGAACCTGCTTGTGTCCAAAGCACGTGTAGGTAGGTATTAGGTGGCTTCTGAAGGCTGAGGGATGGAGACAGCCGAGGGATACTCTTCCAGAAAAGCTTGAGTACTGGGCCAGAAAAGCATGTATGTATCCCAAGGGTCTCAGAGACCTTTTGCTTAACAGGGATCACCCCTACCTTCAGATACTACTCACTAAAAAAGAAAAAGAAAAAGAAAGGGTTTGCCTGCGTTTGTCTGAAAGTTGATGTTCCTCTTGTGAAAGTTAATACTCTAAGAACCTATACTTGCTTTTATGAAAGTTACACTAACACGTATACAAAAAACCAAGCCCGCAGCAGTTCTCCTGTCACTGTTACACTTCCTCTGAAACTCCCGTGGGTGCCAGGCACATGTTTGAAAATCTTGGAAGAGGATAGAGTAAAATGTGGCTGCTAGCAGTGCAATGCCAAATGGCAACTCAGCTGGTGGTGGAAATCCTAAGATGGAGTTTGTAGTTATGTGGATTCTTTTAAGTGTAGAGCTCCTGGCTCTTTATTCTGATTTCATTGTGCGATCCCCAGGCATTTGGGGAATGTGAGGCAGTCCGTGTATACCAGCAAAGGAAAGGGGTTGCCAGTTTATAGGATAGGGACAGGCCAGATGGGGCAAGGAAGACTGCGATCCTGTCTCTCTTCACATGCATCCCTGGAAGCCATTGATATGATCAGGAGGATGAAAATCACAGCCTGAGTGGCTCTGGGGATTTGGTGTGATACTGGGCACTGTACATTTCCCAGCCCCCTGAAGTTAACCATCAATGATGGTAATCTAAGCCCGAAAGCTTTACATCTTATTTATTTTTATTTTTTTCCTGTTACTTACTGGCTGCCAGACCTGGGGTATGTGTGTCAACTTTTCTAAAACTCGGTTGGAAATGAGGGAAAAAGCCCCAACTTCCAGAGACATTGTGAGGAGTACATGAGAGGCCCTAATGTCCACCTGGTATACTGTAAGGACTCAATCATGTTTATCCTTTTCCTTCCTGAGATAAAGAGATGGAATCTATCTCATCTCAAATGATCCACTCCAAAGCAATCTGATAACCCATACACATGCACTACCTCTCCTCAGTCAAAAAGTTTCTGGGTATCATTGCCTCCCATTGAACATCAGTCCCCAGAGTGATATAGGTTAGTGGCCATTTTAGAGGAAAGCTAGAATTCTATAAATGAATGTAGCTGAACTCAAGAGTAAAACTAGTATTGAACTTTTTGAATTGGCCTGTTGCTCTGCAGTAGGCGTGTTCTGGAAAGGGCTTAGCATTTGGGCAAACAGTGGCATGGTTCAAATGCATTATATGGATTTGCTATTTATAGATGTCCTAATGGAAATTATTTGGCAGAGCAAAAGCCACATATGTAATGCCCATAATTATCCACCAATTTATCTGGCTTATGGTTTTGTACAAATTAGTTTTTCTCAAAGTGGTCTATACACCGGATGTGTGTTTCTACATTCCTAAATTTGATGTCATGGCCTCAGTAAGCTTAATTAGTGGAGATGAACTATGGCAGCCCATGAACCCTAGGAAATTGAATGCAATATTGTATGCCTACATGTGAATTTTTCTTGGCATAGCATTCATGATATTCTCAAAGTGATCCATGCCCCTTAAAAAAGGCTAAACTGCTAGTAGGGAGGAACGTGTGGTAAGGTAAGGGAGTAGGATGGCATGACACTGGAGGAGAGGAAGGCTCAATTCATTCTATTCTAGGAAGGCCACATGTTAAAGCTTACTGGCGTTTACAAGGATCTTTGACCCTGAGCATGAGAGCTTGGTGAGGAAAATGTGAACAAGACAGTAATATGCATTCCATCTTACTCTTCCATGAAGTGGTCTTGTTTGTAAAATATCTTGTGGGACAAACATGGTTCAGGCCCCCTTGGCATTAAACTCTCTCAAGGAAGACTTAAAGTTACTTTTTTTAAAGAGTTAGGTTTTTTTGTCTTATTATAAGAGTAACAAATACTCTTTGTAGATATTTGAACAGTCCAGACATAAATGATGAAAAGAAAAATAAATTAGCTCTTGGTTTACCATCCAGAAGCATCTACTAATAAAACTTTGATCTATATCTCATGTCTTTTTAAATCTGTTTATATATTTACATAGTTGAGCGAGAACAATAGTGAGCATCTACTGAATGTTTACTGTAAGTCAGATACAACCTTAATCTTCACAATAGAAGATTCTGTTAATATTTCTATTTTATGGATGGGGAAGTGGAAGCCAAGAAAGGTTAGATCATTTTCACTGTGAAAATTTATTATGGAAAATTTTAATATACACAAAAGTAGAGAAAACAGTATAAAGAACTGTCATGGACCTAATCATGTGGCTTCACAATTAATTCATGGACAGTATTGTTTTATGTATTACCACCACCACCACCACCCTACACATACTGGATCATTTTAAAGCAAATTCCAGACATGAAATAACTTCACCCGTAAATATGCTATCAGGTTACATCTCTCAAGGATAAGGGTTATTTTCATTTTATTTTCATAAACATGACTATAATCCCAATTAGCACATATTTCAGGTGTTTTAAGCTAAGGGCCACTATATTCTTTAGAAGCCCACAAATAGTCTTTGGAAAATCTGTGAACAACCCGAACCAGCATTCAAAGTTGTCCATGTACATGCATATATGCATCATCTAGGGAAAGAATTTATAGCTTATCTCAGGTTCACAAAGGGTCTATAGCTTCAAAGGTTATCTTAATGTCCTTTTTCTCTTTCTTGAGGAAATTGAGGCCCAAAAAGGGGCAGTGACTTGCCTGAGATCACACAGATAGTTACTGGCAATACCCTTACCTACAAACCCCGTCTTGGACTTTGGTATCCCAGTACAGTTTCCTCAGAGCAAATTTCTGTAAGCACAAGTCATAATATAGTTTAATGTAATTGTGGGTTTTCTTCTTTATGAAATTAGTTGAGTTGAATAAGTTTGAAAGCCACTGATGTATCATACCCTTCTATCTTCCCACTAACTATTTCAGAAAGATGACAGCCTAATTTATTTTTTAAGGGCTTGACAGAGACCATTGAATATAAACAAAAATTTCATGTCCCATTATCCCTTATTTCAATGAATATCTTTTCTCCTACTGACTTATTGACAACATAGAAAGCTTGCTAGTGTCTAATGTGAAGGTTTGCTATAAATCTCTTTGTCATCACTTATATGACACAAGGTCACATTTTGATGATATTGAGGAATCACACCTCAATATCATCAATATCAAAGGTGAGATTGACACACCTCTGTGAACATGCCTAATACCTCAAAGCCTCAGCTTCCTCATGGGGATGCTGATGGGGCTGCTACTACCCAATTGGTGTGCTTTTTGTAAGGCCTAAGAATATGTAATACACCTAATATGTTTGTTATAAGCATACACAAACATAAACCATTATTTATTTTCTCTATTTGTTTCAAATCAGATGACTGCTACCACCAGCCAACCCCAAATGTCATCATTGGAATAATTTCAATAACCACAACTGACATTACCATAATGTAACTGAGTTTACCTCTTTGGGCTTTTAGTTATGCTAATTGATTACAATGAGACTTCACTTCAGCTATTTTGCATCCCCAAGAAGATAAGACATAGACTCACCAGCATGTGATTTAGATTTTGAAATGGTGCTATAAGCCACCCAGTGCCCTAGTGGAGCCACGGACCAAAGTGACCCTCATTCCTGGAGGATTATTTCTGAACCTGGACCACAATCCAACCTATGAAAAAGAAATCTCTAACCATGAAGACGTGCCCTGAATCTCCCAGAAAGATTTCTGTGTCCATCTATCAGCAATTATTTATTGAGTGCCTACTTTGTGCCCAGCATATCTCATACATATATGTGAAGCTGTTATTAATAAGGAATTTAACTTCTATTCAGGGAAGAAGATGAAAGAAAACGAAACCTTGGCTTTGCATTGAAATCACCAAGGGAACCCAGGCCATAGGCTAGAACCACTAAGTTGAAATCTCTGAGAGAGATCTCAAGCATCAGTATTTTCTATACAGATGCCCACTGAAAACAGAATTAGAATAGTGTATACATAAACCCAAGTTTTGCTTTTTCTTCCACCTAATGTTATACGTAGTCTTCCTATACTTTTAAGTAACCAACCACACAAATATTGAAGATAGCCTAATATTCCATTTCATTGTTCTACCACATCAATTTCAGCAGTCCCTTCTGATTTCATATTTAGGTTCTTTCCCAGATTTCATACATTTAAAAAATATTAAAATATACATTCCAATGCATAAATATTTGTATATGTTTCTGATCAGTTTCATGACAAATAGAATTAACTAGGTCTGAGTATAAACACTTCTAAGGTATTTTATTCTCATAACCACAGTGACCTCAGAAAAAGTTGTATTATAGTCTTTTTTTTAGTAAACTTTTCATCAAAGTACAACATCATCCCCAAAACTGCACATATTAAAAGTTTATAGCTTGATGAATTTTCAAAAAGATAAACTCTTGACCTTTGTGTGACCACCTCATAAATCACAAAAAGAATATTACTGACACCCCAGAATCTCTCTCATACCCCTTTCTAATCACTAACCTCCTAAAGGTAAATAGTATCCTCACTCTAACAACATAAATTATTTGCTCATTTCTGAACTTTTGATAAATTGAATCATACAATATTTTATGCCTGACTTCTTTCACTCAACATTATGTTGAAATTATCTGTGCCATTGTAGGTAGCAATAGTTTTCATTTTTATTACCATATAACATTCCATTGTATGAATGGAACACAGTTTATTTACCTACTCTACTGATGATGGACATTTGGATTGTTTCTTGTTTTGGGCTGCTATAAGCCATACTGCTATGAACATTCCTTATATATATTCTTTGTGGCACATATGAAGCTCTTCTATTGGGTATATACCTAGAAGTGGCATTTCTGGCTTATAGGGTATACACATGTTCAGCTTTAACATACTTTTCAAAATGGCTGTACCACTTCATATTCCTGCCAGCAATGTATAAGACTTCAATCCACTCTTTGTGCTACCATCGTTTCATATTATCTTTCTCATTTTGGCCATCTAATAAGCAATTAATGGTATTGCAATGTGGTTTTAACTTGTATTTCCCCAATGACTAATAAGCTTAGCAGTTTTTACATGTTTATGGCATTTGATGTCTTCTTATGTAGTTGTTCAAGTCTTTTGCCATTTTTCTATTGGGTTATTTGCTTCTTATTAATTTGTAGGGGTTCTTCTCATATTCTGGATATGAGAACGTTGAGAGAAAAAATGTATTGCAGATATTCTCTTCTACACTGAAAAAAAAAAGGCTTACCTTTTTTCTTCTTCACTGAAATTCCTAATTTAATGTAGTCTAATTCTTACATTTTTCTCTTCTATGGTTGTGCTTTTTGTGTACTGCTTATGAAATCTTTGCCTATTCCAAAGTCATTTAGATATTCTATTATTATTTTCTAGAATTGTTATTATTTGCCTTTCACAGGTGGATTTACAATTCATTTGGAATTGCTTTTTTGGTATGGTGTGAGGTAAGGGTCAAGATTCATTTTGACTATGCCACTTTTGCTATCCATAAATAATTTGACTGTATATGTGCAAGTTTCTATTCTGCCCATTGGCCTCTTTGTCTAACCTTCTACCAGTACAGCACTGTCTTAAATGTAATGATTTTATTTAAAAGGTCTTGATATCTGGTAGCGTAAGCCCTGGAGCTTTGCTCTTCTTTTTCAAAACAGATTTGAGTTATTTTTGATTCCTTGCATTTCCACGTGCACTTTGGAATCACCTGATCAATTTGCACAAAAACACCTGCTGGGATTCTGAATGGAACTGCATTGAATCTATAAATCCATGTGGAGAGAATGGGCATGTTCTCACTCCAGAGTATTTGCTTTTGTCAAGTCCCCTAAGACATCATTGAGAGGAACCAAATTTTGTTACTTTTTCAGTTTGGGGTTTACCAAACCAACTTTTGCTGTCTAAATTCAAGCCTCAAATCTATGTGAGGGCAGATCCATGAATAAGAATTCCAAGATAAATATTTTATATTTACTTATTTATTTTTGTCCACCTTAAGACTAAACTAAGATTTCTTTATCATCAACCTGAGTTGGTAAGAATTTTGTTTCTAGTTCATTTTTTTCCTTCTTTTTTAGATTCTACTCCACGTAGACATCAAAACCAACCTAGGTTTTTCTTGACTGTGGTAAAATATGCGTAATGTAAAGTTTACCATTTTAACCATTTTTAAGTGTACAGTTCTACGGCATTAAGTACATTCACACTGTTGTGCAGCCATAACCACCACTCATCTCCAGAACATCTTTATCATCTCCAACTGTAACTCTGTACCCATTCAACATTAATTACTAATTCCCCATCCCCTTCTTTCCCCAGTCTCTGGCAACTACCATTTTCCTTTTTATCTATATGAATTTGACTATTCCGGGTTTACCATATAAGAGAAATCATATAATATTTGTCCTTTTGTGATTGAATTATTTCAGTTAGCATAATGTCTTCACAGCTCATCTATGTTGTGGCATGTATCAGAATTCCCTTCTTTTTTAAGCTGAATAATATCCCATTGTATATATATACTACATTTTGTTTATCCATTAATGCATCAGTGAATACTTGGGCTGTTTCTACCTTTTAGCTACTCTGAATAATGCTGCTATGAAGTGGGTGTGCAAATACTTGTTGAAGTCCCCTCTTTCATTTCTTATGGGTATATAACCAGAAGTGCAATTGCTGGATCATCTGGTGATTCTATGTTTAATTTTTTGAGAAATTGCCATCCTATTTTCCACAGTGGTCGCACAGTTTTGGATTCTGACGAGTAATGCACAAGGATTCCAGTTTCTCTGCATCCTCACCAATACTTGTTATTTTCTGGGTTTTGTTGATCCTGATGGGTACAAGATGGTATCTCATGTTTAGTGATGTAGATCATGTTTTTATGTGCTTATAGGTTATTTGTATATCTTCTTTGGAGAAATATCTAGTCAAGGCCTTCGTCCATTTTAAAATTAGATTGTTTGGTTTTTGTTGTTGGATTGTAGTATTATAGCTTTCTAACCAGCAAATTTGAATGATGCAGAAGTATTGAATTTTATTATCATTTTACTTACATTTATTCATCGAAAGGGTTATTTTTCATGCCTTTTTATTACTTGTCTTTTTTGGTATGTGAATTATCTGTTCATGTCCTTGTCCATTTTAATACTGTTTTTTCATTTCCTATTGGTTTTAAAAAATTATTTATAAATATTAAATTCAACCTTTCAGATACATTGCTAACATTTTCCCAGATTGAAATTTGTCTTTTTTCAATTCTATTACATTTTCAATGTAGAAGTTTCCTTTTTTATGGTTTTAAATGTCTCAAATTTATTTAGCTATGTTTTCTTCTTTTCAATTATATTTAGAAAGGACTTCCCAACCCTGAGAACAGAAAAATAAAATAACCTGTATCATTTCTCTAGATCCTCAATATGTACTTTTTGCTTTTATCATTTTCATCCATCTGGAATTTATATCATTATGTAGTATGAAGAAATCTATTTTTTCCCAAATGATGAATCAGTATTTCTAAAACCATTTGTTGAATAATTTATTCTTTTTTCACTGATTTGAAATTTTACGTTTTTTATGTAATAAATGGTAATATGTATTAGATTCTCTTTTAGAGTTATCTGTCATATTCTAATGTTTTGTAACTTTATTTTTGCACTTATTATTGTACTGTACTCTTGCATGACTATTATGCTTCAATTTTTGTAGCTTAATAATAGAGTTTGATAATTAATAATACAAGTACCCTCTTGGAAGTTTTATATTTATCTGCACTCAACTTTTCGTTTTCTACCAAATTATAAAAACAATATTTTGAAAGCAATTTCATGAAACTCCTAATATTATTTCAGTGAAATCTTTACAATTATGAGATTTCTTATCCAAAAACATAGTATATCTGTAGTTATTGAAACGCCTGTCTTTTATGCCTCTCATAAATGCTTGAAATTGTCCTCAAATATTTCCTGCCAAAATTCTTTGTTAGCTATTTTCCAACTGTCTTGGTCCATTCAGGCTGCTAAAACAAAATGTCATAAACTGGGTTTATAAACAACAGAAATGTATCTGTCACAGTTGTAGAAGCTGGAAAATCCAAGATCAAGGCATCAGCAGAGGGCCTGTTTCCTGGTTTATAGATGGAATCCTGTAGCTGTGTTGTCTCATGGTGGAAGGGGCAAGGTAGTGCTCTGAGGCCTCTTTATAAGGGCACTAATCCGAATCATGAAGGCTCTGCCCTCATGTCCTAATCACCTCCCAAAGCCCTCGCCTTTTAATACCGTCATACTGGTGGATTAATTTTCAACAAATGAATTTCAGGGGAACACAAACATTAAGAACATAGCACACAGTATTTTATACTCTGACTTACTATTATGAATTACCATTTTTATATTTTTTAACTGGTGATAGCTGGCACATAAGAAATTCATTTTTATATTAATTTTATAATCTAAAATCATTTATATTCCATTTCTTATCCATTAGTAAAGAAATACAATGTTGCTTACTAGTTCAGAGCATGGGCACAGACACAGCCATGTTCAAATCCCATTGTGCCAGTTTAGGATGCCACTTAACAAGCTTTCCTGTCCCTCACTTCCCAGAGATTCACTGTGCTTTCCATAAAGTGAGCATAATAATGTCCTCTGCAGCATTGCCATTCAAGTTAATTAGTGTATGTAAAGTGCTTAACACAGAGCCTGGCATATAGCAAGCAAATTCAGATTATCATAATATGTGAAATAATAATTTTGCCTCTGTAACTATAATTCTCTTTCATTTGGGGGGGAAGGGAGTGCAGTGGGTAGGGACAGGGGTTTATTGCTGGAGAACTTCCAAAAGTATGGTAAATATTAGAGAGATACCAGGCTGGCACATGACTTAACTTTAAATGCCACTAGTGTTTTACTATACATGTAGTATTGTACAGTATTGGTGCTGACAGGTGGCCTTAGCTCTCCTGTAAACCACTAGCCACTCTAGAAGCCACCAAAAGTACTTATACAGCCTGAGAAAAATCATGTGGTGCACTGCAAATTCAACTTAAAGACAAATCCATTTCCAACTAAGTCATTCCTTAAGATCCCCTTCTACACAAATTCCAGACATCCCACTCATGTTCACAATTAAACTAAGACAGTCTTTCTCATTTTAAAGATAGGTCGTGTTCCTAGCTTATGAAGAATTTCCATCAGGAATAGATGTGAAATTGTTTCAGATGACTTTTTGGCAAGTATGGAAGTAATCATGTGATTTTTCTTTTCTTTTTTTTTTTTTTTTTTTTTGTCCTTTGGTCTCTTTATCTGATGGATTATATTAATAGATATCCTAATATTAAACTCTTATTACAGTCCTGGAACAAGTCCTGCTTGGCCATGGGGATTTTCTTTTAATAAACTCCCGGGTTTTGATTGCCAATGCTTTATTATTTTTACATCCACATACATAAGGGAGATTGTTCGATAACTGTCACTTTTGTGTTCTTGGTCAGATTTTATTTTTAAGGCTATGCCAAGTTTCAGAAAATGAATTGGGAACATGTCCATGAATGTTTTTATTTTGTTTTTGTATTTTTATGTATGGAACATTTTATGGAACCCACAAATAATACTCTCTTTGAATGTTTAAAAAAATGCCAATAATATCTAAACCTGTCACCTATCTTAAAACAAAATTTGAAAATTTTTTTCCATTATTAAATTCTATTCCTTTTTTCCTAAATTGGCTTGAGTCAGATTTGTTAACTTGTATTTTACCAGAAAATTATCCATTTTACTTAAATCTTCATAAGATCTCCAGATGGGTTATAGGAGGACAGCCCTGGGAACTTCCTTCAGTCTCGTCCCATCTTCCCTCTCTCTGGCAGGATTCCCATGAATTCCATCATGTTCATACCCTCTTTTATACTTCTCTATTTCTGTGTAACACTGATTCCTTAGATCTGGATTTGAAATCAGAAGCATTAAGCACAAGTGCTCACATCTCCACCTTACCAAAAGAAAGGATCCCTTGCTCCCTCTTTCAATCTCTCACTCTTACTTGGTTCCCCTTTTACTGCTATAGAAGTTGCTCTTTGATCCCACTGGCAATCTGTCCTCTGCCCATCTTTCAAATATTGTTCTTCCCCAGCATTCTGTTTTTCACCCGCAGCCCTTCTCATGCTTCATAATCTCTCTGGGCTAAATCTTACTTCTTATCATTTCATCCACCAGCTGAAAACTCCTAAATCTGCATCCAACCCAGACATCACTCTAGTGATCGCCAGACCAATATATCCTGCTGCCCTTTGGACAGTCTCTGTTGATGCCCACATCTTAAATTCAAGCTACCCTCAATGGAATTTATCATTCTTGATTCAGCTGTCACCCCGTTTCTTCTTCTGTGCTCTCTTTGTTGTTAATTTGTTTTTTCTCATGTGCTCTTCTGCTGATGAGCTCCTCCATAGAGAAGCATCATCCATGGTGTCAACCAATCCGGAAAACCAGAAGCCCTTGATGATCCTGAGCGGGGCGGGCTAAGCAGGGAAGAAGCTGTTTGGCAGCAGGTAGAGAGAAGACAAGATGTCTTGCAGCTCCCAGAGCATGCTTCATTTGTCTGAAAATGAAACATATACCTGTTGCCTGTTTCTAATGGCCCTCATAGCTGAAGTTACAGCCAGCATGTTTTTCTCAGGTCTGGAAGCAATTGAAGGACTGAGGTCAGACACAAAGAAAGGAATAAAGAAGGAAGACCCAGAACACCCCAAGGCTCCCAGGAATGCCACTGCTCCCTTGCCCTCCAAACTGATATCAGGGGAGTGAAAAGCAGCACCAGAGTTCTGTATGCCTTGATAAGATCCCACATTCCCTCCCCTCCCCTCTAACACTCTGTTTTATCAGAACAAGGTGACTTGGAGACCTTGGAAAAGATTCCCATCACACCACTTTCCCAGTGATGTCAATCACTAGAAGCACAAGGCTGCAAGGCCCCTTCCTCTCATAGTTTCCTCTCTGAACATATCTGTACATCTGCTAATCCAGCCCATCGTCCAACCTCCCTACAGGTCGATACCCTCCACTCTACTCTCTAGAATTCACTTTTTAGCAAAATCTTCTTTATCCTCAAGTTCCTCTCTGATGAGTCCTTCACTTCTTATGCTAATATCTAGTCCTTTCCTTTCTTTCTTTTTTTGAGACAGGGTCTTACTGTGTCACCTAGGCTGGAGTGCAGTGGTACAGTCATGGCTCACTGCAGCCTCAGCCTCCCAGGCTCAAGCAATCCTCCCACTTCAGCCTCCCAAGTAGTTGGGACTACAGGCACATACAATCATGCCCAGCTAATTTTTATTTATTTATTTATTTACTTACTTATTTATTTATTTAGTAGAGATGAGGTCTCCCTATGTTGCCCAGCCTAGTCTTGAACTCCTAGGCTCAAGCAATTCTCTCACCTCAGCTTCCCAAAGTGCTGGAATTATAGTCATGAGCCCCATGCCCGGCCCCTGCAGAGCTTTCAGGTGATGGTTGTTTTTTCCTTCATCATGCCTGGTGGCCAGAGAGGCAGCCTTACTGCTGCCTCCAGTTTATTGTCTCTCTTCCCTTAAAACTCACAGCTTTAAAATCCATGCTCTCAGATTCTTCCATTTCCTGCTGTTATCAGCAGTCACCTCCCAATCCCAGGGAGGTCTCATCTGCTAGAGCCAGGCCTACTCTAATTCACTCCAGCACTATTCCTGTTGTACATAATCCTTTATGATTTTTCACACACTGAAGATGACTCTTCCAAATACCCTGACCTCCTGAGTCCTTAAACTTTTCTCCTCCTATGATCTTGTCTTCCACCCTCTTCCATATCAGCCACCCACTTCCATGAGCATTCCCAAGACTTCATTCAAACAAGCATTACACCCTCTCTAGAATCTCCCTTTCAAGCTTCCCACTCTGTGGCTACCATCTAATTCTCTTTAGCCTTTCTATTCCAATAGTATTTCAGCCACACCAGAGCATAAAATCCATTAAATCAGTGAATTTACCCTCCTTTCATTATTCCTCACCCATTTTAGGTTCTTAGATTCTACTTTTCCTTCATTGTAATTACTTCTTTGCAAACACCCTCAACTCCCTTGCTCCTGTGTCCCTTTGTTCAGCATCACCTAGAAAATTCAATCTACCTAAAGCTCATTTTCCACCTACTCTGAACCGGTGCTTCTGGAGAAAGCAGAGAACACAGATGATAAACAAGGTAAAAAAAATGCATAACATTATTTTAGGCAGTGATAAAGCTAAATAGAAGAGTACTTGTGGAATAGGGTAGCATAGGAAGCTATTTTACGTAGACTGACTGCTATGGGCTGAATATGTGTGCCCTCCAAAATTATGTTGAAACTCTAATCTCCAATGTGATAGTGTTTGGACATCAGCCTTTGGGAGATAATTAGGTTATGAGGGTGAAAGCTTCATGATGCAATTGGTGGCCTTATAAAAACAGACAAGAGAGAGCTTCCTTCTTCTCTCTGCTCTCCCTCATGTGAGCGTGTAGCAGAAAGCAGCCATCCATGAACCAGGAGGAAGGCCCTCAGCAGGAAATTGATCATACTGGCACCCTGATCTCAGACTTCCAGCTTCCAGAGCTGTGAGAAATAAATGTTGATTGCTTAAGCCACCCAGTCTGTGGTATTCTTATTACAACAGCTCAAACTCTCTAAGACAGTGACCAGAAAAGGATTCTGTGAAAAAGTAAGTTTTGTTTCAGAAACCAGAATGGAGTAAGGGCATGAGTTGTGTGAAGATCTAGGGGAAGAGAAGAAGCTGGCGGTGGGGGAGAGATCTGAGCAAAGCCTCAGAGGTGGAACAGGCTTGCATTTGTGAAGAGCAGCTACAAATCTTGGGTGCTTCTTGTTGAGTAAACAACAGGAAAAATAACAGGAGGTGAGTACAGACACCTAAACTCACCTACGGAGAGGTGAGTCCAGTGGCTGGATCTTCATTGTCCAATATGGTAGCCATTAACCACATGTGGCTAGTTAAGTTTATATTGAAATTAATTGAAATTTAAAAATCAGTTCCTTAGTAACACTAGCCATATTTCAAGTACTTGGTAAGCACATGTGGCTAGGGGCTACTGTATTAAACACCACAGATTAGAGAACATTTTCATGATTGCACAAGGTTCTAGTGTACAGTGCTGGCTTTGTCCTATGGACTTCATTGTCTGTGCTAAGGAATTTAGATTTTTATCCAAGTTTGAAAGAAAACCACTGGGGAAAGCCAGGGAGGAGGAGGATCTGGACAGTACATTACTCACATTTTACAAAGATTACTGTGGCTGCTGTATGCAGTGGGACTACAGCATAGCAAGAGTAAAAGTAAGGGGGCCAGTTAGAAAGCTATGGTAGTCCAGATTAGGGAGAATCTGGTAGCACATAGTGGACAATTTAAGAAGTGATATAGGCCCGGCACAGTGGCTCACACCTGTAATCCCAGCACTTTGGGAGGCTGAGGCATGTGGATCACCTGAAGTCAGGAGTTAGGGACCAGCCTGGCCAACATGGCAAAACTCTGTATCTACTAAAAATACAAAAATTAGCCGGGTGCGGTGGTGCACACCTGTAGTCCCAGCTACTCAGGAGGCTGAGGCAGGAGAATCGCTTGAACCTGGGAGGCGGAGGTTGCATGCCACTACACTCCGGCATGGGCAACAGAGTAAAATTCTGTCAAAAAAAAAAAAGGAATATATTTGCATTATATTTTAGAAATAAAATCAACAAGAGTTCCTATGAATGTATACTGTGAGGTGTGAGGGAGAGAGATAACTCAGGAATGACTTTTAAAAGGTTAATAGGAGAATCAAAAGATATATAGATATATATATATATATATCAAAATATTTTATGATCCAAGAAGCCCTGTGCAAATGTAAGTTGGTAGCAGTCACAGTAACCTTCAAAAAGATTGGATGTGAACTTAATCTTATGGATAACTTTGCAAAGATAGAAACAATGTAACTGACTTGACTGAAATTGCATACTGGGAAGAAACAGACAAGAAAGTTGAAGAGGTCAGATGAAGGTCTTGGAAACTGGGCACAGGGATTTAGATTTGAAAGGTGAGGATAAGAGAAGTCACTAAGGTTGTAATAGTGAAGTGAAAGATGGATTGGCATGGGGAGCACCTAAAGCCAGGGAGGTGAGTAGTCCAGTCTTTAAAAGATGACAGAGAGCAAATGAGAAGAAAGAGAAAAGAGCAGACATGAGAGGAATTTCGATGACAAGTAGAAGTGTCTGTTTCCTCCTCAGGGAGCCATCTTCACAGAGCCTGCACAAGAGGTGGAAGTTGGGATCAGGAGGTCCCTTATCTGGCTAGAGACTACTTGGTCAGAGTGAATGACCAGAATACATGAATAGAGATTCTAAGATCCGAGCCAGAAATGAGGAGACAAGGAAAATTCCAATGGTGGGGTGAGAACCAACAGAGCAAAAGGGGCTAATGTTAGCAGTTAGAAGATAAGAAGCAGGATGGAATGAGGTACAAACAAAGTCATCAAGAATTAAAAGTGTTAGTCTCACTGCTTATGGAAGCTCTTCTCTTCTATGTTGCTTGGTCCATGTAGGTTATCAGTCAACCTTCAGTCATAGGGACTGACTGTCAGTCCCAGTAATCTACATTTAAATCTCCTCATGTAGCAAGAAGATAGCAGCAAGGGCCAGAATCATCCAACAAGAAAACACATTGATTTTTGGCTTCTATAAGCATCTCTCCACAAAGTTTAAAAAAAAAAAACAAAGGTGAGAGTCAAGTAGAAAGACATTGGATTAGAATAATTTACTTCAGTCCTAGAGTCTTTCTGGTACATAATATTTACCTCTGCGATAGAGAAAACTCTCTGGTCATAGTTTTCATCATAGAAATTTATTTCCTCCTCCTCCAGTTAATCTTATTCTAAAAACACAATGGGAGCCCCACCCTGGAATTCAACAAGCTTAGAGATTTTCATATTGATTTCTTTTTTTATATTTTGTTTTAGCAGATATTGAACCAAAGTTTTATCAGGCAGAGTATACATGACTTAGATATACATATGAAAAATTAATTATAAATTGGATCTCTGTTTATTGAACAATATTTTTCTACTAGTTTCATTAAAAAATTTGAGATGAAGTTTCTTGGAAAAATAATATTATAAAAAATAATAAAAATCACAGGATACAAATGCAATAAATCTTTTACATCAGATTTATGGTTGAAAAATGCTAGGGATAATTTTCTGATAACACATTATTACTACTATACAAAGTTAGTCACTACTTTTTTCCAGAGTTCCATATTTTAGGGGAAATTAGTGCTTTCCATCTCACAGAAGTACAGGGATGCTTCATTGGAATGCTCAGGAAAGGAGTCATCCGGGAGAATCAAGCCATACTAATAATGGGGGGCAAGAAAATGTTCCAAGCATTTTTCCTGTTGATAATTTTGCTTGTAAATCTTTCTGGCTTACATTTCCCTGCTTTTAAAAGCAGAATATACCAAATGTAATTTCATTCCCATATAATAACAGCGTTGCAAATGCTTTGTAAATTTCAAAGCAATTTTATCGTTTTTATAATTTCCTTCTCCTAGTTACTCAGAATCACTCTTCTGAATGCCAGTTATTGAACTTATTATATGTAGGGTAGTTTTTTCCTCGCACTAATGACTCTATACTGCTGTTCTCTCCTAGTTCTTGTGTCTGATTCTTACATTTTACTATCTCCTCCCACACAGAGTCTATCCCTCTCTCTAGTCTACTCTAAGGCTTCTAATTTGCTTCTGCTAATTTGCGTTTGTAGTGGAAAATAAATCACCAAACTAGTTGGAGTTTTTTGTTCCTCAAAACAAAATGGACACTGAGCCTAATGGACTATCAGAAAAGTAAACACGGTTTTGTCTTTTAGTGTTTTGTGTTTTGTTTTTGTTTTTTATTTAGTGATTAATCTGGTAGTTCAGACTTTTTGTTTATATTTTCTGATTCTTGGTTATGTTTCCTATAAGTCTTTTTGTCAGATACTGAGTTCCTGATAGATTTGAAATTTCTTAACTCTTGTTTAGAAGACAAATCAATTAAGCTAAAGTTGCTGGTACTGACTTATTTAATTAATACATTTTTGCTGGTTGCTTAATGTGTTGATCAGTTTACTGGTCATTATTTTCGATGGATCTGACCTTCTAATTAACATTGAAGAAATAAATTCTCAAATATAAGATTTCATTATTGTAAATATCTGAGTGGATCTTTTTAAGCTGCCATATTGGGCACTATCTCTTCTATTCAGTTATATATACTGTAAGTGAAAATGATCAAAATAAATGTGTCATGAATATGTTGCATGAGACCAAAAAAATAGCAAAAGAAGAAAAATCCAGTTTACAAAAATAAAGCATACAGTTTATGCTTCTTCCCATGAATACAAGAAAGAACATGATGTAAAATCAAGAGGCCTCATGTCAGACCACCACTCAGACTACTGAAGCCTCCAAATTGTGCAGATATTTAATCATTGTGAAAAATCTTCCTTCCAGGAGGAATAACTTCAATCCACTTTGGATCACCCAAGTGCTCTTAGAATTTCAAGGATTTTATGAGCTTGTCTGAAAAAGCAATATAAGTTGTTTCATATGTTATTTCTTTGTTCGTTCTTGTGGTTAGGATTATTTTGGCAAAGTTTATTTCATAGATTGCCGATAGGATGACTTTTGCATGCAGCAGGCAGCAAAAAAAAAAAAACCTAAGCTCAATTTGTAATACATTATAGTGTTGATGATGGGAGATATTTAAAACTTGTGTCTGAGGAGCCAAGAGCAAAATGCCAAGCCATCTAGCTCCATGGCAGGATCTTTCCTGGCTCTCAATTGGACCTTCACTGGTAAGTTTGTCCATAGCCTGGTTGGACAGCTAAATGAAGAGCCTGAATCTAGCTCTCTGAGCCCGTGCATCTGGTTCCCAGACTCTGGGCAGCAGCTGTGAAACAGAAGGAAGCTCATGAAGAGAGCAGCAATTTGACCTCATCCCCTGATGGTCAGACTAAAATGTTACCTGCCAGTTTATGAGCTTTGTAGTAAGACTATTTTACTGCCATCTATGAAGGTATGTTAAAAAAGAAAGAAAGAAAGAAAGAAAGCAAGAAAGAAAGAAAGAAAGAAAGAAAGAAAGAAAGAAAGAAAGAAAGAAAAGAAAGAGAGAAAGAAAGAAAGAGAGGTAAAGAGAAAGAGAGAGGGAAGGAAGGAAGGAAGGAAGGAAGGAAGGAAGGAAGGAAGGAAGGAAGGAAGGAAGGAAGGAGGGAAGGAAGAAAGGAAGGAGGGAAGGAAGAGAAAAAGAAAGAGAGAGAAAGAAAGAAAGAGAGGTAAAGAGAAAGAGAGAGGGAAGGAAGGAAGGAAGGAAGGAAGGAAGGAAGGAAGGAAGAAAGGAAGGAGGGAAGGAAGAGAAAAAGAGAGAGAAAGAAAGAAAGAAAGAGAAAGAAAGGAAGGAAGGAAGGAAAGAAAGAAAGAAAGAAAAGAAAGAAAGAAAGAAAGAGAGAAAGAAAGAAAAGAGAGAAGGAAGGGAGGGAGGGAAGAAAACAGTCACCCATCAGATCATATCATCTGACTTGAAGGAGCCTCCTTCTGACATACAGGTTGCTGTTGCTGTGGAAGGTATTGAGTTCAGATTTTCTATCATCCCTTATTCCTCACCTCTAGTTGAGGTCTCTAAAAAGCAGAGCCTGAGGTTCAGAAGCATATAATTCATGGAAGGTGTGCTGTCAGGAGAAAACCCTAGGTAGGATACAGCAGGAGAGAGGGCTGAACAAGAATGTGGTCTCACGTGAAGTCTTACCTTGGCCTGACCCACATGGGGTACAGAGTGCACCAGAGTTGCCCCTCCCTTAAGGAAATATGGCAGGACTTTTTTTTTAACTTTGTGTCAGCTAGTCTTTGGCTCTAGAAATGGAAGAGGGAGGGGAGTACAATCTCCCAAAGGGGACAGTTCCCATTAGTTGAGGGTGATTCTCTAAAGGAAGAGAGATCTGCCTGCCAAAGCCACTGGGAGACAGGGCAAGGGCCCCAACAGGGAGGGTCTGGATTGGGCACCCACAGCACCCTCTACAGTGGGTTCCTGTCTGTGCCTCTTTAGCCAGAGCAGTCGTTTCCCTTTTCCATGCTCCAATATTCGGAATTTTATTACAATTTTTGCTTCAAAAGAAGAGTGCTGCATTTGACAATGGGTTGATAGACACCTGACATAAGTCTATAAGGGCTTTTGGCCCTAGGAACTGGGTGGTTACCCCTAGCACGACACTGAGTAACATAGCAGAAAGTGTGAACTATAGATTTTCAGGGAGGGTGTTTCCTCTCAGAAAACACCATTTGGAGGGGAGGGATAGCACTTGGCAAGATTTCATTTGGCCAATTTAAAGTGCTGAGTGATGGAGGACAGGTGGCCCAGCTGCCCTGCTCTCCTAAGACAGCCTTAGTGATCTTGTCCCCTCATATGGCCATCCTTCAATCTAAAATAACTCAATTTATTAAAAAACCATGGCTCTAGGGTAACTTACTCGAGAATCTTGGAAAAATTTCAATTAAATTGACTCATATACATTCAGTTTTTTAAAATGGTCTCCCAACTGACACTGAAGTCATAGATAAATCAAAGCCCAGATCTGGAGTCAACCTGGATTGTGCCTCAAGGTTAAGCCAGCTTTGACCAGCCACTGCTAATTCTACGACTTAGGCAGCCCCAGGCAAAATGGAGGCACTCATGTGCAAGTGCTTTGGAAAACACTGAAGGAAATTAATAAATGGAAAGAAAGGATTAAAGTACTTAAAAGGGGGTGGGTTGATGCCCCGGTCGAAAGAGGTACAAGCAGTAAAGTAATAGTGAGTGACCTGTGGAAGCTTTCCTGCTCAAGACCCAGCACTAAACACTTTGCTTTCAATGTCTCATCCCCTGCGAGTTTCTCAGTTTCACACAGGATAAGTAGTTCGTTGTCAAATTCAGGTCACCTGACTCCCAAACCTGGGCTACTATGTTTCAGATTCAGATAGATAATAGAGAGATAAATGGATAGATACAGAGATAGAAATATATAAATAGACACACAGCACTTGCTGCTCAGCTACTGTCAAATGGTCATTTGTCCACGTGTTATATAACTATTCGAGAGCCTTAATGGAGCATTCTGAATCTCATTTCACTGAAAATATAATGTAAAGGAACATTTGAAATCATCACAGATAACCCCATGATTTTAGGGTTGAGGGAACTGAGGCTCACAGAGCTTGAATTATTCTCGCAATAACACACACATACTACAAGCAAAATCCACAAGACAGAATATTTAGACCTATACGCTGGGTTGGGACATTCTATAATGACCTTCAAGAATGTTATAGAGCAGTTGGCTGCAAACTGAAGTGCATCAGAATCACCTAGAGGGCCAATTGAAACACAGATTATTGGACTTCATCCCCAGAGTTTCTGATCTGGTAGGTACTGGGAGAGAGCTGAGATTTTGCAGTTCTGACAAGTTTCTGCTGATGCTCGTGCTAGTAATACAGAGACCAGACTTTGAGCACCACTGCCATAGAAGTAAATACCTACTCTGAGTGCCTGTGATATCCATCCTATTTGTTTATTGCTTTGACCATAATTACGTGCAAGTGTTCTCTTGACCCAGGCTTGTCTGTAGATATTCCCTTCATATGAAAGGGCTCCGATTATAGCCTCTGTCACTCCATGGATGGCCAGAATTAATTCATGTAGCAAGGAGGAAAGTGCCAGGACCATAATGGGTTAGTCCAACCTTTCATACACCATCCCTTCTTCCCCAGCTGTGGACTTGGTTAAAGAAGGCAAAGGATGTCGGCTTCATATGGCTGAGATTAGCTCACTGAAACCTCCCTATAATGTTTTGTGTTTATTTTGAAACTACTCAGGAGTCAAGCCTCTAAAAATGTACCTATGTTTACATTTTGGAGTCACTTTTTGTGGAAAAGAGTCTCCATTCCTTCTGGAAATAAAGGAACAGATGGTCAGCCAGGTCATGAAAGAGGCAAAGGGAACCTCCCAGCTATGCATTTCCTTGGCAGGGATTTCACATTGAAGGACACACTCTTGTTCATCCACAGCATGAGCCTGCCTTTTCCAGTATATTCTTAGAGGGTTTCTTATGCTCAGTAAAATGCTCATTCTTTTAAAAGTCATTAACAAAAAGGCAATGAGTTGCTTTATTTCCAAAACCTTGCAGAAAGCTACCTTAAGGACCTCGATAGAAAATAACCAGTGTGTCAAATTGGAACTATAGTTAGAAATGCTGCAGGGAACCCAAGGAAGCCCGCACTGGCTGCTTTAGGAACTTGGGTAGAAATCACACTGGAAGAGCTGCAGCCATAGACAGGATTCCCCAGCTGCTGTCCTTGGGCACCTGGGAACCTGCTTCCTCCCTGTCTACTAGCAAGACAGAAATATGAATTGTTTAATGAATTGAATCACAGAAGGCAGAGCCAGATATATAATTTGCGGGGCCCAGTGCAAAGGGAAATCGGAGCTCCTTGCTCAAACATTTTGAAGAAATTCAAGACAGCAATAGCAAAAAGCACTAAACCAAACTTGGGGTCCATCTAAGTGCTGGGCCCCATGTACCCACACACAGATCTCATCCACGAAGCAGGTCTGCAGCATGATCATCATGGCACAGTTTGGCAGAACAAGAGAAAGGGAAGGGGAAAGGGGATGGACATTTCACTTGGACTTGCTGTGCAAGGTGATTTAGGTACATCATTTTATTTAGTCTCATTTCACAGATGACAAAACTATAGAGGTGGAGGCTGAGAAAAGTAAAGCCGCTTGCCCATGGTCACATGCCTGATATGTCTACACTGAGATTCATTTCTGACTCTAAGTCCCTGTTTGTTTGTTTGTTTGTTTTTGTTTTAAACTTTTCCACATTCATATTCCTGAAGCAGTATTGGCTTGTAGGAAAAGCTCTTACATATGTTTTTAACTTCTATTCCCTACAAAGCCAAAGAAAGAGTGAATAATGTAATGAATAAGATAATTAGAAAATGGTCCAAATCCTGGTATAATGATAATAATAAAAGTAGAAACAAGACATGGAGGGGAAGAAGAAGGAAGGAAGGGAAAAGGGAAGGGAAGAGCGAGGAAGAAGATGGGGAGAAAGAGGGCGGTGAGGAAGAAGGAAGGTGAGCATGTGCTGGACAGTTACTACATACGATCTTGTATGCATTATTCTGTTTAATCATCACAACAACCCTCTCAAAGAAGCCTTGGTTTTGTGCCCACTCTACAGATGCAGAGCTAGAAGCTTACAGCACTTAGTTAACTTGCTCAATGCTAAAGGCTCAAGATTTCTGTCTAAACAACATCTAACATTAGCCTAGGAAGTCACCCAAAATGGATTTAAGGGCTAGGCAAGGGAACAGAGTCCAAGATAATTCTAGACTTCAAAAGTTGTAAACTGCAAGAAAATAATAATAATAAACAGAAGGCAGCTCTATACAGGAATAATAAGAAGGAGTATAAATGAAAACATTCAAATTCCAGAGTAAAAGCCTCCATACATTGGCATTTGTGGGAGTCTCCATCCTGCCTGCTTGATCCCACCCACGTATCCTAAAGCAAAGTTGGCCTGTCCGTCTTCCCACCTCAGATGGATTCAGGGGAATTATCTACTCAGAGTCTTATCTGCAGAGGAAACTCATTCTAGCTACCCATATGATCAAGCTAGTTATTCACCCTTAAATATGAACAGACAACTAAAGCATAAACCAAAAGGACCACTGTGCACAAACCAAACAGCTAACCCAGAGAAATAAGACGTAACACAAGGATTATGGCTAGCCTTGAAAACTTTCTAATTGATATCTTCAGAGAGATTCAAGAAGTATTGTGACCATTTCAAAGGAACTGTTTTTTATTTCTTTTAAAAAGGTACAATCAATGCCTAGGAATGAATTTTTTGGAAAAATCAGATTTCTGTCTAATTTTTTTGTCAGTTACAATAAGTAATTTAAAAACAATCAATGCAAGGCCTGAAAAATAGAATGAACAATTCTGAAGACTGAATCAGATAAATGAAAGATAAAGTTGGAAAATCTCCCAATACATAGAACAAACGACAGATAATTAATAAAAGAAAGGTCTTGAAATATTGAAAGTTGACACAGGTCAACCAGTCAGTCATCTCCACTGGGAAAAAAACAGTTTGTTTTTTTTTAATTCTCAATTTTCTTCTATTTTTATTTTTAATTATCTCTTCACCTCCATTTTAGTGGAAAATTTTTTAATAGAAAAAAATTTTAAAAATTCAGTAGAAAAAAAGTTATATGTTCAAATTGAAAGGACTCAATAAGGAATGAGCAATGAAAGTAAAATAGAAGTGCCACACAGTAAAAGCAAAAAATGTAAAAATGATATGTGAAAAAATGAAAAATAAAATGGAAAGAATTCTGCATACACAATTAGTAAAATCATGTGACATTTATAAACTACAAAAATAGATAAAATCCTTAATATTTCCAGAAATTAAGAAACAGGTGACCTTATCATGATGAAACTCAGAGGGGCATCAAACTGAGAGTAAAAGTCAAGGGTGCCATGGTTTCAGATTCTGAGCAGAAAGTCTATTCATTCTGGAATCTGGAATCCAATACTGAGTCATTTGAATGACTCTGAAAAAAACAAGTCATCAACATGTCTCCCAAAAGAGCATAGATAGAAATTAAATCCTGGATAAAGCACTAACAAAGCAATTTTGCACAGTGACTCTGACTTGAAAGGTATTTTATATTTTATCTTGTAACACAACTCTGTATGCTACAAGCTCAAAATACAAAACACAAATTCCATTAAATTCCTTTACACCAACAATACCTATGACACACCTATGAATATCTCTAACAAGAAATATGTAGGTCCTATGTGAAAAAACATGCAAGCATTATGGAAAAACAAATAAGGAGATCTAAACAAATGGAAAAACATGACATTTAGATGAGAAGACTCAATATTGTAAAGATGTCAATCACCCTAAATAAATATGTAAGCTCAAGTTGATTCCAATCATATACCAACAAGTCTTTTTTAAAATGCAAATTGACAAATTCAGTCTACCATTCTTCTGAGGAAATTAATGGCAGATTACTTAAACTTTCTAAGGCACATTCTCTTCCCGTGTAGTATTGGGATCATAATGAAACCTATTTCAAAGGGTAATTGTGAGAATTAAATGAGATAATACATGCAAAGCACTTAGCACAATTACCAGCTGATAATAGCACCCACAAATCTTAGTTTACATCATATTATGCTCATGTATATAAATACTCATATGTATGATAATGTTCATGCAGCAGTATTTATAACAGCAAAAATTAGTAAGGCCTCAAATTTCTATCAGTATCATAATTATAATGATTAAGTACAATATACTATATCCCACAGCATGGAAAAATATTATTAAAATTTGTTATGAATATGCCTATAATCTGACATGAACAAAGAAAGTCACAAAACAACATGTGTACACATTCATGTAAAAAATATATAAAAATTGGTAAATAGATGATAGATGTTTTTAAATAAAAGTAAATATATGTTAGTAAGTTCACAGAAATGTTTCTGGAATTATACGCACCAAACTGTTACCAATTGTTTGTGTATAGAATACAAAGATTGATGATATTATAAATTATATAATATACAGCTATTATATATTCTTTATTATAAATGCATCTATTAGGTTGGTGCAAAAGTAATTGTAGTTTTTGTCATCACTTTAAATGGCAAAACCACATTACTTTTGTGCCATCCTAATATATTATCTGAAAAATTTAAAATATCATACGATTCTTGTTTACTTTAAAACTATGAAATAGGAAAGGACAGTGTTTTCAGGTTGTAGTTGAGCTTCAGGAGATCCCTGTGCCAGCAGGGTCGCCCTCAATGAAGAAGGAGGCTTGCACCAAGCTGCTGGCCTCACCTTGGGGCCACCCATGCTTAAACCCGAATGCAAACCCCTCAGCCACCAATTCTCTCTTCAGCTTTATCTCCATTCCTACCTGAGCTTGCTACCCCTGACTTACTGTGCCACACTCCCCAAGTGTTCCAACCCTCCACCATGTGCTCTGAAACCTTGAGCTGTGATAATCATGCTCCCTTGTATTATGAGGGTGTTCACAGCTTCTCTGTCTGATGAGTCACTGAGGCCAGGAGTTCCCGAAGACACACAGCTTCCTGCAGCCCTCCCCAGTGAAAGCTTCTCCCAGCACTGTACCTCCAATTTTATGGTAGGAAGGTGGAGAAGGATCTCCTTCATCATCTAGGGCTGTCGCTTGGCAGTTACTCCATCCCCAGATACACAACTGATCGCTATTTAAAGACCCTGCATGATCTAACCCTTGCCTCCCCGTCAGCTCCATATATGATATAGCTAAATCCCCAGCCACACATGACAGTTCAGCAACTGTGAACTACTGAATCCATCATGTGTTTCTTGCTTCCATTTCTTTGCCCTTCTAACCAGATCTCTTCTTTCTTCTTTTAGAGACAAGAGTTTTGCTCTGTCATCCAGGTTGGAGTGCAGTAACATGATTATAGCGCACTGCAGCCTCCAAATGCCTGGGCTCAAGCAATTACTGCTTCAGCCTCCCAAGTAGCTGGGACTACAGGCGCATGCCACCATGCCCGACTGCTTTTTAGTTTTTATTTTGTAGAGATGGGGTCTCACTTTGTTGCCCAGGATGGTCTTGAACTCCTGGATTCAAGCAATTCTCATGCCTCAGCCTCCCAAAGTTCTGGGATTATACGCATGAGCCACAACAACTAGCAGATCTCTTCCTTCTGACCAGAAGACTGTTTCGTATTTCCCCTACTTCTTGCCCCCTCTATTAGCATGGTCCCAGTAGTGCTTTAAGACACAACTTTGATCAGGAAACCTTTCTCTTCAACCCTCAGCCCCCTCCCCACCCAGCAGCCTGGGTTAAATGGCCTGCTTAGGTCTGCTTCGCTGCACAGACTCTGAGATGGAGAATCACATGCAGGTAGTTTCTGAGAGGCACTTTTGGGAACAGGCCCTGGAAGACACCAGGGAAAGTGAGAATGGGCTAAGGGAGATGTTAAACTGCAGTGCAGTTACAGCAAAGGCCTTGGTCTATTGCATGAGGAGCTCTGAAGCTGGAGTGGTCCATCAGAGTTGTTCCAAATTGGCAAAAGAGCATGGGGCCTATACTCTCACATCTACCAGCTGTGCCTCCAAGGAAAGGACATGGTCTTGATTGAGGCTGCCCCATTCACTGCGAACCTGCAGCCAACAATGCTTCAACAGCAAGGGAATAAGGCTGGTGATCTGGGCTGTGCACCACAGCTCCCGCTGCGTGACCGTTCTCTGCACTTACCAGCATGTGTTATAATGTGTCAGTCTTCCCTCTAGACCAGAGCTGAGCAAGCTACAGTCTGCAGGAGAAATCCAGCCCACTGCCTGTTTTGTAAATAAACTTTCATTGAAACACAGCCATGTTCATTCATTCACACATTGTTTATGGTTATTTTCATATTATAATGCAGAGTTGAGTAGTAGTGACAGACTATGTTGACCTGAAAGCCTGAAACAGTTACTGGCTAGCACTTTACAGAAAAAGTTTACCAACTCCTGCTCTATTATCTTACACAATATTCACTATTGCCTGGAAATTAAGTTTTAGAGGAATAATCAATGAATTAATGTATGGATGAATGAATCACATGGACTTGGGTTTCATTCTTGGCTCTGCCACTCAAAAGGTATGATCTTGGGCAAATGGATTAACCGCTCTAAATTCACGTTCCTCATCAACAAAATGAGACCTATTACTTCCTTTCTAGGGTTGTAGTAAACATTAAATGGAAAAGCGTATGTAGACTAATAGCACATTACCTGGCACATACTATATGTTCACTTAAGTGGGAGCCAGTAGGTCTATTCAAAAAGTTATGTTTTACTTTAAGGCTGAAAAAGGCTGAATTATGTCCGTCTTCCCTTTATGAGTAGGCCAGATGTTAGTAGTGCTTGTCTTATCAAAACAAAACAAGAAACAAACAAACCAAAAAAAAATAGATAAACCTTTAGCACCTGCCAGAAACACAAGGCCTTTCCTGCTGCGTAAATATGACAGACAATCCTGGTGGATCTCAGAGGTATCATGCTTTATATTTCTGGCCCAGATCCTAATTAATTGGTAGAAGCCAGATCCCATAAATGAGAAGTGCCAAAATTTAAGGATGATGACTAATTTGTCATAGCCATTCAGAATTCCATTTCATTAGCAGGTAGAGCCATGCTTTGGGCCAGCCCCAGAAGATTGTCTCCAAAGCAAGATTTCCAGAGGCACCAGTCACTGCACATTTGATGGGGCTTTTAATGCTTTTATATGAGCCACTTTGTTAATGACATTGTATTTAGCTAAGGTAACACTAGACGCTATTAACCTCCAAAGTTCAGTGGTTTAGCACAAAGAAGAAGTTTATTTCTCATTCATCCAACAGTCCAAAGTGGGTGTATTAATTTTCTATTGCCATATAACAAAAACACCACCAATTTAGCAGCTTAAAGCAACACAAAGTTGTTATCTCACAGTTTTTGTTTGTTACAAGTCTGGGTATAGGTTAGCTGGATTCTCCCTTAGTATCTTATGAGGTGGGAATTGAGGTGTCAGGATTTCAATCTCATCTGAGGCTTGGAGTCCTCTTCCAAGTTCACTGCTTGTTGGAAGAATTCACTTCCTTGCAGCTGTATGTCTGAGGTCCCAGTTTTCATGTTAACCACAGTCCAGGAATGTGCTCAGTAACTAGAGGCCACTGTAGGCCCTTGCCACATGGCCCCCCTCCTCTCACAACCTAGAAGCTTACTTCTTCAAGGACAACAGGATAGTCTCACTCCAGTCAGCCAGGGTGGACTCTTGTATACAATAACAACGTAGCAATCATCACAGTGACTATCCCATCACTTTTCCCATACGATGTAAGCTAATCAAGGGAGTTACTATCCCATCCTCTCCATAGGCCCTGCCCACACTTTAGGGGAGGGGACTATGTACTCCTGCTCCCTTAAGTCTTTGTTGTCTTCTTCCTCCTCTTCTTATACCCTTCTTTCTGCTCATCTCCTCCTACTCCTACCACTAGCCCAGTTATTGTCATTCTCCACCAGGGGTCTCTGTATGTTTAGGAGACCCTATTGTTTGCCTACCCCAAAGCCACTTATTCCTCTTTTTCCTTTCTAATAAAATGCTAGTATTGCTCTGATATCCACTCTACTCCATATTACCATATTCTCAGTCCAAACATCAAAGATGCAAATCCTGATTGGTTTAAGCAATCATGGTTGTTACAATTCTGGCCGATGAGACCTGAAGGAAATCTAATGGTGAGGCTCCTGGAAAAGGTTTTCTAGACTGATTAGAACACATACAAGAGAAAATGCCATCATTCTTCTGCTTCTGAATAGTTGCAAACAGGCAGCCATTGTTTGACCATGAGAGAAGCCAGATTTAAGGCTGGAATGAGGAAGGCAAAGTAAAAGAATGGAGAGAACCTGAGTCCTTAGTGATGTCATTCTGCTGCTGAACTAACTGTCCCTAGAGTCTCTCTGCATTAAGACCTCTTGTTGTATCAAACAATATTGTTTAGACCAGGTTGAAACTTGGTTTCATATACCTCCAGTTGTAAACACCTAAATGATTGGGTGGATGGTGTATCAATTTTTAATTGTGATACCCTCCACAGAGCACAGCAAAATTATGCAAAATATTGTGGTACCCTTACTTCACATAATATAGTGGGAAACATTAATGATGATGATGATAATGATAACACCAGCAACAAAGTAGACAGAAGCTGCCTCTGGTAAAGGATTGAAGTCAAGGTCACAAACATGAAATTTGCAAAATCAATTGCCCCTGATTTTCCTGAACAGCATCTAGAAGTATATAAACGTGGGTTTGACATATTTTCTATAGTCTTCCAGATTTAGCATTATCCAGTTTGAAAACACAGAGTAAGTGTGCCAGTGACAGACTTGAGAGAAGCTGTTAATGAGTTGATATTAAAAGCTTGATTGAATGCCCCTTTCCAATCCAAATCAGTGGAGCAGAGTAGTCCAAATCAGAATTTTGTTGATTTATGCTTAACAAGGTTGTAAGGAGGTAAATAGAATTCATGCTCAGGCTCCATTAGCATTGGGTCAACAGTCGATATTCCCAATATAAAAATGCATTCTCAGTGAGGTTTGCTTGTTTTCGTTGTTGTTTTATTTTTGCCATAACCATGCATCCCAGCCCTATGGATGACGTGAACTGAGTGGTTCTTGACCCAGAAAACCAAATGAACTCTTGAGGAATCATGTCCATCAAAAGTTTAGTTGGCCTGTAGTGCTGAGAGCAACACAAATGATTCTGCACAGTGACACTGACTTGAAGATATCTTGTATCCACTCCATCCATCCACGTGCATCTTGGGGAAAAATAGAGGAGGCAAGTCATGCATTAAATTATCAAGGTAATATATTTCAGGTAAGTGGCTCCATAAAGCCAAACAGAATGAACATTCTACTGGCAGTGTCTAGAGAAATCCGTCAGCCTTATATTTCTATTTATGTAAATCCAATAAACAGATGAGGGAAAGCTAGGGCATTTTGCAGACCTTGAGAGGAGATTTGTTCATGTTCATCAAGTCATATTGCTTGGAATAGGTTAGCAGTAGGTCTCTACAAGAATGGAGTTTTTATTTTCTTTTAAAGGTGTATGGAAATGAGAATCTAAGCCAAAGATCATCTGGAGTGGCCTATTTTTAGAGAAAGTGATTTGCTGAATTTGTCATTCATCCCACTGTGAGCCATGGCAGGCATCAGTAGTAACAGCCAGCTCTTACAAGAAAAATCTTTCCATTCTTGAAAAGCATTAAAAAGAAATGTTATCATTACAAAGGCAGGTGAGACAGGAAGTGAGGGAATAAGAAAATGTAACGCATTTTCTGTGTATTTGTGTACATATTACTATATATATAGATTTACTAGTGTGTGTTCGCCTGCTCATATGCTTATCAGTGCACGAGTGTTAAGTTATGTGTTTCGTGGGTATGTGTGTCTATATCCCATGCTCTGTGAATGTAAGTAATAATAGCTAACTAATGTTTATTGGGTTGATACTGTGCCTAGACTCTGTGCTAAGAGCTTTATGAGGATTCTTTCTTTAAATTATCTCAACAGCCTACGTTTTCCATTCAACAAAGAGGCTAATAGAACTATTAGAATCAGAACCAAAATTTGGATCCCAGCAGCTTGACCATTTTGGGCAAACAGCTCCCCAGGGCCCACTGCCATTGATCAGGTTGCCGTGCTACATGCTGACTGTATTTATATGCGTGTTTGGATATTTTCTGTTTGTTTTGGAGAAAAGCTTAAAGGATATCCGTTCTTTTTGCTGTCTATATTAAATAAGTACATTTACTCAGGCTGAGACAATTAACCAAACACACACACCCATATTCTTGGTAACATATTGATGTATTCAGCAGCAAATTGAAATTGAAAAACTAACATCTGAGGGTGTTTGTAATTCCTGATTGATCTTTGTCTTTATCTTCAAATATTATATGTCTCATAATCCACTTAGTTCAATCTGGTGCCTTGCCATCTGGCCTCTGGCTCATACAATCAGTTTGTGTGATGTTTGGGACTATACATTTACGGGATTTGAACTCTCTTTATACCAGATCTTCACATGGATGTCTAATAGTCAACACAAAGTTAACCCATAAAAAGCAACTGCCCAATATCTATCCCCTTCATGTATCAGACATGCTTCTTCACACTGTCTATCATCTAAGTAAATGGCCACTCCCTCCAATGGCAACTATAGAAACCAAAAAACCTGGACTCATCCTTGGCTACTCTCTTTTCCTCAAACCCCACATCCAACCCACTAAGAAATCCTGTAGACTACAACTTCAAAATATTTCCAGAACATACCACTTCTTACCATGTCCACTGCCATACCCCTGGCCTAAGCCATCTTCTGTCTATAGAAATGCTGGTTCTTTCTATAAGTCATAAGTCAGTACAAATCTTTTTAATAGTCAGGTCTCTTAGAGTCAAGTAATGATGTTCTATAACACTGAGAATAAATCTAGAGTCCTTATCAAGAATCTGCATATGTAACTTTATCTGTATCTTCTGCCTCCTCCTCTCCCTCTCCTAGTCTGCTCCAGTCATTGAAGCTCAACTCCTTGATGTTCCTCAAACACACAGAATATATTTGCATCTCAGCTTGAGAAAATGACCAGGATCAAAGAGTGCTGGTGGGAGAAGTTCCAAACTGACTCTTAAAAGAAGTGCTCAGGAAAGGCAGGGAGTATTTTGCCAACAAATTGCACCATAGGAATTAAGACCATAGCATCTAAGCCCAGGAGAGACTGTTCTTCCATGATGAGGTCTTCAAGAGACAATGATGAGAGGTCCCCAGGTTGTAGGTCCCCTAATGGAGATTAGACCAAGGGTTGTAGGCTGTGAAGGCAGCACATATGTCCTGTCATGAGACAATATGAGTGGGTCACGAGCATGGCTTTTGAGGTCTTAGGAAACCTAAATTCCTGACTCCACCACTTCCTATCAGCATGTAACTGGGGGCAGTCACTTGGCCTTTCTGAGTCTCAGTCTCCTGATATTTCAAAATTTTGCAGATTTAACTTCTCACAATAATATTTTGGATTTATCAAAAATCTACATATGCCCATGGGAGTATAGCATATATGTGCTATACCAGTTAAATATATTAACTGTACAAGTTAAAGATAATTTTGACTAAAAGTAACAGACAGAAAAACCTAACTTACAATAATTTAAGCAAATATGGGTCTGTTTTTCTTACATAGCAAGAAGTCTGGAGGTGGGAAGTGGCTGTCTTAGTTCAACTACTCAGCAAAGTCATGAAGATCTTCCTTTGCTCAGCCACCTTGTCTGGTTGGTTTATGTACTCTTGCTTATTGCATTGAAATGGCAGGAGGGCTGCTGTAGCTTTTGACATTACGCCTATGTTCTGGACAAGAAGGAAAGAAAGAAAGGGAGGGACAATCATGTTCTCTCTTTTATTAGGAAAGCAAAACTCTCGAGAAATCTACATTGGATGTACATTTCATTGGCCAAAACTGTCACATGGCCATTTCTAGCTGTAAGGAAAGCTGGATACATTGCTGTTCCAAGAAAAATAGAGGTTTTTTTTTTAAAGGGAAAGAGAAGTAGGAATTGGAAATTGGGTATACAACTAAAAGAGTCTGCAGTGGGAGGAAAGAAAGCCTTTCGGGGGAAAAAAAGACTGAGAACTGCTTTAAGAAACATACAAAGTGCCAAAGATATTCTTCTACATTGTCATTTGTCAGTTTTATTCTTTCACATTTAGATTTTTAATTCAACTGTAAATTTCTGTGTGGCATGAAGAGACAAAGGAATCCAATTATCCTAAACCATTCTTATACTCACAAAATTCTACACACACTCACTCACCTGTTTCAGGGCTCTATGTTTGATTCAATTCCATTGATATATATGGTTTTACCTAAAATATTACGTATTTTTTTAATTCCTATGGTTTTGCAGTATGTCTTAAAATCTGGTTGGGATATCACTATCTTTGCTCCTCTTTCTAAATAGACTTAATCCAATCTACAAGGAATTTACAAATTTGGGGTGGTGAGGCATACATTTCGTTATGTACCCAGTAGTCATTCAGGAGCAGGTTGTTCAGTTTCCATGTAGTTGAGCAGTTTTGAGTGAGTTTCTTAATCCTGAGTTCTAGTTTGATTGCACTGTGGTCTGAGAGACAGTTTGTTATAATTTCTGTTCTTTTACATTTGCTGAGGAGTGCTTTACTTCCAACTATGTGGTCAATTTTGGAATAGGTGCAGTGTGGTGCTGAGACGAATGTATATTCTGTTGATTTGGGGTGGACGGTTCTATAGATGTCTATTAGGTCCACTTGGTGCAGAGCTGAGTTCAATTCCTGGATATCCTTGTTAACTTTCTGTCTCATTGATCTGTCTAATGTTGACAGTGAGGTGTTAAGTCTCCCATTATTATTGTGTGGGAGTCTAGGTCTCTTTGTAGGTCTCTAAGGACTTACTTTATGAATCTGGGTGTTCCTGTATTGGGTGCATATATATTTAGGATAGTTAGCTCTTGCTGTTGAATTGATCCCTTTACCATTATGTAATGGCCTTCTTTGTCTCTTTTGATCTTTGTTGGTTTAAAGTCTGTTTTATCAGAGACTAGGATTACAACCCCTGCTTTTTTTTGTTTTCCATTTGCTTGGTAGATCTTCCTGCATCCTTTTATTTTGAGCCTATGTATGTCTCTGCATGTGAGATGGGTTTCCCGAATACAGCACACTGATGGGTCTTGACTCTTTATCCAATTTGCCAGTCTGTGTCTTTTAATTGGAGCATTTAGCCCATTTACATTTAAGGTTAATATTGTTATGTGTGAATTTGATCCTGTCATTATGATGTTAGCTGGTTATTTTGCTCATTAGTTGATGCAGTTTCTTCCTAGCATCAATAGTCTTTACAATTTGGCATGCTTTTGCAGTGGCTGGTACCAGTTGCTCCTTTCCATGTTTAATGCTTCCTTCAGGAGCTCTTTTAGGGCAGGGCTGGTGGTGACAAAATCTCTCAGCATTTGCTTGTCTGTAAAGGATTTTATTTCTTTTTCACTTATGAAGCTTAGTTTGACTGGATATGAAATTCTGGGTTGAAAATTCTTTTCTTTAAGAATGTTGAATATTGGCCCCCACTCTCTTCTGGCTTGTAGAGTTTCTGCCAGGAGATCAGCTGTTAGTCTGATGGGCTACCCTTTGTGGGTAACCCGACCTTTCTCTCTGGCTGCCCTTAACATTTTTTCCTTCATTTCAACTTTGGTAAATCTGACAATTATGTGTCTTGGAGTTTCTCTTCTCAAGGAGTATCTTTGTGGCATTCTCTGTATTTCCTGAATTTGAATGTTGACCTGCCTTGCTAGGTTGGGGAAGTTCTCCTGGATAATATCCTGCAGAGTGTTTTCCAACTGGGTTCAATTCTCCCCATCACTTTCAGGTACACCAATCAGACGTAGATTTGGTCTTTTCACATAGTCCCATATTTCTCGGAGGATTTGTTTGTTTCTTTTTATTCTTTTTTCTCTAAACTTATCTTCTCGCTTCATTTCATTCATTTGATCTTCCATCACTGATACCCTTTCTTCCAGTTGATCGAATGGGCTACTGAAGCTTGTGCATGCATCACGTAGTTCTCGTGCCATGGTTTTCAGCTCCATCAGGTCCTTTAAGGACTCCTCTGCATTGGTTATTCTAGTTAGCCATTCATCTAATCTTTTTTCAAGGTTTTTAACTTCTTTGCGATGGGTTCGAACTTTCTCCTTTAGCTCGGAGAAGTTTGATCGTCTGAAGCCCTCTTCTCTCAACTCGTCATTCTCTGTCCAGCTTTGTTCTGTTGCTGGTAAGGAGCTGCGTTCCTTTGGAGGAGGAGAGGTGCTCTGATTTTTAGAATTTTCAGTTTTTCTGTTCTGTTTTTTCCCCATCTTTGTGGTTTTATCTACCTTTGGTCTTTGATGATGGTGACATACAGATGGGGCTTTGGAGTGGATGTCCTTTCTGTTTGTTAGTTTTCCTTTTAACACTCAGGACCCTCAGCTGCAGGTCTGTTGGAGTTTGCTAGAGGTCCACTCCAGACCCTGTTTGCCTAGGTATCAGCAGTGGAGGCTGCAGAACAGCGAATATTGCTGAACAGCAAATGTTGCTGTCTGATCATTCCTCTGGAGGTTTCATCTCACAGGGGTGCCCAGCCGTGTGAGGTGTCAGTCTGCCCCTACTGGGGAGTGCCTCCCAGATAGGCTACTCGGTGATCAGGGACCCACTTGAGGAGGCAGTCTGTCGGTTCTCGGATCTCAAGCTGCGTACTGGGAGAACCACTACTCTCTTCAAAGCTGTCAGACAGGGACATTTAAGTCTGCAGAGGTTTCTGCTGCCTTTTTTTCAGCTATGCCCTGCCCCCAGAGGTGGAGTCTACAGAGGCAGGCAGGCCTCCTTGAGCTGCGGTGGGCTCCACCCATTCCAGCTTCCCAGCCACTATGTTTACCTACTCAAGCCTCAGCAATGGCAGGCGCCCCTCCCCCAGCCTCGTTGCCACCTTGCAGTTCAATCTCAGACTGCTGTGCTAGCAATGAGCAAGGCTCCGTGGGCGTGGGATATAATCTCCTGGTGTGCTGTTTGCTAAGACCATTGGAAAAGCACAGTATTGGGGTGGGAGTGACCCAGTTTTCCAGGTGCCATCTGTCACAGCTTTGCTTGGCTATGAAAGGGAATTCCCTGACCCCCTGCTTCGGCTCACCGTTGGTGCACTGCACCCACTGTCCGGCACCCACTGTCTGACAAGCCCCAGTGAGAGGAACCCGGTACCTCAGTTGGAAATGCAGAAATCACCCATCTTCTGCGTCGCTCACGTTGGGAGCTGTAGATTGGAGCTGTTCCTATTTGGCCATCTTGGAACCGCCCTAGATATTTAACTCAACTGTAAATTTGTGTGTGACACAAGGAGAAGAAGGAATCCAATTTGTCCTAAACCATTCTGATATTCACAAAATTCTACATGCACTCACCCATCTGTTTCGGAGTTCTATGTTTACATTCAATTCCATTGATATATATGGTTGTATATGGTATTTTATAAATATCTATTTATTAAAAATAAGTATCATGTATTTTTAACATTCTTGTGGCTTTCTAGTATGTCTTAAAATCTAGTTGGGCTATTACTCTCTTTGCTCCTCTTTCTAAATAGGACGTTGGCTCTTTATTCTGGTTCCTTTATTCTGTAATATAATTTTTATTGCAGATGTTAATTTGTTCAGTATCCTTTGGGAATTACTTTTAATTTTTATAGTAACTTGGAAAGAATTGACTTACTAAAAATGTTAGTCAGGCCAAGCATGGTGGCTCATGCCTATAATCTTAGCTACTCTGGAAGCTGGTGTGGGAGGATCACTTGAGCCCAGGACTTCAAGACCAGCCTGGGAAACATAGTGAGACATGGTATCTCCAAAATTTTTCTTAAAATTAGCCAACCATGGTGGCACATGCCTGTAGTCCCAGCTACTTAGGAGGCTGAGGTGGGAGGATTGCTTGAGCCCATGAGTTTGAGGCTTCAGTGAGCCATGAGCTTGCCACTGCACTCTGGTATATCATTCATAAACATGGTATACCTTCCTATTATTCAGGTCTCTTTATATACACTTTAATAAAACATTTTAATCATCTGCACAAAGTTATCCTTGCTGCTATTCAGTCCTTCTCTTGGGCTCTTTATATCAAGTCTTGTATTTTTTATGCCCATCATCTCCAGTCGGTTCCCTGTGAAAGATTGCTTATTCTTGCATCATGCCTCTGACATTGCCCCTTAATTCTTTAGGATATGTATTATGCATATATTAAGTTTATATTCTATTCTGGCCCAATCATTGTCTTCTCTATGCCATGTTATTTTTTCCTGAGGGCTATATTCCCCTGGGAGTATTTGCTGCCTTGGCTGGTAATTTGTATGTGGTCAGGGAAGCAAAAGCACAAGCCATTGAGCATGTCCCTTGCTCTTATTTGAGGAGTGAGTAATGCACCAAAGAGCAGGCTTCCTCTGGTACTGTTACCTGGATTCAACCACTCCCTGTTTATAACCCCCATCACCCAACCAAGTAATGCTGCTTTTCAGGAAACTTCCCTGCATTTTCACATTAGGCACTTTTTTTTGGCCAGGGAGAACTTTGGGGCAGGTCTTTGGCCTACTCCTGATATATCTGCCCCCCATGGCACCAGGCATCCAAAGATTCTCTGCGGCCCCACAGCCTCCAGTGTGCCCCAAACTGGCATTGCTGCATAAATGCTCTGCATGGACAAGAGTGTAGGAGGCAATGAACTTCCTAAAGCCATGTAGGAGAGGGAAGGGCCCTCCTTAAAACATGATACCCTGTGTATGCCATGGTGCTCAGCTCTCTTCTAAGTTTAAGATGTTTTTCCCATATAAATGGAACCCAAAGGCCTAGTAGTGTCTCTCTTTTCCTGTGTCCTTGGAGCCTTCAACCTTCTTCCTGTCTATGTAGCACATCCAGGAATGGATTCAGGGGAATCAGCATAGTTTATGTTCACTCTTCTTACAGTCCAGTGTACTTATACACACACAAACACTCACACAAACACACACACACGTATATAAATTTTTCTATTGTTTGCTTTACGGTTTACAGCCAGAGTTCTCAGAACAATGTAAATAATAGTCTTTGTTCCTAGAATAAACCCTATTTGACCACAGAATATAATTGAAAAACATATTTATTTGGTTTCCTAGTATTTTACTTAAAGTTTCTCTTTGTATTTAGAAAGGAAATTGGTTTGTAGAATGTGGATGTTTCTATATTTCTGTTCACATTCTCTTCACCGGGTTCCAGCAAGGGAATAGTATAGGTTTGAAAAAAGATGAATTGGATCTATGCTATGGGACAGATTATGTATTATAGAATTTATGTGTTCCTTAACATTTTGGAGAAACTTGCCCATAAAAAACCAGTCCAGCCATTCCTTTGCAGATAATTATTTAAAAATCATTTTCCATATTTTCTTTGATGTTTAAGCTAATCAGCTATTCTTTCATTTTTAAATTAATTTTAGCAATTTACATTTTCCTAGAGAGGTTATTTTTTAAGGCCAAATATTCAAGTATATGAGTGAAGGTTCTCAAATCATTTGCATTTGTGGTTATACCACCTTTCTTATTCTAAATTTTGTTTTAGTGGGATATTTTCTTTTCCTATTGATTAGACTAAGTAAATTTTTCTATTTTAACATTTTTTTCAATAAACTAGTTCTTTGATTTATCTATTTTATGATTTTTCGGTATCTCTCCTGATTTCTTAGGCCTTCCTTTGTTTTTCTTTTTATAATTTTTTAGTTGCTTCTTGCTTCATCAATATGCACTATTTCCTTTGTAACAATGAACTCTTTAATGGCTTTGAAGTTACTCTTAAATACAACTATGATTGTATCTCTTAAAGTTTTTACACTTATTATTTTCATAACTATTTTTTAATACCCTGAAACAGAAGAGGATGTGTGTGTGCATGCATACATGCTAATGAGAGGTGAGGATTAATTTCCAGTTGTTTAGGTGTTTTAATGTTTGCCTTTGGGTTATTAAATGATTCCACAGTTCTGTGCTAATAGAATGTGGCTTGTTTAATCATCTATTCTGAGGAACTCATTGAGAATTCCTTTGTGGTTTCTCATAAGGTAATTTTTGGTGAGTGTTTCCTAGGCACTTGAAAATAAAATTTATTTACTGAAGTGTAAAAATCTTAATACTCTCGATTAAATCAATATTATAAGTTCAATTGTTCATATATTTTATACTTTCTTTTACAGTGTGAGATTAACCATGGATTGAAGGATATCAAAGTATTTTACTACTGATTCATTTCTTTCTATTTCTTCTTATAGTTTAAAATATTTATCTTTGACCTGATGTGGTGGCTCACGCCTGTAATCCCAGCACTTTGGGAGGCCGAGGCGGGCAGATCACCTGAGGTCGGGAGATGGAGGCCACCCTGACCAACATGGAGAAACCCTGTCTCTACTAAAAATACAAAATTAGCCAGACATGGTGGTGCATGCCTGTACTCCCAGCTACCCGGGAGGCTGAGGCAGGAGAATGGCTTGAACCTGAGAGGCGGAGGTTGCAGTGAGCCGAGATCGCGCCATTGCACTCCAGCCTGGGCAACGAGAGTGAAACTCCGACTCAAAAAAAAAAAAAAAAAGAAATTATCTTCAATAGTCTAATGTCATGTTATTTGGTGCACAATAACATAATTGTTTAAACTTCATTTTGGATTGTACCATTCACCACTAAGTTTGACTCTGTCTCACTAACTTCTTTTAACTTAAATTCAATTCTATCTAATATTAATACTGCAAAGCCCTCCTCTTTCTCAGCATTTGTCATTCTCCTTCCTAATTCTCTTATTTGTTCTTTAGGAGTTATTTTGGCTTTAGTGTGGCTCTTTGAAACTGCATTGTAAATTTATTTAATTGGAACATAACCCATTAACGTTTACTATGCAGAGGCAAAGGGAAAAACCTCTCCTTCACCCCCTAAAGGTTCACTGAAAAATCAACACACAAAAGGCAAATGAGTAGAAGAAATGGCATACAAATTTGTTAGTGTGTGTGTGGGAGAATCACAGAGTGATTGTACCACCACACAATGGGGTAAAGATGGTTATACACCCTTCTTCTTAGGAGAAAGGGAGATGAGGAAGTGTGGATGACATAAGGGGGCAGCACATGATTTTTAGGGGAATTCAACGGGCTTGAAGAACATACAATGGCCTGACAGAAAGTTTTTTGGACCACCCTCAGAGCAGACAATGGTTTATAACAAAAGTCTGTTCAGGTCAGGGAAGAAGAACTGTTTTCTTCTTTGGCAGGTCCAGACTTTAGGCAGATAAGAGGACTTCAGAAAACAACCTCATCCTGTGCTTTGGAAAACACAGAGGATTGAGAGACAGGAGCAGGGGAAGGCCCGAGACACCATAAGGCTGCTTCTTCAGCTCAGCCTGTCAAAGCACCATATTTGGGGCATAGGTTTCTGTGCCCCAACAACTGCCATATGTTTGATTTTGCCTCTGTCATTTTATTTTCTATTTCTGGAGATTATCATACTCCTTGCTATTTTTTTGCTTTCTTTTTAAATTATTCTTTGCCATATGAACTTTTTTCCTGATAAACTGAAGACAATCTAATTTGTAAAATATACTAATGGCTACTTTTAAAATTCTATTTAACACTATTGTAACTATGTACCTCTACAGTATTAGTTAGCACTGAGAATAGAATAACACATCCTTTTCCTCTTCTATCCTAAGTAAGAATAATGATAGGACCTACCAGATAGTGTGGATCAGAAGATTAAAAGAACTGTAAAGTTCTATGAACTGTATCTGGCACATAGAAAGACTCAAATGCTAGTGTAACTGATACCATTGCTGTAGTCATTGTTACTTTTTCTCCATATAAAATGAGCAAATTCACATAACCTGACTTCCTTTTTCAGTCCCTTGCTTTTCTAATAGTAAGCATTTTCACCAGGGGTCCCCAACCCCTGGGCCACGGACTAGTACCGGTCTGTAGCCTGTTAGGAACCGGGCTACACAGCAGGAGGTGAGTGGCGGGCTAGTGAGCATTACCGCCTGAGCTCTGCCTCCTGCTAGATCAGCAGTGGCATTAGATTCTCAAAGGAGCACAAACCGTATTGTGAACTGTGCATGCGAGGACGCTAGGTTGTGCACTCCTTATGAGAATCTAATACCTGATAATCTGAGGTGGAACACTTTCATCCTCAAACCATCCCCCCTCTACCTCAATCCACGGAAAAACTGTCTTCCATGAAACTGGTCCCTGGTGCCAAAAAGACTGGGGACTGTTTCCCTATACCACTTGTGTTTTGTTACTACAATTTTTGGTACTTTTGTGATTGTTAAAACCTTTCTAAACAATATGTCATCTGTTTCATTAAGTATTTGTGATGAGTTAATTTTCTTTGTAAACTATATCTATACTAGTCATTTTAACTCAGCCATGTTTAAATTATTCCAAGCACAAGTATTTTTGTGCCTCATATTTCCCATATTTCCCAATGCTTTTGTTTTCTCTGATCATAAATGGTAATTTGTCTGCTTTAAAAATATGTAGGTTATAACTTTGTCTTACATTGTTTCATATTGTGGAAGGGAAATTTGAAGAGATCTAAGATTTCTTTCTTTGTAGTTTACCCATTTTCCTGTCTATATGCTTTGATATCCCTCCTTCCTTTTTTCCTCTCTGATTCTGGAAGTAATATTATAATTCAGTTCCACTTATTTTTTAAAAGTAGTTTTCTTATTACCTCCACAATGAGTACATTAACTACATTTTCACATACAGAAAACTTGGATACATTCAACTGTTTACAAGACATGCCTCCATATGTCTACATTCATGTGAAGAATATGAACTTATTTAATTGTATATATTTGTAACTCTTACATATTGTACCTTTTAAAATAACTAACATGTAACATGCTTATTTCCTAAATAATCATCTATGATTATTTAAGGTGAGGAGAGTCTCTTTTGAAGAATTACAATAGTTGTAGTCATACTATGAGAATTCAATAATTTTTGGTACTGTAAACTTCTGACAGGATACTTTAACATGCTGGTAGGAAAAGAGATGTCTCTTTTCACCACACGACCTGACACATGATGATTCCCCCACCGACAGATTTGGGTCTTCTTTCTTCATTTAACCCAGAAGCTCTCTCTTATCTTGTTTTTGAACAGTGCTTATGCCATAGTCATTCTGAAGTCTTCTTCGGGATCCAATTATTCATTTATATCTTCCTGAATTTCTTTAATGATTTTCAACTTATTGTACCTTTACTGTGCATTCCATGAAAGCTTCCCAAACATACCCACACATAACCAGATTACCTTTCTGCAGACAGTCTCACTTTCACCTTTCCTACTGTTTCAAATTTTACTATGCCATTATATTACTGGTTGCTACAAATTCTTTCCTGAACTCTTCAAGACCCCTACTTTTCTAATCTAGTTTGGTCATCTCAGCTTTCATACCTTATTTTGAAGATTATGTTTATTCATATTTATTGAGAGAAAAAAAGTAGAGAGTATATAAAATTTACTTTTTATTCCAATAGTAAGCATTTTCATAGTTATGTTCCTCTTTACTACCTGAGTGTTATGATCCTGACTTCATTTTATGTTTCAGAAGTTTTCACTGGCACTAGAGCATTGATTGCTTTTTATGTTAATTTATTTCTAAATGAAAAAAGAGTTTCCCAAGATCTACACTTTGTGCCTAAATATAGTGAGAAAAGTCTCCTATGATGACTTTAGTATTCATATGGATGTTTTAAGAGTCATGTTATTCTTGATCTTACTTTCCAGGTCTAGGAAAAAAATTTTTTAATCAAAATTAAAAAATAAATTTCAAAGGAGTCATATTATTTTTTAAGCTATAAGAGATGTCAGTGTAAGTACATATCACCAGTTGGGTGATGAAACAACCTCAGAGATCAAAAGAATAAGCAAATTATAAGCCTTCAATAAATGCTGGCCATTGTCAGCCTTAGCATCACCATTAATAAATATAACTTCATAAAAATTTTATTATAAACTCATCCACTAAACATATTCAATGACTAATGTCAAAGATGAATGACAAACAGAAAAATATTCCACAAAATGACAATTTTTTAATAAATATGTAAAACATTTACGTATATAAAAATATCTATAACCTACTACAAAAAATGATTATGTTTTGAGCATTAGTCTCTGCCAACAGAGGCCACATAAACTTATTTATAAACATATAAAAACATATTTAGCCCCACTGATAAGAAATTAAAAGTTTTTTTAAGTTGCTGTGTCATTTTTACCTATGTAATCAGCAAATATTTTAAAAATTAATTGTAACAAGCACTAGTTAAGGTATATCAAAAAAGACACTCCTTATACCAGCCAATGGTATTTGTGTATGCAAATATGTAGGTACAAAATGTTCATTCCAGTATTGTTTGTAATAGAAAATATACTAGTGAGGGAAAGGATAAGCTGCTATAACAAAGAAACCAAATGAATGTTCACTGGCTCAAAAAATATAGATATTTATTCCTCTCTCACATAGGTTTCAAGGCAAACTGTTTAGGTTAGCAAAAGGAGTAGTTGTACTCCTTTTGGTTATCTGAAGACCCAAGATACCGTTCATCTGTTTCCCTGGGACATCTCATAATCTCCATGGTTGAATGGGGTCTCCACCATAGCCATAGTGCAGCCAGTGTGAAAAAGGAAGAGAGAATGAAGTAGGCATATACACAGGCTTAAGGCCGAATTTCAGAAGTGATACACAGCATTTCACTGTATTCCATTAGCAAAAACACAGTCTTGTTTCTGCCTTTATCAGCCAGAAGCTTAGAAACATATAATCTAACCACATACCGAGGAAGAAAATTAAAATGGATTTTGGTGAAGAACTACAGGTCTCTGCCTTAAGAAAATGGAATAATTAATTATTCTGCTGCCTCCATTCAATGAAATATTAGGCTTCAATAAGAAATAAATTAAATCTCCCGTGCTACTAGATACATATAATAAAAAGATCCCCAGTATATATTATGAAATGTAAAATCATGATACAGAAAAATATACATTGTATATTAGATGCGTGTTTTTTAAAAGAGGCAATCTATACACTTATACACAGGCATACAGACAGAACAGTGCTGGAAGAAGAAACTATTCATAGAGGTTTTATCCTCAGTTGAACTAGAGACCTGATGTGAGAAGACTTACTTTTCGATAAGTTTCTTTTTTTGTACTGTATTTTGTTTACCATGTGTGTATCATTATTAATATTATAGGATGTAAATATATAAGTATGAGCAAATTCTTCCCTTGCTTAACACATTCAGCAATTATCTGTTGCTACAAGATGTTTTCAGGCTTATTAACACATTATCGAGCTCTTTTCCTGTCTTAGGCTTTGAACTTGAAGCTCCCTTCCTCCTCATCTTTCTTCTTTTGCTCATAAATAATCTATTGTCCTAAAATGTGCCTCCAAAAATGATGCTGCCCTATATTTTAATTTTTTTCTCACAAGACTGAGTTTAATGCCATATAATGAATATAATGGATCTGTTCATGTATCCTCTCCCCAAATGAGTGAAAACTTGAGGACAAGGGGCATGTTGTTGCTTCTCCTTGTCCCCAGCAAAATGGATGACAGGCAGCATGTAGCTGATAAGTATTTGTGGAAATGAAAAGATCCCCCCACTCACTTAATTTAACAAACATTTATCAAGTGACTATATGGCTGCTCTTTTAAGTAGATTCTCTGTTCTTCATGTTTTTTTCCAATTTCTCTCTTTTGCCCTGTGTATTTTCTCCGAAAAAAAAAAACAAAACTGTTCTCTCTTCCTCTAGTATAGTTTAAAGGACACTTGTTTTAGAGTCCAGCCATGTAAATATCAATCAGAGAGCAATGAAGTTTATTTTAATAAAGAAGAGAATGCATTGATATGAACCCTTGGTTTTTAATATTTCTACAGATAGATTGATATAAAAATATAGATACATACATATAGGTGTATGTGTAGTCATTTATATATTCCCTAGCTCTGTCCACTAAGAGATCTGGAATTTCAGAGCCCAAAATTAATGCCACCCCAGTAGCAATAAGTGCATCTAGTGCGCAGACATCTCAGTTTCTAAATGCCATTCCCCAATAAAACTAACCAGCTTCCTTGAAGAAATAGATGGTTGCAAGAACAGGACAGGAAAAATACAAGATAAGCCTGGAAAAATCTTGTAGTGTTAAAAAGTAGGGAAGTGTTCAAAACTGACTGGGGAAAGGGGCATGCCAAAAACGATGTAGGTACCAACTAAAAGGAGCTCTGAATGAGCAAACCTGGGACAATTTGAGCAACAAAATAAATAATGATAATGAGGAATTGTAACCCATAGAATAAAGCAAGTATCTATCATTCCATACTGATAGAAATGAATAACTTAATGAATAAATAAATAAATAAATGAAGGGTAATTATGCAATAGGATTCTAATAAATACAGAATGACTAATAGAAATAGAACACCACTATTAGGCAGACAGCAGGTAATAAGTTTGAAGGCAAAAATTCATTAATGGATGATGAAATTAGAGGGCAAGTATATGATAAGTACAGGATATTTGCCATCTCAAAGTCTCATAGTCACATTTTGAAATGACGTATGGGATGATTTTTTAAAAAGTCTTATAGTCACATGATATTTATTATGAAGGGGAAAGAGGTAACTTTACAGTGGAGCAACCCAGAAAATACTACTTTGACCCAGTGACAAAAGTTAATCACCAGTAATGGAAGACGTTGACATCAGGTGTTTCCTAATATGATGAACCAAGAAGAGCATATCGCTTTTGTCCTAGTCTTATGAAAAATACATAACCTTGATATAATAATCAGAAAACATCAGACAAACCCAACATGAAAGATAATCTAGAAAATAACTGGCCGGTAGTCTTCAAAAGGCTCAAGGTTATGAAAGGCAAAGTAAGACTGACCGAGGACCTGATACAGATTGGAGGAAACTAAAGAAAGAACAATTCATTGCAATATGGAATCCTGGATTGGATCCTGGACCAGAAAAGGATAATATGAGACAACCAATTCTGATAAGGCAAAATTCTACTAAGATCTGTAAATAAGCTGATAGTTTTATATCAGTGTTAATTTCCTGGTTGTAATCAATTTACTGTGGTTATACAAGGTGTTAAGCAGGGGAAGCTGGATGAAAGGTGTGTATGAACTCTATCCTGCAACTTTTCTTTATGACTAATATTATTTTAAAAGAAAATGTTAGAAAAAGAAATATTCTTGGCTGGGAGTGGTGGCTCATCCCTGTAATCCCAGCACTTTGGGAGGCCAACGCAGGGGGGATGGCTTGAGCTCAGGAGTTTGAAACTAGGCTGGGCAACATGGTGAGACCCTGTCTCTACCAAAAATACAAAAACGAAATAGCAAGGAATGGTGATGTGTGCTTGTGGTCCCAGCCACTCAGGAAGCTGAGGTGGCAGGATCACTGGAGCCCGGTGGGGCAGAGGTTGCAGTAAGCTGAGATTGTACCACTGCACTCCAGCCTGAGTGACAGCAAGACCCTCTCTCTCAAAAAACAAAAAACAAAACAAAACAAAACAAAACAAAAAAAGAGTATTTCAGATAATGTATTACTGGGTTGCTCTTTCATAGATAAAAGGAATCCAGAGCCCTCCTGAATTGAAAAATTCAGAATAATTCTCCAACACCTGACAGCTAATGTTTAACATCAATAGTTTTCTTTTTCTCACTTGATATAATCTAACTCTAGGGTTTTTCTTAATTATTAGGAGGAAGCAAAGTCTCCCTGTTCATTTGGCAAAGGAAACTGCCCTTATCTTATCTCTTGCTAGATAGATTATAAAAATCAAGGAAAGCATCAGATGAGGCTCTAAACAGAGTTGGGATTGTACTTGCTGCTCTAATTCTCCAAGCAGCCTTTAAAGCTGCAAGCTATTTAATCAAAAACCATTTACTAAGTTCCTATAAATCTAACATGTAGCTTTAGCAGTATACTGCAGTGGTTTGAAAATTAAAAGTCAAGGATTATACACATTGTTTGAAATACACAAAGTATTCTGCATATAAATTGTTGTCTTAATCTGTTAGCTACTTTTTTCAAGCCAGAGATTTTTCTTAAGCCAATACAATACAGAAAAGCAGAACCAGACTAGAGGAAAGGTCTCCAGACGTGACTTAGAAGCTTGGGTTCAAGTTCTAACCCCCTACTAATTTTAACATCAAATTCTATAACGTATATGAAAACAAGTTTTTAAATAAGGATAGGGTCACTAGTTTATTAAGTGGGCTGAACTCAGAAGGTTACCCTCAGCTATTAGCTTTATTTTTCTCTCATCACACTCTTCTAACATGGTTGGTTGGTTGGAATTCTGTTCATCACCTCTCGACATTTTGTGAAGGTCTCATGGCTTTCATTGTTGGTCATAAGGGTCTCATTTTTAGGTATTAAAAATCCAACCCATCTAAAGCAAAATGTAAGTGTGACAGCTAATTCATTGCCCTTCAACTCATCTCCACCAACAGCCTCCTTCTTGCCTCATCCACAAACACCCCAGCTAAGGCCTAACCCTTGGGTTGAGAACCTGTGTTGGGAAAATGAACTGTGGTCTGTTCTTTCAGTTAGCCTCCACCTTTCTCACTTCCAAGTCCACAGGGAATTTTGCAAACAAGAGCTCTAGGAGGTCTCAATCATGTCCCACTCTGGATAAATGATGAGCAGAGCAGAACTTTCTCCATGCTTTTGGGGCTATTGTGACTCCATGAAGAACACTGTGAGCCTGTGAAACACCTCGACCTTCTTTCACATCCCAATATGCATCATATATGAATTCTTGTATGTGAAATCTTTGCAAGTTCTCCTCCAACCAGGATTGCCACAGGCCCCTAATGCAGTGTCCCCTCTGGGCCAGCCTTGGAAATAAGTGCCAGAGAGCTCTGAGCCATTTATGTGCTTTGTTCTGTCTCCCCAAAGTGTCTACAGGCTGCCTGGCATGCTATAACTGCTCAAGAATATGTAAGATAGGGACATTTTCCTGGAATTCTCTGGGAGATGCTGTGGTAAGCAGTTCATCTAGTAGTTAAGTCTACCTGGGCTTTAGAGTCAATCACTTCTAGATTCACCAGATTCACTTCCAGATTCACTAGATTCTAGATTCAGTCTTTCAGCTAATATTTATTGAGCATCTAACATGTGCCAGGCTCAGTTTGAGATTCTGAGAGACAGAAGTTAATAGAGCAGTGAAAATTCCCTACCCTTGTGGAAACTACATTCTAGCTTGCAAAGCAGATATTCAACAAAGAAACAAATAAATGAGGATATAATATAAAGAAATCATATACCTCCTAATAATGATGTACCCAGAGGGACACAGCATCACTTCTATGATATTTCTACCAAAAATATGTGTAACCTGACAGAACTGTGAAGAAACATCAGCAAGCCCACACTGAGGAACATTCTACGAGACAATTATTCTGTACTCTTTAAAAATGTCACAAAAAACAATGAAAAGCTGACACTATTTCAAATTAAATGAGAATAAAAATACCTGAAAACTAAAAGCAATGCATAATCCTAGATTAGACCCTGAAGCAGATTTTTTAATGCTATGAAAGGTGTTATTAGTTCTGCTCAAGTTCTGCTCTGCTCATCTCTTGTCCAGAGTGGGATGTAATTGAGGCCCCCTAGAGCTCTTCTTTGTAAAATTTGAGTATGAGTTGCATTAACATGTTACATTAATGTTAATTTACTATGTTGTATTTACATAAAAATATGGTTATTCTTGAGAGAGACAGACTGAATGAAGTTTTTGGGAATAAGAGATCCTGATGCTTGCAGTTTATTCCCAAACAGATCAGTGATGATAACAATAGCAATGACAATAACAAATCACAATAATATCTGGATGTCAGAAAGAACAATAAAAAACAAATAGTCCAAAATATTAATAGTTGTTGAATCTGGGTGAAGGCTATACCAGCATTCATGGAACTATTATTGCCAATTTTCAATATGCTTACAAGTCTTCAAAATAAAAAGTTAAGAAACAAAATCAAATAGTAATAAGTGCTCTGAAGAGGAAATGGGGATAGAGCACAGGGATCGGGGAAGTCTCGTGTGAATGACCTTTGAGTAGAGACCTGAAGGAAGTGAGAAGTGAGAAGACCATGGGAAGGGAAGAGCATTACAGGAAGTCAGAACAACAGGGGTGAAGGCCCTGACGTAGCAGTTTTCTGGTGTGTTTGTGATCAGCAAGGAGGCCAGAGGGACTGGTGCAGAGTGAGTGATGAAGGAGAATGGTAAGAATGATCAGAGGTCAGATCACGGAAAGGATATTAGATTTTATTGTAACTACAGAGAAACTATGCTAAGGTTTTGAGCAGAGTAGTAAAATGGTCTGACTTCCATCTTAAGTAATCACTCTTGGCCACTTTGAAGGAAGTATGGAGCATACAGCAAGAAATAGAATATAGTTAATATATTCAGTTAGGGAGACCTTGAGGATGGCGGTTGTACAGGTGAGACCAGATGTCAGATTGGGATAATGATAACAGAGGTAGTATGAAGTAGGTGGATTCTGCATATATTTTGAAAGTCTCATTGACTAATGTATTGGCTAATGGACTGAATGTGAAGAGGAAGGGAGAAATTGGAGTCAAGGATGATTCCAAGGTTTGAGGTCTATTAACTAGATAAAATGCTATGCCCTTTACTAACTTAGAGTCTGTGAAATGAGGAAGTAAGCTGGAGGACTGCTTCCTAGAGGCCCTCAAGGACACACCAGTCAGGAATTCAGGAGCCTTTCTCTGTAAGAATCCAACTGTTTCATTTGACCTTTTCAGATCCCACTATGAACCTCTGGTCCTTGTGCTGCCCCAGAGAACACATGAGGGGCGCCAGAGCAGAGAGAGATATTCCTTATGACTGCCGATGTGTTTCTGCACCCATCTAGGCCTTGTCCACTGTAGGAGGAGACCTGGGAGTGGTGGGGAACAGGTTGGAACTTGCTCAGAGCCTTCACATTTCTCTCTCTCTGTCCATAAGGGCTGACATATGTAGCATGGAAGATGCTTCCTCCCCTTGCATGTCCCTGGGCCACCTCAAGCCTATACACTTGTTTTCTGGATTGAACACACTCTTCGGTATTGCCTGGCCACCATGGTAGCTCTTCAGCCTTGAGTATGTGCCCCCACTTCTCCTTGCCTCCTCGGAATTGAGTTGTATAACTCTACCTTTGGTTTCAGGCCTCAGGGTCCACAGGAACATTGTTATCTGTTTCACTCTGCTCCAACTCCTTACACTATACTGGCTTGATACCTTCACGTACCCACATGGTTTCTTGAATCTAGCTTACCCTGCCTGACCCAGGCTGCTGGAAGATAAGACTGCAAGAATAAATTATAAAGGAAAACTGGAGGTCATAACACAGGTGAAAAGGGTCGGAGTCTTGGAGAGGAGAGATGAATACAGGAGATATTTTTAAGGAAAGGGAGATTAGCCTTGGTTACTGGTAGAAAATGGGGTTCAAGATGAGAGAAGGGAGGACTCAAAGAGTCTTCTAGGCCAGAACATTGTTCTAGGCCAGAAGATTGAAGGGATGATTCATCTGTCATTTTCTTCCCACTAAATTTGGGGAATTCAAACATGTAAGGCAGGCAATCCATTCATTCAATTACTCAACATAGAATGCCTATCCTATGCCAAAGCCTGTACCTGCATGTTGGAGATCCAAAGATGAAAAGAATAGTCCTTGACCTCAGCGTATAGAATAAGAGTATGTAGAATGTCAGTTGTGGTGACGTACTGCTGCAGGTTATGGTAGAATGATAGGGCACCTGCATGCATAGAATATTGAGCTCTATGTGGAGAAGTCAGGGAGAGCCTGAGGCAGGGCATTAGAAGCAATATTGGAGCTGAGACTTAGATAATGAGCAGTAGGTCTCCAGGAACATATCTGAGAGAAGATGTCCCAGACAATACAGCACGGACAAGACAATCTGCCCAGGTTTCCATCTTTATTAACCAGTGGAGCATATGCTAAATACATTTGCCTGTGCAACAGTAGAAATACTACAGAAATATCCTCAGTGCAGCTCTTTCTTATTGCAATTGATGTTTTAGGAGCACAATATTTGCCTCAGAGGGCTTTTATGGAGCACTATATTAATTTGCTAGAGCTGCCATAACAGAGTACCACAGACTGGGTGGCATAAACAACAGAAATTTATTTTCTTGCAGCTCTAGAGGCTAGAAGTCCAAGATCAAGGTATTGGTTTCTTCTGGGGCCTTTCTCCTTGCCTTGTAGATAATCACCTTCTCACTGTGTCCTCACATGATTTTTCCTCTGTGTGTCCAAATTTCCTCTTCTTACAAGGACACCAGTCAGATCGGACTAGGGTACACCCTAATGACATCATTTTAAACTACCTCTGCAAAAGCCCTGTCTCCAAATAAAATCATATTCTGAGGTACTGGGGATTAAGGCATCAACATAAGAATTTGAGGAGGGATACAATTCACCCGGTAGCAAATACCCACTATTTGCACGGTATTATGAGAAGCAGTACTTGATAAATGAAACCTAGCATAGTACTGAATGTAAATCCTTTTGTTCTGCTGTCCATCACTTAATTTCTAGAACTACTTGATGTATCAATCAGAATCTAGAGAGCTCTATACTGTAAAATCCTCACTGCTCTCAACAGTTTTTCTACCTTTTAGACAGCCAGCCAGCCATCATATTTCCATCTTCTCTTTCATTGACCTTCCTAGGGCCCAGCACTCTCTTTGTTCTCGGGGGAAAACACCAGTGTGGTCCCTGGGACTGTACACTTTCTCCCCACTGTCACACAGCAACAGGAGCAGCAACTCAGAATGCAGAGTGGGGAGTGGCCACTGCCGCCCGTGTTGGGCTTTATGGCCATGGCATCAGACAGCTTGGCATGACTCCTACCTGAGGAGCTGGATGGCTCAGAACCCATACTCTCAGTTGCAACCTCAGTGCCACCTGGGCAGGCAGGGGCTCTCTCTGACAGGATTCCAGATCTGAGGAGCGTGCTCTGAAACTTGCCATACAATCCATTATAATGCAGGTGCTAACTCTCTGAACTCACTTCTTCATTCTCCCTGAAAAGGAGGCCTCTTGCCCAAAACATCAATGAGCAATGTACTAAATTTACTGAAGAATTTGAGGAGGAAAAAAAGGGAGAGAGGTTTATAAAGCACACTTCCGTCAGTAGTTCTCTTACTCAAAAATCTCTGCCTCCATACCACCCCAGAATTTGTTTCCTCCCTGCTCTTTCTGGCACAACTCCCTCATGGCAGCCTCCCCTCACCCCCAACTCCTTTTCTATTACTGCTTGTCATCTTGTAGTTCAGATCTTACATCTGCAAACTTCACTTCCTCTCAGTATTCAGTAGAAAAAAGGGCTATTATTTTTAAATTGAGATTGGTCCTTGGAACCATCTTCCCTAGCCAGGTAGCTACTCAAAGTATTTCTTCTGAATATATACAGTTCTGTTTCCTAAGAGGAATCTTTGAATCAGCTCTGAAGGTGATAACAATCATCCTGTATTGTTACAGCGGCATCCACATGCCTCACCAGATATGGCAGAGGTGTGGTGGGGATTTTGAGAAGTCAGAGTTATGAAGTAGCCCTTGAGTGCCAGACACCTTGCCAGATACTTTAGATGCTTTATTTTATTTAATCCTCACAACAAATCTGCAGGGAACCTATTATTACTCCTATTTTATGGACGGGGAATTTGGGACTCAGAGAAGTTAAATAACTTTCCTACACTCACACTGCTGGAGACCAGCAGAGCTGGGAAGGGCAGCAAAGCCATTCTGACCCCAAAGTCTTCACTGTGTCTCTTCCTCAGGTATGAAAGGCTCCTCTATCTCTGCACACAAAGGGAGCCTTAAAACTTTTGCTTTAGGCCTGGCGTGGTGGCTCACACCTGTAATCTCAGCACTTCCGGAGGCCGAGGCAGGTGGATCACCTGAGGTCAGGAGTTCAAGACCAGCCTGGCCAACATGGTGAAACTCCGTCTCTACTAAAAATACAAAAATTAGCTGGGTATGGTAGTGGGTGCCTATAATCTCAGCTACTCGGGAGGCCGAGGCAGGGCAAATTTCTTGAGCCCAGGAGGCGGAGGTTGCAGTGAGCCAAGATCGTGCCACTGCACTCCAGTCTGGGTGACAGAGTGAGACTCCGTCTCAAAAAAAAAAAAAAACTGTCGCTTTATTAAGCATCTTAAAGCATCTCATCTTCTATGGACTTCAGGCATCTTTCGGACCCATTTTCTCAATCTATAAGATTTGGGCACATTATTTAACTTCTTTCTACCACCCTCTCCTTATCCATAAAATAGGGACAATAATAGTACTGCCTCATAGGGTTAGCTTGACAATCAAAAGATAACCCGTGTAAAGTCCTTAGGATAGAGCCTGGTGTATAATAAGAGTACAATAACTACTTGGTAGTAAATTAATATAATTACTATGTACCAGTCACTGTGCTTCCTGTTGGAAGTGGCTTCATGGTCTGCAGCAGAGCCCCAGGGCAGGAGGTAGGAAGGGTGATAACATATTACACATGCTGCATACTGGGGGTCACGTAGGAGGGACCATCCAGAAGCACCTGCAAGGAGGACCAGGCTAGACTCCACAGAGAAGTTAAAGTTAGGTGAACCAGGCATGTTCCAGATACACCGAATGAGACACAGACCTCCCAGGAAGAACAAACCAAGGCACTTAAGGTTTATGTATCATTGGAAAACTGGGGCCTGCTCTTAGTTTATCTAGGTGCATGGGGTGCAGGAGGGGATGACTAGAAATAATACTGGACAGGTGGATGGCCGTAATCCAGCAGGAAGGATCCCATTTCCCACAGTAAGGAACCTGGTATAACCTAGAACTGAGGGATGCCATCAGAGCACTTAAACAGTTGAATTATATGTTTTAACATTGATTCATACTTCAAGATTTGAAAGAATGCCTCTGACTATTTCAGCCTCCATTGATAGCTCCTGTTTCTGACATATTAGAGTAGGCAGTGATTAAAACACTCAACTTCACTTGTTAATATAAATATAGGGCTTGTGTCACCCTCAGAAAGTTTTATGCATTGCTATTTGTCTCCAGAATTAGATCTTAGACTTCCTAAAAGTGGAGACTATTTAAAGTCTTTTGTATTTTCTCACCATGCTGACTTCTCAGAGCTGGAAGGGAACTTTGCAGCCACTGAGCTCATCCTCTATATTTACTGGTAGAACCTAAGCCAAGGAGCTTGAGAGACTTGCCCAAGACCACACATTTCAGCAGTGGCAGAGCATGCAATCAATCTTATCTAATAACTGTTGCTTTACCAATATAGTCATTAATAACTGGTTTTTGGAGCTGGCTATGACAGAGCCAGGTAGATGTAAGAAGAATATTTCAACTTCGAAGTTACCATCCAAACTAAAGCAAATCAGTACCTGGAATGTATTGTACTTAATGTAAAAGAAATCAAGCTGTGAGTGGGGTAAAACTGTTGGTGAGAAATTTAATCCTCATACTAAACACTACATTTCTAAAGACCCCCAATGCTCACTCTCTGCCCATTGAGTTCACATGTAAAATGTTAGAGGTGAATGTGGAAAGTGCTTTGACAAACTACACCATCAGCCAAACTTGGAATAGATGAGGTGAATCTGCATGGCGGCTGGAGTGTGAAGGGAGCTGGCTTCGAGAGTCAATGCACGAGGGCTATTAGGCCACAATATGACAGGTATTTCCTCAATTCTTAGATGTCATCATTTAATGGTTTAATATCTTCTCAGAAAAACGAAAATAGTGAGCATTTCAATGCTCTTTATTCAATGAACAAGGCATAACTATTTTAGAAAAGTTAAAAGGTAAAAAAGAAAAAATGTCCATTTAAAAATCAAAGATGTAGACCACATGTGAGTAGCAAGGAGGAAACATTTGCTTGTCAAAGGTTCCCTGATGACTTCATTTCAACTCAGAAGTAAAAGCCAGTGCATTATTGGTACAGTGTTAAATAGCCAAGGAAATGTCTGTATAGTGGCAACTGACTTTATGGTTAAATGTCAACGGGCAGGAAACTGAGTTGATATGGTGACTGTGCCTCCTAATTTACCGCCTGTGTGGGCAGACTCTTTGCATCAGAACCACCCCTTTCCCATATAGCATGGACTTTAGATCCTGGCAGAAATGATCAGGGGCACACTGGTTAATTAACTTGATGTGCCGCTGTGGAACAGACTGGTAAATCAATACACCTGCTATTACATTCACCTTCAGGCTGCAATTCTGTGTTCCAGTGCTCTCATGACTCCCAATTTCTGCATTCCCTGACTAATTGCCATATAAGTAGTGTTGCTCAACCTGGCAACCACATGGATTATTGCTGAAATTCCAGCAGGCACCAGAAAACAAAACACACTAAGCAGAGAAATTTTACTAAGAGCACATCAAGGGTGGGATACCTTATGAAAGTCCATTTGGCTTTAAGAGCTTTGGAGACAGAGAGATCTGTATGCAGATCTTCATTCTGTAACTTGCTAGCCATTTAACTTTGGGCAAGTTGCCATTTTTCTGTTTTCTCATCTGTAAAATGAGGAAATAACCTAAAATGAACACTCTGAGCTACCTTCCCATCCTACCACGGTACATTACTCTAGTCCATTCACCCTCCCCTGTCTCTGAAATGGTTATTCCACATCTCCCTCTTTCAACTCTGGACATCTCCTCCCTCCACCTCCCACTGTCTCTGACTCAGGAGACAGACTTTTTCTCTTTATTCACTGAGAATAAAGAAGCAATCAAAAGAGAAAAGCCACATCCAGCCAATACCAATTCCACCAACTCTTCTCCATCTTTCTCCTTATGGTGGCCTGCCTCACTCCAATTTAAAGGCAACCCTTCTTCTCAACTACCCACGGACATGGCTCCAGCATGCCCCTTTCTCTCTTATGCATCGTCAGATTTAATACATGCTGGAGTAAGCTCCTGTATTTAAACAAAACATGACAGAAAAAAAAAACTCCCTGGATGCTACATTTCCCTTCAGATATTGCCTCTTTTCACTAATCTTCTTTATAGCAAAGCTTCTCAAAACAACTGTCCATGTTCATTACCTCTGCTCACTTTTCTTCCAGCCGTCCTCTCCTGAAACCTCCTCAGTTAGGTTTTCACACTCACCACTTCACTGAATCTACTATTATTAAGGTCCTCCAAAGACATTCCCATTACCAAATACAATAACCAATTCCTAAACCTCTCCTTACTTGACGTTATTATTTAAGATTCATTTCATGCTTTTGGCTATTCTCTCTTCTTTGAATCATTTTCTTCCCTCAGCTTCTAACACACTCCTCTCTTTGAGTCTTCTCCTTCCTCACCAGCCTTTCCTTCTCAAGTCCCTTTGCTTGTCCTTACCAATCTTCTTGTCCTCTAAATACTGGAATGCCCCAGAGTTCTGTCCTCAGATCACTTCTCCTCCATGTCTGCACTTCACTGCCTGTGTAGTGATTTCATCTAGTCTCATGGTTTTAAATACCATCAATATGCTAATTACTCCCAAGGTATTACTCCAGCTTGGACCTTTCCCTGGAATCCCAGAATCATATATCCAGCTGCTTAACTGGCAGTGCCACTTGAATTCCAAATAAGCATTTCAAACTTATTCAAAACTCAACTCCAAATTCAGCCGTATCTTACCATAACTATACAAGGCCAAGCTAAAATTACTTCTGATCAGGATTATCGCAAGAGTCTCCTCTCCCAACTTGTCTCCCTGTTTCCATCTTGCCTTCCTACAGTCAGTATTCCACACAGCTGCTAGAGTGACCCTTTTAAATAAAAGTCAGAGCCTGTCACTTCCCTGTTCAAAACCATCACCCTTAGGATAAATTCCAAAGCCCATGCCATGACCTACAAGGTCCAGCAAGAAGCTACCCTTGACATCTCTGCTCTTTCTCTCCCCCATCGTTCTTAACCAGACGCACCGACCTCCCAGTGCTTCTCAGATACCCTGCCCTTGATCTCTTGTTGGGGCCACTGCCCACAATGCTCTTCTCCAGCATAGCTCAAACACTCACTGCTTACTTCATGTCTCTGTTCCATTGTCACTGGTTAGAGAAGCCTTCCTTGTCACCTTCTAATGCCCAGCTCTAGCCTTATTTTCCTTTGTACCTCCTCTCCCTGTCCAAATTTATATTATTTACCACTCTGATTATCTACCTATAATCTATCTCCACCCACTAGACCTTAAAATTGACAAATGGGACCTAATTAAACTAAAGAGCTTCTGCACAGCAAAACAAACTACCATCAGAGTGAACAGGCAACCTACAAAATGGAAGAAAATTTCCGCAACCTACTCATCTGACAAAGGGCTAATATCCAGAATCTACAATGAACTCAAACAAATTTACAAGAAAAAAACAAACAACCCCATCAAAAAGTGGGCAAAGGACATGAACAGACACTTCTCAAAAGAAGACATTTATGCAGCCAAAAAACACATGAAAAAATGCTCACCATCACTGGCCATCAGAGAAATGCAAATCAAAACCACAATGAGATACCATCTCACACCAGTGAGAATGGCGATCATTAAAAAGTCAGGAAACAACAGGTGCTGGAGAGGATGTGGAGAAACAGGAACACTTTTACACTGTTGGTGGGACTGTAAACTAGTTCAACCATTGTGGAAGTCAGTGTGGCGATTCCTCAGGGATCTAGAACTAGAAATACCATTTGACCCAGCCATCCCATTACTGGGTATATACCCAAAGGATTATAAATCATGCTGCTATAAAGACACATGCACACGTATGTTTATTGCGGCACTATTCACAATAGCAAAGACTTGGAACCAACCAAAATGTCCAACAATGTTAGACTGGATTAAGAAAATGTGGCACATATACACCATGGAATACTATGCAGCCATAAAAAATGATGAGTTCATGTCCTTTGTAGGGACATGGATGAAATTGGAAATCATCATTCTCAGTAAACTACCGCAAGGACAAAAAAACCAAACACCACATGTTCTCACTCATAGGTGGGAATTGAACAATGAGAACACATGGACACAGGAAGGGGAACATCACACTCTGGGGACTGTTGTGGGGTGGGGGGAGGGGGGAGGGATAGCATTAGGAGATATACCTAATGCTAAATGACGAGTTAATGGGTTCAGCACCCCAGCATGGCACATGTATACATATGTAACTAACCTGCACATTGTGCACATGTACCCTAAAACTTAAGGTATAATAATAATACAATAAAAAAATAAAAATAAAAAAACTCACTTATTAAAAGACAAAAAAAAAACCTTAAAAGGAAGGTTTTAATCCTCTTTTTACTGCCGTAGCCCCCAAATCAAGGTCTATGCCTAGCTCAGAGCAGTACCCATGATATTCATTGAGTTATTATTATTATTATTATTATTATTATTATTATTTAGATGAGTTTGCCCGGGCTGGAGTGCAATGGTGTGATCTTGGTTCACTGCAACCTTGCCTCCCAGGTTCAAGCAATTCTCCTGCCTCAGCCTCCTGAGTAGCTGGGATTATAGGCATGTGCCACCACACCCAGCTAATTTTGTATTTTTAGTAGAGACAGGGTTTCTCCATGTTGGTCAGGCTGGTCTCGAACTCCCAACCTCAGGTGATCCGCCCACCTCCCTAAGTGCTGGGATGACAGGCGTGAGCCACCGCACCCGGCCTGATTGAATTATTTAATGAATGAATGATACCCTATCCACAAGGTTGCTAGGATGATTACATGAAGTAAATGATATAGAGTAGTTTCAAGTACATGGTAAGGTTCTGAAGAATATCTGTTTCTTTTACCATTATTATTATAAACAAAATGGAGCTGGGCCATGGCACTGGTACATGGAAGCTAATCATTTTGTAACATCTGTAACATTTTGTAACATCAGGGTTTGCTTCTATTTCTGCATTTCATATGTTCTCATCTGGCCTCTGCTCTTTTAGGGATAATTAGAGAAAGCATGTTCCTTTGAGTTCATGTCTGGGGCTTAATTTAACTTGTAGGTATTTCTTTTAAGATTCCCACTTGAACAAGTCACATTAACTTCCAAAACAAATTCTCCAGCTCTAGAGGCAGGCAGGGTCCGATGGCTTCATACAATTTCCAAGCCACATCCCCCAGAGCAAGAAAAATGTGGCAGGTTTCCTGGCATCATACTTGAACATCATACATAAACTTCCAGGGAACACAGAACACCACACCACATATGACGAAGGGTTTGAAAGGAGAAGTAAAGCACATGAGCACAGGAGGGAGACAAGATTGGATGTGTGTAAGCATCCTCCCCGTCACTTTCCCTGTCCTGGCAGCAGAGGCCAAGCAGTGACATTTGATGCTTTCCTTTGATAAACAGGGCATGCATGCTCTTTTATCACTTTTTAGAAATTTGAAATATATAAAATGAAAGAAATAGTTCCCCAAAAAGCAGATTTGCTTTCCTGCTCCACATCCTCACTGATGGCCAGAAGTATTGTCATCTCCCTGGAGGTGGGTGATGACTCTCCTCCACTCCTCCATCCATCCCCTAAAGACCCACCAGCAGTGGAAAGAGCATGGGGACGGGGATTGGAGGAAGGCAGATTCAATTTGAACCCTGGTCTTGATTCACAGAATCTGTGTGACCTTAGGCAAGTTGCTTAACCACCCTCAGCTTCCATTTCTCCAGGGGTAAAATTGCATCTTCACTGAATGGTTGGGAGGATTAAGATAGGTCGCCTGGTGAAGCACTTAGCTCAGCTCCGTATTCCTAGCTCCTTGGTTCCCCACTTTTGTCCCCCATCATCCACCATCCACTTATATCCTGTGGAGTTCTCAGAGGGCTCTCCCACACATTATCCTCTGTGTCCTTCATGACAGGGTGGGTGTTATTCTGATTTTGAGACATGAGTAGTCAATTTATTGAATCATCTGAACTCAGTAGGGAGCAAACAGTAAATGATTTTGATTTTTCTGTGTGATGGTGTTTACTTTGATAAACCTCTCCCTGAGTTGCACATCCCATGACAAAACCTTGGCAGATTCTTTACCTTCCTGTTCATTTTAATGTATTAAATGTCCTTCTAAAATAAAACTCCAGTCTTACCTCCTGTGTAAGCCTCCCTTCCTCCAGCATCAGTCCAGTTTATAGCCTGAAGGACTTGAAGTGAAGAGGGTCTGTACTGCTCCTTTGCTGCATCCAGGTCCTCACCTCAAAGTGGCTCAATCTCAATGAATGATTGTCTCATAGCCCCTTCTCACTTAGCTTTTTCAGAGATGAGGTGTCCTCTTCAAAACCAATGCTATGCTCCCAAGGACACAGGACTCACTGCCCTGTATCCATCAAGATACACTAGCTTATGCCTCAGCAACAAGCAACTCCACAATAACTCAGGGACACCTCCTTCTTCCCCCTTCTTTGACAGTTCTGACTCCTCTGTTAGTTTGAGCTGTAGGGCAGAGGGAAAGGGACAAAAGTCTTAGCTGGCTCACTCTTTCTGACCTTTCTGCAGGTTGTTACAGCGTCTCTGGCTAGCCTTTTCTAGCTGATGTTGCCCTATTAGCAGCCCTAGTGGGGCTTTTCAGAGGGCTTTGCAGGGCCTCTTTTTTGTATGGCTCCCTGAAGTGGACAGCTGGCTTCACACAACCACACCTGACTTCAGGAGGGCAAATAAGTACAATCCCACCACATGCATAGCATGCAGGAGGGTGGGGAGAACAGCATTGTACCAGTTATCTATTGCTGTGTACACGCAATAGATACCTAATTTAATGACTTAGAACACCAGTCATCTTTTTAGTTGAAGAGTGTGTGGGTTGACAATTTGACAAGGACTCAGCTGGACAGTACTTCTGGTCCATCTAGACTCCCTTATGCCTGCAGGACAGCAGGGTGGCTCTGCTTCTGGACTCTATCCTAGAGTGGCAGGGAATTGACTGGACCATGTGTCTCATAATCCTTCAGGCTACATTGGGCAGTTTGGTAGGTTTCTAGAGGGAGGACAGAAGTATGCAAGGCCTCTTAAGGCCTGGGCTTGGAACTGCCTTAAAATTACTTCTGCTGCCTTCTATTGGTTAAATTTCAGAAATCAACAATATTCAAGGAGTGGGAAACTAGGCTCCACTTTTGATAGATTGAGATGCAAATTCACATTGCAAAGTGCCTGGATAAGGGAAAGGGGAGAGAACTGCAGTCTTTTTGTAGTCTACCCCAAACACTAATGACCACCATATCTTCCTGGACTTTTGAAGTGGAACTTAGGGGGTTAAGACAGAGGTGGCTGGGCTTGGCAAGGCCATGTAAACTTGCCTGATATATTGTGTAGGGGGAGTCTGACCACACTTATGGAGACCCTTATTAGACAAGAGTACTGAGCACCATTTGTTTCTTTTTCTCTTTTTAAATTACTTTTATGATTTTATTTTTAATTGACATAAAATAATTGTACCTATTTATGGAGTACATAGTGATTTTGTAACACATGTAAAGTATAGTGATCACATCAGGGTAATTAGCATATCCATAACATCAAACATTTATCATTTTTTTGTGTTGGGAACATTCAAAAGTATCCTCCTTCTAGCTATTTGAAACTATATAATGTATTGTTGTTAACTATAGTTATCCTACAGTGCTATAGAGCACTAGAACTTATTCTTCCTATCTAGCTGTCATTTTTTAGTAAAAAATCTCTCCCTATCCTCCCTTCTCCCTGTGCTTGCCAGTCTCTAGTATCCTCTGTTCTACTTTTAACTTCTACGAGATCAACTTTTTTTAGCTTCCACATATGAGTGAGAACATGCAGCATTTAACTTTCTTTTCCTGGCTTATTTTATTTAACATAATGTCCTCCTGTCCCATCCATGTTGCCACAAATGACAGAGTTTCATTCTTTTTTATGGCTGAATAGTATTTCATCATGTACATGTACCATATTTCCTTTATCCATTCATTGTGTTGTTGGACCCATAGATTGACTCCATATCTTGGCTATTGTGAATAGTGCTACAATTAACATGGGGGTGCAGATGTCTCCTCAGTATAATGATTCCCTTTCCTTTAGATAAATTCCCAGCAGTGGGATTGCTGAATCACATGGTAGTTCTATTTGTAGCTTTTAGAGGAACCCCCATACTGTTCTTCATAGTGGTTGCACTAGTTTACATTCCCACAAACAAAATGTCTATGAGTTCCCTTTTCTCTGCATTTGTTATTTTTGTCTTTTTGATAACAGCCATTGTAACTGGAGTGAGATGATACTTCACTGTGGTTTTGATTTGCATTTCCCTGATGATTAGTGATGTTGAACTTTTAAAATATATTTGTCAGCCATTTGTATGTCTTCTTTTGAGAAATGTCTGTTCAGATCATTTTCTCATTTTTAAATTGGATTGTTTGGAGGTTTGTGTTTTTTTTGCCATTGAGATGCTTGAGTTTCTTGTATATTCTAGATATTAATCTCCTGTCTGATGCATATTGTGCAAATACTTTTTCCCATTCTATAGGTTGTCTCTTCACTCTGTGTCAGTGGGGATAGTGCCATGCACACAGCAGATCTCACCCCCACAGCCTGGATCTGCATGATCCATTGATCATAAGAGAGACTGGTCCATCATTGCATTGCAGTTCTAGAAACTAAAACGATCACTTTCTTTCAAGACCAAGAGTTTATGGAGCAAAAGTGCTGACAGCTTCTTCCAGTTTCCTTTGCTGTGTAGAAGCTTTTTAGTTTGATATCTGAGCATCTTTTTTCTGCAGCTCTGGGCCATACATGTTTATTCCAGGCAAAAGAAAGAACTCCCATGGATATTCAATTACAAAAAGAAACCACCTTAAAGGTGAAGTGACTTGTTGCTGGGTGAAAAGAAAAACTATGTACTAAGGACTAGGGATGAGAAAGCAGAGTAAACAGGAGAGACTTTTAAAAGGCCACTGTGGGGATGGACAGAGCAAGGTGCACCATGGTGCAAGCTGTCATCAGAGTCCAGAATCTTCCAGTTCCTGGAGCCAGAATAGAGGGGTAGATTAAACTCAAACCCAGTCCTGCCAGAATCTTGTGCTTTTCCAAACCTGTTTTGGTGCTTTTTTATAAGTCCCAGAGGCAAAGGAGAAATGGTCTAGTTTGTCATGGCCAAAACAAGAGGGAGGGCAGCAGGAAGAGCAGATAAAGTCAAAAGGATAATACAATATGTCCTATGTCCTACACACACACACACACACACACACACACACACACACACACACACACACACACACACACACACAGAGGTTACTTATCCATATGCTTCAGACCCAAGCAGACTTGAGAGTTCCTGGTTTGTGTCCTGTGGATAGTTTAGCGAGATGGATTTTGAGCCAGACAATAGACTCTTCTGCTTTGCTGTGTGCAGAGACAAGTGGCTGTTAAGTGATCATAAGAGAGAAAGGCCAGCTTTACACATGTAGCCTTTGAGCCCATGAGTTTGTATACTTAATATTTCCAATGATTCAAATTCAAAAGGCAAATTATATCAAAATCCAATGTGGTGGGACACTTTTACAGCACACTGGTAGGACTTTAAGGAGGCAGGGGAGGAGGAGCAGGGGCAGAATCAAAGGCAAAATAGGACCTCTTTCTGCTCATCTGGCTTAGTGGCAGGGGCGGGGGAAATTCCCTCTTTACTAGGCACTGCCATCACCCCACCCACACAGGGACATTTATGAGCCTCCTCAAGACGGAGGGTGTCAGTGGGGACTGTGTAGTGCACACAGCAGACCTTACCCCCACAGCCTAGGTCTGCTTGATCCATTGATCGTAAGAGAGACTGTTCTGTCATTGCATTGCAGCTCCAGAAACTAAAACGATCACTTTCTTTCAAGACCAAGAGTTTACGGAGCAAAAGTGCTGACAACTTCTTCCAGCGAACCAACAGCGAAGACATGAAACTGCAAGCACACATGGTGGCTGAGATCAGCCCCAGCTCCAGCCCACTCCCTGCTCCAGGAAGCCTGACGTCCACACCCGCCAGGGCTGGTCTGCATCCAGGTGGCAAGGCTCATGCCTTTCAGGAATACATCTTCAAGAAGCCCACTTTCTGTGATGTCTGCAACCACATGATAGTGGGTAAGGCCTCCCACCCCTTTCTCCAGATCCCAGCACCCCCGGAAAGCTGAGTGAGAGTGGTGTGCCACGGGTCCAGGTACCTACGGACAGATGCTAGGCCTCAGAGATTTACATGTGGGAAGATCATTCAGGAGTGCTTTGGGGAACAATATTTGTGAGAAGGTAAGGGAAGCAGCACTGGGTAGTGGGAGAAGTTGGGTTGTGATATAGTTGTAATCAGGACTTCAGCTGATCCCCTGTAGATCCCTAAAGCCCTTTAGCGTGTTCTTGCATTGAGGCTCGAGGTCTGGGTCTTTGAACACCTGCATCAGCCTGTCACTGTATATGGGCAACAAGTGAGACCTGGAATGCTTGTTGCTTCCCCAAAAAAAAGCCGATGTCTGTCATATGTGCATGGTCATATCAGTGACATCCAATATGGCCTGGAAGTCAGGGTTCTGCAGTTCTCCTTACCCTTTGCCAAGGCTCAGTTAAGGGGTAGGATATTCAAAATGGTGGGCAATATTAACCCTTCTTACAATCACACACAAGGCTTGTTCTTGTTTTCAGAAAACCTTTATGTACTCATGTTCTCATGGTCTAGTCCCTATGACTCATTTTCTTCTTTTAAATGGCCACATTTAGGAACAGTGCTTGTATCGGTCAAAGATTTCCACCAGAAAGTTGCCTAAAAGCCACCCTAAAAAGTAGTTTTAAAGTGCTGAAAAGTTTAGAAGTTCTTTAAAAATGGCCATGTTTTACTCTCACTCAGGCATCTTCAGATCAGCTGAGATTTGGCTGATCCAGACTCAGCTTTGTTATTGCATCTTCTCTCTACTCCTTATCTCCTGCTCTCTCCTTGAACCAGTGGGCTAGTCACATCATGCACTTCTCATGGCGAGGACAACTGGGAGCATGCAAAGCCTCTTAAGGCCTTGGGCCGGAGGTGGCACACTGTGACTTAGTCTACTGGCATTTCGTTAGCCGAATTAAGTTATGTGGCCAAATCCATAGTCAAGACAGGGGCAACCCCCTAGCCCCCACCTGCCGTCTCTAGTAGCAAGGACTGCAAGCCACCTGACAAAGGGCTTGGATACAGGGAGGGGTGGAAAATGGGCTCAATATGTAATCTACCATTTAGGATGCTCTCTGGATTACTGATCTTTTTTTGTTTGGTAGAGTCTGCTAAGTCTTGGCGCTCCCACCCTTCTACTTCACATCTCCATACGGACTTAATGCCTAGCATCTGACTGTCAGCTTGGGGTTGCTGGGCCGGGGGCGATGGAGGGTCTCATCACGTCTCATGCTCAACAATACTTCAGACACTTCAGCCTCTAACTTAGTTTCTGTGCCTGCCTGGCTTCTGAATCTGTGTCACTTTCAATTTCCACACACATTTCCACCAGGCCTTTTCAAGGCAGTGTTATTCATAAATAACCCTTAAATAGGTGATGATGAGCCTCTATTTTAGATCTCATTGTGATGAGTGTGAAAAGACAGAGGATGTGTTTTTAAAAATGAGTAACAGAAATGAGTTCACCTCTGAGGAATGTCATAGTCATTACCCTAAAGAGGATTCTAGGTACATCTCAAGTACAACAACAATTTTGAAAGACTCTATTTTGAATATCACTAAAAAAAATGTCCTATGCTAAAGAGAGTTGCACTGCACTTTTCTCTTGTCAGAAATAAATTTACATTGCAGCTGCCATTTTATCTTTATAAAGAAAGAAAAAAAAGAATCAACGAGTCTCACTGCTCTTTTCAAGGACAGAAACAAAATAAACCAAATATTAGGCTCCTTTCAGGAAAGAACAAAGGGGTTTAGAAAGGGGATATGGAGCAGAAGGGAAGGGGAGAGAAAGAAAAGGCGGGAGGAAGGAGGTGAGAAGAGGAAAAGAAATGGAGATGAAGTAGGGGCTGGTGTATGCTCTAACTTCCTAAAACAATAAATAGGGTATTTTAATTATCTGATAATGGAGCACAATTGATCTGCCTCTCTCGCTTTCTTGACCCTTCAGACATAGCATTCTGTCTCCATATAGATTACCTAAAGATTTCTTTCCTTCAAGCCACACGTTATCCTCATATTCTAGATTTTAGGGAAAGACTACCTGCTATTATCCCCTTAGAATGACATCCCAGAAAAGATATTAAAGCTGTTTGTTTTTTCCTTTCTACTGGGAACCAAAGGCTGTATAATGATAGCCAAGAAGAATCAAACCTCATCTGTGCACTTTCCAGCTGACAGATACTTCTTTAAAAATAAAATGAACCTGACACCCTCCGTGTACACTCACAGTTCAGTTTACAAGGACTCACATTTGCGCCTTCCCAACACCTGTGCCTTGAAGATGGAAAGGCCACACCCTTGCCATAAGATCCCTGATCAATAAAAGTAGACCAGGACCCCAGTCTCATCCAGTGCCCATCCATTTCTAATTTTCTTAGCTTCTTATTGCCAGCTAGGCCCTTGCCCTTGGACTTGATGCCTGAAACTGCTACTTACCAGGCTCTCAGACCTGTTGTGTTAAGCAGGCACCGTGGCATGCCCTCCAGCTAACCTAACCTTGCCTTCAACACACTGCTACCCTTTATGATCATCTCTTAAGCTATCCCTTCCCAGAAACTTTGGTCACCTAAGCAAGCCAAAGATGCTCAACCCAGCTCTTCATGGAGACATGAGAGAAATAGGCAGTTAGGTGTGTCTGTCAGCTTCAATGCTGAATGCCCCTGCCTTTGAGTCACCAGGACTCCATACTGAGTCTTAGTCTAAGAGACTTCTGAGCTGTCTCTTGTACTTGGCTAGAGGAACATACTTCCTCCACCAAGCAGATCCACTCTTAGGCCTTGACAATCAGTTAGGGGTGGGAGAACTCAGCTTCACTGTGTATCACCTAAATGTATTCCATTTATGGCATTCTATCTTACATTGAATTAACTGTCTACAATGACTCATTTCAGGAAAGCATTAAATCTGTGTGATAATCTGCATCTCACTGAAATTTCAAAGACTTCAACAAGTCAACATGTACTATTAATATAACTAACTCAATGCATGAGTCTACTTCATCAAATAAGGAGATGTTTCTAAGGGACTCCATTCTGTTTATTGCCAGATATCTTGTTTCAAAAACTATTTTTAAATTAACTAAATGTTTTTAATTGAAATTCACTTAGAAGACACAGCATATTAAATGGAGTCGTATTTCCTAAACAGATATTTCGAAAAATGTATTTCATTGCCTAAAATTTCAAGTTTCTTCATACAGTTGCTACACAAAGAATCATTCACTTCCATAACGGCATCCATTGGGGGAAATAATAATGACAATGTCTTAGGAAAGCATCCCTAGAAGTAGGGCCTGAGATGGGGTGTCTTATGAAAGGGATTTGTTGTGGGGAGTGCCCTCAGCAGAAGGAGAGTCAAAGAAGCAGGAGAGGCAGGCTAAGTAGCTAAGCAAGGGTGTGGTCTCAGCTGGAATCTGCTTCCGACTGATTCCACCGAGTGGTCCTACCTTCAGACAAAGGACTAGCCTTTGTACATTTCTGTCCCTCAGTCATTGGCTATGTCTGCCCCCAGGAAGTAGTGAGAGTGCAGCATTCCAGGCAAGGAGCATCCCTCTTGGCCAAGGACAGCTCCCTGGAAAAAAAAGGGGGGCATCTGTGAGTCATTGGCTGCCAACACTCACAGCACTAGAATGGTAAATAAGATCAAGACAAGGGTACACTATATCTGTGAACATACTTTAATGCTACAAGATGAAGTATAAAACACTCCCCACTAGGAACAAATTTAAAATGCAGATGAACCTTGCAATTGCTGTACCTAAAACATTATATTGCCATTATAATGAATAATATATCATGAGAAAATACTACATTACACTGAGTCCCAGACCTTCCTGCTGGGCTGTTGTTTGACCATTAGGTTGTTTTCTGACCTATTCTGACCTCATCCCATTGCTCAACAAAGCCATAAGCCATTAATCAAACCTTGAATGGAAAAACTATATATATGTATACACACCACACACACACACACACACACACACACACACACACAAAGACATTGAACTAAAAAGACAAAGCAATGTTTGCTCATCAGTGAAGTTGTCTCTTGGCAAGAAAGGCCAAAGATCAAGGGGAATATTAAAAAGTAAATGTCAACTCTGGGCATTCTTAGAATGAAATTGAATCTCTGAGGTTCTGTCCATCATTTAATTGAAGTTGTTTTAGGAGGTGTACAGCTTGTAAATAATAAAATACAAATGCTCTCTAAAACTTTTATTTTTAATGTTTCACATAGATCCTCTCCTTTGGGCCATAGTGTGTTTCCATTTTAAAATGCAGCACCCAGAACTCAGTAGTTTGCCCAGTGCAATTATTAATCTCTGGTGTCCAGAACTTTGCTGCTACTTTACTACTACAGGACAAAAAATGCAGTGTAATGTCTGGTCCAACAGATGCAAATAGTTCCTTTCTCTTCTTTGCACATTCGGCCCACTTGAAAGAATCCTACTAATTATGGTCACAGAATTTTATTTTATTTTATTTTATTTTATTTTACTTTATTTTACTTTATTTTATTTTACTTTATTTAACTTTATTTATTTATTTGAGATGGAGTCTTGCTCTGTCGCCCAGGCTGGAGTGCAATGGTGCAATCTCAGCTCACTGCAACCTCCGTCTCCTGGGTTCAAGCAATTCTCCTGCCTCAGCCTCCCAAGTAGCTGGGATTACAGGCAGGTGCCACTGTCCCTGGCTAATTTTTGTATTTTTAGTAGAGACGGGGTTTCGCATGTTGGCCAGGCTGGTCTTGAACTCCTGACCTCAAGTGATCTGCCCACCTCGGCCTCCCACAGTGCTTGAATTACAGGCATGAGCCACCGCACCCAGCCTGGTCACGGAATTTTAAGTGAAAATAAGTAAAGCTGGAACATAGTCATGCTAAGGAGATGGTGACCCAGCAGATAAGGAATGTTTGCAGGAGGTGGCAATGTTTGGCCTGGAAAAGACTTTGAAAACTGTTATCTTCAAATAGTTGAAAAGATCTCATCTGGAAGAACGTTTAAACTCACTTGGAGTCCCAAGTGCAAAATGACAGATGATACTGTGAGGCAGAGTTCAAAACACTAAAAAGAGGAGTTTCTTAAAGCAGTTTCAGAAGTAAGCTCCACTGGCACAGTAGCTTGCACCTGTAATCTCAGCTACTGGGAAGGGTAAGGTAAGAGGATAGCTTGAGGCTAGGAGCTTAAGACCAGCCTGGGCAAAACAGTGAACCCCCCCCCCCACTCCCGACCCAGTCTCTAAAAAAAAAATAAAATGAGTAAAATTAAATAGAATAAAGTTAGCCAGGCATAGTAGCACACACCTGTAGTCTCAGCTATTCAGGAGGCTAAGGCAGAAGGATCACTTGAGCCCAGGAGTTCGAGGCTACGATGAGCTATGATCACACCACTGCACTCCAGCCTGGGCAACGGAGTGAGACTTCATCTCTTAAAAAAAAATTAAGAAAGAAGATGTAGGCTCTGTGGATTAGAGGAGGGGATAAACTATGTGCTTGGAAAATGCTGTCTAGCCTACCCCCTTTGGATATTCACAGCACACATTAGCATTTTGAAGTCCTGCCATCCTGAAAACAACCCAGGTGTTCTCAGTGGAGAACAGAGGCAGTGGGACGAATGGATTGTAACTAAGGAGTTCTCTATCAACAGCTACTTTTCCGTAATTCCATTTGGCTGCTATTGAACACAATTTGGCGTGTATCTCCTTAATATACATAATTCAGAGAGAATTTCTAACACTCGCAAGGGCAGATTCATTAAAGAGTTGTTAAGACTTCAATATAAGGTCCATCCAGTGTTCTCACAGAGATTATTAATTATAAATGACACACATGAACATGTGGCTTGTACACAGCACCTTTCAACTAAAAAAAGCACAACATACTTTTAAGTTAGTGTCTGCTATTATTTTTCTGAAATTTTATGCCTGCTGCCAAGTACTGTGTATTTTAAGAAATCTCTCATTGAAAATTACTTAAATGAAACAGTAACCCACAATCCTTCCAGCAAAGATTGAGCAAAAATTGATGCTGGTAGACTTCAAGGAGGACGTATCCTAGAGTCTCAAACAGAAATGGAAGTGACACTCTTTAGGGGATACTGTTGTGCTCTGGAGCATTGCGTGTCATCTTAAAAAATCCTTGAGCTGCCATCAAAAGAGAAGACAGGACAAGAGGAAGTGAGGAGGCCTGCTCTTGTTCCCATATTTCCCACTGCTCTCCCACAAGTATTCACTTCTCCATGGAATGTCCTAATAGTATTTTCTGGGCCCATTTTTAGCCATTTGGCTCTTCCTACTGGAACATCTGAATGCCCTTCCTTCCTACTCTATCTTTCTATCAATCCAGTCCTACATCTATCAAGACCCAACTAAAATGCTTTCTGCAGTTCTATGGTGATCACTTATTTTCTCTGAATTTCCATGTTATTTACAGTGTAGACTTTGGTAAGCTCCTTGAAGACACAGCCAGCTCTAATTTATGTGCCTATTCCCACTGAAGCTACACAGCATACACCTGGCACACAGTGATTATTTTTAAAACAGTCATTAGTAAATGGGAAAAAAAATAGTTTGCCTTCAAATAAAAACAACAGAAATAGAAGCAAACTTAAGCAAAAATAGAAGAACAACATGGAAACATTTTCTGATTTTTCTAAAAGTCACTCCCAAGTATATCAAGGCTCCAGCCTGCCCAAAAGGCAGCCTGACACAGATACCCTCTTCCCTCATCTGTCATCTTTCTCTTGATTTCTCCTTTGTGTTGCATATTTTAATGCAAAGACACTTGGTGCACAAAGGTCATAATAAGGATATCTTCACTGTGAATTATATCCATACCCAAATAAAATGGCATCCTATCCAGAGTCTCGCTCTGTCACCCAGGCTGGAGTGCAGTGGCACAATCTTGGCTCACTGCAACCTCCACCTTCCAGGTTCAAGCGATTCTCCTGCCTCAGCCTCCCGAGCAGCTGGGATTACAGGTGCCCGCCACCATGCCTGGCTAACTTTTATATTTTTAGTAGAGATGGGTTTCACCATGTTGGCCAGGCTGGTTTCAAACTCCCAAATTCGGGTGATCCACCTACCTCGGCCTCCCAAAGTCCCGGGATTACAGGTGTGAGCCACTGCACCCGGTCAGTGGCATCTCATCCCATTTAAAGCTTCTGTCATTAATTCTACTTTAATAATAAGATTTCCACCTTAGTTTTTTTCATGTTTGTTTGATAGGCCTTTATCTACATTTACACTCAGCCTTTTTTGTCATGTTCTGTAAGTGCTTCTTTTGAAAATAAACAGAATTTGTTTTTAGATTTCTTTTTTGCCCAACCTGAATTTTTATTCTCAAACAGAAGAGGATTTGCATTTCTTGCCATGAGTGAAATATTTGGCTTTCCTTCTGTCTTATGATTTACATGCTTTCTAGCTTGTGTTTCCTTCCATTTTGTGTGTGTGTACTGTGTTTCACATGTGGTTTCTGTGTTCTTTCTTTTTAATAGCTTCTCATCTTTCGGCAGATATATAATATGTTCTTCTACTAATAATTACCTCTGAGAGTTTCAAAAAACATTCTTTATTCTACATTTCTCAAATTATTAAAAAGTAAAAATAAATATGGTATTTTGTTCCCCTATGATTTCAGATAAATTTACCAAACTTTTCATCTCAACTCCCACCTCCCTAGCAACAGTATTTCTCCTTCCTGTTTTTGCAGATTAATCCAGATTTTAAAAATCAATTCAGATTTTTATTGTTATTTCAGTGTTTTATAATTCATACTTTTGATTGAGAATAAATCTTAAGATATATACAAATTTTATAACAAGATTTATACATCTTGTTAGATATTTCTAGCTTTAACCAGTTTCAATATTCACCACCATTCTATTCTATTACTATATAACTTCCCAATTCTTTTTCTTCTTTTCTTTCCTTTTCATTGATACATAATAATTGTACCTATTTATGAGTTACATGTGTTATTTTGATACATGCATACAGTGTTTAATGATCAAATCAGGATATTTAAGTTATCCATCACTTCAAACATTCATCATTTCTTTGTGTTGGGAATATTTCAAATCTTCTCTTCTAGCTGTACTTAACTTCCCTTTTCTTAAGCTCTTTGTTTTGTTTCTCAGTTGTTCAAAGTTTATTTTCAGTAATATTTTATCAAGAAGAAAACGTGAGTAGCAAATACATAAGGGAGCAAATTGTGATGGATCCCACTTGTTTAGCTAATGAGTCTCTTGCAGGTGGGGGCAGATTGGTGAGCAGAGATTAACTCAGGGCTTTCTGCTGGCTTTACTCAGATCCACTCTTTAGCATTGTTTCCCTGTCTGCTTTGCTCTCACTGAAGTTACTAGCACATTCTTGCCTTTTATATTAGTCTATAAAACCTAAAGACCTGGGCACTGCTGCTTTATGTTAGCAATTAAATCAGCTGCAGTATCAGGTCTGTCCTTCACTGCCTCTAAGAAGGATTTGGATTGTGAGATTTTATTTTTTGCTTCCCTATACCCCACACATCATTTCAGCATATTTTTAAAATTTCTTCTTTTGATTCCTTTATCATACTATCTGATTCTCTTGTATTTTATTGCCAACCACAAGCAGATGCTATTTATAATTGCCTTTTGTTTAATATAGTATAACCTTTCAAGGCATGTCTTTCCTTATGGCATTGTCTAAAGGGGTAAAGGAGACAGGTTGTGTAATGCAGTCACATAGACTGGCACATCGCAAATGTGACAACATAAATTCCAGAGGGCAGACACCATGGTGTGCTGTGTTCTCTGTGTTCTCTGGAGTGTCCTTAGCACTAAGCCCGGGACCTATTTAATAGTTGGCCAATATGAATTTGTTAAGTGAGTGAATGAGTGTTCAACCAGCAAGAAATATTATCATTAGAAATATGGTTATGATCATTTTTATGATACATAAGGCAAAATACCAAGAATTAAGAAGGTAGAATTGCAGATAACTCAAATAATCATTTATCCATCACACATGGACTAAGCACCAACTGTGTGAGGGGCCCTATACTGATATCTGGGAACGCCAAGTCTGACATCATCATAAATTCAAGTGAGAGACTGGGAAGTAGCAAAGGAAAGGGGAATAGACATTACCTAGAAAGTGGCAGAAAGGAGGAGCCCCTGCCACTATAAGCCGAAGGCCTGTGGGGCCTCCTTCCATGACTGACTCTTCAGTTGTAGGTGGGCAAGGTGGGCTCAACAAGCCTTCTGGTGCTCTCCCTGGCCTTCCAAGGCCATCCCACCCAGACCCCTATCCAGGTGATCAGACCGGAATGTCCTAAAGCCAAATTGCTAATGGGAGGATATCTGAACCCCATTTTGGGTACCAGTTTGTGGAAGTTGGGAAGCCAAAGGAACTGTTGGAGTCTAGTTTATCTCAATGACTTTGGTCATCGTACTACCACATATTTCTCTAAATCTGTTTTTCTTACTATGCATATGAGAGGTGACAGCGTGCTGGCAGTCCTCACAGCCCTTGCTCGCTCCCGGCGCCTCCTCTGCCTGGGCTCCTACTTTGGCGGCACTTGAGGAGCCCTTCAGCCCGCCGCTGCACTGTGGGGGCCCCATTCTGGGCTGGCCAAGGCCGGAGCCAGCTCCCTCAGCTTGCGGCGAGGTGTGGAGGGAGAGGCGTGGGCGGGAACCGGGGCTGCGCGCGGTGCTTGCGGGCCAGCGTGAGTTCCGGGTGGGCGTGGGCTTGGCAGACCCCGCCCTCGGAGAGGCCGGCCGGCCCCACCGGCCCCGGGCAGTGAGGGTCTTAGCACCTGGGCCAGCAGCTGCTGTGCTCAATTTCTCGCGGGGCCTTAGCTGCCTTCCCGCGGGGCAGGGCTGGGGACCTGCAGCCCGCCATGCCTGAGCCTCCCACCCCCTCCGTGGGTTCCTGTGCGGCTGGAGCCTCCCTGACGAGCGCCGCCCCCTGCTCCACGGCGCCCAATCCCATCGACCACCCAAGGGCTGAGGAGTGCTGGCGCAGGGCGCGGGACTGGCAGGCAGCTCCACCTGCAGCCCCGGTGCGGGATCCACTGGGTGAAGCCAGCTGGGCTCCTGAGTCTGGTGGGGACGTGGAGAACCTTTATGTCTGGCTAGGGGATTGTAAACACACCGATCGGCACTCTGCATCTAGCTCAAGGTTTGTAAACACACCAATCAGCATCCTGTGTCTAGCTCAGGGTTTGTGAATGCACCAATTGACACTCTGTATCTAGCTACTCTGGTGGGGACTTGGAGAACCTTTGTGTCCACACTCTTTATCTAGCTAATCTGGTGGGGACGTGGAGAACCTTTGTGTCTAGCTCAGGGATTGTAAACACACCAATCAGCGCCCTGTCAAAACAGACCCTCTGGGCTCTACCAATCAGCAGGATGTGGGTGGGGCCAAATAAGAGAATAAAAGCAGGCTGCCCTAGCCAGCAGTAGCAACCCGCTCGGATCCTCTTCCACGCTGTGGAAGCTTTGTTCTTTCGCTCTTTGCAATAAATCTTGCTACAGCTAACTCTTTGGGTCCACACTGCCCTTATGAGCTGTAACACTCACTGCAAAGGTCTGCAGCTTCTCTCTTGAAGCCAGCAAGACCACGAGCCCACCGGGAGGAAGGAACAACTCCAGACGCGTCGCCTTAAGAGCTGTAACACTCACCACGAACGTCTGCAGCTTCACTCCTGAGCCAGCGAGACCACGAACCCACCAGAAGGAAGAAACTCCGAACACATCCGAACATCAGAAGGAACAAACTCCGGACACGCCACCATTAAGAACTGTAACACTCACCGCGAGGGTCCGAGGCTTCATTCTTGAAGTCAGTGAGACCAAGAACCCACCAATTCCAGACACACATATATGCTAATCTTAGAAAGACATGGATACTATCTCCCCTCTCCACTCCATCCTTAAACATCTCATGACTATTAAGAATGAGAAAGGGACCAAGTGGCAAGAGAACATCTTCATATGCATACAACTTTCCAGAAAATAAAAATTTGCCAAGTTGTCAGACACTGCTTGTATCTTATCAGTGTAAGAAAAAAAAATACAGAACTTCCTTCCTGTAAACTGTTTATTTTACTATTAATAGTAATTGACTGAAGTCTTATATGATCAAATTCAGGGAGGGGGGAATATTTTTTAAGTCAGCCAAAGGAAAGAGGCTGTCTCTCTCAAATTACAGCTCATGATGTTTGCAAGTGCTTTGGTGATTTCTTGAACCACTGTGTAGAGATGATCTTTCAGGAAAGTAATGTTTTTCCTGCCCCTAAAAAGAGACTTGTATTGTAGGAGCCTTTTCAGATCATACCTTAGCAGAAAGAAGTGACCCACAGAAACATATTTTCAGTGACTAAATAATAGACCAGAAAGGGGAGAGTGTCTGATCATTTAAGGTGGTCTTTTGTTATATTTTTAGTCATTCCCTAGAGTTCACCAAATTGACACTATTTAGTAATATCACAGCACATATATTCTGAATACATATTTTCACGTTCTTCTGAGACAAGTTGTGTTTCATATATTTTATCCCTGTTCCATCCAGGAAGAAATAGAAATATTGCCCAGGTCAGAAGGACAGGAGGAGAAATTATCTGAGGTGGAGTTTTGGTGAAGTTTGAGGTGGACAGAAAGTAGACACAGCAATGAATCCTGGATGCACTTAAGAGTTTTCTTTACTTGAAGCTGCAAAGCCTTTTCCTGCCTGTGATATTGCTGATTCCTGCCTTCCTGCCTAAGGTTCAGACCAAGCCATGACAGACAAAGTTGAGAGGCTGCCTGCCTTTTGACTCATTCTTACTTCTGTGTGTAAAGGCTAGGAATCCACAGGAATAGGACATCTGCAGCTATAAACACAAAGAAGATGGAGACCAGTTGGAAAATGTCATCCTGCACTATCATTCAGCTGCCATAACAGGGAATGCTCCACTGACCTACTTTAGAATGGTCCTCTTTGTTGTGCAGCCACAGTGGATACCACATCATAAAATGACAGAACTGGGCCGGTAGTATAAAATAGGGCCGTCCTTTGTAAATGTCTGGGACTCAGTGAAACAGGCAGGTGTGTGTGTGTGTGTGTGTGTGTGTGTCTACATTGTGACCCACTTATTAAGGATAGAGGGAAGAGAAATATATGGTTAAATCCTGTTAAAGTGTTTTCTCCATAGCTTATCAAACACTATCTGATTGTTCAACCACAGAAACAAAGCAAGTATCATTCTATCACATGTTAAGCATAGCTTGGGAAGAAAATGCAGAAGCATATGGCAACCCTGCAGCCCCTGCCTCAACAACATTATAATAAATAAACATAGGAAGGCCCATACATACACATGTACATGTATGTGCATCACATACACACACGTGCGCACACACACACACACACTCCTGCCTCCAGTCAGGGAAGTATGTTTCTGTTGTCATAGCAAGACTGTGGTTTAAAGGGTTCATATCCACTTCAGCCTGTACCAGATCCTTTGCAATCTAAGATCCAGACACCATCCCTTCATTTATAATGTCATAAAGAGAAGTGCCAAGAATCACATATAATTCAAACTGATGAAGGACGATGAACGAGCCTGACTCTGTTGACCTGAAAGAACTATATCACTTTGCCTGATGTTATCCTAATATTTCTGTTTGTACGGAGATTTCAAGGAATTCCTTCTGAGTATCTATTTTCTTATTTTAAAAAATAGAAAAAAGACACCTATCTAATAGGTGTGTTGTCAAGTTTAAATGAGCCAGTACCCAAATGCAGTCGTGCTCAGTTATTAGTAACTTTCAAGGCACTTTGCTTCTTCCCTGTCTTAATGCCTTGCTCCCTGCTGTATAGGGACCATGCGAAGCTGCTGTGGGCCTCCCTGCTGTCTGGAGGTCTAGTCTCTTACATCAACTGCCAGAAGTTTGCTGCCCAGATGCCTTCTTGGTGCCAAAATGCTTAAATACATCCACAGTGAGACAAAGCATCTCCTCCCTCAGTAAAACTTGCCACTTCACTGATGTTCTCTCTCCTCTGAGGGCAGATGGCACCTCATCCTCAGCTACCTGGCCCCTTTATTGATAAATCCCTTCCATGACCACAGTGTCAGTGCTACTTCTGTGGCTTTTCTCTCATTGGCACCCACTTATCTTCCCCACAGCTCCCACCCTGATTCAAGCTTTAGTACATTTCATACAAACTCTTTCAAGAACTTCCTAAATTATGTTATTTCCCTCTGTCTATATCTCCTCATCCACTTAATATACTGCTGACATATCTCTTCTGGAAACAAACTGACGTCACATTACTGCTTTTCTCAAGAATATTTGCACTACCTCATTGCCCGAAGAATTACGATCATGCTGCCTAGTTTGACTTGCTCAAACCTCCGGTAACTAACAAAGGTTAAGTAAAAACTTTGTCTCATTGGATTCATAGAAAGTAAAACTTTGTTCAGTGCCCCTAACAGTCATCAACAGTGCCACAGGTGATCATCAGCAAATGGATCATCACAAACAAACAAACTCAAAATATAGACCTGCAAGAGACAGGAGAGAGGCAGGATCATGCCAAGGAGTCAGAGGGTTGGTGGATCAAGTGGTCTTGGACAACTGATTTACCTTCTCTCAATCTAAGTGTCTTTAAAATGAGAGCAGAAATAACAATACCTACATCATAGAATTTACTGACAACTACAGTAATACATGTGAAAGCATTTTGTGGACTATAAGACTTAAAACCTGTTCACTATTATTAAAGCTATCTTTATGTGTGAAAAGCAGGTTGATATTAACCGTATATCAAATTCCTAGGAAAGGAGTCTGGAAATAGGGAAAAGGGGTTGAGCATGAATTGGCCAGTCCATTCTTTGGAGACCTGAGGATCAATACAAATTCTTCAGCCTTGAGCTAGAAGAGCAATTCTGAAGCAAGCACATGAAATTGTGAACACTGCAGACTTCAGAAAAGAGGAGAAGAAGACAGCATAGCAGATATTATTAATACCGGGATCAGGGATGGCAAGTCCAGATGTTTCCCAGATGGTCGTGAGAAAATGATCATCCAGGAGGATACCTCCTCCTAAAACTTTAAGCAAAACACACAAAAGAGAAGAAAAGCCTACCAGCCATGGTATTAGGATGTGAACCAGTGACCCAGAGGGCAAAGGCTGTGGACTCCAACCACAAGGCCCTCAGCCAACCTAACTCTATTTGCTATTTTTAAAGCCAAGTGCGGGTGAGGGGCGGGGGAAGTAGAAAGAGTTTTTCCACTAGTAGTCAGGAACCGAAATAGGAAAGATCAACAGAGGCATTTATAAACAATGAATGCCATTAATTTTTTTAAAGCTAAGACAGGGTTGGAAAAGATGTAGTAGAGCAAGGAGTGGGGAACATAGGCAGGGAAAGATGGCCCTGGGGTCTTCACATTTTTAAAGGGTCCTTTCTGCTTGCTTGATGGCATTTCAAAAGTCACTGCTGAATTACTATATTATTGAATTTCCTGGAAAACTTGGAAACCATCTTGTTCAACTGAACTTGGACTAGGGGAGAGATGGAATGGGTTATTTTTCATTGAGGCCCCATACTAGAGTTCAACTGTGATAGAAAATATGCTCCCTTTCTTCCCCTTAAATAGAAAATTTTGTAACTATTGAGAGATATCTAAAGTTTAGGGGCAGTTTAAGTTGTAATGATCTAACTCCAAATATCAAGCTCTTTCTAAAATATCACAATGAGAAGACAGTGACAAGTAATCTAGGTCTCCCGTTGGGATGATGAGAAAGAGGGCATTTGTAAGCCCTGGTTCGAGCCATGTCTGCTTAACTTCCCAGCGTGGTGTGACAAGAAGACCATAAGACCATGAGGCTGGAGATTAGTATTTTAATTCCAGCTCTGCGTGAAGGAACAGTGTGATATCTACCAAATCACTTTGCTTCTCTGAGCCCTAGTTTATCGGTAAAATGAGAGGGTTGGCTAGATCTGGGAGGGCAAACCAACTTCCATACTAATTGATTGAAAGTGCCTCACCAAAGAAGCTTCTAAAGCTGCACCTCAATTTAGAGAAAAAATTGTCATGGATTAGAGATGTTTGTCATGTACCCCAAATGAAGGACTTCAACACGTATGTATTTGCATTTCCTAGGCTGCTGATCTATAAGCCAGGACATCTCAGAAATTTAGTGAGTATCTAAGTCACCCGGAAGTCTTGTTAGAATACACAATTCTGATTTAGTGGATCTGGTTAGGCCCTGAGATTCTGCATTCCTAACAGGGTCTCAGGTAATGCTAGTGATGCTAGTCCATGAACTACACTTTTAGTTGCAAGGCTTTAACATATCTCCCTGACAAAATTCTCTGAAACTAAAATTCAGCAAGTAACTTATAAGAGTTATGTGAAAGGCATTAGGTACTGGGGAGAGAGAAAAGGAAATACAAAATTAGTTGAGAAAAGAACTAATTTTAGTTTTTAATAACATCTTTACTTAGTTTCTTGCATACATATTCATCTAATTATTTCTTTTTTTCCCCACAGATGCTTCATATATACAGATTATCCTGGTAAATAATTGGGGATACACATAAAAACACCTGAACCAAAGCATATACAAAGTACTAGGGAAAGCCACAAGTGGAAACAATAGTTCTACCTCAGGAGGAAGAGGTCAATGAAAGTTCCATGAAGAATGTAGTATTTGAGTTGGGTATTGAAGGATGAATAGGAGTTAATGACTCTCTACCAAACTATCTACAGTTCTTAGCAGCAATATCCTGTTGTGTACCAAGAATCAAAACATCCCATATTTTCTTTAAAATAAAAGCATGACAGAATCAATTTTTAATTTTCCAGAAGTTAATACATAGTGTACAGATTGCTCTAGCTTAACCATTGTCTCTCTTTTAATGAACTCCTCATTTAGGAGGCACCATATCCAAAAGGAAAATCAAATGGTTTCATGATTTGGTTTTCGTCAGAAACAGTATTTTAAAAGACTTCTCGGCCAGTTTATTCTTTTATTCCTGATTTCCAAATTATGATAGATCAAAGAACTGGTATCTTGGCAAAACCAGAAAATCTAGCTAGAAGGTTTCAGGTAAGGCTAGTTGATGAAAGAGGGGGAGAATAACTAAGTAAAGGACACCAGACAGAAATGCAATGTCAGGTATGCATTAAGTCAGACCTCCTTTAGGATTCTAGCTCTACCACTCACTAACTAGTTAATCTAGTAACATTGTTTAAACTCTCTGATCCTCAATTTTCCATCTGTTAAGTGAGGAATAATAGCTAACTTCAAAGAACCATGTTAGAGAAAGTGTATGCAGTCTCTACTTGGCAACCTTGAGCACAGTCCTGTGTCAAGTGACCTTGATCTTTATTATCTCTCAGTTTCAACCCTTCAGGAATAAAGATGAATAGTTCTTCTATGCAAAGGAAAGAAGAGGGAATCTGTAATCAGGATACCTGTGTTCAGATCTCATCTCTGCCCCATTCTTGCCCTATAGCCTTAGACCAAGCACTTCCCTCAGCTTGGAAGAACCTGAGGAACCTCAAGCCAGGTTCCTCAGCTATTAAAAAAAATAGCTGAAAACAACTTTTGCTCTACATTGCTGGTTTTCAACTGGAGCAATTTGCCTCATACTTTAGCAAATAAAAAGATACAACACCCAGTTAAATTTGAAATTCAGATAAACGACAAATTTTTTTAATAGGTCACTGGCAATATTTGGGACACACTTGTCCCATGCAATATTTGGGAAACACTAACACACAAAAAAATTTATTATATGAAATTAAAATCTAATTGAACTTTCTGTATTTTATCTGGCAACCCTACCCCCAGGGGACATTTGGCAATTTCTGGAGATATTTATGGTTGTTACAACTGTAGGAGAAGGGGTGCTGCCGGCATTAGTGGGTAGAGGCCAGGGATGCTGCTAACTATGCACAGGGCAGCCCTGCACACATACACAGAACAAAGAATTACCAGGCCTCAGTGTCAGTAGTGCAGAGGCTGGAAAACCTCGGTCAGAAAATGTGGATTAAAAAACATGCTTTGAAGTTTATAAAGCATTGAAAACTAACTAATATGGTTAAAAGTCCATACTACCCAAAGCGATTTACAGATTCAATGCAATCCCTATCAAAATTTTCAAATGTCTTTCTCATAGATGTATAAAACACAATTCTAAAATTCATAGGAAACCACAAAAAAATCCTGAATAGCCAATTCTTCAAAAATAATAACATTTCCTTTCAAAAATATGTAGTGTTTTATTTCTTAATATAAGAAAATATGCTCACTATGGAAAATGAGGAAATATGAGTAAGCAAAAACAAGAACAAGAGGAATTACAATTCCACAATCCAGATAGACATATTATTAACATCTTGGTGTGTGCCCTGCTAGACTTTTTTACATGTATGTATATGCATATTTTGAATGAGAGTTTTCTAAATATTTTGCATGTACTTTTCAATATTTATTTTTAGAATCATTTTATGAAGTTCCCCACCCAAATCCCATTGATATTTCAACTCGAATTCTGGTAAATCTGCAGAACCACTTGAAAATTGGCATCCCTTCAAGAAATGTTTTTCTTATTTAATAAGCATGCTGAGTATTATTAATATCAGACACCTTTGCATTTTTTCAAACTTAAATAGGAATTCATTCAGCAAATACTTATGGAGTATCTCCTCTTGTGCTAAACCCTGTTCTGAACACTTGGGATGCATCAATGAACAAACCAGGCAAAGATCTTCGCTCTCAAAGAGTTGACATTTTAACTGGGGAGACGATGGATGGATGATGGATGAATGGATGGATAGAGATGAATAGATAGGTAAGAAGGTGATTGATGATAGGTAGATAGATAATTTTCTAAGGTGATAAATGATATGGAAAGAAGGAAAATGTAAAACAAACAAGAAGAGAAAGAAGTGCAGAGGCAGGGGGCAGGTTGCAGTATCACATGAGGTGGTCAGAATGAGAGTCATCAAGAAGATAATATGAGTAAATTTTGCAGAAAATGAAGGAACTCCTGGGAAGAAGCATTCCAAGTGAATGAAACAGCTAGAGCAAACCTCAAAGCAGAGCATACTTGGTGTCTTTAAGTAACAGCCACAGGCCAGTGTGGGTCTAAAACAGAGAGAATAAAGAATACAGAGTAAAGGAGCAGAGAGATCTTGTGCAACTCTGTAGGCCACTGCAAGGACTTTGGCTTTTATTCTGTAGGGTAATTAACAGGACATGGATCTAATTATACTTGCAAATGGTTGGTGTTGCTGTTATGTGAAAAATAGACTTCAATGGCGTGGGGGCGAGGATTGACGCAAGCAGAACAGTTAGGAGGCTATTACAGTAATTCAGGTAAGAGATAAAGGTACAGCAGGAAGAATAGAGACAGGGTCAGATTGTTCATATATTTTGAATGACTCCAACAGGATTGATTTTCTACATGTTGGCTGTATGGGAAAAATAGGAGATGGGGATGCTTCCAAGGTTTCTGGACTAAGCAACTTGAAAAATGGAGTTTCCATCAACTTAGATAGGGAAACTGTCTACTATAAGTTTTGGAGTACGTGAAGTTGTGTAGATTCTGGAGTATGCATTGGGGGAAAATTCAGTGTTAGTCACGTTAAAATTGAAATGTTTATTTGACAGCCAAGCCAAAAGAAATAAGTGTCAAGCAGTCAGGTGTATAAGTAGGTCTGGAGTTTGAGAGTCTTGTCTAGATTAGAGATATAATTTTGAAATAATCATCATATAAATAGTATTTAAAGGCATAAGACCTTTGGATATGAGCCAGGGAGTAAGTATAGACAGAGAAGAGGACCAATGACTGAGCCCTGGAGCCCTCCAATGTTAAAAAGTTGGGTAGAAGAGGAGGAACTAGCAAAGGGACTGGGAAGGAGTGACCAGTGTGGTAGGTGTAAGCCAAGAAAATGTGTTGTCTTCAAAGCCAAAAAGGAAAATAGATTGAGGAGAGAATGATCAGCCTTGTCAAATGTTGTTGATAGCTCAATTATGGGAAAGACTTTGACTGTGGCACTTAGCCAAGTGGATCATGGTGTCTAGTAACCTTGATGAGAGCAATTTTTGTGGATGGTAAGGAAGAGATTCTAATGTTTCCACATTACATATCATAGAAATTTATTTCACATGTGTATTCCTTATTATAATAGGGAAGTACCCTTCTGTCCCATATTTAGTCACAGTTTATGTCAGAATGAGAAGTCTATTTATATGATTGTTATAATATAACAATTTTATATGATTGTTAGGTTGACAGCTATTTTTCATAATAAGTGATCTTTGCATTCCTGGGAAAAAAAACCTGACAAGATCATGTGACTCTTCTTTCTGTACAAGGTGGACTTTGTTTTGCTAACATTGGATTTAAAATTTTTACACTTATAAGTAAGATTGATCTGTAGTTTCTCTTCTTTGCTTCGAGAAATTTTGGTTTCATTTTTAGTGCAACTTATAAAATTAATTAAGAAGCTTTTTTGTTATATTGTGCAACTTCATAGAAGGGAATTCTCTCAATGATTTGATAAAAAGCTATTCTTACAATTGTGTAGACAAGGTACCTTTTGGCAGGGGTTCCTGAAATAATTTTTCTTTTAATTTCATCCTCAGTCATTAGGCTAGTAAAGTCTTCTCTCTGTCCTCCTTGCACCTTTGATGGAATATATTGGAGCCGGGCTTTGAATCCAGGAATGTGTGGCTCTAAAATCCATCCAAAATCCTGAAACACAAGAAGCATACGTCTGTGTCTATAACAAAATCTCTCATTTTAATTTTTTTTAATTTTTTTTGGTAGTTTTTCTTTTTTTTTTTAATTATACTTTAAGTTTTCGGGTACATGTATGTGCACATCGTGCAGGTTAGTTACATATATATACATGTGCCATGTTGGTGTGCTGAACCCATTAACTCGTCATTCAACATTAGGTATATCTCCAAATGCTATCCCTCCCCCCTCCCCCCACCCCACAACAGGCCCCAGTGTGCGATGTTCCCCTTCCTGTGTCCATGTGATCTCATTGTTCAATTCCCACCTATGAGTGAGAACATGCGGTGTTTGGTTTTTTGTCCTTGCGATAGTTTACTGAGAATGATGGTTTCCAGCTTCATCCATGTCCCTCCCTACAAAGGACATGAACTCATCCTTTTTTATGGCTGCATAGTATTCCATGATGTATATGTGCCACATTCTCTTAATCCAGTCTATCATTGTTGGACATTTGGGTTGGTTCCAAGTCTTTGCTATTGTGAATAGTGCCACAGTAAACATACGTGTGCATGTGTCTTTATAGCAGCATGATTTATAATCCTTTGGGTATATACCCAGTAATGGGATTGCTGGGTCAAATGGTATTTCTAGTTCTAGATCCCTGAGGAATCGCCACACTGACTTGCACAATGGTTGAACTAGTTTACAGTCCCACCAACAGTGTAAAAGTGTTCCTATTTATGCACATCCTCTCCAGCACCTGTTGTTTCCTGACTCTTTAATGATCGCCATTCTAACTGGTGTGAGATGGTATCTCATTGTGGTTTTGATTTGCATTTCTCTGATGGCCAGTGATGATGAGCATTTTTTCATGTGTCTTTTGGCTGCATAAATGTCTTCTTTTGAGAAGTGTCTGTTCATATTATTTGCCCACTTTTTGATGGGGTTGTTTGTTTTTTTCTTGTAAACTTGTTGGAGTTCATTGTAGATTCTGGACATTAGCACTTTGTCAGATTATTTTTAATTTATTTTTTTATTTCAATAGATTTTCAGGGAACAGGTGGCTTTGGTTACATAATAAGTTCTTTAGTGGTGATTTCTGAGATTTTGGTGTACCTATTACTTGAGCAGTGTACACTGTACCAATGTGCCGTCCTTTATCCCTCACCCCTGCAAACTCTTTCCCCCAAGTCCCCGAAGTCCAATGTATCTTTCTTATGCCTTTGCCTTTTCAAAGCTTAGCTCCCACATATTAGTGAGATCATATGATGTTTGGTTTTCCATTCCTGAGTTATTTCCATTCCTGAGTTATTGGAACAATAGTCTCCGATTCCATCCAGGTTGCTATGAATGACATTATTTTGTTCCTTTTTATGGTTGAGTAGTATTCCATGGTGTGTGTGTGTGTGTGTATTTTTTTTTTTACACATTTTCTTTATCCACTAGTTGATTGATGGGCATTTGGGCTGGTCCCACATTTTTGCAGTTGTGACTTGTGCTTCTGTAAACATGCATGTGCACGTGTCTTTTTCGTATCATGACTTTTCCTCAGGGTAAATAGCCAGTACTGGGATTGCTGAATCAAGCAGTACATCTACTTTTAGTTCTTTACAGAGTCTCCACAGTTTTCCATAGTGTTTGTACTCATTTACATTCCTACCAACAGTGTAAAAGTGTTCCCTTTTCACTACATCCATACCAACATCTATTTTTTAAATGTTTTTATTATGACCATTCTTGCAGGAGTGAGGTGGTATCACATTGTGGTTTTGATTTGCATTTCCCTGATAATTAGTGATGTTGAACATTTTTTCATATGTTTGTTGGCCATTTCTATATCTTCTCTAGAGAGCTGTCTATTCATGTCCTTAACCGACTTTTTGATGAGATTGTTTATTTTCTTCCTGATTTGTTTGAGTTCCTTGTAGATTCTGGATATTAGTCCTTTGTTGGAGGTATACATTGTGAAGATTTTCTCCCATTCTGTGGGCTGTGTGTTAACTCTGATGATTATTTATGTTGCTGTGAAGAAGCTTTTTAGTTTAACTAAGTCCCATCTATTTATCTTTGTTTTTGCTGCATTTGCTTTTGGGTTCTTGGTCATGAAGTCTTTGCCTAAGCCAATATCTAGAAGGGTTTTTCCAATGTTATTTTCTAGAATATTGTATTACTCAGGGTTCTCTTAGAGGGACAGAACTAACAGTACTAAAGGGGAATTTATTAAATATTAACTTACATGATCACAAGGTCCCACAACAGGCTGTCTGCAAGCTGAGGTGCAAGGAGAGCCACTCTGAGTCCCAAAACTGAAGAACTTGGAGACCGATGTTTGAGGGCAGGAAGCATCCAGCATGGGAGAAAGAGGTAGGCTGGGAGGCTAGGCCCATCTCTCTTTTACAAATTTTTCTGCCTGATTTATATTCACTGGAAGCTGATTAGATTGTGCCCACCAGATTAAGGGTGGATCTACCTTCCCCCGCCCACTGATTCAAATGTTAATCTCTTTTGGCAACACCCACCCAGACACACCCAGGATTAATACTTTGTATCCCTCAATCCAATCAAGCTGACACTCACATTCAGTATTAATCATCATAAATATTTATGGTTTCAGGTCTTAGATTTAAATATTTGATCCATCTTAAGTTGATTTTTGTATAAGGTGAGAGATGAGGATCCAATTTCATTCTTCTACATGTGACTTGCAATTATCCCAGCACCATTTGTTGAATAGGATGTCTTTTCTCCACTGTATGTTTTTCTTTGCTTTGTCACAGAGATCAAGTGGCTGTAAGTATATGGCTTTATTTCTGGGTTCTATATTCTGTTTCATTGGTCTATGTGCCTATTTTTATACCAGTACCATGCTGTTTTGGTGACTATGGCTTTATAGTATAGTTGGAAGTTGGGTAATATGATGCTTCCAGATTTGTTCTTTTTGCTTAGTCTTGCTTTGTCTATGTGGGCTCTTTTTTGGTTTCATATGAATTCTAGGATTGTTTTTTTCTAGTTCTGTGAAGAATGGTGTTGGTATTTTAATGGGAATTGCATTGAATTTATAGATTGCTTTTGGCAATATGGTCATTTTCCCAATATTGATTAAACCCATTCATGAACATGAGATGTGTTTCCATTTGTTTGTGTCATCTATGATTTCTTTCAGCAGTGCTTTGTAGTTTTTCTTGCAGCTATTCTGGAATGGATTGAGTTCTTTACTTGATTCTCAGCTTGGTCACTGTTGGTATATAGCAGAGCTATTGATTTGGGTACATTAGGTTTGTATCCTAAAACTTTGCTGGATTCATTTATCAATTCTAGGAGCTTTTTGGATGACTCTTTAGGGTTTTCTAGGTATAGGATTGTATCATCAGCAAATAGCGACAGTTTGACTTCCTTTTTACTGATTTGGATGCCCTTTATTTCTTTCTCTTGTCTGATTGCTCTGGCTAGGTCTTCCACTACTATGTTGAATAGAAATGTTGAAAGTGGGCATCCTAGTCTTGTTCCAGTTCTCGGGGGGAATGCTTTCAACTTTCCCTTGTTCAATATAAATGTGGGCTGTGTGTCATAAATGGCTTTTATTACCTTAAGGTATGTCCCTTCTATGCTTACTTTGCTGAGGGTTTTAATCATAAAGTGATGCTGGATTTTGTCAAATGCATTTTCTGTGTCTATTGAGATGATCGTGTAATTTTCATTTTTAATTCTGTTTATGTGGTGTATCACATTTATTGACTTACATATGTTAAACCATCCCTGCATCCCTGGTATGAAACCTACTTGATCATGGTAAATTATCTTTTTAATATACTGTTGGATCTGGTTCACTAGTATTTTGTTGAAGATTTTTGCATCTATATTCATCAGGGATATTGGTCTGTAGTTTTCTTTATTTGTTACATTCTTCCCTGGTTTTGGTATTGGGGTGATTCTGGATTCATAGAATGATTTAGGGAGAATTTACTGTTTCTCCGTCTTTTGGAATAGTGTCAATAGGATTGGTACCAATTCTTTGAATGTCTCTGATAGAATTCAGCTATGAATCTGTGCGGTTCTGGACTTTTTTTGTTGGCAATTTTTTTGTTGCCATTTCAGTCTCACTGCTTGTTAATTGGTCTGTTCAGAGGTTTTATATTTTCCTGGTTTAATCTAAGAGGGTTGTATATTTCCAGGAATTTATCCATCTCCTCTAGGTTTTCTAGATTATCCACATAAAGGCATTCATAGTAACCTTGAATAATCTTTTGTATTTCTGTGGTATCAGTTGTCATATCTCCTGTATCATAGGCAATTGAGCTTATTTGGATCTTTTTTCTTGGCTAATCTCGCTAATGCTCTATCAATTTTATTTATTTTTTCAAAGAGCCAGCTTTTTGTTTCATTTACCTTTTGTATTGTTTTGTTAATATTGTTATTTCAGTTTCATTTAGTTCTGCTCTGATCTTTGTTATTTCTTTTCTTTTGCTGTGTTTGGGTTCAGATTTTTCTTGTTTCTCCAGTTCCTTGAGTTGTGACCTCAGATTGTCTATTTGGGCTCTATCAGACTTTTTGATGTAGGTATTTAAATGCTATGAACTTTCCTCTTAGCACCACTTTTGCTGTATCCCAGAGGTTTTGATAGGTTGTGTCACTATTGTCATTAAGTTCAAATAATTTTTTAATTTCCATCTTGATTTCATTGTTGACCCAACAATCATTCAGGAGCAGGTTATTTAATTTCCCTGTATTTGCATGGTTTCAAGGGTTCCTTTTGGAGTTGATTTCTAAAATCAACTGTGATCCACTGTGATCTGAGAGAGTACTTGATATAGTTTTAATTTTATTGCACTGTGATCTGAGAGAGTACTTGATATAATTTTAATTTTCTTAAATTTACTGAGACTTGTTTTGTGGCCTATCATATGGTCTATCCTGGAGAATGTTCCATGTGCTGATGAACAGAATGTATATTCTGTAGTTGTTGGGTAGAATGTTCTGTAAATATCTGTTAAGGCCATTTGTTGTAGGATATAGTTTAAGTCCATTGTTTCTTTGTTGACTTTCTGTCTTAATGGCCTGTCTAGTGTTGTCAGTGGAGTATTAAAGTCTCCCATTATTATTGTGTTGCTGTCTATCTCATTTATTAGGTCTAGTAGTAATTGTTTTATAAATGTGGGAGCTCCTGTGTTAGGTGCACATATATTTATATATATATTTATATATTTATAGGTGCATATATATTTATATGCACCTGCTGTTATATTTAGGATTGTGATACTTTCCTGTTGGACTAGTCCTTTTATCATTATATATATAAAATACATATATATGTATATATATATAAAATACATATATGTGTGTGTGTGTGTGTGTGTGTTTGTGTGTGTTTATATTTAGAATTGTGATATTTTCCTGTTGGACTAGTTCTTTTATCATTATATAATGTTCCTCTTCTTCTTTTTTAACTGCATTTGCTTTAAAGTTTGTTTTGTCTTATGTAAGAATAGCTACTCTTGCTCACTTTTGGTGTCCAATTGCATGTAAAATCTTTTTCCACCCCTTTACCTTAAGTTTATGTGAGTCCTTATGTATTAGCTGAGTCTCCTGAAGACAGCAGAAACTTGGTTGGTAAATTCTAATCCATTCTCCCATTCTGTATATTTTAAGTGGAGCATTTAGGTCATTTACATTCAATGTTGGTATTGAGATGTGAGATTCTATTCTATTCATCGTGCTATTTGTTGACTGAATACCTTTTTTTTCATTGTGTTATTGTTATATAGGTCCTGTGAGATTTATGATGTAAGGAGGTTCTATTTTGGTGTATTTCAATGATTTGTTTCAGGATTGAGAGGTCCTTTTAGCAGTTCTTGCAGTGCTGGCTTGGTAGTGGCTAATTCTCAGCATTTGTTTGCCTGGAAAGACTGTATCTTTCCTTCATTTATGAAGCTTAGTTTTGCTGGATAAAAAATTACTGGCTGATAATTGTTCTGTTTAAGGAGGCTACAAATAGGACCTTAATCCCTTCCAGCTTATAAGATTTGGGCTGAGAAATCTGCTGTTAATCTGATAGGTTTTCATTTATAGGTTATCTGATGTTTTTGACTCAAGGATTCTTTCCTTTGTCTTGACTTTACATAAACTGATGACAATGTGCCCAGGCAATGATCTTTTGTGATGAATTTCCCAGGTGTTCTTTGAGCTTCTTGTATTCAGATGTCTAGATCTCTAGCAAGGCCAGGGAAGTTTTCCTTGATTATTCCCTCAAATATGCTTTCTAAACTTGTAGATTTCTCTTCTTCCCCGGGAAGCCCAATTACTTTCAGGTTTGGATGTCCCAAACTTCTTGGAGTCTTTGTTCATTTTTTTTTTATTTTTTTTTATTTTTCTTTGATGGATTGGGTTAATTCGAAAGCCTTGTCTTCAAGCTCTGAAATTCTTTCTTGTGCTTGTTTGATTCTATTGTCAAGACTTTCCAGTGCATTTTGCATTTTTTTAAGTGTCCTTGATTTTCAGAAGTTGTGATTGTTTTTCATTTATGCTACCTATTTCACTGAACAATTTTGCATTCATATCCTGTATCATGTTTTTTATTTCTTTAAGTTGGAGTGAACCTTTCTCTGGTGCCTCCTTGATTAGCTTAATAATTGACCTGAATTTTTTTTCTGGCAATTCAGAGATTTCATCTTGGTTTAGATTCATTACCAGTGAGCTGGTATGATCTTTTGGAGGTGTTAAAGAACCTTGTTTTGTCATATTACCAGAATTGTTTTTCTGGTTCTTTCTCATTTGAGTAGACTATGTCAGAGGGGAGATTTAGGATTCAAGGGCTGCTGTGAGATTCTTTTGTCCCACGGGGTGCTCCCTTGATGTGGTATTCTCCTGTTTCCCCTAGGAATGGGGCTTCCTGAAAGCCAAACAGTAGTGATCATTTTTGCTTTTCTGAGTCTAGTCAGCCAGCAGAGCTACCAGGCTCCAAGCTGGTACTGGGGAGTATCTGGAAAGAGTCCTGTGACGTGATCCATCTTCGGTCTTTCAGCTATGGATTCCAGCACCGGCTCCAGTGGAGGTAGCTGGGGAGTGAAGCGGACTCTGAGTCCTTGGTTATGTTTCTGTTTATTGCACTGGTTTTGTGTTGGTTGGCCTCCAGCCAGGAGGTGGCACCTTCAAGAGCACATCAGCTTTCATCAGTTTTTCATGTGTCAGGGAGTCTGTAGCAGTGATCCAGTTTCTTCGAAAGGTCTATTGATTCTCTCAGCTTTCCTGGTATGCTCCTGTGGTAGTTCTTAGAGCAAAAGTTCATGATGTGAGTCTGCACAAGCTGCTGTCTCCCCAAGTGGGATCTGCAAGCTAGTCCTGCCTCCTGTCTGCCATCTTCAAAATCTCCCATTTTAAATGCTATCAAAAATGACTGCCAATGATTTCTCCCAAGAGGCTGATCTTGCCAGATTTTGAAGTTCATGAAGTATGGCCAGAATTCTTGATTTGGTGCAAAAATTTTCACGTTACCTACTTTTATGTTTAAAGTGAACTTTTATAAAGCAAGGATCAACTTAATTGCTTATAAATTAAGATATAAGGGAGGAATTTGGAAGTTGTTTATAGTGGAGAGTAGAGTGCTGTCTATAGACCTGTTGTATTAGTCCATTTTCATGATGCTGATAAAGACATACCCGAAACTGGGAAGAAAAAGAGGTTTAATTGGACTTACAGTTCCACATGGCTGGGGAAGCCTCAGAATCATGGCAGGAGGCAAAAGGCACTTCTTACATGGCAGCAGCAAGAGAGAATGAGGAGGAAGAAAAAGCAGAAACCCCTGATAAACCTATCAGTTCTCGTGAGACTTATTCACTATCACAAGAATAGCAAGAGAAAGACCAGCCCCCATGTTTCAATTACCTCCCACTTGGTCCCTCCCACAACACATGGGAATTCTGGGAGATACAATTCAAGTTGAGATTTGGATGTGAGCACAGCCAAACCATATCATTCCACCCCTAACCCCTTCCAAATCTCATGTCCTCACATTTCAAAACCAATCATGCTTTCCCAACAGTCCCCCAAAGTCTTCACTCATTTCAGCATTAACCCAAAAGTCCACAGTTCAAAGTCTCATCTGAGACAAGGCAAGTCCCTTCCGCCTATGAGCCTGTAAAATCAAAAGGGAGCTAGTTACTTCCTATAATGGGGGTACAGGTGTTAGGTAAATATAGCTGTTCCAGATGGGAGAAATTGGCCAAAACAAAGGAGTTAAGGGCCCATGCAAGTCCAAAATTCAGTGGGGCTGTCAAATTTTAAAGCTCCAAAATGATCTCCTTTGACTCCAAGTCTCATATCCAGGCCATGCTGATGCAAGAGGTGGGTTCCCATGGTCTTGGGCAGCTCTGCCCCTGTGGGTATGCAGAGTACACCCTCCCTCCCAGCTGCTTTCATAGGCTGGCATTCAGTGTCTGCTACTTTTCCAGGCACACGGTGCAAGCTGTCAGTGGATCTACCATTCTGGAGTCTTGAGGATGGTGGCCCTCTTCTCACAGCTCCACTAGGCAGTGCCCCAGTAGGGACTCTGTGTGGGACTCTGTGTGGGGTCTCCCACCCCACATTTCCCTTCTGCATTGCCCTGGCTGAGGTTCTCCATAAGGGCCCCGCCCCTGCAGCAAACTTTTGCCTGCACATCCAGGCGTTTCCCTACATCTTCTGAAATCTAGGCGGAGGTTCCCAAACCTCAGTTCTTGACTTCTGTGCACCCACAGGCTCAACACCACATAGAAGCTGCCACGGCTTGGGGCTTCCACCCTCTGAAACCACAGCCCAAGCTCTACATTGGCCCCTTTCAGCCATGGCTGGAGTGACTGGGACACAGGGCACCAAGTCCCTAGCGTGGGGGCCCTGGGCCCGGCCCACGAAACCACTTCTTCTTCCTGTGCCTCCAGGCCTGTGATGGGAGGGGCTGCCATGAAGACCTCTGATATGCCCTGGAGACATTTTCCCCATGGTCTTGGGAATTAACACTGGGATCCTTGCTACTTAAGCAAATTTCAACAGCCAGCTTGAATTTCTCCCCAGAAAATGGGTTTTTCTTTTCTATAGCATAGTGCGGCTGCACATTTTCTGAACTTTGATGCTGTTTCCCTTTTAAAACTGAATGCTTTTAACAGCACCCAAGTCACCTCTTGAATGCTTTGCTGCTTAGAAACTTCTTCCACCAGATACCCTAAATCATCTTTCTCAAGCTCAAAGTTCCACAGATCTCTAGGGCAGGGGCAAAATGCCACCCAGTCTCTTTGCTAAAACATAACAAAAGTCACCTTTGCTCCAGTTCCCAACAAGTTCCTCATCTCCACCTGAGACCACCTCAGCCTGGATCTTATTATCCATATCGCTATCAGCATTTTGGGCAAAGCCATTCAACAAGTCTTTAGGAAGTTCCAAACTTTCCCACCTTTTCTTGTCTTCTTCTGAGCCCTCCAAACTGTTCCAGCCTCTGCCTATTATGCAGTTCCAAAGTCACTCCCACATTTTCAGGTATCTTTTCAGCAATGCCCCACTCTACTGGTACCAATTTACTGTATTAGTCTGTTTTCATGCTGCTGATAAAGACATACCTGAAACTGGAAACAAAAAGAGATTTAATTGGACTTATAGTTCCACATGGCTGGAGAAGCCTCAGAATCATGGCGGGAGGCAAAAGGCACTTCTTACATGGCAGCAACAAGAGAAAATGAGGAGGAAGCCAAAGCAGAAACCCCTGATAAACCCATCAGATCTCATGAGACTTATTCACTATCACAAGAATAGCACAGGAAAGACCGGCTGCATGATTCAATTACCTCCCCCTGGGTCCTTCCCACAACACATGGGAATTCTGGGAGATACAATTCAAGTTGAGATTTGGGTGGGGGCACAGGCAAACCATATAGCCTGTGCTTTATCTGAGGTCATGCCTGATCACAGGTGACATACCTGAGTTAGCTATGTGCAGTTCAGCCTAAAGAATCTGGAAATCATGACCTCAGGAAAATCACTATGGGGAATTGCAGATGATACACCCTCTAGCCATCACACCACTTACTTTTGCATGGAGATGTATGTTTTCCAAAGAGACGGCCCCTTCATTTTCCCATTTTGTGCTCATGACAGCCTTTCTCAGATGCACAGACTGAGGCTCAGAGATCAAGTGCCTGGTTCAAAGTCTCAGAGCTGAATACTATTACCTAAGTTTGTTGATGCCTTAAGCATGACTTTTACCACTCCGCCATGGTGTCTTTATAAACTATATATGTATGTACATACACATACATATTCACATATGAACACCCAAATATAATATAATTTATACATAGAGGTTTTAAAAATTGGTAAAACTGTTATCCTACTTTTTTTACTTCTGTATTCCTACATTTGAACTTCGTCACCCTGGCTTCACTCTTCGAAGCTTTTAAAAGAATCAACAAAGCCGAGAACATTGTTTTTATTAAATAAGGACTTTCATCAATATCATTTTAAAAAACAAAAATAAGCCCCTGAATAGGTAGGTGTGTGACAAAACTAGAAAGAGCAGCATACACTTACATTGGCTACTGCATCTGCACCTTTAACTTCTAATATGTTAGTGATAGTGTATGTAATCACCAGCTTGGAGGGCTTAGCAATAGCGTGTGCATGCTACATATTTTCAAAGGCCTATACTGGGCTGTAGTATATATAGTGGGCTGTAGAACCTTATAGGAATCTATTATGGGTACCCACATCCCTACAGCAGCTGGCCACCCTGAAAATTCCTGTTCACATTTGTCAACTATGAGACCCCATATGTAACCCATCACAAATGTGATGAGAATCACATTTCTCTTCCAAAGAGACAAATGTCCCTTCCAAAGAGGGTATTGGGCCAGGATAGTTGCAGCCCCAGAATCTTCTAAGGTAAACTTTTGGCACCTGCAAACTCTTGCTACTTCTCTCTCAACTTCATCCTCATTGACCATGGTTACATATACATATTTTAATTTTATCTTTATCATAGACAGTGTTGAGAGACCCACAGATGCCCTTTCACTTTCAGTGGAAGAAATCTAGACCAGAACAGAGTAGAGATCTCTCAGCGTGCAGATGGCTGGCAGAGGCAATGAGGAGAAGGGAAGTGAGCTGGGCTTCAGAGTTGTGTAGACCCAGACCCTAGTCCTGTTCCTGTCCTCACTAGCTGCATATTGTTGGGCCTTCATACACAACCTATAAAAATAAAGCAATGGAAATGCCACACAGACTGCTGAGATCATAAGAGGAGAGAAAAGTTTCAATATGAGCTCCACAGCCAGTGAATTATATACCCATCCCAACTCAACATTTATTCATTCTTTCCAATGAAGTTATCTATTATCCCTACTTCCCTGTTATAATAATATTTTAACTATAAAAGGTAATGTTCTTTTATTAATAAAGCGAGGAAGCATCCAGGAAATTGCCTAATGGTGCATAAGAGTTCAATCATTTTTAATCCCTTCCTACCTTTTTTCCTTCCTATTCAAATGTAAGAATACAGAAGTAAAAAAGTAGAATCAGGATGAAAATTCAAGTTTCTGACTTCTCATACAATGGCTTTTCTCGTGTGTGTGTGTGTGCGCGCGCGCACGCATGTGTGTTTGTATATCCACTGACAAACTCTTTCAAACTTAGTTTGATTTTTTCCTCAATTCATTTTTTTTCTTTCAAATTACCCTTTGTCTATATGAGAAGGGGAAAAATCATGCTCAGTGGCTTCATTTGGTTTAGCTAGCTTTGTGTGATTTCAGAATCTTAGAAATTGTCTCCACATCATTACTTCACATCAAAGAGAAGTAGCATGTGAAAGTAATGAAAATACATCATGTTATTTTTTTTTTTAATTCTACTATGGAGCATTGACTTCTTCAAATCATCGTGATTTCTTAGATTTTGAAGCCACAGATTTCAATAATGGCACTAAGGATGTATAATTTATGCATTCCTTTGATTGTGGAACTCAATATTCCAAACATGTGATCATTCAGGCCATTATTTATGTGTTTAGTCAGTTGCCTTTGCATTGAATCACTACATGAAACTATGGCTAAATTGTTATGCTTCCACACTCCTATTATTACATGTGTTTAGGTATATGATGGCAGGCATTTCTGGGTTATATATGTGAGGTAAAAGCAGTAACAGAAATCTGAAGCATCTGTCAGGATAACTAAGCATTCACAGAGGCTGTCGTGGGTCACCCGGGGAGGCATGGTGAAAACTCATTCTATAAGGAGGAGGCAGAGGCCAACACAAGCTATTAATAGGGAGAGAAGTCCACAAGCAAAATTATAAAGGTCAAGAGGCACAGCTAACTTAGTTCTTGTCCAGATAGATTTCAACATCTACTTTGAGGAGAGTAGGAGGATATGAAGAGCCAGTAGCAGAGACAGAGAGAGTGGCTCCCAGAATCAGCTTTCAGCCAGCATCCTAGGTCAGGCAGGAGTCTGATGGAACAGTATCTGGCCTGCACTTCAGGGTACCTGGGAGGTTGGAGAGTTCTAGATGCAGTCACATTAGAACATTGGAATAAAAAGCAAGGCTAGCCAGCTGGAAGCCCATACATAAAGACCTGTAGGCAGACTTGAACCTGGTGGTCATGCAGGCCTCCAGGAGTCAGGGGCCACGTAAAGAAGTCCATGTCTTTCCATAGAATTAAAGGGGCGAAGCCCCAGTATTCTCTTGGCCTGGACATTTGTCCTGCCCAGGCCTGGGTAGGCTAATCTTTCCTGATGGACAGTGATGTACTTTGTACCAAGCACTTCACTGACCACAGGGACCCAGAGGTAAAGAAACCACCATTTCATGTCAAGTCCCACATAATAGAAGAGGAGATGTCCTGTTGTAATAGGTGCTCTGAGAACGATGAGGGGACAGAGAAGAGTGGTGGGTTCCCTGTGGAGGGAAGGAGGGTGTGTGTGCAGGAGGCTTTGGAAAGTACTTAGAGGTGGTTCATAGAAAGTAAGACTGTTTACCAGTCAAACAAGAAAGGCAGGGAAGGCAGCATGAGCCGCCCTCAAGAGGCGTGACCCAGCCACCCTTACCAGAAACCATAAATGATCTGATAAAGCAAAGGAGGAACCCAAGGTTTCATGTTGAAAATGAAGCAAGGAAAGTAGGGAGGGGTTGCATGGTGGAGACCTGCTTCAGTGATCTCCATGTGATTCTGTTTCTTCCTTGTGTTAGTGTATATTCAAGGACAAACCGCTGATGAATAGAGCTAACTGCATTATTAGGCCTGTTTTTATTGTCTAGCACCAGTTTTGTTATAGCCTTTAGTTTAAAAGTACTGACTCTGTCATCATTATTACTGTTTGCATCATCCTTAGCCCTTAAATTCCTCTTGTCTGCCTTGGCACTGAAAATTATCCATTGCTTTTGCTCTCCTCTCTCCAGCTTTAAGACCCTTCTGTGACATGATCATTTGACCTTCTCTGGGCTCTGCACAACTTTTGATGCAGGCATCCCTCACAGCCTCCTCTCCGAGCCATGCCCCTGTACTGGTGGACGTTGAGAGGAGTCCAATAGCTAAACCTGGAAAAGCAGAGGCCTAGAAATTCTTTGGACTATCTTGCCTGTATTTACCTTAGAATCACTTATAGATACTTTATATAATCTAAGTAATATTTATGGACATTTCTATATATGTAGTTACAGATTTTTAAAAAATTTTTTCTTAAATCATAGTAAAGAGTCTTTTTTCTCTAATTTATACTAATTTCATCAAATAAATTATAGGACTAATTTTATACTTGTGTAATCTGGAAGCAGACTAATTATTAACAAGAATTTTAACTGTTGTTCATTGTTGATCTAAGTACTGTACTGATTACATTTCTTTTCTTATACAAGTTTATGTTTACTCATTCTCCAAATTATTTTTGTAGTTAAGTAATCTCAATAGTAAATCACCATTTTATCCTGTTTTATCTTTAACTCTGACATTTATGAAATTGGATTGAGGATTAAGCAATGCTTCAATGGCAAAATCTTATCAAAATGAGTCCAGCCAATTATTTTACAGATATATGTAATTAATTTCATTTTTTAAAAAAAAAAAGTTGATGCATGCTATTTAGTGTAGTAGGTTCAGCCACCAGCACTGAGAAAAGCTTTTCAATATTTTCTTCCAACATTTATGTACAGATGTCTTTGTGCTCCAATATTTGGCTCTCTGTGGACAGCTTGCTTAAGCATAGTGGTAAATGATACCACGCTCATAAAAGAGCCCACTGCCTACCTCCTAATCAGTGTTGTATTGGATTACATTGATCCATTCCAAACTCTATTTGAACATCGTGACTAAAATTTTTAATAATTTTCAGCTGTAACTCATAAAACTGTTTTAATTTAGCCCAGAACTTCAAATGCCCCGGGAAGAACTGATGACTTATGTGATGAGCTAGCCCCATGTTTTCGCAACATCTCCGTATCCAAAGAGCCACATCATTCCAAGGGATGACTTGACCCTGTTTCCAGAGACTTCATTTTTTAATCTGCTTTTTGTGACAGTAGTTCATGAGAATAGTTTAAAGGCAGATAGTACTGAAAGTTCTACAACAGAAACTGTCTCGTCCCAGATTCGCGTCTGAAAGGCAACCACTTTTGTCCTCTTTCATTGCTTCTTCTGTCATTTATTTCAGCATTCCTAAATGCTGTGCTTCTGCTGCTGTTTATTGATTTTGTTGGCCTCCTGCTACAGAAGATGAGGGTTGAGCTCTCACATCTCCAGCAACACCCTTTGTTTCTTTCTTCCTTGTTGTCACCTTCCACAAAGAGTCATATCACAATCTTTGCTCCCTTACTTCCATCTTCCCAAGAGTTTTATCACAATTTTGTGATACATGGCCAATTTATGCCCTATTGTGACTATTGTTAACTTCTGATTCAAGTATTGTACATTTCTTACAATCTTAAACATATTTTATTTTTCCTCAAATTAAAAATTGCCTTTTTTACTTCCTAAACATTTCATGTATCTATAATTATTTTTTTCATATGCCTTCACAGATTTGTCAAATGACATATCATATACTCAAAGGTATCAATAAACTTTTATTTATTTATTTACTTATTTTATTGAGACGGAATCTCACTCCGTCACTGAGGCAGGAGTGCAGTGGCACAATCTCAGCTCACTGCAGCCTCTGTCTCCTGGGTTCAAGTGATTCTCATGCCTCAGTCTCCCGAGTAACTGGGACTACAGGCACACGTAACGATGCCCGGCTAATTTTTGAATATTTAGTAGAGATGGGTTTTTTGGCCAGGCTGGTTTCAAACTCCTGACCTCAAGTGATCTGCCCACCTCAGCTTCCCAAAGTGCTGGGATTACAGGCATGAACCACCGCACCCGGCTAGTTTTTGAATTTGTAGTAGAGATGGAGTTTCACCATGTTGCCCAGACTGGTCTCTAACTCCTGGCCTCAAACTCCTGGCCTCCACCCATCTTGGCCTCCCAAAGTCCTGGGATTATACACATGAACCACTGTGTCTGGCTATCAATAAACTTTTAAGTGCTATTTTTTTCCAAGTCTGCTGCCTTACTTCTTTTGACGCTCCAGTGTACAGGTACTACAGAGTTATCATAGTGGGATACCGCTTACCTTTCCTCAGTGTCAGTTGTCAGTTCTTCTGTTATGTACTGGATCTGATATTTTCCTCTGTCTTGATTTAGTCTCTCATTTTTCTGAGTCATATTCTCTAGAAATTTCCTAAGAAAACGTATGTGTAAAGTAAATATTCTGAACCCCTCAAGATTGGAAAATATCTTTATTCTACCTTCATACATGTTAATAATTTGGCTGGGTATAAAATTCTGGGTTGCAAATCTTTTTTTTTCTCAGAAAATTTTAACAGCTTCTGAAATTTCATCTTCTTCTAGTTTCCAAGTTGCTACTGAGAAATTCAATCTTCCTATCATCTATTAAGTTGCTTACCGTATCTCCACTTGCCTTTTATCTTCCAAATATATGTTAAACTCTCATCTACTCTTGCTATTTCTCCCAATAACTTTGTTCTTCAGAGTATATGCTTTGTTTTTAAATTCCTGGACTGTAATTTTAGTAGGGTGTTGGTAGGACTAAGTGGGAAATTTATATGAACAGTCCACCATTGTTTACCCAAAGTTCAGTGGCATCTTTGTTTCCAGGTATTTAAACCCATGCAATCCTTTTGCATAAATTATCATACTATTCTATTAGCAACTCTGAGAGTAGGTAGTACTAGTCCCATTTAATGATTTAGCTGAGGTTCCAGAAATACTAGTAGTTTTCTTAAATTTAAAGAGCCAGACTGAGACAGATTCAAATTTAAAACTATGTTTTTTCCTACTCTACTCAGGCATAAGGGTCACTTGCAGCAATGACTTTGTGATGGGGATCACTAGTGATAAAACAAGTCAGACCATGGCTTCTCCATATCTTGCTACAATAAACTAATGCCACTGCTGTGATGTGAATTATTCCTTTGAACTATTCTCTGAGCTGCAGAACACAAGCTTTCCTCTTCAATCATTCTTGTTATTCCAGAGTGGACATTGAAACATCAGAAACCAAATAATTGCTGGTAGTCTGGTTCATACAAACAGTGTACTACATGTATAAGAACAGACAAGGAAACTGAAATCATGGTGTTTGGGTCTGAATAAAATATATATATTTTAACATATAATGATGCTATTTCAGAGTCCAGCACACAATGAAATAACTTCCTCTTTGAAGCTTTTACTTAAATTCCCACATAGAGCACAAATAGCATTCTCTAATTTGAAAACGAAAAGTAAGTAATTGCTTTCAAAGTCCAGTCTTTTAAAAACATAGCAGTCTTTCAGCTAAGTAGTTATTCTCAAAAAGGAAAAGGGACTTTTCAATGAGTATTTATAAACAAGCATACATGCCCAATAATTTATAGTGTGTTTATGTGTCACTTCAACTTTCTGTGAAGTGATTATGACAGCAGACACACATCATGTTAAATGATGCCATCCTGAAGAAAGTTTTCAGGTAACATACCTCCTGAAGGGTTTTAAACTCTTTTCTCATTCAGAGGTTTGCCTGTTGCTTTTCCAGGTTGCATGCCAGGTTCTTACCCCCCCTTATTTTATCATCCAGTTAGCCCCAACGTCATCTTCATGTAGGTTAAACAACCCAAATAAAAGGAGGAAATATTTAGGACAAGCAATGAAAGAGTGAAACTAGGCAGGACCTTCTCCAACCTGGGGCAAATCTTCTACCACTTGGACCCTTAGGTATCTCATCTTTGAAATGAAATAATACAAATAGATCTTCAAGTTCCCCCTTTCAGCTCTTGAATACTATTTATGCATCGTTGATTAATCAACTTCCACGAATTATCTCAAACCAGCCACCACTGCTTCAGTTCATGAGTGACCATGAAAAATGTTTTCATCAGGCATCATGCTCAAGAGCTGGGAATATCGAGGCAAATTAACAGACACAGTCCTTAGCCTCATTGAGTTCATGGTCCAGAGGGAAAGGCAGACTAAAACAAACTTTCAAATAAATAATAATTGTGATAAATGATGTGAAAGATAACCACAGAGTGTTGGGAGAAAAAGTAAGAGGAAAAGGATAATTTAGACAGGGGTGGGAAATGTTTTCAAGAAAGCTTCATTGAAATGCCAAGAGATCCACAGACTGAGGGGTTGCTAGCCAACTGAAGAGTGATGGAAACAGCATTCCAAGCATATGAAGCAGCATGTGTAGAGAGCTGAGGAATTAAAGAGCTCGAGTATTCAAGGAACTATAAGAAGACCACATGGCTAAAGCATGGAGGGATTGGCCTGAGATTAAGTTAAAGGTGGGCTCCCAAAGCCTGCAGAGCCTCGCCAGTATGATGAGCACCTTATAATACATCAGAAAGGCAGAGAGAACCTGCTGAAAGATGTTTAAGCAAGAAATAGAGATGATTTGATTACATTTTTAAAACATTACCCCACCACTGCACACACATTGAGTTGGAGGAGGACAAAAAGAGATGAAGCAGTGAGACTGGCTAGATGGTGAAGCAATTGTAGAGAAGAGGGTGGATTTTGTAATCTTGGGACATCCTCACTTTGGGTCTGTGGATGGCTGTGCTGTACAGTGGGGTATCTTGACTTCATGTCTCATACTACCTGGACATATTCATTCCTGTATCTCCCCTCTAAAGAGACTTACTTTGTTGAAATCCTGTTGTCTCTCCAGGTTGTCATCTTGCATAGCATTCTACATAATCCATATCTGATCCATGAGAATCACATACTTGTTGGACTCACCAACCCTTTTCCTAACAATCTTTTGGAGTGCAGGCCTTGTTCACACAGCTGTCTCCTCAGTAGGCTGACAGGACCCCTGGCCACCCACGTCTCTTATTTTTAGTTTTTTCCAAGAATGGGTATGGCCACAGCCATATGTCCCACAGACTCACATAGGTCAAGCTGTTAAAATAGTCTCCTTGAAACCCTCTCAGGACTGAGGAGACAACAGAGCACACCCCATCCTTCTCATCATGGTAAAGGAGGAGGGATAAGACTGATAGTGCCTCAACAACTCTGCAAAGAAATACTCTCTCCACTACCTCACCTTTCTTCCTCTTTTCTAATACATGAGATGCTTGGTCATCTAAGAGTGGCAAAAATACATTTTGGCACCTTTTTGAGACTTGCCTGGGAACCTACCATCTTACTTTGGGATATCAGAGCAGATGGCATTCTCTTGTCTGTGACTAGATGAAGGCAGAACACACCCATTTTAACATCCGTCTTAAGCTTTATCCAGCCACTTTCTGAAATAATGAACACCGGTGTGCAGCACCTGCCATCTTCCTGAAGCCCCCACACCCTGCCCTCTTATTAGGCCTCCCAGTTCCTCTCCAGTGCTCCTGCCTTGGGCCTTTGTGCATGAAGATACCAGGATGGCTCTCTGCCTTTTCTTCTCAGCCTTCTTTCTTCTCACTCCATGATAGCACCCTGTCCCAAGAAGCTAAGTGACTCACCGCAGCCACAATTTCATTATCATTCGCATCTTCTTCCTCTTTCCCCAGGCTGGGGTTGGCATCTGATTGAGTCCTCTCTCCCCTTCTTTAGAAGACTGTCAGCCCCACTCTCACACAGACCTGCCCTTCCCCCTTAATCAGTCATTTTCCTGAGAATTTATCCAACGGCTCAGTTCCTGTGATAGAAATACAGAAGAAAATACATCAAATTTCGGGACTTGCACTACTCAGTAAGACACAGAAAAGTAGAATTGAGTAACCTACATGAAAAGCAAAGAAAATGGAATTCACTAGCTTGAATTGAGAGAACAAAGGGCATGGAGGAGGCTTAGAGTTCCTGGAGTAGTGAATAGGAAAGATGGAGATAAACCAGAGTGTATACCTTAGGTAGAAAATGCAGGAGAAAGCAAAAGAATCTACCATATATATTTTTTTTCTATTTTGAAAGCTTCATGAAAAAGTTGTAGGAAAGAATTACCTGGGGAACCTCATTTTCTGTGATTTTAGACTAATCAGCAGGAAATGGCAGGTTGTATCCTAACCAAAGTTTGCCATGTACCTGACAGGAACAAATGCTAAGCATGGACTGCGCTGCAAAGCCTGTAAGATGAGCATCCACCACAAGTGCACAGATGGCCTGGCACCCCAGCGGTGCATGGGCAAGCTGGTAAGGGCTTGTGCCAGGAGTGAGGCCCACACCTCTCTGCTAGGGCACTTGCCTGCTGCAGTGAGATCACCCCCTCCAAAATCCTTCCCTGAAACCCTGAGCAAAGCACCCCAGAACTGGCTGCCAGCTTGGCTTCCTAATTGGCGTAATCAGAAAACAAGGACAAGGGCTTTGTCAACCCAATCAACAATGCCCCACCTTGAAAGGGAGTCAGGGTCATTAACAGAGTGACCAACTTCTCCCAGGTTGGCACTTTCTCAGTTTTAATACTGAAAGTCCCACATCCTGGGTCTGTTCAGGTTTTAAAAGTGAAAGTCATGCATCTCAGGAACCCCCTAAGTCCCAGGCAAACTAATGGTTGGTCACTCTAGTGCTTCCTTGGTGGTCAGCTCAGTGGGTAGCAAGAGAGGACAAGAGCTAAGCCCCCACAAAAGAGGAGAGAGTAATAAATATCTGCACCACTTTAACAGAATCTCCCAAACCAAGGGAGATTGAATGGCCCTTGAGATGGCTGATCATACCATCTCAGGAGGATGGGCTTCAGTCCTGGTGCCACATATTGATTAAGAGGCAATTCAAGCCAGGCACAATGGCTCACGCCTATAATCCCAACACTTTGGACACCAAGGTGGGTTGATCCCTTAAGCCCAGGAGTTCGAGACCAGCCTGGGCAACATGGCATGACCCTGTCTCTACAAAAATTTAAAAATTAGCTGAGTGTGGTGGTGTGTGCCTGTAGTTCCAGCTACTCAGGAGGCTGAGATTAGAGGATCGCTTGAGCCCAGAAGGCAGAGGTTTCAGTAAGCCATTATTGCGCAACTGTACTCTAGCTTGGGTGACAGTGAGAACCTGTCTCAAAAATTTTTTTTCAAAAAGCAATCCAGAGCGCATTTGAGGGTGTTTGAAACTAGGATGGCCAAAGAATTGTAGAAAGGACGAAGAATGTCTACCCTAGAGAATAATTAGACAGGACATCAACAGCTGTCTTCAACAATTTTAGACCTAAAATTTAGAAGAGTAACTCCATTGTCCTTTGAGGCTCCTGGGGAAAGACCTAAGATCAGTGGATACTAAGTCTTAACAATAAAAGATAATGTCTTGCTTCCAGGGTTAGTGAATGCTCCTTCACCCCCTCCCATCACTGACAGTGTAACGACAAGGGACACCACTTTCCAGGAACATTAGACAGGATTCTGGAATTCTAGAAGGGACTGGGCCACCAAGTTCCCATCCAGTAATGGAGTACAGTCAAGTCCAGGTTCTTAGTTTATCTATTTACTCTGATTTGCAATGTCTCTTTTCTCAAACCTCTGCCTCCCCTGCTTCCCCTTCTCCTTCTCCAGTGGTGATTCCCATAAGCCAAGACAGACCATGAAGGAGAGGTCAGAAAAACAGAGAATAGAATCCAGATTACAGAGCAAATGATTCTGGCTAAAGCTCTTCAGATATACAGGAGCTTTTAGGCCTCCCTCTGAGGTCCACTTACCCATGCCCAGGCCTTTTATTTATATTATTTTAACAAACCACAATAACAAACTGTGGTGAAATAATATGTGGCAGTCCACTTGTAATCCAGGAGGCAATGAGGATCTGGGATGCAAAGGAGGCTGCAGTGCACTGCAGGAGGAGGACAGACACGACTGGGGAGGCCAGGGCCAGGACCTTGTTTTCTGGATAGAGTGTAACTTGCTAGTTGCCACTATTCCTCCCTGCCTCTGTGTCCCTGCTGGGATTAAATTGTGGAATTATAGGATAAGTCGGCATGTTAATGGGAGACAGGAGGGTGCTCCTGGAGAAACCAATTGGTTTTATTTAGGGAGCTCTTGTATGGTTTTCTCCATCTCCAGTGACATTAACCCCTTGCCTTCCTCATTCTCTCTCCAGCCAAAGGGGTTTCGGCGTTACTACAGCTCCCCCTTGCTCATTCATGAACAGTTTGGCTGCATTAAAGAAGTTATGCCCATTGGTGAGTTGGGACATTGATGGGTTGAGTTGAGTTTGAAGCAGCAAAGTTAACATTAATGGCTACTGTCCTCCCATGGCTGCAAAACCCGTGGGGTATCTCTGTGTGTTTGTTTGGTGGCTATTTGGGGTATGACTGTGTGTTTTGCTGGAAGGGAAACATAAAGTGGACCAAATTCTCCAGGAATTTTCATCCTCTCCCTGATGAAGCTCAGAAAACACCTAAATCCCAAAGGCTACTGATTAGTAATTCCACCATCAGCAGCATGGTGGAGTGGAAAGAACACGGAGAATGGCTTCCCCCAGACCAGGCTCTAAGCCCAGCTCCCTATTGACAACTGTGTGTCTTTGAACAAGTTACTTGACCTGTCAACCCCCACAAAATGAGAACAGCAATTGCTGCTTTTCATAATTGCTATAAAAAATAAATATAGGTTATTCACCCATGCTTAGTAGGAGCTCAGTGAATATATTATTCTCTAATGCAGATCAAAAGATGCCCTCTATTTATTGATAGCTTTGGCTTGGATTCTTCTCTAACAATATCTTTCAGTTTACTTCTATTATTTTTTTTCTCTCTCTGAAAATCTCGACATCTATTTTTGCTTTTTTTAGGGGGGGCAAGTTTTAAACTAGAAATTTATAAGTTAGAAAGCTTTTAATTAGAAATTAATGAAGCCCAGTAGTGACAAGTTATTTCTAAAACAGTTGCCTCCTACTGCAAACTTTGTGTCTCAAGTCTTTGTACCTTGGTGAGCACAGCCTCCCAGTAGAGGAGATAAAGCTGATCCCTGCAAGAACCTGGAAATCAGAGAGGAATAACGAAAGAGGAAATTCAATCAGGAAGAATTCGGGAGCAGAGTACTAGCTGGTACATGGCAGGACCTGCAAATGGGAGCATGCTGGGTGGGGGTGCATCTGTGAGGAACACTTGGCCATGAAAGCCCTGTCTACCCAGAGGCTAAGTTCCTCTGCACAGAGCCTGCTTCTCAGGCGCTGTTCACCCAGGAGATGTGGTAGGCAGTTGGCTGGGTCCTCTCAGATGAGCTTCCTCAGATGAACTTTCTCTTCTGTTGCAGCCTGTGGCAATAAGGTGGACCCTGTCTACGAGACCCTCCGCTTCGGCACCTCCCTGGCCCAGAGGACAAAGAAGGGCAGCTCCGGCAGTGGCTCTGACTCACCTCACAGAACCTCTGTAATTATCCTCTTCCTTCCTCGGTTTGTCTGTGGTGGTCTTGGGCAGAGCGGGCCTCAGGCACTGCAGTATGGGGTATTCCACCTGACTGCCTCATGAGGGCAGGTCTGCAGGGAGTCAGGCACCTGCCAAAGAGAAACCCAAAGTGCTTTGAGCCACTAAGGATTAACTTCCTGTTGTCAACACCAAGGGATTATTTTACTTTCCTGTCCAAAGACCATCCCCTTGGCCTCATGCTCCTTGACCCTTCCCATGGACCCCCTCTCCTTTACCCTCCCACCAACATTAGATAACATATGAGTCAACATACAGAAATGTTTGGCTCAAACAATGGTCAGGAACTTGGAAATCCTGGCTATTTCCAGTTTTCCGTTTAGCTACATTCCAGTTCAAAGACACAGCTATTTCTCACATCTTTTGTCTTTTCTCTCTAAGAGAGGGCACACCTCTTGATTGCACACAAAAACTGCACTCTCAAAGTTACTTGAACTGTGACTCTGTGGGACACTCACTCTTCCAAGCACCTCTCCTAAGTTCTATCTGACTTAAACTGAGTGTTCCATGCATCTCTGTGACCTGTTATCATCATCTTGTCTCTGGTTGTTTCAATCAGAATTTCTATAAATGCTCCAAGATGCCATACAACTCTGCAGCCCATGCTGAAAGCCACCATTCCTCCAGCAAAGAGGCAAGGACCTTCCAGTTCACATGGCCACTTAGGATAGCCAGCTCCTAGTTTCCATTTCCATTGTTGCAGCCCCTGCTGGACTGGAAGCTTCTAGGCAAGACACAGATGAGCCTTCAAATGGTCTGCCCCACTGAGTCCTCTCAACATCAAGTGACTAGGTGGATTGTGGGAAGAGGGGCAGGGCACATGCCTGGGAGGGGTTCTCAGAGACTGAGTTGAAGCAGCTTCCTCATTGGGTGCAGGTTAAGCCACAAGATTGTAGGTAGGTGAATAGGAATGTAGGTCGGGTAGGCAAGTAGGTGGGTTTATAGGTCCTCTATTGGGTGCAGTTTAAGCCACAAGATTGTAGGTAGGTGAATAGGTCGGGTAGGCAAGTAGGTAGGATTATAGGTCCTCTGCCTGATGCCATGTGGCTATCCTCAAAGCCATCTTTAAACTCACTGAAAGCCCTGTTCTTCATGCATCCACTGATTTCTAAGAGGAAAGAACTAAAAATAATTTTTACTCTTTTTCCTTACTGTACATAAAATTGACATCAGATAGTTCTTTCTTCTACTCAGTTAGCAGACATGAATGAAGGGCCTACAGTTTACTAGCACTGTAGGGGACACAAAAGAAGAGGAAGTCATAGCTTTTACCCTTAGAATTCACAACTTATTTCTGAAGACCAAACCAATAGCGAAGAAATTTGACAATGGTGGCATTGTTTACCATTTTTAAAAAAATACACTTTTATATGTCTTATCCCATTTTATTAAGATTGAGAACGTAACATACACGTGTTAAGGATATTATAATGACTGTGTCATATGAGTACTGAAGCATTTCATAGTAAAGATGAAAAATGTTTCACTTCGGTAGACATTGCCTCAAAGCAGTGAGGGGATAATGTGTGTCATTTTAAGATACCTGATGACCTCCTTAGGGAGGAGATCATTGTTATTTGGCATCCACAAGATAATGCTAATTCTTTTACTGAAAGAAGGATAAAAATGGTGCTAAATGTGATGAAAATATACAAAGCATACATGGGTAGGATTTATATGTAAATAAAGGCTGCTTAGGTTGGGTAACAATAATATACATAAAGTGTTTAGCACAGGGCCTGACATAATTGACACTCAATGAATGGAAATTGTTACTGTTCTATATTTTAATTCATTTAAAAATATTTTTTGAGAGATGGGGTCTTGCTCTATTGCCCAGGCTGGCCTCAAACTCCTGGAGTCAAATGATCCTCCTGTCTGAGTGTACTGAGTAGCTGGGATTACAGGTGCATGCCACTGCACCCAGCTGTTTCATTTTCATTACGCATCTAGCCTTAACAGTGTTTTCTTTGAACCTGAATTATTGTGAAGTTAAACAAGGAAGTAATCCATTAACAAGGCAAATATGTTACCTGAGAAGGGCATTTCCCAGAGCCACTCATGCTTGGGCAGTGTTAGAAACCCCTGACTTACTCGAGGGTAACTTCGCTGTTCTGCTCAGCCCATCTCCTTCTCTGATGTGTCCTCCTGTAACTCCTTAAGTTGGAGTGTTCCCAGGGGTCTGCTTTTGCTTGGTCTTCTTATTCTACTCTCTTTGGTTGATCTCTGTCACATTCCTTTAGTTCAAGCACCGTCTCTACATTGATGACTCCCTTAGGTATTTCCTCTTGCCCAAGCACCAAACCAGTCCTACAGATATTGCAAATCAGCAGATTCAGACTAAACTCATATTCCACGAGTGATTAGGTCCTATAATTCAAAACTGAGAAATAATATCAAAGATACCCTTAGTATTTATCACCAGTACTAGAGGTTTGAACCTCATTATCTCTCACCTAGATTATTATAAAGAAATAACCGTGCTACCCTTTTCAGCCTACCCTTGACAGTACCCCCTGATTTATCGACCCTTAAAGAAAGGCTTTGCGCCACTTCCCTAATTAAAATCCTCTATTAAGTTGCTTATGTCAGAACAACGATGCCCAAACTCTTAGGCATGGGATATGAGTCCTGCCATTACCCTAAAAACCCACTTTCCCCTGAACTCCCCAAGCCCTATAACATATCCATTCCTTAGAACATGTTGCTCCACCGAGTTGAAATTTTTTAAGACCCACTCTATTTTTATACAAACAATGAAGAGTCCCCAGACTCCCCCATGCATGGTGAGTTGCTCCTCCCACAAGCCTTCAAGAATTCCTTTCTTATAGAATATATATGATTGCATTGTAATCATCTGCTTTTGTGTCTATTCCCTGAATAAATACTGAGTATCTAGTGAGTATCTAGGTCCCGTTCCTTATTCATCTCATTACATCAGGGACTCATAGAGTGCCTGGCACATAGTGAATACTCAAGAAATGTGTGAAGAATGAGGAAGAATTAACAAGGGACTTTTGAAGACTGACCTCAGAATCCTCCGGGATCCGCACAACACTTCATTTCTCACACCTTAAGCTCTGGGCACAGTTTGCCGTTTTCTGCATAGCCATGCTCTGTCCAGACATTCAAACTATCTCCACCTCTGTCAGACAACATCTGTCCAAGCTTCTGGGTCTGGTTGGGCACCCACCTCTTCCCTGGTGCCCCGGAGCATCCAGTTCATTAATCCATTAGTTATATATTGCTTAGTAATTTTCACTTTTTTGTTTGATTTTTCTCTCACTTTCCCAGTCCTCTCCTCAATTAGACTAACCTCCTTAAATGCAAGGATTCTTTTATTCACAGCTTTGTGTTTTCATTACTTTATACCAGTGATTCTCAAATGCTGGGGCATATCAGAATCCCCTGGAGAATTCTGTAACACTATAAAGGCCCAGGTTCTGCCAGCCCTTTGTAGAGTGTCAATACATATGTGGTGAGTGCACGAATCAATGAATGAATGAGCACCCTCCTCAGTCAAAACTGCCTAAACTTCTGTAATAGAGGGCTGGCAATGAGCTAAATCAGTGGTTCTCAGTGTGTGGTCTCCGGATCTGCAGCATCAGCATCACCTGGAAACTTGTTAGAAATGCAAATTTGGGTTTCTGTCTCTCAGAACTGCAAAATCTGAAAATCTGATTTGGGGAGCCGAACGATTTCCATTTTAAAAACCCCTCCAGGTGATTCTGATGCACATTAAAGTTGGAGAATTACTGAGTTAAATTAAAAACTAAAGTTTGCTTCCAAAGAAATCAGCCCTCTGTCTCTCTCCTCTTCACCTTTGCTCTTACTCCCTCTCTGTGTGAACAGCATTTGAGTGACACATTTACAGTGGCCACAAGCCTGGATCTGAAGTTTGAAACAGAGATCCAAGAATGCTAATCATCTCCCTAACCCCACGTACCACGTTGCATCTCCTTTCTCAGGGGAGTGAGGAGGGCCATTGCTGTCAATGAGTTGCTTCCCCAAAGCCACACAGAGCTCACTCTCAGCTTGCAACCATCTCCCCTTACAAGTCAAGACTGTTTGTAGATGCCACCCAGCAATCAAAGGAAAAGCACAAACAAAACTGGTCAGAGTAGAGAGATCTCTGTCCACTTTGACCAGCATTCTGAACAAGCCTTTCTCAAATCTTTGATGAGAGCCAGTAGGTCATCTCACTTCAGTGCAAGCCTCTTCCATGCTTGTGGGAGGCTGGCATTGGTGGAAGGGCAACTGAAAAGCCAGCACATAGAGGCAATTGCAGAGAGACGGCTCCACAGAGATGGCTCTGATCTATCTGCACGAGCAGTAGATGGCTGCTCCTGTGGTTCTGAGCTTTGCTGACCTATGACAAACAGACCTCCTTGGAAACATTCCATAGTAGGCAATGAACATGTCAGCCTCCTCATTTGAGGCTGATGCTAAGAAGCAGCAAGACCACCAGAGGGACAATTGGGGATGTCCCAGTTTGCTTTCATCTCTAATATAGCTTTGTCTTTAGCAACATCTGGACCCTACAGACTGGTTTTAGGAGCAAAAAGCATAGTTTTCTGAATGTCAAAGGGATGTCCATTTATCACCGTCCACTTATACTGGCACTGGTTCCACCAGTAGATATTTGTTGGAGTTTAGCTCTGTGAAGGCATTGTTCTGAGAGCTGCAGGGAGACAAAGACAAACCAAATTGTACTTAAAGATCTGTCACTTCACTCTTTCCCCAAAGTCCAACCATCCTCAAAGGAAGAAAATAGAAACATTGATTGGTATTTTAAAGTGATTTTGCTTCCTGCCAGCAGGTCAGTAATAATGAACTTCAGCATCCTGCATTTTTTATTTTATTTTTAGTATTCTTATGTCCTAAAGTTAACATATGCCTGCATAGCAAAGCTTTGTTCCACAGCTTTATTTTCTTCCAAGGCTGCCGAGGCATTTGTTTTACATTGTTGAGAAGTCACTGCCTGGCTGTTTCCAAATTGTTATGTTTTCCTCAATGTACTTTCAAATGTTCTAAAATATAAAAGGCTTGATGGCTTTGGGAAAGCTAAAAGAAACCAAATTCAAACAACATTCTCGGAGTTAGTTGGCTAGTTTATGAATAATCTTCAGTTTCATAAGATTAAATTAACAAATGAAATTCTGTACAAACCAACTTCTGTACAGAAATTGTGAGCTTCAAAGGGAGCAGGACATGAGTGACTTAGAGACCCTGTGACTTTTTTTTCTTCTTTCTGCTGTGTCATGATAGTAGCAGTGTTTGAAAAAAAATCTTAAAGCTAAATTGTAACAAAAATCAGTCTCTGGAGGGTGGTGCTAAAGGGCTCTAGAGCTGGCTAGGAGAGCTAAGAAGATAATTTGTCCCTCTCCGATAAGATGTAAATAAATAATTTTTTAAAATATGACTGTCAGGCCAGGTCTGGTGGCTCACGCCTATAATCCCAGCACTTTGGGAGGCTGAGGCAGGCAGATCACCTGAGGTCAGGAGTTCGAGATAAGCCTGGCCAACACAGTGAAATCCTGTCTCTACCAAAAATACAAAAATTAGCCAGGCATGGTGGTGCATGCCTGTAATCCTGGCTACTTGAGAAGCTGAGGCACAAGAATCGCTTGAACCCAGGAAATGGAGCTGAGATTGCACCACTGCACTCCAGCCTGGGTGACAGAGCAAGACTCCATCTCAAGAAAAAAAAAAAAAAAAAAAAAAAAAAATATATATATATATATATATATATATATATATATATGTGACTGTCCTCAGAGGCCCCCTAAATTCCTCTTGTGAAGAGGATAGAGCCAGTTAGACTGAAGCTGGGTCACGTGGCCCTTTGAAAGAGGCATTCAGTGTGGTATGCTAGTAAATGTTTAACAACCAAGTCAGAACTGGACCCTGATTTGAAGCGTTTGCCAGTTCCATGGAGTAAAACTCCTGTGGTGATCCATTTCATGCCACCAGTGTGATAACCATGAGACTCTCACCAGCCCACAAAGATGCTTTAGCACACCAATGAATAAAGCACAATGCTTAAGAGCACGAGCTCTGGAGGCAACGCCTGTGATTCACAGCCCCAGCTCCACCATGTATTAACTATGGGGCCTCAAACAGAGCTACTGATTCTCTCCGGGCTTCAGATTCCTCTCTGAAAAATTGGTCTATCATAGGATTAATTTGGGGAATAAATGAGATGGTATCTATAAAGTCCTTAAAAACATTACATGGTAAGTGATCAGGAAGCATTAGCTATTTAGAGTGTGTTATTGTTATTATTGTTGTTTTTGTTCTTGTTATTTCTGTAACCTAAGTGGAAGAATGATTGTGACTCACTTTAAAAAGAGAGTCAGGATACATATTATAAAAACAATTAATTTTGCAGCAGTGGAAACAGTATTTAACTTGTACCTAAGTAGTGCATCCCTCCATAGTGCATCCCATTCTCTAAAACTAATATTTAAAACACCTGTAGAAAGAGCTAGCGTTTTATTGAAAGTTTTAAGTGACAGGATATGGACAGGCATTCTGATTTCTCTTTGTTGCCTATTCCTGGGAAGAAGCCTGGCTGTGGCCTTTGCTTCTAGACATTCATGAATATTCAATACTCACTGGATACCTACCATCACCAAGCCTGAGCCTGCTATAGACACCTGAAGGGAGGTACAGTGCCCACGAGTGGACATAGCTTCTCTGAAGTTAGCCAAACAGCCAAGACAGCAATCACTGGGTCCTTATGTGTCATGCAAATTCTACCTAAGCTCTCTTACACCAAAGTATCTGCTCAATTGACCACAGATATAACATTGTTCATCCCATGCTCTTTCTTCTTTCCTCCAAGACTTCAGATCTTGTGGAGGTTCCTGAGGAAGCCAATGGGCCAGGAGGCGGGTATGACCTAAGGAAACGCAGCAACAGCGGTGAGTGAGGGAGTTGGCACAGCACAAATGTGATCACATGAGTCAGGGTCAGTGGGCAGGCCAAGTTGATTTCCAGTCCCCTTGCTTTCTCTGCTAGCTCTGGAATTTAATCAGGGCGAGTGTTCAATGTTCTGGAGAGAATGTGAGCATTGTTTCTGGTGGATTTCAGTGATTTGCTCTAATATGTTCCTGAGTTCTATATCCTGAGTTCTCATACTTTATGAGAGTATATTTACTCTTATGAGAGTATATATACATATATATATATATAAACTGAGCTGTATTGGGGTTTAAGAGTCGCTTCCAGAACTTTTTGTGAATACGTCATTTTCTCCACTGAGCTAGATTAGATTACATTAGCAAACCGTACCACAGAGAAGCTAATTTGTGCTACACCTTAGGTACCTGAAACCAAGTGGTGGTGGGGCCCAGGAGAGAAGTGTGGGCCTCACATTTGGCTCCTTCCCCAGCAGAGACAACTAAGAAGCTCAAAAAACTGATATGTACAATCCAGCCAAACATTCTATATTAAAATTATTTAATCTAATAATTTAAGCCTTTGTTATAATAATTTCTAAAGTATTTATTAAATGCTAACTTCATACTTCCACTTGCTGACATTAAGAAAGAGCCACCTCTGGCCGGGCGCGGTGGCTCACGCTTGTAATCCCAGCACTTTGGGAGGCCGAGGCGGGCGGATCACGAGGTCAGGAGATCGAGACCATCCTGGCTAACACGGTGAAACCCCGTCTCTACTAAAAATACAAAAAAAATTAGCCGGGCGTGATGGTGGGCGCCTGTAGTCCCAGCTACTCGGGAGGCTGAGGCAGGAGAATGGCGTGAACCCTGGAGGCGGAGCTTGCAGTGAGCCGAGATCGCGCCACTGCACTCCCGCCTGGGCCACAGAGCGAGACTCCGTCTCAAAAAAAAAAAAAAAAAAAAAAAGAAAGAGCCACCTCGTAATCCAGAGCTTAAAGACATGTGACCAGATCCTTATGGATGCATTCTTGCTAGGCCTTTTGGACATCAATAACTACTTAACCTTCACTAGTTTATCAAAAAATATTTATGAAGCATTTACTATCATTAGCAAAAGTGTATTAGTCAAAGTCCTGCAGGACCTGAGTTGCATTGTTAACTTGAGCTGAATGCATTCTCATGGCAGAAGTTATCCCTCCAAACTCCACTCCAAGCCCTGCCTTTTCCAGCCTGGATGCAGAAATTCCTCATTCGATACCACATAGCAGTTTTGTCAACAGCTGTCTGATGAGGTATCACTTTTACTTCCTTCACTCTGGGAATTCATTTATGGCTCTTCTTTAGTTAGGACTATGCCTGTGTGATTCCCACAAGGCACCATGTGCTCAGCTGCCCCAGGATTTTCCTTCCTAAATAAGTGCCAGTGTTCACCATGCCCCCCCTTGCCAGACCCACACACATCTACTAAAGCTCACCACTGGGGTAAGGATTCTTTGGCATCACATGAGGGAAACTGTACTTTTAGATAATGCAAACAACCACTGAGCACTTAGCAGTGCCATTAGAGAGACAAATTAGAGGGTATTGGCTTCGAGGGGAACTTCATAGCAGGTCAGCAGCACAGCAGGGCCATCCCAGCCCAACTGTCTGGCACTGCAAGACCAGCAACTGAATTTAAACAGCAACCCTAAAGTTTCTCAATATCTGACTCACCAGAGACTTGCATGATAATGCTTTAAGTGTGATCAGCTGCTCAGTCCTGAGTCTGACCTCTGCTTTCCCCTTTCCCCTGACACTCTTCTCATCAACATCACTGCTGGCCTTCTCCTCACTAACTGCGCTGGAAACATTTGGTCCTTGGCCCATTGTTGCTCTGGAAGCAGAGTGCTAGACTTCACTTAATGCTCATGTGATCCCAAAGCAGTGACCTAGCCTCTCTCTGCTTCAATCACCTCATCTCTAAAATGAAGATAATAACACCAAATCCATAGGGTTCTTATGATCTTTGGATGACATAATGAATGTAAATACTATCCATACATTGATGATTCAAACTTCATCTTCAGTATTAGGCTTCCTTGCTGCCTCCAGATGCCTATCACCTATTGGACATTGCCATCTGAATGCAGAATAGTCATCTTTAAGTTAACCTACCCAAACTTTACTCTTGATCCCCTCACCCAGCCACACATTCAGACTGGCTCTTCCCACAGTTGTCTCTGCTCAGTAAATAGGAACTTCATTCAACCAGTTGATTAGGCCAAAGTCTTTGACATCAGCCCTGACTCCCTCTTCCTCTCACACCTCAGACGTAATCCATCAGCAAACTCTATCTGCTGCTTCTCAAAATTATGCCCAGCATGTGCTCACTGCTTAACTCTCTGCCTCAGCCATCCTGGCCTGGCTCTGTCTATGCTGTTGCTCACCAATTCCTTGAGGAGTTAGAACACAATTTACACTGAGGGTTTCTTCTCTCAAAAGGTGGTCTTAATAGGATTTTAAAATAGGAAGGGCTATATTTAGCAATCATTGCTATGTAGCATCACTGCTATTAGCAAAGCCATCATACAGTCATAAAGTGTCAGAGATGCAGGTAGAGCCTCACTACCCTAAATGTGGCTCATGGACAACTCACGTGAGCATCACTTGAAAGCCTGTTAGAAATAGCAAGTTTCAGGCCATTCCACACCTGCTGAATCAGGATCTGCATATGAATCTGTGGTTCATAGGCTCATTAAAGTTTAAGAAGTAGGACTAGAGGTCACTTAGTCCAATTCCCTCCCCTTCAATACACACACATGCACACAATATCCCCCGTATAGATAAGGAAACTAAGTCACAGAGTAGTACACACAAAGACATCAAGTTGACAATTTTCCATCTCTTCTGTGTTAAGGGGCATTTTCACAGCCTTTCTCAAAGAGATCTGGTGAAAGAACTGAGCAAGCAATAAACTCCCAAAAAGTGTTGGAGATGTATTAACAACTCTTTTGATCAGCAATAGCTTTCTCTACAATGCACCCTGAGAAGCTAGGTGGATTAATTATGCAGCAATTTGCTTCAAAACACTTTCCCTTGATTGGCTTTAATGTCCTGTCCATGCAGTTTGAGAAACCACATGGAGAAAACACCCTACATATGTGGTCCAAGTTCCCACAGATCTTCTCACTCATGCAAGGAGGGTGTTGCTGTTCAGAAGCAGTGTCTAGGATTACAGTCACAACCAGTTCTGCATTACATGTTCATTTATGTCTTAAAAAATGCAGTGCATACAGGTGTCATTTCTTCCAGCCAGCTATTATGTCAAATTCCTTGAGGAATATCTCCAAAGCCACCTTGGAAGGAAGTACAATTCATACTAATTTCTTTACTGCTAAGAGTACAGTCTCTCCTTTCTCTCTTATAAATGATCCTTGGCAGGTCTGAGTATTTATGGTTGTTGTTTTGAACACTATTCCTGGATGCATCATAAATATACATGGAGGAAATTGTTGGTCTTCACCTTTGGCTTAACTGCTAGAAGCTTCACTCATAACAAAGTAACAAGCAAAGAGAGAAGTAAAATCTCGCCTGAAGTAAAATCTGGCCTGCCTATTTCAGCTCCAAATGCCAAATAATAATGTTATTGGCTGCCTTCAGTAATTGCATTTCAGAATGACTCTGTGTGATCATAATTTTCCTGGAAGAGAGACAGAAGAGGACATAAGCAATACAAATTCCTAGAATTTTCTTCAAAAAGGGCTGGGTTAACCACAGCCACTTAAGGATATTACAAAATCGAATATTACCTCACTTTGCACTAAAGCAATTTTATTCTAAAAAAAAAAAGGCAAGCTCAGATCTGGAAAATATATCCTAGCCTTTAGCATGTACTAATTCAATATCTCAAATTTTAAGGTGTCAAAAAGAGCAGATATTTTCCTGGTTAAGTTGGCAGATGCCCCTGGTTTTGGTACCACTCCAGTGGATATTTCTACATTACAGATGCAAATATTTGTGGTATGTTTCTGCAACACATGCTTTGTATCAAGTTCAGGTAAAGATCTTTTTAAAGTTGAACAGAAGATTCCCTTTCCAGCATTGTGGAGAACTGGACATTCAGAGGAATTTTTCCCAGTTTAGCACTCCTAAAACTGTTAAGAGAAAGAATTGTTCTAAAAAAAATTCTAGTTAATGCATGGCTGAGCTGGCAGCAAAATAAGGCAATTCCTTAGAGTCTAGGAATGGCAATAAAACATGAATTCAGAGATACAAGCAGGTAAAGGATTTACTATGCACATCCCTAGAGCCTTAGCTTGGGAAATAATAGGCCCCATTTATGAACAATAGACAATAAAATGGGGAGTGGCCAGGGTATTAGGTTGGATGAAAGACCCTTTTGAAACATATTAATACCCCAAAAGATACCCTTAGGATCACTGGACAAACAGGATTCCCTGCAGAGGAATATGCTATACCAGCCTTAACTCAGGTGGAAAAGAATGGAAACAAAAAAGTGGAGAGGAAAGGAAAGAAAGAAAGAAAGACAGGCAGAAAAAAGGAAGGGAGGGAGAGAAGAAAGGAAAGAAAGGAGGAAAGAAAGAAACAGTCTTCTTACTTGGATTTTAGGGCCTGAATTCATACTACCTGTATGGGCAAATAATATAATAATATGAAATTTTAGTTTAATGTAGTTTAAAGTGGCCCAGGTACAGTAAGATCACCAGGCATTTGGCAGAAACAAATATAAACCCTCTCTAGAGGAAGAAAATTTTAAACCAGACCTCAAAAACTTCTCAGAAATGAACACTCAAAGAACACAAGCTAACAATCAAAATTCACCAAACACATGAGAAAATGAGCCGTGATGAGTAAGTATTAGCAGAAACAACCAACTTTATGGTCAGATTTTCAAGACTGTACATGTAAGAATTATCAAATTAAGAAATATATAACTATATAATTGTATACATTTAAAATGTTAAAAATGGACCATAAAACATAACAAAGGAAAAAGAGACTATCAGAAGTAAACAGGCAAGCTTGAGGAAAGTCAAATAGAACTTCGAGAATTTTTTTTAAGTAGAAATTTGATTGATGGGTTTAACAACATATTAGGCATAAAGAGAGAATTAGTTCCCTAAAATATAGAACCAAAGAAATGTTAGGGTATAGTTAGGAAGCCAAAGCAGTAGAATTTGTGAGATTAAAAGTGACATGAAAGATGAATAAGTCCAACATGCATCTAAGTGACAATTTAGAAGTACATAAAGAGAGAATGGGGCCCCAGGCACAGTGGCTCACGCCTGTAATCTCACCACTTTGGGAGGCCGAGATAGGAGAATTGCTTGAGCCCGGGAGTTTGAGACCAGCTTGGGAAACATTGTGAAACTCCATCTTTACAAAAAATACAAAATTAGCCAGGCGTGGTGGTGCCTGTCTGTAATCCCAGCTAGCTGGGAGGCTGAGGTAGGAGAATTACTTGAACCTGGGAGTTTGAGGCTGCAGTGAGCCATGATTATGCCACTGTACTCCAGCCTGGGAGAGACAGCACCAGACCCTGTCTCAAAAAGAGAGAGAGAGAAAGAGAATGAGAGAGAGACAATATGTAAGAACATACTTGTGGAGAATTTTCCAGAATTGATTAAAGACACCATTACTCAAATTTAGAAATCTATACCTAGACGTAGGTTGCTGAAACTGCAGAATTTCAAAGATAAAAGAAAACATAAAATGCAGTATAAAAGACTGATTACCTACAAAGAAATGAAAATTAGACTGTTACTTCTTACAAATTACAGTATAAGTGAAATAACAGTAGAATGCTATCTTGAGTTTGCTGAAAGAAAAGTGATTCTTAACCTAGAATTGTAAATGAAGCAAAACTATCTTTCAATAATATATTTTTCAGACAAAAATTGTATTTACAGTTCAATTAAGAAAGACCTATATTCAAAACATTTTAAAAAGATGTACTTCAAAGAGGAAAATATGACCTCAATGGAAAGACGGAAATGTAAGAAGAAATAAAGAGCAAAGAAAGTGGTAAACATGTGGTTAAATCTAAGCAAACACTGGACACATTTTTTAAAATAATGTTTTTAAAAAGTTGTTAATAAAACATTAGCTGAAATACTGACTTTATGTGGGAAATGGGCATTCAGAGATTATGTATTGCTTGGGAGGCGATTAAATATACTATTTCACTTTCTATTTTGTTAAAACATATCTCATAAAATTTCTAAGATGACTGCTAAAGGAATAAAAATAGACTCAACTTACCAAACCAGAAAGGGAACCAAACTGAAAGATGAGAAGGAGAAAAAAATCAATCAATTCAAAAGAAAGAAGGGATGGAAAGTGGCAAAATAGAAGAAAAAGCATAGAAAATTTGGGACAAATACAAAATAAAATGTTAGGAAGGAATCCCAATTTATCAGTAATCAAAATAAATGTAAACTGATTTAAGCACTCTAGATAAAAGAAAGATTTTCAGACTAGATTTTTTAAATGACCTATATACTATTTATAAATATCTAAAACATAAGGATGTAGAAAATTTAAAAAAACAAAAGTTTTTTTTTAACTTTCTGCAGGGGGAAGAAAGAAAAACATAGGCAGAATAAATAACTTTTCAGACATAGAAACCAAGGGGCAACCACAGGCAAATATTAAGCAAAAAAAAATATATAGCTGTATTAATGTGTGAAAAATTGACTTTAAGACCAAGAAAGCATTACTAGAATTTAAAAGTGTTATTTACATGGTCATGTTCACTTCATCTGAAGATATAAATTCTAAACTTGCATATACCTGATACATAGCCTGAAAAATGATAGAAACTCAAGGAGAAATTGACAAAATTATTCCAAATTCTTGAGTGATTTTAAGATGCCTCTCAGTTATTGGCAAACCAGATAGACAAAAATATTCTGTACAGATATAGAGGATTTGATGACACATTTGACAATCCTAATCTAATTTACCTAAAAAGGACACTCCATGTAACAAGTAGAAGATGCACATTCCTTTTAAGAACACATGTGGTACATATACACCATGGAATACTATGCAGCCATAAAAATGAATGAGATCATGTCCTTTGCAGGAACATGGATGGAGCTAGAAGCCATTATCCTAAACAAACCAATGCAGAAACAGAAAACCAAACACTGCATGTTCTCACTTATAAGTAGGAGCTGAACAATGAGAACACATGGACCCAGGGAGGGGAACAACACACACTGGGGCCCGTCAGGCGAAGGAGGTAGGGGAGGGAGAGTATTAGGAAAAATAGCTAATGCATGCTGGGCTTAATGCCTAGATGATGGGTTGATAGATACAGCAAACCACCATGGCACATGTTTACATGTGTAACAAACCTGCACATGTACCCCAGAATTAAAATTAAAATTAATTTTAAAAAGAACACATGGAATTATTTAAAATACTGATCACCCACTAGGTCATAAAGCCAATTTCATGAATTTCAAATAATTATTATTATATAGAATACATCTTTCTGACCACAGTGCAAATTAGATAGAAATCAATAGTCAAAAGATAACTAGGAAAACCAATAATTTGTAAAATAAAAACACTTCTAAAATTTTTATAGCTTGGCTGGGCATGGTGGCTCACACCTATAATCCCAGCACTTTGGGAGGCCAAGGTTGGAGGACCATTTGATGCCAGGAGTTCAAGCCCAGCCTAGGCAACTTAGGGAGACTCTGTCTCTACACAGAATTTAAGAAAATTAGCCGGGCAGGGTGGCATATGTCTATAGTCCAGCTACTGTGGAAGCTTAGGGGGAAGGATCACTTGAGCCTGGAAGGTCGAGGCTGCAGTGAGCTATAATTGTGCCACTGCTCTCCAGCCTGGGCGACAGAACAAGACCTTGTCTCAAAAACAAAGAAAAAACAAAATCATATGTTAAAGGGATTCATAATAAAGACTGGAATATATTTAAAGCTAAATAAGAATGAAAACATATCAAAACAACACGTATCCAAAGTGCTAAAGTTGGGATTTGAGTATTTAGCTTTAAAATGAGTGTTAAAAAAATAAGAAAGTCTGAAAAGTAATATCTAAACACTATACTTAAGGAAAATAAAATAGAATAAACTCAGAAAAGCAGAAGGCAATAATAAAGACAAGAGCAGAAATTATTAAATTACAAAGATAGATCAATAAATCTTGAGTGTTTTTTAAACAAAATTACAATCTCTAATGATTTTTTAAGATAAAAGAGATGAAACAAAAATAAATACAAAAAAGAGAAACATAACAGAGATTGAAAAGAAAACCAAAGAATTTTATAACCAACTTCATGCCAATGTACTTTAAAACATTTTTAAATAGGCAGATATAAAGATAGATATCAACGATTAAAGCCTGACTCAAGAATAAATAGAAATAGGAAACATGAATTTTCTTATAATATTTATAGAAGCTGAATCAATATTTTAAATTTTGCACAATGACAATACTAGGCCTGAAAAACTTTATAAGTAAATTCTACGAAACATTTAAGGAAGAGAAAATTTTCAGATTACATAAGCTCTTTCAGAGAAACAAGAAGTAGCAAGGAGGAAGGACAGCAGCATTCTCCAACTCAGTTTATGAGGCTAGAAATATACTGACTTGAAACCCAAACAAGGATATCATGAAAAAGGAAAATCACTGGCCAGTCTTTCTCTTGAATACAGATGCAGAAATCTCAAGCAAAATCTCAGTAAGAACCCATAAAGTATTTTTAAAAGACATTGTGTAATTACCCAGTTGAACTTATTCCAGGGATGCAAATTTGGATTCACATCAGATAATCCAGTAATGTAACTTGCTGCATTACTAGGTTAAAAAAATAATAATCTAACTAAAAAACACAGTGGTCTTGGGCCTCACAGGTCTGCAAGGTAAAAAACAAAAGACAGCATATAGGATAGGAAAAGAAGAAAGTTCTTTGGGGATGTGGTAAGAACTAAAGGTTCATTTTGCTTCTGTAACATTAGAAACTATGCCTACATAATAGACATATTCTTTGAATTCTTGTTATGGGTGAAATAAACGACCAAGTTATTTTTCATGAAATAATTTAAAGCACCAAAAATAAAAGGTGTATGATATGTTTTCGGTAGTTACCTTTCTTTTCTCCGCTTTCATTAACTCAAAGTCTTATAAATGGTTGGAATAGGTTTAAAAATTATTTTTGCAACCTTCCATTTCTTCTTGCAACCATACATGAAAACATATATAGGGTCACTTCAAATATTTTTCAGCAAAGTTTACAAAGATGATACACATTTTGAGCCAGATGGCCAGAGGGAGATTCAATACAAAAATTAAAACAATGTGAAATTACAAAATTGTAAAATCAATCCACACTGAACATTGTATATGCACTTTATGTAGACGCCCTTTTAGGCCAAATCAAGAATTTTCTAGGAAGATTCTCTTTACATTTCCATTCAAATATTTAATATTCTTTCAGAGGTGTCCAGTTTTATACTTAGGGAATCAAGTGTTTACAGCAGGATTTCAGACAGTCATACATTACCAGAAAAAGGTTTTGCTAATCTCTACTCTTTTTAGACTGGTAGACATCAAGTTGAGTGGCCAAATATTGAGGCAGACAAGATTCATAGAACCGGGCCTTCGTTTTCTGGTTACTTACAAACCAGAGCTCCACCAATGACTGCATATTGGCTTCCTAGGGATAATGGAATTGCATCCATAAACTCTGGAACTATAAGCCAAGAAGAATAGATATTTGATAAGCATCAGTACATTTACAGAGGCTCTTGTTCTGAAGCACGTTTTCTATATCACTGTTGTTGAGGCTATTTTAAGAACAGTAAAGACTGTCAGTGCACTAATGAAATAGGTTATAGAGCTTTCTGTGGTGATCCCCTCCCTCTACTGACATTTCTTTGATAATCTGAAGGGAAATCAAAGAGAAGAATAAAGCAGCAATGTATAATCTAAAAATTTCAAGTCATCAAAATGGTAGAGTAATTTAAAGAACAAAGCTTTATTATATAAACTTGGAAATATTTACCACATTTTTGTTTAAGGAAAATACATATGATGAGAATGATAAAGCTATGACATAAGTTATGGATGTAGGTTAGGCTGACCAAACTAGATAAGGCAGAAGTCCCATTATCCATCAGGAACCTCCCACAGCTGGGTATGTGAACAATGAAAACTCTTGCTCATTTTGTTTATTGTTTTTTGTTTTTTTGTTTTTGTTTTTGTTTTTTAGATGGAGTCTCACTCTATCACCCAGGCTGGAGTGCAGTGGTGTGATCTTACCTTACTGCAACCTCCACCTTGCACCAGGCTTAAGCGATTCTCTTGTCTCAGCCTCCCAAGTAGCTGGGATTACAGGCACATGCCACCATGCTCAGCTAATTTTTGTATTTTAGTAGAGATGGGGTTTCACCAAGTTGGCCAAGCTGGTCTTGAACTCCTGACCTCAAGTGATCTACCCGCCTCGGCCTCCCAAACTGCTGGGATTATAGGTGTGAGCCACCGTGCCCAGCCTTCCTGCCCATTTTGTGAAGACTTGTCCACTATCAAAGGCTACAGAGTGGATACTTAAATACAAAAGGAAGAAAATTATACTTCCCAAGAATAAACTAAAAGAAAAACCAAATAGTAGCCCCAATGCACTGACAATAAGAAATCAAGGAAATATTTTGAAGTTTAAAACTAAAGCTTTAATCTTCAAAATATAATGTAGATATCTTCAAGAAACTACAATCAAGATACCGAATATAGATTAAAGAATCATATTTAGAAGAGGCAGCTCAAATACAACTAAATTGGACTATATCTCAACCACCACCCCATTAACAAGCGGTTTGATGCATTCAACAAGGACAAATGCTCCTGAGAGGTACACTACCAAATGAGATCAAATATGAACACACTACTGCCAATCATTACAAGAGGCAAGTGCTAGTCAGGCATGTACAAAAGTTGTGGGAGCACAGAGAAGGTGGTGCAGAATGCTGCATGGGGAGGCAGGAGAAGAGACATGTGGAAGACCACCTGAACGCTGGGTCACAGAGGGTGAGGAAAAGGCAATAAGTAGTAAAGTAGAAGCTATGGTACTTAGAATAAATAAAGCCATCTTTCAGGAATATTTGTTTAAATGGTAACTAGATTCATAGAGCACCTGCTTTCTCTTGTCTCCTTCAGTGTTTACATATCCAGAAAATGGCACTGATGATTTCAGAGATCCAGCGAAGAACATAAACCACCAGGTATTTATGGATGTCACAGAAGACAAGTCAGACAGGAGTCCTTAGATAGACCTGCAGGTCACCATCCAAGTGGGTCATGAAATCAATTTAGTGAGTCCAGACCAGCATCTTTAGAGAATAGAATAATATAGCACAACGTACCATAGCATGGAATAAACAGAACTAGCACAGTGCATAAAAGGTAAAAAGAGTAAGCATTGCACTGTGCACCTTTTGTTTCTGTTATATAATGTGTAGATTATAGAATTATATAATATATTATCACTGTATTTTATAGCATATATGTCATATTTTATGTTCATTTACATATCTAAAATTTAGACAAACTAGAATAATATTATATAATGTACCTGAGCTTTGAAGAGCAGAGTGAATTATAGATAAAAAGATATATATAGTTGTGTACAGCTTTTGTGTATGTTTTCTATAAATTTATAGCATGTATTTATATTAGTATATAGTTAGATATATGATGCAACTATATATGAGATAATATATAATTTTAACTTGTTTATTATAAAGCATAAATGTTTTTATAGCATTAACATTTATTTGGTTAGTAATAATAGCTAATATTTATATGATGCTTACAAGAGTCTTTTATCATCTGTAAATTGGGGACAAAAACAGAATCTACCTAACGGAGTTGTTGTTAAGTTCAAGTATGCTAATGCATGTAACATAATGCCTAGCACACAACAAACTATCAAAACAGCAGCTTGTATTGTCATTATTGCAAGGTTTCATTGCCAATAGATGGTGGTACCCTGATGTAAACTAAATCAGTCTCATGCCAAAACCTATGCTTTTTTCTCAACATAAATGAACTAATTGCCAGATGAATATACCTGGTTCCCTTTGATATACTAGATACCAACTTTTCGGCTAACTGATAAAACAGTTAATTTTAGGAAGTGAGAGTTATACACTACTATTCATGTGTCCCTCTTTCTTTAGAAAGAATATTCCCATTTCTGAAGTCTAACTTGTACCATTTTTCATGAACAACTATATTATCAAAGAAAATTTATTTGAAGAAAATTGCAATATTTCTGACAAAGAGTTCCAAATAATTGTTTTCAAATTGTTTATAGTGAAACCAACCTCGGTTAAGAAATTAAAAATAAATGCAAAGTTGACAGAAAATCTTTAATAATGGTTAGATAACACTTACGATCCATACACTGAAATTACATTGCAATGACTTCTCCATTTCCTGTTTTCTTTCTTTCCTCTCTCAATTTATTTCACCTTTCTTTTCTCATTTTTCTTTTATTTTCTCTTTCAGGGATCTCTTTCCAAAGACCCATTACAGATGAACACCTATGTTGCCTTGTACAAATTTGTACCACAGGAGAATGAAGATTTGGAAATGAGGTAAAAACCTTCTGTAAAGAAAAAAAAGAGTAAAATTTTAAAGTCAGTATTTCTCCATGTGAAAAAGTAAGTCCATCTGTGCCCCTCCTAATGCTTTATAGCTGTGATTCTCAAACTTTAGCATGTATCTAATGACCTGCAAGGCTGGTTAACACACAGGCCCTGTCCCCAGAGTTTTTGATTCATCAGATCTGAGGCAGGGCCTCAGAAGTTGCATTCCTAAGGAGTTCCCAGGTGGCACTGACAATGCTGTCCAAGGAACACACTTTGGGAAGCACCACTTTAGTACATGCTCAACAGAACTGCTAATGGGAGTTTTCATGAAGGTTGAACGTTAAATGCACTTGGCATCTGGTGGGGCCTAATAGGGAATCAAAAAATATATTTAATCAAATATCAGATAGTTGCTGATGTGTGGTGTTATTTCTGAGGCCTCTGTTCTGTACCATTGGTCTATATGTTTTTGTACCAGTACCATGCTGTTTTGGTTACTGTAACCTTGTAGTATAGTTTGAAGTCAGGTAGTGTGATGCCTCCAGCTTTGTGCTTTTGGCTTAGGATTGTCTTGGCTATGCGGGCTTTTTTTGGTTCTATATGAACTTTAAAGTAGTTTTTTCTAATTCTGTGAAGAAAGTCAGTGGTAGCTTGATGGGGATAGCATTGAATCTATAAATTACTTTGGGCAGTATGGCCATTTTCAGGATAATAATTCTTCCTATCCATGAGCATGGAATGTTCTTCCATTTGTTTGTGTCCTCTCTTGTTTCCTTGAGCATTGGTTTGTAGTTCTCCTTGAAGAGGTCCTTCACATCCCTTGTAAGCTGGATTCCTAGGTATTTTATTCTCTTTGTAGCAATTGTGAATGGGAGTTTATTCATGATTTGGCTCTCTGTTTATTACTGGTGTATAGGAATGCTTGTGATTTTTGCACATTGATTTTGAATCCTGAGACTTTGCTGAAGTTGCCTATCAGCTTAAGGAGATTTTGGGCTAAGATGATGGGGTTTTCTAAATATACAATCATGTCCTCTGCAAACAGAGACAATTTGACTTCCTCTCTTTCTATTTGAATATGCTTTATTTCTTTCTGTTGCCTGATTGCCCTGGCCAGAACTTCCAATGCTATGTTGAATAGGAGTGGTGAGAGAGGGCATCCTTGTCTTGTGCTGGTTTTGAAAGGGAATGCTTCCAGTTTTTGCCCATTCAGTATGATATTGGGTGTGGGTTTGTCATAAGTAGCTCTTATTATTTTGTCCTTCCATCAATACTTAGTTTATGAGAGTTTTTAGCATGAAGGGGTATTGAATTTTATTGAAGGCTTTTTCTGCATCTATTGAGACAATCATGTGGTTTTTGTCATTGGTTCTGTTTATGTGATGGATTATGTTTATTGATTTGTGTATATTGAAACAGCCTTGCATCCCCAGATGAAGCTGACTTGATCGAGGTGGATAAGCTTTTTGTCGTGCTGCTGGATTCGGTTTGCCAGTATTTTATGAGGATTTTCACATCGATGTTCATCAGGGATATTGGCCTGAAATTTTCTTTTTTGTTGCATCTCTGCCAGGTTTTGGAATCAGGATGATGCTGACCTCATAAAATGAGTTAGGGAGGAGTCCCTCTTTTTCTATTGTTTGGAATAGTTTCAGAAGGAATAGTACCAGCTAGTCTTTGTACCTCTGGTAGAATTCGGCTATGATTCCATCTGGTCCTGGGCTTTTTTTGGTTGATAGCCCATTAATTATTACCTCAGTTTCAGAACTTGTTATTGGTCTATTCAGGGGTTTGACTTCTTTCTGATTTAGTCTTGGGAGGGTGTATGTGTCCAGGAATTTATCCATTTCTTCTAAGTTTTCTAGTTTATTGGCGTAGAGGTGTGTATAGTATTCTCTGATGGTAGCTTGTATTTCTGTGGGGTCAGCAGTGATATCCCCTTTCTCATATTTTATTGTGTCTATTTGATTCTTCTTTCTTTTCTTCTTTGTTAAGTCTGGCTAGCAGTCTATCTATTTTGTTAATCTTTTCAAAAAAACCAGCTCCTGGATTCATTGATGTTTTGAAGGGTTTTTCGTGTCTCTATCTCCTTCAGTTCTGCTCTGATCTTAGTTATTTCTTGTCTTCTGCTAGCTTTCAAATTTGTTTGCTCTTGCTTCTCTAGTTCTTTTAATTGTGATGTTAGGGTATCGATTTTAGATCTTTCTTGCTTTCTCCTGTGGGCATTTAGTGCTATATATTTCCCTCCAAACACTGCTTTAACTGTGTCACAGAGATTCTGGTACATTGTGTCTTTGTTCTCATTGCTGTCAAGTAACTTATTTATTTCTGCCTTAATGTCATTATTTAGCTGGTAGTCATTCAGGAGCAGGTTGTTCAGTTTCCATGTAGTTGTGTGGTTTTGAGTGAGTTTCTTAATCCTGTGCTCTAATTTGATTGCACTGTGGTCTGAGAGACTGTTATGATTTCCTTCCATTCTTTTGCATTTGCTGAGGTGTGTTTTACTTCCAATTGTGTGGTCAATATTAGAATAAGAGTGATGTGGTGCTGAGAAGAATGTGTATTCTGTTGATTGGGGGTTGAGAGTTCTGTAGATGTCTATTAGGTCTGCTTGGTCCAGAGCTGAGTTCAAGTCCTGAAGATCCTTGTTAATTTTCTGTCTCATTGATCTGTCTAATATTTACAGTGGTGTGTTAAAGTCTCCCACTATTATTGTATGGGAGTCTAAGTCTCTCTGTAGGTCTCTAAGAACTTGCTTTATGAATCTGGGTGCTTTACATATTGGGTGCATATATATTTAGGGTAGCTCTTCTGGTGGCATTGACCCCTTTACCATTATGTAATGGTCTTCCTTGTCTTTTTTGATCTTTGTTGGATTAAGGTCTGTTTTATCAGAGACTATGATTGCAACTCCTGCTTTTTTTTCTTTCCATTTGCTTGGTAAATATTCCTGCATCCCTTTATTTTGAGCCTATGTGTGTCTTTGCACATGAGATGGGTCTCCTGAACAAAGCACACCGATGGGTCTTGACTCTTTATCCAATTTGCCAGTCTGCAACTTTTAATTGGGGCACTTAGCCCATTTTCATTTAAGGTTAATATTATTATGTGTGAATTTGATCCTGTCATTATGATGCTAGCTGGTTATTTTGCTTGTTAGTTGATGCAGTTTCTTCATGGTGTCAATGGTCTTTACAATTTGGTATGTTTCTGCAGTGGCTAGTACCAGTTGTTCCTTTCCATATTTAGTGTTTCCTTCAGGAGCTCTTACAAGGCATGCCTGGTGGTGACAGAGTCTCTCAGCATTTGCTTGTCAGTAAAGGATTTTATTTCTCCTTCACTTATGAAGTTTAGTTTGGCTGGATATAAAATTCTGGGTTGAAAATTCTTTTCTTTAAGAATGTTGAATATTGGCCTATACTCTCTTCTGGCTTCTAGGGTTTCTGTTAGTCTGATGTGCTTCCCTTTGTGGGTAATCCAACCTTTCTCTCTGGCTGCGCTTAACATTTTTTCCTTCATTTCAACCTTGGTGAATCTGACGATTATGTGTCTTGGGGTTGCTCTTCTTGAGGAGTATCTTTGTGGTGGTCTCCATATTTCCTGAATTTGAATGTTGGCTTGTCTTGTTAGTTTGGGGAAGTTCTCCTGGATAATACCCTGAAGAGTGTTTTCCAACTTTGTTCCATTCTCCCCATCACTTTCAGGTACACCAATCAAATGTAGGTTTGGTCTTTTCCATAGTCCCATATTTCTTGGAGGCTTTGTTTATTCCTTTTCATTCTTTTTTCTCTAATCTTGTCTTCACACTTTATTTCATTAAGTTGATCTTCAATCTCTGATATTCTTTCTTCTGCTTGACTGAAAAAAACAAGCAATGGAGAAAGGATTCTCTATTTAATAAACTGTGTTGGGAAAACTGGCTAGCCATATGCAGAACACTGAAACTGGACCCCTGCCTTACACCTTATACAAAAATTAACTCAAGATGGATTAAAGAGTTAAACGTAAGACCTAAAACCATAAAAACCCTAGAAGAAAACCTAGGGAATACCATTCAGGACATAGGCATGGGCAAAGTCTTCATGACTAAAACACCAAAAGCAATGGCAACAAACGTCAAAATTGACCATTGGGATCTAATGAAACTAAAGAGTTTGTGCACAGCAAAAGAAACTATCATCAGAGTGAATAGGCAACCTACAGAATGGGAGAAAATTTTTGCAATCTATCCATCTGACAAAGGGCTAATATGCAGAATCGACAAGGAACTTAAACAAATTTACAAGAAAAAAACCCCATCAAAAAGTGGGCAAAGGATATGAATGGACACTTCTCAAAAGAAGACATTTATGCAGCCAACAAACATGTGAAAAAAAGATCCTCATCACTGGTCATTAGAAAAAAGCAAATCAAAACTACAATGAGATACCATCTCATGCCAGTTAGAATGGTGATCATTAAAAAGTCAGGAAACAACAGATGCTGGAGAGGATGTGGAGAAATAGGAATGCTTTTACACTGTTTATGGGGCTGTAAATTAGTTCAACCATTGTGGAAAACAGTGTGGTGATTCCTCAAGGATCTAGAACCAGAACTACTACCTTTTGACCCAGCAATCCCATTACTGGGTATATACCCAAAGGATTGTAAATCATTCTACTATAAAGACACATGTACACGTATGTTTATTGTGGCAGTCTTCACAATAGCAAAGACTTGGAAACAACCCAAATGCCCATCAATGATAGATTGGATAAAGAAAATGTTGCACATATACACCATGGAATACTATGCAGCCATAAAAAAGGATGAGTTCATGCCCTTTGCAGGGACATGGATGAAACTAGAAACCATCATTCTCAGCAAAGTAACACAAGAACAGAAAACCAAACGCCGCATGTTCTCACTCATAAGTGGGAGATGAACAATGAGAACACATGGACACAGGGAGGGTAACATCATACACTGGGGCCTGTTGGGGGTTGGGGGGCTAAGGGAGGTATAGCATTAGGAGAAATACCTAATGTAGATGACGGGTTGATGGATGCAGCAAACCACCATGGCACATGTATATCTATGTAACAAACCTGCACGTTCTGCACATGTATCCCAGAACTTAAAGTATAATTAAAATATATTTATATATATATATATTTAATCTCCAAATTAACATTGATAGAAAAATCAAACTAAAACTATCAGAGTCAATCAGGAACTATCCACTTGGTGGTAACTGAAATACTAGATAGAATAGGTGAGCCTTGTGACCTTCTCAAAATCTAAACCATTCTCTTACCACAGCTTGAGGTTCCTCGTGTTTCAGGGGTTGTTAAGCTAGAGTCAATTCTGGGTTCACATCCTACTTGTTGTGTGACCTTAAGCAATTTATAAACATCTCATTTCTCTGATTTCTTTATTTATAAAAGAATAATAATGATCTCTTCCCCTTAAAGTATTTGGTGAGACTACAATGATAGAAAAGAAATTAAACACATTGGTGCCTATAATCATAAACACTCAGCAACGAGTACTTATCACAGTTTTTATAATGTGGTGTTCACTGGCCTATCTCAAGGAAAAGACTTCTGCTTCCATGCATTCATGACCCCAAAATGTGAGTAATCTCATGACAGGGGTCTCTGTGTTTTCCCATCCTAGAGCAGGATAGAAAAGGCTACTTTTCCAGTCAAATGGTCCCCTGGAGGTTCATTCTTTCCTCTTCTAAAAAAAATGCGGAGATAAATTAGCACTCAAAACTATTTAATTGCCAGAGCATTGGGAAAATAGACCACATTTGGAGGTAGACGCCACTTGTCTGAATGCTGTGCCAGCCAAATTATCAGTCACCAGTCACTCTCTTCACATGGCTTCTGGAAAGCCTGCCTCTCCACACTGGAGCGACCTGGGCTTTCCCAATTCTTCTGGTTTGTGTCATTTCCCACACATGGTCCACCACCTCAGTGAAATTACCCTTCTCCTCTTTCACCTACCCAAACTCTTATAAATAGTGAGAGCCACTGAAATGCTTCAGTTAGACCCTGTTTCCCAGGCTCCATATGCTATCAGGATCGGTTCCAGCAGCTCCACCACACCTCATGGTGGATATAATATCTAGCAAGACATCATAGCAGATTTATTTATCCTGCTGGAGTCTCACAACTCTCCCTGGCTCACACCCTGAGGTCAGCTTTGTTTCAGAATTAGGTTGAGATCTGCTGCCAGGTGATTCTTGGGTCTTTCCAGAAAAAAGTTTGGGGGCCTGAGTCCTGGCTCCTTAGATTTGTAGAGACAATTAAGGTCTTGTACATCTGAGTTTTCTCTATTGCTGAGTAAAATCGTCATGCTGAACTCACTGGCTGAAGTTGTAAATATTACCTGAACAGTCTAGCATAATCAGTGGGAGAGGAGGAGACGGGCTTTATCAAGTAAAGCCGTGTTCTGTTACAGACATGACAAGCCCTGTGAGCCAGAGCAGAGCCTGCCTAGAATTCCTCGCTGGGATGAAGCCATGCCTTCAGCAGATGACCCACAATTAACTATCTGCTGATGAAGACAAGGGTGGCATATATTTACTTTGCAATAAGTACACCATATTGGGTCCTTTTGAGATTGTCATTTGGGTGTGTAACATTTAAGATTTAACAGCTTTCTATTATAGAGATCCTACAGCTTTATATTAGAAGATTATTCTGAAGTCATAACATTTTTTTAAAAAAGTAATTTCAGAAAAAAAAAAGAATGTTACTGGGATAATGAGGAATGATGTCTAGCTGCCTGGTGGTGGTCATCACTCTGCGTGCTTATTTTAGTTGGTTGCAGGCCATTAGAAGTCAAGTTGTCTGGTCACGAATGAAACGTTTACAGTCTGCTTCAAGGCAATCAGGACTATCCATTCCCAGGAGTGAAATGTCTGCATTGCATAGACTGCAAGATTGGAGTGATAAATCACACATACTTTTTTTTATTTTTTTGCCAAGAGTTTGTAGGTTCCCATTATAAAAGCCAGGCACTTGATTTAGAATGTGTAAGGCAATCCTTTGGGAATGCTTTGGGATTCAGCATAACTCTTTGAATGAACTGGAGCTTTGTGAATTACCTTTTTCTCCTCAGATCATAAGGTAGAAAAAAATTCCTTTTAACAAAATAGCATTCTTATCCACCCACCTTCTGATCCAGGGGAGTACACTGGGTATTGACCTCAGGAAAGAGAACAAGGGAGTGAGGGTACAGGAAATGTTAGGAGTGTGAGCTTGAAGACAAAGACGACCCAACTGGCAAAGACAGCAGTTGTCAATCAGAGCAGATGAATCATCACATCAGCAAATATTCATTATATATCTGCTCAATAATAAGAAAAGCTTCTACCAAAGGCCAATGCTCCAGACCTCTCCCCGAACCTCCAGATTCACTTACCCACCTGCCTACCCCAGCAATGTACAGAGCATCGCAGCTCTGCCCTCTCTTCCACAAACCTGCCCCTTAGGATGAAAGATGTCAACCTCTGCCCAGGCCTCAAGCCAGCCAGGGAGAGGACTCACTCTACTTTTGCCCAAAATGTATTTGATGCTCAATTCCTACTCTTCTCTTTGCCTAAAATCAACTGTATCTATCCCCACCTTCATATCTTACCTGGACTGTTGTAAAAGAGCTTTCCTGGTCTCTGTGTTTTCAGTCTTCCTCTCCCTTCCTATCTACTATGGGTGATAGTGCACTAAGGTAACAGTACAGTGTTCTGGGCTTCATCTCATCTTTGGAGTCACACAGAATGATTCACATCCCTTCTCTACTTTCTAATAATAAGGCTTACTAACTAACTTTCTGAATCTGTTTTCTCATCTTGAAAACAGGGATAATAAGTCCTGCCCTTACCGCCCTTAGATCTAGCATCGATGTGATTATATAAGATAGCAATATCTGGTACATAGTAGGACCTTAATAATATTAATTCCAGTCAGTTCTTTTTTGTATTTCAAAAGTAGATGCTTCCTTTCCAGAATTAAGGAGGGAGAGAGGGAGCAAAAGGGGGGGAGGGGAGAAGAGAGAGAGAGAGAATATATGAGCATTCACTGAATGTTTAAGAATAAAAAGTGTGGGCATCAGTTGACCTGGGTTTAAGTCCTAGCCAAGCCACTGTCTAGCTGTGTGACCCCCATGAATCCTGAAAAAGTTACCCTAACCATCTGAGCTTCTGCTTCCTGACTTGTAAAAGGAGATAATCACTTTGCCTGCCCTAAGTCTGCTCGAAACACACATATTTGCTCAAAACTGTCCAATGTCCTCCCATTGCCCTGGGGTAAAATCTAGAATATTTATGGGGACTCCAGGACCCACAGTCTCATCCATGGTGACCTCTCTGATCCATCTACACTGGCCTTCTTTTTTTTTTTTTTTTTTTTTTTTTTTTTTTCACAAAAGGACCACACCGCCCACTTGCCAAAGGATTTTTCTTCCTGCAGAGTCTGCTTCTCCCTCCATCCTCCTACCCACAACCATCAAACACACACATTCACACACACACAGGCACACTCTTCCAGTTGACTCTGATTCATGCACTAGATCTCAGGTCAAATTTCATTTCCTTGTTGCAGCCTTTCCTGTTACCCTACTTTGGATTACATTCTTCTGTTATATTCTTTCATGATGCCATAGTTCTCTCAAACACTTATCTCTACTTGTATTTATATATTTCTGGAATTATTTGGCTAGTCTCTATCTCTCCTGTAAACTCCATGAGAACAAGTCTGTAATTACTAACCCTCATATCCCTAGAGCATGAGCTCATTCTTGAAACATAGTAGATGCATAGTAGATAATAATTATTTGACAAATGAATGAGTATTGTGGAGATTAAATGAACTAATGCTATGCCTGGCATATACACTTAGTGGGCAAATCAAGTCTATGATAATATAATGGAAACTGTAGGCCGGGCGCAGTGGCTCATGCCTGTAATCCCAACACTTTGGGAGGCCAAGGCAGGTGTATTGCCTGAGGTCAGGAGTTGGAGACCAGTCTGGACAACATGGTGACACCCCGTCTCTATTAAAAATAACAAAAAAATTAGCCAGGCATGGTGGTGTGTGCCTGTAATCCCAGCTACTCGGGAGGCTGAGGCAGGGGAATTGCTTGAACCAGGGAGGTGGAGGTTGCAGTGAGCCAAGATCACGCCATTGCCCTCCAGCCTGGGTGACAGAGCAAGACTCTGTCTCCAAATAATAATAATAATAATAATAATAATATAATGGAAACTATAAATGAGGAAGCAAACCAAGCTGAGGGTGGTTAGTCAGGGGGCCTGTTTCCTGGAACAGATGGGCCTGAGCCTAGGATAAATGTTATTCATCAAGAAGAAATTGTAAAGGGGGAGGCCAAAAGTAGCCTGTGGTTCCATTCACAAATAACAATGGTTTTAAGACAACTTGGAAGAAGCCCTGCTAAGCCTTTACTGAAGCTCTCACAGCTGAGAGGAAGGGTGGCCTCAGAGAGTATAAACCATAAACTGTTTGAGACAGGTCTCAGTCAATTTAGAGGTTTATTTTGCCAGGGTTGAGAATGTGCCTGGGAAAAAGAGATGCAAGCTACAGTAGGATAAGTGGTCTGTGCTTTTTCCAAAAAGGGTTTTGAAGACTTCAGTGTTTGAAGGGGAAAGGGCATCAGGAAGGTAAGGAGGAAAGAAAAAAAGTGGGGAGGGTAGGTAGTGAGATACGTGATGACATTCTTGTGAGACTTTGATTAATGCTCACTGAATCCACATGTTACAAGTGAAAGCGGGTAGAGGAACAGTCAGTTACCCATTTGTCTGGTGTTCAGCAGTAAATCTGCATTTTACATAAGATATGAATAAACACAGAGTAGAGGAAGCAGTCAGATTTGTCTCAGGTAGGTGGAGGGATGCTTTCTAGTCTTGTCTTTGTCCTGTACCTGTGAGGAAAAGCTGTTAACTTATATTGTCAGGGTGAGATTCAACAGAACTCTGTTTTAGGGTAGAGTTTGGGGCCCACAAGGAATTTCCTTGTGAGCAATTTGAGGGAGCCCACCTGGGGAGATATGTGGCCTTCTATCTTTGCAACTATCCGTTTAGGAACAAAAAGGAAGGCAGTTGTTGCGTGACTCAGATCCCAAGCTTAACAGTTTTTCATTTTTCTCCTTTTTTTTTTTTTTTTTTTTTTTTTGAGACAGAGTTTCACTCATGTTGCCCTAGCCAGAGAGCAGTGGCGCAATCTTGGCTCACTGCAACCTCCACCTCCCAGGTTCAAGTGATTCTCCTGCCTCAGGCTCCCAAGTAGCTGGGATTACAGGCACCTGCCACCACGCCCCACTAATTTTTGCATTTTTAGTAGAAACGGGGTTTCATCATGTTGGCCAGGCTGGTCTCAAACTCCTGACCTCGTGATCCTCCCGTCTCAGCCTCCTAAAGTGCTGGTATTACAGGCGCGAACCACCGTGCCCAGCCCTCATATTTTCCCTTTGACATAGTGAGCTTAGAGTCCTGAGATTTTATTTTCCTTTCACAAGAGGAAGAGCTGGTTGCTGCCCTCTTGTTCTTAGGTGAGTGAATACTTTTCTTAGAAGTGCCATGGACCCATCATTAGTCTCCAAATCCCATATAAAGGCAGAGACTTTATACAGTCTCCTTTGCTACAGTTCCAGTGCAAAATAAACTTCCTTTATTTTTTTTCACACTGCCATGAAAAATTAGAAATAAACTTCCTTTATAAATTAATTTGCTATTTCCCACCTAAACCTCTGGAGGTAATGCAGACCATGATAATTCTCTATCTTTCCACCATCAAGGGCAGAGAGCAGGACAGCAAGCTGGCAAGACAGAAAAGAGAAATTTCTGGCAGTCAGATAGGCCTGGGTCTAGTTTCCAACTCTGACACTATCTGTGTCAATTTTAGCAAACTGTTTAATCTTTTAGAGCCTCAGTTTTCTCCTTCCTAGGAAGACTGGGTATTAAACAGGATAATATAAATAAAATGTGGAATTTCATGCCCAGTACAAAGTGAGGTCACAGTAGATTTTAGATACCTTCTCTTCATAATTACATCTTTTCACAATGTATTTTCTCTCCTAGTCTTCTGAACAACCTCATTAACACCACCCTAAGGATATAGAGTAGAGAAAACACAGTTAAAGACTCTCCCTTTGAGCAGGCCCAATGAGACCTTGTCCAACTGGTCCAGCAAAAAGGGGCTGTGATATCCAATATTTATCTTGGGAGCAGGTTTTGCAGTTGCTGACATGATGAGCTATAATATGAAATTTTATCACTGATACCCAAGCTGTGATGCCATCATGCATGGGGTCTCGAACATTGCTGACAATTTGAGGCCTGATAACATTAAAGGGCTACCCAGGTTCTCCTATCAGGGTATAGCAGGGTGGTATAGTGGATAATCTCCTGAAATTAAGAGTCTTGGACAGGTTCCACCAATTACCCTTATTATCAACTTTTTTGAAGAGCCCTGAAAATTACACTTTATGGACTGCCAGTTTAATTCATGAACAAAGCTCTTAAATGCTGCTAAAAATACATGGCCAAGTGCAGTGGCTTATGCCTGTAATCCCAGCACTGTGGGAGGCCAACGCAGGTGTATTGCTTGAGCCCAGGAGTTCAAAACCAGCCTGCGCAACATGGAAAGACACCATCTCCACAAAAATAGAAATAAAAAATTAGCCAAGCATGGTGGTGCATACCTGTAGCCCTAGCTCTTCAGGAAGCTGAAGCAGAAGGATCACTTGAGCCCAGGAGGTTGAGGCTGTAGTGAGCTATGAACACACCACTACACTCCAGCCTGAATGACAGAGCTAGACCCTATCTATCTATCTATCTATCTAAATTAATTAATTAATGAAAATAGAATACAAACTGGAGAACCCTATTATAATCAGCACTGTTGTCATTATTATCATATACTGCTCTGTGAATTAACATAGACCATATGTCACATCATCCTTCTGGCCAAGTGGGTGTGTACATGTGTGTGATACACTTATACATGTAAATAACCTCCCACACACACTCACAGTCACACACACACACATACATGCACATACACACACACTTATACACATTCAAGTACACATTCATTCACACACACACAAGCACACACACATTGTTAGCCAAAGCTTGATAACCCACACTTAGTTTTGATGAAATTAAATCCTGCCTTCAACACTTACAACGTAACCAGTCACATTATCCTCACTGCTTTTGGGCTCAGCAGTCTGCAAAACAGAGTCTTGGAGTTATCACTTATTATTCACACCAAGGCACCTTTTTTAAGCTGATAAAAACTTTTCAATCAACAATGACTTTCATGACTTTGCTGAGTTGATATTTTATGTAAATAATCAGCAGATATAAATGACTTCAAGTAAACATAAACTCCTAAAACATCTTAGGGACACTGTAACAAAGGATTGAGAGTAAATAAAAGATTTAAAGGTTTAAATGCATATTTTAGCAATCATACAATGCCTGTTCCAAATAATTAATTTTGACTTCCCACATCTAAATCATTTTCGTTTTTATTAGCTCTCCTCAAACAGATTTATATGATAATGGCCATTTTTCATAAGGGTAGAAAAAAGAAGGAAAAAAAAAGACTATAAGCCAAGAGAGGAAAAGAGGGAACTGCTCTTTCAGTATTATTAAATCCTAAAATAAATACAAATTAATTACTACTTCAATGTATGTCAGAACACCTAAATTTGGGGGGCTTCAAAGAAAACCTATCTTCTTTTGTAACGCCAAGTGCAAATTTAGATTCATGAACGGCCGCTCCTGGAAGCAGCAAGTCTCAGATTCTCCATGGGCAAGTCTGAATGAAAGCAAGCAATCATTTCTCCCATTAGTTAGTATTTGCCAGAATTTCTGGAGATGGGATGGCCTGAATTCATCTCTTTGGGGTATTTTCAAAGCACTACTTTAAAAAGAGTTAAAAGTGATGTGAACTCTTGTATGCTATTTCCAGGATTTACTTCATCTATTCACCTCTCATCGCATGATAGCCAAGCATCTGCTCTTTTCTGGGAGAACCATTCACAGGCCCTGTTCTCAAAGAGCTCAGGCAGTCATGGGCCAGGGGACCAGCAGAAGAGTAGATCAGAAGTTACAATCCAGTGTGCAGGGCTGTGGGTGTGAGGTAGCCCAGGTAACTTACAGCAGCCTCAAAGGGACGTGAAAGAAGCTGGGATTCCAGAAGGAAGAGGGGTCATGGGTGGCTGGGAAGCCTTGTTAGTGAGCAGTCACTCTCTCTCCAGTGAGGAAAGCATAAGGGAATAATGGGGTTAAACTTCAGAACCAGATAATTACTTTAAGAGGTGCCAAATCAGGGGCAAAGGCAAGCCCCATTACAAAAAGAGGTGGTGAAAATTCATGGCAGAGGCAGGAGCATATTTAGATAACTACATTAATTCCAGTCTTGATTCTGAAAGACTGCCTTAAAACTTGGCAATGCTTAGTGAATGGACGCTTGGCTGTTTAGCTCATATTCCAGTGAGAAAATGTATGGTTCTTTTTTCTCTTTCTGGAGGTGAGGTAGGAGAACCAAGCCCAATAATTTACAGGTAGAAAATGGAAGCTTAGGACTAGAACCCTTGGAGGTGACTCCCAGTCCACTGATCTTTCTCCTCCACCACACTTTTGATCCTAGGTTCATTGTTCTAAGTTTTCTCTCTGATAAAGCTGACAATTCTATTTTAATCAGCAAGAGTAGGTAACACTTTATCCCTTTTTGGCCCCTCACATCACTTATTTTAAGTGCATTAGGTTTGTTAAGTATGGTTGCTAAGACCAGGAAGTTTGTGATCTACAGAGCATGTTACTGAGAAGTCACTCCGGTTAAAGGATAATTTTTTAAATTTAAGATAAAAACATGACTCTCGTGCAATATAAATTGAACACATGTCAGAATTTTTACATGGCTCATTAATTAATGAGAGAACCAGTAAGATGCTCCACCTTGTTCAAATGAGAACTCAATATATCACATATACATAGGCAATGAGGAATGCTGACAGGAATTTACAAATAGATGCAAAACCAGTCAGTAGTCACAGGATAAAGGGTAATAACTGACTATATTCCACCAGGCAAAGTTCACTTGCATTTCTTTGGACAAAAATCATTTGCATTAATATCAGTTTTCTACGACTTGCTTGAGATGTAAAATAGCTCAAAGGCATTGAAAAAGGGGAGGTAATCTGAAAGGATATGCCAGACGGGACATCCAGATCAGTCATGTTTTTTGCCCATTTCAAAGTCTTTCATAATTTTTCCTAGCATCCTCTTGAGTTCTTTTAATAAATCTCAGAGGTTACCCAAGCAAGTAGTATTTCACAGAGGAGAAAACTTGAGTTAGAATGGTTAAGTCACTTGTTGCAAGCCATAAGAATCTCCTAAAAAATATTATTAAAATAGAGATTCCTGGGCTTCACCTAGACCTAGAGAGTCAAATCCTACTTGGAAATCTGTATGGTTAAATGTCCTCCTGGATTCTGATTATCTGCACTATCTGAGAACAACTGTGACTTATCCAAAGATAGGCAGTGGGCCAGTGGCAGACTCAAAAACCAGAACAGAGGTTTCCCGATTCTGTCAATGCTCTGTGCACAGGTCTGCATTGGCTTTCTGACCTGTGACTTGTGTACATTCTAATGTCCTTCACCCTGCAAGGTTTCAAGGCAGAGTAAGACAGAATAAGGCTCCCTTGGTGTCTCGTTTCTATTCTCTAAGTACATTACTGCTTGGCAAATGCATCAACTTAATTAAAACTAAATGTAATTCTAATGCACCAATTTGATTTAAAAATAATCTTCACAGTCACCAGGACATCAAAATGCAATTAAGGCTATTTGAGGAAAGTCTCTGATGCATATTATGCTCTGATGCTGCACTATGTCAAGAAACCCAGATCTTCCCAAATGTCACTAATGTGTTTAGCAGCCTCCCTCTCACTCAAATGCCTCTCTCATTTAGGTTCTGGAGAGCGTGATCCATGACAGTTCAAGAACATTTACCAAATTCCTTCCAAATTGCCCTTCAGTTGAATGCTTTTCTCTGAGCTGGTCTATGGACTTGGGAAAGTGCAGGCAGTCTCGTGGATATCAGGCTTAAGACAAAATCAAAATGCAAATTCAGGAGTTCCTTATTACATACCCATGTGCCAAGACTGTAAAAGATTCTGGACCAAGATAATGTAAATTGGGAAATAAGTCTGGTGAAAAATTAAGTCATAGATCTAAGATTAATGGAGCCATTTGGCTGGCTCCTTTTTCTGCCCCCTTCAGCTTGGTTTTTCAAGGGTATCTATTTTTGCTGAGTGACTGGTTGCTATAAACTTGATTTAAGGTTCGTTTTGCCTAATGAATGAGAAAGGGCAGGAAATATTAAAGAGGCTCAAAATAACTATATAGTAAAGTGGGCAGTTCTGATGAGTTTTGACACGGCATGGGTGGTGCAAGAGGCAGCTTGATTTAGTGGAGTTAGTTATAGATTCAAACCTTGCCTGTAAATGGTGAAATCTCTCTTAGCCTGCCTACTTGTATGAAAATGCAACTGTTCATGACAACATTTAGTGAACATTGCCATCGCCCTCTAGGCTCAACCCTGCCAACATCTCCATTACAATCAGCCACCTGGGTAATAGAATACTAGGTCCAGCTCCTGGGCCCTGATACACCTTTGTGGTCACTACGTGGAGTGGACAAGGAAGGGGAAGAGGGACAGTATGAAGAGAGGGAGAAGGTTTTCCATAGCTCCGAATCACACCAAATGTTAGCGTCTGAAGCCACTGAAGTCAAGGCTATTTCATTAACCAACCATCCCTGCCAAAAACCTAATGAGACATAAACGTAAAAGGCAATGATTAGAATAAATCTTCTAATTTACAAGTGGAAAAATGCAGGTTTACATGAAAATTAGCAATTTTAAGCCCTACTGTATATCAATCACAGTGATAAAGACTTAACTTTGAGGCCAGGCATGGTGGCTCGTGTCTGTAAGCCCAACATTTTGGGATGCTGAGGCAGGAGGATCATTTGAGGCCAAGAGTTAGAAACCAGCCTGGGCAACATCGTGAGATCCTATAAAAAATTTTAAAAGTTAGCTGGGAGTGGTGTCATGTACCTGTAGTCCCAGATACTTGGGAGGCTGAGCAGGAGGATTGCTCAAGCCCAGGAGGTAGAGGCTGGAGTGACCCATGATTGCACCATTGCACTCCAACCTGGACAACAGAGTGAGACTGTCTTTAAAAAAAAGAAAAAAAAGATTTAACTTTGCAAAGTAAATATAGCTCACAATAATTTATCATGCATAATATATAAGTATATAAATATAATTGAGATAGCCAATCCTCAAAGAGACATGTATTTGGGATTTTTGTTTGGGATCAGTTCTATATTTGTTTGTCATCTCCCCACCATGCTAGCATTTGCTTCTCCCTCAGGGATGACCCTTACTTTAAACAGTTTATTGTCTTTATCCTTTGAAATTACTGACATCTTGAAGGCAGTAACTATGTCTTTACAATAACAGCCACCATCTAATGGGCGCTTATCTAAATATGCATTACAAATATTTTGTCATTTAGTCCTCAAAAAATATTGATGGGGTAAGTGCTATTATCCTAACCTTACAGATAAGAAAACCCAGGCTTAGATAATTTTTTTGATTTTTGTATCCCCCAATGCACACCCAATACCTGATGTTTTATAAACATTCAGAAAATACTTGAATGTCATAGAGTTTTCCTAGGATAAATGAGCAGAAATGGAGGAGTGAGACAAGACTCCTTTTCTTTGAATTTTAAAACATTCAGAAAGCAAAGGCCCTAGGGCATTCTGCTTTTACCATGTGCTTCCCAAAGTAGGGCCAATCTGAGGTCTCAGGTTGTCTCAGATAGTAGAGAAAATGTTTCTCTCAGAAGCAGTGTCCTCATCTGGAGGGTGTCGTGTCTCCTCTCCTAGGAATTTGTGCTCTACTTGGGGATTGGAGAGAGGCTGGGCTGGGCGGGGGATGCCTCAGGGCAACTCATACTCCTTCCTCCAAGACCCCACCCTGGAAGATCAAACCATCTTTCTAACATCTTGCAGAATAGTTCCATGTAGCTGGCCAAGCTCAGCTCATATCATTCATACCCTTTGTGTACACTGAGTCCCTGCAGACAGTTTACCTGGTGGTGGAAGAGATGGTTCCAATGCCCATATGAAAAACTGAGAAATAAGAGAGACAGGACTGCTGAGAATGAACCCAGAAAGCAACCATTGGTTCTCACGCACATGTGTGCAAGTACACACACACTCAAAATTAAACCCTGTCCTCCTCACTGGTAAGCCATAATTCTGTAGTTGCTTTTGTTATTTTATTCTAATTCTTGTGAGCTCACAGCCCTTTCACCATTTCAAGAGTTCCTATAAATCATTATATAACTAACTTGCAAATCTTCCTCTGGGCCTATGGCAAATTTTACTGAGCAAACAAAAGCAAAAGGCCAGCTGTGGTGCTCTGACCTCTTTTCACTAAAGGAAACTGATGCTTGAATTGTTTATGAATTGCATTATACTTTACATCATGGTATACAATTGTGGATTACAATGTAAGCAAAACCTTTACCTGAATGTACAATGCTCTGATTGAACTAAGCAAAGGAAATGTTTTTTAAGTAACTGGGGGCCCATCAAGTTGGTCCCAAGAATTTGGAAATAGAGTTAAATTGTAAACTCTAGACGTAATGTATCAAGAACATAAAGTCTCCTAAAAGCAAGAGAATAACTATTAAGCCAGAGAAGGACTTTTCTCAAATGTGCCTGTAGTGTGATAACCTGAATGAAGAATTATTCCATGGAAAGGGCCTGACAGCCACAGAAGCATGAAACAACTGAGGGCAGAGTCATGGATTAGCCAAGTCTAACCTGGGGAAAGGAGAATTTTAAGCATTAGGCCACCATTCCTTTGGGACCAATGGCACGGCTCTCCCTAAATTGAGCCAGTTGGCAGAATGTTTTCATTTGTTTCTTTGATGACATCGCACAACACACCAACACCATGGCAAGAGAAGATAACTAAATTAAGAAAGGGTTCAGAAGAAAACTCACAGTTGAGAGTGAAGGGTTGCCACTAAGGGCAACACAGAAGGTTGCTGTGGGAGTCAGGGTAACAGGAAGCTGGAGCTACAGTAGGCAGATTATGTATGGCAGGCTGTGGGGTAGGCTAGGTTTCCAGGGGCTCCCTGTAGATTGATTAATTTGAATAATTTTCACAGGTTCCAGGGCACAGGGGATGTCCCACATTATCTAGTACCTGGCTCTAGAATGGGACATTAGGGGTGGTACAGAGTGGCCCAGAGTACAAGAGCCCCCATCAAGGAGTTGTTGGGGTGCGGACTTAGTCAGCTGCTTAAGAAGGGGAACTGACCAGCCTCCAGCTAGAGCCTCAAAACTGGGTCAAGACTAATTTTTAACAAATAATAATAAGCGGGCCAGGCGCGGTGGCTCACGCCTGTAATCCCAGCACTTTGGGAGGCTAAGGCAGGCAGATCATGAGGTCAGGAGTTCGAGACCAGCCTGGCCAACGTGGTGAAACCCTGTCTCTACTAAAAATACAAAAATCAGCCAGGCATGGTAGCGGGCGCCTTTCTTCCCAGCTACTTAGGAGGCTGAGGCAGGAGAATCGCTTGAACCTGGGAGGCAGAGGTTGCAGTGAACTGAGATAGCACCACTGCACTCCAGCCTGGGCGACAGAGTGAAACTCCATCTCAAAAAAATAAATAAATAAATAAAATATATGTATATAAAAAATAATAAGCTATGTTACACAGAGTGGTTTCATCTTGCATGCCTACTCAGATCCACCACCTAGAGCCCAGTGTTGAAAAGGATTCTAAATCAGAAGGCAGGCTCTGTGGGAAAGAGTGCTGAGATTGTTGGGTGATGCCTGGAAGGATATGGGGGCAGTAAAAAATCCCACAAGCCACAGATTTGCTGGCCTAGATGTTAGAGAGTTACTACCTTGGATTCAAGGGCTACCCTCGAGCAAGATCCTCTCTATAGTGAAAAAGAGGCATTAGCTATCTCTGCCAGGTACTTAGAGCGTTTGGCTAATCTCAAGAGGAGTCTACTGGTCCTTTTTGGCTACATCTTCTAACTTCCCTCATAGTCCTTATGCCAATTTACAATTATATACTTAATAATTATACATATGTGATATGTTTATTATTAGTATCTATTTATTAAGTTTTTTTATCTATTTACTTGTTTATTGTCTATCTTTCTCACTATACTATTAGCTCTAGTGAGGATTTTATTCACCAGAGTAAACCCAGTGCCTAGTAAGATGACACTCTTTCAGAGCCCACATTCTATAAATATTTGTTGAATGAGTGGGTAAACAAAAACCAAAGAAATAATAAATGGATAAATAAATCACTCACCAAGCAATTTTCTGATCCTGGTGGAGCTCTTTTTTAGGAAAGGACAGAACCCTCATCACACTTCCAGAAGTATGTCTGGTATTTCTCATAAGATTATAGCCTGTTATCCCAGTGAGTGCCTTATTCTAATGTGTAATTCAGTTAATGAGGGTCAAGTGCTGGGGACTGTCCACCTCTAGGCACAGCCAAGAGTGAGTCTCTCAGTAGACTATAAAAATAGAGGTCGGATTGAGGCAGCACCCTCTTTCACCCTTAGGGAAAGGTACCTCCCACAGTCTGCCTCTTTCACTCTTAGGGAAAGGTACCTCCCCCAGCTTTATTCCCTATTTACAGTTTCTGCCAGAGCAGCAGCAAAGTCATTGTGTTTGATACTGACTCATGGTTTCTTAGGTTACTGGTTTAAATAAAATCTGCTGGGGCTTAGAAGATTTTTCTACATTGACTTTCATCCTTGCTGCTTAATTAAATCCCTGACCTGGGAAAGAGTGATTTTCAGCCACCTCGCTTTCTGCGGCATCAGCATGAAACTGTGACTGTTGAAATACCAAAATGCCAGTTGTGCTTAATGCTGCAGATGTGACAAGCCTGTTATATTTGGAATCCCTGATGAAGATAGATATTAACTGAGAATTGAAAATGACAGCAAAGGAGATTGGATCAGAATAGCAAAATGAATACGCAAATCTACTTTTGCTCCAATTCCTAAACATGTCAGAAAATACATTTTTTTTAACACATCTATAACAGTACTAGAAAACAAGAACGCATGCTAAGAGAGAACCAGAAATCTTGGGAATTTCCTCGCAGACTACAGCAAATGCAGTTGAATTGTGAACAATGAAGATGACCAGAGACCAAAGAATACTCAGGACAAAACAGCTATAGAAGGGGGAGCACATTTAAAGAGACCCGGAATGCACAGGACTTCACTGAAAAGCGTGAGAGTCTGCAGTGGATTGATTGCATTAATGGCCCTAATTATTCACCCCCCCTCCCCATATTCATGCCCCTGTCATGGGACTTTGCAGTTCCTCCCAAAACAGAGGTGGATGGAGCCTGTTACCCTATCCCTTGAGTCTGAACTGGCCTTGAGACTTGCTTTGGCCAATGAAATGAAGCAAAGTGACAATGTGTCAGTTCTGGATCTAAGCCTTAGAGGCATCATGTGCTTTGCATGTTTCCACGCACTGCTCCTGAACTTTGATCATTGCTATGAAACTGACCTTCCAAGGAATGAGAAATGTGGAATAGGGCAAAGTCACCCCAGTCACCTCAGCAAAAGCCAGCCAACACCCAGGCCTGTGAGTGAGCCATTGGGGTTTTGTGGCTGTTTATCACACAGCATTACTGTGACAATACATAAGTGATACAGTCTCAACTGTATTCATAGCACCGCATTACTACTTATAATGAACAATTGGCAGCAATGATGTTGAACTCCAGAATTAAGCCAACACCTATACTCTAAAGAAAAAGAACCCATGCCTAAGGAGGGCTCTTATGTGAGCATAGAAGCCTGGGAAATAAGAACTGTGTTGAGATAACTCTGGACCTTCAGACCTTCTAGAGGGCATGGAAAAAAGGAAAAGGCAGCTCTACTTAGGAGAAAAATAAGCTGACCTTTTCTCTCACCAGTGGTAAGAAAATCCTCCTTGCTACAGCTATTAGGATAGGAGGAGGAGGCGGCACCATACTGCTTATCTGCTATACGTTCAAGTATCCAAAAGGGAGGAGACGCACCAATTGACACACGCTGCTCCCTTAAACAGAGCCTGTAAATAGCCCTTGCACTTGAAAGGGAGACCCATGGCAGACCATAGGTATAGAATAGCGGAGAAGCCTGTCCACATCCACCTACCTCCATTTTCCATTTTCAGTCTTTCATAAAAAGAGATAACCAAGAAACATTAGATTTTAGAAAAAATACTTGACATAAAAAAGAAGTAATAAGATAAAGGATAGGCCAACTAATTTCAGAGGAAACAAATATTCAGTAAAAGAAAGAAATATTGTTTTGAAAATATAATAATCTCTATACAATCCATTATAACATTGCATCCATGATGGAAAGCCACTTTCAGAACTCTTTCAGAAAAGAATAAGGAAATAATGAGAAAGAAAGAAAAATTTCAGAAATAATAAAGAACCCTTAGAAACTATTTTTTTCTAAAAATGTTTTCTGAAAACTTTTTCTAAAACAATTCTCAGTATTATGATAAATAATAGAAGACAAGCCCAAATACAAAATAAATGATCAGGAAAATAAAATTGAGAAAAAAATTTAAGAACATAGAGGAAAATAAGACTGTAAGTGTGTAAGAAAGACAAAAAATGTGAGGATGGATTCAGAAGGTCCAGTATGTGTTGACAAGAAGTTCCAGAAGGAAAGAAGAGAGAACATCATAGATGGGAGAAAAACATGAAAGAAATAGTAGAGAAAGTTTTCCCAGTGTGAAAAATAACAGCCTTCCAATTGTCACAGCTGTGTTGAATAGAAAGAATTAAACAACAAAAACACATTAGTCTTCAGCCAAACCCAAGTAATTCTTGATGAATGATGTAGAATGTTGACACACACACACACATGCACACATACACAAATCTAGTACAAAACTCCAATTACACCAGCATAAAAGATGGCAGACAGGAAAAATGGAGCTAAGCAAAAGTGTGCTAGGTTTTGAGAGGGTATTGGGAAGGTGTAGATAATGATAAAGATAATGACCAATTCTAGATGTCAATACTAAACAAAAAAAATACATGAACATATCTATGTATAAATGTAAGTGTGTGGGAAGGAGTCTAGAAGGACACACAGGGGACGGGAGGTAGATCATGGGGCTGAGAAGAAGGGAGATTTGTATCTTGAAATTTTGGAGCTTCATGATCATTTATGTATCAAACTACAGGTAACAGTTATTTTTGGCTGGGCTGGATGACTCACGCCTGTAATCCCAACACTTTGGGAAGCCGAGGCGGGCAGATCGTGAGGTCAGGAGATTGAGACCATCCTGGCCAACATGGTGAAACCCCATCTCTACTAAAAATACAAAAATGATCTGGGCATGGTGGCAGATGCCTGTAATCCCAGCTACTCGGGAGGCTGAGGCAGGAGAATAGCTTGAACCAGCGAGTCAGAGGTTGCAGTGAGCCAAGATCATGCCACTGCACTCCAGCCTGGCGACAGAGCGAGACTCTGTTTAAAAAAAAAAAAAAAAGAGTTATTTTTAAAATACAGCATAAAATCATGTTTGCCTTCAATGTGTAATACAGCTATTTTCTTGGTAGGAAGAACTGGTAAAAGTTATATTTACTTTATTTCTATTTCTTTTAAGACTATTTGTGTAAATGAGAAATGATTACTCCTGACTTTAAAGTATGTTATTTTTCTTTTTTTTTCCTTTACCTAACTCATTCATTCTTCATTTTAGGCCAGGAGACATAATTACTCTTTTAGAGGATTCCAATGAAGACTGGTGGAAAGTAAGTGTTCCTCTTTCTTTAAAAAAAAAAGAGAAAATCATTTGGTAACTATTATAATACATGCTACAATTGTGGATGCATGCCTCCTTTTTCCTTTCAGGGGAAAATTCAAGACAGAATTGGCTTCTTTCCAGCCAACTTTGTTCAGAGACTACAACAAAATGAGAAGATTTTTAGATGTGTTAGAACCTTCATTGGGTGTAAGGAACAGGGGCAGATAACACTGAAAGAGAATCAGGTGAGTAAACCACACAAACACATTCCAGATATGAGCCAAATAGGGTGTCATTTTAATAAACTTAATAATATGTATAAATCTGAATGAGTGGGGTCACATTCAAAGTATTCACTTTGAGAAAAGATATACTTACTCCAATGATGTCAGTGTTGTAGGAGCTAAACATGCAAACTAAAATTTTAGGAATCTCACTTGGTGATACCTGTTCATAAACGAAACGTGATAGTGGCAGGCGACGACATCTCGTCCCCCATGCTCTTCTCAGAAGACCACCGGTCTCTGATGTGGACAGCTTCTCTCATTTGGGCTCTGAGTTAGCGTCCAACAAAGGTGTGGTTAATTCTTCAGTGCTCTCTAACAAATACTTCGTTATTAGTTGTTGCTATTAGGAACCTCTTGGGTTTTCTTATCTGGACTCCAAGTCTCTACCTATTCACTGAAGCCCATAACACCTTCATATCATTGCAAAAGACACGGACTAAATTTAGATAACCAGATACTATCTCAGGCTCATAAATGAACAATCTCTGTATGTCTAATCTAGAGGTGCCTGTCACCATCTTGCTCCAGGGCCATGTTGAATGTAGAGTTCTCTTTGATGCTGTCAATTTTCCTGAGAAGTAAAATGTGAACCCCCACATTTGTATGTCTTTAAGCTCCACCATCTCATGGCTGGAATGTTGATAGAGACAAAGAAACAGCATTCTCACACTTTAGCTCTCTGGCCTACTCTTCCTGTCTTTGTCTTCCAGCAGAGAGAGGCCTTCCTACCCTGCCTTCTTCTCTGACTGCAGCTCCCCTCAGGTCATGTCCTGTGTCCTCACTACAGAGTAAAATAATATGCTTGGACTTACGGCAGGGCTCGGTGGCTCACGCCTGTAATCCCAGCACTTTGGGAGGCCGAGGAGGGCAGATCACGAGGTCAAGAGATGGAGACCATCCTAGCCAATATAATGAAACCCCATCTCTACTAAAAATACAAAAATTAGCTGGGCGTGGTGGCACACATCTGTAATCCCAGCTACTTAGGAGGCTGAGGCAGGAGAATCTCTTGAACCAGGGAGGTGGAGGCTGCAGTGAGCCGAGATCGTGCCACTGCACTCCAGCCTGGTTTGTTCTTGATATATTAGTGGAGGATTTGGGGAATTAAAAATTTATTTCCTCTCCTAATAAAGTCTCACAGAGGACTTTAATTTTCAACTTTGGAAGTCAAAAATCTTTCCTCTGTTTCTTTCTGCATTCTTGGTATAAGAATTTTATTATTTCCCAAGGTAATGAATGCCTGAAGTTGAAATTGATAAGGCTCGCCCTACAAGGAAGTTCACAATGAAAAAGGCATTAATAATTTTAATACATCTCTGTTCAACAGAGTTGCCGAAAACACATCTTGAATGCCTTTTTTAGGATTGCCTCAAAGATAGTTTCTAAGTCACACAAGAAAATCAGTCATTACCTTAAAATTATAGCTATTTGTAATTTTAAAAATTGTTTTGTCCCACTTAATCAACCATTGTATAGTCCACATGTAGCTTTAACTGACTTTATCATTTTCAAACTAACAAATATATCCTCAAAGAATAATAATTCACCTTTTCTTTTTTTTTTTTCTTTTTTTTTTTTTTTTTTTGAGACGGAGTTTCACTCTTATTGTCCAGGCTGGAGTGCAATGGCACAATCTCGGCTCACAGCAACCTCCACCTCCCAGGTTCAAGCCATTCTCCTGCCTCAGCCTCCGGAGCAGCTGGGATTACAGGCATGAGCCACCACGCCTGGCTAATTTTTTTATATTTTTAGTACAGTCAGGATTTCTCCATGTTGGTCAGGCTGGTCTCAAACTCTGGACCTCAGGTGATCCACCCGCCTCGGCCTCCCAAAGTGCTGGGATTACAGGCGTGAGCCACTGCACCTGGCCAATTTACCTTTTCTTTATGGCTATTCAAAAGAATCTTTAAAAGGAAAAATCTAAAGAAAAATGATAATATGGAGGACAGCTTTTTTAAAAAAATGTAACTCACCCTCCCTTTAAATTCAAGTAAATGAAAATCATTGAAAACAAGAGACCAATAATTCTGAGTATTATTTTCCCTATATATTTTAACAAAGGTGGAGATGGAGTCATTGAAACTGGCACTTTCATAAATGCTGGGAGACATTAGTCCACTCATTTGGTTACTGATTTGGTACCACGTATTTAGAGCCATGAAATTGCTCAACTTCATGAATACAGTAATTCCATTTTCTGTAATGTATCCAAGAAAATAACCTAAAGTAAACAGGGGGAGACTTTATGCAAAAAGACAGTCATCAGAGTGATATTCATGATGGTAAGAATTAGGAACAATTGCACAAACAACGGAAGTGATTAACTCAATGACAATATTTTCTTTAATGGACAACGTTAGGACCCTAAGCAATTTTGATGGTGTTATGATAATATTATGGAATTGGAATAGTGGAATCCGAACCCAGATCCCAGTCACTGTTCTCCCAAGATAAACACAAATGGAGAGATGCAGACAGGGCCTGAAGCCCTGTTTTCATTCATGGAACCATAGTAAACCAGACAGAGTACCAGATGTGATCTAGAGACCTAAGAGGTCTCACCACAGCCCACCCACCTTACCACCACCACCATGGGCTGGTCTGAATCTGAGGATCTAATGGTACCAGATGCCCCATGGGAGAAAGGGAGCAGAAAGGACTGTAGCAAAACTGGCATAAGATGGCCCGATTCCCTCCCAGAAGGAACAAGAGAGGAGGAAGCTTTAAGAGACAGTGAGAAACCCCTGGCACCTGTGGTGCAATTAGATCTTCTGCCTTTGGAGAAGTGAGGAGAGACCTAGGAGAGAGGGCAGATATCTTCAAATATTGTGTCACCATCTTAAATGATCATAAACCATGAACAAATAAATATTAATGATACAATGGTAGTAAAAAACTTAATGGCTTTGTTCTCTTCCATTTAAATTACTTTCATGGTATATTTTACAAAAATAAAATTTAAAAGTAGCACAATTTAAAATATTCAATTTTGTCTTTTGAATCTAATAACATAAAGGTACACAGTGTTGCTGTGGTTTTCCTGGGCCTCAACTTTGCACATGTGTACACAAATGCACACACACAACACACACATCACCATATCCAACAATTGCTATATCGAATTACATTATCTGCTGCTGCTTATATAGATGCAATAACCCCAAGAGGTGTATGCCATCTAACGATTTTTGGTTGTTAAAATCTCTAATATCCTTAGGAAATTGGGTCACTGGGCTCTATGGTTTCACCCTGGTTTTACAGTTTTACTTGAAATTGACATACTTCCCTTTTATAAAAATTGCTTATATGATATGCCCACTTTAGGACACATTGCATTTTGTAAATTGCACAAGCTCTCTTTCATCCAGTTGCTTGTAGACAGACTCTATGTTTAAAAAGATCAAAAGTCATCAATGTGCTGACATGAAATATACCTCACTCAAGAGCACCCGATCCTTCATTTTCTGCCCAAAGTTGTTTGTTCCCCCTGGGGCTGTTATTTGCCAACCTATCACTTGCCTGCACACTCCCCAAAGAGGTAACAGCAGAAGCCAGCATCTGCCTATAAAGAGCAGTGGCATCCAAAGATTCCCCTTAATGACAATACCCCTGGAAACCTACTACCCCTACCCCTGGAAGACTGCACTGACCACTCTGTCTCCCATAAAAGTATATGCAAACCCCACATGACTATTCCTTTTTGGATGTGATGACCTGTTTTGGGGTCTGCTTTTTGAAAGAGAACATTTTATCTCTAGCCCCTGGCTCACAGAAAAGGAAAGAACAAATTAATACTGTCTTAAACATTGTCACAATAATAATTGTTATAAGAATCATAATTATTAGTCATTATTTAAAGTCATACAGACACACTGTATAAATAAAGTTTATACACATGCCCTGTGAATTTTATGGATTCATTATTTCTATTTTATAAATGAGAAAACAAACACTCATAGAGGTTATGTGTCTTGCTCAAGGGGCAAAAGCCTAGTAAGTGTCCAGAATGGAACATAAACACAGGTCTGCAAACCCCAAGTCAAGGCTTTCCACTAGCCATGTGCCCTTAACAATGTGGAAAGAACTCTGAACAGTAAAGAGCAGCTTGGTTCCCAAGGATGAAGAGTGTCATAAAGGAAGTTGTCTTGGGACCAAAAGACTCCTTGAATACAAGTTCTTGCTCATGTGGGCTCCCTATTGGGTCATTCTTGATTCCAGGCACAGGCATCATCATCAGACTGACACCCCATCTCTGATGCGATACACAACTCGCAAAGCAAATGGGCACTTTTCCCAGCTTGATTCCATGCCAACACTTCAACCTTCCCCAAGTTTACCCAACTGTATCCTTCCTGTTCCAAAAATTTGGAAAGTCTTTGAATAAAATAAATTTGGGAAGAATGTTCATCTTTATTGGCAAAGTGTTACTCAATAATCTTGCTAGCATGTTTTTTTTTTTTTTTTTTTTTTTTTTTCAGAATAATCTTATGCTTTCCCATTTGAGGTCAAACATTGTTTTTATGTTATTAAAATCCAATCAGTGAAACCAGAAGGCAAATTAAAATTTGCTCAAGTTGATCAATTTCTACAAGCAGAACATCTGTTCAGTGACTCCCACCAATTCCTTGGCATATTCCCCACAATTTTTTTTCTGGGACTGGGCCTCATACCTGCATTCTCTGCCCTCATGGTTAAACTGAATCTGCTAGGGTTTGGGGTGTGGAGGAGGTAAGGCAAACAATTCAGCCTCTTCAGCTAGACACGTTCAAGATGCAACAGAGCATTTCAGCCTGAACCTGGAACCAAATGAGTCTGCTCATAATTATTGTCTTCTTTTATTTTAGGTTCAGGGGTACAACATGTGCAGGTTTCTTATATAGGCAAATTGCATGTCACGGGGGTTTGGTGTACAGATTATTTCACCACTCAGGTAATAAAGATAGTATCAATTTTTTAAATACATCAGCCATTTCAAAGAAAAAAATGCTTTTAAAAATCAATTTTAGAAACAAATTTCAAAATTTGTCTCCACTTTAGTGTCCTAAGTTATTTTAGGTTGAAGATTTCAAAATATGCTTGTTAATTGCAGGGAGTATGTAATAGAAAGAGCACAGATACTAGTGTCATACAGAAATGGATCTATATCCTGTGTGATTTTGACAAAGTAGCCTCTGAATGTCAACCTTCTCATCAGCATAGTAGCATCTCTCTCTTGAACTTGATGTGAGAGTTAAATGTGCTCACCTATATAAAGCCTTAGCACAGTGCCTGGCCACCACAAATGCATAGCAGAAGTCATTTTCCTGGCTACCGTTATCACTAAAGAGTAAAGCCTAAATGAGGAATTCATCTGCAGTGGTTAATGCCACCTAAACTTACCCAGTAAGCACCAGAAAATAGCCAATATGATATTTATAACCCTACAAATATGAAGAGACAAATGGACATTAACAAGAAAATAAAAGAAATTTGATTCTAAAGATAAATGCAATGCACATCTTTGATTAAATCACATTTTCTACTTCTGGGGTTAATCTGTCTCATAATTATTGTATTTTTTTTTTGCAGAGCTCTTGTTTCCAAATATAGTTATCCATTTGTTATGAACACAATGAGAGTTTGCATTGATACAAGTATGTTTTCTGTTTCCTCCTCCTCCTTTTCCTCCTCTTCCTCCTCCTCCTTGTTGTTCTTCTTCATCTTCTTTTTGTGAGGCAGGGTCTCACTCCCTAGGCTCAGGTAATCCTCCCACCTCAGCCTCCCAATCAACTGGGACCACAGGTGTGCACTACCATGCCCAGATGATTTTTGTATTTAATGTAGAAGTGGGGTTTTGACATGTTGCTCAGGCTGGTCTCGAAGTCCTAGACTCAAGTGATCCCCAGCCTCCCAAAGTACTAGGATTACAGGCATAAGCCACTGCACCTGGCCTCTTCATTTTTAAATTTTAAAATGTATCCTTATTAAATCGACTTTAAAATACCATAAAACATTTCTTTAATGGGAATAACATTGAATCTATAAATTACTTTGGGGAGTATGGCCATTTACATGATACTTTTTCTTTCTATCCATGAGCATGGGATGCTTTTCCATTTGTTTGTGTCCTCTCTTACTTCCTTGAGCAGTGGTTTGTAGTTCTCCTTGAAAAGATCCTTCACTCGCCTTGTTAGCTGTATTCTAGGTATTTTAGACTCTTTGTAGCGATTGTGAATGGGAGTTCATTCACGATTTGGCTCTCTGCTTGTCCGTTGTTGGCGTATAGTAATGCTTGTGATTATTGAACATTGATTTTGTATCCTGAGACTTTGCCAAAGCTGTGAATCAGCTTAAGAAGCTTGGGCTGAGATGATGGAGTTTACTTGATATAGGATCATGACATCTGCAAACAGAGACATTTTGACTTCCTCTCTTCCTATCTGAATACCTGTTGTTTCTTTCTCTTGCCTGATTGCCCTGGCCAGAACTTCTAATACTATGTTGAATAGAAGTGGCGAGAGAGGGCATCTTTTTTGTGCCAATTTTCAAGGAGAATGCTTCCAGCTTTTGCCCATTCGGTATAATATTGGCTGTGGGTTTGCCATAAATGGCTCTTATTATTTTGAGGTACGTTCCTTCAATACCTAGTTTATTGAGAGTTTTTAAAATGAATGGACGTTGAAATTTATTGAAGGCCTTTTCTGCATCTATTGAAATAATCATGTGGTTTTTGTCTTTAGTTCTGTTTATATGTGAATTACATGTATTGATTTGCATATGTTGAACCAGCCTTGCATCCCAAGAATGAAGCCAACTTGATCATGGTGAATAAGCTTTTTGATGTGCTGCTGGATTCAGTTTGCCAGTATTTTACCAAGGATTTTTACATCGATCTTCATCAGGGATATTGGCCTGAAGTTTTCTTTTTTTGTTGTGTCTCTGCCAGGTTTTAGTACCGGGATGATGCTGGCCTCACAAAATGAATTAGGGAGGGGTCCCTCCTTTTCAATTGTTTGGAATAGTTTCAGAAGAAATGGTACCAGCTCCTTTTTGTACCTCTGGTAGAATTCAGCTGTAAATCTGTCTGGTGCTGGGCTTTTTTTGGTTGGTAGGCTATTTGTTACTGCCTCAATTTCAGAACTTGTGATTGGTCTATTCAGGGATTCAACTTCTTCCCAGTTCAGTCTTGGGAGGGTGTATGGCCATTGACATTCTTCACAGAATTAGAAAAAAAAACTACTTTAAAATTCTTATGGAACCAAAAAAGAGCCTGTATAGACAAGGCAACCTAAGCAAAAAGAACAAAGCTGGAGGCATCCCGCTACCTGGCTTCAAGCTATACTACAAGGCTACAATAACCAAAACAGCATGGTACTGGTACAAAAACAGATACATAGGCCAGTGGAACAGTATAGAGGTCTCAGAAATAAGACCACACATCTACAACCATCTAATCTTTGACAAATCTGACAAAACCAAGCAATGGGGAAAGGAGTCCCTATTTAATAAATGGTGCTTGGGAAGTGGGCTAGCCATATGCAGAAGATTGAAGATGGACCCCTTTCTTACACCTTATACAAAAATTAACTCAACCATTCAGGACATAGGCACAGGCAAAGACTTCCTGACGAAAACATCAAAAGCAATTGCAACAAAAGCAAAAATTGACAAAGGGGATCTAATTAAACTAAAGAGCTTCTGCACAGCAAAAGAAACTATCAGAGTGAACAGACAGCCTACAGAATGGGAGAAAATTATTGCAATCTACCCATATGACAAAGATCTAATATCCAGAATCTACAAAGAACTTAAACAAATTTACAAAAAAAACAAGAAAACAAAAAACAAAAAAAAAAAAACCCCAATAAAAAGTGGGCAAAGGACAAGAACAGACACTTCTCAAAAGAAGATATTTATATGGCCAGCAAACATATGAAGAAAAGCTCAACATCACTGATCATTAGAGAACTGAAAATCAAAACCACAAAGAGTACCATGTCACTCCAGTCAGAATGGTGATTATTAAAGAGTCAAGAAACAGCAGATGCTGATGAGGCTGTGGAGAAATAGGAATGCTTTTACACTGTTGGTGGGAATGTAAATTAAACCATTGTGGAAGATAGTGTGGCAATTTCTCAAAAACCTAGAACCAGAAATACCCTTTGACCCAGCAATCCCATTACTGGGTATATACCTAAAGGAATATAAATCATTTTATTATAAAGATAAATGCATGCATATGTTCATTGCAGCACTATTCCCAATAGCAAAGACATGGAATCAACCCAAATGCCCATCAATGAAAGACTGAATAAAGAAAATATGGTACACATACACCATAGAATACTATGCAGCCATAAAAAGGAATAAGATCATGTCCTTTGCAGGGACATGGATGGAGCTGGAAGCCATTATCCTCATCAAACTAATGCAGGAACAGAAAACCAAACACTGCATGTTCTCAGTCATAAATGGGAGCTGAACAATGAGAACACATGGACACAGGGAGGGAACAACACACACTAGGGCCTGTTGGGGCAGGGGCGTGGTGGGGTAGTGAGAGGGAGAGCATCAGGATAAAAATATAATGCACGTGGGCTTAATACCTAGGTGATGGGTTGATAGGTGCAGCAAACCACCATGGCACACATTTACCTATCTAACAAACCTGCACATCCTGCACATATATCCTGGAACTTAAAATAAAATAAAAATTTTTAAAAAGAAAACAAAAAATACTGATCTAAAAAGTGGACTTTAAAATACTTAGGAAAATTAACTAAGTCCATAAATTGAATATTTATGTGGAATTCAGTCTATTTTACTCTAGTTGACCAAACATTAATTAAAGATCCTCCTGAAAAAAAATTATTTAAATTGATGCATAGTTTTATTGCACCTATAGAACCATTTTCATTTATTATTTGTGTTCTATCAAAGCTTTAAAAAAAAACAGAAAAAAATATTTTATATTACAAAACCAAAATGCATTTATTTTGGAGAAAATTTGAGGGAAAATATTTTTAAGAGGTATAAAAGATAAAATAGAGACCATAAGCAATTCAACCATTAAATTATTACCAACATAAACACTGGCATATTTCATGTCAAACTTTTAATTCATATTTTGATATCATATCCTCTTTAGTTTCCTAACATTTAAAAAATTTAGTCATTAAATGTTTATCAAAACACAGGTTTTAAGAAAGTTTTATTAGAACATAGCTAAATTTATTCATATATATATGGTCTGCGGCTGCTTTCATGCTACAACTAAATAGCTGAGTTGAGTCACTGCAACAGAGACCAGATGGCCTGCAAAGCCTACAATATTTAGCATTTGGCCCTTTATAGAAAAAGTTTGCCAATCCTTAGTCTAGATGTACAGGAATGTGTTTAAGTTTCTCTTGTTATTGGATATTCAGAGTTTTTATTTTTAAAACTGTTATTGATAACTGCAATGAACATCTCTGAACATAAATATTTGTCTCTAACTCTGATTATTTTCTTAGGATGTACTTTGGAATTTAGCGGAAAACAGATCAAGACGTGTACAATTCTTGATGCATACTGCCAAATTGCATTCAGAAAGGTCGTGCCAACTTACACACTCACACCAGATGTTCATGAGCATATCCAGATCATCACATGCTTGCAAGAATTTAACATTATTATTTTTTGTTATGTCAGTTTGATAGATTAATAATATTTCATGCTAATCTGCATTTTCTGGATGGTTAAAGAGGCTTACATTTTATCTCATATATATAGGGCATTTTTTAAAATAATCTATTTATGTACTTTGCCCATTTTCTTACATTATTTAAAAAGTTTTCTACCTTTGAAGAATATTTATGTCTGCTGTACCACATGTGACCAATATTTTCTCTAGTTTATCATTTGCCCTTCACTCTCAATGCCTCTTTCTCCAGGAGCTTAATCATTCTTTGGTTGGATCATTTCTGGTTTACCATGTTTCCTTTATAGTTTTAGTGTCTTTATTATTTTACACTTCTCTATCTCTCTCTGATTCCTCCCAAGAGACTGTTTCAAGATAGTCCTCACTTCACTTTGATTTTTCTGAAGTTTCAATTCAGTCTTTCATTGCTTCTAATACATGTTAGTTTAGTATTTATTTCCCGGTAGACTTTTCTTCTCAGTCAGCCCCTTTCTTCTACAGAATATTTTCTTTTCTTTTCTTTAACTTTTATTTTAAGTTCAGGGGTACAGTGCAGGTTTGTTATATAGTTAAACTTGTGTCCTGGGGTTTTGTTGTACAGATTATTTCCTCACCTAGGTATTAAGCCTAGCACCCATTAGTTATTTTTTCTGATCCCCTCCATCCTCCCACCCTTCACCCCCTAAAAGGTCCCAGTGTGTGTTATTCCCCTTTGTGTGTCCATGTGTCCTCATCATTTAGCTCCAACTTACAAGTGAGAACATGCAGTATTTTTTTGGTTTTCTGTTCCTGTGTTAGTTTGCTAAGGACAATGGCCTCCAGCTCCATCCATATCCCTGCAAAGGACATGATCTTGTTGTTTTATGGCTGCTTAGTATTCCATGGTGTATATGTACCCCAGATTTGGGGTACATATATTTTCTTTATCCAGTCTACCATTGATGGGCATTTAGGTTGAATCTATGCCTTTGCTATACAGCATGTTTTCTTTGTGTCTCATTGCATCATCTCTTTACCTCGAGATATTTTCTCCTTATAACACTGAGGCCAAGTCTTCCTTCAACCTACTGCATTCAGTATGTCTGAAAGGAGAACTCTGAGACATACATGCATATTTTCTGTAATTTTTAAAATGTTTTATTGTAATAGTCTTGGTCCTTTTATCCTGTGGTAGGCAGAATAACAACTCCCCAAAGATGCCCGGGTCCTAACCTCCAAAACTTGGAATATGTTACTTTATATGACAAAAGGAATTTTGTAGATGTGATTAAGTTAAAGATTTTGTGACCAGTAGATTATCTGGATTATCAGGGTGAGCCCAGTGTAATCACAGAGATTCTTAGAAGAGGGAGACAGGAGGGCCAGCGTCAGAGAAGGAGATGTGATGATGGAAGCCGGGGTCAGAGAGAGAGAGAGATTTGAAGATGCTATGCTCCTGGCCTTGAAGGTGAAGGAAGGAGCTGTGAGCCAAGGAATATAGGTGATGACCTCTAGAGCTGGAAAAGACAAGGAAACAGACTCTCTCTTAGAGCCTCTAGAAAGAATGCAGCCCTGCCAGCACCTTGTTCTTAGGACTTCTGAACCCTAGAACTGTAAGATAATAAATTTGTGTTGTTATAAGCCACCAAATTTGGGGTAATTTATTGTAGCAACAACAGGAAACTAATCCAGAGTTTACACAAAAGGGACTTTGCAGATGTGATGAAGGTTATGGACTCTGGGATAGGGAGATACCCTAGATTGTCTAGGTGGACCAAATCTAATCACTTGAGCCCTTAAGAACAGAGAAATGTATCTGGCTAGAGTCAGGGAGATGCAGCAGAAGAGGACAGATGAAAAATGAGGTAAAAGTGTAAGTCAAAGAGAGATAAAGTATGAGAAAGACTCAGCCTACCATTAATGGATGTGAAGATGGAGAAAGGGGACCACAAGCCAGAGGATGAGGGTGGCCTCTAGAAGCTGGAAACAGGCATCTCAGTCCTCCAGCCACAGGGAGCTGAACGCAGCAACATCCTAAATGAGCCTAAAATTAAATAATCCCCTATAGAAAAAGCAAAGAAAGGAAGGAATAGAGCCCTTTTGACTCCGTGATTTTGGCCTTATAAAACCCAGAGCAGAGAAAACCAGCCAAGTCCGCTAGACCTACAAAACTGTGATATAATAAATGGTGTTGTTTAAGGCTTCTAAATTTGTGGTGATTTGTTACAACAGTAATAGCAAATGAATAAACATCTCAAGTTACAAAAATCAAACTCAAACTTAAAGGGTCTATTTTACTCCTATAATAAAGAGTCTGATAGAGGTCAGTTCTTGGGTTGATAATTCAGTGGCTTGATCCTCTGGTCAGAGAACCAAATTCTTCCACATTTCTGCTAAGCTATCCTTGAAATGATAGCTACGTCCCCTAGTGGTCACAGATGGCTGCAGCCACTCCAGGAATCCTTCCAGACAAAGAAAGATTTTCTTCCTAAGGCATCTCTTTTAATAGGGGGGAAGAAAAAAAAAACTTTCCCAGAGTTTCCCTAGCAGGTATTTCATCTTGCTTCATTGGCTGGAACTAAGTTCTATGTAAACCACTAAGAATCACTAACAAGGAGGACAGAAACAGGACTTGGATCAATTAAATTTACCTAAGTCACATAGGATAGGGATGGGCAACAGAATGAAAGGCAGGACTCTGCTTCGTGGGAAAACGACAGAAATGACCATGAGTACCAATCATCAGTGTTTGCCTCAAGGTTTTAGTTATCCTAGAACAGTGAGTGATTGATGCAGAACTAAGGTTGCCCAGCTGAAATGGTGAGTGAATTAGTCTGGCTCCAGCTCAGTTTCCACAAAATTCAAAAACCAATGTAGAGGACATGGATGTGTGATCAGGAGTCTAAAATATCAAAGATGGAACACTGAATGTTAACATTTAACTCCAAAGCAAGGACCTCCAAGCCATTAAAGAGTCTAGGCTCTGGAGAATGAGATTGGGAGGAAATTGAGTAAGGCATTCGAATCCAGAAGACCGTAAACTGCCTGTGTCCCATACTAGGAAAGCAAAGTTTCTGAGAGATGCTGAGGAGCTGGCCATAGCTGAGCTACATGGTTAGGTATGTGCTGGGCTGGCTAGAGATGGGATGCTGTGTATGTGAGGTGCCTCTGCTCTGCATATGCTGCACTTACCTTGGTGTTGGGACATCCAGCTTACCACTGCTGCATACATGATGCTCATGTCAACAAGCTGGCTGGTCAGGTCAGGATTTATCAGTATGGGAAGAAAATTTGTCCAGCTTTCAGGAAGTCTCTTTATGTTAGAGAGAGGGAGGAAGGATGGAGAGAGAATGGGTGGCAGGAGAAAAAAACAGGACAGATAAAGATGGGAAGGGAAAGGAGGAAAGTCAAGGGTAGGGGAGAGGAGAAGAGGAAAGGGAAGGGAAGAGAAGGGAGGGGAAAGGAGAATAGAAAGAATTGTTTTAAATAAATCTGATCACCTTATTCCTCCAATTAAAACCTTTTAACACCTGTTTGCCCTTTTCCCATGCTGCAGAGCCCTGATTTTGTTCTGTTGTCCACCTATATCTTAAATGACTCAGGCAATGCTAACTGAATTGATCCCATTCTCCTTGTCGGTGATGACTTTAGTGGTTTGCTTGTGGCCCAATTCTAGTCCATGAGACAGATCAGAAGGTCAGCCAAAGGTCTTAGCAGAATTTAGCGTGGCTTGCATTTCCTGCATACTCTAGGCTCTGACAGATTTTGTGGCTTCATCTTACACCCATTAGTCCCTCCATCTCTCTGTTCTGGTACACTGAATTTTTTCCATTACTTCAAAGTGTCCCAGTCTCTTGAGGCTGGAATTTTTCTGATTCTAGTCTTATTTTCCTCCTTCCTACACCTTTTTCTCTTTCTTTAAATATCACTTCTTCAAGAAGGTGTTTCTTACCCCATTGGCTAGATCAGGTTTCCATAAGTATTTCCATTAGTACTCTTTTCTTTATTCATTAAGTCATGCAAAAAAATATTATGTTTTATGTTGTCAGTCAGATTACTAAATGTTGTCCACAGGACAATCAGCCATCAAAACAGCCACAGCCCTTGCACTCACCACATTGTTGATTTCTCAATAAATGTCAGCTGGGACAGCTGTACCCAGAAATCTCTGTCAGGGATCCGTCTGTCTTGTATTGCACTAGTTCCCCAGCATTTATAATGGTATCTAACACATAGTAGGTACTCAATAAAGAGTTGTTGAATGAGTGAATAAATAAGGAAAGCAGGAAATTGAGGATCCTTAGGCAATGAAAATATCTCTAACTGTACCTGATGAGTAAAACATTTCTGCTAGGGAGATCAACTGTTCAATTACAGTTTGGAATTGAAGGGTTTTGAAGGACTTAGGACTTTCAGTGCTAATATTGAGAATGTCCTGAGCAAACCGAGACAAGTTGGTCACCCTCTATTTATGGCCCTCCAAACCAAAAGAGTTCCCCTGTCCTCACTTTCCACTCTTTTCCACCTGTAACTAATCTTCTGGGAAGATATTTCCATTCTGCCTCTAAATGAATGGAAATGTTTCAGGCTCTGCCATTGTTTCCTAAAATGGTAGATTCTCAAGGCTGAGAGGTTATGTATTTTACCATCAGAATTTTAAATTCTGGATTCCTCATTTCTGGATAGAGTCAAAGCGGCTGAAGCCTGTGTTCAGCCATTTGTACTCATCATCTTCAAAACTTCTCATCCGTAAAAAGGTCTCCCAAAATCAAAGCACTTTAGAGATGCCAAACAGGAAGGTTGAAAATAAGCCAGTGCATTCAACAAAGCATGAACCATTGTGCTTCTTGGCTTCCTATTTCAGAGACACTTCCGAACAACTCTTCCACAGCCTCTAGCAAGCAATGTTTCTCTTCTACATAAAAACCTTGAAAGAGAAGAGAAAAAAGCAAAGGTCTATCTTATATATAGGCACATATTTGAACCTCAGTGGTGTTTTTGCTCCAAGAACTGAAATTCGTTCTTCACAGAGATAATGAAATGCTCTGAAAATGACCCAAAAGACATTTTTTGGGTCAGTCCAGGTTTTGTTTGTTCCAAGGCATGGAGTAATGGTGTAAGGCTCTTAGCTCTGGCCAGAATTTCAATGTTCTGACTCCTTGCCCAGTATTCTCACTCTTCCACATTACCACAATACAGCATTCTTGTGTGTATATGTCAATAAATTGTTTTCAAGTTTGATTTTTTAATTTAAATATTTAAATTCAACATGTTTTCATGGTTCATGTTTCACCTAGAACCAGCATACTCAAAGGGCGGGTGTTTATATTTTTATTGATGCTGACTGGTAGGACTCATATTAAGGGTTGTTGAATTTTGACACGTAGAAGTAGGTGAGAAAACACACTCTTTGGCAAATTATAAAGGTAAATCCTCCTCTCAAGGCATTTTTGTGTGTTCTTCCAAGACACACTCCCTGCTCATCACTGGAGCCTCCCCCTTTCAGTATTACTGGCATGGGCAATGGCAGGTCTCAGCTTTGCCACCCAGGCTGGAGTGCCCTGATGTGATCTCGGCTCACTGCAACCTCTGCCTCCAAGGTTCAAGCCATTCTCCTGCCTCGGCCTCCTGAGTAGCTGGGATTACAGGCATGCACCATCACACCCAGCTAATTTTTGTATTTTTTGTAGAGATGGGGTTTCACGACATTGGCCCGGCTGGTCATGAACTCCTGACCCCAAGTGATCCACCCATCTCGGCCTCCCAAAGTGCTGGGATTACAGGCATGAGCCACCGCACCCGGCCAGGTGTCTGCATTTATTTATTTATTTATTTGTTTATTTATTTATTTTGTGGAGGTACAAGTTTTCATTCTGATTAGACCCTATTATTCTGAGGGCAAAAACTATGTTTTGTGCTCCCTTTGTATCACCTAGGTCATCTGGTACTATGTTGGGCATGTATTTATTTATTTATTTTATACTCTAAGTTCTGGGATGCGCTTGCAGAACGTGCACGTTTGTTAACAAACATATGAAAAAAGTTGTAGGTCTCAGCTTTTGAAAATCAAGTATTCCATCCCTTTTGAAGTCATGTCAAGGGACCTAACATGACCCATCAGCTACTTCTCTCACAAGTGACCCACATCTGCTCTTCATGAAACAGTCAACACATCCACTACTCTTACAAATTATCTTCTCTTCACTTCACTGTCTGAGCCTCTATCTAGTCAAGTTTCTCACACAGTAGATCTCTGAAGCACGAGTCAGATACCAGTCCATTGTATGTCCCAAGCTCCAGGAGTCACAAATCAAGCTCTTTGAGTGTCCTATTCAAGCCCCTTCTTCTACATGATGGAAGAGCCCACTGTGGTGGCTTCTGTTGGAGCCTTGCTCAGATCCCTTTCACCAGGTGGGTGCACTCATCTCCCAGTTGCTATGTTGGCCACGAACAACTCACAGCTGCCCTTCTCAGGGAGGGCCTTATGAGACAGCAGGACCCTCTCTCCTGGAAGGTTATGCCCATCACACTACAGGCCAGCCAATGGCCAATGACTGACTGACATGGGGTTCAAAAGTCTGAAACCCTAGCTTCAAAGTGAGACAATTCTGTGATGCAATTCATGCTCCAGAGCTCCCAGGCGAACCAAGCTAGACTGCTTTCCAGCTGAAAACCTCTCATTGCTGGGCTCCTTCCCCTGCCCCATCCTGCATCCCTCACTTCCCACCTCCTGAGAGCACCCACTCAATAAGTCACTTGTACAAGGAACCCTGTGTCAGGTTCTGTTTCTGGGGAATCCAACCTAAGACAAGGCCTGTCATCCATGGAAGCAGGTGAGGCAAGAGAAACTCACAACACAACAATAGTTCTGTTCATAAACCTCTTCTAATTTTCATCTGCCCACATCCACCCTTCTATGCCCTTCAGTGGCCAATGAGTGGTGAGTGGCAAGAGTATCCAAATGAATGTTTACCAACCCCTTTTTAAAGTCTAGCATAGGTGGCCTTACTTTAGAATATGGGAAATGTTAGCATCTATTTGCTTGAGGCCAGGAGTGAAATAGTTCCCTTTGACTTCCTGATGTTATATGAGGTGCATATAAAATTCTGAGCACATGACAGGAGTCTGCTGAATGATAGCTATTATTTTGGTCCTTTAAAATAATGTCCTGAGAATTCATTGCATGCCACATGCTAGGCTCCTTGACAAACATTATTATCTCATTCTGTCCTCACAGTGACTCTTCAGAGGGTCACAGTACTATTAATCCTCATTTTATTGATCCTCATTCATAAAGCTAAATTTCAGAAAACATTCAATGCCTGGGCCTCATTCCAAACCTAGGTTTTTGCCTAATTTTTTATCAAACCTTTTTCTCACTGTGCTGGTTTCCCACCCTAAAACTGCTCTCCCTTTTCCAGTTTGTTGCTCCTGCAACCTCAGTCAGCAGGGATTCAAGCTGCAGGTTCTAACTTCGTTCTTGCTGACAGTAAAGTATTTTGTTTTTTTTCTTCCTTGGCATTCAGATCTGCGTGAGTTCTGAAGAAGAACAAGATGGTTTTATCAGAGTCCTCAGTGGAAAAAAGAAAGGCCTCATCCCCCTTGATGTACTAGAAAACATCTGATTGCTGGCTCCTCCTCCGTTTGCAGTAGGCAAGCTCTGCTGCGATGCCTCTGCCTCATCTCACACTGCGTCAACCCAAAGGAGCTGCCGCACTGACCCAGCCCCCCAGGAAACAGTGAGACAAGAATCAAGTATCTGAGACTGTGGAGTAATAGCCACAAAACAGAGGGCCCACTGCACAGCATATCCAGGCTGCCACAGGTGGGGACGAGGCTGAGAGAGTCAGCAGGCAGAGCCAGATGCCATGCTTGGCAGCAGCAGTAGGACTATAAACCACAGCTGTCCCCCAGGATCCCACTCCTTTCCTGTCTGTGTGGTGTAAGTTAACACACTGGAGTGTGCTCCAGTTTGCAGGGTAGCCCAGTGCAAGGTTCAGATCCATGTAGCTAAGTATTATCCTGCTTCCAGACCTATGTCACCAGTACCAATCAGTCAGTGTCATCACATTTCAGGCCCCAAGCAATCTCTGTGCAAAGCATCAGAAAGACCTGCTTCCCAGCCCCCAGCATTCCAGTGCTCTCCAGGCTTCCTCTCTTTGTGATTGTGCTGTCCAGAGTGTCCAGCTTGTTCTTTCTTTCTCTTCAGTCCTCTGAGTACATCTGGTGGTGTGCATTAGATGTGAGGGCTATGTTGACATGGCATCACCTCCAAAGACCTGACCTGCCTAAAGACTGATGACAGGCCATCCTTCCTGCTGTTCTAGGTACTGGCCTGGGTGACAGAGCAGGACATGAGACATAGATACAGTGGGGAGGAGAAGTGGGGAAAGGTGGAGCAGAGAGTTCTTACTTATTGAAGATTATACAGCCCTTTCGGTTATGAAGTCCCTGCTTGAAGGCAATGGACCTGGGGAAGAGACTATCACAAAAAGTCTCCATTTTCATTTTACATCCTCTCTATTGGAGGCAGCACTTTTCCCTCATGCTGTCCTATAGGACTCCACTTTGAAGGTTGTGCCTACGTTGCAGGGAACTAGGAACATGGAGGGGAACCAACAACAGCATCTTAGAAGAAATGTAGCCAAATTGGAGTCCATTCTTCTTTAGGGCAGTATATGAAATCCTAGCAGATGTAAAATGGAAAAGAATCCTAATGCTTCTTCCTTCAGAAAGTAGAGGAACTAGGGGCCCAATTAGCATCATCTAGGGGAATCTCTATTACTCTGTACTTATACTAATGTTTACAAGAATGCAATATACTGTGATGCCTTCCTACTCAAGCCTCCTAGCATTCAAACTTCCATCCTATTAGTCATTAACATGGTTAAACTTCAATTCACAATCACCTTGGAATCAATGTCAGTTTGATTTATTTTGTTACAGAGCAATAAAATCATTAGAACAATGGTTTTTAAAAGACTTAAGTGGATGCATCCTATGCATGTAAGCATTATTTCCCAAACCAAAGCATCATTCATCTCCATTTATTTCTTTTGTTCCCGCTCAGTGTGAAGTTGGGAACTGAGAGGGGATGGCTGCTGGTTTCACAGAAGTTTGGATGCCTTACTCTTATCTTAAAGCCAGCATCCAGAATTTCCTCCCTCTCTGATGCCACATGCAAAACCAGGTGTACGATGTCAAGATGGATTCTTTGAGAGCCAGGGTAGATCATATGACTGCCTTTCTGTAAAATTGGATGCCTAGTACAAATGCTCTTTGCCTCTAATTCAGTATTCCATTTAATAAAAACAATACAGTGGCTGGAAAGGAGCATCAGAAACATGTGTCCTGATCTCTTCTTTCTGTCATGATATCCATTAACTTTTTGGTACAATGATGTCACATCATATGCATGTTTAATTAAGATGAATCTTAAAAATGAGTTTGCCTTTTACAGTTGAATAGAAGGAAGATGTGGTATCTAGCCTCCAAGGTAGTCTCCCAAAGATCCCTACCTCCTCATATTCTTTCCTTTGTGTAGTCCCTTCCCACACTGAATCAGGGCTGGTCTTATGTGACCAATAGAACACAGCAGAAGTAGTACTACAAGGCTGTCTTAGTCTATTTTCTGTTTCTATAACAGAATATCTGAGACTGGTTAATTTATAAAGAAAAGAGATTTATTTTGCTGACAATTCTAGAGGCTAGGAAGTCCAAGAAGCATAGCGCTGGCATTTATTTGGCTTCTGGTGGTGGCCATGTGCTGTATCATAACACGGCAGAGAAGCAGAATAGAAAGTAGGCATGTGCAAAGAAATAGAGAGAGACCAAACACAAGGAGCAGCCTTGATTTTTAACAACTCACTCTTGAAGTAACAAACCCAGTCCCAAGAGAGCAAGAACTCACTCACACCCGTGGGATAGCATTATCTATTCATTATGGATTCTCCCCATGACCCAAACACCTCCCATTCAGCCCACCTCCCAATATAGCCACAATGGCAATCAAATTTCAACATGAGTTTCAGAGGGGACAAACTATATTCAAAACATAGTAATGACCCCATCTCAAATTGCATCTGAGGTTAAGTTTTAAAAGCAGCTTTAGCCTTGATCTCTTGGAACACTCACTGTTGGAACCTTGAGATACCATAAGAATTTCAACTACCCTGAGGCCACCATGCAGGAAAGACCCTGTGGAAAGACTACATATTTCATCATCTGAGGTGGCAGACATCACAGAGCAGAGATGAGTCGTCCCTGCTGAGCCCTGCCCAAGTTACAGATTTATGAGCAAGATAACTATGTGGGGATTTTTTAAGTCACTATGTTTTGGAGTGATTTGTTATACAGAAACAGATAACAGAAGCAGGGGTTTTGTAATTTAAGTCAATGTTAGAAGAGAAAAATGCTCTTTCTACACAATCAGGCCCAAAAGCGTTGCAAACATCAAGTGTTAGCAGGCAATTATCCCTCTAAATACAAGATATGTAGTATTCCCTAAAGATCTGGAGTCATCCAGACCTAAGGGAAAAAGCAAGATGTTCCTCATAGTATAGATTTCCATGAGTGCTTACACAAACACAGAGATTTTAGGAGCCACAGCTTTTTTTTTCTTGCCTGTCTGCAGAAATTAAAAGCACAAGGATAGCTACGGCCTACCAAAGTCTTAAAGGTTTGCAAGACTCAGAAAATGGCTAAAAGAAGGACCATAATTTTTGAGTGGAGAAGAGATGAAGATCTCAGGAGATACTCTGGTGAGGAGACAGGGAAGGAGGGGAAGTGTCCATATGAAGAATAAAAAGGGGACCTGAGGGATATGCTTTGTAGTGTACGAAAACAGCCTTGTACCCCCTTACCTCTGCCCCTGCCTATAGCCAAGGGATGGTACATACCTAGCTGCACCAGGGAAGATATGCCCTATACTTCATCACTAGTGCCATAAGACTTTACTTCTATTATAGTAAATTTGAAATGAAGAACTGAGTGAACCTTCCTCAGGGCTCCAGAAGGTGGAGAATAGAACTCCCTTTACTTCCCATCACTAGCAGACATCTACAGCACCTCTCACATGGGCAGCAGGGTGGCAAAGAGAGCCCATGTGTAGATATCCAGATTGCTAGATTTCACAGACAGATACCCACATGGCTAGATTTCACAGATGGTTGATTTCACAGACCACTTTTCCTTCCCAAATACACAACAAACACCACCACCACCACGACCACCCATACACACACACTAATTCACTCCCATTAAGAGGAAGGGTCCAGCATTTGGGTTGCATATTTAGAGCAGGTAGTGGAGAGAATATGGCAGGATCTATTAGAGTTAGTGTTCTTTGCTATTAAAGAGAGAAAAAACCAGTGGGAAGATCACAACACCTTGGTGCCAAGTACTGTTAAAAGACAAAAGAGCCAGTTGTCCAGGAAATTGGCTACTCCAAGGAGGAGAGAGCCAAGAAGGAAATCTACTGGCCAGCCTAAGCCTAGAGCCAGGTCCAGTCAGAAATGCAGCTGTGAAAAAGTGGTGTGTGGGAGAAAAAAGCTGAGATTTAAATAAAGTGAACTTGACTTCTTTACTCAGGACTTCTCAGAGCCTTTAATTTGCTAATTCTCATAGTAAATCTCCAAAAAGGAGATTTAAAACTGTGGATCACCTATAAGACTCTCCTAAAACAACATTCCAAGGAACATACTTTGGGAAATTCTGCAGTAAAGCATTCTCATATCAGATCACCCAATAGCCCCTATGCTTCTACTATCCCCTCTCTTCCTACATCTCACTGAAATACTTACAAAGGGCAAAAGCACTCAATCCTAATGATAAGAATGAAGACAATCTATTCTGGGATCTGAGTTGGTAGGAGAATAAGCTAAAGTATGAATCTGTATACTCCAAGAGTGAAAAACTCCAGAGAAAGATTAGTTTTATCACACTGATAGCTGTAGCAAACACCAGCATGGAGTAGGCTGTATAAATCTGGGAATAAAAGAAAATTCATCATTGCCCAAAATAGCATCCCCAGGAAACTGAGTGAGCAGGTGTGCTCCACAGATTTATCACAAAACAGAAATTATTAAAAATAACTCAGACAGAAAATTAAAACTAGTTTAATGACATCCTGTAACTATCTCCTAGATTTTGCTAAGTTGCCACTCTGTTGTGTGTTTCATACAACACCTGGTGTTTTGACCCTTAGAGCATGTTTTTTCTTAGATTTCAATGAGAAGTTTTAAATAGTCTTTAATCTTCCTGTGGATAATACAAATTTATCCATACCTTGAAATTTTAACAAGATAATAGCCATTTATTTTAACAGTCCCCTTTTGCAAATGAAAAGATGGCAGGGTTTTTTTTGTCAGCTCATTGTCAAGCTTACACAATTATTGAACATCCTCCGTGTCTTCATGGAAGTAAGGACATACCAAAGTCCTGGAAACACACCTAGGAAAAGTACAAGACCTATTTCCAAGATCATGGATCATCTTTAGAATTCCTCCACTGGCATTATTTACTCAGGTTTTCAGGTTATTGCCTGAATCCATCTTTTTCTATACATGGCAAAATTTTTCTTTGTCTTTATCAGCTATTTGAAAATTATGTGCTTAGTTTATTTACTTTTACTCCTTCTTTAGGTAAGAAAAAGCATCCAAGGTTATAAATTTTCCTCTGAGTTCAGCTTCGACCACATTAGATAGCTGTTTCTATTTTCATTCACTTATAAATTATCTTTAACTGTAGTTTTTATTTTTTATTTGATTTTTAGTGTGTGTTAATTAAAACATTGTGCACTATAGTCGGAAAATATGGTACATATGATTTCTGCTTTGAGGAATTTATTGGCATGTTGTTTTGTGCTCTAATATATTATTCATCTTTATAAATGTTCAATGGATGCTGAGGGAAAAGTCATATCTTTAATATACAGAGTTCAACATGTATCTATTAAACAAATCCTTTAAGTATTCATATTCTTTTTTTTTTCTTTTCTTTTGATATAGAGTTTCACTCTGTCACCCAGGCTGGAGTGCAATCGTGTGATCTCGGCTCACTGCAACCTCCACCTCCTGGGTTCAAGAAATTCTCCTGCCTCAGCCTCCTGAGTAATTGGCATTACAGGCACCTACCACCACGCCTGGCTAACTTTTTTTAGTAGAGATGGGGTTTCACCATGTTGGTCAGGCTGGTCTTGAACTCCTGACCTCAGGTGATCCGCCCACCTCAGCCTCCCAAAGTGCTGGGATTACAGGTGTGAGCCACCGTGCCCAGCCTAAATATCTATATTCTTATTTATTTTTGCTCATGTGCTCCGTCAAAGACAAGGACAAGCAACAGTGGGGTTGCAATAAAAGATATTCTACAAGGCCCTCCAATCACTTCCTTAGAGCCAGCCTTGCAGGGAGGAAATAGCAGCCAGTTCTTTCTGCCACAGTCTCCCTTTCTATAATACATGTAGGATGAATCGCTCAGGTCATTTCCTAAGTAAATATTCTCTTTAGCTCCCTGGAGCAAACTGTAAAGGAACCACTTTTAAATGAAGATGTTCCAAAGATATTCTTAGAAAACTTCAATTTCAAATGAAGAGTATTTGGGTCATGGAATCTTTACAGAAAGATAAATTACAATGAAACCCACCATCACTATTGAAAAGCTGTTAAGGGTTTTTCTGATAAACTCAAAGAAACTTACAAGTTCCTAATTTTAAGGTATTGGGGTGCTTTTCTTTCCTTCATGTTAGGCATATAACAAATGAAGTACCGAAATATATCTTCTACTGGAGTGGTATTCCTAGAAGCACATAGCTAAAGAGTGCATAAAGTAGGTTTGGGATAATCAATCTTATCCTAATATAAATACTTGCTGCATCGTAAGAATTCATTTATTCCTGACAATAATCCTGATAGCTGAGTTTTATTGTCTCCATTTTTCAGATGGAGAAACTGAGACTCATAAATATTAGATCCCTTGCCCAAGGTCACACAACTGATAAAAGTTGGAATGAGGTTTTGCACCTGTAACAGCATCCCTAGTGCTCCTAAGTGGCTGGCTTCTGAGAGCATTTGGTTGCAAAATTAAATGTTGGAGTTGCAGAATAACACGCAGGCAATAATTATTATTGGTGCCATGCCTTACTATATAGTTTATTGTAATTATTTCCTTGATGATAATAATAGTTTCAAGTTAATGGATTTATAGATGATTATAGCAAAAAGCATACAATGATGTAGAGGTGGTGCCAGAAGAGTCTGCATTACACTTATGAATTTCCAAGGATCCATGAGACACACCCTCAGCCTTGCAGACTGAGGAAACTGAAGTGTTGGTGCATGGAGGAGAAATTCACTTCTCAGAGTAGGACTTACATTTACCAACCTCAAAAAGTCACATAGTCCCAAAAATAATAATTTATGAGCTCACATTGAAAATAATACAGTCACTATGTTGAGGGACAAACTTTACTGGCATATCTATACTACTTGGTCTCCCTGAGGGCAACTGCATTAAATCTCCTCTGTACTTGGAAGGGCACTCAATGACTATGGAGGTTAGAGATGTGTTTGGTAGCCTCCAACTGACATAACCTGAAAGAGCCACATGCATGATAAGAATAATCTTGACAATGGTACCCATCATATTGGATAATTGGATAAGAGTTCCTCTCTTCACCAAGTGCTTAAAATGGCCAATGCTCACTTTTGCATTAGTGATCTCACTTTGTCTATGCTTTCATAGCATAGAAATATGTCCCCTTCTCAGAGGCACATTTCTTACTTTCAGGTAAGTCTTGCCCTAACCAGGGAGTGCCTCTTTTCAAAGAGAGTTTTAATCTCTCCAATTTTATCTAGTCTGTGCTTAACTTTCTGAAATTTTAACTTTCAAAAGGCAAGTATGCCCTTATTTCCAGGTTCTCAAAGATTGAGTCTTTGGATGGGGTTCATATCACAGCTCCAATGCATGCCACCTACAAGACTGGTAAGGGTGAAAATCACATAATGAACTGATTAAATATATTCATACCTAAGAGTATCTAAATCTGGACATGGTGAATCACAAGCTGCTGGTTTCAAGACATGGACTTTTCTTTGGTCATGACAATGTATTATGGTTTGAATGTGTCTTCCAAAGTTCAAATGTTGGAAACTTGATCCCCAATGCAGTAGTGTTGGGAGGTGGGACCTAATAGGAAGTGTTTGGGTCACGGGGGCACTGCCTTCATGAATGGGTTAATGTCTTTATCTTGGGAGTGGATTCATTCTCTCTTTTGCCCTTTGTCCTTCTGCCTTTCATCATGGGATGATGCAGCAAGAAGTTCTTCACAAGATACTAACACCTTAATATTGGACTTCCCAGCCTCCAGGATTGTGAGCCAATAAATTTCTGTTTATTATAAATCATCCAGTCTGTGGTATTCTGTTATAGCAGCACAAAATGAACTAAGACACAATGGTTGTTCTTTTTGTGGTAAAATCAACAGGTATTTGTAGTTTACTGGGAAAGATGGTAATCAATCAAACAAGTAATACTAAAAATGTGTGATTAGTGCTACAATAGAGAAAGTACAGTGAACCATAAGAGCATGCTGGGATTTACTGGTTTCATTAGGAATAGGACCTACAAAGCTCAAAGCTCTCATGCTAAAAATGTTCTCACTTTCCAAAAAGGCAATTTTATATTGGAAGTATGGTAAGGCAGCCTTCTTTCAGCTCTTTCTCATATAATTTCCTAACACTTGAAGCACTTTAATTTCACTAGAACTTACGGATGATGAAGGAGGGTATTTTGTGGATATTGGGCAGAGTTAGATTTTGTGGGCTAAGGGTTTTTTTGTGGGTTTTTTTTTTTTTTTTTACTTTTTAACACAAATATTTCCAATTGTGTGGGCCCTTCATGCTGGAGTGTTTGAGTATTTGAGCAATATTAGCAGTATTACCAGAAGATTGGGAGAGGGATAGAGGAGCTGGTGAGGAAGAGGGGATGGGATTAGGTAGAGGCATGATGGAGGCCACAGGAGAAAGAGGCTGCTGACTTATGCAACATATAATTCCAAAGAGGGTTTAGGTTCATGTCTCATCTCTAGAGAAATGTCCTAAGAAGAATAATCCATCCAGGTAAGGCCCCATCCTTCCCACATCTGTCCTGATGTTTAGGACCCCAGAAGAAAATTATTTATAGAATAATAAGGGTTAAAACATCACCAAAATGGAAACAAATATATATGCTTCTTCACAACCAAGGGAACCAGGTTTGTCTGTTTTTTTAAATCACAGGCATCTTGTGATTTGGGCCAAATTCCTGTCATTCATGATGGATCTCACAAGAGCCTTCGTGGTATAGAGAGATCCCAAACATGAAACTGCTCACCCCTAGTGCTGCCAAAGTTGTTTTTCTCCCTTTCAATCACAGGCAGCTGGGGGATGGGGGGAGAGCCAAGACATTAAATACTAAGAAATTAGTTTACAACTTTTGCAGATGTGATATTAAAAACATAAAATTCAATGCAATGAAGCAGTGCAGGGCAAATTGTGTTGATCCAGTGCTGGGAATAAATCTATGAGCTTTCAAGACCAAGAAACATCTATTGCACTCACAGGAGAATCAGCCATCTGAGGAGTATAGTGTACTCTGCAGAAAAAGAGTGGAACAAGGAGGTTAGGCCGGGCATGATGGCATGCACCTGTAGTCCTAGCCACTTGGAAGGCTGAGGCAGGAGGGTCACTTGAGCCCAGGAGTTTGAGGCTGCAATGAGTTATGATTGGTCCACTGCATTCCAGCCTAGACAACATAGTGAGACCTTGCCTCTAAAGTAAAATAAAAAGAATGGGACAATGAGGGTCCAAGGACTCAGCCAAGAGGGCAGTAGCAGGATTCAGATGAGGTTCCAGATACAGCAAGCTGTCGTGTGGGGATGGGGCAGCACCAGGCAATGAAGAATCACCAAAAATGTAGCAAGACTGAGCAGATTGTACTCAGCTCTGTGTCTACTGAAGGAAGAAATACTTGAAGAGCCCTTGGTTTGAAGTGTGAGACCCTCAATGCACCAGCTGAAGTAACAGCAGATTGATGCTAACCTGACTTCTAGAAAGGGTAGTTCCTGTTACCTCTAGGGCTTTGGTTTTGCTGAGGAGCCTGCAAGCTGGACCACAGCTGAACTTTCTTGAAACTTTGAAGAGAGCCCCCTGTACCCCTAGTCCAATGAGACTCATTAAGGACCTCTGATCTCCATTGTTCTAAGATAACACACTTGGATTGTTTAAGCCACTAAGTTTGTAGTCATTTGTTACAGCACCAACAGGAAACATACAGCATTGCACTGCCACTTGGAAAGGTGGAGAGATAACAAGAGAAATTTAACTGAACCCCATTGTTATGCCTAAAGAATATTGAGCTCCCAAAGCTCAGAAAAAGCCAGCTAAGGAGAATGGAAAAAATCCAATAGCATGGTGGTAATGTGTAACCAGTGTAGGAAAGTTATCATCTCCTTGGCCAAGGTAGCCTCGGATGAGAGAAGTGGGGAAAGATTCCTCAGTTTGGCCACTAGGACTATATCCAAGGGCACACTGTCCCTGCCACCTTGGAGCCTACACTGAGGATGCTACTGCAGTGCATGTTCTAATCAGAAGGCAAGGAATTCCAGCATGTGTGTCTACACACATACATGCACACACGCGTACACGCACGCGCACACACACACACTCAGATGGAATTTATACTGCACTCTGATAAAGATTTAAGCAGTTATTTCTTCTTTGAGTCAGTTGATTGATTTCAAAGCCAGTCCCTACCTGTTTTTTACACAAGAAGCAGTCTCAGTGCCTAGGCCTCTCTTTTCTTACCTCTCTCTTTAACCCTTCTGTCCCCACCTCCACCACCATCCAGAGACTACCACACTCAGAAATATTCCACCTCCTTGAGGAAATAATACCTTTCTTATGTCTTGTAAACTTCATAGCCTCCAGAGATGAATATTAAAAATCTGTTTTTCTCCTCCCAGTTCTTGTTTTTCTCAGCAGGGAAGGCGTAAATTTTGGTCGCAGTGACCGCTGGCTTTGTGTGACCTGGGAAAGCAAAGCAGCGCCGAAGATAAGCTCTGGTCTGATGATAAGGAGATGATGACATATGAGCATTTCCACCTTAGCCTGTAATTTATTTCTCGAATACATTATATATTTATATCTCAACACAGATCAATCATTACCAGCAATGAGTAACTGATAAAGCATGAGAGAAAGAGGTCTCTAAGCAAGAGAAGACTGCGGGAAACAAGAATATAACATGCTTGGGGTGATATAGGTAGGTGAAGGAACCCAAGAAGAAGTTTATGGGACATCATGAAGTATAGGTGAAAGTGACATTCAGTAAGGGTTCTAACTGGTGTTGGGGGGAAGACAGAGTTGGTATTGGGAGAGCTGAAACAGAAGGGAAGACACTTTTAGGAACAAGAGAGGAGCAGGCTAGCAATGAGGGAGGCTGTGACTGAGTGGCAGTCTGTAGCCATATAGGGCAACAACAAGAGACCCATGGCAGCACAGCAAGGTCAGGCAGCCTGTTTGGCAGCAACCTGCTGGCACCGTGTGCTCATAGCTCCTCCACCATTGCAATGCCTTTTTTGGTGGTGGTTCTTCCCCAGAGCCAACCTCAAAGCCAGAATCATCCTCCTAAAGTATCACTTTGATCCTGTTGTCACCCTGTTAAAAACCCTCCAAGGGCTTCCCCAGGGATACAGAAGCAAGTCCAGCCTCTGCAGTGGAGGTTTCTCCAGAGGCCTCAGACCAAACTCAGCTCTTCTGAAACTGCATAGCCCTGCTCTGAACTGCTCAAGCGGCATCTATCACTTCCTGTTTGACTAGTGATGATTTTAAAAGTAGATTTCAGTGAGTAGACTTTTTGAGGGCAGAATGCTAGGCTTGATTGCCTTGCAGGTGGGAGTCAAGGGAAACTATCTCTGTGATCATTTCAGAATGCCATGGAGTATTGACATCATCAGAAAAATCCCTGTTACCAGTACACTCTCTCACCTCTTACATATCCAGGTCATGGTACTAGATGACCATGACTTTTGTCTATAGGAGGTTAAATCAGTCAACAAAGCCCACTAAGATAGAGATCAAATCCAAGACCCTGGGCTAGAGATATGATTATATTCTATTCCTTGGCAAGAAACTCCAGCTTTAGCCCCAGTCACAAGGTGTGGGTGTGATGTTGCAGATCCATCGCCACCTCCACAAAAGCAACTTAAAGAGCACTCGCTGACAGGCTGCTCCACAAGGTCCCCTTGTGCATCCACCCCCTCCAATCTCTAGTGCTCTTAGAGACAGCTCAGCTCAGGTAGGGATTGGGGGAAAAGGATAGGAATTATTTGCATGTTATGATTTTTAAGTCTCAAACTACAAGTAGTCTTAAAAGTAAAGAGCATTGAGCAAATCTGTGTCTTAGATTAACTGTAGGACTTTTGCGAGCACACAGAAGGAGGAACTGCAAGCTGTTTCTGAGCTGCGCTAGCTCAAGCTGGAAGCAAAACTCAGTCTTCTCACCATTGTTTACGAGAAATCCACTCCCATAAATCATGTGTTGAGTTTAGTAGACTTGACCTGATGATATCAACAAAGAGTCTCAGGAGGAGTCCTGGCACTTGGCTTTTCACTATCTCCCTGCCCTTCTTTCCTGATCCCTTCTGATTCCTCCCACCATGCTCCCAGGAGCTCCAAACTCCTCTCACTCTTTTAAACAATGTGTTTCTCTCCAGCTCCTTCCTTCCCTTTGCACAATCAAACACACTACAGTGCTCAACAGGACTAGAAATCTCCCTTTTGACAAGACTTACTCTCTGCAGAAGAACTTAGATTACAGTTAAAATTATACAAATACCATGTTTAATTACCAAGGAAAGCCTCCATTTAAAACTGACTTAGAGGAGCTCCAAGGGTTTCTCCCATCCAGACCCCTTCCCTGGTTCCTGCCCTAGAGGACACATCTCCATGCCGAGCATCTCAGTATACTTCTTCATACACTATCAATCTCTGTGACATGGCAAAACAACTGGGATTGTCTTTCACTGTATCCATGTCATGTTTCTGACACCTACTTCTGAAAGTTTCACTATTTCAACTCAGCTGTCTGCTCACGTGAATACAATGTGTGCTTATTTATTTATGCCTTCCCTTCATGCTGAACACAAAATGATTTTTATTGGGCTCATGGTTTGAGATTTGGATAATTAAAGCAAATAGATTTCTTTTGGAAAGTCACTTTTCCAACACATCACAGACGAGAAACAATGAGGGATTCTTAGTGATTGTTCACTCTTGGAAAAATAGAAATCATACCCCACACCAAACAGCAGAAACAGAATGACCCAAAATGCCATGATTTCACTGCACTAGTCAGTAGTTTTTTAATAATGCTTCTGCTTTCTCTGAAATATTCACCTGCTTCGGTTCCCTAGAGCTTCCCAGCACTGAATGCATTTGGCCTTCCCTTCGCATGATTTCAGCTGTTATTTGTTTCCCACTTACACAATCATTCTTTGAAGGAGTCTAATCTGTTTCCTAAGTGCACAAGAACAGTAACAACATTATTTGCTCTTGCATAAGTTTAGATATACTACAAATGTAATAGTGTGCTCTAAAATATAATAGCTATAGTATTTACAAGCTTATTTTATATTTATTTTACTTATATTGCCACTGCATCACAAGAAAGAACATAAATAGTAAATCTTAAATAATACAGCTGTTAAGCTAGAAAGCAACTATTAGCGTTTGATAAGATAGTGAGAAGAGCATAGTTTTTTTTTTTTTTTAATACAAGCAACCTAATTTAGTTCCTTACTAGCTGGTGGCCTCGGACAAATTATTTAACCTTTCTGATCCTCAGAGATAATAATATCCACCTGAAAAGATGTTGAGCAAATTAAAGGAGATATTTATGTGAAAGCGTATATTGTAATGTGTGGCACATAGAAGGGTCACTTTTTGTTTTTTTTTTTTTTTACTATTTTTGTCCCCCAAGAGTGGTATTATCCTATTAAGAGGCAGTTGCACTGTAGTAATTTTTTGAATATAAATAATAATAATAAAAATTCTTACTGCACAAGTAAGTAGTTTTTTGATAGTGACTTAGTCTCCTATGGTAAATATTTTCAGAATATCTTTTGTTCAGTATGTGAATAGTTAATAAACCAGCATAGTACATGCTGATCACCTCCAATTCCCCACTTAACTTGCCTGAGCACAGTGCAAAGCAGGGTAAACCAAGGATTGACCCATGCCTCTGTTGACTGACTGCCATCTCCTTCAAAAGCTATGGGCAAAATTCTTTATGCTTATATGGTCCCTGTGTCTGAAACACTCAAAGCATTTTTCCAGAGATTAAATTGGGGCTTTCATATGACCCTGGTTAATAAATGTCAAGTCTTCAATGTGAAGTCTCAGAATGTCCTTTTGAGGAAGGTGGTTGACAACCTTATCTTCCATACAAATAAACTGAGGCATGGAGCAGATAAATCAGAGGACTTGTTATGGATTCTTCATTCCTTATGTGTACACTTTTAGTTTATATATGAAGACCAATGTTTCACAGGGGTGCACAGAAAGCCAGCAGGAATCCCCAGAGAGAATGGCTGTGGTTTCTTGGAGAAGGCAGCCCACCATTCTAATGTAGCTGAGAGGATTACAGTACTGGGGTCGAGGGGTGCTGAGGCAGGGTCTGCCTGAACTGGGTAAACAGTCTGAGTCAGTGAGGTTAGGACAAGTAGATAAGCTGGAACTCCAAAGGTGTGCAGTGTGATACCTCTCATGGGAAACAAAAAGTTCCCGTTTTGGACCAAGTTTCCATGGCTACAGTAAACCTCTTGTCAGGAGGAAAGAATAGCTCCAGCAGGGCCTAAGAAGAAGGGCCTTTGTGCATGGGGAGGACTAGAGGGCTCTGATCAGCAGCTGTGAGAGGACAGAGCTCCAACCTACCAGCTTGAAACACTGTCGGTAACCGTGACAGGAAGAAGCAGAAAGATTTCCACCTCATGGCAACCACCTCCACCACAAACACAGTGGGCCTTGGGGACCATCACCCTCCTTTACACCATGACAACATAGCTAAGCTCAAAATGCTTTTCCCAGAATTCCCATCCCCAAATGATTCCATGTCAGTGAAGGTCACAAGATAAATATTGCATGAGATTTAAAAAGCAGAAAGGAAGCCCCAGGCATGTTTTTGATGCTCTGAAGATAAACAGGAGGCACGAGGCACTTTGACAGTTCACTCACGTTGTCACTGGCTGTTCTTCCAATTCCTGCTCTATCTCCTCCTTCAGCTTCTTCACACATGTACACAGCGTCTTGTTAAGGGGCACAGCTGCTCCTGCATGTTAGTCATGGCATCGAATTTGCTGGTGGGAAGAGACAGACTTGAGTTCCAGTTCATCCTCATGGGGTCCAGCTTGTCTTTGCTTTTTCTCATACCCACCTTTCTATCTAGCTGCCGGCCTGGGTACCCTCATGCTACTTTAGGCCCAACACCAGATGAAGAGATACACAGTCTGTGTAACATAGGCTCCTCCCCCAATCTCTACAAAATCACATCCTTATAATAAATTTTGTTTTCTTTATTATTTAGAGTAGCCTTGCTTTTCTGATGGAACCCCAAGTGATACACACATACTGTCTTATTTAATCCTCACAACAGTCCTAGAAGGCAGGCACTATTATTATCCTCGTTTCACAGGTGAAGAACTTGAGAAACAAGAAGATTATCCTATATTAATTAGCTGGTATGTGGTGATGCTGGGATTTAAACCCAGGCAGTCAGATTCCAGAGCCTGAGTTTCAGCTCTGTACTGATTTCTTCCTTAATTCCATGAAGTCTAGCTTTTGTTCTCACCAGTTTTCTTTTTTTCTTAAGAAAAGAATGCCCTTAATACTTTAAAAAATTATTCTCAGAAAACTTTCTTCCATCCTTCTTCTTCTAGACCTCCCTAAAGCCCCTGATATGTTTCCTTATTCCTTTCCTTTGGCTGTGCTGAAGTTTCTTTTCTGTTTTATTTCCCAGCTTTTCTGCTTTCCACTGTCTGCCATACACATATGCACATATACATGCATACATGCACACACATACATACACACACGCACACACAGGTTTGACCATGTCATTCTAGCTCCAAATTGCATGCTCTTTCTTTATACCACACTGTCTGCCTGACAGTGATTCATCATCAGTCTCCTTTGCTAACCCAGATCTCTGCCATCTCCCACTGGGGGCTGCCAGGGCTCTACGCCTGCTACCCTGTAATAGTAAAATAAGTGATCAAACTGATCAACTGTAAAGCACACAGAAGGACACAGGCCAGATGGGAAAGAAATAGGACAAGGGAGGGAAGCTGAGCAAACAAGCCAAAGTAAGTTTAACTGAGGAGCAGGGCAGAACCCAGTGAACGCTTATAAGGCAGAAATAAACTCCCACGGGGGGGAAATGCTTTTGTGACTTTTATACAGAGAGAAGAGAAAGGGCCAGGTCATAAAACAGGGAGATAAGAGAGGGAAAAAATATGGATTTCTTGGAGAAGAGGAACCAGAAGGACCAGAGCAGAGTTATTCGTTGAGTCAACTGAGCAGTAAAAACTGTTCCAATGCAAAGCTAATCAGCAGATATAGGACCAAGAGAGAAGTTCTTACACTTCCTGAAACCAGGATCTGAGGCTGAGGACAGCCAGAAGCCCAAGGGATATACCTAGTGTCAGGACCTGCAAACTCAAGAGAATTGTCCAGCCAGAAAGGAATTGATAAGTTTTTTGAAACTTTTCTAAATTAAGAAGCATAAATTGTGTGTATGAATGACCTTAACACTACCGACTTCTCCCCTTGCAGAGCACAGTCCAGGATGACTGACCCAGGGATCTGCCTTTTATTAGAGAATCTCCTGAGAATGAGAAATTGCAATTTTCCAAGAATGAGACAGTGTCTTGTCCCTATTTTTCCACATACATACTAACATGAGAAACCTGAACACCAAAAAGTAAAATAAAACTCAAACCAAATCCAGAAATAAAATTTGGCTTTTTGAACTCAGTAAATTTGGTAAACCTTTGCAGAGGAAAACTTAGCTGACAAACACATGAAGGTATCCAAAAAAAGAGACAAGACTTTAAAAAATGAAACTTGCAGGCCTTTTACCCAGTGGTCTTGGGCCCAGGAATTTGTTCTATTTCTGAATCTCATAATTGGAAAAATACTAAACTGAGAAACAGCTTTTTACCCAAACTTTAACTAAATGCTACTTATAGTAGCATAAAATTAGAAACAGTCTATATATGGGGCAAAAGGTAATGGTTCTATAGTAATATAAATAATCTGTGCAATACATCTCTACCATGGATATAATAGAAGCATTTCTTTAAAATGAAGTGTGTGTGTGTCTGTATGGGTAGAGACAGAGAGGCAGTGACAGAGAACAATAGAAATATTGGTAAGTGAAAGAGAAAGTTGTTCAATGTTATGTAGAGCACGCACTCATTTTGGTGAGTCTGCCTGTGGGGGCTCTTTATCTATGAATACATGTGTAGATGCCTAGGAAAAGTCTGAAAAGAAATACTGCAAACCCTAACAGTGGTGACCTCTGGGAGTAGAGAGAATGGAACAGGAAAGCCAGGGCATTTGTTTTCTTCTTTTTTATTCTTTCAAATTCCTTGAATTTTTTTAGATTTCAAGCAGAAATCTGTCCATTAAAATCTGTTCTCCCTGTTCATGGTTGTATCTCAGAAGCTGCTTTTTTGACAGGGACTACATTCACCAGTTTTCCTTGGAGCTAGATGTGGCCAAATTTCAACAAAATGTGCGCAGAAATATGAACCACTTTCAGGTCAAGGTTTCGCACACACGGAGGGCCAATCTACTCTTGTACTCTCTCCTTCTACCAGTGGGACCATGGATATGACATTGGAGCCTCAATCATTGATAGCAAGACTCTAGTGGATGTTGGAATCACACCCTTGTCTCTGAATTATCACATGGGGAAGAACCCACGACTTCCCTTGAACACTTACCTGGGATAGTTACATTAACAAGAAATTAACCTTGATGTCTTTAAGACATTACATTTAGGTCTGTATCCTTTCACTTTAGGTTAACCTGGTGAAAATTACATTATTGCTTTTTCATAAGGAATTTTTAAAACTATACGTATTTTGAGAAAATTATAGATTTACATGCACTTGTAAGAAATAGTAGAAAGAAATCACACATACTCTTTACCCAGTTTCCCCCAGTGGTAACATCTTGCAAAACCACAGCACAATGTCACAACAGAATATTGATATGGAGTCAAAATAAAAAACATTTCCATCACAACAAGCATCTCTCATGTTCCCCTTTATAACCACATCCAATTCCCTTCAGCCCAAATCCCCACCTTAACTCCTAGCAATCACTAATCCATTTCTAGAATTTGTCATCTAGGAAATGTTGTATAAATGAAATAATATAGTATATAACCTTTTAGAGTTGGTGTTCTTTCACTCAGCATAATCCTTTGGAGATTCATCCAGGTTGTGGCATGGATCAACAGTTGGTTCCTTTTTATTACTCAGTGGTATTTTATGGTCTGGATGTACCACAGTTTGTTTCACCATTCATCCATTGAAAGACGTTTGGTTTGTTTCCAGTTTTGTATTATTGCGAATAACACCTCTATAAACATTCATGTAAAGGCTTTCATGCAACCATAAGGTTTTATCTCTCAGATAGATGCCTAAGAGCATGATTACTGAATCATATGGTAGTTGTATTTTTAGTTTTTTAAGAAACTGATAAATTGTTTTTCACACTGATGGTACCATGCTACGTTCCCCCTAGTAATTAATAAGTGATGGGATTTCTCTGCATTCTTGTCAGTATTTGGTGTGAGCACTACTTTCTATTTTACCCATTTTTATACGTGTCTAGTGATTTTCTTTTATATTTACTTTTTTGATATATTATATTTGTACATATTTTTGGAGTACATGTGAAATTTCATTACATGCATAGAATGTAAAATGTTATATACACAATGTGACATTTCATTGTGGCTTTTATTGGCATTTCCCCAATAGCTAAAGATATTGAATATGTTTTCATGTGTTTGCTATCTGTGTATACTCTGATGAAATGTCTCTTCATGTCTTTTGCCCATGTTCTAATTGGATTGTTTGTTTTTTCATTGTTTGGTTTTGAGAGTTCTTTAAATATTTTAGATACTAGTCCTTTGTTGGATTTGTGATTTGCAAATATTTTGTGATTTGCTTGTCTTTTTATCCTCTTAACAGGGTCTTTCTCAGAGCAAAAGATTTTAAATTGTAGTAATGCCCAATTTGTCAACTTTTCCTTTTCTGGATCATGTTTTTCATGTCAAATCAAAAACTCTTTGTCCAGCCTCAGATCTCAAAGATTTTCTCTTGTGTTTTTCTAAAAATTTTATAGTTTAACATTGTACATTTAAGTTCGTGCTCCTTTTTCAGTCAATTTTTGTGTAAGATGTGAGATTTACGTTTTAAGGTTCATTTTTTTTTAACTTATGGATGTCTAAATGCTCCAGCACCATTTGTTGAAAAGGCTCTCTTTCTTCCATTGAATTTTGTGCCTTTTATACCTTTGTGAAAAAAACACTTGGGCATAATTTTAGATTATTTTTGTGGGTTATTTTGTTAATTGATCTATGTGTCTACACTTCTACCAATACTGCACTGCCTTGATTACTATAACTATATAATAAGTCTTACAACTGAGTAGACCAAGTTCCCTCATTTTATTCTGCTTTTTCAAAATCATTTTGGATACTCTAGCTTTATCTCATATAAGTTTTAGAATAATCTTGTCTATACTATATATCTGTAAAAATCTTTCTGGTGTTCTGATAAGAATAGCATTCAGCCTTTATATCAATTTGGGGAGAATTAACACCTTTACCATGTTGAGTCTTCCAAACCATAAACACAGTATGGCTTTCCATTTATTAGATCTCATTTGATTTCTTTAATCAATGTTGTATCTGATCCAAAAATTTTACATGTTTTGTGAGATTTCCACTAAATATTTTATTTGAAGTGGTTTTAAATAGTATCATATTTTTTAATTTTAGTGTCTTTGTGTTAATTGCTAGTATGTAGAAATACAAATGGTTTTTATATGTTTGTCTCTAATCCTGTAACCTTGCTGAACTTGTTTAGTATTAGAATCCATAGGGTTTTCTATGTAGAAAATCATGTTATTTACAAATATGGACAGTTTTATTTTTTCCTTTCTGATCTATATGCATTTGGTTTTCGTTTCTTACCATATTTTACTGGCAAGAACTTCCAGCTCTATGTTGAATAAGAGTACTTAGAGTAGATATCATTGCCTAGATAGAAAGCATTCAGTTTTTCACCATTAAGTATAAAGTTAGGTGTTTTTTGTGAATCTCTCTTTATGATGTAGCAAGTTCCCCTCTATTTCTACTTTTCTGAGAGTTTTTGTCATGAATGGATGTTGAATTTTTTCAAGTGCTTTTTCTGCATCAATTGATATTAGCATGTTAATATGGTGGATTATAATGATTGGTTTTCATGTATTTCAAATATTGAACCATCCTTGCATCCTTTGTATAAAACTACTTGGACATAGTGTATAATTATTTTACATATTGCTAAATCCTATTGATTTATCTAAAGATTTTTATAAAGATTTTTGCATCTATATTCACAAGGTATATTGGTCTGTAGTCTTCCTTCTTTGTACTACCTTTGTCTAGTTTTGGTATCAGGATAAGACTGGCTTCATAAAATTGCATTTGTTATTTTATTTTCTTTATTTTAGACATGGGGTCTCACTCTGTCACCCAACCTAGAGTACAGTGGAGTGATCATAGCTCACTGCAGTTTCAAGCTCCTGGGCTCAAGCAATCCTCTCTTCTCAGCCTCCCAAGTAGCTGGGACTAGAGACATGCACCATCATGCTTATTTTGTTTGTTTGTTTGTTTTTGTAGAGACGAGGTCTTGCTATGTTGCCCAGGCTGGGCTCAAGCAACCCTCCTGCCTCAGCCTCCCAAAGTGCTGGAATTATAGGCATCAGCCACCATACCTACTTTGCATTTGTGAGCTATTTTATGAAGCTAGGCTTATACAAAGGATGTAAGGATGATTCAATATTTGAACCATACCTTGGAAGGATGGAAGACACAAGCACTTCCATCCTTGGAAGGAGGGAAGACACAAATTTCTAATATCAGGAAAAAAACAAGGGATATCATTATAGACCTGGCAGACATCAAAAGGATATGATAACATTACAAATAACTCTATACACATAACTCTATACACAGAAGGATAAGAGAACATTACAAATAACCCTATACACATAAGTTTGACAAATTAGATAAAATGAACCAATTCCTCAAAAAGCACAAACTACCATCAAAGATTTATAGCCAATTCTACACAATCTCTTTCAGAATATGGAAGCAGAGAGAGCACTTCCCAATTCATTTTATTAAGCTAGTATTAACACATTATCTATTTCAAGTTGAGTGAGTTGTAGGAGCTTGTGCTTTTAGAGGAATTGGCTCATTGTGTATTCCCTCCTTTTCTCTGTCAATCTTTCCAGAATTTCATCAATTGTATTAATCTTCTCAAAAAATCAACTCTTTATTTTATTTATTTTCTTTATTATTATTATTATTATTATACTTTAAGTTCTGGGGTACATGTGCAGAACGTGCAGGTTTGTTACATAGGTATACATGTGCCATGGTGGTTTGCTACACTCATCAACCCGTCATCTACATTAGGTATTTCTCATAATGCTATCCCTCCCCCAGCCCCCCAGCCCCTGACAGGCCCCAGTGTGTGATGTTCCCCTCCCTGTGTCCACGTGTTCTCATTGTTCAACTCCCACTTATGAGTGAGAACATGCGGTGTTTGGTTTTCTGTTCTTGTGTTAGTTTGCTGAGAATGATGGTTTCCAGCTTCATCCATGTGCCTGCAAAGGACATGAACTCATCCTTTTTTGTGGCTGCATAGTATTCCATTGTGTATATGTGCCACATTTTCTTTATCCAGTCTATCATTGATGGGCATTTGGGTTACTTCCAAGTCTTTGATATTGTGAACAGTGCTGCAATAAGCACAAGTGCGCATGTGTCTTTAGAGTAGCATGATTTATAATCCTTTGGGCGTATACCCAGTAATGGGATCACTGGGTCAAATGGTATTTCTAGTTCTAGTTCCTTGAGGAATCACCACACTGTCTTCCACAATGGTTGAACTAATTTACACTCCCACCAACAGTATAAAAGTGTTCCTATTTCTCCACAACATCTCCAGCATATGTTGTTTCCTAACTTTTTAATAATTGCCATTCTAACTGGCATGAGATGGTATCTCATTGTGGTTTTGATTTGCATTTCTCTGATGACCGGTGATAATGAGCATTTTTTCATGTGTCTGTTGGCTGCATAAATGTCTTCTTTTGAGAACTGTTTGTTCTTCCACTTTTTGATGAGGTTGTTTGTTTTGTTCTTATTAATTTGTTTAACTTATTTGTAGATTCTGGATATTAGCCGTTTGTCAGATGGATAGATTGCAAAAATTTTCTTCCATTCTGTAGGTTGCCTGTTCACTCTGATGGTAGTTTCTTTTGCTGTGCAGAAACTCTTTAGTTTAACTAGATCCCATTTGTTAATTTTGACTTTTGTTGCCATTGCTTTTGGTATTTGAGTCCTGAAGTCTTTGCTCATACCTACGTCCTGAATGGTATTGCCTATGTTTTCTTCTAGGGTTTTTATGGTTTTAGGTCTTACATTTCAGTTTTTAATCCATCTTGAGTTAATTATTGTATAAGGTGTAAGGAAGGGATCCTGAAAGTGATGGAACCAAGTTGGAAAACACTCTTCAGGATATTATCCAGGAGAACTTCGCCAACCTAGCAAGGCAGGCCAACATTCAAATTCAAGAAATACAGAGAACACCAAAAAGATACTCCTCGAGAAGAGCAACCCCAAGACACATAATTGTCAGATTCACCAAGGTTGAAATGAAGGAAAAAATGTTAATGGCATCCAGAGAGAAAGGTTGGGTTACACACAAAGGGAAGTCCATCCGACTAATAGTGGATCTCTCTGCAGAAACCCTACAAGCCAGAAGAGAATGGGGGCCAATATTCAACATTCTTAAAGAAAAGAATTTTCAACCCAGAAATTCATATCCAGCCAAACTAAGCTTCATAAGTGAAGGTGAAATAAAATCCTTTACAGACAAGCAAATGCTGACAGATTTTGTCACCACCAGGCCTGCCTTACAAGAGCTCCTGAAAGAAGCACTGAACATGGAAAGGAACAACTGGTACCAGCCACTGCAAAAACACACCAAATTGTAAAGACCATCGATGCTATGAAGAAACTGCATCAACTAACAAGCAAAATAACCAGCTAACATCATAATGACAGGATCAAATTCACACATAACAATATTAACACATTCAGGAGACCCATCTCATGTGCAAAGACACACATAGGCTCAAAATAAAGGGATGGAGGAAGATCTACCAGGCAAATGGAAAGCAAAAAAAAGCAGGGGTTGCAATCCTAGTCTCTGATAAAACAGGCTTTACATCAACAATGATCAAGAGAGACAATGAATGGCATTACATAATGGTAAAGGGGTCAATGCAACGAGAAGAGCTAACTAGCCTAAATATATATGCACCCAATACAGGAGCACCCAGATTCATAAAGCAAGTTCTTAGAGACCTACAAAGAGACTTAGACTCTCATACAATAATACTGGGCGACTTTAACAACCCACTGTCAATATTAGACAGATCAACAAGACAGAAGATTAACAAGAACATTCAGGACTTGAACTCAGCTCTGGACCAAGCAGACCTAATAGACATCTGCAGAACTCTCCACCCCAAATCAACAGAATACACACTCTTCTCAGCACAACATCTCACTTATTCAATGATTGATCACATAATTGGAAGTGAAACACTCCTCAGAAAATGCAGAAGACTGGAAATGATTTTCCTTAATGTGTTTCTATTTTCAGTTTCATGAGTTTCTGCTCTTATCTTTATTATTTCCTTCCTTTTATTTGGGTTTATTTTTCTCTTCATTCTTTAGATTCTTGAGGCGAGAATTGGATTATTGACTTGAGATTTCCTTTTTTTTTTTTTCCTTTGAGACGGAGTCTCACTCTGTCACCAGGCTGGAGTGAAGTGGCATGATCTCGGCTCACTGCAACCTCCGCCTCCCAGGTTCAAGTGATTCTCCTGCCTCAGGCCCCAGAATAGGTAGGACTACAGGTGAGCACCACCACACCCAACTAATATTTGTATTTTTAGTAGAGACAGGGTTTCACCACCTTGGCCAGGATGGTCTTGATCTCTTGACCTCGTGATCCACCCCCACCTCAGCCTCTCAAAGTGCTGGGATTATAGGCATGACCCACCATGCCCACCTCTCCCCTTCTTTTTTTAAATAAATTTTGCATTTAGTGCCATAAATTTCCATCTGACATTGCTTTAGCTGTGTCCAACATTTGTTGCTGCATTGTGTTTTCATTTTCATTAGTTCAATGTATTTTGTTTTGTTTTCTTGAGACTTCTTTGGCCCATGGATGATTTAGAAATGTGCTGTTTAGTTTTCCAGTAATTGAAAATTTTCCTGTTATCTTAAAGTGATTAATTTCTAGTTTGATTCCATTATAGCTAGAGAACACATTCTGTATGATTTTAATTACTTTTAATTTGTTGAGGTTTGTTTTATAGTCTAGGATAGGGCCTACTTTGGTATATGTTGTATGGGCACTTGAAAAGAATGTTTATTCTGGTATTGTTGGGTGGAGTACTCTATAAATACCCATTTGATTCTGTTGGTTGATAATGATGTTGAGTTATTCTCTATTCTTGGTGATTTTCTGTATGTTTGTCCTATCAATTGTTGAGAGAGAGATTTGAAGTCCACAACTATAATTATATATATTTGATAGAGATAGATGGATAAAGGTAGAAACAGAGATATGTATACAGTTTATATATTTAGTTTATATGCATTTGGGGTTGCTGTATCTTCTTGATGGATTGATCATTTTATCATTGTATGATGTCCTTCTCTATTTCTGGTAATTTTCTTTGTTCTACAGTCTACTTTGTCCTATACTAATATAATCCAACTTTCCTTTGAATAATGTTTGCATGATATACCTTTTTCCATTCTTTTACTTTCAACTTCCCTGTATCATTATATTTGAAGTGAGTTTCTTGTAGACAACATATAGTTGAGTTATATCTTCTATTTCTGAGGTTTTTTCACTTCTTTGCTGAGTCTAATTTTTTGACTTGTTTCAATTATATTCATAATTGCTCATTGAAGAATTTTATCGTGGCTGTTTTAAAATATTTCTCAGATAATTCTAACATTTGTTTTCTTTGTGTTGGCATCTATTCATTGTCTTTTTTATTCAGTTTGAGATATTCCTGATTCTTGGTATGACAAAAGATTTTCAGTTGAAACCTGGACATTTTTGTATTACGTTATGAGACTCTAGATTTTATTTAAACCTCTGTTTAAGCTGTTTTCTTTCTGACCCTGGCAGGGGAAAATAGAGCATCACCTCATTGCTGACAAATGAAAGTAGAAAGCTGGGTTCCCCACTCAGCTTCCATTGGCTCCTTGTTATTTCTTGGCAAGGCTAAGTATTCCAACTCCCCACTTGATCCACTGATGCCACAGTGCTTGTGGTGTCTCTTTCTGGGTGATAGTTAAAGTCCTGACTCTTCACTAGGCTTCCTCTAACACCATCCCAGCAGGAAAAGGAAAAGACAAGTCATCATGGCCAGGTTAGGGTGGAAGTCCAGGATCCCCAATTAGTCTTAACTGATATTGTGATTGAAGGAATGGGCCTCATTACAGGCTAGAAGGAATGAAAGTCCCACCTCCATACTTGGTCTTCTCTTACACTACCCAGACAGGGGTATTGGAGTTCTTTATTACAGGCTCACATATGGAAAAGTATAGCCTACCCACTCAGCCTTTGCTGGTGGAAATGGAGGTTGAGCCACAGTTTTTTCTGTGAAATTTGGCTGGAGTATAACAGTTATTATCTAAAAAGTGCTCTATCTTGCTGGGATGCCTCTTGTCTTTTGGATATAGAGAGAAGACATTCATTTGGGTAAATATGAACCCATTGGTGTTTCCAGGTTGCCAGATTCTTCATCTCCAAGTTATAGATATGTGAGGCAAAAATGAGACCCAAATAACTTACTACAACATTGTTTCTCAGGTGCTGAGGTCTCTAGCTATTCTACCTTCTCCTATTTTCCAGTACCTTCTTATGTTTATTTTATATAAATGTGCAGTGTTTTATTTGTACTTGGTGAGAGCAACAGAGAGAAGTATGTCTACTTCATCTTCCCAGAAGCATAAATCTAGGGATTTTCATGGTATTATTAACATAGTATCAATTTTTTTAAAAGACCAATAAGAACATTTGTCACTTTGAGAGTATCTGATCCCCTACTTCATCTCAATCATTTTTCTAATTTTTTGAGTGTCTTTGTCCATTTTGGCTGCTATAACAAAATACCTTACACTAAGTAATTTAAAAGCAACAGGATTTGTTGCTTACAGTTCTGAAGGCTGGCAAGTCCAAGATTAATGCACAAGTAGATTCAGTATCTAGTGAGGGCCTGTTTCTTATAGATGGCACTTTCTTGTTGTGTCTTCACATGGTAGAGAAAGCAAATAGGCTCTCTCAAGTCTCTTTTATGAAATAAGTAATCCCACTTATGAGGACTCCACCCTCATGACCTAATTTCCTCCTTTTAACAGTTCTACCTCTTAAGACTATTGAACTGTGGATTGGGTATCAAAGTATAATTTTGTTTGGGGAGCACAAACATTCAGACCATACATTTATGTATTTCTCATGTGCAAAATACATCCATTACATCCTAAAAGTTCCCAAAGCACCAACTCAAAAGTCTAAAAGCCCAGAGTCTCATTTAAATATTATATAAATCTTATATGAGTGAGACTCAAGGGTGTGATTCATCCTGAGGCAAATTCCACTCCAGCTATGAGCCTGTGAAATCAAACAAGTTACGTCCTTCCAAAATACAATGGTGGGGCAGGCATAGGTTAGACATTGTCATTCCAAAATAGAGAAATAGGAAAGAAGAATGGAATACCAAGTATGGAGGTAGGACTTGTATTCCCTCCAACCTGTAATGAGGCCTACCACTCCAACCAATGTGTCAGTTAAGACTAAATGGGGAACTTGGACTTCTACCCACTACCTGACCAAATCTAAAGCCCACTAGGGAAAACATTTAATCCTAACCCTTGACAATAATCTTCTTTAATTCCATATTCTTCCTTCAGGACACAATAAAGAAAGGAGTGGGCTCCTGTGAACTATAGATGATCCCACTACCATGGTTTTGCCAGGTGACATCCACACTGCATCTATCACAGGTTGAAATCAAGTACTATATTAGTCTGTTCTCATGCTTCTAATAAAGACATACCTAAGACTGGGTAATTTATAAAGGAAAGAAGTTTAATTGACACACAGTTTCACATGGCTGGGGAGGCCTCACAATCATGGCAGAAGGTGACTGAGGAGCAAAGTCACGTTTTACATGGTGGCAGGCAAGAGAGCTTGTGCAGAGGAACTCCCATTTATAAAACCATCAGACCTCATGAGACTTATTCACTACCACAAGAATAGTACGAGATAAACTGCCTCCATTATTTAATTATCTCCACCTGGCCCCACCCTTGATATGTGGGGATTATTAGAATTCAAGGTGAGATTTGGGTAGGGACACAGCCAAACCATATCAAGTACCCATGATTCTCCCAGGCTGGAATCACACTTTAGTGGTTCTAACAGTCTGAGATATTGAAAGCTGCCACACCCTGACAGCGCCACAAGGCATTGCCCTAGTGGGAGCTTTCTTCAGTTGCCCCACCCTCATGTTCCAGTAGGTATTGCTCCAGTGGTGCAATGGTGTGGTGGCCCCATCCCAGCAGAAGTTCTCTGCCTGGGACCCAAGGCTCTCCCAAGCATTCTTTGAAATCTAGGTGGAGGAAGCCATGCCCCCACAGCTCATGCACTCTGCACACTTATGGAAATGGCACTGCTTGGACACCTATGGTAAACATAGATTTGCCACCTATGCCATCCAGAGGGGCAATCTGAGCCATATCTGGACCTGCTTGAGCCACACCTGGGGTGGTCAGAGTGCTGTGCCAAAATGTGGGGAGCAGAGACTTGAGGTTGCATAGGGCAGCAAGCTATGAGGTGCCTTGGGCACCTGAGATACCTCTTTTAACATCATTCTGTCCCCCAGGTTTTGGTAATCTGGGCCTGTGATGGGAGTAACAGGCCTGATGATCTTTGAAATGCCTTCATGGCCATCATTCCATTGAATTGATGAATAATATCTGACTTCCTTCTATTCATACTAATTTTAGCAAAGGGTAGCTTGGCCACATCCTTGGTGTTCTCTCCCAAGCATGTTTTTTATTCTTTAAAACATAGCCAGGCTAAGAAATTTCCAAATCTTTAAGTTCTACTTCCCTTAATTTTAAGTTCTGTCTTTAACTTGTTTCTCTCTTCTTGCGTTTTACTTGAAGAGGTCAAGAAAAGCCATGCCACACCCTCCACACTTAGTTTAGACATTTCTTCCACCAAATACCTTATTTTGTTTCTCTGAGGTTCTACCTTCCACAAAACACTAGGACATGAATACAGTTCAGCCAAGTTTTTTGCCACTTTATAACAAAGATCACCTTTCCTTCACTATCCAGTAACACATTCCTCATTTTTATCTGAAACTTCATTGGAATGGACTCTGTGTCCATATTTCTATGAACACTGTTTACAACATCTTACATAACCTCTAAGAAGATTAAGGCTTTCTCCACAGCTCTCCTCTCTTCTGAGCCCTCACCAGAATTGTTCTTTATGATCCATTCACAGGAATATAGGCTTTTTCTAGCATGCATCTCAGAACTCTTCCGGCATCTATCCATTAACATTTCTAAAGCTGCTTCCACATTTTTAGGTATTTGTTACAGAAGCACCTCACTCCTCAGCATCAATTTCTGTATTAGCATGTTCAGACTGCTATAACAAAATACCTTAGACTGGATAATTTATAAACAACGGAATTTATTGCTTATAGTTTTGGAGGCTGTGCAGCCTAAGACCAAAGCACCACTAGATTCAGTGTCTGGTGATGGGCCCATTCCTCACAGATGGCACCTTTTTGCTGTGTCCTCATGTGGTAGAAAGGGTAAACAGTCTCCCTCAAGCCTCTTTTATAAGGACACTCATTCCATTCATGAGGGAAGATCCCTCATGACCTAATTGACTCCTAAAGGCTCCACCTCTTAATATATTACATTGCGGATCAGGTATCACCATATGAATTTGAAGGAGATACAAACATTCAGACCATAGCCTTGAGTTTCAAATCTATTCATAGGCACAGACAGCTCGGTAATTACAAGGTTGAAGATCGGGCTGAGGAACTCATCACTTTTATGCCATGTTAGACATCCTCTGAAGAATGAGGTCAGCATGAAGGAGTGACTGTGAAGGGGCTATGGCTGATGAGAGAAAAAGCCCCCAGGCAGGCCCACTGGATATTGCTCAGTGGGCCTAGGCAATGTTTACAAGTGTTGGCAGGAGTGCTTACCCACCACCCAACATCGTTAGTCTCATACAGCTTTTTCCAGAAGGGAGGACTGCCAGGAGGCTAGGGCTCTGCCAACACCATTTCTGATCCTGGCAATGAAAACTCCAGAAATAAGCCTTTTGGATGCTGGGTTCTTAAATATAAAAAATCAGATCAGAACGAAGGAGGGAATATTGATGCAAGGGGAAGAAACTCTTTGTTCTCATTCACACATTTAATGACTCCAAAGTGAAATGGGGACATCAAAAATACCTTTCTTAGAAGGTTGATATGGGATAAATTAGGGCTATGATATGAATGTGTCCCCCAAGATTTATATGTTGAAACTTAAGTGTCAATGTGACAATATTATGAAATAGGCCTTTGAGAGCTGATTAAGCCATGAGGATAGAGCCTTCATTAATGGGATTAATGACCTTATAAAATGGCTGAAGGGAATCAGTCCTTTTGCCTTCTGCCTTCATGTAAGGACACAGCATTTGTCCCCTCCAGAGGATGTAACAACAAGGCAACATCTTGGAGACAAAGAGATCAGGCCCTCACCAGACACGGAATCTTCTGGTGCCATAATCTTGGACTTCCCAGCTCCTAAACTGTAAGAAAATAAATTTCTGTTCTTTATAAATTACTCAGTCTCCGATCTAGGGTATTTTGTTATAGCAGCACAAATGTACTAGAACAATTAGGATAATATATATTAAGTGCTTGACATAATACTGTACAATGGCAAGCTTTCTATAAATGGTGACTGCTAAAATTAATATTATTTATATTCACAGTTAGATACATCTTACCACACATGCAAATTTGCATGGCAGTATAAATTATAGCCATAAGGTTGTATAATACAAAGAAAAGCAGGGAAAATAGAATTGGGATTTGGAACCAATCCCAATTCCTGATGCTCACATCTCTAAGAGCAGCAGAGTAGCCAAGCAGACTAGAACACTTGTGCTTAGACAAAGCTTCCTCTCAGAACCCCTCTTCCAGACCTTGCAGATGCTTTCTAGCTCTCTGACTGCCTCTTTAGATGTGTTAATACTAGAAGATAGGCCAATGTTTAAGCTACTTTTTGTAGAGAGCTCATTACATTCATGCCCTTTAGATTTACTCTAATCCATCAGAGCATCCTAGTATTCAAGGGTTGTGAAGATTCCTCACTGATCTCCCAATACTGAGTCAACATAGCTTAGGGGTTATTTTTGTCCATAGCCATGTCCTCACTTCTCTATTTGATCAACCCACAATTTCATTAAAAATTAATCATCTTTCTGAAAAATAGTGCATAATAAAAAACAGGTGTTTTATAACTCATCCTCTGGTCTAAAGGAACACATCAGTTTACATTTGTGCTATGAATGATTTTATAACATTATAGAAGTATGAAGGTTTGTTTGCTCTGTAATGAAGATGAAAATTCAAGAGGCTTGGAATTCTTCTTTTCTTTTCTGTCTACATTTCTGAAGTATTCTTAACTATTCTTGGAAAAAACTGATTACCTGTTCCTTTGATGAGTAATAATATAAGCCAGATGCTTAGAAAACCAGGATGATTTCCTTTGTTTTATAACTAATGTAGCTAGTGAAAGAAAAGTGAATTTGTAAAATGAGAAAGAATATTTACAATAAAACCTAACTATTTGGAATCTCCCAAGAAAGCCTCTAAAACATAAAAGATGCAGCACAAGCTCAATAATTATAAACTGTTACAATTATTACTCTTTAAAAATGAGTCTTCTATAAGAATTTTGACAGGGATTAATACACAAAATTACAAATATACAGAATAAGTAAACTTTTAAGTCTTTATCTTTACAGTATATTTTTCAAATAAAGCTTTAAGAGAATTTCCAGCAATTCAGATAGAGCTCACCCACACTTATAGTACAATCTATTTGCTCCAAAACATATAATCATATGATAACCTGAGTAGCAAATGCAGAGAAAGGTCTGCCTTCTCAATACATTTTTGATTTACGACATTTTAAACTTACATTGGCTTTTAGAAGTTTATTTTTCAAAACAGTTTAAAGCTATATGGAAATTGAAACCTGGTAAACAGATCACATTTCTATTTTCTTTCCTAAAAGTTGTAATACACAATTTAAGAACATTTCATATGTGATAACTGATTATTTCTGTCTTCTTGCCTTTCAAAAAGGCTGTATCTATAGATGCAAAATCACTCTTATGTTCCCATTTATATGTATTTGCCTTCAAATTGACTTCTTGAAACAGAAGTTACTTCTATTTCTATAAGCAGAAATATAGTATCATGTTTAACTTTGCTTCAACATTGAACTAAAGTGATAAAACATCCAAGCTAGAAGAGAAAACACTCTGGGCTGTGAAGAAGAAGGAGGTGACTGAGGAGAAAAGGCAAAAAGATGGAGTTCTCTTTCCAGTTCTACCATTAACAAATGGACTCTCATTTACCGATACAAAGAGTCCCCAACTTCCAATAACTCAACTATGCAACTTTACAATGACATGAAAGTGATACACATTCAGTAGAGCCTGAACATTGAATTTGGAATTTTGCTATTTTCCCAGGCTGCAGTATAATATTTCCTGGTAATGTGGGGCAGCACCACTGACGCCAGTTAACCATGCTAAGGATGTAACGTTCTGAGCACATTTAAGGTAGGCTGGGCAGAGCTATGATATTCAGTAGGTTAGACATACTAAATACATTTTTGGCTTATGATATTTTCAAGTTATAAACTTATTGTGTATCGGGGGAAACCAGCCCCCAATATTCAAAGTGAGTCCTTTTCTATTTTCCCTAAGCGTCGGCTGGTCTGAGAAATAAAGGGAAAAGGTACAAAAGAGAGAAATTTTAAAGCTGGATGTCCAGGTCAGACATCACATGTCAGCAGGTTCCGTGATGCCCCCAAAGCCACAAAACCAGCAAGTTTTTATTAGTGATTTTCAAAAGGGGAGGGAGTGTACAAATAGGGTGTGGGTCACAGAGATCACATGCTTCACAAGGTAATAAAATATCACAAGGCAAATGGAGGCAGGACGAGATCACAGGACTGGGGCGAAATTAAAATTGCTAATGAAGTTTTGGGCATGCATTGTTATTGATAACATCTTATCAGGAGACAGGGTTTGAGAGCAGACAACCTGTCTGACCAAAATTTATTAGGAGAGAATTTCCTCGTCCTAATAAACCTGGGAGCACTCTGGGAGACCGGGGCTTATTTCATCCCTTATATCCCTTATCTACAACCATAAAAGACAGACGTTCCCAAAGCAGCCATTTTGGAGACCTCCCCTTGGGAAAGCATTCTCCTCAGGGATGTTCTTTGCTGAGAAAAAGAATTCAGTGATATTTCTCCTATTTGCTTTTGAAAGAAGAGATATATGGCTCTGTTCTGCCCAGCTCTCAGGCAGCCAGACCTAGTGGTTATCTCCTTTGTTCCCTGAACATCGCTGTTATCCTGTTCTTTTTTCAAGATGCCCAGATTTCATATTGCTTAAACAATTTGTACAGTTAATGCAATCATCACAGGATCCTGAGGTGACATACATCCTCCTCATCTTATGAAGATGACAGGATTAAGAGATTAAAGTAAAGACAGGCAGAGGAAATCATAAGAGTATTGATTGGGGAAGTGATAAATGTCCATGAAATCTTCACAATTTATGTTCAGAGATTGCAGTAAAGACAGGCATAAGAAATCATAAAAGTATTAATTTGGGGAACTAATAAATGTCCATGAAATCTTCACAATTTATGTTCTTCTGCCATGACTTCAGCCAGTCCCTCTGTTCAGGGTCCCTGACTTCCCACAACAATTGGATTTATAAGGACATAATCCCATCATAAGTCAAGGAGCATCTGAACATAAATAGGGTTTACTAGGGTTGCTTTTAACTCATTCTAATGGTCTATGACTCTAAATTATTTCTTAAAGGAGGTTCATACAAAACTGAGACCCTTGCCACAGTATGTTTTAGAGCAATCAAGACCACAGAAGAAAAAAAAAAGTTGCTATTTTCCCATAAACTGCATTTTTAGTGAAAGTCAGTTTTCTAGAAATTTCTACTTTCATTTGAGAGTTTACTATACTGGGAACCCTGGTCTGAAAGGCATAATGCCTGTCATTTAGTCCTTCTACCCAAGAGCCTTTTATTATTGGTAAATTCTATTTCATTCCTATTCATGATGTACTATAACACCAAGAGCATTGTCCTGAATGTTTACTTTGTGTTTTATGTGTGAGCTCATCTCACTTTGTAAAGCAATCAAGTCATTATTGGGCCAACTCTCTGAAGTTGAGTAGTTTTCTAGAATTAAAGGAATGGTAGGGTTTCCTGTGGTACCATATTGAAAATCTGTCTCATATTTCTGTTCCACTTTAGCTCCCAAGCTGTCCTTCATTGAAGGGAGTGAGATTGAATTGGGGATACCAGGAACCTGGTTTTGTTTTGGATGATTTTTAGTAAGTTATTTCTATTGAAGAAACTTCTTCAATAAGAAAATACAAACTACATAAGTGCCCATGATTTTCTAATTAAGCAAGTTCTGCTGTTACTGTGGGGTCACTGATGACTAACAATCTCATTCAGTCTCTGGGGCCCACAACTATTCTGATATTTCAACAACTAGAAGGAAAACCCGTAGCCTATGGACATGTGAATGCCAATTATTCTCTTGAACATGACCCAGAAAAACCTGCAGCACACCTGCCAACTCTCACAAGCAGGTGCTAGCCTTGTGTCTGTGTCCCTGTAGGACACTGATCCTTTTTCTTACCATTTACAGGGATTCTCAAACTTTCAACATTTCTGTGTGATTGAATTGCAATGTTACAAAAAAAGGAAAAGAAAGGATATATAGGCCAAAACTTGATGTTTAAAAAAACTGGCTTCCCCCAAAAAAATAGAAATTAAAATGCTTTAGTTCTAATACTTTTTCAGAAAATAAAATCAATACGCATTTGATGTAAAAGTTACATTCTAACAAAAATAAAAACCTCTAAGTGAATATATGTATATATATATTCATATATGTATTCGTATATGTATACATGTATATATATATATGAATATATAAAATACATATTCATATATGTATATATGCACATATATATGCATATATATATGCAAGAGTCTTCAATATGATAGAGGAGTAATTCTCTTTTGAACATTCACTCAAAACAACTCTAATTTAGGCTTTTCATCATGGATAAAAAGAGTTCCTGGAAATTTGTACAACTAATAAGTTGGTGCCTTAGACCTGATGTCTGTATCTTTATCAACATTTTTTGATAACTGGAAATTGTAGCTGTTCCATATTAAAATGGATTTAATATTCTATTTCAATTTTGTGGCAAGTGCCAAACTAGGAGAAACTGTTAACATTATGGGAAAGTTACGGGCTAAAGTTTCATTCAGCTTCTTGTACCAGCTGACACCTGGCTGAACCCAAGGACACTGCTTCTTTTCCTGTCCTCTCATGAGACTGCTGTTTTTATCCCACAGCTTAAGTGACTCTGTATGAGCAGAATGAGGTTGACACATGTCCTTCCAGATCCTCATTGCTATTTCCAGAACTTTTTCCTCTCTTCACTTCCAAAAACCTCAGCTCCTTTGAGATGCATGCTCAAAGCCTATGTCATCTGCTGTTCCCACATCCTACAGCCACCTCCTAACTCCTCAGACATCGTTCTTATTTCATTGTTTTCCTCTCAATTCTTGTCATTGTTCTTGGTTATTTCAACATGACTGAAAATCCGGTCAATGTCATAGACACACTGTTCCTTGCCTTACTTTCAATTATCTTTTCCTCTACCACTTTACCTCCCTCAGCAACTTATTTTTGCTCATCTCCAAAATATCAGTGTCAACCTTCTCATTCTTTATGCACCCTCTCACTAATTCTTATTGAAAATGACCACCTAAGATTGCTGGCCTAACCAGATTATAACACAAGAATGCCCTCAATAAGAAGGCATGTATTAGAGTCCTGGAAGTGAAGAAGAATGAAAGATAGTAGTGGCAATCAGAAGTTATTTCAAAATAAAAAGAGAAAACCCTAAGAGGAAAAAACAAAGATGGCAAATGCTACTAAAAAAAAATCAGATTCCCTCTACTGACATGCCCTATTTATCAATAGCATTCGTATGTGTGAACCTTGGTCAAGAGTTTATTAGGAAGAGGAAGTGGAGCAAGATGACCAAATAGAAGCCTTCACCAATCATGCTCCCCCATAGAAACACCAAATTTGACAACTATCTACACAAAAAAAGCACCTTCATAAGAATCAAAAATCATGTGAACAAGTACAGTACCTGGTTTTAACTTTATATTGCTGAAAGAGGTACTGAAAAGGATAGGAACGACAGTCTTGAATTGCTGATGCCACCCTTCTCCATCCCTCCAGCAGCAGCCGTGTGATGTGGAGAATCTATGTGCTTGGGGAAGGGAGAGTACAGTAATTGTGGGACCCTGCATTGAACTCAGTGCTGCCCTGTCACAACTATTAATAAAAGCAAAACCAGGCTAAACTCAGCTGACACCCATCCATGGTGGAAGTATTTAGACCAGCCCTAGCCAGAGGGGAATCACCCATCCCAGTGGTCAGAACTCAGAGTACCAGCAAGCCTCACCACTGTGGGCCACAGGGCTCTGGGGTCCTAAATAAACTTGAAAGGCAATCTAAGCCACAAGGACGAAAATTCCTATGCAAGTCTTTGTGCTGTGCTGGGCTCAGACCCAGTGGACTTGGAGGGCACATGACCTTCTGAGATACCAGCCAGATGGCTAATGGAGTGCTTGTGCCACCTCGCTCCCAATACCAGGGAGTGCAATTTGCAGCAATAAAAAAAGCAACTCCTTACTTCTGCTCGAAGAGAGGAGAGAAAAGAGTAAAGTGGACTTTGCCTTGCATCTTGGATATAGGGCACTAGACAGAGTTGTGAGGCCCTCATTCCAGGCCCAAGTTCCTGGATTACACATGTAAACACACCCTAGGCCAAAAGGAAACAGACGTCTTAAAGGGAGGACCTAGTCCTTGCAGGATTCACCACCTGCTGACTAAAGAAACCTTGGATAACCAGCAGCAATACCCAGGTAGTATGCCATAGGCCTTGGATGAGACTGAGAAGACCTGACTTCATGTGAGAACCAGCACACTCCCAGCTATGGTTGCTGCAGGGAGAGACTCCTTCTGTTTGACAAAAGTGGAAGGAAAAGTAAATAGGACTTTGTTTTGTACCTTAAGTACCAGCTCAATCATAGAGCAACCATTGGGCTCTTGAGGTCCCCAAATCAAAGCCTAGGGTCTTGAATGCTATTTCTGGACTTGTCCTGGACCAGAGGAGCAGACTTCCTGAAGGGTGACTCCCAGGCCAGGGAGCATTCACCACAAGCTGACTTAAGAGGTATTGGGCCTGAAGATAACATCAGCTGTAGTCTGGCAGTACTCCCCATGGGCCTGTGGTGGTGGCGGCCATGGGTTGAGGCTCCTCTGCCTATGGAAAAGGAAGGGAATAGTGGAAAGGACTTTGTCCCATGGTTACAGTGCCAGCTTAGCCACAATATAATAGAACATCAGGAATATTTTTAAGGTTTTTGACTCCAGTCGCTGGTTCCCAGATGGCAGCTCTGAACCCACCTAGAGGCTGGGAAAACTTGCTGCCCTGAAGGGAAGTGCAAAAATCTGACTGGCTTTGCCACCTCCTGATTGTAGAGCCTTAGAGCCTTAACCAAACAAAGGTTACAGTCAGATAGTTGTTACACTGGGCCTTGGGCAAAACCAAATGATGTGCTGGCCTCAGGTCTGAACCACTGAGGTCCCAGTGGTGGTGACCAAAGGAGTGCTTGGGTCCCCATGACCTCAGCTCCAGGCAGCTCAGCACAGAGAGAGAGAGACTCCATTTGTTTGAGAGAAAGTAGGGGAAGAGAACAAGAGTCTTTGCCCAGTAATTCATAGAATTTTTCTGTATCTTATTCAAGACCACCAAAGTGGTATCTCTACAACTTTGCAAGAACCACAGCATTACTGGGCTTCAAGTGTCCCTAAAGCAGAAACTGTTTAGATAAAACAACACGTAAGTCCATTCAAATATCTGAAAAGCCTTCCCAAGAAGGATGGGTACAAACAAGCCCAGACAGTGAAGACTACAATAAACACCTAACTCTTCAATGCCCACACACCAAAGAACATCTACTAGCACCAAGACCACCCAGAAAAACATGACCTCACCAAATGAACTAAATAAGGCACCAGGACCAGTCCTGGAGAAACCGAGATATGTGACCTTTCAGACAGATTATTCAAACCAGCTGTTTTGAAGAATCAAAGAAATTCAAGATAATATAGAGAAGAAAATCAGAATTTTATCAGATAAATTTTTAAAATAGATTGAAATAATTAAAAGGAATCAAACAGAAATTCTGGTGTTGAAAAATGTGATTGACATACTGAAGAATGCATCAGAGTCTCTGAATAGCAGAATTGATCAAGCAGAAGAATTACTGAGCTTGAAAAAATGCTATTTGAAAATACAGTCAGAGGAAACAAAAGAAAAACAATAAAAAACAAAAAAGCATGCCTACAAGATCTAGAAAATAGCCTCAAAAGGGCATATCTAAGAGTTATTAGGCTGAAAGTGGAGGCAGAGAAAGATATAGGGGGTAGAAAATTTATTCAAAGGGATAATAAAAGAGAACTTCCTAAACCTAGAGAATGATATCAATATTTGAGTTCAAGAAGGTTATAGAATACCAAGCAGATTTAACCCAAAGAAGACTACCTCAAGGTATTTGATGATCAAACTCCCAAATGTCAAAGATAAAAAAGGGATCTTAAAAGCACACAGAGAAATAAAACAAATAACATAAAATGGAGCTCTAATACATCTGGAAGCAGACTTTCAGTGGAAATATTACAGGCCAAGAGAGAGTGGCATGACATATTTAAAGTGCTGAAGAAAAAAACTTTTACACTGGAATACTATATCCAGCAAAAATATCCTTCAAGCATGAAGAAGAAATAAAAACTTTCCCAAACAAACAAAAGCTGAGGGATTTCATTAACACCAGACCTATCCTACACAAGAAGTGTTGAAGGAGTTCTTCAATCAGAAAGAAAAAGACATTAATGAGTAGTAAGAAATAATCTGAAGGCACAAAACTCACTGGTAATAGCAAGTACGCAGAAAACACAGAATATTATAACACTGTAACTGTGGCGTGTAAGCCACTCATTTTAAGCAGAAAGACTAAATGATGAACCAATGAAAAATAATGACTACAACAGCTTTTTAAGACAAAGAGAGTACAATGACTGGCTAGGCATGGTGGCTCATACCTGTATTCCCAGCACTTTGGTAGGCTGAGTCAGGTGGATCATGTGAGTCCAGAAGTTCAAGACTAGCCTGGGCAACATGGTGAAACCCTGTCCCTACCAAAAATACAAAAATTAGCCAGTCTTTTAACACAATCTCCAAATAAATAAATACATAAATAGATTAAAATTTTAAAGTAAAATTTAAAAAATTGGAAACAAAGAGTACAATGAGATATAAATTAAAAAATAAAAATTTAAAAATTGGGGGATAAAGTGCAGAATTTTTACCAGTTATCTTTTTGCTTGTTTATTTATACAATGAGTATTAAGTTGTCATTAATTTAAAATAATGGGTTATATGATAGTATTTGCAAGCCTCATGGTAACCTCAAATTTTAAAACATACAATGAATCCATAAAAATAATAATAAAAAATTAAATCATAACACAAGAGAAAGTCACTTTCACTAAAAAGAAGACAGGGGCCAGGAACAGTGGCTCACACCTCTAATCCCAGCATTTTGGGAGGCCGAGGCAGGTGGGATCACCTGAGGTCAGGATTTCGAGACCAGCCCGGTCTTTACTAAAAATACAAAAATTAGCTGGGTGCGGTGGCAGGCACCTGTAATCTCAGCTACTGAGGCTGAGGCAGTAGAATCGCTTGAACCTGGGAGACGGAGGTTGCAGTGAGCCGAGATTGCACCACTGCACTCCAGCCTGGGCACAAGAGCGAAACTCTGTCAAAAAAAAAAAAAAAAAAAAAAAAGACAGGAAGGGAAGAAATAAGGAAGAGAAGACCATAAAACAACCAGAAAACAAATAACAAAATGGTAGACGTCCTTACTTATCAATAATAACATTGAATATCAATGGACTAAACTCTCCAATCAATCAAAAGATATGGAGTGGCCAAATGGATTAAAATAATAAACAAAACCCAATGATTATTAAAAACACACTTCACTTATAAAGATACACACAGACTGAAAATAAAGGGATGGAATAAAGGGAAAAAAAAAAGAGCAGGAATAGCTATACTTATATCAGACAAAATACATTTCAAGATAAGAACTGTAAGAAGAGACAAAGAAGGTCGCTATATAATGATAAAGGAGTCAATCCAGCAAGAGGATATAACAATTTTAAATATATATCCCCTCAATACTGGAGCACTCAGGTATGTAAAGCAATATTATCAGAGCTAAAGAGAGAGAGAGAGATCCCAATACAGTAGTAGCTGGAGACTTCAACACCCTACTTTAAGCATTAAACAGATCTTCCAGACAGTAAATCAAAAAAGAAACCTCAAACTTAATCTGCACTATAGACCAAATAGATCTAATAGCTAGCTACAGAACATTTCATTCAGCAGCTTCAGAATACACATTATTTTCTCAGCATGTGGATCATTCTCAAGGACAGACTATATATTAGGTCACAAAACAAGTTTTAAAGTATTAAAAAAAATACCAAGCATCTTCTCCAACCACAAAGAAATAAACCTAGAAACCAATAACAATATACATTTTGGAAACTATACACGTAATCAAAATTAAACAATACGCTCCTGAATGACCAGTAGGTCAATAAAGAAATTAAGGAGAAAATGGAAAAGTTTATTGAAACAATGATAATGGAAACACAACATACCAACACCTATGGTATGCTGTGTTTGTGTATATTGAACCATCCTTGCATCCCAGGGATAAATTTATCCCAAGGATAAACACTCCCTTGCCAGTAATAAGAAGCAAATTTACAGCCATAAATACCTACATTAGAAAAGAAGGAAAACTTCAAATAAACAACCTAACAATGCATCTTAAAGAACTAGAAAAGCAAGAGCAAGCCAAACACAAAATTGAAGAAAATAGAGAATAAAGATCAGAGCAGAAATAAATGAAATTGAAATGAAGAAAACAATACAAAAAATCGATGAAACAAAAAGTTGGTTTTTTGAAAAGTTAAACAAAATTGACAGACCTTTAGCCTGACTAAGAAAAAAGGGAGAAGATACAAATAAAGAAAATCAGAGATGACAAAGGAGACATTACAACTGATACTTCAAAAATTCAAAGGATCATTAGTGGCTACAATGAGCAACTATGTGCCAATAAATTGGAAAATCTAGAGGAAATGGACAAACTCCTAGAAACATACAACCTAACAAGATTGAACCAGGAAGAAATCAAAAATCCGAACAGACCAATAACAAATAATGAGATTAAAGCTGTAACAAAAAGTCCTTGAGTACACAAAAGCCCAGGACCTGATGGCTTCACTGCTGAATTCTATTAAACATTTAAAGAAGTACTAACACCAATCCTACTCAAACTATTCAGAAAAATATCGTGAGGAGGGAATACTTCCAAACTCATCCTACAAGGCCAGTGTTACCCTACCACCAAAACCAGACAAAGACCCATCAAAAAAAGAAAACCACATTCCAATATCCCTGATGAATGTTGGTGCAAAAATCCTCAACAAAATATTCACAAACCAAATTCAACAATACATTTAAAAAACCATTCATCACAATCAAGTGAAATTTATCCCTGGGATGCAAGGATGGTTCAACATACACAAATCAATCAATGTGATACATTATATCAACAGAATGAAAGACCAAAAAAAGATTATCTCAATTGATGCTGAGAAAACATTTGAAAATATTCAACATCCCTTCATGATAAAACCCTCAAAACCTGAGTATAGAAGGAATATACCTCAACACAATAAAAGCTGCATATGACCTACTCACAGCTAGTATCATATTAAATGGGGAAAAAGCTGAAAGCCTTTCCTCTAAGATCTGGAGCATGACAAGGATTCCCATTTTCACCACTGTTATTCAATATAATACTTGAAGTCCTAGCTAGAGCAATCAGAAAAGATAAAGATAAAAAGAGCATCCAAACTGGAAAAGAAGAAGTCAAATTATCCTTGTTTGCAGATGATATAATCTTATATTTCGGAAAACCTAAAGACTCCACAAAAAACTCTTAGAACGGATAAACAAATTCAGTCAAGTTGCAGGATACAAAATCAACATACAAAAATCAGCAGCATTTCTATATGCCAATAGTGAACAATCTGAAAAACAAATCAAAAAACTAATACCATTCACAATAGCCACAAACAATTAAATAGCTAGGAATTAATCAAAAGAGTGAAAGATCTCTATAATGAAAACTACAAAACACTGACAAAAGAAAATGAAGAGGACACCAAAAATGGAAAAATATTCCATGATCATGGAATAGAAAAATCAATATTGTTAAAATGTCCATACTACCCAAAACGATCTACAAATTCAATGAAATCCCTATCAAAATACTAATGACATTCTTCACAGAAATACAAAAATACAATTCTGAAATTTATATAGAACCATAAAAGACTCAGGATAGCCAAAGCTATCCTAAGCAAAAAGAACAAAACTGGATGAATCACTTTACCTGACTTCAAAGTATACTGCAAAGATATAGTAACCAAAACAGCATGATACTGGCATAAAAATAGACACATAGACCAATGCAACGGAATAGAGAACCCAGAAACAAATCCACACACCTATAGTGAACTCATTTTTGACAAAGGTGCCAAGAACATACACTGGGAAAAAGACAGTCTCTTCAATAAATGGTACTTGGAAAACTGGATATCCATATGCAGAAGAATGAAACTAGACCCCTATGTCTCACCATATACAAAAAATCAAATCAATATGGATTAAGGACTTAAATATAAAACCTCAAACTATGAAGCTACTTCACAAAAACATTGGGGAAAATCTCCAGGACATTGGTCTGGGCAAAGATTTCTTGAGTAATACCCCATAAGCACAAGCAATCAAAGTAAAAATGGACACATGTGATCACAACAAGTCAAAAACTCCTGCACAGCAAAGGAAACAATCAATAAAATAAAGAGACAAACAATTTCTCCTATTCTTGGAGAAAATATTCACAAACTACACATCTGACAAGGGATTAATAACCAGACTACTATAAGAAGCTCAAACAACTCTATAGGAAAATATCTGATAATCCAATTTAAACAATGGATAAAACATTTGAACAGACATTTCTCAAAAGAATACATACCAATGGCAAAGAGACACATGAAAAGGTGCTCAACATCATTGATCATCATGGAAATGCGAATCAAAACTACAATGAGATATCATTTCACTCCAGTTAAAATGGCTTATATCCAAAAGACTGGCGATAATAAATGCTGATGAGGACATGAAGGAAAGAGAACCCTAGTACACTGCTGGGAATGTACATTTAATTATAACCACTATGAAGAACAGTTTGGAGGTTTCTCAAAAAACTAAAAATATGACGACCCAGCAATTCCCCTGCTAGGTATATACCCAAAAGAAAGGAAATCAGTATATCGAAGAGATATCTGCACTCCCATGTTTGTTGCAGCTCTGTCCACAATAGCCAAGTTTTGGGAGCAACTTGAGTGTCCATCAATAGATGAATGGATAAAGAAAATGTGGTACATATACACAATGGACTACTATTTAGCCATTAAAAAGAATGAGATTCAGTCATTTGCAACAACATGGATGGAACTGGGGGTCATTATGTTAAGTGAAATAAGCCAGACACAGAAAGACAAATATCACATGGTCTCATTTATTTGTGGGATCTAAAAATCAAAACAATTGCACTCATGGAGATAGAGAGTAGAAGGGGAGTTATCAGATACTGGGAAGGGTAGTGAGGGGGGTGGTGGACAGATGGGGATGGTTAAAGGGTACAACAAAAAGAGTTAGAATTGATGAGTAAGGTCCAGTATTTGATAGAACAGCAGCATAACTATAGTCATTATAATTTCATTGTACATTTTAAAATAACTAAGAATATAATTGGATTGTTTGTGACATAAGGATAAATGCTTAAGGGGATGGATATCCCATTTTCCATGATGTGATTATTACACATTGCATGCCTGTATCAAAACATCTCATGCACACCATAAATATGTACACTTACTATGTAACCATAAAAATAAAAATTTAAAAATAACAATACATTTTTAAAAGTTATACATAAACACATACATTAGCCTAGGCCTACACAGCATCAGGATCATCAATGTCATTGTCTTCTACCCCTATTCTTATTTCACCCTGAAATAAGGTCTTCTGGGGCAATAACATGCATGGAGCCATCATTCCCTTGGATAACAATGCCTTCTTCTGGAATACTTCTGAAGGACCTACCTGAGGCTGTTTTACACTTTTTTGGTAAGTAGAAAAAGTATACTTAATAATAATGATAAAATGTATAGTACAGTAAATATAGAAACCAGTAACATAGTCATTTATTATAATTATCAGTTATGTACTGTACATAATTGTATGTGCTATACCTTTATATGACTGCTAGCACAGTAGGTTTGTTTATACCAGCATCACCACAAACACATAAGTAATGTGTTGCTCTATGATGTTACAATGGCTACGATGTGGCTAGGCAATGAAAATTTTTCAGCTTCATTATAATCTCATGAGACCACCATCATATATTTGGTTAGAGAGAGAGAGAGGCAGAGAGAGAGAGATCCTGTTGGTTTGGTTTCTCTGGAGAACTTCTAATATATTCTTCCTTTTTCAAGAAAGGCTTCTATCCTACATCATGTAGTCTTTTATCTCCCAACAACAGACAGCTTCCCACCTAAGTCTTATACAAGCAGCTTCTGTTTCTCTCCCAGTTGTCTTTAGATCTATTTCATCTCACCTATTTCACATAACAGCATTTGAAGTCAACATCATTAGATTATAGATAATGAAGCTGAGGCTCAGAAAAGATCAGTAACTTCCCCAGGCTTCTACAATTAGTTATACTGCCAGATGTGAATCCGTAATAATGAAGTGTCAGACCCATACTCTTTCTAATTACTGTCGAACTATTCATTTTTGTAAGTATGCAATGTGTGGCACAATGCCTGACACCTATTAGACACTTTATATGTGTACCTTTTGGCTTTCAATTACAATAAAAATTGTACTGTTAATTCCTTCACTGGAAGATGTCATTCTAAAAACTTGTCTTTATAGTCTATTGGGCTTCTCAAGCTGCTGAATGAGTCTGAAAATTACCCTCAGGTAAATTCTATACTTTCCACTAGTGATCACATGCTGATTGCTGTCACACAATTTTCTGATTTTTTTTCATTATAAATAAACCAAGTGTTGAGGTCCAGGACTTGGTAATAACTATTCTACTTATTCACCTCCGAAGAAATGGAAATCCCTATGGTACGTCAGAAACTTCAGAAATGTTTTGAAAGTTAAACAAATAGATCGTTCATTCATATATTGACCCTTGTTCTAAGTTGTTTAATGAATTTGGACTTTGAATATATGCTCGTTTTCTTCCCTTAATGACGCAAACTCTTCTAGGATTTAGATTTAGTGGGGAAATATGTTCCCAATCTGGAAAGTTTTGCATGTTTATGGATATGTATTTAATAAAGATATAATTCATAATTAGTTTTCCATGAAAGGATCCAACTTAAGTTTTAAGCCCACTTTAATAAGGGGGTTTCCTTTTGAAAATAATTGTTTGCAATGGAAAATTTTTAAAAACAAAAATTCCCACAGGTAAATGAAAGGGTGTTTTTAGTGTTTCTAAGTCAAATGGAGCTTCACCTTCTTTCTCTCAATTTTAATTGTGAAACCATGTTTCATGCCTATGATTCTTTGAATTGTGCATTTCCACCTGGTTTTAAGTTAAGCACTCAAGAGAAGCTCCAAGAGGAGTTCTTAACTATCTGAAGAACAATGAAGCTGCCGGAGCCTATAGATATTATTTGTGTGGTACAAATCATTAATGGTTCATTATGACAAATACCTTCTGTGTGAGAAGCTAAGCTCTGTGGCTATAGAGAAGTAGATGGTCCACTTGCTCAGTGAATGTGCAATCTAGCTAGAGAGATAGATTATGTTTCTAAACGATAACTTTAAAAATTGTTATATGAACGGTATAAAACAAGTATGTCAAACATAGGGCCACTCCTACCATTGATATCTATGGGAGACATTCCCAATCAATCATACTTTTTGTCTTAGTTAGGACTGCTGTATCAGAAATACCATAGACTGGGCAGCTTAAACAACAGACATTTATTTCTCATAGTTCTGGAGGCTGGGAAGTCCAAGATCAAAGTGCCAGCAGATCCAGTGTCTCGGAAGGGTCATTTCCTGGCTTGTAAACAGGCTCTCCCCTGTCTCTTTTTATAAGAGCTCTAATCCCTTATGATCTAATTACCCGCCCCCACCCCCAAAAGCCCACTTCCTAACATCATCACATTGGGGATTAGGCTTCAACATACGAATTTGAGGTGGTCACAACCATTTAGTTTATACCACTTCCTTTTCCCAATGAGCCTGGATAGAGCCTGAGTTTAATATCTTCTCAACACAATATAGTTGGTAGCCACCAGGAGTCAGAGTATGCATATGCAATGACATCTATTTGCCATTCATGTACAAGTAATGCTTTAGGAGTTCAAAAGACAGTAAAGTCATGTAAGAATGGGACAGTACAGTTAAAAAAGACTTTTTAAGGACAGTGGGACATGATCTTGAAACACGAATGAAATGTAGCTTAGTAGACAGAAAGCTGAAAGCATTCAAGCAGAGGGAATGGTGTGAACAAAGGTATGCCAGTGAGTATCGGTTGAGTGGATATGGGATGGTGAAGAGACCTTGCAAATAAGAAGTTTTCCAACCTATTGCCTAACTCAATAATTGCTTTCCTATATCAAAAAGAAGATACAATAAATAGTAGTTTCTGATTCTACTCTTTTCCCCCTCCTTGAAGGATTTTAAGGCCCACTTTGTAAAACTCAGAACGACATATTCAGAAGGAAAACTGACTTAAAAACCTTTATGGGCAACATTATCAGAAACCACAAACTTCAAAGAATATATGTCAGACTAAATCATTTACTCAAAGTATATTGGACATGAAGTAACTCAACAGTTAGAGCCTCTAATCTGCAACAAGAGTGGATGTTTGGTGAGGTTACACAGGAATTGTCGTGGTGCCCTGATTCATCCCCAAAAGGGATTTGTTTTCAGCTCAGACACTGATCAGAATCATTTCAGGAAAAAGGCAGGGTATAATGAAGAGCAAAATAACAGAGTTGCAGCACACAGATGCAGGCCCTAGGCAGACAGCAAAAGACCTCAAAACAAAGAAGCATTTCCACAACATTAAATATTTAGGACTTAGCACTTAAAAATATTTAAAATAAGCTTCAAACAAGTATGTAAGGAGAGACTGAGACTCAGCATTCTGAAATGAAAACCCCACTTTCCTTGCATGCCAGCAAAAAATAAAAATAGTGTGAGACAAGAGTAGCAATTTACTCACAGCAAAACACAGACAAATGGAAGAAAAGAAAGTGCAGACTGGATGACAAGAGAGAATAAGCCCTTGGGGAAAATCTATCTGGTCAAGGGGGAAAATCTATCTAGTCAAGGGGGAAAAGGTCAGAAATTAGTACACGGACCCATTACATGGTATCCATAGTTGTTGGATTACTTATGTTTGAGTCAACTTTCTTGAAAAGTCTATACGGTTGTTACTTTATAAGTGGGTTCAGTTGTTCTCAAATAGCCTTTTTAGTGTCTCCAAAATCTATTAAATAACTCCTTCAAATACAATTAGGGATAGCTGTTGGAAATAAAATAGATCTTGCTTAGCTATCAAATTCAAGATTCTGTGCTGAGAGTAGACCAGACTGATATCAGCAGCCTATTTTAGGTCAACATCTCTAGAAGCAGAGCCTGAGACAAGAATCAAGTACATGTGGTTTGCTGGGAAAGCACTCTTATGAGAAACCTGTGAAGGAAGGATGGTAGGAAGAGCAAGAGGAAGATGCTGAGCAAGAATGTGGTCTCAGGCATAGTCTGGTCTAGCCCTGATATATAGAGGGGTCTGGAGAGAAATCCACACCTCAGAGGCATCCCTTCTGAAGGAAAAGAAGCTTATACCCCATAACTTTGCAGGCCAGATAGTTTCCCTCATTCCAGGGTAACTTTCCAGAAAAGATGGGTGTCTGTGAAACATGAGCAGCTGACGTTCACAGAAGCTGAGAAGATGGGTGCACAACACAGGGGAACTGGGGGAGGCACTAAAGTGTCTACTACGCAGTCTCTTTGCAGAGTATTGTCTTACTTGGCCTAATTTTTGTCTAGCAAAACTGTATAAGAACCAATGCTAGAAAAATCTTATTCCAGCACCTCCAGACCCTTGCAAGGCTCTTTGGGAATAGCTCCTCTACATGGAACTAACCTCCAAATCCTAATTTCAGAAATGCCGTCTAAAAAAGAAACAACAGCAGCAATGTAACATTATAAACAAACGCTGTCAGATCTGGGTTTGACATGCTAGAGGATCACATAGGACCTATCACTGAACGCTGGGGACAAGAGAAAATGAACCAAAAGAAAAATGGGACATGAAAAAAAAAGACCTTGGAAATTTCATAATGATGCAGGCTAGCCTTCTGATGTTATCAGAAAGATCACATGTTCCAGAGTCAGACATATCCAATTGCATTCTCAGGCCTGGGAATTTACTGGTACATTCAGATTCACAATCTCCTCATTGGTTAAAATGGAATAGTAATATGCATCTTTCCTATTTGTTGGAGGAGAAAATGTTTGAAGAGTCACTTATGCAGTGTTTGGCTCATTGTGTGCACAGCTCAATAAATAGTATGTTATTGCAGTGGCATATATTTCTAAGAATTAATCTATGCCGCCTACTTGCAGCCACTGAACTTCATTCCCCAAGTCCAAACAACTGGATTGGGCCTACGCACTACAGAACTTCCCCCAAAAAAACTATAAATACTCACATGTTAGCCAAAAAATCCATGCACCAGAGCACAGGTCAGAAAAGTGGGGTTGCATTCTTATAGAGGGCAACATTCTCTTCCTAAAAGACAATTTTAAAAGACACACAGCATTGGGGAAAGGAGGAGGAAGAAAACTTTTGGAATAGAGAGGATAAAATGGAGAATTTGTAAACCACAGCAAGCTATTGCTTGCATTACCAGCAAAGAAGAGCTTTGAGTAAACCAAGATGGTGCTAAGTTGTTATCCTTCCCATTGCCTTCTGATGAGGACCACAAATTACCTACAGCCAATCCATTACTCTTTGTCATCTGTGTGGAGTAATACTTGTCAGATCTTGGAAATTCTGTCCAGCCTCCATCCAAACAATTCTATGTGGACTACCACAATCTGATAGCCTGGGTTCCTTATAAGTCTTTTTCACCCCTGTCCCCATCATGGATGATAGGGATGAATATTGGGGACCATGGTGACATGAGTGGAAGGTATGAAATACACTCCCCCCACATGTTCTTCTGTCTTGCCTATGATCAGCCCGTTTGAATTCTACATTTACACAAGACTCCAAGAAACACTAGATGCTGTTTAGGACTGCACAAGTCCACCACCTAGAGGGAACTCAGCCAATGTGCCCACTCTACTCTGCCCACAGAGTTGTTTGGGAGACGAGCAGTGGGATGTAACAATTTATACTTGAATTTTTTCTTTATTTGTGTAGAATGTGGTGTCCCCTTCCCTTTCTCCTTCTCCTTTCACCCCAGCTCCAATTAGAAAATTTTATTGTACAAAATTCCACTCCAGAGGAATCTATTTCAAATTTAGGAAGCCATTGGTGCGTAAAGAACACTTATTCTAAGAGGGCAGGACAGAGTGTGCCATGTAATCAAAGGCAATTAAAGACATTCATGCAATTGTGAATATACATCCTCTGCATATACAATTGTTCAAAAAGCCTACATACTGTGGCACTGGATGGTTTTCAAAAGACATTTAAGGCACAATAAGCATTTATTTGGGGCTTGGGAACATGAGTTTTGTTTGTGTTCTTATGCATGTTTGGCAAATACAATGCAAGCTCTGCTTTCAGAACATTTGGCCCTAAATAAAAAGAAATGTGTCAGCAAATCCACCAAGGAGTACAGTAAACCCAAAACTTCTTCTGTTGGATCCAGAGAGAGACCGAGGTAAATTTTGTTTGTTTTCTAGCTAAAAGCAACATCTGGATGCAATTGCTAGGAGTTCTGGCTGCTTTGGCCACATCTAGCCAAGAAGCAGAAAAATCCTACCAAAGGTCCAGTATTCACTGCAACATTTGTAGCACACCCAAAGCACAGGTTCAAGGCAAATGTTTATGTGAGCTGACTGATCAATGACATCAAACGTTTACCATCTGCTCCAGTACATGCAAGATACCACCTACATGCCTATTGGATTTATTGGAGGTACAGGGTAGCGGGAGTGGGCGAAAGGAGGTGTTCCTATCACCTTTATCTAGTAAATAAGAAACAAATCAAGACTTTACAGTCCATCCACTAGGCTTAAATACCAACTTTGTCACTCACTTGCTCTATGACTAGGCAAGTTATATATTATCAGCCTCATTGTCCTCATTGCTAAAATAGAAATAATGACAGTACCTGCCTCATGAAGTTCTTGAAGACTGTTGACAAATGTAAAGTGACCACACAGAGTAATCTCTCAATGAATGTAGGCTAAAAGTATTAAGTTATTATATTCTCTCTTGTGGCTTCTCTTGCACCTCTGTGCAGAAAATTCTCCACTGGGGGAAAAATACGCCACTTTGATCTACCACCCTCACAATTTACCACAACTCCATTTCCTTAAGTGCCAAGTTATTTTAAAGTCTCCATGCGTTGTCCTGCCCTTACTCCCATTAACTCACACCTCCTGCTCCCTCCCCTGTAATGAATAATGACGATCACTCATCAACAACCTTTGCCACATGACATTGAGTGCTCCCAAGTTGGCAGGATACACTTCTTTACTCTACTTGCAGTCCTCCTGGGCCCCTCCCCTCATGTTGGCCACATGACTGCTGTGGGACAGTGGAATGTGGACAAACATGAGATTTGCCACATGTGAGCAGAAACTTTAAATGTGCTTATTCAGCCAGATTAGCCTCTTGCATTTTTGCCTTTTTCTACAAGAGCAGTATGAAAAATAGGGGCTACTCCTTTAGCCTGAGTCCTGGGATGAGAAGATGCCTGGAAGCCAGGAAAGGTCTCCACAATCACAGCCAATTTGTGGATTTCATGTAATGTCAGAAAGAAATAAGTGTTTAGTTTTATTCTGTTGATAATTGAGTTGTTTGTTACTGCAGCAAAAGATGACTAATATCTAGCACCTGTTTTCCTGCCAATCTAAAAGTTTATCACTATAATGATCAATAAGGGATGATCTGCCAAGGACCATCTCCCTTCTTCACAGAACTCCCCCCTTCTCCTCCCTCTCTCACATACATGATTCCCACGGGTATTGCCATATTTGAAACTGTCAGCTTCCCTGACCACCAACTACTGGCTCATAGGTGGATATCTAACCCAGTCTGCCATGGGGAAAAATAGCATGAAATGATCATACACAGAGTAGCAGGCGTGAAAGGGAGGATCCAAGGGAACTGGAGCCACTGGTTAAGGTTGTTCTATGTCTATAGCTGAACGTTTATGCCCAGGACAGAGTTCCCAGCTAAGAGGGGAAGGGCCAGGATGACCACAAGTGGACAGAAAGGCAAGAGGTCCTCTGTTCAGACAGGAGGGGCTTCCCACAAGTCATATGGTGGCTGGGGGGCAGCAGCTTGAAGGGACAAATCCAGGCCGAACAGGTCAGTGTTAAAGTGGTTTAAAGTAAGTTCAGACACGGGCTAGACCAAAAACTTGAGGCACTATCCAAATTCCTCCATGTTGTGAAGTTATGTCTAAAGGAAGAATAAATACAAGGGCTGTAGCAAAGCTGATCAAACAATGGCACTGGGAAGAGGATTACCAGGCGGACCTGAGCCACTAGAGGAGAGATTACATCATCAGTGTTCTGACAAGTCATCCCAGGAGAGTGAGTAAGAGACTTTTTCAACCCAAAGGGCACCTTGTTAAAGCCAGCCTGGGGCCAGCCCTCCATTTGTTTCCAGTGTAGCAAGCCTGATCACAACTAGAATTGCTGGGCCCCAACCCCAGACCCCCCAACTCTGATATTTCACAAGAAGAGATTCCAGAACAAACACAGGATTGTTCTGGGCTTTAAAGGTAAAATGGCCTTTCACTCCACACCCCAATTATGTTTTTTCAGTTGTGGCGAAAAAGAGAACTCTGTACCAATGAGAAAAGTATTCACAAACACACCGTATTTCTCCTTTTACAAAGAAAGAGGCTAATGCAAGCAAGGCACCCACCTAATACTTATCCTTCCAGGGTATAAGTTCGGAAATCTGTGGGTTGTTGGGTTGGGAAATGGAAAAATCATGATAGGGAACTGACTGGGGAGTTATCCTATTGGCTCAGTCTCTGTTGACTCTTGTGAGGCTGAGGTATGTCCCATAACAGTCACAACTTCCCCAGATCTCCCTCTTCAGGCCTCTGAAGACCTTGGACTTACTTGGACTTACACAGGACAAGGCTAAATTTGGCACAGAAAATGGCCTTGTGGGAGAGAGGGCCAGTGCAGCTGACCTGCTGCTGAAGAACCAGGTAAATCAAGAGAATGATGAGCACAGCCAGGCAGGATTACAAATTACGAAGTGTGGCAATAAAATAATAATCACCAACACCTCCTGAGTGATGAGTAAGTGCTAGGCAGTGATCTAAACATACACACAGAATACTTATTTGAACCCTCATTATCAGCTCTCTGAGAGAGATGCTATTAGAAGTTCCATTTTACAGTTGACAAAACTGAAGAATGACAAAGTTTAATTAATTTCCCCAAGATTTATCCTAAAGATGTTCTTAAGGACATATGTAAAGACCTAGCAACAGGAATGTTTATTATAGCCACTGTTTTTAACACTGGTAAGATTTTAATAGTCACAATGCAGGCAAATATTCAACACTATGGAATGAATTAAATAAATTACATCTAAACAATAATTAAAAATAATCTACTGGGTGTATGGTTTTGAAATAAAAACCTATCATAGATTATTCAGTGAAAAATCAGGACACAAAATAAAGTATAATCTCATATTTTGGTAATTATAAATATATATGTTTTTTAAATTTCTGAAAGAATTTGCATCAAAGTGTTAATGGTGATCTGCAAACGTAAGGTTGTAGGTTCTTTTTGACTACCCTTTTATTTATGCAAATTAGAAAATAAAAATGAATTGCTTTTCCATAAAAGAATAGCTATATTATTTTGTAAATAATAAAGTAGACGTAGGATTATCTACATATTGATATCATGTTTCTGGAGGGCTCTTAATTCCATGTACATAAAAGCAAGTGGAATTAGTGTAACCCAGCATTTCCCAAAAGCGTATTGCTAAGAAAAAGGGTGTTTCATGGTCAAATAAATTGGGACATTCTGCATGCTCCTCTTGAAGATTCACAATGCATAAATTCTGTTTAAAAAGAAAAAACAGTTTAATGGGTTTAACCCAGCATTTCCCAATCTTATTTAAATGAAACTCCTTTATTTATACTTACAAAGTATAAATAAATACTGATTTATAGTTCAAGAAATGCTCACACATTTTGGAAACCATAGTTTTATTCATCACTAATTCTTCTATCAAGCATACAACCCTTATACAGCAATGTATTACATATATATATAAAAACTCTAATAGAACATTATATATATAATGCTCTCTATATATAATTATAGATATATATAAGTTATATATTATACAATTAATATGTATAATTATAGTTAATTTTTATATAAATATACAATCCTTATAGAGCATTTATATATACATACACACATATGTATACATATATACATATATACACACATATGTATACATATATACATATATACACACATATGTATACATATATACATATATACACACATATGTATACATATATACATATATACACATATATATGTATAAAATGGGATTTGGAAATTTCACAGATTTTGAATCTTTCTTGCTCCAGTATTCACTGACTGTGTGACCCCTAAGCAACCTCCTTTTTAAAACGGAGCTCCCACTAAATACATTTCAAGCTCTGTAATAGAGTGTGACTCCATTTTTGATGTTTGACTACTGACTTTTTGTTAAGCGTCACCCACTCCTCCTTTTGCCCCACATATGGTCAGGCTGGTAAGAAAGCACCTGCATGCAACTCCTCCTATAGAATTGGCAGAAAATTTACCCCAGTCCCACCTGCTAGCCACTATAATGGCCCAATCCACTCTTACTTTTCTTAAGCCAGCCCAGACCTGCTTGTGCCTTTCAAGTTTCCTCTAGGAGTCCCCCATTTCTCTCAAGTGTTCTTGGTATTCCGTGTCATCAGCCTCAATATTCAAACCAAATTCCAGGTGAGAATTTATTCTGATTCTTCAAGGTGAACACAAAACAGCCTCCTTATGAGAACCAAGTTAATTGTTTTTGCCTCATAATAGGTGCTCAATAAATGTTTGTTATTTTCTTTCTCTAAAATTGTACTATCCTAGAAGACTAGCTGCTAATTGGGCACAGGAAATGCAATAAATACCTCTGACTGCTGCTGTTAGAAGAATGCTAATTTCAGAGTTTGTTTTCTAGTTGAGCCGCTAAAAGATTTTTTTAAAATATTAAGCATAAAATAAGTTTTTGAAATTACCCTTTTGCTGCAACTAACAACAGGGACTTCTGAAAACATAAGCCATTCTTATCCAAGTAAAAGCTAACTTCTCAGCCTAAAGTTTAAAATTTCAAAATTTTCCAAACATTACAACAACAATCAGGAATGTTTTCGAGCTAATGATGATGTTATTAATGGAGTAGGAAAGTGACATGTGAGTGGAGATCACATGACCTCAATTCTGTAATAAGAAAGAGGAGTCCCAGAAAGTTTCTCTAAGCATCATGCCACCCACTGGTCAGTCTAGAATACGAATTGAACACCTGAATACAGAGCAGTAAGACATATTAAATTGTTAGGTGGCGCTAAAATTTAGGTACCACATTGACCTACTCAATTCTCATTGGTGTGACAGCAAGCAAGAAAAAAAGAAGAGAAACTTGCTGATTATACCACTGCAGATAAGTCCTCCAATGTTTTTGTTCTGATTAAACAAGAACTTTGACATTCCTTCCTAGTCTTGATGGACTACTTGCAGCTATGCACTATAAATTGCTTATATAATCTGTATAAGCAGATTTATTTTGATAGACTGTAGAGGATTCTGTGGTACACTGTCAAGATCTCCCCTGTAGAACCAAGGTACATTCCCCACTCCCAACCCAACTGTCAGGAGTGTTGGCTGTTGACAGCTCATTTATGTCCCTTGAGAGGAACTGCCCTCAGCCACAGGGAATGACCACTCCCAAAGTTGTGCCAAAGTTCTTCCTTCCAAGAGAACCACCAGAAAACCTCCAGCACTCAAATTACCATCTCAGAGTCCATTCCAGACAGTGACATTTTAAAAAACTAAATAAAAGAAGCAAATGCACATAAGGCAAGTTAGAAAAAACAAGACTCATGCTTATTTATTATTCTCAAGTTCTTAGAAAAATCAAACTTTAGAAATTAATGTTTTTCTTTCTTTTTAGCAAGATAGAGCCTAGTTTCAAAATCTCATGAGGGGAAACATCACAAAATGATTACAGAACTGCATCAGGACCTATTTTCTTAAGCAGTCTTTAGTTTTCCCACAATTGAAGCTTTAGGTGACCTTATTAGGGTTCACTCTACTTTCTATATTTGTCATATCTATGGATTTCCAGAATCTTTTGAACACCCATCCTGTACTTTGGTAATTCTTCAGACTGTGAGACCCACCTGTGCAAGATAGAAACCAGAGAACTTGCTTCCCCCACCTCCCTTACAATCAGGGCACAAGGAGGCAAAACAGACACAGATTTCAATGAAGAAAACAAGACAAGAAAAGATGCAGCACTGAATCCATCTTATTGAAAAGGGAGAGAGAGCTTGGAAGAGAAAAAGTAAGCTTTCAGAATCCGGAATGCTGGGGGATTTCGAAGCCATGTAGGTCACTGTGCTCAGTGAAAACTATGGGGCGTGTGCCCATCATCACAGAAATTGTGCCTGAAGGAGTCCTAGAAAATACCATTTTGGTTTTTCTTCCTATTTATCCCCCAAGCCTGATTCTCTGAGCATTCAATAACTTTCTTTTCTCTAAACTAGCTTAAAGCATGAGCCATACATTGTTCAAGAGTAGAAGTTGTTTGGACACAATATAAAGTCTTTTAAATCCTTATCGCAACTGCTCTACCCTTCAGTCCAAAAACATGATGCTGCCTGTTCTCACAGGATGAATGACGAATTCTGGAAATAAGGCAGGTTAATTTTTTTCCTGCTATTCCAACATCAACTAGATGGCTGTTCACTTTATTCCAGCAAGCTTATGTTCAATTTTATATGTGGCTCAGTGAATTTGACTTACTCTAGCAAATCTATATTATCTAAATGGCTAATTTAATGATACACCTAAATGAATAAGAGTAGCCTTTAACAGAAACCTATTATAGAATCTTTTTCAGATTCCTTGAATCTTTGGAAAATCCTTTCTTGGATTCTGTAATATATCATCTCCTCATTTTCTTCCTACATTATTGGCTCCTTCTCTGCTTCTTTGTACACCCTTCCTCTTCTACCCCAAATCTAAATGTTGGCATTCCTCAGGACCAGATCTTTACTTCTCTCTTTATACCCTCCCCTGATAAACTCAAGTCTTGTTGTTTCTAGTAGGACCTACATATAGGTGACAACTACATTTACATCTCCAGCTTTGAACTCTTGTGAGCTTTAAACTTTAGATGGCACTAGAAGATTATCTAAGAGATATCAGGAATTTAACGTGTCCAAAATGGAATGTTCTAACGGCAAAACAGTCCACTAGATTACCCCCACCAAATACCTAGGAGCCATCTTTCATTCATCTTTTCCTCTATTACCTACATGATTCAGAAGCATAGCAAACACTTGGAAGAAGCTGATAAAAAATGTAAAAAAAAAATTTATATAAGTCTGATTTGTGCTTTAAAATATAAGAATGTATCAACTCTGTTTTAAAAGTGCAAAATCAACTTGAAAATTAATAGGCTAAAATATGGGCTGGAATTAAAAGCTAACTGGAAAAATGAAGAAGCCATTGTTTCATGTGAGAAAATAGGCCAAGGAACCAAAAACACAAAGTCAGAGTTGATTTCTGTTTTGATGTTCATAAAGAACAGGATCAAATCTATCGACAGTGTAATATTAAAATATGATTAAACAGTACTAATAGTCTGACTTATAATACCAAATTAGAGTGTCAAAAATCAGGAAATGGTATGATAAATGAGATAAATATAAGCAATTTTAATTCCAAGAATAACTTAGGAAAGACATAATCATTGAACTGATCTCAAATTTTAAAGAAAAAATAGAGATTAATGTGTCTTAGAAAAGATGAACTACAAAAGCAAAACTGAAAGCATGACATATTATTAACAAGTGATGGGGGAAATTAAAAGTAAAGAAAGTATGTAGATGAACAAGCAGATAAGAAAGCTGTTAAAAGACTAAATACTTTGATTAGAACAAAAATGGCCTGAGCTATCTTCTTCAACAAAAGTGCCAAAAACATGCACTGGGGCAAGGACAGTCTCTTCAGTCAATGGTGCTGGGAAAGCTGTATATCCATAAGCAGAAGAATGAAACTAGACCCCTATCTCTTGCCATATACAAAAATGAAAGAAAAATTGATTAAAGACTTAAATCTAAGACGTCAAACTATGAATCTACAAAAAGAAAACATTGGGGAAACTCTCCAGGACGTTGGTCTAGGCAAAGATTTATTGAGTAATACCCAACAAGCATAGGCAACCAAAGCAAAAATGGACATGTGGCATCATATCAAGTTAAAAAGTGTCTGCTCAGCAAAATCAACAAACGGAAGAGACAACCCACAGAATGGAAGAAAATATTTGCAAACTACCCATCTGATAAGGGATTAATAATCAGAATATATAAGGAGCTCAAACAAATCAATGGGAAAAAAAGAATCATCTGACTTTAAAATGAGGACAAAATTTGAGTAGACATTTCTCAAAAGAAGACATACAAATGGCAAACAAGCATATAAAAAGGTGTGCAACATCATTGATCATCAGCGAAGTGCAGATTAAAACTACAATGAGATATGATCTTATCCCAATTAAAATGACTGACTTTCATCCAGCAATAACAAATGCTGGCAAGGATGTAGAGAAAAGAGAATCTTCATACACCGTTGGTGGGAGTGTAAATTAGTACACCACTATGAAGAACAGTTTGGAGGTTGCTCAAAATATTAAAAATGGAACTACCATATGACCCAGCACTCTCACTACTGGGTATACACCCAAAAGAAAGGAAATCAGTAATTCAAAGAGCTATCTGCACTCTTCATGTTTATTGTAGCACTGTTTACAATAGCTAAGATTTTGAAGCAACCTAAGTGTCTGCCAACAGATGAATGGATAAAGAAAATCTGGTACATATACACAATGGAATACTATTCAGCCATAAAAAAGAATGAGATCCTGACATTGCAACAACATAGATGGAACTGGAGAAATAAGCCGAGCACAGAAAGACAAACTTCTCATGTTCTCACTTACTTGTGGGAGCTAGAAATTAAAACAATTGAACTCATGGAAATAGAGAGTAGAAGTATGGTAACCAGACACTGGGAAGGGTAGTTGAGGTGGGGGGAACAGAAATGGTTAATGGGTACAAAAATACAGTTAGATAGAATGAGTAAGATCTAGAGTTTGATAGTACAACAGGGTGACTGTAGTCGACAATAATTTATTGTACATTTTAAAGTAAGAGAGTATAAGTGGAATGTTTGTAACATAAAGAAAGAATAAGTACTTGAGGTGATGACAACCCATTTACCCTGATGGGATTATTATCATTGTATGCCTATATCAAAATATTTTATGTTCCACATAAATATATAGACCTACTAGGTACCTATAAAAATAAATAATAATTTTGAAAAATAAATTGCTGTGTTAAATTCCCCTATCAAAGGGGAAAAATTCTCGGATTGTTTTAGAAAGTAAACCCAACTATGTCCTACATATAAGGAAGAACACCTGAAACAAAATGGCACAAAGAGACTAAAAGTTAAACTATTGACAAAACAATAATAATAAAGAAAAATGTTGGTAATATAAACATCTAATTGAACAGAATTAAAGGCATGAAAGCGTCATTTTATGAAGCAGTCTCTATAATTAAAATTAAACCAAATTGGGAAACTTTATCTGTTAATAGCCTCAAAGTTTACAAAACAAAACTTCTGTTATTGCTGTAGCTGGTTTTGTGGCAATCAGGGTGCTGTACCCACCCACTCTCACAACTCCCACATCCCTCCGAATCTTTATTTCTATACCTAATTGCACCTGCAACTCCAAGAAAACAACCCTAGAGGAAAAGAGGGGGAAACTGACAGTCTGCAGAGAAAGGGTCCCCAAAAAGGAAGCCCTGTATGCTCTAATAGCAGTAGATAATGCAGACTAAAGATTGTTATGAACCCCATTTGTTTAAGAAAAAAAAAGACAGTGGAAGTTAAAAAAAAATATTCCATGATTCCATGTTTCCCCTGCCAAGGGACCCAGAATGAACCAGGCTGAGAATTATTCACATTCATCCACCTTCAAAGAAAATTCCAGCAGAACCTGCATGGACTTAGAACAGGACCAACGGCATCAGTTCCCACTCCAACAAGTGGCAAAGATCATATTCAGAAAGGGCTTTCCTTATTCCAGCAGCAAAAAGGAAAAAAAGAGGGGGGGTGCACTATAAAAAATAACCCTATAGATCTACATGAGAAGCCTAAGTGAATGCTATGAAAAAAAAACACCATGATATCCTTTTAAAAGGAAAAGAAAAAAAGCATATATATGTATATGAATGTGTGTGTATACTTTGTGTGTGTGTTTACATATACATACTTTATTTGTTTCAGAATATATATTTATAATATATGTTTATATGTGTACATACATATGTATATCCTCTGTGTGTGAGTGCGTATGTGTATGTGTATTTATATCTTGAAACAAATAAAGCCCTCACCTCATTCTGCCAACACTGAAGTGTATCACCTGGCATTCCATAGATTCTGTGGATTGAACTGAATTAAAGACAGCCCTGGAGCTGAAACTCAGCTTCCCAGCTCTTGAGCACAGGGCAGCAGGTGGGATGATTTGAAGATCATGATGCAGTTGCCTCCGATTTACCCTTGCTTATAAGAGCTTATATCAGAAGCCGGGTGAGCCTCTGGAATTACATACAAGAGTGAGTGTCCATTGGGAACAGGAAACAAGATTGGGAATGGGAGATGAAGGGACAATAAATAAAATAATACAAGAGAGACTGTGCAGTAAATAAGGATAACCATGTACTACAAACTGAGGAATGGGGATGATCATTCCCATTCTCCATACCTAGGTAGAAAAAATATTCTTCACTGAAAGCCAGGATATTATCTCTTTTAATCCTTACAAGACTGAGATATACATTATCCTCATTTTATTAGGGAGCAGAAAAGGTGAACTCAAGATAGGTACTTGTGTAAGTTCACTCCATTGACAAATAGGGATGAAAACCCATCCCTATTGGCTCCACAGCCTGTGTTTCCACCATAATACAACTTTCTTTTCTGAAGTTTATGCTGCATGTGGTTTTCTATTGATGTGCAATATTATGGTTATGTTGTAGTAAAGCGCTCTTCCCATGGGCCACATACATTTCATTTTTTCTCTGAATCTTACTTGAGTTTTCTTCATTCTAGAGGCAGACTGCAAACATGTGGCTTTTGAAGCTGGAAAGAGGCTACTTTTGGTGGTGTCTATGTAAACATATAGAAAAAATATATAACTAACATTCATATCCTTCAAAAAGAATATCTGGATAATTCAAGTGACTGTAATAAAACTTTCACATTCTACCACCATTTTGATACATAAAAAGAGCTGCAAAAACTCCAATCACAGAGTCTTTGTCAAATATCCTTACTATGTCTACAACTCACCAGCGTTCTTTAAAAAAAAAAAAAGACATTTGAAAAGTCTCCAGGTAAGCCACAATGAACGAGCCCCACTCCTTCTTCATAAATCACTCTATTGTGTAGCGATGCACCATCAAGACAGGCCACATTTATCTCCCCAAAGCAAGCCTGGCAAGAATGTGTTCAGAAAATATTGGTCATGTTATCTTTACAAAGGTTAAGAGAAGGATTTGCTTATCTATAATGATTTATGGAACTGACAAGTGGGTGTACAAATGTGGCCAGGAAATGCACAAGAGTAGACAGAATGGCTTAGAACAAAATTACAGTGTCAGGGCACAAAGCAGATAGCTCCATCCTATAATGGGACAAGAGATCTGGGATTCATAAATCACGTTTGTCAAGAATAAATAAAAAGAGAACCAGATGAGGCCAGTAGCCCTTGTTGTTTTCTATCTCTCTCATAATTTGTTGAACTGCCCTGCCAAGCTTCTGTCAGAGATAAGAGCCTCTATTGCTTCCTTGCTATCTCCAGATTAGGTCTAAACACCAATAAATAAGACACACTGGCTTCTGTTTGTGTGTCCTGTCCAGATTGGACTTTCCTTGTGACTGTTAAATGCTTTTCTGTGACTTGACAATTTAAGCAGTGAACAGGTGTATCTGTGCAAGACCCCGTGTCAAACCCATCCAATGAATAAATCCTCAGTGGCTACAACAGGAATGCCTGAATTCTAGTTCTAGTTCTGCCAATATCTATCTGAGTGACTTTGGACAAGTTTCTTGTTTTCATTTCTTCCGTTTTGCAACACCATTTAAAAAAGAAACATCATCCATCAGGTAGAAAAGCTGAGATAATAATACAGTCAGGCCAAGAAAAACTAAATGAAGTAATTCCCATGCCCTAGCCCCATGGCTATTTCATTACCAAGTATGTTGGAGGGTTTGGAGGATGAGGGGGGAGGACAAGTGGCAAATATTTATTAAATAGACTTAAAGACAAGTCTCATATATTTAGATGAAGAAATGGAATAGATGTGTGCTCAATTTGTCAGCCTTTTAATTCTGAAATTACATAATTGACCTTAGAAAGGATAGCTAACCATCTGCTGATTTAATTGACATTTTAACACCAACTGAACTGTTCTGGAATAAAAATACTTTCTGACTTCCTGGTTTTTGCAAAACATTCTCTTGCGTTTTATTCTGACCCTAACAAAATTCAAAGACAAACAAAGTTCAATACAACTCCCACTCCTGCCCCTTCTGCTATTTTAAGCTCTAACTGTACCATGGGTAGCAATTGATATAAGCACCTTGCCAGAAAACCTTTATTTTAATTCCCTAGAGAAGACAGCTAACCTCCAGGTGTTCCATTCAACGGATACTGTGCATGCTGTCATGAGCATACGCTTGTTTTTATAAATTTTGAAGTCTGAGCTTAGAACAAATATTGTTTCAAGACCATTTGCAGATTAAAATACGGAAGGTGTCACTGCTCAGGTGCTTGTCCCCTGCATCCTCTCCCAGCCTGCTCCCTGAATGGTCTGTGTACCTACAAGGAGGCAGAGTGAGTGCCTCAATCAATCCTCACCCTCATGCTTTACCCTTGTACTCAACCGCAGCTCTATCTGTTCTGGCTCCTGACTTGCTGGCTTCATTTCCCATGTTCAGATTAGTACCCACTCTTTATACCTGACTGAGCCACTCCAATTTGGAGTTTGTCGCTGTTTCTGCACAAAAATTGTACCTGCTCTGAAGATCTGTCTAATTTTCAATGAGTCCACCCAGTCAACTTCTGGCCCTATTATCCTAAACTACATGGCCCTCCCAGAGCTACTAGGAGGGAAGATGTGGCAGATCATCTGTATGGGGCTGCAGCATCCATACTCAGCCATCTCAGAGTGTGGACACAGAGCCCTCCACTTTCTCAGTTCCTTAAGCAGAAAACACAAGAGAGTAAGAGTCAAAAGAGTTGCAAAAGAAGGCTGATCTTCCCAGGACAGGGAAAATCCAACAGATATGGGAGCCCAGGATTTTTTCAAATGTTCTTTTTGTTGAACTATAGCATATGTATAGAAGAGTTCAAAATTACACACGTACAGGTTGATGGCTCATCACAGAAAAACACACCCATCTATCAACCACCCAGATTCAGAAATACAACATTACCAGCATTCCAGAAATCCCCCTCAAGTGCCCCCAATTAGCAGCCTTTCCTCCTCCTCGAAAGAAACCTGACTTCTTTCCCCAGGCATTAGTTTGTCTATGTTTGAATTCTATATAAATAAAATTACACAGAACATATTATTTTGGGTCACATTTCTCTAGCTCAACATTGTGAGACTTTTCCATATTGTCACATGTATCTCATTCATTTTTATTTCTGTATAGTATTCCATTTAATGAATGAATTAATAAATGAGTATTCCATAATTTATTTATTCATTCTAATGCCGATGGATTTTTGGTGTATTTGCAGTTTGGAACTACTATGAACAAAAATGCTACAAATATTATTGTACTGACTTTTAGCACATATATGTATACAGTTCTGTTGGGTAGATACCTAGAGTTGAATTTCTGTCACAGACTTCATTGGATGCTGCCAAAGAGTTTTCCAAAGTGTTTATATCAATTTACATACCAATTTACTATCAGCAGTGTTTGGAGTTCCAGAAGCCCTGCCTTATCACCCATACTTTATATTGTCAGTCTTTAACTCTTCCGATGTGTGGATGACAGTACTATCCTAGACCCAGGCAAAACAATAAGCTACTCTACGCCATAGGCTTTGGAAGGCCCTGGTCTGACCCTCCTACTGTACCACCCCACAAAATTCTTCTGGGCCAAAGACAAATGGAGCCAAAGAGGACTGACTGACAGAATTAACAAGATAGGCCTGACTGTGACAGATCTAACTCTATACTCTGAAGATAGAGAATATATTTAATAAAAATTATAAAAACTTTGTAAACATTTTTATTACAAAAATAGCTTTACCAAAAAAAAGAAATAAAAAAGGGTAAATAAACAAAGAAAGTGAAAAAATTTAAAGGATAACACTAGACTTCATTGCTTAACTCTATGAAACGATGAATGAAATATGTATTTTCCTAAGAGAGTATAATTTATAAAAACTGGTGTCAGGAAATGAAAAAATTCTATATAGACTGATTTTCAAAGAAAATTTTGGAAAAAAATAAACAACTAATTTACCAGCTCTGAAAAGAGTCCTAAGTCCAGGCCATTTACAGAGATTGTTTCAAAATATGAAAAAGATAAAAAACAAAAGAGAAAGAAATAATATATTCACATTTTTTTTAAATTATGTGATTATAATATTAATAGCAAAATTTGATACAGATCATAAAGATGGCCCAAAACAGAGAAACTTAGCTGGCTTTACTTATGTGTATCAGTATAAAAATTGTTATTAAAATATTAGGAAAGACAATCTAGCAGCACAAGGAACAATACATACTGACTATGTAGGTTTTTTCAAGGACGGTTCAGTATTAGGATCTGTTAGTATATTCTACCATATTTGTATAAGTAAAGAGAAAAAACATACGATTCTCTCTGTAGACAATGAAATGGCATTTGACAAAATTTGGCAACCATTCTTGATATGCATAAATGAATAAATAACAAAAATATTCCATACAAATGTCTAAATGTATACTACTCTAACATGATTAAAGATGTTCTTTTCAACCCACATGCCAGCCTCAAGCTTATAGAGAAACACCAAGTCAGAATGACGTGAGGACATTTACTATAACCACTAGCACATTACATCATACTCTAGGTCCTGCCCAGTGTGATCAAACAACAAAAGATACTGCAGGATTAAAATTGGAAAGAATGATGTAACACTTTCACTGTGTACAAATCATTTTATTGTATACCTGGAGTATCTTCTGCCTTAAATTGACTGAAAAACTATGACAATGAATTTTACTAAGTTAACAAGGAACAATTTAAAATATAGAAATCAATGGCTTTCAGGTACATAAATACTCAACAGTTAGAAGATATAATGAAAGACATTACTCCATTTACATGAGAAATAATATAAAATAGCTACTCATAGTCTTAGCAAGCAATATTCTATAACTACAATAAGAAAATCTTCAAATTCTAGTAACTAACCCAAAAGAAAATTTGAAAAAATTGAAAGGCATACCATTTTACTGTATGGGAAGATTCAACATCATAATGATGTCAAATCTCTCTGAATTAATTTGTAAATTTAACAGTATTTTTATAAAAATATCAATAGGTAGTTTTAGAAGTATATATGCTTATTTTAATTTTTATATAGAAAAAAGATATACAAGCAAACAAAATCCACTGCACATCAAAAAGTTAATTCACCCTGATCAACTAAAGTAGGCTTTATTCCTGGGATGCAAGTTTGGTTCAACATATGCAAATCAATAATTCACCACATAAACAAAATTAAAAACAAAAATCATATGATCATCTCAATTGACACAGAAAAAGCATTTGATAAAATCTAACATTCCTTCATGATAATAACTCACAACAAACTAGGCATCAAAGGAACATACCTCAAAATAATAAAAGCCATCTATGACAAACCCATAGCCAACATCATACTGAATGGGTAAAAGTTGCAAGCATTCCCCCTAAGAACTGGAACAAAACAAAGATGCACACATGGATGAAATTGGAAATCATCATTCTCAGTAAACTATCGCAAGAACAAAAAACCAAACACCGCATATTCTCACTCATAGGTGGGAATTGAACAATGAGAACACATGGACACAGGAAAGGGAACATCACACTCTGGGGACTGTTGTGGGGTGGGGAGAGGGGGAAGGGATAGCTTTAGGAGATATACCTAATGCTAAATGATGAGTTAATGGGTGCAGCACACCAGCATAGCACATGCATACATATGTAACTAACCTGCACATTGTGCACATGTACCCTAAAACTTAAAGTATAATAATAATAAAATTAAAAAAAACAAAGATGCACACTTTTATCATTCCTGTTCAACACAGCATTGGGAGTCCTAGCCAGAGTAATCAGGCAAGAGAAAGAAACAAAAGGCATCCAAATAGGAAAAAAGGAAGTCGAATTATCTCTCTTCACTGATAATATGACTCCACACCTAGAAAACCCTTAAGACTCTGTCAAAAGGCTCTTAGATCTGATAAACAACTTTAGTAAACTTTAAACAACTTTAGTAAAGTTTCAGGATACAAAATCAATGTACAAAATCAGTGGCATCTTTATATACCATGTTATATCTTTATAACATTGAAGCTGATAGCCAAATCAAGAACATAATTATATTTACAATAGCCACAAAAAACTAAAATACCTGGGATTTTAGTTTTTACCAAAAAGGTAAAAGATCTCTACAGGAAGAACTACAAAACACTGCTGAAAGAAATTAGAGACAACACAAACAAATAGAAAAACATTCCATTCTCAGATATTGGAAGAATCAATATTGTTAAAATGTCCATATTTCCAAAAGATATTTACAAATCCAACACTATTCCTATCAAACTGCCAACATCATTTTTCACATAATTAGAAAACACTATTCAAAAATTTATATGAAGATCCCCCAAAAATAAAGCAGTCCTAAGCAAAAAGAACAAATCTAGAGGCATCACATTACCCAACTTCAAACTATACCACAAGCCTACAGCAACCAAAACAGCATGGTACTGGTACAAAACTACACACATAGACCAACGGAACAGAATAGAGAACCCAGAAATAAAGCTACATACCTACAACCAACTGATCTTTGGCAAAGTTGACAAAAATCAGCAATGGGGAAAGGACTTCCGATTCAATAAATGGTGCTGTTATAACTGGCTAACCATATGCAGAAGAATGAAACTGGACCCCAGAGCTTTACAATACACAAAAATTAACTGGATAGAATGGCGATCATTAAAAAGTCAGGAAACAACAGGTGCTGGAGAGGATGTGGAGAAATAGGAAGACTTTTACACTGTTGGTGGGACTGTAAACTAGTTCAACCATTGTGGAAGTCTGTGTGGCAATTCCTCAGGGATCTAGAACTAGAAATACCATTTGACCCAGCCATCCCATTACTGAGTATATACCCAAAGGATTATAAATCATGCTGCTATAAAGACACATGCACACGTATGTTTACTGCGGCACTATTCACAATAGCAAAGACTTGGAACCAACCCAAATGTCCAACAGTGATAGACTGGATTAAGAGAATGTGGCACATATACACCATGGAATACTATGCAGCCATAAAAAATGATGAGTTCATGTCCTTTGTAGGGATACGGATGAAGCTGGAAACCATCATTCTCAGCAAACTATCGCAAGGACAAAAAACCAAACACTGCATGTTCTCACTCATAGGTGGGAATTGAACAATGAAAACACATGGACACAGGAAGGGAAACATCACACACCGGGGACTGTTGTGGGGTGGGGGGAGGGGGGAGGGATAGCCTTAGGAGATATACCTAATGCTAAATGACAAGTTAATGGGTGCAGCACACCAACATGGCACATGTATACATACATAACATACCTGCACATTGTGCACATGTACCCTAAAACTTAAAGTATAATAATAATAAAATTTTTTAAAAAAAAGATTATAGGGACCCTGCCCTCGCCCCACCAGCAGCTTGTAACATCAACCACTTTCCTCCTCATCCCTTTTGTCTGGAGCAAAGTGATGTCTTTTTACACCTCCCAGTGAGGATGTGCTCAGAATCAATCATGCACACTCAGGAACAGAGGGCTGCAGGAAGGAGAGGAGCCTCTACAGAGAAACCCACCCCCTTATAACTTATGTATCAGCCTTTTAGAGAGAAGTGGGTAGTCTATGAGAAGAGCCCTACATGTGAGAGCCAGCAGGGACCTCAGACAACATCTAAGTCCAGTTCTGCCTTTAACAATAAAGAAGCCACTGATGCCATGTGGCTAACATTTAACTAATGTGACATGACTTGCCTACTGACAAGCCTGGAACTAGAACCCAGGCCTCAGGTTCTTTTCATAAATTTTGGAGGAAGAGAGAGGAGATGCTTCAATCTAGAGGTCTCAACAGTCATTAGAGCCTGTTGGGTGACCTTGGCTAAGACAGGAATAAGGTTTAACAAAGAAATATTGTAAGTGTTATTCCAAAGGGGACAAGGAAAGAAAGGAAAAAGTAGAGACTCAAAGTGGAATTAACAAAGAGAGAGAGCAGGTATTGTAACCAAGGCCCAACTTATTTTCCCTAATTCTGGGAAACTGATTCCACACCTACTTACACCTTAAGACATTTCTAGAAATATTCTCAATATTTAGACCAATGAATTTCAAAAGCAGAAATTGAAAAGGATTATATTTTTACTACGTTCGCCTTCCCCTCCCAGTCTTTTTTTTCCCAATGTACTTTTTTGGGAAAGATTTCTTTTTAGTATTTTATGCCAGTTTCAAGAGTGGCATAAGGAAGTACATATATACAATCACTTCCTGAGTTTCAGTTTGGATTTATTATTATACTCTCTTCAGGGGAATAAGACTTAAGAGTTCTCTTTAAGGATTTTACTGAATTACAATAATTGACCAAAATAAAGTTTTCATATTGTAGTGCTAGACCAATTAGTGGACTGTGAAATCAATGTGGGGAAATATAAACTGCAAGTTTTATTTTACAAGTTAAAAGGAAAATACTAAGTTTCATTATGTGTGATAAAAGGAGAAATTGTTTTCTGCATGCTTCATTTAAATGTATTAATTATTTCTTACTTTATCTTGTATTCAAAAGAGTTTGAGCAAAAGTGCTTCAAGTAGAGAGGTCTAATTCATCCATTTTCTCTTGGGATTTTTTCTCATTTTTTTTTAACCACGTTATACAAATGGTATTATGGAGATGGGAACACAAATCTCATCAATGACTGATGGATTAGCCTTTTCTAAGAAGTAGTCACACATCTGGGGCACTTCCACATTGATAGCCTGAGATCATAGTAGACCAAAAGTCCTTGTCATCTTTAGCTGCATATTAGAATCACATGGGAGCTTTTGAAAGCTAGTGACACCCAAACCATGCTGCAGACCAGTTAAGTGAGAATCTCAAGGTGTGAGTTCAAGGATTTTATGTTAAATGAAATCTCACCAGGTGCTTATTGCATGGCAGCACGATTTAGAGATACCAAATGCACCAAACCAATTCCCCATCATTTTCTTTCCATTCTCCATTTCTCTCAAAATTGGCTTCACTCCCAGCAGCTCTATGGATTTTATTCTTCCTTCTAATGATTTCAGTTAAATTACTGTCTTGTCAACTGGGCTAGTCCAAGGCACAGATTGTCCTCTATTATTGTCTATCATCCTGGGTATTCATAAAGCTGGGCCCTAGACTCACTTTCCCAAAGTTAGATCATAAAATGCTCTTTTATGTTCTCTGGCCTCAAAATTCACCTGAGTTGAATTTAAATCAGAAATTTTTAAAGAGAGATTAGGATGCACCTCATGATCTGTGCAGTTCTGAAGTACTGCCCTCTGCATCTACTTTTGGACTGATTTCCCCTTAGGGTGCCATAAATGTCCTCCAGTTTATGTCAGGTCAAATGAGTCCATGAGGTGCAGACACTGAGTCCCTGAAAACTCCATCCACCTTGGCACTAGGCTGCACATCTGACTAAAGGGTGAAGACAAATGTGACTCCAGGCCAGTAGGGAATGCCCACCTGTCACCCAGGTTCTAATTTAATTTCTAATTGGACTTCCTTGTGCTCAGTTTTAACACTTCTCATTCACTTGTATAAGGTGAGGATTAAGGGTTGATTTTATTGGGTTGCTCAGAATCAGACCCAAGAGGAAAGTCTACATGTAAATGATGTATTAAGGCAATGCTCCCTCTAGAAAGAGGTAATGGAGTTTGGGGAAGGAAAAGCAAATACGCCAAAAAAAAAGAAATTTGTGATTTCAGGGAAAGAACTGCTGTTCAGGAGTTTAAAATATGCTCTTTGGGTCAGGAGAGTGGAGCCAGTCTCTCCTGTTGCCAGGAGAGGGACTATCAGGACAACAGTAGGAACAGAGTAGAGCTCAGAGAGCAAACAGGAGATGAGGATGGGAGGGCTTGGCAGGGTGGCAGCCCATGGGACACAGAAGTAAGACCAAAAAAATGTATTGGGAGAATGAGCTGTCATCATAGACAGAAATAAATAAGGAATTAGTGCATCTAAGAGCCATTGATGTGATTACCTCTGTACCTTAAGCTTGAAGGCAAGGAAATCTGCATGCCAGTCTGAACTTGCTCAACAGCAGTTTTCTTTTGATAATCTGTTTCAGAACACTTGAGGCATGAATGTGGCCAATGACTTGACACTCATGCATGTTGTCAGCTGGACCTTCAAGATCATCATCCTCCAGTTGGGGAGGGTTCTTCATTCTAAGGGAAGGCTCCAAACCCAGCTCTGAAAATAAAACCACAGCCATCAGGATCCACTATTATCCATGATCTTACTGTAACTTACTCTTTTACCCAAGAGTAATATCAAAGAAAGTGGCTTTAGATGTAAAAGTCCAAGAGGTGAGGTGAAGCCAGTAGGGACACTTTGATTTTTTATTTGTTGATTTTTCTTACATTAATGATAAGATTATTGGAAGACAAAAGTGCCCCCAACTGATAAAAATATTCAAGAAAAATTAAATTAGTGAACACAAATAGCTCCCAAGAGTATAAGGCAAAGGCAAGGAAATTATACTGGATATAGGCCGTGCTTTTTTAAAGGGGGGATTATAAAAATCAAGCAAAATCAAAACTGAAGGAACATCTCATGAAAGAAAAGAACTAGGGAAGACTAAACCTGGTGAATTTATAAAACTTGCAAAAATATATATTTCATATATATACACTCCATATAATATACAAACCAAATATATATAATGTATATGACAAATGATGTAAGTGTACATACCAATATATATTAATCTAATTGAATAATTACATAATTATGTTCAATATCTTAGGAGATATTGAACATAACATTATAATCATTATCCTGCTCTGTTGAAGTTGGAAAAACCAATTAGAAACATAAGAAGAATGAGATAGAAGGTGTGCTGAAAAACAAATGACCTGTTAGACAGCAAGAAGAAATCACCAGGTGAAGGAGAATAAAACAGAAAGCATTCATTCTATCTTCTTGCCTAGAGCTTGGTTCATGCTCAGGACTCTGGAAAAAAGTGAGCAGGAGAAACAGTGTCTGAAGCAGTAAGGTTAGTTCCGGTTGGAGCTGTTGGAATATATGGAGAAGTAAAAGAGAGACAGGAAGAAAGAAAAGAGGATTAAATACTACAAGTTATCATAGCACATGTCAGGAACTATGCACCCCTGACACTCACTGAGCACTTTCCATGAAACCTCTCCTTGGAGCCAGACTGGTACTCATCACTTCACATGACCCTCACCGGCTCCTGAGAACATGCATCTCCTGATGTCTCAGATGGGGGCATCACCTGACAGAGGAGCATCAGGCAGCCCCAGAGGCTCCAGAAGGAGAGAGTGAGAGGGACAGAGAGTGAGGATGCACATGACCCAGAATGATGAAAATCTGAGCAGAAGTGGATCCTCGTGAGAAGAAAACAGAGGACATAGCTGTGGAGATGGTGAATTAAATGGAGTATCATGAAAGAAACTGATTTGCACTCTTTACATATGAAAGTTACCCTTTATTTCAAAGAGAGTGTAAAAACAGAAAAAAAAATAAGCTGGATATGTCAGGAGACTGACTTGTGGGACCAGAATTTCTATTTTTATTAAATGTGGCTAATACATTGTTATTGAAAGTGCCTAATGGGGGGAAATTAGCTTAATAAGGGATGGTGAAGGAGAGGGAGGAAATTGGCAAATGAGACTTACTGAGAAAGCAAAGGAAGAGGGGTCCCTTAAAAGCAGAGATGTTAAAAATCGTTCTACCTCAGATGAAAAAACACATGTGAAGTCACATTCTAAGTGTTAATTTGCCAGAAAGATAAAAGAATTAGATAACATCTATTCATAGGTTTATGAGCAATTCTTATTGAACACAGCACTCTGGAAATTCTCATAATTAATTCTCTCAACAATGATTACAGGTAGATATAATTTCTGAGGAAACGAGATATAAATACCAAAAAGACAAATAACTTGGCCAAGGTGAACAACTGTAAGTGGCAAATCCAGGACCTGAGAGCAGATTTGTTCATAAATCCCAGGTCCTTACTCACTTCACTACATTAGAGCAATGTGGATTTCAAGTTGATCCTCAGTGAGCATGCAGAGGCCCCCTTGTCTCCTCCACCCACAACACCATGACAGCCAGCACCTGGATTAGAGTTTCCTATTCCCCTTTCCTTCCCTACCTTGGAAGGGCCATTGGTTCCCAGAATCAGATTTGGCTGTGAAGGTCCGGGTGGTGGAGGAAATGCACCACCTGACTATGCCATAGCCATAATCAAACCGTTGATCCAGCTGCAATTGCATACAACTGAGCACCAGGGTACTTGGCTCCAGCTGTGCATGTGAAGATTGCACCTCTGACAGGCGGTGGCTCAAGTCTCCACTCCAAGACCCTTGGGGACAGACCTCCTGCATGGGAACTGAAAGGAGAAGGGGGTTCAGTAGGAACAATTTCAGTTTCCCCTTTGCTAAGCATTCCCAAAATGCCCATCTCTGATGTCCCTGCCTCTCCATAAAACCACCCAGTACACCAGGCCACAAAGACAGACATGTAAACGAAGACGATGTCACCTTTCATGTCTGTGACTGGAGATGCTGAGACCACAGGTGCCCAGGCTAGAGTATCCATTTACTGAAAAACCCCCACTTGACCCCTGAGGGCTTGCATTGTCTAACAAGGTCATGCCTATTATTCATTATTATTTATCTTTTTCCTGTGTCCTACAGTGAAAGTTCTAGAGAGCCTCCAGAACACAGGAGAGGAAGAGTTGTTTATCTAAACACATAGGAGAATAAGAACAGGGGAAGATTTAGAGCCTCAAGGCTTTGGGAAGGAGTGGTGAAAAAGGGAGTTGGAATATTATAGACCAAATACTAAGTGAGGTGAACTTTTCAGGGTCCTAGGGCATTTTGAATTTCCTGTTGCCTATAATAGTTTTATCACCTCCCCACACATATACATTCTATTGTCATACAGTGGTTATTAGCAGCCTTAAGCAATGTAGTAGAGGAATCAGTCTCTTTATGAAAATTTAGGTGCCAGAAGTGCTACAGATCAGAATTTGTTGTCCTTTATGGAGGTAACACAAGGCTCAATCTTCATATTACCCACTCCTCCAGTGGGGTCTGGGCTGCATTCCCTAATAAAAATTATTTATATTTCCATAGGGAGAAAAACACACATTCTCAGAAGGTGACCTAATGAGAGACTTCGAATGGCCTCCGCCAATCCAAGGTCAGCTCAGGAAGGGGACGGAGCCTTCAGGACCTGCTCCACATTGCTGTGGAGCTCCTCCCTCTCCTCCCTCTACACATCCTCATTCTCACCAAGATTTCCTTAAGTTTTTCGTAAAATGTCTTTCACGTATCTACTCTACTTCACCTTCCTGAGAGCAGTTATATCAGACTCTCATCACTCATGCCTGGCTTCATACAGTCTCCCTAACTGCCTTCTCTGATTCTGCCATCTCTGTACTGGCAGTTGTCTCACCAGTTTTATCACCCTGTTCTTATCACATTCCCACTCACTTCTGAAAACTTTCTCTCCACTGCCCACTACATGACTCTCACCCCCCACCCTGCCTTTGTGCTCCTTCTAACTTCTGGCTGATATTCTCATCCAATACCCCTTCCTACCACTCCCTCATACAAATTATCTGCTGGAGTCAGGATGGCCCCTCACTGGCCCCAGCCCTGCACTGGGTGCCTTCCAGCCTCTGGTCTTTGTCCACAAGCCCTACTCTCGGCTTGGTGTGACCTCCATAGTTACTCAGGACACAGTTTACTAATCATCACCCATCAGTCACTGAGGACATCAGTAAGATTTAATGATAGTTTATATTGGGCTGACAGGGAAAACATCTTGAAACAGCAAATCTGGTTGGTAAAGACTGTTCAAACGCAGGTCTCCCCATTCTTGTCCTCTGCATTTGGACAAAAATCAAGCTCTAGGAATGTTATTAATCATCACTACTTAATTTCATCATGTCATTTTATCACTATTTTTCAGACTACTGAGTCTTATTAAACTTATACTTTGAATATTCCTAGAATTTGCACAAGAAAAGATAAAATATTTTCTCAAACTTCTGAAGTACTGTACATTTTATTAGTTGGGCAGGTAGGGAAAAGCCCCCAATAAAAGATCAAGTTATAATTTAGGTTGTCTTCTCACTGATTCTACCAATGTTTTCCCTGCCGAGAGAGGATGCGGCAGAGCTGACCTCCTGTGTCACTGCTGCTGGGGTCAAGGCTGTGCCCTATACACACTATTCACACATAGTGTGTGAACCCACACACAGGATACATCCTTGTACAGTCTGCATGGTGCATTCATTCATCCCAATCATCTGAAAAGAAGCATTTGGCCTCTCTAGCCCATGTTTCATGATGCCCTGGCAGGGCCGTCCCACACTGCACACATCACACTTCTGAGACATGTGTCTGAGCATTTCCCTTCCTCCTCAGAGGAGCCCCATCTTGGCTGCGGTGTTTCTGAGGCAGAGCCCCACAGCCTTACCAGAACAGCCCAATTCAGAGCAGAACCTCTGAGGACAGGGGGTGGAGGACAGCAGGACCTTTCTGCTCCTGACTTTCCAGGGAGAGCCTACTGGAGCTGGATTTCCCCGTGGAGGGACTGGAGGAGGTGCTGGCTCTGGGGACAGACAAAGTGCACAAGGTTTTCTTTTTGTTTGTTTTAATTATACTTTAAGTTATAGGGTACATGTGAACAACGTGCAGGTTTGTTACATATGTATACATGTGCCATGTTGGTGTGCTGCACCAATTAACTGGTCATTTACATTAGGTATATCTCCTAATGCTATCCGTCCCCCCTCTCCCCACCCCACGACCGACCCCAGTGTGTGATATTCCTCTTCCTGTGACCAGGTGTTCTCATTGTTCAATTCCCACCTATGAGTGAGAACATGCAGTGTTTGGTTTTTTTTTTTGTTTGTTTGTGTTTTTTTTAGTGCCATATTGTCTTTATTGTGGTGGTCTGGAATCCAACCTGCGATGTCTCCCAGGTTATGCCTGTAATGGAATGATCACCCTCAGAAACTGAGTCAAAGATTGGGAAGGCTACCTCTGATCATTTCTCGATGCAGTAAGTGAAGGTGATTCAAGATGAAGCTAGGAATTAAATTCCTCTTTCTTCTTATCCTGCACTTTCAGCTTCTTCTCCATGCAAAGCTGTCTTTAGGGGCCCAGTGCATAGAAGGCCACATAAGAGAGTTCACACAGGCCCCGGCACTGGATGAGGGTTCTCAGGTCAAGACAGGCAACAGATGCGGATAAGTCCATATTGGGGCAAGTGGATGGACGACCACTAAAGAGGGGTGAGTCAGTACCAAATGGCTGGGAATGAGTGGTTCACAGTGGGTCTCATTCCCTCCATGCGTCCTTTGCACACCATCGTGGGCTCCATGAGAACGCAAAGGAGCCTTTTGCACTCCCCAGGTCCGTCCTCCGTCCTTCCCTTGCTGTTGTCATGGTGTCCTCTTTTTTTTTCTTTATTTATTTTTATTATTATACTTTAAGTTTTAGGGTACATGTGCACATTGTGCAGGTTAGTTACATATGTATACATGTGCCATGCTGGTGCGCTGCACCCATTAACTCGTCATCTAGCATTAGGTATACCTCCCAATGCTATCCCTCCCCCCTCCCCCCACCCCACAACAGTCCCCAGAGTGTGATGTTCCCCTTCCTGTGTCCATGTGATCTCACTGTTCAATTCCCACCTATGAGTGAGAATATGTGGTGTTTGGTTTTTTGTTCTTGCGATAGTTTACTGCAGTGTTTGGTTTTTTGTCCCTGCAATAGTTTGCTGAGAATGATAGTTTCAAGCTTCATCCATGTCCCTACAAAGGACATGAACTCATCATTTTTTATGGCTGCATAGTATTCCATGGTGTATATGTGCCACATTCTCTTAATCCAGTCTATCATTGATGGACATTTGGGTTGGTTCCAAGTCTTTGCTATTGTGAATAGTGCTGCAATAAACATAAGTGTGCATGTGTCTTTATAGCAGCATGATTTATAATCCTTTGGGTATACACCCAGTAATGGGATGGCTGGGTCAAATGGTATTTCTAGTTCTAGATCCTTGAGGAATTGCCACACTATCTTCCACAATGGTTGAACCAGTTTACAGTCCCACCAACAGTGTAAAAGTCTTCCTATTTCTCCACATCCTCTCCAGCACCTGTTGTTTCCTCACTTTTTAATGATTGCCATTCTAACTGGTGTGAGATGGTATCTCATTGTGGTTTTGATTTGCATTTCTCTGATGGCCAGTGATGATGAGCATTTTTTCATGTGTCTGTTGGCTGCATAAATGTCTTCTTTTGAGAAGTATCTGTTCATATCCTTGGGCCACTTTTTGATGGGGTTGTTTTTTTCTTGTAAATTTGTTTGATTTCATTGTAGATTCTGGATATTAGCCCTTTGTCAGATGAGTAGATTGCAAAAATTTTCTCCCATTCTGTAGTTTGCCTGTTCACTCTGATGGTAGTTTCTTTTGCTGTGCAGAAGCTCTTTAGTTTAATTAGATCCCATTTGTCAATTTTGGCTTTTGTTGCCATTGCTTTTGGTGTTTTAGACATGAAGTCCTTACCCATGCCTATGTCCTGAATGGTATTGCCTAGGTTTTCTACTAGGGTTTTTATGGTTTTAGGTCTAACATTTAAGTCTTTAATCCATCTTGAAATAATTTTTGTATAAGGTGTAAGGAAGGGATCCAGTTTCAGCTTTCTACACATGGCTAGCCAGTTTTCCCAGCACCATTTATTAAATAGGGAATCCTTTCCCCATTTCTTGTTTTTGTCAGGTTTGTCAAAGACCAGATGTTTGTAGATGTGTGGCATTTCTGAGGGCTCTGTTCTTTTCCATTGGTCTACATCTCTGTTTTGGTACCAGTACCATGCTGTTTTGGTTACTATAGCATTGTAGTATTGTTTGAAGTCAGGTAGCATGATGCCTCCAGCTTTGTTCTTTTGGCTTAGTATTGTCTTGGCAATGCGGGCTCTTTTTTGGTTCCATATGAACTTTAGTTTTTTCCAATTCTGTGAAGAAAGTCATTGGTAGCTTGAAGGGGATGGCACGAATCTATAAATTACCTTAGGCAGTATGGCCATTTTCCGGTATTGATTCTTCCTATCCATGAGCATGGAATGTTCTTCCATTTGTTTGTGTCCTCTTTTATTTTGTTGAGCAGTAGTTTGTAGTTCTCCTTGAAGAGGTCCTTCACATCCCTTGTAAGTTGGATTCCTAGGTATTTTATTCTCTTTGAAGCAATTGTGAATGGGAGTTCACTCATGATTTGGCTCTCTGTTTGTCTGTTTTTGGTATATAAGAATGCTTGTGATTTTTGCACATTGATTTTGTATCCTGAGATTTTGCTGCAGGTGCTTATCAGCTTAAGGAGATTTTGGGCTGAGGCGATGGTGTTTTCTAAACATACAATCATGTCATCTGCAAACAGGGACAATTTGACTTCCTCTTTTCCTAATTGAATACCCTTTCTTTCTTTTTCCTGCCTGATTGCCCTGGCCAGAACTTCCAACACTATGTTGAATAGGAGTGGTGAGAGAGGGCATCCCTGTCTTGTGCCAGTTTTCAAAGGGAATGCTTCCAGTTTTTGCGCATTCAGTATGATACTGGCTGTGGGTTTGTCATAAATAGCTCTTATAATTTTGAGATATGTCCCATCAATACCTAATTTATTGAGAGTTTTTAGCATGAAGGGCTGTTGAATTTTGTCAAAGGCCTTTTCTGCATCTATTGAGATAATCATGTGGTTTTTGTCTTTGGTTCTGTTTATATGCTGGATTACACTTATTGATTTGTGTATGTTGAACCAGCCTTGCATCCCAGGGATGAAGCCCACTTGATCATGGTGGATAAGCTTTTTGATGTGCTGCTGGATTCGGTTTGCAATATTTTATTGAGGATTTTTGCATCGATGTTCATCAGGGATATCCGTCTAAAATTCTCTTTTTTTGTTGTGTCTCTGTCAGGCTTTGGTATCAGGATGATGCTGGCCTCATAAAATGAGTTAGGGAGGATTCCCTCTTTTTCTATTGATTGGAATAGTTTCAGAAGGAATGGTACCAGCTCCTCCTTGCACCTCTGGTAGAATTCGGCTGTGAATCCATCTGGTCCTGGACTTTTTTTGGTTGGTAGGCTATTAATTATTGCCTTAATTTCAGAGCCTGTTATTGGTCTATTCAGGGATTCAACTTCTTCCTGGTTTAGTCTTGGGAGGGTGTATGTGTCGAGGAATTTATCCATTTCTTCTAGATTTTCTAGTTCATTTGTGTAGAGGTGTTCTAGTGTTCTCTGATGGTAGTTTGTATTTCTGTGGGATCAGTGGCGATATCCCCTTTATCATTTTTTATTGCATCTATTTGATTCTTCTCTCTTTTCTTCTTTATTAGTCTTGCTAGCGGTCTATCAATTTTGTTGATCTTTTCAAAGACCCAGCTCCTGGATTCACTGATTTTTTGAAGGGTTTTTTGTGTCTCTATCTCCTTCGGTTCTGCTCTGATCTTAGTTATTTCTTGCCTTCTGCTAGCTTTTGAATTTGTTTGCTCTTGCTTCTCTAGTTCTTTTAATTGGATGTTAGGGTGTCAATTTTAGGTCTTTCCTGCTTTCTCTTGTGGGCATTTAGTGCTGTAAATTTCCCTCTACACACTGCTTTGAATGTGTCCCAGAGATTCTGGTATGTTGTGTCTTTGTTCTCATTGGTTGCAAAGAACATCTTTATTTCTGCCTTCATTTCGTTGTGTACCCAGTAGTCATTCAGAAGCAGGTTGTTCAGTTTCCATGTAGTTGAGTGGTTTTGAGTGAGTTTCTTACTCCCGAGTTCTAGTTTGTTGGCACTGTGGTCTGAGAGACAGTTGGTTATAATCTCTGTTCTTTCACATTTGCTGAGGAGTGCTTTACTTCCAACTATGTGGTCAATTTTGGAATAAGTGTGATGTGGTGCTGAGAAGAATGTATATTCTGTTGATTTGGGGTGGAGAGTTCTGTAGATGTCTATAGGTCCTCTTGGCGCAGAGGAGGAAGTTCGAACCCATTGCACGAGGTTTTCCTTCTTAGGGAATCTGTATCAGGGCTACAGGAGCTCTTTGTACCAGACTGGATGCTTTTCTGTTTAACTTGAAATTATTTCAAAATGATTTGAAATAATTTTGAAATCAGGAAAAGGAAAAAGGGTGAGCACCCATCCAAGCTCAGCCCCTGAAAGAAGCCACTGCAGAGAAGTAGATGGAGACCGCGCTGTGAGACCAATACTAGTCAGGCCATCACCTATGAGGCAAGTTAGGGATCTTGCTGAGCCTCAACACAGCCTTCAGCTCTAACATGGTGATGCCACCACCTACTTGGGAGTGTCCCTTGAGCACTGAATGGGCCAGAGACAAGCATAGACAGAGCTCACTTGGCAAGGGGCATGGCACACAACAGAGACAAGGTAAATGCGTATTTTCTCTGTATCATGAATCCCTGTGATCCTGAGAAAAGCCTTTGCTTCTTTGAACCTCAAGGAGAAACGGAAAACAGGAAACAGAATGATCCTAGCACAAAAGACACTTACCCACGAAAACACAATCCAGGACCAATATGTTAATTGCTAATTTCATTAGAACATAGTGAGATATATTGGAGAGCATGACAGAGTTACTTGCTCCTACCGCAAGATGATTTGATGGGTAAAATGCTCAAAAATCCACATGCAACTCTCAGAACTCAAAAATATCGAATGAGTGAGAAGAAATGAAAATTGGATTTTTTCTCCACACAACCTGTGAAGCTGCTGCCCCATAGGGTGCCCACTCAACAGGAAGGATCTTCTGGAGATCATGGGGATGGGAACCACATGGTTCCAACCACATGATGGGCTTTGCTCATCAGTTAGGCCAGCACCTCATCAGGGACACTCATTGGTGATGGTTTACGTGACACTATGACACTGAGACCAGATACATGATTGAAATTATAAACCCACACATGGAAAAAAATCACTGGTGCTCCACAGAGAATGAAAGCCGTGGCCATGCAGGCAGGATGGGACACTAGCCTGCTTCAGCTGGAGGGAAGTCACCTCAGAAGAAGTTAAGAATCTGGCCTGGGACATAGGAATCATGAAAACAGACCTCCAAAATAATTGGGCAAAACTGCCAGCACAACTGGATGACCAGAGAATAGTGGAGGGTACTGTCCAGGAAATGCAATTAGCAACATACTTTCATCAAAGAGAGATGTCTTATCTTAAAGAAGGAGGTCTTTCATACAAATGTCTTCAGCTGAGCTACAGGTGGCTGAACATTTGCAATTGCCCCTCACCATTCCCCCTCTCAGGCCTATCTTGATACCCACATCCCACTCTTGTGAGAAAGTGCCTGGTGACAACGGAGTCACCTAGGACAAGAGAAGAGGAAAGTTCCACCCATTGGATGTCTGTGTTTAAAACTGGATCCAAGAGCCAGACTCAAGACAATCTAAGTACAAGGATGTCATGTCTTAGCCTGCACAAATTGCAGGAAACAAAAAAATAAACAGGCTGCCTGGAAGGGAGACAAGTAGAGCTTTATGACCTTTGGGATGAAGTACTCACAGACTACATCCATAGCAAAGCAGGTGAGCTGTTCCTCCAATAAGCACAAGGTGCTACTTACTGTAAGCCTGGTGGCAGTCACATAGGTCATATTCAATTGAAGGAGTCAAGTAACTTTCATCCAGTGCGTCCTCTGAGACATCGAGTTCTTCCATCTCCAGCAGCTGCCTGCTGGGCCTGGTGGATGAAGAAGACTGAAGATAAACACCAGAGGGAAGCAAAACCACAGTGCTCAGCTGGCTCTAAAGGGAGGCCTACAGGAGGGGCCAGAGGAAGGAAAGGGCAGGCCTCTCAGGGAGATAGAACAATCCTTCCCCGTATGGGGCAGAAGAGAGAGAGCAGCAGGTGCTCGGTGCACTGAGCAGACAATGAGCTAAGGATGAAGGAGATGGAACGATCCCTGTACAAAACAGCCATGACACACAGTGCATGCAGAAGGACATCATGGTGCATTGAGCACTTTTGCATAAATTGTATTCATAGCAGCATGCAGTGGCCAAATGAACATGGGCTCTTGAGTCTTCCTAGACTCTTAGAGATATTGTATCCCCCACATCTCTTTTTCTCAATATTGTAGCAAGATATGAATTTTTTCATTCACTTTCATGCTATCAAATACTTGCACATATGGTAATGCCAAAGCACAGACATCAGATGTGCATTAAACAAAAATTATTCAAAACAACTCATGTCTATGATTCCTGGGCACATTGATGACATCTCTAAGCCCCACTCTGGGGCTCAGGGTGCAAGGATTATGAGGTCTACCTGAGACATCATTTGGATGTTTATCACATTCACAGTGGAGTACTCCTCCCCCATCAAGAGCCAAGCAAACTTGCTGTTTCTCAAATGAGTACAAGGTGCTTCTGTAAGACAGATGGGAGTCAGACAGGTCAGCAGGAATCAAAGGAGTCAAACAACATTCATCCCGTGGCTCTCAGGGGACTTCATGCTCTGCCACCTGTGGCACCTCCCAGCTGAGACTGGAGGGGTAGGAAGGTCTAAGGTTGATTCAAGGGGGTCAGGGACCACAGAGTCCTAGATGGATTTGACAGAAGGCATAAGGCAACGGTTGCAGAAAGCAAAAGGGCTGACCTAATAAAAGGTACAAATTATTCTCTTCTTGGTGGGACAGAGTGTGGCTGCCGTGAGATAGTGAGAGAAAGAGAAAGATAGAGAGATAGAGATGGCTCATGTTCAGCGAATTGCCCAGATTAGAAGTTCATGAGAAAAAAGAAGCAACATATTTTGACATAATATGGAGTTGGGGTTTTACTCAATTTTCTTCTCTTGTGGTCAAATACTTGCCAACATGCTGACACCTAACAGGTATCTCACCCTGGATTTAACCACACAGAAGAGGACAAGTGATATCAAAAAATCCATGAGTTTGGTGAGTTCACTTGGGTCAACTGATTGTAGGTTACTATGCTTGAGAGGGATTAAGCAATGGAAACCAGGCTAAGCAGGAGGATCACTTGAGCCAGGAAGGTCAAAGCTGCAGTGAACCATGATAGTAGCACTGTACTCCACCTGGATGACTGAGTGAAACCCTGTCAGGAAAGAAAGAAAAGAAAGGAAGGAGAAAAGAAAAGAAAAGAAAAGGAAGAAGGAAGGAAGGAGAAAGAAAGAAAGAGAGAGAGAGATTGAAATGCATATGAGTACCACAAGAAAAAAGAGATTGAAATGTATATGAGTACCACAAGAAAAAAGAAAACATTGTTCAAAAGAATAACTTGTAGTTAACTGAATGGATAAAATAGTCCTATTCATAAACTCCTATTTTTCCCTGATGTCATCCTAGAGATGTCACTATTGAACAACCAGCTCAAAAATCAGAGTTACCTGGGGGACACTGGCTGTTTCCCGTCCTCTTCCTCATTATCATTTTGATTTTCTGCAAATAAATTCAGAAGAGAGGATCACATTAAGCAAATCATACTCCACACATGACCAAATTAGTGTCCAATCATAACACAAGGGCATTAACATTCTCAGCATAAGAATATGGTATTCTTAGAGAAAAGGTCTAGGATGCCCTAGGTTAAGTCTTGGAAGAAGTAGATGAACCTGCTTTCCAGGCCCATGGGGCAGAATCTTCCTCTTCTGGTACATCATAATTGCATATTCTCTGGGCTGTGTCTGTTAAGCAGTTAAACAAAACATTTCCCCAAGATCTTCAGGAACTGGATTAACTACTTTCTAGAAGTGTTGCTACAATATTGACTTGTCTCTGTGGATGTCATGGTTGTTGAATGTTTAGAGGAATTTATACACAAGACTGAAATGAAGGATAAATTCTAAAAATCCTCGCATAATAAAAAATATTCTACAGTGTTACACAGAAAAATTGGCCATTAGTAGGGTGGAGAACTCAGGCCTCAGCTTGCTTTACGGGAACTTATAAGCAAGGCAAAGATAGAAGGGTTTATGTTCAGGTTTTGAGGTGAATGCTAAGCTAAGATTAGCCAATTTAAAGATAAGCCAACTTAAAGGAGAATGGAGACTGCAGCTGAGAGCAATAAAACCAAGGTAATGACGTCCCCAAATCTAAAGGCAAGGCTGCCAATGACCTTTGACAGGCATACTCCAAGGACATTGTTCAGGGACACAAATTACATCACTGCAGGAGACAAAAGACATTGGATCCAAGATAGGAGGTCTGACAGATGCCTCCTGTATACCTCCTGTACACAGGTGGGTATGAGTTTATCACACCTACTTGAGGTCCAATAACCTGATACTGGGGCCAGAGAGACTAAGGCATGACATGGGCTGAGGAGGAGAGGGAAGCCCCCTGACCCACCTGATATCTGTGTTTAATATTTAATCCTACACTTCCTGATTCAAACCAACATGTATCTATAGGCCCTGTCCTCAGAGTTGAACTTTCTTAGCCTAGGCAGAGGTACAAAGGACAAAGAATATAGAGGCTACATGGGAGAATGTTTAGCACTTCCTCCTCCCCTTCATAATGTGAAGATTCACTGCCTACATCCAGAGCAGAGTCGACTTTCTCTTCCTCAGGTGTGATTTTGGCACACCTCTGAGGCTGGTGGGAATCCGAAGAGTCATGGCAAATTGAGCAAGTGGCAGAATATTCCTCCAGTGAGTTCTAAGGGACTTCCTTTTCTTCAGCCTCCTGTACCTCCACCGATGAGCCAGGTGGGATAGAGATAACAGAGATGACAGAAGATTAAACCTGTTTTGACAGGAGGCATAAGTGAGTGGTCCCAAAAAGCAAAGGGGTGGTTCCCTTGAAGAGGGAACAGGCAATCCTCCTCTCTGCAACAGAGTGTGGCTGCCACAGGGGCCTGAGAAGAAGAGAGCAGCTGGAGCTCATTGCACTGGGCAGGTAGGATCTGAGGAGGGAGGAGACTCAGCTATCCCTGTATGGTGTAGATGTAACACACAGCACATGAAGAACCCTAACAGCTGCTACACCATGTGGCTCAGTTGGGTTGAATGTAACATACTATGGCCAAGAAAATACATGCTGAGCCATTGTAGACTCCAGAAATGGTGTGACTTCTAGGCCTTCTTCTTCTAATATTGTGATTTGAAAAGCGAGTACTTTTGGTCTAGGTACTTTTCTTGGTACTTAACTTTGCCAGTTACTTCCTAATTCCTGTCCTTGTTAACTCTTTGCTGTTTATCTTAACTAATAAGAACCTAATGACAACTATGTAGGAAGCAGATATGAAACTCCTCCTGGTTTTCACTACAGAAGAGAACGGGTCTCATCTGTGTGTGCAGGAAATCCCTAAGGCTGGTAAGTTCTCCTCAGGTCATGCTTCCAAGTACCACAAAGAAAACAGACAACCATGTCAACAGGGCTATTTCACTGTTGAGTGAGTGCACTAAATCAATACAATCTGCAATTTTTTCCTTGCATCTAGAATCCATGACAACCTACACCTCTCTTGTCTTCTTTCTGAGGCCTTTTCCATATTTTACCTACCCATTACCAGCTCCTGATTATTCATTGTTACCTGGAGGCAAGTGGTCCTTGGACTTTTTCAACTTTCTCATCTTTAGCATCTTCATTTCCAACTTCATCATTTTCTGCAAACAAATGCAGTAGTGTCCATTCAGATATTTCCCACTTCACCCACTGCAAACACAGTCAGATATATGAGCACTGAGACATGAACATCTATGTACAAGTCAGTGTTGCACTGAAAGCCCTCGTGTTTCATCCTTAGCTCTCACGTTTTTTGCCCTGGCAATGTGGTTCTAATCTGGAGAACCACCATCATGACATGGGAACAAATTAAAAAGGCCTTTTTCCCCTCATATCACTGGAGCCTTGTCCATCTTCTCTCTGGACTTCAGCAGCTGTCTTCCCCTTCTGGCCGCAGATCTGATTCCCAGGCACAGACTCCACATCCCCTCACAGCTCTCACTAAAACCTATTTCTTTCTCTTAGGAAATGACAAACAACCCTGTCACCCACCACTCCATACATCAGGGGACTTCAAAGACCCTTCAAGTAGCTTCTGCTGTGTTGTCCCGGAAAATTCTCTCTATGAAGAGTGTTCCAGTCTTAACAACTTTCCTAACACCACATGCTACCACATCAACTACCTTATCTAACATCACACAGTGAGGGTCTTTGCCTTATTCTGAAATTCATTCATGTGTGTTCCCACATTTGAATGCTGTATCTACCATGCAGGAGATAATTTGTCCCCATTTCCAGTTAGACACAGACATTCAGGAAGGATAAATCACTGGCCCACAGTTACTAAGACATTGCTGCGAATAGAGCCTGGGAACTTCCATTCTTAGTCCAGGGCTCGCTCCACTCTTACAAGCTGCTTCCTGTCACATCCTCCTTCCTGTCCTTTAAAACTGGATGGATGATGCTTCTTGCTCCAAAGGCCAGTTCCATCAAGGAGGAAGGAGGATTTTGCCATACTGTGACCTCCAACCCATGGGTTTCTCATCTCTCTTCCTACACAGGAAGTCCTGGTCATGTCATGGTACTAATGCCTAGTGGAAAGAAAGACCACCAATAAAATTGTCATTATGCAGGTGTGGAGGTCTGGAGTCTTCTCATAAGCCTAGGATTTTGCATCATCAGGGCCTGTGACTGCCTTACCTGGGCTGAGCTTGCGGACAAGGCACTCTGCCAGCCTGCGCCCCTCGCCCCTCAGCCAGCTGCTCTCGGAGGTCCTGCCCCTGGTGGTTGTCAGGGTCATCATCAGTGAGAAGGGCCTTCAGATGCTGATTGAGTAAGAGGGAGGCATCTCTCCCTTCCCATAACTTCTTCCTTAACTGGGTCAGCTCTCACACCTGAGAGTGAACTAGGGCTTTGTATCACCTAAGGTAGGATAGTAGAGAAAATATAAGAGTGGAGAGGGATCAGTGATCAGTTCTAAGAATTGCAACAGAGATTTATGTGAGAATATCCTCAAGAAGCCCTCCAAGCAGAATTTTAGCACAGTTTTGGGGAAATGGCTCTGACAAACAGAAAAAGTTTTTTTTGAGACAGATCTCACTCTGTCCCACAGGCTAGAGTACAGTGATGCAGTCTCGGCTCACTGCAACTTTGACTTCCCAGGTTCAAGATATCCTCCTGCCTCAGCCTCCCATGTAGCTAGGACTACAGGCACATGCCACCACGCCGGGCTAATTTTTGTATTTTTATTAGAGACAGGGTTTCTGACATGTTGGCCAGGCTGGTCTCGAAATCCTGACCTCAGGTGATCCACCCTCCTCAGCCTACCAAAGTGCCAGGATTACAGGGGTGAGCCACCACGCCCAGCCAAAATATAATTTTTTACTAAAAGCCCTCCTCTGTATTAGAGTGTTCCTATAAGATTCCTCAACATTCAACTTTTTCCTGTGTAAAGAAAACTAGATTTCTTCCCAAATTTGTTTCAGAAAATTGTCCCTTTAGTTCCTCATTACATGGACATTTCCATGTAAAAATAGCACACATAGCACAATATGCAGTGACTGGACACAAAGCCACACATAGAAATGTGGCCAAGTACAGCTGAGGTTATTCAGAGAGATGAAAGAATGAAAGAATGACAGGGTCAAGATAATAACATTCAAATGAATGAAAGAATGAGAAGCCAGTAAGTCAGGAGGTGATTCTAACTAAGGATAAAGAAAATATGGTACTTATTTACAATGGAGTGCTATGCAGCCATAAAAAAGAATAAGAGCCTGTTATTTGCAGCAACATGGATGAAACTGGAGGTCATTATGCAAAGTGAAATTAGCCAGGCAAAGAAAGACAAACATCGCATGGTGTCACTTATTTGTGGGATCTAAAAATCAAAACAATTGAACTCATGGTGATAGAGAGTAGAGGGATAGTCACCCGAGGCGGGGAAGCATAGTGGGAGCTGAGGTTATGGGGGTGGTTAATGTGTACAAAAAAAATAGAATGAATGAGACCTAGTATTTGATAGCACAACAGTGTGATGATAGCTAATAATATAATTGTACATTTAAAAATAACTAAGAGTATAATCAATTGTAACATAAACAACAAATTCTTGAGGGGATAGACACTCCATTTTATGCGATGTCATTATTATCCATTGTATGCCTATACCAAAATATCTCAGGCACTCCATAAATATGTACTCCTACTATGTACCCACAAACATTAAAATAAAACATTTAGAAAGAGAAAATGTAGTGGTGATTGCACAATATTTTGAATGTACTAAATGCTGCTGAGTTGTTCACTTTCCTTTGGTTAATTTTGTGTTTTACAAATTTTGCCTCGATAATTACTTGTTCCGAGTAACAACTGTAGCCCATAATTTACTAGCATTGTTGTTCTGTAATTGTTTTATAAATGTTTGCACGACATGTGCCTGCTACGTAAATTCCTGCCCTTCTCCTGGCCCAGGTTAGCTCTTATTTCTCCAGCTGAGCTGCCCCGCTTCCGAGACTCACACACCTTTCACCTGCCTGCCCCACCACACAGAGCCTCCCTCACCTGAGCTCCTCAGCTTGTGTCGACTTCTCTGCCAGCTTCTCCTCCTTGAACTGCATCTTCTCCCCCAGCTGAGATTCTGTGATGCCTTTGTGCTCCTCACACTCTAAGAAAAGACACACCTGTCTCGGTGGGAGGTTGGACATGCTGCTGCGGTCGTTGCCTACAGGGGAGTGAGAGGTGACAGCGTGCTGGCAGTCCTCACAGCCCTCGCTCGCTCTCTGCGCCTCCTCTGCCTGGGCTCCCACTTTGACGGCACTTGAGGAGCCCTTCAGCCCACCGCTGCACTGTGGGAGCCCCTTTCTGGGCTGGCCAAGGCCGGAGCCGGCTCCCTCAGCTTGCAGGGAGGTGTGGAGGGAGAGGCGCGAGCGGGAACCGGGTCTGTGCGCGGCGCTTGCGGGCCAGCTGGAGTTCCGGGTGGGCGTGGGCTTGGCGGGCCCCGCACTCGGAGCGGCCGGCCGGCCCTGCCGACCCCGGGCAATGAGGGGCTTAGCACCCCGGCCAGCGGCTGCGGAGGGTGTACTGGGTCCCCCAGCAGTGCTAGCCCACCAGCGCTGAGCTCGATTTCTCGCCGGGCCTTAGCTGCCTTCCCGCGGGGCAGGGCTCGGGACCTGCAGCCCGCCATGCCTGAGCCTCCCACCCCGTCCTTGGGCTCCTGTGCGGCCCAAGCCTCCCCGATGAGCGCCGCCCCCTGCTCCAGGGCGCCCGGTCCCATCGACCACCCAAGGGCTGAGGAGTGCGGGCGCAGGGCGCGGGACTGGCAGGCAGCTCCATCTGCAGCCCCGGTGCGGGATCCACTGGGTGAAGCCAGGTGGGCTCCTGAGTCTGGTGGGGGCCTGGAGAACCTTTATGGCGGCGCGTCTGGAGTTGTTCGTTCCTCCCGGTGGGTTCGTGGTCTCGCTGGCCTCAGGATTAAAGCTGCAGACCTTCGCGGTGAGTGTTACAGCTCACAAAGGCAGTGTGGACCCAAAGAGTGAGCAGCAGCAAGATTTATTGCAAAGAGTGAAAGAACAAAGCTTCCACAGTGTGGAAGGGGACCCGAGTGGGTTGCCACTGCTAGCTCAGGCAGCCTGCTTTTATTCTCTTATCTGGCCCCACCCACATCCTGCTGATTGTCCACACTCTGTATCTAGCTAATCTGGTGGGGATGTGGAGAACCTTTGTGTCTAGCTCAAGGTTTGTAAACATACCAATCAGCACCCTGTGACTAGCTCAGGGTTTGTGAATGCACCAATCGACACTCTGTATCTAGCTACTCTGGTGGGGCCTTGGAGAACCTTTATGTCTAGTTCAAGGATTGTAAATACACCAATCGGCACTCTGTATCTAGCTCAAGGTTTGTAAACACACCAATCAGCACCCTGTGTCTAGCTCAGGGTTTGTGAATGCACCAATCGACACTCTGTATCTAGCTACTCTGGTGGGGACTTGTAGAACCTTTGTGTCCACACTCTGTATCTAGCTAATCTGGTGGGGATGTGGAGAACCTTTGTGTCTAGCTCAGGGATTGTAAACACACCAATCAGCGCCCTGTCAAAACAGACCACTCGGCTCTACCAATCAGCAGGATGCGGCTAGGGCCAGATAAGAGAATAAAGCAGGCTGCCCGAGCTAGCAGTGGCAACCCACTCGGGTCTCCTTCCACACTGTGGAAGCTTTGTTCTTTCACTCTTTGCAATAAATCTTGCTGCTGCTCACTCTTTGGGTCCACACTGCCTTTGTGAGCTGTAACACTCACCACGAAGGTTTGCAGCTTCACTCCTGAAGCCAGCGACACCATGAACCCACCGGGAGGAACGAACAACTCCAGACGTGCCGCCTTAAGAGCTGTAACACTCACCGCGAAGGTCTGCAGCTTCACTCCTGAGCCGGCGAGACCGCGAACCCCACCAGAAGGAAGAAACTCCGAACACATCCGAACATCAGAAGGAACAAACTCCAGATGCGCCACCTTAAGAGCTGTAACACTCACCGCGAGGGTCCGAGGCTTCATTCTTGAAGTCAGTGAGACCAAGAACCCACCAATTCCGGACACAGGAGGAGTCAGGGTCCACCCCAAGGACACAAGGATCCCCAGTACCAAGCTCTCGGTGGCACTTGATGCCGTCACTTACGGGTACCACAGTTTCTGGCAGGAGCAGCCTCCTCTTTAGGCTCCTTTAAAGCAGGTGCTCTGTGCTACCATCACTTCTCCCAGTGCAGCTGGCACAGAGCTTTGCCTATTGGGCCTCCATATCTTTACCAACCTCCCAAATACAAGGCCGCTGATACTCCCCAATTTGTGAATGAGGAAAGAGAAACTCAAAGGCACATGAAATAACTAGAAAACATGACTCAATTGGAATGAGGCAGAGTCAGAATTCACATCCACTAAGGTGTGACTCAAAATCATGGGCCACTTTACCAAGCCTTGCAGCCTCCTGTAAAACACTAGGCTGGAACATAAAGCAGTGATTTCCTGTACAGTCAGGAAGGCCTCTAGAACTATGGGACTGGTGGTTCCCTTGTATTGGGAATTTCAAGCACAAATACCACAGAGATTTTTAAAATCATATCTGGACACAAGTAAAATATGAGGCATAAGACCATAAGGCCCTGAAAAAAATATGCCCAAATGCTAATAAAGTTTGTGTTAAATTAGAAATAGTAGCACAAATAACTAATAAATAGTTTTTACTCTGTGCCAAGGACTCTTCCAGGAGATTTACAAGAACAAGTTCCGGTAATTCATTGCAGCAATTTACAGAGGTAGGAATTATTATAGGACCCTATTAACAGATAAGGAAACTGAGACAAAGAGAAGACAAACAACTTGGATTGGAGCCCAGGAGACTAGCCCAGGGTCCCTCCTCTCCACACTGCACTGTTACCTCAGCAGAGTCTTGGGCACTCCCTTTCTTCCTCTTTAGGAATAAGAGCCTGTGCTCCAGGAAGCAGGACTTCCCTCTCATCAGGGTCGTCCCTGCTCCTGATGCTGTCACGTATGGATACCACAGGTTCTATTCAGAGCATACTCCTCATTAAGCTCCTGGAAAGCAGGGACTGTGAACTATCACCATCTTTCCCCCAGTGCGGACAGCACGGGGCTTTGCCTATTGGGCCTCAATAGACGCTTAAATTGAATAAAAGTTCATTAGTTCCAGACATTTACACCAACAGGCTAAACGTTATTTGCCTGCAGGATTTTATATGGTACAGAGAGGATCCTGGTAAAAATGGTTTAGGCTGTTACTGAGAAAAACAGGAAGTTTTGTGTCTGCATCAGGCATCAATAATTGGGATTTTAACTCTAACCCCACCCTACACTTCACTGCAAATGCGGAAACGTTGCTAAACACTTTGTGTCCAGTTTTTCAGTCCTCAGCAAAATGAGATTAAAATATCTACTTCTACCTTTCTGGGAGTAAGGGAAGGATGAAATTTATTTTGATGTAGAGAAGAGAGGAATCGGGTCTAAAGAGTGTTTAGTTTCTGAGAGAGAAGACAGTGATCACTCATCACTTTGGTGATAGTGAACCTGCAGAACTTACACGGTGAAACCCCATCTCTACTAAAAATACAAAAAATTAGCCCGGTGTGGTGGTGGGCGCCTGTAGTCCCAGCTACTCAGGAGGCTGAGAAAGGAGAATGGCATGAACCCAGGAGGTGGAGCTTGCAGTGAGCCGAGATCGCGCCACTGCACTCCAGCCTGGGCTACAGAGCGAGACTCCGTCTCAAAAAAAAAAAAAAAAAAAAAAAAAAAAAAAGAACTTACTGTATTTCTGTAGCTGGCAGAAGCTTCAGAGACAAGAAATTTCTCTTTGAGGTCTCGGAACTGCTGTTCGCTCATTTTCAGCTGTGAGAGCAATTCCTGGTTGATTTCTAGGATGTTCATTTCTGCTCTCTCACTGGACAAAGGGCTGACAGATTCTGCTATGCTGACATTTGTGGCAGAAGAGGTAGAGCCAGGGACTGGGGAGAAGAAACCCAACCCAAGATGGGTTAAAAACTAGTGAAATCAAACAGATTTGACCAAGACTGAGGGATGACTATAACTGGAATTCTTACCTTACTGTTCAGAAAAACTTGATCAGCACCCCACAACACCTGAAAGTCCTTAACCACAAAAACAAAGTTTAAGGAGCCAGAGCTTGGAGCAGAAGGCACTGCCTGTAGCTTAGACTCTGAAGGGAGTGAGGGAAGTAGTGCCCAGTGGGTCAGGTAACGGTCTGCCGTCGCTATTACAGAATTAGAAGGTGGGGATGTCATGGCATCTTGGAGCCCCTGCCTTCTACTTGCCTAGGCCATGCTGAAACACAAGGCCTCCTGATCTCCCCTGAGGGTCACCACCGATGGGGACCACTCCCTCAGCTGTCATTCTGGGTATTTGTGTACCCTTGTGACAGTACCGCAGACCTATCTCTTTCCCAATAAATCTAAGCATATTTCTCATTGTTCATCCTTTATGTGTATAAAATCATCATGGCAGAAATAATTTCCCAACAGGTTTTATTTTCAATTGTTGTGATGAAGTTGCCCCCCTTCTCTTTAAGTAAAAACAGATCTGAAGGCTTTTCTACAAGTGAAAGATGTGGAAGTTTTAGACTGCCATGATGTGCTTTTCTGGGTCTTCTGCAGTTTTTTCTGTGTCTTCTAAAAAGTGTAGGACTAAAAGCAGAATATAATACTATGTGAGTGAATAATTCATTTTCAAAATGTTTTCTTTATTGTCTCAATATTCTTCTTGCGGCATCCCATTGTTATGTTGATTTCTTTTCACTTACTGGGGCAGTATGTTGGCTTTTCACTACACTTACAACCAGTTTGACATCCTTATTGCTGAAGCTCTTCCACTATCTGTAGGCTGATTTGTATTTTAATGTCTCTAAATACTCCATTTCATACATCTCAGTTATGGATGTCATTCTAGATTCACAATTGCTGTTTTCAAGATTTCAAGTGATCAAAATCATTTACGCATACCTCCTGAAAATATGCAGAGACCACCTATCTTGGGAAATCTTATAAAACTGAGGCTATTTTGTTGTTTTCATTTAGTTCCCCTATATATTAAACAGAACAGGGCCCATGAGCAGTTTTTATGGAATATTGCTTGTTAGATGTTTTTTTGAGTTGGCCTAATACCATTGATCTGTGATTGTCTTCCACTAAAAGAACATGGTGAGATCAGTCATGGTCAGTGGTGGTTGGTGATCTGCTGGGTACATGTGTAATACCCTAGAGGAAGGTGCAGGTCATAATCCATTGTGGTTTTTATAGCACAATGTATGTTTTATGGAGTTTTTACTCTGTTCTGTTTACAAAGATTAAATTGAAGCTATGGTTTAGGGTTTTACACCTGAACTTAAAATTTTTCTGATTTCTTTCTTTTTTTGTTTTTATTGAGGCGGAGTTTCGCTCTTATTGCCCAGGCTGGAGTACAATGGCACAATCTCAGCTCACTGCAACATCTGCCTCCCGGGTTCAAGCAATTCTCCTGCCTCAGCCTCTAGAGTAGGTGGGATTACAGGCACGTGCCACCATGCCCAGCTAATTTTGTATTTTTGGTAGAGACAGGGTTTCTCCATGTTGGTCAAGCTGGTCTCGAACTCCCAACCTCAGGTGATCCTCCTGCTTCAGCCTCCCAAAGTGCTGGGCTTACAGGTGTGAGCCACCACGCCTGGACTTAAAGTTTTTCTGATTTCTACATTGCAACTAAATTCTCCTGTAAATAGAAAAATACTTTTTATTACTTATAAGAACAAATAATTGGTTTGAGTTTTAAAGATGAAGCACTAACTTTTGTTTTCATCGTGCACTTGTCCCTATTTGTGCTGCTCACTGTCTCTCAGCATGTCCTGGTCTTTCTCCTTGCACTTACCCTCCTCCTGCTGAACAATCTCCATGCACTGTCCAACACCACCAGCAATTCCAGCTCTCCCTTGGCCTCCCCAAAATGGGTGCAGGTGTCAGGATGTCAAACACATCCTAAATGCAAAAGCGACCCATGCTCTAGAGCAGGCAGCTGTGATCCCACCTGCCTGAAGTTGGAGATAATGTCCTAGTACAGGAAGGAATTACTTCTCTTTTACTAAGGGGTCTTTTCTTCATGTCTGAATGCCTCTGTTCTAGTGAGCACAACTGTCCGAAATATGAATGCACTTGCTAACTTTCTAGTTTCTTCTTAGGCAGCTAGATTATTTATAAGTCCTCTTTACTTACATATCTCTACTGAAGTTTGAATTCTTAGCCGAACGATTCCTTTTCTTGTAAGGTGAGAGGCTTGGAGAAGACCGGTCTTGTCACTGTGCAGAAAAGGTAAAAAAAAATTCTATTCAAAGCAAGTTTGAATTTGAAACTAGGGCTTTCACTGTTTCCAACGTGGAAGGTCAGTGTCTCAAGCACATGTCTCCAAGGGCTTGTGTCTCTGCTGTACTCCAGATAAAGCTAAAATGGGGCCGAAGGATCCAGGTCTCTTAGAGTCCCCCAGTTTCTCTGGGCTTTAGAGGCTGCAATGAACATATCCTGTTGTTCTGCTCTGGCTTACTTTTGTATTGTGGCTTTGGGATGATGTGATGCAGCTTAGTGGTTCCTACCCCCAAGCTGATCAGAGTAAGAAACAACACCTGGGAAAGTTAGTGCAACTACAAGTCCATCAACCCCATTGCAGTGATTCTGATTCAGTGGCCTTACCTGGTGCCTGGAATGCATTTGTCAATGTTACTCAGATGTGCAGGCAGTTTGGGCACCCACTGATATCATCAATCTTACAGTTTGTGAGATGATTTTTCTTACATATTATCACTTGTGATCTTCACAATCGACTTGTGAGGAAAGCTTTACTTTGCCCTGTTTTGTTGATGAAGTAACCAAGGCACAGAGTCTGTAACCTGTCCAAGTTCTCCTCACTGTAAGTACTGCAGCCAGATCTCAGGTAGTCCCCTCTCCCCCACACCCTTTTCCACATTTTCCAATTCAATTGTGTCAGTTCTTTCTGAGTAGGTGTTTCTCTCACCTATACCTTATTTCTGCAAAAACAAAAACAAAAAAAAAAAACGCTTTTTTTAATCTAATGTATTTCCTCACAACAGGCTGTCAGCATCATATTCTGGCCACTGACTGTGAAAGCGAGATGCAATTTTTCCATGAAAATACTGGGCAGAGAAACGTGGAAGGACAACTTGCGTTATTATGTTGTTATTATTATTACTAAAGTATAATTCATATATCATAAAAGTCACCATTTTTAGGCATACCATTCAGTGTCTGTTACTATATTTAAAAGGTTTTGCAATCATCACCACTACCTAATTCCAGAACATTTTTGTAACGTTAAAAAGAATGCCCGTACTTATTGGCAGTCATTCTCCATTCTCCACTTCTTGCAATCCATAACTTTATAGCAACCACTAATCTACTTTCTCTATATATAAATTTAATTGCTCTGGAAATTTCACATATATGGAATAATACATTATATGGCCTTTTGCATCTGGCTTCTTTCACTTAGCATAATGTTCTCAAGGTTCATCCTTGATGTGGCATGTGTCAGTACTTCCATCCTTTTCATGGCCAAATAATATTCCATTTTTTATGGACCATATACCACATTTTTTATCTATTCATCAAGTGATCATTGTTTGGGATGTTTCCCCTTTCTAACTATTATGAATAATGCTCCTTTGAATATTTTTACATGTTTTTGAGTGAGCATCTGTTTTCAATTCTCTTGGTTATATACCTAGGCATGTAATTGCTGCATCCTATACAACTTTATATTGAACTTTTTGAGGAACTAATGAACTGTATTCCAAGCTCAGTGGCCACACCATATTATATTCCTGCTAGCAATTACAGGAATTCCATTTTCTCCACAATCTCCCCAATGTGTGTTGTCTTTTTTTGTTTGTTTTAGTCATACTAGTGTGTATGAAGTGGTATCTTATTTTGGTTTAGCTTTACATTTTCCTACTGACAAATAACATTAAACATCTTTGCATGTGCTTATTGGCCATTTATATGTATCCTTTAGAGAAATGTCTATTCAAACCCCTTTTCCCAATGTTAAATTGAGTTATTTGGTTTTTTTGTTGCTCAGTTATAAGAATTCTTTGTATGTTCTGGATACAGGACCCTTGTCAGATATATGATTTGCAAATATTTCTCCCATTATGTGTATTATCTTTTCACTTCCTTGATAATGTCCCTTGAAGTATAAAATTTTTTAATCTTAATAAAGTTGAATTTATCTACTTCGGGTTGTTTGTGTATATCTAAGAAATCAGTGTCTAATCCAAAGTCATAAAGATTTATACCTGGGTTTTCTTTAAAATATCAGTTTTTGAATGAGAACTTTCCTGGGTTTTAGTGAAAGGTGGACATTATTTAATTATGCCTTGGGTCCATTGTCTGATGTTTCTTCTGATTGATATTCCTATGCCCACCACCCCCTCTCTGGAGCATCCAATGTCCTGCAACAGAGCTCTGGGGAATGGTACCCTTTCACTGACTTTGATTCAGGTGAGTGGCCTGGTCATGTAGTTCAGCCCGGCCTTCAACCAAACCAGTTTGACATATTCCTCCATACCTTCAGAGCTGAACAGTTGAGTGCGTCTCTGAGGAATGCTTGGAAACCCATGTTTTTCTAAGGCTAGAGTGGACTTCCTCAGTCAGTGCTAGACAAAGGGGACTGGAGGGGTTGGATCTAGTCAAGACTTTCATCTCTGGTGTTAGATAGAGATTACAGCTGCTTCAGGGTTTGAGGAAGGTTGCTCAGTAAAACTAGGTCCTCTCTAACTCTTTTTAGTGTATTGTGACTTTTTTCTAGAAATAATGGAAGAATATTTATTTTTGAACATTTTTCTGTTTTTCTTCCATTGTTTGTCTACATTTTTAAGTGGGTAAAAGAGAACTCAGAGTAAATATATTCTTACGCTTATTATTTTTTTCCTTTTTCTGGAGAACGGGGTCTCGCTATATTGCCCAGGCAGGTCTCGAACTCCTGGGCTCAAGCTATCCTCCCACCTCTTGCCTCCCTGAGAGCTGGGATTACAGGCGTGAGCCACCGTGCCCGGCCATATATTCTTAACTAATTATGGCTCATGTACACTGTCATGTGATCATATTTCTTTCTGTTATATAAACTATTTTATTACAGTTATTATCCTTCTCCTGATGAGGAAAAAACTCAGAAAAGTTACAAAATTTTCCTAGGTCACAAATTTAGCGAGTTGAGGAATAAGCATTAGAAACCAGTTCTGTTTGGCCTTCAAAACTAACCTTGTACCATTAGATCAAATTGAGTGACAGTACTTCTGTGGGAAGAAGTCTCAGTTTGTGGTTCTAGATTGATTTTCCCAGGGAAATAATGTGTCATTTTAATATTGTTTCAAACCTTCAAATTTCAAAATCTTTTTCCATTATGCTTTTTTGTGTTTCTTCTATTCCATTGCTTTTGGTTTCTTCTTAAGGAATCCCTGTTATTTATATACTGAATATTTGTTACCTAACTTCTCTCAATTGTCACTTTTCAAGAGTCTTTATCATCTTTTTTTTCTAAGAACAGTTCTTAATTGAGGTATAATTTGCATAAAACAAAATGCAAAAAGCTTAAGAATACAGCTTAATTAATTTTAACATAATTATGCATTGTGTAATACCACCGAGATCAAGGTAGAGAACATTTTCCACCATGCCCAAAAGTTCTGACATTCTCCTTGCTAGTCGATACTCATCCCCTGAATAAAGAATGTATTCTGAATTTTCCAAGTCTTTAATCCATTTGTGTTGCCGTAAAGGAACACCTGAGGTTGGGCAGTTTATAAAGAAAAGACGGTTAGTTGGCTCACCATTCTGCAGGTTGCGCAAGAAGTATGGAGCCAACATCTGCTTCCGATGAGGGCCGCAGGCTCCTTCCATTCATGGTGAAAAACAAAGGGGAGTTGGTATGGGCAGAGATCACACGGTGAGAGAGGAAGCATGAGGGAGACAGGAAGTACCAGGCTCTTTAACAACCAGTTTTCATGGGAACTAAAAGAGGAAGAACTTACTACCCCCTTCCAGGGAAGGCCTTAACCTATTCCTGCAGGATCCCCATGACCCAAAGACCTCCCATTGGGCCACCTCCAACATTGGGGATCAAACTTCAACACAAGATTTGGAGGGCACAAATATCTAAACTATAGCAGGGACCATAATTTTGTTTATTATGCATCATAAACATGGAATCATATCATATGCTCTCTTTTGTTTTGACTTCTCTTACTCAGCATCTGCAATTGAGATTCAATCTCTGGGGGGTTATGTATGCCATGAATTTGTTTGTTTGTGTTTTTCTTTTGTTTAATTTTATTTTGACAAAGTAATACTTTATTGTATGATTGGCACACAATTTTATTATCATTTTTTCAGATGGCAGACAGGTTTACTTTTTGGCTATTATGCACAAAATAACTTTGAATATTCTTGTATAATTCTTTTAGTGAAGATATGCACTCTTTTCTCCTGGGTATACACAGCTAAGAGTGGAATTGCTTGGTTGAAAGAATGAAAAGCTGAAACAGAGTTTTGCAGAGTAGTTTTACTATTTTACATTTCTATGAAAAATGTAGGTCATTTCTAGTTGGTCTGCATTCTCACACACTTACTATTTTTAGTCTTTTTCATTTTAGCCATTCTGCTACATATGTAGTAATATACCACTTTGGTTTTCATATGCCTATTGGTCATTTAAATATTTTTAAAGATTTTCTACTATTTTTCTTCTAGAAGGTTTAAAGTTTCAAGGTTTATACTTAAGTCTATTATCTAACTTGAGAGGTTTTGGGCTCTTTTATTTTTATTATATACATTTAAGGTATATGACATGATATTTTGATATCCATATACTAGTGAAATGATAACTACAGATAAACAATTTTGAATATACATCAACTCACATAGTTACCTTATGTGTGTATAGTAAGAGCACCTAAAATATACTCTCTTAAAAATTTCCTGGTATACAGTACACTATTATTAACTGTATTCCTCAAGCTGTACTTTATATCTTGAGGTTTAGTCATCCTACATAATAACTACTTTATACTCTTTAACCAACATCTCTTCATTTACCCCCCCCCACCCCATGTCTCCAATCTAGGCTCTGATAACTAGTCTTTTTATTCTCAGTTTCTATATATTTGACTTTTTATTTTCTTTTTTAGATTCCATACATAAGAGAGATTATTCAATATTTTTCTTTCTGTGTCTGGTTTATTTCACTTAACATAATGTCCTCCAGCTTCAATTTTGGTGCAAATTACAGGATCTTCTTCTTGTAAAAGTTGAATAACATTTCACTTTATATTCTACAATGTCTTTACCCAGTCATCTGTTGATGGGCATTTAGGTTGTTTCCATGTCTTCACTATTGTGAGTAATGCTGCAGTGAACATAGCAGTGAAGATATCTTTACTAGGTATTGATATCATTTCCTATGGATATATGCCCAGAAGAGGGATTGCTGGGTCATATTTTCAATATTTTGAGGATTTGCCTAGGCTGGTCTCAAACTCCTGGGCTCAAGTGATTCCTCAGCCTTGGCTTCCCAAAGTGCTGGGATTACAGACATGAGCCACAGTGCCCAGCCCATTGTGTTTTTCTTCTAGGAGCTAAGGATCCAATTTTATTATTTTGCATCTGGATATCCAGTTTCTTTACATCATTTATTAAAGAGATTATCTTTTCCCCATTGTGTGTTCTTGGGGACATGGTCAAAAAGTAGTTGACTGTATCTACTTGGGTTTATTTCTCGGCTCTTTGGTCCCCTGGTCTCTTTTAACGCCAATCCCACATAGTTTTGATTACTACAGCTCTGTAACATAAGTTTTAACTAGACAGTGTGATACCTTCAACTTCCTTTTTCTTTCTCGGGATTGCTGGGTCTATTCTGGGCTTTTGGTGGTTCCATTCTAATTTTAGAGTTGTTTTTTTCTGTTTCTGTGAAAAATGCTATTGAAATTTTGATAGGGACATATTGAATTTATAGACCATTTTGAGCAGCATAAATATTTTAACAATAATTATTCTTCCATTTATTAGATACAGGATATCTCTCCATTTATTTATGTCTTCAATTTCTTTCAATAACATTTTATAGTTTTCAATGGACAAGAATTTTTCCTTCTTGAATAAATTTATTTTGGGTATATTATTCTTATGGGTGCTATTGTAAATAAAATTGCTTTATTAATTTTATTTTCAGATTGTTCATTTCTAGTGTATAGTAATTTTGTCTGTTTATCTTGCATGCTGCAAATTTGCTGAATTAATTGATTGACTCTAGTAGTTTTTGTGTGTATGTGGATTATTTGGAATTTTCTATGTATAGAACCACGTCATCTGGAAATAAAGATAGTTTATATTCTTTCTTTACTATTTCCTTTTTAAATTTCCTCTTTCTCTCTCTGAATTGTGAATGTCAAAATTCCCCAGGTCAGTCCTAGATGTGCAAAAGAAATGAAGAACAAAGGTCAATACATGAAGTTAAGACATACATCTAAAACACACAGTGTTTTAGCCTATAATGCCCCCTGGAAAGTAGAGCCTGAAACACAGGCTTGCATGCAATTTATTTTCAGGGGAGGAGAGTAGGAGACTAGGGAGAGCAAAACAGGAAAGGAGAGAAAGCCAAAAGATGGATTCTTCTTGACCAGGTTTCTTCTGTGAAAAACTGTATCTCAATCTCACCAGGCTTTCTGAGAAGCGAAGTAAAATGAATGCACCACAGAATTGTGCAAGTGAAGGGCAGAAAACAGGAGTAATAATTCAGTAGCTTCTGTCCCTAAATGATCATTAGCCTCCTCACACTCATGCATTCAGACTATGAGTGCATGAGTGCTGAGCCGGTTCCCACAAGAAGGAGGTGAGAGGATTAAGAAAATGTGCAATGAGGGATGAGAAGTGTTCAATATTTCTTATAACACTATCAGTCAGGTAAGCAGAGTTAAAGTTTTCTCAGGTTCTTGTTTTTTCTGGAATAAGCTAACAGTATTGTTTAGAATTTGATAAAGTAATGATTTTTAGAGTGACCACCAAAAGAACAGAAACACTCTATCACTTTTAAGTAAGAGAAAATGGAATTTTAAATATTCTTAAAGAAAAAATAGGGGATAGGACAATGATTATAACAAATAAAAAATACAAAATATGATAGCACATTTAAACTCAGATACATCCGTACATATAGTAAATGTAAATGAATTAAATTTCCAGTTTAAAAACAAAGATTATCAATTTCAAGTATAAAATAAATAAGCAGAAAAATTGTATCATTAGATATAAAAGTGATCAATATGTCATGTTACTAAATTAAAACACTTATTGTGGTCAAGATGTCAATCCTTCCCAAATTAACATACAAATTTAACATACTCTAATGTAGAAACAAATATTTTGGAAAAATTAACCAAATAATTTCAAATTAATCTGGAGAATATTCAAGAAAATTTTTAAGTGGAATAATAAGGAATGTTAAAAATATCTATCTACCAGAATAGACAAATAATTATGTGTGAATACTCATGTGTGAATACTGTTTGAGATTTCCAAATGCTTTACATTTTGTATCTCATTTGATCCACGTAATCAACCCTATAAACCAAACAGTAATTGTATACAGGAAGAATCTGAGGCTCAGAAAGATTACCTTGTGAAAAGCTATGCAGCAAATGACTGTGTTAAAGCTCAATTCTAGCTAAAACTCACTCCTGGTACAGTACTCAGGTCACATCTTATTTATAGGAGAGCAAGACAAATTGAAATTGAAGTGTGGGAAGTAGCTTTGGTTTATTAAAAGATGGCTTTCTTTTGAGCATGGAAATAGCAAAATATTGACACAATGAAAATATCAGCAACAATCTCAGGCAGAATTATTCTTTGGGTTTTTTAAATGTGACATTAATCAGCTACTTAGCAAAAACTTTAAGAGTTGGTTTCCCCCACATAATATTATGAAACTGTCACCTTTCCTATCTCTGTTAGAACCCTGGGTTGTTTTTTGTTTTGTTTTGTTTTGTTTTTGTACATCTCGTGCTACTATGACTCTTGTTTGTTTGCTTGTATTTATCCGCTTATGTTTAGAAAGCATTTGAGCTGGCTCAAGACTTCTGCCTTGCGCCAATCATATTTCTCTTGGTGTGCTTGCAGAATTGCCTGACACTTTCATCATCCCTATGATGTCAGCAACTACTTAAAGCTGATTTTGTGACCAGTCAACATATATCACAAGACTACATCAATATATAAACATATGAGTAAACAAATCTGTCCAGTTTTTAAAATTATGAAGGTTGATGTTATGATCACAATAATGACAATGATGATGCCTCTCCCCACAACATCAGAGCAGAACAAGCAATTTACTGGCTTCCTACAGAAAGCAAAAAGAGGAAACTATATAATTTGAACCTTTCTTTAGGGAATATGGTTCATACTCTCCAAATTTAAGCCAGCCCTGAGAGAGGTGAGCTGGAAAGTCTGTACATCCAGCAGACGTCTCTTGCAGAGGAGAATGAAAGCTGTTTCAGGACCATCAAATATTTCTGCTCAATAAAGGTTACAGTGTTTATCCTGGAATCAGATGCTAGATTTCTAAAGAATGAAATGTGAAAACACAGAAAATTGTTCAGTTAGACATTCACAATGAGCATCAAGGAACTTATGTACAATTTTTTTTCATGCTTGTCTCAAAAAAAATCCCATTTTTAGTTAAATGAATCTTTTACATAAGACTTAGAAACAAAATATACTATTTTACGTAGTGTCATATACAGTATTTGAATGTTTATCTTACATCTAAAAAACTTCAGAATTCTCGCATCTTTTTGCATAGCCAGTTTTCTTATGTAATATTGAGAAATGCAATTATGAGACTTCAAAGGAATTTCACGAAATCATGAATTCCTAAGACTCTGACTGCCTACCTCATGCATCTCATTTTTTCTCATCATTAGTTGTCTAAATATGTTTTATGTTAAAAATTATAGCAATAAGGGATGGGAACTTAAAAAGGAACCCACATTTTTCTTCTTATTAAAAAAAAAGTGAAGAATTATCTACCTCCTTGAAAGATCAAGCCATTCTATGAACTATCAACATCTGAAAAATCCTAAACCCCTTTTCAAACTCATTCATTTGTGTGTGACTCATTCACAGTAAATCTATGCCCGAACAGTTTTAGTCTTAACCAAATGTTGACCAAGCTGAAAGTATGCTAAAAGCTCTGCCAACTCGCACATATTTTTGACAACACAGACAGCCACAAATGTCACTTATGAGTAATCTTTTTATTACTTCTTGGCTAGTGATTACTCTCAAACTCCTTTGCCTATAAGATTGTGCTCATGCTTTTAATATTGGTTCTCTCCTCTTCCCCTTTCTGTTGGCCCTCATTAGTCCTTGCACACAGCATCAGTTCCTGATCTCAGTCCTAATGCCATCCTGATTAGTTCTCCTAACATCAGACAAATCCAGAGGCTGTCAACAGCCAATGGAGTTGGGAAATCATCTTTTCCAGATCTTCATTTTAAAGTAGGAAACCCTGATTTTACACAAAAAATGGATGGTATCCCATCCTCCAGCAAAGGCCAGCCTGCCCATCTGGTCCCCTGTGTAAGGGTCTCCTGAGTGCTTCGGTTTTTCTATTCCATTGAGGTATCCAGAACCAAGAGAGAAATTCTTCTCTGGCCCCAAGTGACACACAGACTGAGCCCTGCTTTCTTACTGCCTTCAAGACAGCCCTACATACCTGGACTATGTCCTGTTTCTGCTCATTCCATATGTTATTACAGAAGTCCTGTTTCTCCTCATTCCATCTGTTATTACAGCCAGAATGGTGAACTGATCCTTACATATTATCTGTGCTGCACCCACCTCATTTCCCAGAATCAGATTCTCTTCCAAGGTCCATGCCTGGCTTCAGTGAGAGTGGCCATGTTCTTGCTATGGCAGAGCTGAGTAGGCTGGACCTCAACAGGACCCAGGCCACTGTGTGTATGACATGTTGCCTCCGTGCTCCTGAGAGCAACCCCCATCCTCCCTCTTCATCTCTTCATCTACTCTTGGGGGCTCCCCTTCACCTCCAAGGAAGCTGCATATCTGGCATTACCTCCTCATCAGGAGCTACCATTTCCTCAGGAATCATCAGAGCACCTATTTCTAAGATAAAGTGACAGAGAGTATGTCTAACAAAAGAGAAATTGCACCCAACTTCAGGTATTAAACTTTAAGGTAATAGGCTCCTTAAAGCCCAAAATAAACAGCAGAGTTTCTTGGGGCATCAAATTCACTTAAAAGCAGTAACTTCAAATTTCTTATATATTAGAATAAAGGATGGATTACTGTGGAGTAAAATACAGAATGTATATTAATATTTAAAGATAAAATCTAAGACCTCTAGGAAATCTTTAAATTCAGGTGGAAAATATCAGCTTGACTCTAGACCACCCTCACATTACCTCCTCAACACGTAGGTGTAGACATTTATTCTTGCAGTTATTACTGAGAACGTCAGAGAGACATGCCTCTATGGTTGTTTTCTATCATTAAAGGGGGTTACTATTGGGCCAGGAGTAACTTTCATACTCTATAGATGCAGCCCTTTCTCCTCTGCCCCTTCCACTGACCATTTTCATGAGGTATTCCAGATGTTGTGCCTGCCAGAAGTTTGCAGGGCTGATGTGGTTTCACAGGATTTTCTTCTAGACTGACAAGGAGAAGTGGAATAATTTTTCTTGCATAGGTTCCAAAGAGATTGATATCTCAATAACAATTATGCATAACTACAATCTTTGTTGTTGTTATTATAAACAGAGCTACAATGAACATATTTATCATACTATCTGTGCTGACATCATAGTTATTTCTCTAAGAATAACAGAGGAAGTGGCTCTTTCTAAAAATATCAATTGACCTAATATTTTTATAAACTCCAGAACTAGGTCATGACTATTAGACATTATCTTATGCTGGAATGAAAAGTATTCATGAATACTGAGGTCATACTAAAGTTTATTAAGTGTTATCTCCAAGCCAGGCATGGTGGCTCATGCCTGTAATCCCAACACTTTGGGAGGTTGAGGTTGGAGGATCACTTGAACTCAGGAGTTCAAGACCAGCCTGGGCAACATAGAAGACCTCATCTCTACAAAAACTTAAAAAATTAGCCAGGCATGGTGTTGCACGACTATAGTCCCAGCTACTTGGGAAGCTGAGGTGGGAGGATTGACTGAGCCTGGGAGGTTGAAGCTGCAGTGAACTATAATAGCGTCACTGCACTCCAGCCTGGGTGACAGAGAGATACCCTGTTTCAAAAAAAAAAAAATGCGTTATCTGCAGATCGCCTGGCCACATGTGATCCAGCCCAAATCACTCAAACATCCCCCAAATAGACAATTAGAGAATGGTGAGGCAGGTGTAGAAGAAACAGATTTGGTTTCCAGTGCCAAGCCTACCACCCCTATGAATTCTGGCTACCCACAGACAGCATCTTTAATACACACATCTTAGCTCTAATACTAAAATCTAGCAGAATCATATAGATAAAATGCAAAGAGCAGTGTACCTGAGGGCCATAAGAGTAGCTGAAATTCAACAGACAAAATTATAACTTTCTTCCTCAAAATGTGGATTTTTAAAGAATATGAAATATTAATAGAAAATGTGTACGTAACCCATACAACAATGATAGTCAGCTAATACTTGTCTGGTTCTGTTGATGCTCAATGTACAAGTTCACAGTCTTGGTTTGATTAAGTCTGGGCATCACCCCACACCCATAAAAACCAAGGGAGTCTCAGTTACATGCAGGACCCCTTCCCTGCCCTGAGAGGACCTGCCGGATATGTACAGTGATGGAAAGAAGGCACTCAAGCTGACAGTGACTAAGCATCAATGTGCTGGTGCTTCACACTTGCTGACCATTTAATCCTCATGACCACCGTAAGTATTAATACTATTATCATCGCCTTCCAAATAAAAACACCAAAGGTCATGGTAAACATGAATTTGTTAAATATATATTGACTTGTAAACCCAAACATAACACATACCTGTGATTATAAAGGCTGACACATGAGGGCTTTCTAAGGTGCTCAAAAAGGAATAAATAGCTTGTGAGCACAGTTAATGACCCACTGAAACAGAGATCAATGCAGCAAGAGTTCAGAGAGGGGTTGCATTCTACCATGAAAAGTGATAGAAAAACCTAGAGTTCATAGAAATCTCACAGACGCTCTGTCTGCAGTCTTATTTAGGGCCAAATTGTGGCTCTAGACTTAACCAATAAAAGGTAACTCAAGTAATTTTTCAAAGTCAGTGCAAGCAGTACACTCAAAGCCCTGGCTCTGTTGTCTCTGAATTGCAACAGAAAAATAATTGTACCACATCTGTCACATCTTTGCAAATTAACAAATTTATAATCAGCAAAACTGAAGAGTGTTGCCCCCTCTGTTTCTCAAATCCCTGAGGAAATGCTAAGGAACAGAGGAATATGACACTAACTAATATATTTTGCAGAACAGCAAAATAACTCAATAGTATAATTTTTATTTTTGGATTGATTAAAGACATTACTCTTGCCTCAACAAGTTTCAGAAACTGGCCAGATGGATCATTTTCTCTCATTGCTCATAAACTACACACATTGCTGAATCTGTAATTCATAGAAACATATCATGGTGACCATCTTGTAAATGCCAATGCCAAGCTACCAGTCCCTTTCATTACATGCCGTAATTATGGATTAAATGATTTCATAAACATATTGGTTGTTTCAAAGTTGGCATGAGGCTGTCTTAGAGCCCCTGCAATCTGTCATCACTGTTAATGAGATATCAACCTTCTTGTAACCCAAGCAAAAAAAAAAAAAAAATTCTCTTTGAATGTCAGCCAGGGGAGAAAAAACCCTCCAGAACTTCTGCAAACTCTGCAACCTCCTCTCAAACACCATATCCAGAAAGTCTTCAGGAAAAGGGCCAGTGACATGATCAAATGACAAGGGCAACATCTGTGCAATATAAAATGTAGGCATTGATGATGTCTGGGATTCTTTCTTTCCTCACAGCAGCAAGGACCACCTTAAACAGGTGAAGCTCTTTGAAGAGGCTTCTTAATTTTCACTGAAGACCTTCTAATAGTAAAGAATAAACTCATACACTCAAGGATCTTGGAGGCATGGCTTCTAGATCTTACTATGATTTCAAAATGTCCTAGAAATCTTGTATAATATCTTTTGATTTTTATTATACACCTTGCATCCTATTTTACAATATGTCTAGGCTTAATTTAGTATTTAGGAAGCTTTGGAGATCTATTGGAAGATGGCAGATAGGAGGAAGAACTAGCTTGCAGATCCCACTTGGACAGACAAAGCAGTGTGCGGAGACTCACATAGTGAACTTTTGCTCTAAGAATGACACCAACATACCAGGAAAACTGAGAGAACCCATAACCCTTTGAAGGAACTGTATCACCACTGCAGATTCCTTGAGACATTGAAAAATGGTGAGTTGGCTTGCTTTCTCAGTGGGGAGGCTGGTGGCCTGCAGCAAGTTCTCAGCCCTGGTCACTGGCTGCCCTACTAGACTCAGTGCTGTTGTGGGGGCATGGTGGGAGTGAGACTAGCCTTTAGGACTGCAGGACACATGGAAGCACAGCAAGGCCTGTGACTACCAGCTTTCTCCAACTTCCCTGGTGACCTGTGTGACTCAGCAGAGGCAGCCATAAATCCTGTGAGAACATAACTCCACTGGACTGGGAACCACACCCCCATCCCTCACAGCAGCTGCAGCAAGCCCTGCCCAAGGAGAAACTGAGCTCAGACACAACTATCCCTGCCCCCACCTGGTGGTCTTTCTCTAGCTGCCCTGGTAGCTGAAGACAAAGGACATAATAGAGCTCTCTTGGGAGCTCTATGGCCCTACCCACCACCTGAGAAACTTGAATACTTAACCAGGTGACCCTAGGGCAAGTTTACTTCCTTCCTATAGTACCACAGGTGCTGCACTCTTGAAAGTGCCACCTCCTGGCTGGAAGCCAACCAATACAAAACCAGCACACTAAACAAAAATACAACCAAGGACCCTCACAGAGTCCATCCACTTCACTCCCCTGCTACCTCCACCAGAGTAGATGCTGGTATCCACTGCTGCAAGACCTGAAGACAGCTCACATCACAGGACTCTTTGCAGACACTCTCCAGTACCAGCCCAGAGACCAGTAGCTCCATTGGATGGCTAGACCCAGAAGAACAAAAACAATCACTGCAATTCAGCTCTCAGGAAGCTCCATTCCAAGGGGAAGGAGGAGAACACCACATCAAGGGAGCACCCTGTGGGACTAAAGAATCTGAACAGCAGCCCTTGAGTCCCATAACCTCCCTCTGACATAGCCGACCTAAATGAGAAGGAACCAGAAAAACAATACTGGTAATATGACAAAACAAGGTGCTTCAACACCCCCAAAAGATCACACCAGTTCACCAGCAATGGATCCAAACCAAGATGAAATTTCTGAATTGCCAGAAAAAAAATTTAGAAGGTCAATTATTAAGCTAATCGAGAAGGCACCAGAGAGTTAACTCCAACTTAAAGAAATCAAAAGCATCATATAGGGTATGAAAGGAAAATTCTTCAGTGAAATACCATAAATAAAAAACAATCACAACTTCTGGAAGTAAAAGACATGCTTAGACAAATGCAAAATGCACTGGAAAGACTCAGCAATAGAAGTGAATAAGCAGAAGAAAGAACTTCAGAGCTGGAAGACGAGGCTTTTGAATTAGCCCAATTCATCAAAGACAAGGAAAAAAGAATTTTAAAAAATGAACAAAGGCTCCAAGAATTTTAGGACTATGTTAAGCATCCTACCTAAGAATAATTGGTGTTCCCAGGGAAGAAGAGAAATCCAAAAGTCTGGAAAACATATTTGAGGGAATAATTGAAGAGAACTTCCCTGGCCTCGCTAGATATCTAGACATCCAAATACAAGAATCTCAAAGAATGCCTGGGAAATTCACTGCAAAAAGATCATTGCCTAGGCACATAGTCATCGGGTTATCTAAAGTCAAAATGAAGAAAAGAATCTTAAGAGCTGTGAGGCAAAAGCATCAGGTAACCTATAAAGGAAAACCTATAAAGGTAACCTATAAAGGAAAACCTATAAAGGTAACCTATAAAGGAAAATCAGAGAAACAGAAGATTTCTCAGTTGAAACCCTACAGCTAGAAAGGTTTAGGGTCCTATTTTTAGCCTCCTTAAACAAAACAATTATCAGCCAAGAATTTTGTATCCAGCGAAACTAAGCTCCATAAATGAAGGGAAGACACAGTCTTTTCCAGACAAACAAATGCTGAGAGAATTTGTCACTACCAAGCCAGCACTATGAGAACTACTAAAAGAAGCTCTAAATCTTGAAACAACTCCTCAAAATACACCAAAATAGAACCTCCTTAAGGCATAAATCTCACAGGACCTACATAACAATAACACAATAAAAAAAAAGCCAAGGTATTCAGGTAACAAATAGCACATGAAAAGAATAGTACCTCATATCTCAATACTAACGTTGAATGTTAATGGCCTAAATGCCCCACCTTAAAAAATACAGTATGGCGGAATGGATAAGAATTCACCAACCAGTTTCTCCCGTCTTCAGGAGACTCACCTAACACACAAGAACTCACATAAATTTAAGGTAAAGGGGTGGAAAAAGATATCTCATGCAAATAGGCACCAAAGCAAACAGGAGTAGCTATTCTTATATCACACACAACAGACTTTAAAGCAACAGCAGTTTATAAAGACAAAGAGGGACATTATATATTGATAAAAGGACTAGTCCAACAGGAAAATATTACAATCCTAAATATGTATGCACCTAACACTGGAGCTCCCAAATTTATAAAACAATTAATACTATACCTAAGAAATGAGACAGTTGGCAACACAATAATAGTGGGGGACTGCAACACTCTACTGACAGCACTAAACAGGTCATCAAGACAGAAAGTCAACAAAGAAAGAATGGACTTAAACTATACCCTAGAACAAATGGACTTAATAGATATTTACAGAACATTCTACCCAACAACTGCAGGATATACATTCTATTCGTGACTACATGAAACATTCTCCAATATAGACTGTATTAGAGGTCACAAAACAAATCTCAGTAAATTTAAGAAAATCAAAATTATATCAAGTACTCTCACAGATCACAGTGGAATAAAATTGGAAGTTAACTCCAAAAGGAACCCTCAAAACTATGCCAATACATAGAAATTAAATAACCTGCTCCTGAATGATCATTGGGTCAACAATGAAATCAAGATGGAAATTAAAAAATTGTTTGAACTGAACAATAATAGTGACACAACTTAGCAAAACCTCTGGGATACAGCAAAAGCAGTGTTAAGAGGAAAGTTCATTGCATTAAATGCCTACATCAAAAAGTCTGAAAGAGCAAAAATAGACAACCTAAGGTCATACCTCACAGAAGTGAAGAAACAAGAACAATCTAAACCCAAACTCAGTGGAAGAAGAGAAATAACAAACATTAGAGCAGAACTAAATGAAACTGAAACAAAAAAATACAAAAGATAAATTAAACAAAAAGCTGATTCTTTGAAAAGATAAATAAAATTGATAGACCATTAGTGAGAAAAACAAGGAGAAGATCCAAATAACCTCAATTAGAAACAAAATGAGAGATGTTACTACTGATACCACAAAAATAAAAAGGATTATTCAAGGCTAATATGAACACCTTTATGTGCATAAACTAGAAAATCCAGAGAAGATGGTTAAATTCTTGGAAATATACAAACATCCTAGATTAAACCAGGGAGATATAGAATCTCTGAACAAATCAATAACAAGTAGCAAGATTGAAATGATAATTTAAAAATTGCCAACCCATCTCTACTAAAAGTACAAAAATTAGCTGGGCATGGTGGTGGGCACCTGTACCAGCTACTCAGAGGCTGAGGCAGGAGAATCACTTGAACCTGGAAGTGGAGGTTGCAGTGAGCCAAGATCGTGCCATTGCACTCCAGCCTGAATGACAAGAGTGAAACTCTGTCTCAAAAAAAATTAATTAATTAATTAAAATTAAATAAAAAATAAAATTTTCAAAAAAAAGAGTCTAGGGCCAGACAGATTCACAGCTGAATTCTATCAGACATTCAAAGAAGAATTGGTACCAATCCTATTGACACCATTCCACAGGATGGAGTAGGAGGGAATCCTCCCTAAATCATTCTGTGAAACCAGAATCACCCTAATACCCAAACCAGGAAAGGACATAACCAAAAAAGAAAACTACAGACCAATATCCCTGATAAAAACAGATGAAAAATTCTCAACAAAATACTTCCTAACTGAATCCAACAGCATATTGAAAAAATAATCCATCATGATCAACTGGGTTTCATGCCAGTGATGCAGGGATCTTTTAACATCCACAAGTCAATAAATGTGATACACCACATAAACAGGATTAAAAACAAAAATCACGTGATCATCCCAATAGATGAAGAAAAAGCATTTGACAAAATCCAGCATCCTTTATGATTAAAACCCTCAGCAAAATCGGCATAGAAGAGTCATAACTTAAGGTAATAAAACCCATCTATGAGAAAGCTACAGCCAACATTACACTGAACAGGGAAAAGTTGAAAGCATCTCCACTGAGAACTGGAACAAGACAAGGATGCCCACTTTCACCACTTCTATTCAACATAGTACTGGAAGTCCTAGCCAGAGCAATCAGACAAGTGAAAAAAAATCAAGTCCATCCCAATTGATAAAGAGGAAGACAAACTGTCACTGTTTGCTGATGATATGATTGTATACCTAGAAAATCCTAAAGACTCATCCACAAAGCTCCGAGAACTGGCGAATAAATTCAGCAAAGTTTGAGGATACAAAATTAATGTAAACAAATCAGAAGCTCTGCTATACACCAAAAGAAATCAACATGAGAATCAAATCAAGAACCCAACCCCTTTTATAATAGCTGCAAAAAAAAGTGAAATACTTAGGAATATACCTAACCAAAGAGGTGAAAGGCCTCTACAAGGAAAACTACACAACACTGCTGAAAGAAATCATAGATGACACAAACAAATGAAAACACATCTTATGCTCATGGATGGGTAGAATTAATATTGTGAAAATGACCATCCTGCCAAAAGCAATCTACAAATTCCATGCAATTCCCATCAAAATACCATCATTTTTCACAAAACTAGAAAAAAAATTCTAAAATTCATACGAAACCAAAAAGAGCCCTCACAGCCAAAGCAAGACTAAGCAAAAAGAACAAATCTAGAGGTATCACATTACCTGACTTCAAACTATACTAGAAGTCCATAGTCACCAAAACAGCATGGTACTGGTATAAAAATAGACACATCAATGAATGGAACAGAATACAGAACCCAGAAATAAAGCCAAACACTTACAGCCAACTGATCTTTGACAAAGCAAACAAAAACATAAACTGGGGAAATGACACCCTATTCAACAAATGATGCTGGGGTATATTAGCTAGCCACATGTAGAAGAATAAAACTGGACTGTCATCTCTCACCTTATACAAAAAATCAACTCAAGATGAATCAAAGACTTAAATTTAAGACCAGAAACCGTGAAAATTCTAGAAGATAACACTGGAAAAACCCTTCTAGATATTGCCTTCAGCAAAGATTTCATGACCAAGAACCCAAAAGCGAATGCAACAAAAACAAAGATAAGTGGATGGGACTTAATTAAACTAAAAAGCTTCTGCACAGCAAAATAAATAATCATCAGAGTTAACAGACAACCACAGAGTGGGAGAAATCTTCACAATCTATACATCTGACAAAGGACTAATATCCAGAATCTACAAAGAACTGAAACAAATCAGCAAGAAAGAACCAAATGAGCCCATTAACGAGTGAGCTAAGGACATGAATAGACAATTTTCAAAAGAAGATACGCAAATGGCCAACAATCATAAGGAAAAACGCTCCACATCACTCATTATCAGGGAAATGAAAATCAAAATCGCAATGTGATACCACCTCACTCCTGCAAGAATGGCCATAATAAAAAAGTAATAGATATTGGCATGGATGTGGTGAAAAGGGAACACTTTTACACTGTTGATGGTAATGTAAACTAGCACAACTACTGTGGAAAACAGTGTGGCAACCCTTAAAGAACTAAAAGCAGATCTACCATTTGATCCAGCAATCCCACTACTAGGTATCTACCCAGAGGAAAAGAAAACATTGTACAAAAAAGATACTTGCACACGCATGTTTATAGCAGCACAATTTGCAATTGCAAAAATATGGAACCAGCCCAAATGCCCATCAATCAATGAGTGGATAAAGAAAACGTGGTGTATATATATACCATGGAATAATATTCAGCCATAAAAAAATATTGAAATAATGGCATTTAGAGCAACATGGTTGGAATTGGAAACTATTCTTCTAAATGAAATATCTCAAGAATGGAAAACCAAACATTGTAGGTTCCCACTTATAATTGAGAGCTAAGTTATAAGGACGCAAAAGCACAAGAATGATTCAATGGACTTTGGGGACTCGGAGGGAAGGTGGGGAGGGAGGTGAGGGATAAAAGATGACATATTGGGGTATGGGGTACACTGCTTGGGTGATGGGTGCACCAAAATCTCAGAAATCACCACTAAATAACTTGTTCATGTAACCAAATAACACCTGTTCCCAAAAAACCTATTAAAATAAAAATTAATTTTAAAAGAAAGATCTTTTGATTTCATGTCCTGACTTCTCTGAAATAGGCATGCATTATTTGTGGTAAGTTGAAAAATAATGAAAAAATCGAGTTACTTATTAAACAAAATAAAAGTAAAGAGATTGAAGCATTAAAACAAAAACAGAAGCTTTGCGTCAAGTGAAATTGATACACCAGGAAGAAGAATCATATTTATCCTGGACATTGAGAAGCCCTAAGGGTTTATATGGCCAACTTTAACATTCTCAGTTTTAGGGAATTCTCTAAATAGAGACAGTTTCATTTAATCAAAAATGGGAGAAATTGATAAAATGTCTCCTTTCTTAGGTAAATTAAGCCATTCCCCTATATTCTTGCCAAGTTCCATAAGAAACGTTGCCTTTTTGTTACTGTTAGTAAATCATGGGTCAAATATGTAGATAATTGGAGTTTTATTTATATCTCTTTCTTAACAGTGGAACTAAAGGTTGGAAGGGACATTGTGGAGTAAGCCCAGAAAGTAGACCAGATGCCTCATATGTAGGACAAAATTTGGACTTGGGACTTTAGGGTCTTCAAGGGTCTTTTATTAACTGAAGGGTCTTTAAGATACCATCCGGCTGTATTTATATATGGTGATGGTCTTCAAACTTATTTTTCACATATACCTTAACAGAAATTTGAAAAACAACGTACCCAGTCATACATTTTTCTGCAGAAGTTTAAATAGTGCAAAAGATACAACATCCAGCATATAAGTATTGATATTTTTTAAAATCAGACTTGTTAACTATCACTCATTTAAATATTTATAAGGGAAATTAAGTATCATGGTAGTTTGATATCAACTATCATCTCATATTAAAAAAATATTGACCATTTGAATGGTATCATCCAATGGTCCATGCAAAATGTGAATTAACTTTTGGAAACCAAAGTTTTTTTGTAAATAAAATGGTGTTCCCAACTCCAAGGAGGATTAAAACCACAGACATTAACACTAAAGCTGATGTTTGCCCAGTTATTGAAACAGCTTGTGAGTAGAAAAACTTACATACTATTCCCAACAAAAGCCCAAAACAACTCATTGGTAGGACTGGGCATGTGCTGAGTAACCAAAAAGAATAACTCAAATCACACTGAGAAGAATCAGTGGCTCTATAAATGTAAAAATGGTATACAAGAATTTTGCTAAGCCTCCATTGGCAGTGTAAACCTCTGATTATCTTATAAATGTCTGACCAGAGATCAGCAAATTACTTTTTTTAATCCCCTCCCCTATCTTCATGGATCTTCAGCCTTCCAGAGTTCCAACTAAGAAAACAAAAAATGAAAATTAAACAGAATGATTGAAAGCTGGCAAGAAGGATGAGGAAGCAGACAGTTTAAAACTGAAGGAACTGAAAGGAGTGTGGCAAGAGAGACTGGGAGTCTTGAGGAGGAAAGCTCCTCTAGGGGCTGAGAAAAAGAAAGCTGGTAACAAGGGGGACGAAAGGAGGGAAAGCCAAAGCCCACCTCCTCTCCCAATTCTCCACTCCAGGAGGATTCTCTGTGGGGATTACAGAAGATGATTGAAGTTTGAAATAATTAAGTGCTTTGAACATTCTTCTGGAACTCCTGTATCACGGATGGACTAAGAAAAGTCTTCTTCCTCTATGCGACCTTGCTATCCTACCCATCACATATTAATGGCTTTGTAAATAGACTTGCATTTAGGTTCTGCTTCCAACATACATATGATTTGGAAAGAGACGAAAATTTTTAGTTAAGTCTGAAGTTTTCCCTTTTCCAGATGGAGGAGGGAGAAGGGCCTGCCACCCATAGAAACTGCCTGAGATCCAACAACAGTCCAGAGAGCCAGTCAGTTTCCTGGACTAGAGAAGACCCTGAGAGGAAATACAATATGCATCTGTTAAACACCTCAAACCACACGTCTTCCATCCTGCACAAGTGAGTGGATCCTTCACATCTCAGTCACATCTAAGTACCTACATCCTAGAGTGAGACAGGTCCTCAAGGTTGCTATCTTTAAGAAAGTGAACTACAATTATCTTCATGAACCAAATGAAGACCAGGCTGTCCAGGGTCTCTAAGTTCAGGTAAGAGCCAAGAGACCAGAGTTCAAGTTACCTGTCTCAGCTCAAAGAGGTAAGCACAAAGAGTACAAAGTAGACATGCATTATTTTTGTAAGCTCCAAGATCATAAAATTAATATAGAAAAATCACACATCAGAAGTTTATCACTCCTTCAGCAATTTTTTTTTCTTTGATCTTGCCTTTCTCTAGTTCTCTCTCTTATTCTATGGAGAGAATGTAATGGTGCCTTTCTACTTTATAAAAATTAAACATTTTATTCCTATTACCATATTCTGAACAGCTGATCTCTATACTCAAGAGATTTATTTCAATGCACAAGAAACTGATCATCATTTTTAATCATTATCACCAGCTGGGGCTGGCAGACTTCTAAGATGACCCTGCAATAACATTCGCCCTTCTATAAGCCCTGCCCTTTGGAAAGGGTGGAATTTGTGATATGATGAAATATTACTCTCACAATTAAGTTTTGTTATATGGCACAGTTAAGTTTAAGAAAAGGAGATGGTCCAGATGGGGCTAACTTAATCAGAATTTTCTCCAGCTGATGGGAGAAGAAGTCAGAGATTCAAACATAAGAAGGACTCAATGTACTGCCACTGCTGGCTTTGAAGGTAGAAGAGGTCATGTGAAAGGAAACTAAAAGCAACCTCTAGAAGCTGAGAGTGACCTCCAGCCGACAGCCAGTGAGAAAACAAGACCTCAGTCCTACTGCCACAGGGAACTGGATTCTACCAACAACTTGAATGAGCTTGGAAACCGATTCTTCCCAAAACATCCCAATAGGAAGGCACTTTAGACCCTGTGCAGAGAACCCAGCCATGCTTTGCTAGACTTTTGACCTACAGAACCACGAGCTAATTAATGGTGGTGTTTTAACCTTCTAAATTTGTGGAAATTTGTTACACAGCAATAGAAAATGAATATGCCAGTCTTGGATTTAAAATAAAAATATTCACAAACACTAAATAATAAGATTAAGGACAAATTTTGTTTCATCCCACAATTAAATGACTGGACACAAATTTATGTGTGCAGAACATGCTGTGATTGGCTTGGTGAAGGGTTTATCTATTGAGAAAACAAAGTTGCTTTCAAATAGTACATGTAGTTCATAGTCACCCCCATCTGACTCTTAAAGTTACAAATACTGAACTTTTGAATGGAGAATAAAAGTCTCAAAAAGGAGTAGTAAATGTTTCTAGAGCCAAAGAGAACAAAGGAAAGGGTTTTCTATATATCAAATTTGCATTTGAAAAATGGGTCATTAGGAGCATCCCTCTTGTCATGATTGCATCCAAAACTCATATAGTATCTCCTCTGGAAGACGCTCGCCTGCTAAAAGAGAAAGCTAAATATGTAAAAGCCAGAAACACAAGATGCCAAATGTAAATCTACAGTTTTAGCAGTTGGGCACGAATGACAGGAAGGATGAATATCCCCTGAAAAATATCTTTAACTGTCGCTGCTGGGATAATACATTCAACTAACTGTAAAAATGTGCCTCTTAAAGAAATGGCTTTATAAAATTATTCTCTAGGAAGTGTGAAACTTCATACACTTATTCCATTGGAGGAGAATTTAAAACCACTCATACATTACTAGCATACAGCTGATGAGAGAGATGAAGGTTCCTTATCAGTAACAACAGATATACTGCTATAGTCAAGATGCTTTCACAATGGCAATAGAAAAAGGAGCCTGTACCAGCTTCCCAGATCCAGAAACAGCATAACAAGAGCAAGCTTGCTGGATCACAGGCAGATAACCCAGCTGTGCCTTCCTCAAAGGCGGGGAAGAGGATATTTACCACTGAGGTTGAAGAACTTTCCAAAATTTTCATTCTAATCTTTCTTGGTTTTCACTTTCTTCTACTAGAGCTACTCAGTAATAAAACACCAGCAAAAAAAAATATGTCTTTGTACCACGTTGTTATATTTATATTTGAATTTGGCCCAAGAGCAAAGATGTATACCGACACATTGAATATGAAAAATTTATCCTGGCACAATGAATGAATATAAGTTTAACTTTTCTAAATATTTTCTGATTCATGTCCTCTTAGCAGTAAGCCAGTTTCTCTGCCTGCACTGTATTTATCACAGCCTGAGAAGAGACCAGGGCAAATGCTGTCTCAGCCAAGAGGAGAACATAATGGAGAGGAGTCTGTGCCCAACAAGAGAAAAAATAAGCCAACCCAATTAGCCCTGGAAGACCCAGGTATTTCTTAGTCCCTAGTAGGGGTGGAAGCTCTGGAGAAAAGTTGGATCTATTACTTTAGATAATAGGTAAGCAAAGTAAAGAAGTTAATTTTTCACATCTGAATCTGCTGGAGGTAAATTTGGAACCCGCTTGCACAAAGATTTCACAGTAGTTTGAACAGTGGAAAATGAGGAAAGAGTTGAGTCATCCACTGGCCCACAGCAGTGGAGTCAGAATGAATTCAGAAACCTGCCTCTTTGGCTTTGTGCTACAAATCAATGTACTGTGTAATCTGGTGTTGCCAACAAGTCCTGGTTTACCTGGGAATTTCCCAGTTTTAGCACTGAAAGTCTCAAGTCTAGGGAAACCCCTCAATCCTCCATCAATCCTGTCTTTGTATACATCAGCTTGCAACCATTCATTACAAGTAAGTGTAGGAGTAAACGTAAAGCAGAATAATTTAATTGGATTAGATATCCACTTAACACAGCTTTTAATATTGTGGCATAACTCATGTTATCTTCAAGGAAACACAATGATTTATAGTTATCAATGGACACATTTAAACTGCCTTTTGAGAATCACTTACTGGCAGAGTTTGGGCATGAGGTCTGATTTCTTGAAGAAGAAGAAAATGTTAAACTGATCCATAATGTCTTGGACAAGTACTTAAGAGAACAATCATTCTTTGCATTGAAATTACCCCAGGATATTATACACATATGTTAATTTGTGTTTGTTCTAGTTGCTGAAAAACACCTGAAGCATCCAAAATGATAGAAGCACTGATATAATTTGGCTCTGTGTCCCCACCCAAATCTCATGTTGAATTATAATCCCCAACGTTGGGGGAGGAACCTGGTGGGAGGTGATTGGATCATGGGGCGATTTCCCCCTTGATCTCATGATAGTGAGTGAATTCTCAAGACATCTAGCTGTTCGACAGTGTGTAGCACTTCCACATTTGCTCTCTCTCTCCTGCTCCACCATGTGAAAATGTGCCTGCTTCCCCTTCCCCTTCCGTCATGTTTGCAAGTTTCCTGAGGCCTCCCCAACCATGCTTCCTGTCAGCCTGCAGAACCATGAGCCAATTAAACCTCTTTTCTTTATAAATTACCCAGTCCTCTGGTGGTTCTTTATAGCAAGGTGAGAATGGACTAATACAGGCATAGTAGGCAGTAACATGGCAAAGACGGTGGCTACAAATGTATCACCAATATAAATTATGTTGAGCAGAAGTGGAGAGTGGAATTGATGGATCAGCCCAGCCCGCCCTGTCAACATCTTGCCTACCTGCAGGAGGGAAGAGCCGAAGGAGGCAAAAATGAGAGAAGGTCTGAAGGTCCTGCCACCTCCTTACCCTTACTCCCAACAGAAAAGGAGTCATTTGTCCACTCCCTTCAGCTACTAATTTTAGCTTCTAGAATTGATCAATAATGTGCTTTGGCTCTCATCATCCAAAATCAATAAGAAAATTGCTAATAACATCACTGCAAATTATAACTACTTTTAGGGAAATGTGTCCTGTAAAAATGAGTCATATTAATGCAAACACCATGGAGAAGGGGTCAACATATAATAATAAGGGGGCATTACTAACCTGGCTCATTGGAATTTTAGGTCCCTTTGAGTGTCAGCTTCTCACTTTTCACTTCCCAGTTTCCCTATGGATGAGATAATTAAAAGTAAAATGGTATCAAACTGCATGGATAATTGAAAAACTAAATCCTCACCTTCCAGTAAAAAGAGAAGTGGCTATATATTTTTGGAAATATGCTCACTTGCTACAACTTTGGGCTGTGATACAGTGAGTGTGCAGCCCTATGACCTTATAAAGAAAAGGAAGCAGGGTTCGAGTGCGGTCGCTCATGCCTGTAATCCCAGCACTTTGTGAGGCCGAGGAGGGAAGATCACTTGAAGCCAGGAGTTCAAGGCCAACCTAGGCAACATAACAAGACCTCGTCTCTACAAAAAATTTAAAGATCAGCCAAGACTGGTGGCACACACCTTCAGTCCCAGCTATACTGGAGGCTGAGGTGGGAGGATCACTTGAACCCAAAAGTTTGAGGCTGCAGTAAGCTATGATCACGCCACTGCACTTTAGTGCACTCCAGCCTCAATGACAGAGATAGATTCTGTCTCAAAAAAAAAAAAAAAGGAAATATGGACCGATGGTCTGTCTCCAGAGTAAACATGCAAAGGAACACATAGTAAACGTATCTTTTCTATATCAGACAATCGGAGGAGAAAGGCTGTGGGCACAGCCTCAGATCAGAAGGGAGAAATGAAAATGGAAAGGACTATCAAATGGCAAACCCTGTTTTAACTGCTCAACCCACCATGCACTCTCTATATGTAAGACTTAAAGGAGGCATTTGCTGTCAATGTTCTGCCCATATCCCCTGGATCTTCTCACTGATTAAGCATGCCCTGCCCCCAGCCTCTTCATTCCTCATTCCTAACAGCTCACACCTGCAATCTCTTCAGAGCAGTATATTTAGGCTTCTAGAGCTGCCAGAAGCTCCTAGGAGCTTACGTCCTCCTGAGGTGGTCCATGGCCAGTGATTGGCATGTGCAGGAGCATCAAAGTCTAGTTCTCTGTCTTCAGGCTGGATAAACTCTGCTGTGTGGTTTACACCCCAGAATTAGGCTTAAGTGAGGAGTTGCCCTGAAATCCCATCCTTGGTTGGCTTCCCCCACTCCCTCTCCTGCTTGACCTGGGAACAGTTTCTTCATAAATCACTTATACACAAATCCTTGTCTGGAGGTCTGTTTCTGGGGAACGTGACATAGCTCCCATTCCAATATTTTTTTGGAGAAAGAAATGTAAAGTTAAACTTTATGAACCAGCATAAATCTCAGTGTCACTTCTAGTGGAAAGCCACGCCAATTTTTTATGTGCAAAATGTGGGGTCTGAGAAAAGAACTCAGACATAGGCACTGAGCCAGCTGCTACCTTCCATGTAGTGCTAATGTTGTGTGTCACTGAGAAATGTTAACAAGAAAAAATATCTCTACAAGTGCAGATCACAAGGTGATAAGAGACCCAGTCCTCTGCAAAGGTGAACTCAAGGACCAAAGCCAAGCTGCCTTCCAAAAGCTTAGAGGAAGAGGGTGCCAGCCTTTCTCTTACTCTAATAGCATTGAAAATATCAAATGTTATTTTCGTATTTAAGAACATAGGGTCTTTTTCCTCCTGATGCTGTCCAGATATCAAGCTTCAATGGAAAAATCATGAGATGGGCTGAAATCAAAAGCTATGTTGCATACCAGAAATAAACAATTTGGAATTTAGAATAAATAAATAATACTATTTACATTGGCACCCAACAAAATTAAATACTTAAGTATAAGTCTAACAAAATATCTACTACACATGCAGGCTTATAAAACTGCTGAAAGAAATCAAGGAAGATTTAAATAAATGGAAAGAGATTCGTGTTCACGCACTGGAAGACTCAATATTGTTAAGAGGTCAATTCTTCTCAACTTGATATATAGATTAAATGAAACCCAATCAAAATCCCATCTCATTATTGGCCAGGCACAGTGGCTCACACCTGTAATCCCAGCACTTTGGGAGGCCGAGGTGGGTGGATCACTTGAGGTCAGGAGGTTGAAACCAGCCTAGCCAACATGGTGAAACTCTGTATCTACTAAAAATACAAAAATTATCTGGGTGTGGTGGCAGGTGCCTATAATCCCAGCTACTCGAGAGGCTGAGACACGAGAATCACTTGAACCCAGGGTGTGGAGGTTGCAGTGAGCCATTGTGCCACTGCACTCCAGCCTGGACAATGGAGCGAGACTATCTCAAAAAAAAAAATCCCAACTCATTATTTTGTAGATATCCACAAACTTATTCCAAAGTTTATATAGAAAAGCAAAATATCTAGAATAGCAATACAATTCTGAAGAAAAAAGTTGAAAAACTCACACTGCTAGACTCCAAGAAGTATTATAAAACTACAGTAATCAAGACAGCATGGTATTGGTAAAAGAATACAGACATTGAGAGTCCAAAAACAGACCCACATCGATTATACTGTGAGGAGACATGAATAGATAAAGTATAGGAGATTTTTAGGATGTCATCGACTATTCTGTACAATGCTGTCATGGTAGATGTATTAGTCCATTCTCACACTGCTAATAAAGACATACCCAAGGCTGGGTAATTTATAAAGGAAAGAGTTTTAATGGACTCACAGTTCCACATGGCTGGGGAGGCCTCACAATCATGGTGGAAGTCAAAGGAGGAGCAAAGGCATGTCTTACATGGTGGCGGGCTGAAAGAGCCTGTGCAGAGGAACTGCCCTGTATAAAACCATCAGATCTTGTGAGACTTATTCACTATCAAGAGAACAGCATGGGAAAACACAACCCCCATGACTCAATTACCTTCCACCAGGTCCCTCCCATGACATGTGGGGATTATGGGAGCTACGGTGGACATATAACACTATGCGTTTGTCAAAACCTATTGAACATTACAGCACAAAGAGCGGACTTTAATGTAAGCAAATTAAAAAAAAAGAAAAACAATCACTTAGGAAGTCAGGAAAATCCTAGGACAGAATGTAGAACATAGTTTTAAAATATATATATATATATGAAATAACCTTACTAAAGTGGATGCGAGGAAATAATATTGACCCAATATTTTTGCAAATGAATAGTGTCTATAAAACTAAAGGCAGAAAAAACTATACATAGGCACTGTACTGTGGTTTATAAAGTTGTTTCTCAATGAGGTAGCAAGTAAACAAACAAGGAAGTAGCAAATAAACAATTCTGGTACTGCTATACATGGGTGCTGGAATTAAACAATTAAGTAAACGGGTGGCAGATGATGGGAGCCAGGTTTCTCACTGTTGGAATGGAAAGTTACAGTTAAGTAAGGGAGGAGGTTAGAATGACTTATGTGGCAATAGATTAGAGCTGGAGACATCAATATGAGCTTAGGTTTAGCTTATATAGATACAGATGGTTACATATAGAAATATTTATAAATATGTGTATATACATGGGTTAGTATATAAACATATATGTTCTTGCTCTGTCAGCTGATAGGGCCTAGAAGCAATAATACCTCAGTAGCAACAAACATGCCCAGATCTTGGTTTATGTATTAGCCAGTGTTCTTCAGAGAAATAGATCCAACAGAAGATATATATGCGTGTGTACACATACACACACACACACACGAGATGATGTATTATGGGAATTGACTCATACAAACATGGAAGCCAAGAAGTCCCACAATATGCCCCCTGCAAGCTGAAGACCCAGGAAAGCCAGTTCAAGTCCAAAGGCCTGAGAACAGGAACTCTGATGTCCAAAGACAGAAGAAGATGTATGTCCCAGCTTAAAGACAGAGGGAGAATTAACCCTTCCTCTGCCTTTTTGTCCTATCCAGGCCCTCAATGGATTGGATGATGCCCATCCACACTGGTAAGGGTGGATCTTCTTCACTTAGCCTATTGACTCAAATGCTAATCTCTTCCAAAAACACCCTCACAGACACATCCAGAAATAATGTTTTATTAGCTATTGTGGCATCCCTTGACCAAATCAGGTTGACACATAAAATTAACCATCACAGTTCCTAATATCATTCTCCAATAATAGGAACCAGGACTCCTTGGGAAAATAGCTAATTGTAAGAATGAGGCAGGAAATATACATGATGAGCCTGGATCATCTTAAAGTGCCAGAATGTCAATACTCAAAATAAAAAAGCTCACAATGATGGGGGTGTGTCAAAGGGTTACAGGAGCCAACTGAAAGAGCTCCGAATATTCAAAGCAAAAACAATTTGAGCAACAAGAAATAAAGTAGCATTGGATTATAACCCAAAATATAAAATAAACATTCATGAATCCATACTATCAGTAAATGACTGACTAAATAAATAAATGAGTAAAAGGCGACAAATCTCCCATGCAGAAGTAGTCCAAAGAATTAATGTAGACTCTCCACCCTCAAGGAGGTGGAGCATAACATCCCACTCCTTAAGTGTAGGCTGCACATGATATTCTTACAAACAGTACAGTATAAAAGGAAGGGGGACAGTGGTGAGGAAGTGTAACTTTACAGGAGAGAAACCTGACAACAAACACTATCTCAGCCAGGTGCAAGGTCAGGTTGATCTCAGCCAGGTGATCAAGGATAAGTCAGGTTGATAGTAGGTATACCCCTATATAAAATGATGAAAATGGCACATTACTTCTGTGGACTTCCTTCCCAATCTATTCAAGAAAAAAAAAATCGGAGAAATCCCAATAGAGAGATATTCTACAAAACACTTGGACAGTACTCCTGTACTCCTCAAATTTGTCGAGATCATCAAAAATAAGAAAAGTCTGAGAAACTGTCTCAGCAAAGAGGAGACAAAGGAGACATGATGATTAAATGTTATGTGACATTTTGGAAGGGATCCTGGGACAAAATAATAACATTTGGTAAAAACTAAGAAAATCCAAATAAGATATGGCCTTTATTTAATAATAATATATCAATATTGATTCACAACACCATGATCGAGTGAGTTTTATTCCTGGGTTGCAAGGATGGTTCAACATATGCACATTCAATAGGTGTGATTTACCACATAAACAAAATTAAAAACTGAAATCATATGATCATCTCAACAGATGTGGAAAAAGCAATTGATAAAATTCAGCATCCCTTTGTAATAAAAACTCTCAACAAACTAGGCTTTGAAGGAACATACCTGAAAATAATAAATCCATGCATGACAAACTCACAGTCAACATCATACTGAATGGGGAAAAGCTGAAAGCATTACACTTAAGAACTGGAATAAGACAAGGATGCCCACTTTCACCGCTTTTATTCAACATAGTATTGGAAGTCCTAGCTAGAGCAATCAGACAGGAGAAAGAAATAAAAGGCATTCGAATTGGAAAAGAGGAAGTCAAATCATCTCTGCTGATAATATAATCTTGTACCTAGGAAACCCTAAAATCTCTATCAAAAGACTCCTAATTTTGAGAAATGAATACAGTAAAGTTTCAGGGTACAAAATCAACATACAAAAATCAATAGCATTTCTCTCTCTCTCTCTTTTTTTTTTTTTTTTTTTGAGATGGAGTTTCACTCTTGTTGCCCAGGCTGGAGTGCAATGGCACGATCTTGGCTCACTGCAACCTCCATCTCTCAGGCTCAAGTGATTCTCCTGCTTTAGCCTCCCGAGTAGCTGGGATTACAGGCATGCGCCACCACATCCCGCTAATTTTGTATTTTTAGTAGAGACGGGGTTTCTCCATGTTGGTCAGGCTGCTCTCAAACTCCTGACCTCAGGTGATCCGCCTGCCTTGGCCTCCCAAACTGTTGGGATTACAGGCATGAGTCACTGCACCCGTCAAAAATCAGTAGCATTTCTATACACCAACCAACAGTCAAGCTGAGGACAAAATCAAGAGGTGAATCTCATTTAGAATAGCTATAAAAAAAATTAGATACCTAAGAATATTTTTAACCAAGATAAAAGATCTCTGCAAGGAAAACTACAAACCACTGATGAAAGAAATTGTAGATGACAGAAACAAATGGAAAAATATCCTATGTTTGTGGATCAGAGGAGAAAAATATTGTTAAAATGACCATTCTTCCCAAAGTAAGCTATAGATTCAATGCAATTCCTATAAAAATACCAAAATCATATTTCACAGAGCTAGAAAAAAACTATCCTAAAGTTTATATGGAACTAAAAAAGAGCCTGACTAGCCAAAGCCATCTAAAGCAAAAAGGACAAAATTAGAGGCATTTGTACTTTAAATTGTACAACATGGCTATAGTAAACAAAATAACCTGGTGCTGGTATAAAAATAGACACACTCAATCAATGGAACAGAAGAGCGATGCAGAAAGAAAGCCACATACCTACTGATCTTCAACAAAGTTGACAGAAATATGCACTGAGGAAAGGACACCCTATTCAATAAATGATGCTGGAAAAATTGAATTACCATACACAGAACAATGAAACCAGACCCCTTTCTCCCAACATACACAAAAATTAACTCAAGATGTATTGAAACTGAAACTATAAAAATACTGGAAGAAAACCTAGGAAAAATTCTTCTGAACACTGGCCTATGCAAAGCGTTCATTACTAAGACCTTAAAAGCAAATGCAATAAAAACAAAAAAGGACAAAGTGACTTAATTAAACTAAAAATCTTCTGCACTGCAAAATAAATAAATAAAAATAATCAACAGAGTGAACAGATAACCTGCAGAATTCAGAAAAAATTTGCAAACTCTGCACTTGTTAAAGGACTAATATCCAGAATCTACAAGGAACTCAAACAACTCACCACCAACAACAAAAGCAACAACAAATAGCCCCACTAAAAAGTGGACAAATGACACGAACAGACATTTTTCAAAAGAATACATACAAATGTTCAACAAGCATATGAAAAAAATCTCAATGTCATTAATCATCAGAGAAACGCAAATTACCACCACAATGAGATACCATCCCATGTCAGAAAGAATGACTATTATTAAAAAGTCAAAAAGTAACAGATGTTGGTGGGGATGCAGAGAAAAGGCAATGCTTATACACCATTGGTGGCAATGTAAAGTAGTACAACCTCTATGGAAAACAGTATGGAGATTTCTCAAAGAAATAAAAATTGAACTACCATTAAATCCAGCAATCCCACTACTGGGTATCTACCTGAAGGAAAAGAAATCATTTTATTAAAAAGATACCTGAACTGGTATGTTTATTTCACCCCTATTCACGACAGCAAATATATGAAATCAACCTAAGTGTACATCAACAGATGACTGGATAAAGAAAATGTGATATACATATTTATGTGTCTATATACATACAATGAAATATATATAATTTCATTTATATATATATATACAAACACACACAATGAAATAGTACTAAGCCATAAAAAAACAATGAAATCATGTCTTTTGCAACAACATGGATGGATGGAACTGGACGCCATTATCTTAAGAAATAAAAATAATCAACAGGGTGAACAGATAACCTGCAGAATGGAGAAGATATTTGCAAACTCTGCATCTGTCAAAGGACTAATATCCAGAATCTACAAGTATAATCCCATTAAAAAGTGGACAAAGGACATGAAAAGATATTTTTCAAAAGAACAAATACAAATATCTTCTTTGCTTCTTCACTGGTAATTTTTGCTTAAATAACTCAGAAACAGAAAGTCAAATACTGCATATTCTCATGTATAAGTGGTAGCTAATAATGTGTACACATGGACATAGACAGTGAAATAATAGACCTTGGAGACCCAGAAAGTTAGCAGAGTAGGAGGAGGGTGAGGGATGAGAAATTACTTCATGGGTGATGGCTACACTAAAGCCTAGACTTCACCACTACACAAAATATAAAATTTTTAAAGTTTGTTTTTATAGATTTAGGGGGTACAAGTGCAGTAACAAGTAACAAAACTGCACTTGTACCCCCTAAATCTATAAAAACAAACTTTAGGCCTGGCGCAGTGGCTCACGACTGTAATCCCAGCACTTTGGGAGGCCGAGGTGGGCAGATCACCTGAGGTCAGGAGTTTGAGACCAGCCTGGCCAACATGGCGAAAACCCGTCTCTAATAAAAATACAAAAATTAGTGGGGCATGGTGGCAAGTGACTGTAATCACAGCTACTTGAGAGGCTGAGGCTGGAGAATCACTTGAACCTGGAAGGTGGTGGTTGCAGTGAGCCGAGATTGTGCCACTGCACTCCAGTCTGGGTGACAGAGCGAGACTCCGTCTCAAAAAAAAAACAAAAAACAAAACTTTAAAAATAAAAGAATGTGTTTCTTTCTCCCTTGGTTGGTACCTATTGGGAGAAGGTGAGAAACCCAGCAATAACAAGCAACTGTAATACTGTTTTTGTAGTTTTTCTGTAAATCTAAAACTGTTCTCAAACTTTTTTTTTTTTTAGAAAGCATGTATTCTGCTTCCAGCATCACTGATGAATCAAGTGATGTGGCAAGACCCAGGTAATTCTCTGGGTATTAGCTTCCCCCCTTCTATAAAATGATATTCTAGGTTCAGCCTTGGTTAATTAAGTCCATAAGGGGGTGAAAAAAAAGAAAAGAAAAGTTACTGTGTATAAAACAGTGCTGCAGATTCCTTTCCTCTGTGGTATTCTGGATCCTTGCTATTCAAAATACGTTCTGTGGACCAGCAGCATCCACACTTGGAGCTTGTTAGAGAGGTAGAATCTCAGGACCTGCTGCAGGCCTGCTGCAGAATCTGCATTTTAACAAGATCCCGGGTAAATAGTGTACAGGTAGGAAGCATTCTTCTAGATAGCAGTAAGGACATGGGCTCCATGCAAATGGGTCATATACCAAGAGTCCATTTGGGATCCCATTCAAAGCTGTGTATCCCCATTTAACTGCACTGGCCACTGCCATCCACCTTACAAACTTCTTTTACCCAACACCTCAAGTTCAAAATCCAAACAAGGGCCTTCATTTTTAGGTGAACTACTGTATACCACAGTTTTTGTAGCAGGAGAAATCATGTAGCTATAACTGAATTTATGCATCATCCCCACTAACCCAAAAAACACATGGTGTGACTGTAAGCACCCAACTTGTTCACTGTGCCCACAGCCTAGAAAGAAGCCGATTTATCAAGGTAGGGGAATTGCAAAGGAGAAAGATTAATTCATGCAGGACCAGCTACGTGGGAGACCAGAGTTTTATTATTACTCAAATTAGTTTCCCCAAGCATTAGGGGATCAGAGTTTTTAAGGACAACTTGGCGGATGGGGGAAAGCCAGTGAGCTGGGAGTACAGATTGGTCAGGTCAGAGAAGAAATCATAGGGAGTCAAAGTTATCTTCTTGCATTGAGTCAGTTCCTGGGTCGGGGCCACAAGATTAGAAGAGTCATTTTACCAATCTGGGTGGTGCAGGGTCTGCAAAATATCTCAAGCACTGATCTTAGGTTTTACAATAAGTGATTTTATCCCCAGGAGCAATTTGAGAAGGGTCAGAATCTTGTCACTTCTACCTTCATGACTTCTAAACCATAATTTCTAATCTTGTGGCTAATTTATTAGGCCTAGAAAGGTAATCTAGTCCCCAGGCAAGGAGGTTTGTTTTGAGTGAGGGAAGAGAGAGGCCCTCTCATATTGTTTTATATTGTTTTATACTCAGTACCTGTTTTAAAAAAACAACAAGGAAGTAAAACCAAAGACAGGCAGCCCGTCACTAGGCCCGAAACCAGGCCTGGGCCTGCCTGGTCTAAACCCAGTAGTTAAAAATCAACTCATAACTCAAAAACCAATGTGATTCATAGATTTCCAACATTGTATAGAAGAACATCGTGAAACTCCCTGCCCTGTTCTGTTTCTCTCTGACCACCGGTGCATGCAGCCGTTGTCACGTACCCCTTGCTTTCTCAAATCAATCACGACCCTTTCATGTGAAATCCTTGGAGTTGTGAGCCCTTAAAAGGGACAGGAATTGCTCACTCAGGGAGCTCGGATTTTAAAGCTGTAGCTTGCCGATGCTCCCAGCTGAATAAAGCCCTTCCTTCTGCAACTCGGCGTCTGAGAGGTTTTGTCTGCGGCTCATCCTGGTACATGGGGAAAGGCTGTTATTGTCTTTGTTTTAAACTATAAACTAAGTTCCTCCCATAGTTCAGCCTACTTTCAGGAATGAACAAGGACAGCTTGGAGGTTAGAAGCAAGTTGGAGTTGGTTAGGTCAGATCTCTTTCACTGTCTCAATTACAATTTTGTAATGGCAGTTTTATGACCAAATTTACAATATACAGACCAAAATGCCTTCATGAGAACTCCAGAAAGCAGTCCTCTAAGCTTTAAGACTGTTGTTTATTGACACCCAAAGGTCATCATAAAATGTATCTTGCTACAGCTGTTGCCACTTCACTAAAGCCTGCTGAGGTCTTGCCCAGGAACTTTCTTCTTAGCCCTGCAAGAGTATCAGGTCTGCTTCTATAAACTCATGCCATCAGCTGGCCTCTCCTGTGTCACCCAAGCTACACACTCCTTCCTGCTTTTACTTACTTGAAAAGCTGGCCTCCCATCAAAACTCACGGTCTTCTTATGTGTTACTACTCTATAAATCCAGAACCGACTTACCCTTTTCCAAGGGAGTCAAGCTTAAAAGTGTCCCAAGCCCACCAAGCAATCTCAGACTATTACATTACATTCACCAAAGACATAAGCTCTCATTAAGCATGTCATGGAATGCTGAACACACCAAGGGCAGGTTCAACCATGTATCCTGTCTGCTGTTTTGAAATGTTTTGTGTGTTCCTTAGATATTATTGAATGCTGTAGGAAGAAAAAGAAAAGGGTTTCCACAATCAAATAGGGTTGTGAAACTACTTGCTCTCTCGGAGAGTCACAGTGCTCATTAGCATATTAAAGGTTCTGGGTCTTCTTTCAAAATGGAAATCGATTTAACCATGTTTAAACCAGCATTTCCCAAATTTACTTGGTCATTTAACCTTCTTTGGTTAAAATAGCTCAAAAAACTAGTTCAGGGACAACTGGCTTAAAAGAAATTAAAGTATAGTATTATTTTAAAATACTCATCTGACAAAGGGCTAATATCCAGAATCTACAATGAACTCAAAGGAATTTACAAGAAAAAAACAAACCCCCATCAAAAAGTGGGCGAAGGACATGAACAGACACTTCTCAAAAGAAGACATTTATGCAGCCAAAAAACACATGAAAAAATGCTCACCATCACTGGCCATCAGAGAAATGCAAATCAAAACCACAATGAGATACCATCTCACACCAGTGAGAATGGCGATCATTAAAAAGTCAGGAAACAACAGGTGCTGGAGAGGATGTGCATAAATAGGAACATTTTTACACTGTTGGCGGGACTGTAAACTAGTTCAACCATTGTGGAAGTCAGTGTGGCGATTCCTCAGGGATCTAGAACTAGAAATACCATTTGACCCAGCCATCCCATTACTGGGTATATACCCAAAGGATTATAAATCATGCTGCTATAAAGACACATGCACACGTATGTTTATTGCGGCACTATTCACAATAGCAAAGACTTGGAACCATCCCAAATGTCCAACAATGACAGACTGGATTAAGAAAATGTGGCACATATACACCATGGAATACTATGCAGCCATAAAAAATGATGAGTTCATGTCCTTTGTAGGGACATGGATGAAATTGGAAATCATCATTCTCAGTAAACTATCGCAAGAACAAAAAACCAAACACTGCATATTCTCACTCATAGGTGGGAACTGAACAATGAGAACACATGGACACAGGAAGGGGAACATCACACTCTGGGGACTGTTGTGGGGTGGGGGAAGGGGGGAGGGATAGCATTAGGAGATATACCTAATGCTAAATGACGAGTTAATGGGTGCAGCACCCCAGCATGGCACATGTATACATATGTAACTAACCTGCACATTGTGCACATGTACCCTAAAACTTAAAGTATAATAATAATAAAATAAAATAAAATAAAGTCTCAAATTAAATAAAATCTTGGCATAAAAGTAGTTGTTTCAGAGACAAATGGCAGAATAGAAAGTCCCAGCCCTTATTCCCCAGGGAAAATACAATTTAACAATATGCAGACAAAAATGCTTTTATGAGAACTCCGGAAACCAATGAAGACATGCAGCAGCCCCAAGGGAGTGAAAGGCTTTGGATAATAAGAGCCTGTTTCACTTTATTCCTAATTTCCCCTCCCCGAAACCAACAAAGCTCAGCTTGTCTCACAGCTTCTGGGGAGTGGGTAAGAAGAGTAGAACGTGTATCCAATGTTCTAATATTTTCAGAGAGCTTCCTGAAGGACAGGTTTCAGTCTTGACTAACTTGGGGCACTAACAGAACTGACATAGTTTGCATGCCTGGGAGCCACTGAAGCAAGGAAAAGATGAGGCAGCTTGCTGCAGCACCAAAGAGCCTACATGACCACATAGAGAAGCTGAGTCATCTCAAAACAATCAGAAGAAGGCACCAAACTCATGGCTTCTCCCTAGGGATGTAGTGAGAAGAATGAGCATATGTTTGGCATTCCAACTTTGCAGAGAGCTACCTAAAAGATTAGTGTCTATCTCACCTGATTCTATGTGCATACAGGGAGCTGTCATACTTTGGATGCTTGGGGACCTGAGAACAAAGGAGAAGAGAGTGGCTCATTGCTGCACCACAGAACCTGCAGTACTGGAGACAGACACTAGAAAAAGTAAGAGATTACAAGCTCCTGAAAAACAAACTAGCAAACCTCTCTAATTGGGAAACTATGTGTACAAGCCCAGAAAAGTTGCATCCCCCCAAAAAAGTTTTCAGAGGTCCCCAGAATCTATAGCCAGGATGATTAGTGAGTTCTTCCCTCAATGAAGCCAGTCCATAAAGACTGGGAAGTGTCACTGTTTTTTCAAATGCATAAAAGTCAGCTCCCATGTCCCCCCCCCACCCCAAAAATCACAAGGCATACAAAGAAACAGGGAAACATAGCCAAATCAAGAAAAAAGATAAATTTTCAGGAACCAACCCAAAGGAAATAGAGATCTATTGATTACTTGACAAATAATACAAAATAACTGTCTTAAAGAGGCTCAATTATTTATAAGACAGCACAGATAAATACCTAAACAAAATCAGAAAAACAATTCATAAACAAAATGAAAATATCAACAAAGAAGTAGAAACTATACAAAACAACCAAGCAAAAATTATAGAGCTGAAAAGTACAATAACTGAATTGAAAAATATACTAGAGACATACAACAACAGACTTGATCAAGTAGGAAGAATTAGCAAATGTGAGAATAGATCATAAAAAATTATTGAGTCACAGAAGAAGAAAGAATAAAGAAAAATGAATAACTCCTAAGAAACTTATGGGACATCATCAAGCAGAACACCATCTGCATTATGGGAATTCAAGGAGAAGAGAAAGAGAGAAAAGAACAGAGTTTATTCAAAGAAATAACTGCTGAAAATCTCCAAAATCTAAGGTAGGAAATGGACATCCAAATGCAAGAAACATAAAGAAATAGGATCGTGACTAACATAAACCCAAAGAGGTCCCCACCAGGATGCATTATAATCACATTGTCAAAAGTCAAAGATAAAGAGAGATTCTTGAAAGCAGCAAGCGAAAAGTGACTCATGATGTTCAATGAAAATTCTATTAAGATTAGCAATGGATTTCTCAGCAGACACCTCACAGGAAAGCAGGGAGTGAGATAATATATTCAAAGAGCTGAAAGAAAAAAAATGCAGGCAATATACTATATCCAGCAAAACTGTCAAGTGGAAATGAAGAATAAAGATTTTTTCCAGATAAATAAAATGTGAGGAGGTTTATTATCCTAGATCTGCCTTAGAAGAAATGCTACAGGAAGTCCTACTAGTTTAAATATAAGATTTCTACAGTAGTCCCCCCTTTTCTGTGGGGAATACATTTCAAGACTCCCAGGGGACATGTGAAACCATAGATAGTAACAAATCTGATTGCTGTTGATCGAACACATTTCTGTTCATGTCCTCTACCTACAAATTTAATGCCTTATGCATCTCAATTAAGTACTTCTCATGAACTGTGGCTACGATTTTGGCAATTTAAGGTGCTACAGTAAAACTAGCACAGATTTGATTTTCCTTCTTCACAATTTCATGAATAGAAGTTTTGTTCTTACTATAGATCTTAGCAATCTCAGTGTACAATATTTTTCTTATTAAGTTGAGAACTTTCACCTTTTCACTTAAAGAAAGCATTTTACAGCTTTTTTGGCAAATCTGAATTGCCAGCATAACTACTCTTGTTCTTCAGGTGATTATTAAGTAAAATAAGAATTACTTGAACATAAGCACTGCAATACAACAGTCATTATCACAACTGAGACAGCTTCTAAATGACTAAGCAGTAGGGAGCATATACAGTGTAGATATGCTGAAAAAAGGAATGATTCATACCCCAAGCAGGACTGAACAAGATGACACAATATTTCATCATGCTACTCAAAACAGAGTGAAATTTAAAACTTATGAATTGTTCGTTTCTAAAATATTCCATTTAATATTTTGGGGCTGTGGTTGACTGCAGGTAACTAAAACTGTAGAGAGTGAAACTGTGGGTAATGGGGGACTACTGTAGAGAGCAACATGAAGGTATATTAAAATATAAAGCTTCTTGGTAAAGATAAATATATTTTAAAAATACAGAATGCTGTAATACTTTATTAGTGGTTGTATTAGTTCATTCTTGCACTGCTCTAAAGAAATACCTAAGACTGGCTAATTTATAAAGAAAACATGTTTAGTTGGCTCACAGTTCCACAGGCTCTACAGGAAGCATGGTTAGGGAGACTGCAGGAAACTCCACCATGGCAGAAGGCTAAGGGGAAGCAGGCAAATCTTACATGATGAGAACAAGAGGAAGAGAGAGATGGGGGAGGTGCCACACACTTTTAAATAACCAAATCTTATGAGCACTCACTCACTACTATGAGAGCAACACTGAGGGGAAACCAACACCCAGATCCAATCACCTCCCACAATGCCCCACCTCCCACATTGGGGATTACAATTTGACATGAGATTTGGGTGGGAACACAGACCAAACCTATATCTTTCTGCCCCTGACTCCTCCAAAATCTCAGGTCCTACTCACATTTGAAAATATAATCATGTCTTCCCAACAGTTCCCCAATGAGTTAATTCATTCCAGCATTAACTCAAAAGTCCAAAGTCTCATCTGAGACAAAACTAGTCCCTTCCTGTAAAATCAAAAACAAGTTAGTTATTTCCAAGATAGAATTAGGGTATAGATAGTTGGTAAATACTCCCTTTCCAAAAGGAAGAAATTGGAAAAAAGTCAGTCATTACAGGCCCCATGCAAGTCCAATTCAAAGCAGGGCAGTCATTAAATCTTAAAGCTCCAAAATAATCTCCTTTGACTCCATGTCTCACATCTAGGGCACACTGATGCAAGGGGTGGGCTCCCAAGGCCTTGGACAGCCCCTGTGGCTCTGCAGGGTACACCCCCCCATGGCTGCTTTCATGGGCTTCTGTTGAGTGCCTGCAGCTTTTCCAGGCACAGGGTGTAAGCTGTCAATGAATCTACCATTCTGGGGCCTGGAGGATAGCGGCCCTCTTCTCACAGATTCACCAGGCAGTATGCCCCCATGGGGACTCTGTGTGGGAACTCCCACCCCACATTTCCCCTCTGCACTTCTGTAGCAGAGATTCAAAATGAGGGCTCCACTCCTACAGGAGGCTTCTACCTGAACATCCAGGCTTTTCCATGCATCTTCTGAAATACAGGCAGAGGCTCCCAAGCCTCAACTCTTGGACTCTGAACAACTGCAGGCTTAAAACCACATGAAAGCCACCAAGGCTTATGTCATTCACCTTCTGAAGCAGCAGCCCAAGTACTTGGGCCCCCTTGAGCCACAGCTGGAGCTGGAGCAGCCAAGATGCAAAGAGCAATGTCCCAAGGCTGCTCAGGGCAGCAGGGCAGTGCCCTGGCTCACAAAATCATTCTCCCCACCGTAGGCCCCTGGGCCTGTGATGGCAGGCTGCCATGAAGTTCTCTGAAATGCCTCCAGGGCCTTTTTCCCATTGTCTTGGCTATTAGTACTTCCCTTCCTTTTAGTTATGCGAATTTCTACAGCCTGCTTCAATTCCACCTCTGAAAATGGGGTTTTTTTTCTACCGTATGGCTAGGCTACAAATTTTCCAAACTTTTACTCTCTTCTTCCCTTTTAAATATAATTTCCAGTTTCAGGTCATTTCTTTGTTCATGCATATGAGAATAGGCTTTTAGAAGCAGCCAGGCTACTGTTTGAACACTTTGCTGCTTAGAAATTTCTTCTGCCAAATACCCTAAATCATCTCTCTCAAGCTCAAAGTTCTGCACATCCGTAGAGCAGGGGCACAATGCTGCCAGGTTCTTTGTTAATGCATAACAAAAGAGACCTTTGCTCCAGTTCCCAATAAGTTCCTCATCTCCATCTGAGGCTCCATAAGCCTGGCCATCTCTGTTCATATCACTATCAGCATTTTGTTTGAAACCATTCAACAAGGTTCTAGGAAGTTCCAAACTTTCCCTCATCTTCCTGTCTTCTTCTGAGCCCTCCAAACTGTTCTGACTTCTGCCTGTTACCCAATTCCAAAGCTGCTTTCACATTTTCAGGTATCTTTATATCAATGCCCCTATCCTAGGTACCAATTTTCTGTATTAGCTTGTTCTCACACTGCTATAAAGAAATACCTGAGACTGGGTAATTTATAAAGAAAAAATATTTAATTGGCTCATGGTACCACAAGCTCTACAGGAAGCATGGCTGGGGAGACTTCAGGAAACTTACAATCATAGCAAAAGGGGAAGTAGGCGCATCTTAAATGGCCAGAGCAGGAGAAAAGAGAGAGGGGGAGGTGCTGCACACTTTTAAACAGCCAAATCTCATGAGCACTCACTCACTGTCACAACAGCAGCACTGAGGGGGAAATCCAGCCCCATGATCCAATCACCTCTCAATAGGCCCCACCTCTCACATGGAGACTACAACTTGACATGAGATTTGGGTGGGGACACAGACCCAAACCATATCAGTGATGCCTAAAGCACTTTTAATTCTGGTATAGAAGTTAAAAAACAATAACATTTTTTAAATTATGTTATAAAATTATATTAATGGGTACACAATACATAAAGATGTAATTTATGACATTAATTACATAAAGTGAGGGTAGAGAGATGTGAAAGAGTAGTTTTTGTACACAATTGGAGTTGTTACCAGCTTAAAATAAGAATGTTATAACTATAAGATGTTTTATTTAAAGCCCATGGTAACCACAGAGAAAATGCCTATAGAAAATACACAAAATAAAATGAAAAAGAAATCAAAGCATGACAATCAGAAAATCAACAAAACACAAAGTGTAGTATCAAGAGAGGAAAAGAGGAACAGAACAGCTACAAGACAGATAGAAACAATAGTAATAGTAAGTTTTACTTTCTCAATAGTTTCTTCAAATGTAAATTATTAAACTCCACAATCAAAAGACAGAATAACTGAATGAATTAAAGAAAAACAACAAGATCCATCTATATGCGGTCTACAAGAGACTTACCTTAAATGTAGACATAGGCTGAAAGTGAAAAGTCGAAAAATGATAGTCCATGCAAATAGTAACCACAAGAGAGCAAGGGTAATCATACTTATATCAGACAAAATAGAACTTAAGTCAAAAACTGTCACAAGAGACAATGAAGAACACTATATTATTATTTTATTATATAAGAATTAAAGTCTTTCAACAGGAAAATAAAACAATTATAAATATACAGACAACTAATATTACGACATCCAAATATATGAAGCAAAAATTGATGAAAATTTAAGGAAGAAATAGACAGCAACACAGTAATAGTAGGAAATTTCAATACCCCACAACTTTTGACAATGACTCAAATAATCAGGTGGATAATCAATAAGGAAACACAAGACTTAAATAAAACTACAGATCAATTGGACCTAACAGACATATATAGAACAGTCCATCCAGCAGCAGAAGAATATACATTCTTGTGAAGCACACATGGAATATTTTCCAGGTTAGATTATATGTCAGACCACAAAGCAAGTCTTAACAAATTAAAGAAGATTGATATCAAATTAAGTATCTTTTCTGACTACAACAAAATAAAACTAGAAATAAAAAGTAGTAGGAAAACTGGAAAATTTACAAATATGTGGAAATTAAGCAATATACTTTAACAACCAAAGGGTCAAAGAAATTACAAGAAAATATCTTGAGGCCAGTGACAACAAAAACACAACGTACAAAACAAGATACAGCAAAAGCGGCACTAAAAGGGAAGTTTATAACATGTCTACTTTAAACTAGAAAAAAATCTCAAATCAAAAATTTAACTTTACATCTCAAGAAACTAGAAAAAAAAGAACAAACTAAACCCAAAGTTAGCAAAAGAAAGAAAATGATAAAAATTAGAGCAGAAATAAAGGAGCAAACAGAAAAACAATAGGAAAGAACAAGAAAACTAAGAGTTGGACTTTTATAAGACCAAAAAATTGATAAGTCTTTAGCTAGATTAGCTAAGAAAAGCAGAGAGAGATTCAAATAACTAAAATTAGAAATAAAGAAGGAAACATTACAACTGATACCACAGCAATAAAAAAGATTATAAAGGCTTACTATCAATAATTATACACCAACAAATTGGATAACCTAGAAGAAATGAATAAATTTCTAGAATATACAATCTACCAGGACTGATTTATGAATAAATAAAAAATCTGAACAGAGCTATAACTAATAAGGAAATTTAATCAATAATCGAAAACCTCCAAACATAAAGCCCCGAACCAGATGGCTTCACTGGAAAATTCTATGAAACATTCAAAGAATCAATGTCAATTTTTTTCAAACTCTTCTTGAAAATAAGGAGAAGGGAAGATTTCCAAACTCATTTTATGAGACCAGCATTACCCTGATGCCAAAGTCAGACAAAGATACCACAAGAAAGAAAATTATAGAGCAATATTTCTGATGGATATTAATGCAGAAACTTCAGCAAAATACTAGCAAACTCATCACCTCAATTGATGAATAAAAAGCATTTAACAAAATTAAAAATTATTTCATGATAAAAAATAACCATCAAACTAGGAATAGAAGAAAATTACATCAACATAATAAAGATCATATATGAAAAGCCCACAGCTAACATCATATGCAATGGTGAAAAACATAGCTTTTCCTCTAAGATTAGGAACAAGGCAAGGATGCCCACTTTCACCACTTCTATTTAGCACAGTACTGGAAGTTCTAGCCAGAGCAATTAGACAGAAAAAAGAAATAAAAGACACAGAAATTGGAAAGAAAGAAGTAAATTATCTCTGTTCATAGATGACACGATCTTATATGCAGAAAATCCTAAAGATTCCACACAAAAATACTGTTAGAATTAAAAATAAAAAAATTCAGCAAAGTTGCAGGATACGAAATCAACACTCAATAATCAATTGTGTTTCTATACACTAAAAACGAGCAATTAAAAAAATAAATTTAAAAAGAAATTAGGAAATAAGCACTTCAAAAATGAAATTAGTAAACAGTGTGGACATTCCTCAAAAAATTACAAATAAAACTATCACACGACTAGCAATGCCACCTCTAGGGCACACATCCAAAATTTGATGCAATCAGGTGCAGCAAAATCTCACAAATCACCACTAAAGGACGTACTCATGCAACCAAATACCACCTGTACCCCAACAACTTATGAAAAAACTAAATAAATAAATAAATAAATTTTTTAAAAATCGATGCAATCCCATTTACAACAGCATCAAAAAGAAATAAAGTTAACAAGGAGACAAAAAGGATGTGAGGGTGATCTCACTGCAACATCTGTCACCCCATTGATTGCCAGCGTTGATTTGGCTGATCCAGCTGGATAGGCAGGTGTCTCTTTTCTCCCTCACTGCTCCATGTGCATCTCTCTTGAAGCTGCGCACTGGTCGAAGGGGACGACCATCACCCATAGAGAAGTACTGGTCTTCAGTCAAGGGTATACAAGAAGCTGCATTCTCCTGTTAGAACCTCCAAACAAGCTCTCAAGGTCCATTTGTAGGAGAATGTAGGGTAGTCAAGCTTCCAAGACTCCAGACACTTCCAAATGAGGTGCTGCATATAGCAGTCTGCCTTTCTTTTGAAAAAACAAAAAAACACAAGGAGACAAAAGACTTGCACAATGAAAACTATAAAACGATGCTAAAATAAATAAAAGAAGACATAAATAAATGGAAAGACATCCTATGTTCATGAATTGGAAGACTTCATTTTGTGAAAATGTCTGTACTGCCCAAAGTAATCTACAGATTCAATCCAATCCCTATTGAAAGCTTAATCACATTTTTTGCAGAAATAAAAGGAATATCCCAAAATTTCTATGGAATCTCAAAGGACCCCAAATAGCCAAAATAATCTTGAGAAAGAAGAACAAAGCTGAAGGCTTCACACTTCCTCACTTCAAAGCATATTACAAAGCTACAGTAATCAAATATTTACATAATATTTTAAGTGTATATTATCATAATAACATAATCAAATATTTACATAAAGCCAAACATATAGACCAATGGAACAGAAAAGAAAGCCCAAAAATAAATCCATAGGTCAAATCATAGCAAGGGTGCCAAGACAACACAACAGAGAAAGCATATTGTCTTCAACAAATAGTAGTTAAAAAATACTTAGTTAGCCAGGCTAACTAAGAAAAAAAAAAATGGAGTGAACACAAGTCACTAATAACAGAAATGAAAGAAAGACATTACTAAAAATCCTATGAACATTAAAATAATAATAAAAGAGTACTATTAATGACTCTATGTCCACAAATTTGATAACCTAATTGAAGTGGATCAATTCGTAGAAAGACACAATCTGTCAAAACTTACACAAGAAGAAATAGACCATTGGAATAGGCGTTTATCTATTAAAGAAATTAAATCAATAATTTATAACCTTCCAAAACAGAAAGAACCAGGCCTAGATGGGTTCACTGGTGAATTCTAGCAAGGATTTAGGAAGAAATACCAATTCTCTACAATCTCTTTCAGAAGACAGAAGCAGAGGGAATACTTCCTAGTTCATTTTATGAGGTCAGTGTTACCTTAATGCAAAAACCAAAGATATAAGAAAATAAAACTACAGACCAATATCTGTTATGAACATAGATGCAAAATTCCTCAACAAAATATTAAGAAATCAAACCTAACAATGTATGAAAAGAATTATACACCACAACCAAGTGAGATTTATTGTAAGTATGCAAACATTGTTTGGCAGTAGAAAACCAATTAATGCAATACATCATATCAACAGGCTAAAGAAGAAAAAACACACAATAGATGTAGAAAAAGCATTTGACAAAACCCAACACCCATTCATGATTTTTTGAAATCTCTCAGTGAATTAGGAATAGAACTTCCTCAAAAACTCTACAGCTAACATACTTAATGGTGAGAAAATGTCAGTTTTCTCACTAAGATCAGGAACAAGCCAAGGAAGTCCCCTCTCATCATTCTGTTTCAACATTGTACTTAAAGTCCTAACTAGTGTAATAAGAAAAGGAAATAACTAACTACAAATAGCAGTTTAAAAATTCAATTTCTATATTAAAAAGAATGAAGATGAACTCTTACCTTACACCAGGAAATAAAAGCTACACTGATTAAGAGTAAATAAATAAAACTGTCTTGCTGAAATAAATAAAAGAAGACATAAATTAATAGAAAGACATCATATGTTCATGAATTGGAAGACTTAATTTTGTTAAAATGTCCATACTACCCAAAGTAACCTACAGATTCAATGCAATCCCTATCAAAAGTTCAATCATAATTTTTGCAGGAAAAAAAAGGAATATCCTAAAATTAATATGAACTCTCAAAGGACCCCAAATATCCAAAATAATCTTGAGAAAGAAGAAAAGCTGGAGGCCTCACACTTCCTGTCTTCAAAGCATGTTACAAAGCTACAGTAGTCAAACCAGTTCACAGGTAACATGACTGTCTATGAAGAAAATCCAAAAAAACTCACAAAAAAAAAAAAAAACCCTGGAACCAAAAGGCAATTTTAACAAGGTGGCAGGATACAAGGTTAATACAAAAAAGTCAATCACTTTCCTTTATGTCAGCAATGAACAAGTAAAATTAAAAATTAAAAAATAATGCCATTTACATAAGCACCTCTTAAAAATAAAATACGTAGGTATAAATCTAATAAAATATGTATACGATCTATATGAGGAAAACTTCCAAACTCTGATCAAACAAATCAAAAGAGCTAAAGAAGTGAAGAGATATTTTTGTTTTGGAGGGTAGGAAGACCCAATAGTGTCATGATGTCAGTTCTTCTCAAGTTGATCTATAGATTTAATGAAATCACAGTCAAAATTCCAGCAAGTTATTTTGTAGCTATTAACAAACTTATTCTAAAGTTTACATATAGAGGCGAAAGGCACAGAATAACCAACACAATATTAAAGGAAGACTGATACTACCTGACCTCATGACATTATAAAGATTCTGTAATCAAGACAGTGTGGTACTGGTGACAGAATAGATAAATATATCAATTTAACAGAATGGAAAGCCTAGAAATAAGCCCACATAAATATAAGTAACTAATCTTTGACAAAGGAGAAAAGACAGTACAGTGGAGCAAAGATAGTCTTTTCAATAAATGGTGCTGGAAAAATTGAACATCCAAATGCAAAAAATAAAATAAAATGAATCTACAGACACACCTTACACCCGTCACAAAAATTAACTCAAGATGCCTCATAGACCTAGATTTAAAATGCAAAACTATAAAACTCCTACAAGATTATATAGGAGAAAATCTAGATAACCTTGGGTTTGGTGATGACTTTTTAGATACATCAAAGGCATGATCCATGAAAGGAAGAATTTATAAGCTGGACTTTATTAAAGTTAAAAAATTTTGATATGAAGGACACTGTCAAGAGAATGAAAAAACAAGCCAAAAGACTGGGAGAAATATTTACAAAAGACGTAGTTGATAAAGGACTGTCGTTCAAAACATAACAAAGATACTCAACAGTAAGAACACAAACAACCCAATTTAAAAATATTGCAAAGACTCTAATAGACACTTCACCAAAGAAGATGCACAGATGGCAAATAAGCATATGAAACGATCCACATCATAAGTCATCAGGGAAATAGAAATTAAAACAACAATGAGATATCCCAATTTAAAAAATAGTTGTTTCCCTGGTAATAGGGGAAGAGATGGTAAAGAGGTGGGGCCTTGAGAAGTTTAGATTCACAACTTATTCTTCCTTGAGTATTTTAATACTTAGTGGCTTTTAGGTAGAAAAATCCAGTTATTTATTTGAACTGAAAATATTTATCATAATCTTATAGCATGTACCAGAAAATAATAAGTTTATTTATTTTGACATCATTCTTTTTGTCCTTTAAAAAAAAAACAGGAAAATAAAATCCAGGAAAAAAATATACCACAACTTGATATTCCCTTAAATGATTGAGTAGGAGAAAACACTGGGGTGGGGGGTGGCACCTAATAAGTTTTTTTCACAGTTACATCGTATAGCTGCAAAATCAAACATCAGTGAGCACGTGGAAGATTTGATTCCACCTGGCTATTATACAAGACTACTGCATGTTTTCCTTTCACTACTGGCACATTTATTAGGCCTGATCTCCCACACATTCTTATCACCTTTATCCTGCTTATAATCTACTTTGTGCTGCTCCACTTACTCCTCTCCAGCTGTTGTCCACCCTTCTCTGTCCTGCTCTGGGCCCCAGCAGGCTGGACTTTGTGGAATGCATTTCCCAGGTTCGTTTGCCCTCTGGCTTCTGATTGGATTTGACAAATGGAGTTACCAGCAAGCAACTGAAGGGCAGAGGGAAGAAATTATGTGTTTATTCCCTGGCTCCATCCCCACTGGACAATAGTTAGACATGGTCTCTGTTTTTCTACCCAAGGTCACATTGCCTTTTGGGAAGGTCCTCTCCAGCAGCTATAGCTCTTGCCAACTTCACATCACCACTAACCCTTTGCCTGTCAGGAAAGGCAATGTCTTCCCACTGATTTTGATCCTATAGTGCCTTGCTACTCTTTGTTAGTGCCCTTCACCCTATCTACATCTTTGCAAACACCTCTTCGTTAAATTCTCCTAAATTATAATTGCTTGCACCATCTGTTCCCTGCAGGACTCTGACCAATCCACCACTGTTAAGATAAACTGAGCACAAAGCCACTTCAACAAAGTATTTGAGTAGCAAACAACAACTTTTTTCATATGTTCATGGAGCAAGCTCCAAGTTAGAATGAATATCTGTCTCCACATTGCATACTAGGCTTCCTAATTAATCTATCGCATCATTTCCAATTTGTATTATGAAAGCTTGTGCTAAACAGAAACTTTAAAGAGATCTGTGTTGTGAGATCCTGCCACAGACGGCAGAGTCTGCATAAAAGAAGAGCTATTCCAACATAAAAACAGAATAGGGGTGGCAGAGAGGCCCCACTGGAGGGAGCCAGCCTTCAGCAGGTGGTGTCAGGGAGGGTCAGAACCAATTGCGAGAGGTTAATTTGGGTTGCTCTGAATGGCCGACCCCAAGAAGATAGTTCAGGATAGGTGATGCCCACAAGTAATTGGGCAGAGGAGGATTCTCATGGTGATTAATTAAAGTCTTGGCCCCTGACTCCTGTAAACTCACAAGGAAAATTAAATTTCCCACTAGATTCCTCCCCTGCCTGGGGACAGAAAAGCCCGTTGTTCAGCCCCTCAGGATGCAGGCAGGCAAAAGAATTATTACAAAAAAATATTCAATTACCTGGGTTCCAAGGGCTGCCTCAACTTTCTCTCCAACTTCAGAGCCTCCGCTAGCCTGCAATAGAGGCAGGGGGAAGAGGGGTGACCTGCACCAAGCCTCCTGCCTCATGCTGGGCACTTTACACACCTTCTTTCGTGAAAGATGACACTCTATATTACCCCGAAGGATAGATATACACAGAGGGAGCCACTGACCTTCCTGATGAAACAGGCATCAAGAGGCAAAGCCATCCTGGTTAATATTCCAGGGTCATAGAAGGTTATCCTGCCTTACTTAATTTATTTAACAAAATACAGCAAGGAGGTTTGGGGGACGGAAGCGGGGAAAGGATAAATAGGTGAATAGGTGAAGCACAGGGGATATTAAGGGCAGTGAAACTATTCTCTATGAAACTGTAATGGGAGATACATGTCTTTATGCATTTGTCAAAACCCATAGAACTATACAACTCAAAGAGTCAACCTTAATGTAATCTATGGGTTATAGTCAATAGTAATGTATTAATAATGGTTTAATTGTAACATATGTACCACACTAATGCAAGGTGTTTCTAGTAGGGAAATTGTGTTCTTTGGGTGGAGGGGAGTGGAAGGATGAGTATATGGAACTCTCTATACTATCTGCTCAATTGTCCTGTAAATCTAAAACTGTACTTAAAAACAGCCTATTGGTTATAAAATATGATGATGGTGATGATAATGCCACCCACTGAGCACCTACCCATCTTTATTGCCTTGGAGTGCATCTTGCCCTTCTCCCATCGGAGGTATAGGAGGCATTGTAGCTAGGTCTATTTGGCTGATCTGGACATGCCAAGCATGGGGATGGCCCAATGTTAAAGTGTCCAGCTACAGTTCAGTGTCACAATATACTAAGAACTCAATGAAAAAGGGGGCAGTAAACCTCCTGATGAAACACCTCTAAATTAAGGGCAAAGGCCATGGTAGCAAGAAGACTCCTCCCTGACAATATCACTAGCAGTCAGCAGAAATTGGGAAGGGCTGTGACATGCTCACAGTTATTTTTTTTTTTTTGTCTTTTAATGTGTATGCGTATCATCATGAGTGAATACTTCTGAGGTAAGAAGGAGGTAACTATATCCAGACTTCCATGATGTAATGCTTATCACGGCATTCTAAAAATGCCTTAAGATACTAGGAACCTAAGATTTTCTACGCCATTCCAAGAACCCAAGGAATCAAGCTTCTGAAAAGGGTGTGGGATTACTGTGGGTTCTCAGGAGGGCAAAGCGTGAGACCTGGGAGCATAGTGTTTTAGGGAGGTGATCCCAGGAAGCAGAAGTGAGGGAGCGAGGGAGGCAGGAGAAGGAGGAAGGCCAACAGCAGCAGGGTAAAAGGGCCTGATAGCTGGCAACTGGTAGCTGATGACAATCTCCACGGAATATCAAAAATAATCAGACCAGCCACTTATAGTGGAACAAAATAAAAGGAAAGCACCCACAATCATGACTGAACACAAAGACAAGGACACCGAGGAGCCACAGAAATAATCAAATATCTCCTTCTTTCTAATATGAATGTGTTCGGCCTCTTTATCAACAACAACCCTAGCTCCACTTCATCAGTCCTGCCTCTTAGATAAAAATTATTAAAATATCCAGTCATCAAATTCCCCTAATACCCCATTCAGCACTCAATTCAGGGAATAAAAAAACTTACTGCCTACAATCCTCTTCAAAATCACCCAGCACAAGTCTACCTTAACTCTTTATTACAACTCCCCATGGTATGGTTCTCCCTCATTGCAGCAAACTGTAAACCCTTACCTTGTTTGACTTCAGATAGGTCCTGTGGCCTTTGGCTGATGGACGTTTATACTACTGTGTATTTGTGAGTATATTAGTGAGTTAATCACCAATGCGGGCAACTGGGGATCAATCCCATGTGGACCACGGAGAAACTGCCTAGAACACATCCCAGAATTGTGCTACCAGAAGATGGAGAGACTGAAGAATCCATCTGGGACTCCCATTCTCCTTTACTTGAAAGTTTCTCCTGGGGCATTAACTCCTCTACATTTTTGGATTGTGCCTGCCTGAGGCTGAGTGACCTTTCACAGCATCAGAGGACTCCCAGGGACAGGAACACAGAGAAACACCTTGAGTTGTGCTCCTAGTACACTCATTGTGGGTCTTATGAAGTGCATGGAATTGTCCACCAGACATGTCCCAATACTAGGTGGTCCAAGGGGGTATGGTGCCATGCAAACTTCTGCCACAGGTGTCCTGGTACTCATGATAATCATGATTTTACTGATACAAAAAACAAGACTCAAAGAGATTAGAAGTGTTGAACTAGGCCACATAGCTGTTTGCTCAATATTAAAAAAAACCAGCATTGCTGAGGTTAGGCATGGTGGCTCACACTTGTAATCCCAGCACATTGGGAGGCAGAAGCAGAAAGATCACTTCAGCCCAGGAGTTTGAGACCAGCCTGGGAAAGATGGCAAAACCCTGTCTCTACAAAAAACATAAAAATTAGCCAGGTGGCTACATGGTGGCATGCACCTGTAGTTCCAGCTACTCCAGAGGCTGAGTGGGGTGGATCACTTGAGCCTGAGAGGTAAAGTCTCCAGCAAGCCATAATCATGCCACTTCACTCCAACCTGGGCAACGGAGTGAAACCCTCTCTTGAAAAAAAAAATTATTTGCTAAAATTTTTCTGTCAGAGACACATTTTTGCTCTTTTTGTTAGATGCATTTCTATGATATTGTAAATAAGAGGGAATGTGTTAAGTCCCACTTCTCACCCTGTCAAGTAGTAGAATGGGGTTTGTGAGTTACCTGCTACTGCAAGCCATCTTAAGGAATATGCAGAATCACATGGAGCAATGGTTTGCAAACTCTTTTTTAGTCGCGGAACCCTTTTCTTCTTCAGGGGAAATCTTATGAGAAACACATAGCACAGATGAAAGTCCAGAGCTTCCCCTACTTGAGACGTACCCCATGGCCTCAGTCAGCTTCTGAGGCCCCTCCAGGAATGCCCAGGACTCTATAGAGCACAGAAGTAAATCAGGAGTAAATAACAGAATATTGGAGTTCTAGGCACCTACACCAGGCTGACCTCTATCAGCCTGTTACACTGAGCTATTCATGTCACCATTCAGGGTTTTGCTGCCTTATCTATGAGATGGTGCTCCTTTGGCGCTAGGATTCCAGTTTCTTTATTACATTGTAGAAATACTTCATATATCAACCTTTGATTGAAGGTTAGCCCCAACCCTGCTAACATGATTCACAGCTAATCCTACTCATCCTTCAAATACAAAACTCAACTGTTTCCATAGTCCCCATGCATCAGTAGCACCTGCTGTAACAACTACTCTCCTTTATTGTTTATTTGTTGAAACACATTTTCTTGTCCCCCTGCTACCAGCAGGGGTGCATGGTCCTTGATCCTGGGAGATTTGGGAGAAAGAATTCAGCCAAGAGACAATTAGTAATGCAAGCAAAAGGTTTATTAAAGACATAAGAGTACACTCCCAAAGAGGATTGGGCTGATGCAGCTGGAAAACAGCTTCAGGCTGGCCCAGCTGGAAAAATAACAGTAGCAGTGTCATCAAGAAAGTGTTTAAAGAGACAGTACGAGAAGAAGTCAGAGTGGGCTGCCTGAAAGAGAGACTGAGCCAGTAGCAGCTAGTGCCACAGGACTCTCTTTATGAGAATCCTACATGATTATTCATGTAAGGGCATGAGAGGGTGTCACTTGCAAGCACGTTTTAGGAAGTCCCCTTGGACATGCATGCTCTGTGGTTGTCCGTGCTAGTACACACATCGCATGTCTCTCCAGCATTTAAAATCTCCACCAAGGGGTGTGTTTTTACTACTCTAATGGGCAAAAGGGTACTCTATGTTGAGTTACTGGAGGAGTGTGCATGCTTGACAGCAGGGAAAGTCCCTACCATGGTTATCTCCAGCAAGGGCCAAATAAGTCCCCTTCGGGGTCAGAGGAGCCCAACCACAAGGCCAGAAGCAGCCAGTGTAGCCACTGTCTTTTTTTGCTGTCAGTGGGCAGCATCTCTAGGACTTATTTTCCCAGGGACTCCCTTGCCTGCTCATTTCTGGCTGTCTGCCTATTCTAACACCCCCATGACTCTTATCACATAGCTGAACATAAGGACAAGGCTAAGCAAAATCTTCTGCTCTTGCTTTCAATTTTCCTTGGGAAACAAAGGAAAATCATGGCAAAGCTACATGATTAATTGCTAAGTATACCGAGCAGAAACTAGAGAGCTTTAGGAGCCCAAAGACCCACGGACACTGGAAAATATAAGGGGAACATTTTTCAACAGTCTACTACATGGATTTAAGGGTAAAATGATATAATGTTTGGGGTTTGCTTAAAAACTCTCCAAAAACATAAAAAGCGGGAGGACTGATGTAACAAGATTGGCAAAATGTTGCTAGCTATTAAAGCTGGGTCTTAGGTACCTAGAAGTTTATAATGTTCTCTACTTTGGAATATATCTGAAATTTTTCATTATAAAAGGGTAGATTTTTACATACACTGTGTATGATGCCCATCTTAAACATTTGGCACGTTATATTGTTTAATCTTTAAAAATGAAGAATCCAAGAGTCAGAGTGATTAAGTAATTTACTTAAAGAGTGATGAAGATAGGATTTCCCTTGAGCTCTCTGACTCTAAAAAAGGCCCCAAGAGATGGAATTTGAATTTTTCTTTGACTTCTAGGAAGGTAAAAATATTCCAGGAGGATAGCAACATGAACAAACCCCAGGATAAGACCCACAAGATGGGACCAACAGTATAAGGAGATGGTTTCACAGCTCATAAATATATATATTTTATTATCCAGTTAATACAAGCCAATTGTCTCATCACCTAATCAACCCTGAATAAACTAATAGAGGCAGATCAATGAGGCTGAAAATCAGGTATTGGAATAGAAGAACAATCAGTTTGAGTATCCAGGGAAATGAAAGTAGGACTTGAAAATACCCCATGAATTGCTCTGTCTCAGCTGTGTCCTAACTCCAATGTGAGAATGACAGGGACAGGGTACCCTGAAGCTGGATGAGGCAGAGGCTCTGGATCCTCTTAACTTTCCTTTCTCCTTCCTTTTTCACTCCCAGCTCCTGGGCAAAAATAAAAATAAAAAATAACTTACTAAGCACTCGACAGCATGCTAGGTGCCAGGCTGGATGCCAGAGATTTGGAGGTACAATAGACCTGTCCAGCCCTCCAAGAGCTGCAAGGAGGAAGCAGACCCTACATTTCACTATGAAGCAAGAATGGAGCTTAGGTAAACAACTAGAGAGGGCTGCCCAAGGAAACGTAGGCATGTTTAAGATGTGTTTGGCTGGGAGGTGAAGGTGGGAGGTATTACTGAAAGGTGATAGAAAAGAAGGTTATAAAGGAAGGTAAAGGATTGCCTTTAGACTTCAGTGCCAGGCAAAGGGTATTGCAAAGCCATTGAGGTTTTTTGAGCAATACAGAGAAGTATCTCATATGCACTGTGGTAGATTACATTTTGAAGGCCAATTTTTTACACCTCCCTATGTCCACACCCTTTCCCACGTGATTTTCCAGTTCCCTGTGTTGACACCAGTGGAGTGTATTTCACCACCCCTTGATTTTGGGATCAGCTCTCAAAGTTACCAATGGGATCTGAGCAGATATGTCATGAAGCTGAGGCTTGAAATATGCTTTTGTAGTGGAGTATTCCTGTGTACTTCTGCCATTGCCATAATAAGGACATGCCCTGGATAGACTGCTGGCCCAGGAAGCATGAGAGACACTGCCCAAGAGACCTACAGACTTGCAGTGAGAAGTAGAGCTTCCCCAGCTATTGCAGTCAAAGCAGATCCACTCAGCTGTGTTACATCAGTCAATCCTCAGCCAACTCATGATACATGGGCAAACCCAGCTGAGATCAACAGACACATCCACTAACCTGCAGATGAATGTTCCTGTTGTATATTCCTGAGATTTTTGTGGTTGCTCATTACATGTAATAGCTGACTAACACACTACCATATTTCCCTCCAAAAAAATTTAAAAATACTTTGTCAAGGAAACTAATCACTCCGTGATCAACCGTGGGTACTTGTGAGGTTAAGGCTAGGAAGTATTTCCCTCCTTTTTTTGTGGAAGGAAGGGCAGGAGAGTGCTGGAAACAACTGTGGAGAAGTCATGGTTCTGGGTAAGACAATGTGCTCATACGCCTCCTATGTATCTGACCTAGCCTAACTCTCCCAAACCTTCTAGAAAAAAACAAATTCTTAGAAGTTAGGAGTATTCTAGAAGGTTCTAGGAAATGTTCAACCAATCCTGGAGAGTTGACAAGCAAACTGCCCTAGAAAAGTAAATATTGTAAGTCACCAAAACATTGACAACCTTCCACACAACTTTCAAACCTAAATATTGCTGAGGTTTTGCAGTTTGCATCCATAAAAAACACACTTTCATCATATCAATGGAAATTTGGTTTATAACAAATTGATCTTTTTCAGCATCTGAAAACCCACATATCTGAAGTCATAATCAACATGCCCAACATGTCCTGGGTATGTCTAACTCATTTTAGTTCTCTGATTTTAAAATGTTGGCTGACCTCAACTATTTTAAAAGGTTAAAATGGTATAGTCCTCACAACTGTCAGCAACTCTGTTATTAGAAAAAAAAATTGTACAATTTGAACATTTCAGTCCCAAGACCTTATCTTCTTTTCACGACAGCTAGTTCCAGGCAAGCTTGGGCAAAGCAGCCCTATGCATTTATTACTACCCTGATCGAGAAATTGAGGCTTTTAGCTGGTGAGAGAAAGAGAGAGAGAGAGAGAGAATTAGTTGTCCCCAGGACTGACATTCAAACCCTAACAAACTTTCTCTTTCTCACAGACAGAGATGGGGCAGAAATGTACCTTGAGTGCTTTGCAACCCTCAAGTGTGGCCACAGCCTCACAGCTGTCTCCAGGCCCCCAGGCCCTGTCCTTCCAGACATCCCTTTACAGCAGATGCAGCTCAGCTCAGCTCACATCCTGGTTAATCCCGGAAAACATGCTCTCCATGGCTGGCACTGTCCATAGGAAGAATCAGAAGATCTCAAAGCAGCAATTTAACAAACCCCTTCTGACTTTCAGGACTTTTAATCTAGCTTTTTATAGCATCTATAACAAAATAGACCTTATCAAAGTGTAAAAAGCACTCTTATGCTTTTTTGTAAATGTGCATAAGCCCCTCCCACAACCCCACAGCTTCCCCCAGCGTCACTCAGCTTCTGAGCCCTTTCCTATCAACAACCCCATCCTCTGACCCCCGACAGCCTCAGCTTATCCCTCTCCTGCTCCCTGTCAAAGCATCAGTCCATCCCTGAGCCTGGTCCACCCACACTCTCCCTCGCTGACCTCTGGGATGGAGGGAAGCTAAGCCAAGGAGATTGGGTGAGGATCAGGGACCAGGTCTGCACATTTAGAGTTTATCCATGAAGCTTGTCATTGCCATGAGCAAGAATATCTTGTTATGATGACATAACCCTTATCTCGTCAGACAGAAATATCCCATTTTGAGAGACTAAACGTAGCATGGCAGAAAATGAGAAAGATACCAAACACAGATTGTCAGGGAAAGCATTTATCAGAAGCCAATATAGTTCCAATCCCTCAGGTTTAGGGTCAGGGAGCAGGATGCAGGCCCAGGCATTGCTGCACCTAACTAAAGTCAGTCGCTCCCTGATCACAGCCAAGCTAGCTCCCCAGGCCAGACACACAGTGTCCCCTGGTGACAAGGATAGATTCTCTCCTCGCCTGGCGTAAAAGGAACATGATACTGCCCACAGCACCATATCCTGGTTCCTTGATGATGTGCCAAAATGCAGAGCCTGAAGACACCAGCAAAACCTAAACCAAAAGGGTATACCCTAAAAGTCAAAGCTTCACCCTGCTTTTAATTCTTTCTCTCACCTGCTCACTCTTGTTCAACTGCCAATATTTATCCAGTCCTGGTAATGAGTATAATAAGGAAAAACTCAGACATACCCAAGTTCAATTTGAAATAAAGCAATTTATTTATTTTCTTTGTTGGGTTGCATTAGACATCAAATCAGCCAGGACCACTGTTGGAATGTGCCAAGAGGTGTTCTTTCAGCCCAGCTGGGTACAGAAAATGACTATTTCCAGGTAAAAGTATCATGAAGTCCCTGCCATGATAACTCTTAGTCTTACAGGGGAACTCCAGCAGACAAAGGGGACACAGAATGTTCTGAAAGTGAGCAGGAAAGAGAACCGTGGAGCATCATAAGCAAAGCAGGCCATCAAGGTACTATAAACACTTGAAAGAGAATACTTCCTTTGAGATATTAACCTGTGTTCTGCTCAGCACTGTTTTCCTCTCATTGGATTTCATGCAAGCAGCCTTTGTAATTCTTTACCTCAGGGCATTTTTGCAGAGCCAGGGACAGAAGCTACTTGAGGTCAGAAACCTGTTCTGTTCTCTGTAACAACCCTCTGATGAGGAAATACTGGGTGTCCCATAAACAATGGAAAGAGGGCTCTTATGCTGGCAACGAGAGAGTGCAGGGCAGAACTCCTGATGGTAAAAATGTCTATGAGCCCCATGAGTTTATGGGGACAGTATTCCAAGTAGGTCCTAAGACCTCGAGGGGATACTGGGGTCAGGGGGCTGGACCAGTGACCCAAAGCACCAGGCCTCCTGGCCTCACCAAAGATTATGGTGTCTCAAGTGAAACATAAACAGGCCTCAGCACTAGCCAGTGTGGACCCATGGCTCATGACTGGAGAGGTTTTCCCCTTTGTGTATCTCCATGAAGGACCCCCAGGACCTTGGCACAACCCCAGGGTGAAGAGATGCCCACAGTTATACCAGAGGTGAAACTTCCTGTCAGCCTAGCAGCATGGGGCTTCTATATTACAACATAAAAAGGCTGGGCACGGTGGCTCATGCCTGTAATACCAGCATTTTGAGAGGCCAAGGCGGGTGGATCACCAGAGGTCAGGAGTTCAAGACCAGCCTGACCAATATGGTGAAACCCTGTCTCTACTAAAAATACAAAAAATTAGCTGGGCGTGATGGCACATGCCTGTAATCCCAGCTACTCGGGAGGCTGAGGCAGGAGCATCGCTCGAACCCAGGAGGCAAAAGTTGCAGTGAGCCAAAATTGTGCCATTGTACTCCAGTCTGGGCAACAAGAGCGAAACTCCATCACAAAAAAACAAAAAACAAAACAATATTACAACATAAAAGAGGTGATCCTTCCCGCCCACCCTACATTAAAGACTCAGGTTTATACCACCCCAAACACTTGGGCAGGACCAGACTTTGCAAAACCTGCTACTAGAATTATAGGGACCTAGGAGGAAATATAAGATGGAGACTGAGGACAAAGACTCAGAAGTAAGGAATTAAAATCCAAGCATTTAAAACCCATAGCCACACACAGTCCCCATAGTGGACCAAGACAAACCTAGTATTTGACCTGCATTAGTGAAGAGTGACTGGATCCTTAGTGAGGGGCACCTGGAAACACAAATCAGAGCCTCTGATTAGCAGCTACAGCTGTTGTGTGTGGTCACTTTGCCCTTTGAGTTCTAAATAAAATTGGCTCAGGCATATTTCTCACAAGGTATAGGAGGTTTGGTGAATTTCTGGGAATGCATAATCAGAATATTTTTCTTAAGAAGACCAGGAGAACTGGCAGGGTCTCTAAGATTTTTGTCTTCCTTTCCAGACAGGCCTTATGTGAGACTTAGATGTATAGTCAGTTTTGTTCTCAAAAGGCAATTACTCAATTGTCAAAACTCATCAAACTAAACACTTAAGATCAGTGTGTTTTATTATATGTTAATTAGCCCTCAACTTAAAAAAAAGCCACACTTGTTATGGGAGTCCCTAAAATCTGGAAGCATAGATATATGTATGTCATCAAAGATATCTTCAATCTGATGTTATAATGTCTACAAGTCCCACACTTGACGATGCCCTAGATTGAGTTACATTATTGGAGACTGAATGTATATAATATTGTCAGTCTACAGCATGAGTTCAATCTATTTCAACAATAGGGATTACCTGGGCCAGACAGACCCAGGTGAACAGCCCCTAGTACAATGCCAGCATGACAATGTACATAGGTTTTGCACTATGGTTGGGGGGAAATTCTGGTGTTTTTAAAAACTGGATTGGAAGAGAAAGACCTAAGCTGTGTTACTCATCCACTCGGCTCCCTTGAGCAAGTTTATTTCCCCTTCCTGGGCATTAGATATCCAGATGTAAGAGGAGTAAGGTGAACAAGATGATAGCTACATCTTAAACTTTATGACTCTATGTTGAATATCTCCAGAAAAACTCCGGGTGACTTTCATTATAAATCATATAAGTGAGACATCCTATAAATGAACATCCTTAAGAAGATGCTGTTATTCCAAGATTCCAAATAGAAAAACAAGCCTTAGCGTGGTTGAGGCCACATAGCAAATTGAAAACAAAGTGTCTTATGATCCCACACAATTGAAGAGAAATGTATACTGGGATTTTCATGTTGCTAAGGGTAAAATCACCAGATTTGCATTTTAAAGACCCTTTTGACTGTTTGCAGACTAGAGCAGAAAGGACTTATACCTCTGCCTTAGCATGAGAATTGACCAGCTAGCCTGCAAGTGTGGGGCTCTGGAGTGGACTAGCTTAGAAAGATCCAGTCTGCCTGTATCTAGGGAGGTACAAAGGTCTCCCCAGCAAACCACTGGCTATCAGGCTGGGGCCAGCATTGCTTTTACAGCCCAGGAAAAAAAAAAAAAAAAAAAAAAAAAAAAATATATATATATATATATATATATATGTGTATATATATATATATATATATGTATGTATATATATATAGAACATAGCCCAAGGACCAAACTGCAGCCCAGCAGTCACTTGCCTGTGCTTTATTAGGCTAAGCTTGGCTGACTCGGCCCAGATAAGGTCATCACATAGAGGGTATTTTTTAAAGATTAAAAAGCAACAAACCCACTGCAATGCAACACCAGTAAATTATATCTCATAGACGACCAACGCACCCAGGACTGCAGGCCCTGTGTGATTCCAATGTCAAGAGCACCACCTGCTGCCCAGGCTGTGCAAAGCCTGGTTTGTCTTTCCTTTCTCTTCAACATCAACAAAATGTGCTTCAATGGAGAGGGTCTCAAACTGAATGAGTATGCTATCAAAGTCCAAGATGTGTGATCTGTTGCATTATTTTTCACTTTTATAATAAATTTTTAAAGTTAATCCAAACATATGCCAGGTTGTCAGACTGATAAAGTAAAGGAAAATCATAAAACCAGATTCCAGACCTTTATTTTGCATTGTTAGGATATTGCTAGGAGGTCGTGGCAGGTGCTGTTATTTTAATTGTTGAAGGTTAATGAAACAGAACAGAAGTGGACTAACTCATTAAGGAAGCATTTATACTAACAAAAGCCAAAGGACTCAGCTGCAAGCTCCACAGTGATTACGGAAAAGTGATGTGAGACTTAAGTGATGCAGGGTTCACAAGGGTGTAAGCACACCTAACTCAAAAGAACCTGAGACAGAGCAGTTAGGAGCTTGTTTGTAGCATGAAAAATAAGAAAGAAAAGCATCATCTACCCCATTAAGTTGACATAGATTATTGATGTAGTTTTATTTTAACTTAATTTGCAATGTTATTTTGCTTTATGATTATTGATTACAAGGGTAAGAAATGTATACCTAGTATTGTTTGAAATATTTAAGTTTCATTGTATAAAATGATTTAATTACTTCTAACTGGTCTTCCTCTCTCTCTCTCTCTCTCTCTCTCTCTCTCTCTCTCTCTCTCTCTCTCTCTCGCTGTCTCTCTCTCTCACTCACACACACAGTATTATTTGTTAAATGAATTAGTAAGTAATATCAACACAGAGAGTTTGCCAGAATTTCTTTCCTCTAAAAAAGATCCATACGTGACTCAGTATTAGTCAGGTTTTGGCTGAGATAGTGCCATGCTGTGTAACAACCCCAATGTTTCAATGACTTACAGTAACAACGATTTGTTTTCCTCATTCACGTGTCTGCAGGTCACTTAGGGCCACTCTGCATCAGTCTACAGGCCAGGTTCATGTCTGCTCCATGTGTCTCTCATCTGTGAACCAGAAGTTCTCAGGACATGCAGACGGCAGAAGCACGAGAGGCCAAACAGGCAAATATATGTAAAGCCTCTGCTCATATCTCATTGGCCAAAGCCAGTCACATGGCTAACATCAATGGAGGAGAGAAGCACATTCCCTCCCACGAAGGTTGCCTAGGATGAGGGAGAGGTGGAAAGGTAGAATTATGGCTAAATAATACATCTATTGCAGATCCACATTTTAGAAGCACTGCTTTCAAGGAAAGGAATAATTTACTTTCCCACTACTTCCTTTAAAAAAATGTAGCACCTCCAATCCAAGTGGTAAATTAAGTCCATGTAATTTATTCTCTTCCCCCATCAAATCTCCATCAAAATAACAAAATAAACTTCAGGGTAAGAAATTCTAAGTCAGCCGGGCGCAGTGGCTCACGCCTGTAACCCCAGCACTTTGGGAGGCCGAGGCGGGAGGATCACAAGATCAGGAGATCGAGACCATCCTGGCTAACACCGTGAACCCCCGTCAGTACTAAAAATACAAAAAAATTAGCCCGGCGTGATGGCAGGCACCTGCAGTCCCAGCTACCCGGGAGGCTGAGGCAGGAGAATGGCGTGAACCCGGAAGGCGGAGCTTGCAGTGAGCCGAGATGGCACCAACGCACTCCAGCCTGGGCGACAGAGCGAGACTCTGTCTCAAAAAAAAAACAACGTTCTAAATCCTAACAGGTTTCTTAACAGGAAGCCAGAGAAGGGCTTTAAGCCTAAAACTTAAAAACTGAAATAGGGGTTAAACTGATAAAGGGAACCTGGAAGAAGTGCTGTCCTTTTCACCATCTGCTACATGGACGTCTAAGAAGGGCTCAACTGGGCATGAAGTGATGGGATGCCAGGAACCTGGCTTTCACCTGAGCTTGGGACCAAAGAAGTTAGAGATGGAGGTGGATGGTGCTTGCAGTCAGTGGAGAACAATGCCTTGCAGGAGTGGCCCTGTGGCCTGTTGCCAAGGTCCCAAGGAATGGAATTGAGGGTGACCTCAGCTCTCATTGGTGATCATCCTGCATACACTGTACATGGGGATAGTCAGCCCTAGGGTACATAGGCCCTGCTGGTAATGACTCCTGCCATTGGCCACTGGGCTGGGTGGTGAGAAGACCTTGCTCTTGGCAGCCTTGGGCTGCTGACATGGACATGGAAGAGAAAATGCTCAAAGGTGGCACTCCTATGGTAAGATGCCTCCCTCCATGGAGAGGAAGCCCTCCACTGACCCTCAATGGACCTGCCCGAGTGTCCAGTATTATGCAAATGAGACCAGTCTTGTCTATGAAAATAAACAATGGGAATAATCACAGGATGTGAGAAATGACTCCACAGTTTAAAAGAAGCAGCCCATCTGGGCACGGTGGCTCACTCCTATAATCCCAGCACTTTGAGAGGCTGAGGCAGGAGAATCACTTGAGCCCAGGAGTTTGAGCCCAGCCTGGGCAGTGTGGTGTAACCCCATCTCTACAAAAAATACAAAACTTAGCCGGGCATGATGGTGTGTACCTGTAGTCCCAGCTACTGGGGAGACCAAGGCGGGAGGATTGATTGAGTCCAGGTGGTCAGGGCTAGAGTGAGCAGTGATTGTGCCACTGTACTCCAGCCTGAGTGACAAAGTGAGACCCTGTTTCAAAAAAAAAAAAAGAAGAAGAAGCCCATACTAACTAAACTATTGCAACTCTGGCACATGGATTCGCAGGCTAATGAAACAGAATATGGCCTAGATATAGACTTAATGCATAAGAAAATGTAGTATATAATAAATGAGGTATTCTTGAAATTTTTTTTAAAAATGAATAGATAAATAAGAATTGTGTCAGAACAAGTGATTAGCTCCTGGAGGAGAAAAATAGAGCTGGATTCCCTATTTAACTCCTTGCACCAAAAAAAATTCTGGATGGATGAAATATTTACTGTTTAAATATTTAATAAGTGTATACACAGGAGGGTGTCTTAATATTTAATCTTGGTGTGAGGAAGACCTCTCTAAGCAATCTACCAACATCAGAACCCAAAACAGAAGGCCAGGGAGTGAGACTATCAGAAGATCATGTTTCCTTGAAAGGAAAGCTTACCGGGCTGTGCTCCAGAGTGATGGGCAGAAAGTAGGGAAGTAGCACTTAGGGATGGCACTAGACACTCTAACCATTTCCTACACACCCAAGACCCTCCTCTTCTTTGAAATCTACCCACACTCATTCTCCTCTAAAAAGGCCAGCCCATGTACCATGTGACCTGCCGCCACTAGCTGACACAGCTAATTGGACTGGAGGTGGACACCTGACCCAGGCTGAGTCAGTTTCTTCCCCAGGAATTCGGATATGGAACCCTGAGAATTTCTTTCCTCTAAAAAAGATCCATACATGACTCAGTATCAATCAGATTAGCTCTAAGGAGACAAGCTGTAAGGTAATGGAGGCTTGGGGGCCAGAGCGGGCTCCAAGACACCCATAAATGTGAGTGAGCAAGACCCAGGAAGCCGGTGTGAAGTGCACTGGAGTGCAGCAGAGAAAAGAGAGAACACCCTGTTCCAAGGCCTTGCCGAGAGCTCACTGAGCCTCAGAGGGACAGCAAGACTGGAGAAGCCAAGCAGGTGACTGTCTTATTCTCAGGAAGATCTTTTCCTGGAGATTCCCCCCACGACCCTTCAATAAGCCCTCTTTCCACCTGAGTTGTTTGGGCTGTTCATCTTCCTGGCAAATCCCTGATTCCCGATGAAGATGCAGCTCATAAGGCATGGATCCATTGTCAAGAACAGTGTAATAAGCAGGAAGGAACAAAGCAGAGGTAAGAGGAACCCATCTGCGAGGGACGAGACCCAGCTGCTGTCTCTGTTCTGTTTGAGAGGGATGTGAGCCAGCCATGAAAGCACAACCTGGGAAAACAGAACCATGGAAAACAACACTCAGTCACTCAGAGATTATGGAAGGGAAGAAGTCTGTGTTGGGAAGCCTGGTAAAGGAAAAAACCCTCAGAAGCAGCAAATGTGGGACAAAATGTCCCATGGTGCTTCTGTTTATTTTCAAGGGAGTAGACAAAGCGGAGAAACAGAGTGATGTTCAGCCCTTCAACGATTTTTATGAGGGCTGAACGAGTCAAGCCAGGTAGCTTGAAAGTGGCTGCCTCGCAGGTACAAAGACCCAGAATCCTCTGATTCCAGGAGGGAGAGCAGCTCCGCCGACTTTTCACAACCTTATATTGTTTCTCTGATTTTGATTTCTTCCTCCCTGAGGGGAAGTTTGAAGTGAGAAGCACAATAAAAGGAATCACCCTCACGTTTGAAGCCTCCTCTCTCCCTACTTAATGATAGTGCTGAGCTGGAGCTACTGGGCAGAAGTTGAGCCTTTTATAAAAATAGAATCCAACTTCACTGATCTCAATTTGGAGAATGGAGGCTCTTCTTGAAAAACTGTTTTTGGTTTTGTTTCTTAACAAGTCCAAAAGTACAAATCAGCCTAGGGCCACAGCCAGAAAGTGAAGAGTTGAGCCTCAAAGAAATAAGGAAAATTGAAACTAAGAGACATCAACAGGTCATGGGCCACCGTCATTTCTTTTTTCTTTTTTACTTTTTGGGATGGAGTCTCGCTCTGTCGCCTAGGCTGGAGTGCAGTGGCATGATCTCAAATCACTGCAACCTCCGCCTCCCAGGTTCAAGCAATTCTCCTGCCTCAATCTCCTGAGTAGCTGGGATTACAGGCACCTGCCACCACGCCCAGGTAATTTTTGTATTTTTAGTAGAGATGGGGTGTCACCATGCTGGCCAGGTTGGTCTCGAACTCCTGACCTTGTGATCTGCCCACCTCGGCCTCAAAGTGCTGGGATTACAGGCGTGAGCCACCACGCCTGGCCCCACTGTCATTTCTGTTGTAACTTTAGTAGTAGTGAGACTGTGTCAGTTGGTTATGTCTCCGCAGCCATGAATCTGAGCTGAAAAGCAACTTTAATTCCTGCTGATGATTGAGGTGAATGGGGGAGCAAGTGTCTTCCTTTTTACATACCTATCCAAGATATCAGACATGGCCTCGTCCTCCCCCTGGTATTAGAAGCATAGGCAGGAGAGCACTATATATATATATACTCTTGAGGAATGAGCTCTTGAGATAAAGCCCATCCCTCTAATTCTATTTGTGGCTAAATAACATCCCTAGATAGTAATTATACAGTTTTTCCACCTTAAATTTCCCCTCTTTCTCTCATTTCAAGCTGGTTCTTAGGATACATGGCAAGAGAGAAAGAAGACGTGTATTAGTCCATTTGCATTGCTATGAAGGAATACCTGACACTGAATAATTTATAAAGAAAAGAGGTTTACTTTGACTCACAGTTCTGCAGGCTATCCAGAAAATGTTGTGTGGGCATCTTCTTCTGGTGAGGCCTCAGGAAGATTACAATAATGGCAGAAGGCAAGGGGAAACAGCATATCACATGGTGAGAGAGGGAGCAAGAAAGAGAGAAAAAAAAAAACAAAAGAAGCAAGAGAGAGAGGCAGCGGATTCTTTTCAGCAACCAGATCTCACATGAACTCATTACCAAGTGGAGAGCACCAAGCCATTCATGAGGGATCCACCCCATTACCCAAACACCTCCCATCAGGCCCCATCTCCAACACCAGTAATCACATTTCAACATGAGATTTGGAAGGGACAAACATCCAAACTATATCAATACATAAGCCATAGGATCACTGTGTTTGTTCCCAAAATCCACAACCAGAATTAGGGTGAGGTGAGTGAGGCACTATCCTCAGTTGCAAATTTTTTTTTCAGACTGGATCAGGCTCTGTTGCCCAGGCTGGAGTGTAGTGGCATGATCTCAGCTCACTGCAACCTTCACCTCCCAGGGTCAAGCCATCCTCCCACCTCAGCCTCCCGAGTAGCTGGGACTATAGGCACATGCCACCATGCCTGGCTAATTTTTTACTTTTTTATAGAGATGAGGTCTCACTAAGTTTCCCAGGCTGGTCCCAAACTCCTGAGCTTAAGCAATCCTCCTGCCTCAGCCTCCCAAAGTGTTAGGATTACAGATGGGAGCCACTGCACCTAGCCTCCTCAGCTGCAAAATTTAAGGAGCTACCAAAACACTCAGTAATCAAGATAAGTAATTTTTTCATGCAATAGTTTAGAAAAACAAAATAGATACCAAAAGAAATCTGATTTTTGAGGCACAGACTTAAATGTAGCGGGTGAGGAGGATACCTGATCCACCTCACCTGATCCCAGCCCTGCCCAGAGTAGGATTTGGAGGTCTGTGGAGCATGTAGGAAGAGAGAAAGGGGTTTACAGACAGAAAAGAAGAAAAGGTTCTTCCGAAATCATACAAAGAGAGCCTTCCTAGCTCAAGGAAATTGAGAAAAAGAATTCTATAGGCTCTGGAAACCCCGGGAACCAAGTGGTGACACTGCAAGGGGTCAGGACGGCAAGGAGGAATCATCAGTGTGGCCATGGAAAGAGGGCCACGGGCAGTTGTACAGAGTATTCTTTGGCCCTAGAGTGACAAGGAAGCAGCAGGGAACCACTGGGCAGGGACGGTGAGTGAGTCAGTAGTAACCCCAGGGGAACTAGTGACTAAAGGATGCACCCCATGACTTAGCACTTCATAAGATGCAGGGACTGCAGTCCAATGTGAAGTGACAGCTAAGATCACCGCCTGCTGGCCAGCAGGATGGAGGTACACACTGAAAACATAATTAGATTTACAGAAAATAAAATTAGGCAATAATTGTTGCATACCTGTGGCTTCAGACAAATTTTAACACCTGCTGTATCCAGATAGGGAAACCAAGGTCAATGGGCTAATTAAGCAGCTTGAATTAAGACTGCATGAATCTATATTTGCTGGAAAAACATAAAAATTTAAACATGTCAGTTAAAAATGACATCCGAGGTTTAGGAAGAATTCCTATTTAAATCATACTTTCTGTTTCCAGAGTTACCTCCGTGATGCTCATGCATAAATCTCTCACTGTCAAATGCCTGGGAGCCTTGGTGATGACTGACAGGAAATGAGAGCAATCTGAGAGCCATCTGTCTTCCCCTAACCTCACCTCCCACCAAAGTTCTTTTGGGAAGTTAGAGTTGAGAATGTATAGAGCATGCTTCTTTCTATCAGATCAGGAGAGAGCCCAAGATCTCACAAGTGAAATTTACTTTCAGATCATGATGAAGTTATTGGCTTCCTGTTGACATAAATTACACAGGTACCACAATAGAAGACACATCATTTTCTCTTTGCTGAATGGCTTTTCTAATAGCAGCTGGATTTCTCAATGTAATTTTTCTTAAGGTCAAGTTTTCCTCTCTGAGTATATTCAGAGATATGAAACTTGTCAGAACAAATCTAGATATATCTTTATGTTCTTTTATTATTTGATTCCAAGATTCTATCAGGAAGATAGACATGGAAAAAAAATAATATACCATTAACAACAAAATAAATATCTGATGCTACTCTGTACAGTACCTGTGTAAACAGAAAGAATACAACCCAAGGGAAAGAGAGAAATTTCCACTATTTATCTCAACTACCATTGCTTTCTGGAAAATAACTACAGGGTTTTCACCACAATATATTTCCAGATTCTAGGATGTCGTCACTGTAAGATACACCCTAGGGTTAATACGGTCTTTCAAGGTGAAAAGGAAACAATATTAAGCATTCATCAACAGTAAAATGCACTCCAATTGAAGGAATTCTAAAATGTGAAAAAATATTCATTCAGTTAAGGAAAAACAGCAATGGAGATTCTATCTCAGAAACTCAGCCATTAGTATCTGCCATAGAGGAATGACCCTGGGGATTTTACATCGGGACTAATGGCAGGATGCTAAAACTTAGGATCAAGATACAGGAATGGAGAGACGTGAGTTTTCCAGGTTTCCTAGGCAGGGTGGCAAGGAGAGAAGATCCACAGCCTTTGATAATTATGAGTTCAGATCTCAGCTCTGCCAGTTATGACATGTGTGACTTAGAGCCTCAGTTCCCTCACTGATACATTGGGAATTGCTTCATGCATACAACAAATATTTATTGTGAGCCTACATTTTTCTAGGCATTGACAATACAAAAGGAACAAGACAGAGAAGATTCCTTCCTGTCCTCCTGAAGCTTACATTCTGAAAGGGGGTGGTGGGGAGCAAACAGGTAGACAAACAAAATAAACGAGATTATTTCAGAGGCTGAGGAGTGCACTGGAGGAAACGAAACAAGGGGATGGGACAGCATCTGAGGGAGGCCGCCTCTCAGGGGAGGCAGTATTTGTGCTGAGACCTCAAAGAGCTGGAGGAAAATCATTCTAGAGAAAGGAAATGATCAGTACAAAGGCCCCAAAAGGAGATGGCTGTGTTTGAGAAGCCACAGAAGCATCTGTGGGACTACAGCAGAGCTAGCATGTGGAGAGGGTTGGAGATGAAATCATTGAGGTAGGGAGAGCCAGGCCATTTTTCTCCTCTAGGCCACGGTGAGGAGGTAGCCTGAGTTCTAAAATGTAATGGAAAGCCATCTTAAGCTGAGGACGACATGATTAAATTTCTGTTTAAAATTCACTCTAATGATGGTCATTCATGCAAGAGATGCTGGGGTGGGATAATAACACCTATACAATGAGGTTGTTTGAGGATTCTCTGAGAAAATGTCAAGGACCTGGCATATACTGGAAGCTTGCCTGGCTTGAAACAGGACAGAAGTGGCAGGGAGTTCATACACCAAGAGAAACTCTCAAAGAACAAAGGACAGTAGTTGGTGGATACAACTCCAGTTTTCTTGCCCAGTATGAGACAGTTCTGAAGTGTGTTCAAGAGCGCTCTCAGTGGACGTGAGCTCCAGTTGCCCACAGCGGCCCTCACACGTGAATGCACTCTTTCTTGGCCTTCCTCTCTTCCTGGACTCATTTCCCCATTTCTTCTCCACACTTCTTGGTTTTGCCTCCCAAATAAACTATCCACCTATGTCCTTGTCTCAGGGTCTGCTTGGGAGAACCCCGTGTCCCCAGATTTCTCCAGGTAGGCTCAGCTTCCTCCCACTCTGGCCAGCAGCATCCAGCACCACCTGGGTGAGCTGCTCTCCACTCCTCAGCACAGCTATAGAGCTGGACCCTCGTTACTCACACAGGCCCAGCCAGTCTTGCTCACACACTGGAACTCATTCTAATCCCTCTTTTGAATAAAGAAAACCAGAATTATTTCTGCAAACCCTCTGAGTTTGCTGGTACCCTGGATTACATGGCTAAAAGCTTCCTCAAAGCCAGCAGGGTGCACTCACTCAGAGAGCCCTGGACCCAGAGCCGATCTGTGCCCTGGTCCTCTGGGATCAGCCTCAGTCTGGGCAGCCAAGCATTAGGCAGGTCCATTCCAGTCAAGAGGGGCTAGATGGTCCCCAAGCTCAGTGGCCTCCTGCTCATTCTCACTGGCTATGAGAAAGTCACAGGCTGGTTTCCCTGGGAAGCAGACACTGAAAGAGAGGCATGTGTGCAGGAAGTTTACTGGGGACTGTTCTGTGTCAGCACTTGCTGGGGAAGAAGGTATGAATAGCGTGGGACTGAGCAGAAGAAGGAGCTAACTGTGGTCTAGTTGAAACCAAGGCCATGTCTGATCCCACATGGAGCTACAGCATGGCCCTGTGAGCTGTCCTGAGTTGAAGCAAGGGGACTGGACCTTTTTAACCCAGATCAACCTGTTATCGGATGTGAGCTTCCCTGGAGAAAGATATGACTGAGTGAGGAGACTCAATTCAGCCCAGGGCAGGATCAGAATAGTGGGTGCTTCAGGGATCAATAAGGCAACCAGAGCCTCCACATCAGTGTCATGAGTTTTCAGGGGAAGAGAGAATCAGAAACTCCCGTGCCACCTGGAGCAGGTAAGAAACACAAAGCTGTTGCCTTATGATTGCCCAACTCAAGAGGCACTGGAGCCAAGCCCTAGAAAGAACACAAGTCACTTGACAGTCACCCCTGGGGCTTCTCCACTGGAAGTGTCCCCCTTGGAAGGACCAACCATGACTCCTAAGCCACCTCCACATTCACCATCAACTCCCAACAAATCTGTAGGTGATTGGGTTGCATGTGATGCCCCTGGCCCCACAGTACTGGCCACTGGTTTCAAACACAGCCTTCCAGGTCTCATGAAGTGGAAGGACTGGGGCTGGAGTTAAAGGAGCCTCTAGAAAAAGTACCTCTGTTGCAGAAAGGAGTCTTTTTAGTATTGCTTATCCATGGGTATTTGGGATCTGGCCTTGCAGGATCAGACACAGAGCAGAGGCCGGGAACGGAAGGGATGGTGCCACTCTGCACTGCAGGGCTTATCTGGCAGCTGGCATTTTTTGTAAACCAAGTGATGACAGGCAAGTCAGGTTATTTCTCTGAGCCTCAGTCTCCCCATCTGTAAAGCAGGGCTGAGAATCATAGCCAGTGGTGCCATTGTTCTGGGTGGAAATGAGATACACACTGGAATTCACTCCAAGAGCTATATATTAAGTGCTACACAATTGTCAAAGTTTTGAACACAGCTTTGTTGTAATAACAACACAGCTTCTGTGTTATTTCTCAATTATGTTCAAATATTATCATTTGAGTAATAAAAAGCAAAACCATGTGGTAAACCATGAGAGAAAAGAAGCTTTCATCACTCTTTATGGGAGGATAAATTAAAAAATCAAGTTGGCAATATCTGATCAAGTTGGAGATTTTCTATCTAAGAAAAGAAATTCTCCTACACATGTGCAAAGGATGCATATAGGATGGATGGTAAATACAGCATGTTTGTAAGAATAAATAATTACTGAGAAACAGCCTAAACGTCCAATGGAAGAGAAACTAAGAAAGTTTAGTGGACAGATCCAAGCAACACTGAGGAAGTAAATCAATGGGGAGGGACTGATTCAGGAGTCAGAGAGTGAGGTATCAAGGGTGATGCCTGTGTTTTGAACTTGCTGAACAACACCATTCCCTGAGATAGGGAGAAATAGAGGAAGGACAGGTTTGGAGGTGATAATTGTGCATTCTGCTGTAGAGGAACCTCTGATGGCTGTGCAGGGATATGTTCTGTAGGCAGTTGGAAAGGTGGGCCTAGAACTTAGAGAAGCCTTGGATGGAAACATAACTGGGGGCAGGGAAGGAGAAGCTCATCTGCAAATAGACAGTGAGTGTAAATGAAGTTGCCAGGTGAAATAGAGTGAAAATAGAGTCTAGGACTGAACTTTGAGGACCTGCAACTATATTTTTAACAACTTTATTGAGGTATAATTGACACACAATAAACTGCACATAACAAAAGTGTACAATTTGGTAAGTTTTGACATATATACCCCCATAAATCCATTATTACATTCAAGAAAATGAACACGTCCCTCTTCCCCAAAGTTACCAAGTGTTCCCTTGCAATCCTTCTGTCCCTCCTCTCCCCATTTCCATCTCCAGCAAACCCCCTGATCACTTTCTGTCACTATAGATTCACTTGTATTTTCTGGAATAGTATGTAAATGAAATAATCAAAATGTAGTCTTTTTTTTCTTCTTTCATTCAGCCTAATTCTTTGGCAGTCCATCCATGTTGTTCGTGTATGAATAGTTCATCCCTTTTTTGTGGCTGTTATTCATTGTGTGGATATACAATCTGTTTATCCATGCACCAAATCATGCCCATTCAAGATGTTTCCACTTTGGGGCTACTACAAATAAAGCACCTATAAATATTGTGAAGTCTTCATAGGACATATGCTTGAATTTCTGCTGGGTAAACATCTAGAAGTGGAATATCATATGGTAGGTACATGTTTAACTTTTAAAGGAACTACCAAACCATTCTCCAAAGGAGAAGTCCCATTTTATACTCCCAGCAGCAATGTACGGGAAGTTCCAGTCACTCTGCATCCTCGCTAGTAGTTGGTAAGGTCAGTCTTCTCATTTTAGCCATTTAATTTTAGCTATTCTAATGGGTGTATAGTGATATTTCATTGTGATTTTAATTTGCATTTCCCTAGCCACTAAGGATGCAACTACAGCTTTTAGCAACTGGAAGAAGACTGAATCTATACAAGAGATCCAAAGGTATAGGAGAAAAAAAAACCAGAAAAATGTGACATCATGGTAGTCAACAGGAGAAATTATTCAAAGAGAAAGTGGTCAATAGGGTCAAGTGATGCTAATTTGAGGATTGAAAATTCTCTTTTGGATTTAGTGAAATGAAGGTTACTGGTGTCTTTATCAAAATATGTTCTAGTAGCAACTGAATCCAGCTTCCAGCCTCTTTCACGTGTTCAGAATGAGTCCCATTACACTGCCTGCTGGGCAGCACCCACTCCTCAGGGGTCTGAGTCCCTGCTCCACAGGGCCCCTTCTCCAAGCTTCTGAGGTTAAAGCACCAGCTGGTACTTCTTTGATGTGGTTTCAAGTTTCTAGGGGGTGTCAACGGTTTGGTTTCCCGAGAAGCCAACTCTAAAATCCAGATTAGCATCCAAAAGGCTTATTAGGGAGTGGTCTCAGGATCATTACCTCTGGAAGGGAAAGGAAAGAAGCAGGATTGGGCAAGGGAGAAAGTGGGCTATGATGCAGTCTCAACCAACAGTTCAGCCAACCCCCATGGGCAGGTCCGTAGTTGGATGGCCCTTCAGTATTGTCCCTGTTTGGGACAAAGGAGCTGAGCCACCATACCCTACAGGGACTAGTCATTTGATATAGCCTGCTTCAGGAGGGAGCTGAAAGGTGTCTCTTCCAGTGGAGGGTAATTCCTGTAGAGGGCTGAAAGCTGAGAGCCATCATCCAGCAGCACCCCAAGGAGCTTATTCCCTTCAGTCTTGGAGGACCTGAGTGGCATACTACAGTGTCCACTACAAGAAATTTCTCCTTCAATAGGTTCTAATAACCCCAACTTCTTCCCTTGGTTCTCCAAAGAACAGGAGCCACTTCCTGCAGTTACTATCTCTAAATTATACCAGAGCCTCCTTTGTGCTTCTTCCATTTTCCAAAACCTGATTAAGCAATTCCTTATGTTGAATTCTCTAGTACTATTCCGGTTTTCCTAACTAACACACGCCTCCGCCCAGATGGCTCCAAAACTGTTAGGGAAGGTAGACGTGAAAAAGCCACACTCTTGACTAGATTTTGTGGCCTACTAACCAGGTCATTCATAATCTAGGAAGGTCAATTTGGGAAATATTAGGATATGTCTTGCTGTCAGCTCACACAGACTCCCAGAATCATCTGCAAAGACCAATATTTCAGCACAGAAATCTGGAATGTGTCCTGGGTGTATGCCCTGCAGGTAGGAATGTGCTTGAACTCTGAGCTCCTTCGAGCCCCAGTGTAATCCATTTACTGCATTTCTGACATATTAATGTACTAAATGGCTCCCTCGTGATCTGAAAATGTTAACACGGTCACAGCCTGAGCGCCTGACTTCACATAGAAATGACTCAGGCTCAGGGATAATTGGGGCTGAAAAGCAGTATAACGGTATTGCAGGAGCAAGAATGATTCAATGGTTTGTTTTTTTTCTTTCCATGTCTCAGACTGCACCAAAACTGATTTTTGGTAAGACTGAAATGCAAGAGACCAAGATTAGTGCATCCTAAATAAACAGGTCTTGTCAACTAATCAAGTGTCCTTCACATCTATATGTAGTCATATCAGCTTCAGGAGATATGCCTGAACTATAATTCATTTTTGAATTTTTGTGCTGTCATCACCAGCACAAAGAAGTAATCAGAATACAGGCCCACTTCTGTTATTCAGAGCACATTTTATTAACACAGAAAGACCACAATGCACCTTATTAATCTCACAGGGGGAGTTTAGACCCTGGTAAGCACCACTCCTGTAGTACAGAATAAACTTGGTTACAAAGGGGAAGCAAAACACATCATTATTACCAAAATTCCTCACTGATGACAATGCTTACCCCCCAAAAATGTATTAAAGGCTTTAAATATACAAATCTAAAAATATGTTGTGACATTTAACATTGACTTAATTTTTTTAATATGCTTTAAAATATACTCAGTGTCTCTCCCTCTGATTCACCAATTATGTGAAGAAGCCTCTTTCATTGTTTTTCTCTCAAACTTCTATCCTTTTCTCTGTCCTTGAGCAGAACTGGGGGCTGGACAGATTCCCAAGGTGGTGACTATGATACCTGCTCCACAACCCTCTTGTGCTGGCTCCGGAAGTGACCCTCGCTGCTGGGGGACACCTGCTTCTGTCGTTTCACTGTATTGGTCTTGCCAGCTGTTTCGATCCAGGGGTGCTGAAGAACCTGATGAGCTGTGTAGCGCTTTTTGGGGTCTACCACCAGCAACCGGCTCACCAGATCTTTAGCAGCTGTTGGAATGAGAGAAGGGGAAAATGTGATGAATGCAGGTGGTTCTGAATTTTTCTTCCCCACACATGAAATAAGAACATAAACATTCACGTCAGCACCACGGCTGGCTGAAAGCCTCCTTCATATTCTAGAGCAGCACAGTCCAATAGAAGACAGGAACATTCTCTATCTGCACTATCTACCTGCGATTATTGAGCATTTGAAATCTGGCGTGTGAAACTGAGGAAGTGAATATTTATATGATTTACTTTGAGTTAATTTACATTTGCATTTAAATAGCCACGTGTGGCAGCAGGGAGGGGGGTTACCATGTTGGACAGCACAGCTCGAGAGGACGTTCCTTCATTTCTCTGGAATCGCAGGGCCAGACCCACTCTTAACATCCCTGGCACTCAGGGCAAAGGAACAAATGGAGAACACATGCTATACATCTACATACTTTAAGGTTTCAAATCGAAACTAACACATTGTTAAATAAAATATGTTCAATCTTTCCAAGTCAATACATATGCCTTCACATTGACAAAACTGAAAACCGTGTAAAGAAATCTAAAAAGTAAATAGTGCAAATTCAAAAATAATTTTATTTTCTGCCCAAGACCATGACTGATTTTAGAGAAATGAGGGCCCAACTGGTGGGCCCAGCAGCAGGCAGAAAGCAGAAGAGATTTCCCCCTGGCTTGCTGGCTCTCCCAGCCTGGCTCATTGAGACTGCTCTTCCAATCACTCAAGATATGCACAAGAAGAAAACATCCACTTTTTGTTGTTGTTATTTTTTGCCTTTATTGAAGGCTGTCTCTTACTCAAGACCAGCTGCTTACCCACCAATCACCGCTCCCCTCCCCCGATGTCCAGCCACCTCCTGAGCACAGAAGGCCCAGATTCCTCCTACACCACCCAATTCAAGCTGGGAAAATTCTGCCCCAAAAAGCCCCAGCCCCACCACTGCCACATCACTCCCTCAGGGTCCTCAAATGACTCAGAGGCTGGAAGGCCAGATTTAAGTTGAGAATCCTCAGACTCTTGTGTACAAGTGTGGACAACCAGACACCCCAGGCAACATGTCCAAGCTCTGTCTAACCCCTCCAGATGGCCACTCCTTGGCCACTTTATGGCATAGTGGGAAGAGGCTGGAAAGAGGTCTCACAAACCTTGGATGTGGGCTTGGGCCATTTGGACAGGGAATTCAGGGGCCCTAAGGAAGTGATCTAGAAGAGGGGACCTGGGCTCTGGGGGCACATCCCCTAGGCCCCATACTCTCCTCACTCTGTAGAGAAGGGTGTGACTACAGCAGGGCCCAGGACAGGGGCCACCCATGCCCAAATCTAAGGAGTGCTGCATAGAACTTTCTAAAATGATTTTTAGTCCCTCAATTCCCAGTTGCCACTGCCTTGTCAGCTCAAGATCCTCATCTACTGTGACAAGCCACCCTCTCCCTACCTTATTTAAAGGGGGGAAAATGAAGATTTTCCCTTCCCTCATCCTCCAATCCCAGTGAGGAAATAGAGGCTAGGGATGGAGGCAGTTCAATAACTAAAATTCAATAGCATGTTTAGGGAAAATTGAAAAACAAAATGTTATCACTCCTATTCTACTTTATTTTTATTTTTATTTTGAACCAGGGTCTCTGTCACCCAGGCTGGAGTGTGGTGGCACAATCATAGCTCACTGCAGCCTCAAACTCCTGGGCTTAAGTGGTCCTCCTGCCTCAGCCTCCAGAGCAACTGGGACCACCCCTGGCTAATTTGTTTCATTTTTTGTAGAGAAGGGGTATCGCCAGTTGCCCAGGCTGGTCTCAAACTCCTGGTCTCAAGCAATCCTCCCACCTGGGCCTCCCAAAGTGCTAGGATTATAGGTATGAGCCACCACACCCAGCCTCCTATTCTACTTTTTAAGCTAAAGACTCAAAATCCCCAATTATCTAGTTCCCAGTTTTACAAGGACAGTGAGTAGTACAGACAAATCAGTAGAGACAAGGGGAAGGATTTCATTTGGAATCAAATGGAACAGAGGGCCAAAAGCAGGGAGGACCATGCATGCTCCAAGTCACTAAAAAATAACTGAGATCTTCATTGCAGAGCCCCTGTGCTTCAAGTGTGCTGCTATAGGACCCTTGATTATGCATGTGTAAAATAAGCATTTTCAGTCTGTTCCATTCACAAACACTTCTGCATATAAGATGGCCTTTCTCTTTCCAAAGGGGAGTTACAATGTTTCTGATATTTTTCTGTTCTGAGGTTCTTGAATTGCCTTAAGGAAAAGTACTTGGTGACTGTAACTGGTGGTTGGGCTTTTTCACTAAATCTGAAAGCAAGCCATGTTTTCAGAGTGCTACACAAACCTACATGAAGCTACTGAGGAAGTAAAGGCTGAGACATGACATGTTGACAGTCCAACTCTGCACCAGGCACAGTGGTGGGTCCTCTACACATCTGACCTGAAAAACCCATCCGCTCCTCTGCTGTGTGAGGAAGCCCCAAATCTCACCATCAGAGATATTGTCCCAGTAAGGGGGGAGGAACTCAAAGTGGCCCAGCTGGATGATGTTAAAGAGCTCGTCCTGGTCCCTCTCAGGGCTGCGGAATGGGGGAAAGCCACACAGCAGGATATAGAGGATCACGCCAGCAGCCCACATGTCCACCTCCAGTCCATAACCTGCGCAGACAGAGGCAGAGACACAAGCAAACCTGAGACCAGGCAGGGTCAAAGGTGATGAAATAAATGATGGAGTATTGTGGTTCTAAATAGATCTAAGTCATAGAGGATCCCAGCTCTCAGCAACCAAGAGCCACTTCCAAACACAGCTCCCTGCTAACTCCTATACATAAGGACTCTACACCATCATTACTCAAAGTGTGGTCCATGGATCACTGCCACTTTGCAATGCCTTATTACTGGTCTGTAATAGAATGAGCAGAGAAATTGAAAGCAAGTGTTTGGAAACTCTTATAGCAATTTAACAAGACTGTGACGCTCAGTTGCATGATTGAAGGGCACATCTTGTTGAACAGCACATACATCAGTTCAGGCGTTGTCAAACACATGTAGTGAGTCACATGTGGCATGAGATGTGTTCTAGTCACATGCAGCAGGACCGTGAGTCCACACTGTACTGGAAACTTTAAAACTTGACCCTTCACTGGAGGTAGTTAGAGAAGCCCCAGTCTACACTAGCAATCTCTGCTTCCTATATATCCATTGTCTTCTCTCTCACTTAAAAAATATCATTTACTGGCTTTTTAAATGATTTTTAAAAGACTGATGTTTACTAGCTGTATCCCCATGTGTGCACACACTGGTATACAACACACACACACACGCGCACACACCTATATAGAGACATGTATACTTTTCTAAATAAAATGTTTATTTACTTTTCTAAATAAAAATAGGATCACATTGCACCTATACTCTATTTTATTTACTGAATATTATACAATGACATTTCCAACATAAGAATTTCCTATGAAAAATACCAAAAATATTTTTTACAAAAATGATTTCTAATAACTATTAGTATCCCCTTTACATAATAAATCCCTATGTTGTAATTTAAGTTTTTACTAATTTTTTTACAGCTGTAAGGAATTTTCTGATGAGCATTTATTAAATATTTGTGCACATGTCTGATTATATTCCTAAAATAACCTTCCAGCAATGAAATAGACAAAGCAATATACAGTAAAGGTTTTTGATACATATTACACATTGTCCTCCCAAAACTTATCACAGCAATATAGACATTTTCAAACACTTTCTAACTAACTTTTTACAGTTAGAAAAAGAAAACACTTGACCACTGTAATTTAGAAGTTAGATATTCATAATTAAGCCCCAGAGTAAGTTTGTCAAAATACAAATCTGCAGGAAAATATTAAAAGAATAAGTCACTAATGACCTCTTTTGGTCTTTTCTCAGTTCTCAACCATCTCACTGTTGAGAGGGATTGATTTTCCTGGACCTCATCAATCCTAGAAATGTCCCTTGGCCTCTGTGACAATGCACTTTTCAGATCCTCTCTGGGCTGCTCAGCCTTTTCTCTGCTGATCCCTCCTTCCTTCTCTCATCCCTGAGCTCTTGGCCTCCTCAAGAATCTGTCCTTGGCTCTCATTCCTGGCATCACCAAGGAGCCCATTATCAACCATCTCTGTGTTGAGGAGTCTCAAAGCCACATGTTCAGCTCACAGCTTCACCTCCTTGCCAAGTGGACAACTCCATTATCCATCCTGATATCGCTACAAAGTCAGTGTATTCAAAATTAAACTCAGCCCATCCCCCTATCTCCCAAAAGAGCTATCCTTTCCAACACCCTGTTTTAGTTGGTGCTACCACCAATATGTGGTTTTCCCAAGAGTTTGTGTTGCCTATTTGCTTTCTTTTCTTCTCTTATCCAGTTCATCGATGCCACACCAAGTCTAAACATCTCTAACCAGTCTTCCCATTTGTGGAGAATTTAAGCTCAACCTACCCAACTGATACGGTTTGGATATTTGTCCCCTCCAAATCTCATGTTGAAATGTGATTCCCAATGTTGGAGGTGGGGCCTGGCGGGAAGTGATTAGATCATGGGGGTGGATCCTTCATGAATGGTTTAGTACCATCCCCTTGGTGACAAGTGAGTTCTCACTCAGGTAGTTCACTTAGGATCTGGTTGTTTAGAAGTCTGGGACCTCCCTCTCTCTCTCTTGCTCCCAGTCCCACCATGTAACATGCCGGTTCCCTGTCACCTTCCACCATGAGTGTAAGCTTCTTAAGCCCTTATCAGAAGCAGAGCAGATGGCTGGCACCATGCTTGTACAGCCTGCAGAACCCTGAACCAACTAAACCTCTTTTCTTTATAAATTACCCAGCCTTCGTTATTTCTATAGCAACAGAAAAACCTGACTAATATACCAACCAATTGTGTTTCTCTCTGGTCCATTGAGGCTAGTCTTCTCCATGTCTCTAACACCTGACCTCATGCATGTTGTCATCTCCTCATCTTTTTTTTTTTTTTTTTGAGATGAAGTTTCACTCTTGTTGCCCAGGCTGGAGTGCAATGGCACGATCTTGGCTCACTGCAAACTCCACCTCCCCGGTTCAAGCAATTCTCCTGCCTCAGCCTCCCGAGTAGCTCAGATTACAGGCATGTGCCACCACGCCCAGCTAATTTTTTTGTAGTTTTAGTACAGACAGGGTTTCACCATGTTGGCCAGGATGGTTTCAAATGCCTGACCTCAGGTGATCCACCTGCCTCAGCCTCCCAAAGAGCTGGGATTACAGGCATGAGCCACCATCCCTGGCCATCTCCTCATCTTAATTATCCTGATGCTTCTGCTGCTGGGAAACTATCCGTCCATCCCTTCTCCCTGTCACCAACCCTGCAACCCAATGAGAGTCTTCCCATCTTACCAATGGTGGGTAAATTGGTTTCTCCTGGAGTGCCACAGTAGTCAAATAGTCATTCATATATTTAGAGCCATATCATAACTATTATTTCCTTTTTAAATGTTTTAGAAAGTTTGTCACTAAAACAGCTCATTGGATCCTTGCATAATATACAAGTAGGTAATAAATATTCATAGAGTTCATGGAGGAAAATGGGATCCTTTTCCTTTAAATGCAAGGTTGGTGAAGAAATTTTTAAACCAAGTACCATAAGGACTGCTTCAATTCTCTCCTATTAGAGATAGCCTTGGGTCAAGTAGCCTTGCTTGCTTGAGTTCCCCACCCAATTCTCCATCATCTTTCATCTCACTGTCCTGCCTAAACACAATAAACACACACACACACACACACACATGCACACACACTGATCCATTGACTGTAACAAGGGCAGCCCTAATGAGGAGAAAGCTCTCATGCTTTGGTCAAGCCTACTTCAAATATTTTCATTGAAGTCCAAATCCAAGCCTAAGTGTCAGTTCTCTGAGATTTATTCCATATTGAAAACTAGTAAATATGACAAATGAAACATTTGTTAGTAAGGGAACTAGAGTCCCACAGATCGATGTGTAACACTTACCTTTCTCAGAAAGAATTTCGGGAGCTACGTAAGTTGGGGTCCCACACACAGTAAATATAGGTCTCACCACATGCTTTGCAAGTCCAAAATCAGCCAATTTCAAGGTAGTAGATTTGTCCTCATTTCGCTGAACCTGTAAGAAACCAAAATCCCCAAACCACCAAAATTGTGATTAGAACAAAGAAGGGATACTAATGAAACAACAGCCATGCAAGGTCAAGAAAAGCAAACCATAAACCTATATGAGATTACAGCTTAGCCCAACACTGACAAAGCTAACTTGACCTCAATGACAAGGGCTCACATTTTCAACTTAAGAACCAATGAGTTAGATTTACTAGGCCGTCCAATATGGTAGCACCATATTGTCACAAGTGGCTACTTAAGTTTATTAAGTAAAATTAAATTTAAAATTTAGCTTCTCAGCTGCATTAGGCACATTTCAAGTGCTCAAAAGCCACTTGTGGCTTGTGGCTACTATATTGGGAAACACAGATAGACACACTTCCATTGTTGCAGAAAGGGCTATTAGACAGCATTGACTTAGAACAAGGATCAAGGATACTTTGAGCACAGACTAGCTTTCATGAGCATTAGAAAATGCCTCTGGGCAATGCAGAGGCTGGGCAGAGGGAAAAAAGAAAGGAAAAAGACTGGGAATTAAAATGAAGAAGTATGGGGCAGGGGTGAGGGGGAGATAGGGACGGTTAATTGGTACAAAAAGAATACTTAGAAAGAATGAATATGACCTATTATTTGATAGAAAAACAGGGTGACTATAGTCAATGATAATTCAATTGTACATTTTTAAATAACTAAAAGGGTATAATTGGATTGCTTGTATTAGGTTGGTGCAAAAGTAATCACACAAGGATAAATGCTTGAGGGGATGAATACCCCATTCTCCATGATGTAATGATTATGCATTGCATGCCTGTATCAAAACATCTCATGTACCCCAAAAATATATGCACCTAGTATGTACCCTGATATGGTTTGGCTGTGTCCCTACCCAAATCTCATCTTGAATTGTAACTCCCACAATTCCCACATGTTGTGAGGGGAACCCGGTGGGCAGTAATTGAATCATGGGAGTGGGTCTTTCCCATGCTGTTCTCATGATAGTGAATCAATCTCATGAGATCTGACAGTTTTAAAAATGGGAGTTTGCCTGCACAAGCTCTCTCTTTGCCTGATGCCATCCATGTAAGATGTGACTTGCTCCTCCTTGCCTTCCACCATAATTGTGGGAAGGCCTCCCCAGCCATGTGGAACCATAGTCCATTAAACTCCTTTTTTTCCTGGTCTCAGGTATGTCTTTATCAGCAGCATGAAAATGGACTAATACAGTAAACTGGTACCAGTAGAGTGGGGCACTGCTGGAAAGATACCCAAAAATGTGGAAGTGACTTTGGAACTTGGTAACAGGCAGAGACTGGTACAGTTTGGAGGGCTCAGAAGAAGACAGAAAAATGTGGGAAAGTTTGTAACTTCCTAGAGACTTGTTGAATGGCTTTGCCCAAAATGCTGATAGTGATATGGACAATAAAGTCCAGACTGAGGTGGTCTCAGATGGAAATGAGGAACTTGTTGGGAACTGGGACAAAGGTGACTCTTGCTACATTTTAGCAGAGACTGGTGGCATTTTGCCCCTGCCCTAGAGATTTATGGAACTTTGAACTTGAGAGAGATGATTTAGGATATCTGGTGGAAGAAATTTCTAAGCAGTAAAGCATTCAAGAGGTGACTTGGGTGCTGTTAAAGACATTCAGTTTTATAAGGGAAACAGAGCACAAAAGTTTGGAAAATTTGCAGCCTGACAATGCAATAGAAAAGAAAATCCCATTTTCCAAGGATAAATTAAAGCCGGCTGCAGAAATTTGCCTAAGTAATGAGGACCCAAATGTTAATCCCCAAGACAATGGGGAAAATGTCTCCAGGGCATGTCAGAGGTCTTCATGGCACCCCATCCTATCACAGGTGTAGAGACCTACAAGGAAAAAGTGGTTTTGTGGACTGGGCCCAGGATCCCCATGCTGTGTGCAGCCTAGGGACTTGGTACCCTGCCTCCCAGCCGCTCCAGCCATGGCTGAAAGGGGCAAACGTAGAGCTCGAGTTGTGGCTTCAGAGGAAGCAAGCCTTGGTCAATTCCAAGTGGTAGTGAGCCTGCCATTGCACAGAAGTCAAGAATTGGGGTTTAGGAACCTCTGCCAGATTTCAGAGGATGTATGCAAACGCCTGGATGTCCAGGCAAAAGTTTGCTGCAGGGGAGGGGTTCTCATGGAGACTCTCTGCTAGGGCAGTGCAGAAGGGAAATGTGGGGTCGGATCCCCCAAACAGAGTCCCTACTGGGGCACTGCCTAATGGAGCTGTGAGAAGAAGGCCACTGTCCTCCAGCCTTCAGAATGGTAGACCAATGACAACTTGTACCATGCACCTAGAAAAGCCACAGACTTTCAATGCCAGCCTGTGAAAGAAGCCAGGAGAGAGGCTGTACCCTGCAAAACCACAGGAGCGGAGCTGCCCAAGACCATGGGAACCCACCTCTTGCATTAGCGTGACCTGGATGTGAGACCTGGAGTCAAAAGAGATCATTTTGGAGCTTTAAGATTTGACTGCCCCGCTAGATTTCAGACTTTCATGGGGCCTGTGGCCCCTTTGTTTTGGCCAATTCCTCCCAGTTGAAATGGCTGTATTTACCCAACACCTGTACCCCGACTGTATCTAGGAAGTAACTAACTTGCTTTTGATTCTACAGGCTCACAGGAGGAAGGGACTTTACTTGTCTTGGATGAGACTTTGGACTGTGGACTCTTAAGTTAATGCTGAAATGAGTTAAGACTTTGGGGAACTATTGAGAAGACATGATTGGTTTTGAAATGTGAGGACATGAGATTTGGGAGGGGCCAGGGCAGAATGATATGGTTTGGCTGTGTCCCCACCCAAATCTCATCTTGAATTGTAACTCCCACAATTCCCACATGTTGTGGGAGGAACCCAGTAGGAGGTAATTGAATTATGGGGGCGGGTCTTTCCTGTGCTGTTCTCATGATAGCGAATCAGTCTCACGAGATCTGACAGTTTCAAAAATGGGAGTTTGCCTGCACAAGCTCTCTATTTGCCTGCTGCCATCCATGTAAGATATGACTTGCTCCTCCTTGCCTTCCACCATGATTGTGGGAAGGCCTCCCCAGCCATGTGGAACCATAAGTCTATTAAACCTCTTTTTCTTCCCAGTCTCAGGTATCTCTTTATCAGCAGCATAAAAACAGACTAATACATACCCACAAAAATTAAAAATTATGAAAAATGAGGAAGTAAACTAATAAGCAGGAGAGAGATGTTAAATACAGGCCCTCATTTGGAGGGGTGGGGGATTAAGAATCAAACAGGCCAGGAGTCTTTGAACAATTCCAACTCCAAGACTTGAGGCTGGATGGTCTTGGACAAATTTCTTTACTCATCTGAGCCTCTGTTTTCTCATTTGTTAAAAAAAAAAAAAAATGGGCCGGGCTCGGTGGCTCATGCCTGTAATCCCAGCACTTTGGGAGGCCAAGACGGGCGGATCATGAGGTCAGGAGATCAAGACCATCCTGGCTAACACGGTGAAACCCATCTCTACTAAAAATACAAAAAATTAGCCAGCCTGATGGCGGGCGCCTGTAGTCCCAGCTACTCTGAAGGCTGAGGCAGAAGAATAGCGTGAACCCAGGAGGCGGAGCTTGAAGTGAGCTGAGCTCGCGCCACTGCACTCCAGCCTGGGCGACAGAGCGAGACTCCGTCTCAAAAAAAAAAAAAACGGGGGGTGGGGCAGGTGCAGTGGCTTACATCTGTAATCCCAGCTCTTTGGGAGGCCAAGGTGGAAGGATCACTTGAGGCCAGGAGTTCAAGACCAGCCTGGGCAACACGAGGAGACCCCACCTCTACAAATAGTAAAAATATTAGCCAGGCATGGTGGTGCATGCCTGTGGTCCCAGCTACTTGGGAGGCTGAGGTAGGAGGATCACTAGAGCCTGAGAAGTCGAGGCTGCAGTGTGCCATGATTGCACCACTGCACTCCATCCTGAGCAACAGAGTAAGACCCTGTCTCAAAATAAAAGAGGGGAGAATGGGAGTGACAGTTTCCAGCAAATAGGCTTATGTCACAAGTTTCATTCAATGTCTGTAATCTGCCTAGCAAAGTAATAGCTCTAGAGTGACCAAAAGGCCCAGTTTGCCTTGGACCTCCACCAGGTTTTAGAAAAGGGTAGAATTGGTCAATTTTTAAAATAGAGAAAAGGCACACTCACCTTCACTCTGAATGAATACAGAATCTCAAATGCTCCTTCCTTTTTCCCATTCAAAACTTATCCCACCTGTCTCACTCTTTCAAACAAGTCCAAGTGACTGGCTTTCTCATCTCTGGTAAGCCAAATCCCATTGCCAAGTTAGTATGTCCTGTCCTCCTCCCCCAACAAGGGATTTGATACAAGATTATGACTGTTGGATCTTAACCTAAAAGAAACTAATCACAAGAGGTAAGTGTGGCAAGTATTTAGGTCACTATGCTAGAAAAAATAAAACTAAATTTCACATGAAAAACCAAACCATGAGGGCGCAAACCCAGCATATCTTGCAGCAAGTAAAAGATGCATCGGTGCCGCCTGCCATTAAATAAGTTTTCCAGTTTGAGGGAAGGTTAAATAATCAGACACAAGTCAATACTCCAGCCTCCTTCCAAACTAGCTTGTACCCACACACGTAAGGCCCTGTTTCTCATGGTAGAAGCTGATTGCTCAGACCAAAGGTGAACTAAGCAGTTAATTAGACCACTGTGTGAAAACTTACTAGAATAAATTTGGGCAATCTTATCCAAGCAGGAGACTCATTAGTGCCACCACAGCTGTAGGAGAAATTATCAACTTGTCTGCAGGCATACACCCTCACATCTCTCCTGGAACTGGGGCAAAGGCTCTCAATGCTCCTACCAGTGCCTGGACAGGTGGGCAGTAGAGGAACTCTGCCTCTCCCTGGGACCCATCACAGCCATGGGCAACACCTAGAATGGCAGGGTGGAGCGGCCTTTCCCCTGTCTCTCCAGACCAGAATAAATTCTCCCCACTTGCTTTGGTTTCTGCCAGTGAGCTTACATCTCCATAAGCAGCATGTGTCTTAATTGCTGAGCCCCAGTCACCACCAGACAATCTAATCAATGTCTCCATAATTAACCTCACCAAATGGAAAGTCATAAATTTAGAACTAAAATGAAATTCTGCTCAGTCTGCATATAGAAACTGACATAGCCCAAAAGGAGACAACAGGGTAATTACCAGAATAATTTAAGAAAACCTTGTTTGGAAGGGAAGGAAAACAAAATAATGTGATACCAAAATGACCAGATGGATCATATACATTAATCGTAGTTGCTGGGTGACTGCTGGAAAAATATGTCTCTCACAAATATTTATAAATTAGTGGCATAAAAGCATTTGGCTGACTGGCCAGGCACAGTGGCTCATGTAATCCCAGTACTTTGGGAGGCTTAGGCATGTGGATCACTTGAGGTCAGGAGTTTGAGACCAGCCCGGCCAACATGGTGAAACCCCATCTCTACTAAAAATACAACAAAAAAAAACAGCTGGGCATGGTGGCGGGCCCCTGTAATCCCAGCTACTCAGGAGGCTGAGGCAGGAGAATCACTTGAACCCCGGAGATGGAGGTTGCAGTGAGCTGAGGTCGAGCCACTGCACTCCAGCCTGGGTGAAAGGATGAAGCTCCATCTTAAAATAATTAGTCTTAAAAACAAATAAAGCATTTGGCTGACTTAGTATACCAAAGTAAGAAGTGTGTTCCTATTGTGAAATAAGTGAAACATTACCTTCCTCATGGAAGCCCCCAATTCCAAAACCTGGCTCCACTGAGCTTGTAGCAGATTAAATGTTTTGGAAACTCACACTTTACTTTGAAAATTTATTATGTTAACTATCCAGAGACTGAAGGATATATTTTCAAAATGCCAAATCTGTTTTTAGAGTATGATATGGACCTATGTGAGATATATTATGCCTCTTCTAGTTTCTTCACACTAGAGCTTTTCTCTTTCAATCTCAGGATCATCCCCTGAGCATCAACAATTGCATAAGCAGAACTTGGTGGGGGGCAGCGGTTAAGATCAGTGGTGCCACTTGTCTCTTCCAGAAAGTGGCCCCAGATGGCCCGATGTTTTTAATTATTCTGTCTCCAGCTTCTGCTGTCAAGAGTTATTTAATATTCTTCAGTGTTGTCATTTATTTCCTCTACCTAAGCAGCTTAATTACATTTAAGGTCGCACACTGTCTGCAAGTTTTTTGGCTTATTTTTGCAACAAGCACCTCACATATTTGGCTTCAGAACAGTTCCTATCTTAAACCTTGAAATTAAATGAGTGATGTTGTCCTAGAATAATTCTTCTTCCCAGAATCTGTGGGACATCTGATACCATCAAACTCAAACCTCCACCCAAACAAAAAACGTGTCTCAAACATCCTCCCACCAGACTATCGTTCATGTCTGAATGAAATCTCAAAATGGAAAAGACTCCACAACTCTGTGCTGTAGTGCATCCCATTTATGGCAAGCTTAGCTTGTGAGGAGATTCACCCCTATGTTGATTCAGAATTCCTTTCCCACTCCTGTTTTCTAAATCTGCCCTCTCCAGTGATGCTGAATAAGAACGCATCCCTCCAAAGACGGGAAGCAAGTATCGTGATCCCCAGCTCGCCTCTGGCTTCTCCAAGCTAGCATCTGTGATGATTAATTTTAGATGACAACTTGACTGGATTAAGGAATACCTAGTACTGATAAAGTATCATTGGTGGGGGGTGGGGGGACGGTGTCTGTTAGGTATTTCCAGAGGAGATTGGTGTGTGAATCCAGGTGGACCAAGTGCAGAAGATCTGCCCTCAATATGGATGAGCAGCATCCAGCCGGCTGGGGGCTTGGATAGAACGAAAGTAGGGAAAAGGCAATTGGTGTCTCTCTGTCTCTCTCTCTCTGCACTCCCTCCTCCCCCTCCTCCTGGGACATCAGAACTGCAGGCTTTCTAGCCTTTGGGCTCCAAGACTTATACCAGTAACCCCTGGGTTCTCAGGCCTTCAGACTTGGGCTGAGCCACGCTACTGGTATCCCAGGGTCTCCAGCTTGTGGACAGCCAGTCATGGGACTCCTCAGTCTCCATAATCATGTGAGCCAAGTCCCCTAATAAATCCCCTCTCATACATCTCTATAAACATATATCCTATTGGTTCTGTCTCTCTAGAGAACTCTGGCTAATACAACAACCAAGGATGCTCTGGTGAATCCTTACAGGACCTGTTCTCCTGGTCACCCTCCCTCACTCATCCCTATTCCAAGTGCAGCCCCTGGACCCTGGACCAGCACCATCAGCATCTCCTGTGAGCTGGTTACAGCTCTCAGCTGCCCCAGAGCCCCTGAAACAGAATCTGCATTTCCTCACAACCTCAGAGAGGTCTGTGTCCACAGTAAAGTTCTGGATGGCCCCCATGATGCCTTTCTTAACCAAGAATGCCCAGCACCAAACGCCACACACCAGGTGTGATTCGATCAGAGCAGAGGACCTCAGGACTCTCGGCTGACCAGGCACTGGGTGGTCATCAAGACAGCCAAAGACCCCATCAAATGACCCACTTCAGTGTCCCTGCCTGAGAAAACCTTTCAGGGTTTTCCCGGGTTGTGTGTGTGTGTGGGGGGGGGGGGTACAAAAGCCCCCTTTACACACATCTCACTTTGCCCTCACCCCACATCTCCCTGTATCTCTTTTGCAGCCTAGCTAAACTCGCTGCTCTGGGCCATGTTCTTGCTGGGGCTCATTTTCGGTTGTTCCCTAACTGAAAGGGTGTAAGAGGTTGCTTTACATGGCACTGTAATGACTGTTATCTGTCTGCATCTATCATCCTTTTCCAGCCACACCAAAGTGTCATGCTTGGAATTCAAGTGGTCTACATTATTTACGTAGGCATTCAGATAGCATCTGGATAATCTGAAAGCTTCAAGAAGAATCTTTATTTTTCTGAACAATTAACTCTGCTCTCTCCTTCAATGGTACCTCAATTTAAATGTGATCTTGCAATTCTCATCTCTGAACAGAAGATGGAAGCAGAGTACAGACCAAACAACAAGTGGCTCCCTTAAGGATTAAGACATGGATAAAGTTTATTTATCTTTGCCACCTTCTTACTTGATCCTTCATGGTTTCTCGTACTTTTTCCCTCCAAGGTCCATTTTCAACTGGCTGTGAAGAATGAAATGATCTTAGAAACCAATTCACATTAAAATGCCAATACCTAAAATCCGTTTATATTTCAACGACAGCAAAATATACCATAACACAGGCCAGGTGCAGTGGCTCAGGCCTGTAATTCCAGCACTTTGGGAGGCCAAGGCAGGTGGATCACTTGAGTCCAGGAGTTTGAAGTGAGCCTACACAACATGGCGAAACCTCATCTCTACAAAAAATACCAAAATATTAGCCACGTGTGGTGGTTTATACCTGTGGTCCCAGCTACTTGGGAGGCTAAGGTGGGGGGAGTCTGGAAGGCGGAGGTTGCAGTGAGCTGAGATCACACCACTGCACCCAGCCTGGGTGACAGAGTCAGACTGTCTCAAAATATATGTACATACACCATATATACACACACACACACACACACACACACACACACACAAACACATAAACATACCATAATACAAAAGTATGACTGAAAAAAAAAATCAGTGAGGACAAAGTCTTCCCTGGGACTTGTCACATGGCATGCTCACAAGATAAGATGCTTTTGGTGTCTGTTTATTGCATCTGCTTATTTCTACTTAATTAAAATCTCATGTTCATTCAACAAATATTTACACACTTACCATCTGCCAGGCAGTGTTTGAAATATTAAGAATAAAGTAGTGAAGGAAACAGACAAAGTTCTTTTTCTTATGAAGCCTCCTTTCTATTAATGAACAATATTCAAATAAATATGTAATCTCAGGCAGTGATAAGCGTTATGAAAAAGTAAAAGTGGGATAAGGGCTGCGTTGTCTAGTACAGTATCCACTAAGTACACATGGCTATTGGTTTTTACATGAAACTTAAAATGCAGTTCCTTAGACAGGAGGAACTGCCCATGTGGCTAGAGACTACCACATTGGGCTATGCAGATACAGGAAATCTGTATCTCCATCATCACAGAAAATTCTACTGGCAATGCTGGCACAGTGGCAGGAGTTCTTTTTTTTTTAATAAGGTGGTTAAGGAAGGACTCACTGAGGAAGCAACATCTGAAAGAAGGCAAGGGTGAGCCATATTAAGATGTGAGGAGCAAGTTTTCAGGTAGAAGAAACAGCAAATGTGAAGGCCGAGGGGCATGCATGGTTTGATGTAGCAAGCAGGGGCAGGAGCAGGGCGAGTGAGGAGCTGAATGGCTGGAGAGTGGCTTTGAGAGGAAGATGGAGTCCACATCATATAAGACCTTCCAGGCCATGGAAATGACCTTGGCTTTTATTCTGAATGTGAATGCGAAGGGAAGCTAATGGCAGCTCTGAGCAAAGAAGTCACTGTAATGCACTGTCTTTTTAACCCAGTGTCTGGTCAGAGGTGGCCAGCCCAGCTGATGAAGGAATGGACTTTGGACTGTAGGTGTTTCCTGAACTTGATAGCCTCATATTTCACAGTACACTTTACTTCACCACCTAGTCATCCAATCAGATGATCATCTCAAATTCAACATGCCGGAAACTGATTTCACCTCGACCCTGCTTCTCTCCCACAGTTCCCCAACCCAGAGAATGGCTCCATCATCACATAAAGATGCTGTCATATCTCCCAACTTAAAAAAAAGACAACCCTTATTTTCTCTGCATCCCTCTTTAGCTACTGTCCATTCTATGATCTCCTTCGTGCGTGCACACACACACACACACACACACACACACACCCTTGAAAGAGGTGTCTATACACACTGTCTACAGTATTCCACCTTCCATTCTATCCTAACTCAGTCAGTCTCTTATCCCCATAACTACACAGAAACCACCCTCCTCCATTAGAAAGATGGGGCCACGACTGATCCAGCTTCAGGTCATAAACATCTGTTACCCTTGAGTCTTCTCTTTCCTCATCCACAGCATTCAATCCACTCACAAGTCTTGTCTTTACCCTTAGGATGACCACTTCTCCCCATCTTTACTGCGGTCCCCAAGACCAAGCCACCATCATCTCTTGCTGGGACCATGGCTGCGGACTCCTCACTCCTTCTTTTCTCCCTCCCCTCACATAAACCCTAACATGTGGGACTTCCACAAGATGAACCAGAACCTGAGGGTTTCTGTTGCAATTAGACAACTAGACCTGAGACCTCAGAAACTTGAGATTTACTAAGCTGTTTCCTTAGCTTAAGAGCATTTTCCGAATGCCCTTAAAGACTTTTAAGAAAGTTAATCTTAGACCCTCAAATGGCTCACAAGAATATACTCTTTTAGACAGGTGATAACATACATGAACACAGGGATTAAGCGGACTAAAGGAAGGTGCTGTTATGTTCATTTACCAAATGACCTGAACTTCAGGCCTCCTTGATGAAATGAGGTCACAGTTTTAGAAGATATCCACCAAGTTGATAAATAGGAACCATGCTTTAAAATTGTTTTTGTTGCTGAAAATTTACTACAGACAGTAACTTATTAGACGCCTATCCTTTTAGGTGGATGTTTCGAAAGTAACTTACAGAGGAAAGAAAACCTCAGTCCTCAAGATGATCCAGTATCTATAATTTTGAAGACTTTGAGAAATTTCCTGTAACCTCTGCCTATGTGGCCAAACCCTGGAAATACATAAGTTCACTGAGTGTACAGATACTATTATTGTCCTGGAAATTGCTGAAATGGATACTGAGAGCCTGTCTTACCAATGTAAACCTACAGTCATAACTGCAATGATTTCTGACAAGAATATACCCCGCAGTTCTCCAGAGGAGTTCAATCTCTTACATAACAGCATTCTCACTGACTCGATCAAAATTGGCCAATGACCTAAAGACTTGTGTCACTGTACTTTTTCTTTGGTAATTTCATGTTATTGCTGAAATTCACATTTATTTATTTTATTAAGTAGAGCTTAAGTATACTTCATAGTTGTTACTAGTTTTTTAAATTAATGTGATTGGGGTATAAATGCATTCATGAATACTTGGACTATTAATGAGAAGACATGAATACCTCTGTCTTGGAAGCTAAGGGAAAGGAGATTGAAAATGAAGCTGTTAGAAGAGAAATCTTGCTGATCAAGGAGAATTATGCATTGCAGAACCAGTGACTACCATAGCAATAATCAGTGACTCCTTCTTGTATAGCAAAATAGAAGAGAAAAAGAACTTACAGAATTCAGACCAAGAAAGTGATTGAACAGGTTCATGGTAAAGGGAGAATGAGCAGGAAGTGTGGCCGGCTACTCTTTATCCTTCTGGATTTTCCCTGCCACCCTTAGGGACACCAGTCACTGCCCTGTCCTAGTCATATTCACCAGTAAATATACAGACAAGCCCGTTTCTTCCTAGAACCAGCAGGAGGCCAGAAAGAGGGTACAACCTTTGTCCTTGACCAAGCTGAGACCTGTTCCCACCATCACCACCACCATCTCTCCTGGATTTCAGGGATCTCTGCTCCCAGCACTCCAGGGCTGTAACAGCTAGTCTGGGGGCAGTAGCAGAATTGGAGACATGAACATCCTATATGCTAGTGGAGGTGTAGCAGCATGCCCACCCTGCTCATTCCTTTCCACTCTGTTTCCAGTGCAGGAACACATCCTTCTCTTCCCCTTATTCTGGAAGAAATGTTCTCAAATGACCGTGCTCAATGTTCATGTCTGACACCTCTTCAGTCCCTTCCCCCATCCTGCTCACCCAGCTTTCTTTGCTGGATATAATCTCTCAGCCATCAGCTATAAATAACCTGGCCTTTGCCCTTCCACCCTCTGTGAGCTGGTCTAATCATCATCATCACTACTCCAGCTCCTGTTTGCTTCCCCACTTCCTTCCCCAGAGCCCAGCCAACACCACCCAGCATATTCCAACTCCTCCAAGGAGCACACACTGGCAGAAGCAGCAATTAACACTGGTATTTCTGCAAGCTGGAAATTCTTATAATTAAAACTTCTTTTGTAAGATCTCAGGAGTCTAAATAACCCTAAGGGAAGAAGAGCACCATCATCTTATCAGGAAATGTAATCAGTAGAAATAGATAAACTCAGGAATATAGGCCTAAAATTTTACTCTAGGGCACAATTATCAGATATAAATATTTCTGTTGATTAAAACATGAAAGCTTACTATATTCATTAGGAGCTTTTAGCACATACAGATAGTCTCTAAAAGCAGCAACACTTACAATCAGCCATGTAATCAAAAGTTAGTTCTGACATAATCACTTCCCGAAGCTTAACAAAGACAGGTCTTAATGGACACAGCAGCCATCCATTAAAGGAAGAAACAATTAGTTTGACAATATAAAGCTTATCACAAGTGTAAAACATTAAATTAAAGGCAACTGAAGAACACCAACTTATGGACAGCAGTCACCAATGTGATATTTATGAATATTTTAAATCTTAGAAGGCCAAACAAATTTGCAATGTAATTATATCAGCAACTTTAGAGATAACACCTTGCTAAACCCAGACAATGAGTCAACTGTCAATCCAACATTATCTCTACCTCTGTCTGAAAAACCAAAAAGCGCTGACATCAGATAGCATTTAGACTTCTGACATAACAATATGTTAAACTTTACTCACCCAGAAAAAGGATAAACATGTTTTATAAATGTGCCAGACCTGTCCACTTTGATAAATGCAAGCTGACAAATTATCCACAGGAAAACAAATATATTAACCTATTCCACATAAGATGGCTCAAATATGCAGCTTTCTACAGTTTCTGAAGAAGCCATACCACCACAAAAAAAGTTATTTTATTTGAAATATATATATATGGACTATATACATATATATGTATGTATACACATATACACATATATATATGGACTTTCTTCAAAATCACAAAAAAGAAAGGGTCTACATATCAATTGGGATCAATTCCAATAAACAAAAGCTCATGCATTTAGGCTGAAAAAATTATAACCACTCTGTAGTTTGCCTTCTCTCCCTCTCTTTCTCTCTCTGTCTCTCTCTCTCTCTCACACACACACAATTCCATTGCCCCAGAGCACTAAAACATGCATGTACTGACATTTAAACCATGAAGAACTACCCAGAGGCAAGTAGCTTGTCCATATTAAACATATTCCTTGCTGTTTTCCTACTTCCTCAAACCACCCTCCATGTGATCTATAACAGTGCTGACTTTCTCCATCTCAAAAATAACTGATAAATCCCTTCACACAAATGAGAGCTTCTATTGCCCAAGAGATGGGTGGACTCAACCAACTGGTTCCAGGATCTTGTTAGAAAATGCAAACTAAGCTAACTGTCTCCAAAAGAAAATCATCTCATTCCACATAGCTGAGAACTTGTATAACTGTTTTAATGCTATAGTAGGCACATGACTGAAATGTTCAGCTCGTGGGACCTCCTCAGGCCTCGAAAGGGATCTCTCCTGCTTAGACAATTCGGTGAAAGAAGCAGAGAGTTGTTAAAGAACACTGCTCTGTTGCAATTGCAAAGTGTCCATAATAAAGAGTGTACAGTACATTGCACATGGAAGACATCTGGGCTCAGACCCAAAAGACGGGAAGAATCAAAAAGCGAGTAGAGAAAGGAAAAAGACATCCAGCTAATGCAAAAAATGAAATTGTTCAAAGAGAGTTATTTGATGGTAATTCAGACCCCTCATCCAACCAGTCAAACTGCTTCTGTAATTCTATGAGTTAGGACAAAAACACAAAAACAAGGTTGCTCGACTTAGTGGTCAATGTAGACCTCATTTCACTGGATAATTAGCTTGACTCACTCAGTGTTTCACCTGCTTGTGAGACCAGTTTACAGACAGGCAAATGCAACTGGGATGGTGTCCCCAGGCTGAGTTTACAGCCATGGAAATTAAAGAAAACAGTGTAAATCCCTTCCCCCACCTTCCCAGCTTCCTGCCAAAATATGGCCCATCAAAATCACTGTGCTCATTCACTATTGCTTTGTCTGCAATGATGTGACTTTGAATGCTTACTCATGATACTCACCTTGATATCAGGGTTGTTTTTAATGTAATAATAGTGATAGTCTCTGCCACTGATGGAGTTCTTGCTGTTTCCCAGGCAGCATGGTATGGCCTTTAGGCATTCATACAACTCACATGTATTAAATGTCGACCAAGTGACAGAACTGTTCTAGGTTTGGGAGCACAATCTGAATGAAACAAAGTCCATGCTGTCATGGAACTTTCTCTCCAATAAGAGGAGGGAGACAGAAAGGCAAATATAGACTCTATCAAGTGGTGATTGGGGCGATAAAGAAGAAAGTGGGTGAACGTGCCAGAGGGTGACAGTGTCATCCTGACAAAGACCTCCTGGCACACACTTGTACTCAAACACACTAAGTTTACCGACTCATTGTCATAAGGGAGAACACGTACTGTTGGAATCTGGGAATCAAAGTAAGAGAGTGTTTAAAGGACTCATGATAATATGTGGGCTGTGTTAGATGATTTTGGGGGAGGATTCATGAAAGCAGGGTTTTGCTCTGGGCTGGATAGTGTCAGCACGTGGGGGTAATTCTATAATCAGGTATCTTAATAATTCTTACATGAAGGTAGGAAGGATGAAGCAACGCAGTCAGTCACTCACAGCAGCCACAAAGGGGACATGTGACCTTATATGTGGTTTGGACAATATTCTTATTTTTATCTGCATTTGGACATCAGTATAAAGGGGTTTTGCTTTTGTCTTGATCCATTATGGTCAGAGTGGCCTTATCTGATGTTGTGATCTGTGAAATTGCTTATGCTCAACAGAAGAATGGCATAGCTGAGATAAGGGTGTCAGGCCAGCTCCCAGCTGTCAAGGGTTGCTTTTCTTTTTCCCATACTCAAACTGCAGGCATCCTTCCAAAACAGGCACCATTACCATCTCTCTTTTACAAAATGATGAAACTAAGGTCCAGCAAGATAAAGGACTTATCTAAGAGCAAGCAACTAAGAAAGCCAGGATTCAAACCCAAGTTATCTGACCACAGAGCCAGCCTCATCGGCACTCCTTACACAGACCCTTACAGTGCTGCACCTTTTCACCTTTTGAGCTGCTTAGCAAAGCATTATCTTCAAAAAGACCAAAGTGGCATCTCAGTGGGAGGGTGGATGATGCACACAAAGCCTCGAGGGGAAGCTGCCATCAGTAGGCATCCCAGTACCTAAGTGCCAAGAAATTAAGTCCACGTAGTCACTATCAAGACAAAAGCATTTTTCTCCCAGAGATGAAGAGACATTTTCCATTTTATTTAAATTGGAAGGTTTCTTTTTCTGTAAGTTAATCAAAACTAATTTATCTCAGCAACTTATGACCTATAACCATAGTTTTAAATACTGGAACAAGTATGTTATAATAACATAAAAGTAAAATTCTAGTGTGTAAAGGTGACAGAGTATAAAACAATTAATATCAATTTTATCCCATATTCTAAAAACACCCTCTCCCATATCATCAAAAGTCAAGGCTTACCAAAAGGTTTTCCGGCTTGAGGTCCCGGTGGACAATGCTCTTGTCGTGCATGTGGACGAGGGCTTTGCATAAGTCCATGATCATGAGGGCAGCATCGGGCTCCGGGAACTTCACACTTTCTATGATGGCGTCAAAAAGGTCTCCTCCCTGCACGTACTCCAGGATCAGGTAGATTTCCATGTCTGTTTCGTAGACTTCATGCAATTTCACGATGTTGGGGTGAGAGAGGCTCTGGATGATCAAGATCTCACTGTCCACCATGTCCTCCTTGCCCTTGAGTCTGGACTTGTCAATGATCTTCATCGCATAGGCCTGCCTGGTCTCGCGGTGTCTGCACTCCTTCACGACAGCAAAGTTCCCATCCCCAATGACCCGGCCAGTCTCATAATGCTTTTCCACATTGGCGGCAATGATGCCCATGGGCCGTGGCTTCCGACCGCTGGGCCGCTCTGGCTTGTTCTCTTCTGGCCTCGTCTTGGGCTCCTTTTCTAGCTTTGCAGGTTGGTCATCTCTGAGAGTCATCCTTCTGCCTCCAGACATACATGGCTTTTTCTCCTTCTCTGCCTCCTTCTCTTCTCCTCGGGTCCTGCGGAGCTTCTCAAAGCCCGCCTGGTGCTCTCTCAGGAGCCAGCCACCATGTTTGCTCCTGCTCATGGGCCTGGTGTCCTTCTTCACCTCCCTCAGCCCCTCCTCTGTGACAGGAAGAACTTCCACAAGGTCCTTCTTGGCCTTGGCTGCTCCCTGAGCATGGCTTTCTTGATCCTCTGGGCCTCTGTCCTCTTTCTTGTCCATGCTCTTGCTGGGTCTCCTCAGCTCTTGAGTGGGATTCCTGGGGCTGCTCCTGTGGCTGTCACCCTTCCACCCTTCCTCCCCACTTGCAGGATTTGCCTCGGGAGACCTCCTGCAGCTTCTGGTCCTCACCAGCTTCTCCACATCATACATTGGGCCCTTCCCCATATCCAGCTCACTGGTCCCCAGAGAAAGCCTCTCACGCTCCAGGCTCTGCTGGAGCTCCCTCTCTCTCTTGCACTTCTCGCATCTGATAATTTCACCCGAGGTCTTTTCAATCTCCACCCCAAGATGCTTCTCTCCCCTTGCGTGCCTCTCTTCCAGAGTGGCTTCCCTGGGGGGCTTGCTACTGGGTTCTGGCTCCCATTTCCCCCTCCCCCACTTCTTCTGGGTCCTCGCTCTGTCATCTAGTGAAAGCTCCTCGGGGATCTTCCCCTGGTGCCTCATGGCTGCCTTGCATCCTGCAACTTCGCTGCAGCTCTTGGGGGTCTCGGTCTCCCCACAGCGGTGGTCTCCTTTCAGAGCCTTGCTAAACAGCCTGCTCCTCAGCCTTGGAGAAGGGGCACGGCTGTGCTGGGCCAGTGTCAGGGCCCGGGCTTTGTTGGGGTACAGTTCTTCTACAGCCACCTGAATGCTCTTCAGTGTCAGTGGTTCTTTGCCCATAGCTATGAAAGCATCCCCTTCCCTGAAGAAATCAGAGACGCTCCTGATTTCCCTGCCCTTGAGGTTAAACAGTTTCCTCACACGGTCATTCTTCCATCTGGGAGAGCCCAAGGCTTCTGAGATGTCAGCTAAGAGCTGCTCGAACGTCTGCACTGATCGCCTGTTGAGGAGCAGAGTGATCTTTCGGGGGCGCTGCCCACCCAGCTTCACTACGGTCACGACCCTGGGCTTCAGAGGGCTGTTCTCAGGATGTGCTGAGTGAAGGCCATTCCGAGGGCAGAACAAGGGCACGACGGGGCCACGCGGCCCCAGGAATGGTTTCTCCAGATTCCCTCGGCTGGCAGGCAGCCAGGAGCCTTGCAGCTTCCGCTCTGTGATTCTCGAGCTTAAATATTTTAGAGAATGGTCACATAGGCCTTGCTGTCCTGCAACAAGAAAAGGACAACAGAGTATTAGTTAAGATGGGTTCAGAGAGCCCTCAGCCTTCACCAAAACTTTACTAAAGATGACTGACTCTAGCATTACAGTTTATAAGTGTGGTTCCTGAGAGTCTGTTAGAAATGACAGAGCCTTTATACTTAGGTCTAATTCCCAGTCTCCTCTACACCAGGAGTGCAGAACAGAGTAAGCATTGGGCTTGCAGTGATTCCTGTAGGCCTCACAGGGGCCCCCAGGATGGGCCACACCTCAGGAGCTGATACAGTTTGGCTCTGTGTCCCCACCCAAATCTCATCTTGAATTGTACTCCCATAATTCCCATGTATTGTGGGAGAAACCTAGTGGGAGATAATTGAATCATGGGGGCAGTTTCCCCCATACTGTTCCATGGTAGTGAATAAATCTCATAAGATCTGATGGTTACATCAGGGGTTTCCGCTTTTGCATCTTCCTCATTCTCTCTTTGCCTGCTGCCATCCATGTAAGATGGGACTTGCCCTTCCTTGCCTTCCGCCATGATTGTGAGGCTTCCCCAGCCACGTGGAACTAACTGTAAGTCCAAGAAAACCTTTCTCTGCAAATTGCCCAGTCTCAGGTATGTCTCTATAAGCAGCATGAAAAGGGACTAATACAGGAGCCCTCTCACGGTGAGGCCTGACTCTGTAAACACAACTCCAGCTACCCCAAAGTGAACTGACCTTCAAGGATCTACAGCTGAGATAAAAAGGGCCAGTTTTGCTGCCCATGAAACACCAACAAGAGTCAGGAACATTCTAGAACTTTGAAGGGCCAGGTTTGCTGCCCATGAAACACCAACAAGAGGCAGGAACATTCCAGAATTTTGAAAAACCCAATCTTACCCATCTCTTTGCCAAGAACATTTTTTTTCAGCTTGACTTTGAACTCACTCAAGGTGGAGCAGTATGCGAAGAGGTTATGGTCACAGGATTTGAGACAGATCTGGATTTAAATCCTGGCATGGCCATGGACTGCTTGTGTGAACCTGGACAAATTATTTGCATTTCTTTTTTTTTTTTTTTTTTTTTCATTTATAAAGTAAGAATGCTACACCTCCCTCCCAGGGTTTTTGTGAAGAATAAATGATCAAATTACAACTTACCTAAGAGAGTGCCTGACACATAGTAAGGACATAATAGTTGCTAGTTATTAACACTGTCCTTGTGATCTTAATATCTATTTTATATTATAATTTCACTGTATTAGTAGTATAATCTATCAATAAGGTAGAAGTCTACTGTGCACAGCTTCTTCTGGCATCACAAGAACTCATGGACCCACATGATGTGGTAGGTATTTCTTAAAGCTCTGACTGAGATTCACTTGCATTAGAGTTAGTATAGGAAAATTGAAGAAGGTTTCAATCTAGGTGTAAAAACTTCCTTGTCCAGATGGTTTTCCCTCTTCTTATTTAAAAAATGTAAAGAAACCAAGGTTCAGAGCTTAAATAATGAGAATGTACATGAATAAAACAAGACTTTTGTATTTCCTAATTGACTATACCCAGCCAGAGTAAAACAGGTGAGGCAGGAGTGGTTTAATTTCCTCAATTTCTATCCAGGTCAGGAAGAGAAATTGGAAAAGAACAGAAAGTATAACTCAGTTAAGCCACAATGGTAGGATGACAATTATTAAAGTTACCCTGCAGGACCCATATGTCATATCCTACATGGAAGAATCTGCTGTTTATGCTTCCTTTAAAAAGAAATTTAAAATAATCATTTATACGTGTATTTGAATCAACTGTAGCAGAAACTCCAGTTGTGCCAGGATGAGATTTTGGCCCAGCAAATCTACACAGAATGTTTTTTGTTTTTTAATTATAATGTACAATCTGTTCTGAGATGATTTCCATCTAGACGCAGGTGTCAGATGAGATGACAAGGTAGTGGCTGATACTGATCTTCCCACACACCACAAATTTATGAGCTTAACAATCACATTTACAGTTAAACTACATATGGACATCTGTTATCCCTTTCTTCTCACAGCCTCTTTAATTAATCTGCCTCCATTTTTGTCTGAGATAGCTGATGTTGAGAGAAAGAAAGAGAGCTACAGAAGGAATACTAGTTTGTATTTCCTGCATTGGGGAACTGAGGAAGGGTGTCAGGAAGGTGACTGTCAAACGCATGTGCACAAAAGGGCTGGTGTTCTTGTTGGTTTTTCTTATGTGCTTCACACACAGTAGGATCCTTGATACATACTGTCAGACTAAGTAAATGAAGTCCTGATTATTTTCTCAGAAGACCCTGTATAGGGACAGAGAAAGAGATTTTAGCCTATATCCTGGACTGAGGCTTTTCCAAGCAGATGTGGGAAAAGGATAGGCAGGCCCAAAGGATCAACTGCTGGCTGTGGTCACAAGAGGGCAGACCTACCAGGAAAACCTAGAGGCATAAAGAGGATGTAATGAAATCCAATGGAAGTACCAGGAGAATGAGCAACCAAGAGTGCTAGGAAGACAAGATTTGAGTTGGGTTTTCAACACCTAATGAGGTAGAGGCCACCCAGTACATAGCAAAGGAACCATGACATAGGGCTGGACCAGTTGTCCACACGGCCGCTGAGGTCAGCACAGATGAAGGTAAGACTCAATGTGGAGAGGAAGACACTGGTAACATGGAGAAATGAATGGTCAGCCACTATATGACAGTGGCAAAGCAAGGGTGTATATTGTATCATGGGATGATATAAGCCTCAGCTAAGGAAAGGTGTTATAGGAGGGAAGAAAAATAATAGCTCTGAAGCAGACCTGGGGAGCTAAATTCTGAGCTCTACCTTCAAAATCTATAGTCCCTGGAAAGGAAGAATTATCCATTACAGGGAAGAAATAGGAGAGGGATCCTCAGGGGAGAACCAATAGGACAAAGGAACATTCAGTGAATACCTTAAGGATGTTTGAACATTTAGCATAGAAGGAGGTTCAGGAAAGCCCCTGAACCCTCCTAAAAGGTCCAAGATGGGATGTCAGGGAGGCATAAAGCAGTGTTCATGAAACAGGACTGACAGTAATGGGCTTTATGTATTGAGTGTTGACATAGAGTGACAAAGAGGCCCAAATTACAATAGGACCAGTGGCCTCAAGTTCCCAAACATTGGAACTGTAGAATCTGAGTGTGGTAATGGATGACTTGGCACAATGGTACCCAGAGCTGGGTAGGGAGAAGAGGGGATGTGTTCTCTGGGATTTCTGTGCTCAGCCAATTTCAGCAGACCCTACCTCAAAACTTGCCCTGATCCCTAGTGGTTAGGAGAACAATCTGGGAACATCCCATCCCTGAACAAAGAATAAGCTCCATAAGAACAGCCTCCATCCCAGGGCATGGCGTAAAAGGATGTAAAGAGAGAACAGCTCAGCCTCCATCACACCAACATCAGACATGCTCATTCCACTGCCTGGGCATTCACAAGCTTATTCAAAAGCTCCTTGGTCTGCAGCAAAAGTGACAATTCAGTCTCCACCTCCTCAGCATAACTGGGTCCTACTGAAATTGCACTTCTTCTAGCTATGACTGCTTCAAGCTACTGGGAAGCACCAGGAAAATGCAACCTTCGGATGCACTGATTTTTATCTTCTCTTCCACAAGACCTCTTTCCTCTTTTAAAGTAGTCTAGAGCAAAATTTTCTTCTTTACAGGTAAGAGGAAAAAAATAAGAAGACTATGAATGCCTGGTCCATGGGCAGGGAGAGCAAACAGCAGAAAGAGCACAGCATATCCTTTAGGCCTGGGGCTCAGTCTCCGGGAACGTGCTCATGCCCCAGGACAACTGCACACAGAGTACTTTCAGTCTCCCACTAAGCACCACTGTCCAGAACCTAACCCAATCAACCTTACTAGAAAGCCACAGGCCTGCCCGAGTCCACTCAGCTCCAGCAACACCTTTACTTACAAAATCAGTAAAATGGAACCATATGAAATTGCTGGTAGTTCTACCAATTTTGAACCATAAAAAAACAAATTTCATGTGGCTCACCCTCATACCGGTTGAGTATCCCAAAACCAAAAATACAAAATCTAAAATGCTCCAAAGCCTGCAAACTTTTTGAGCACTGACATTCCTACCAAAGGAAATGATCATTGGAGCATTTCAGACTTCAGATTTTCAGAGCTGGGATGCTCAACTGGTAAGTATAATGCAAATATCCCAAAATCCAAAAAAAAAAAAAAAAACTCCTTGAAATAAAAAAATAAAACAAAATAAAATAAAATAAAATAATAAAAAACCACTTTTGGTCCCAAGCATTTTGGATAAGGGAGACTCACTCAACCTGTATAATCTAGGATAATAATCCATATTCTGTCCCTATATCAACAGTAAATTGTTTATGAAGCCATAGATAGTAAAAATTAAACATGCTAATTCTGTCTTCAGCCACCAAGGCAACCATGTCCCAGGAAGTAACACAGGGAAAATATGTTCTTATTAACATCTTATTTTTTTCTTATTAACACCTTATTTTTCTGTTAACTTGCTACAGCAAAATAAATTGACCTGGACTTGACAAAACTGCTGCTTCTACTTCATTACACCAAAATACAAATGTTTACAGGGTCTCTCCTCAATGCCAATCTAACCCCACATATACAGAAGAGCAAGCACTACTTTTGATAAGCCATCCATCTGCTCAATAACCTACAGTAGCTCCTTATTAGCCTCCTTGAGTTCCAAACCCAAATTCCTCTGCTTGACACATAAGGCCCTTCACAATTCCAACCCACTCCACCTCCACTCCCCCACCAATCCAAGCCTCACCATCTTGTAAAGCCTAAGACCCATCTCTACTCCCAAACCTTCTCTGTCCTCGTAAGTTCGCAGTGATAGCTCCCTCCCCTGAAGACCTGCTCATTCATTAAAGCAAAATTTAGCACAAATGCCTGAGACCAATACCTAGCACAGAATGTGGAACATATGGTTTTGCCTGCTGCACATCTCAGCTAATTGTTACTTCATCTTAGTAGGTGTAAACATTCTCCCTCTCAACTAAACTGTAAGCTCTCCAAAAGCAGAGACCAGGGTTTATGCAAACCCCCCAACTCTGCCCCAGTACAGAGAGCAAGCACACAAGATTTGGAGAACAAATTCCCAACCCTAACATCAAACACAAATATCTAGCTTCAGTCTTCCAGCTCTCACTGTAAATAACTGAGCATTGCTAATTGCAGCTCCAGCAAACATCACACAAAAGACCTCCTGAATACATTAGATAAGTGAGGTGAAAAGAAAATATAATCACAAACATCCATCTGCGACAGGAAATTTGACAAAGTAGCATTTCTGAAGAACAACTCATAGAGGTAGGGGACAGCAGTACGTTGCTTCAGGTTGAGAAAGCTTTGTTTTAGCGCAAAGAACACTGACCATGGGTCAGAGGACTTCTGCCAAGCTGTTATTAGCTGTGTGACCATGGGAACATTAATTAATCCCTATGAACCTCAGTTTCACCACCTGCCAAATGGCATTAATGTCTTACTTATTGCTGAGGATGTCCAGTGCATTGCTCTGCCTAGAGTGAGCACTCAACTTGTGCTTATTTTTCACATGTTCATAAAGAAAATAAGTCCTGTAACCTTGAGTTTCCTCCAAGTACATGTACATCTCAAGGCCAAAGAGAATATGATGCTAAATGTGACCCAGCAGGATGCATTTGTCATTCACACAGTGATTGAAATAAAAAACCAGTAGGGACGGGATCATAAAAGAAACACTCCAGCAAACCTAAGCAAACAGGTCTGCTGGGGAGATAAACGGAATTTCTGCTCATCGACCCTAGGATGCTCTGATTCTGGGGTGAGCCAATAAACTCAGTAACTGCACCGGCATGGCATGCCGTTATTGCCTCTAATAGGTTTGATGCTCAGAAAGTGGGTCTCTTATCTGCTGCCACAATTCAGATAAAGTAACATAACCTGATTCCACGATGATCAGCTCTCCACCTTATTAGGCTGGAAAGGCTACCAGAGTGACTGTAAGTCACATTAACCAAGTTTCCTGTCTAATTTACTTATAATTACTTTTCTCTGTTATAAGATTAGCTGCTAATCAAGTTTAGCATCAAGAAAAAAATAAAAGATTTCTCTTTTATATTGTCTTTTTAAATCACAATTAAAGAGATTTTACCTTTTCCAAGTCATTTTAAAATAACTCACGTGTCTAATTAAAATGCAAAGAAACCTATGTCTGTGGTCAGTATTAACGTCAGAATTTTCATCTTGGCTCCTAGAAAGCTATAATAACACAAGAAAAATAATGACAGATAATCAAAATTGCTATAGGACTCAAGTAATACATACTTTCTCTATAAACATTTACAAATTATGTGTACTCAACAAAATGAATTCGGTGTTTTAAACTATCTGGTCATATTCAATACAACAAAAAGATGACTAAAAAAGAAAGGTCAATGCATCTAACACCACATTATTAACCCCCTCCTCCTAGCAGAAAGGTGCCCCTGAAAATATTTTCCTTTTTATCAACTTTTTATTTCTTTGTGGTTTCAGCAGATTAATCACTTGTGGCCTCAGTATGCAGTGCTGAGAGAGTATTCATGTCTATTCTTCTGTGGAAGATAGAGAAAGACTGGCTGAAATAATTTTACTTTTCACTGCATAATCATTTGTCCTGGGCATTTTCCAGGGGCTGTTTGGGAATAAACTCATTTTGCTCATATGCAGAGATGAGGCAGGAGAAACATTTGTGAACTTACATTTGATTATGCCAACACCCCAAGGAAGGTTTTGTAAACGAATAAAAAATTGGAATGAAGCCTCTCTCACTAAGCCTCAAAAATGCTACTGTTTCGTAACTCAGAAGCCTGGCCAATGTCTATATTGATCAGAGCTGTAGAAATTAATAAGAGCAAGGTAATAAAATGAAACTGCCATGCTGTTTATTGGCTGTCATCACTGATGACACTCCAATCTCTAATTAACATCCTCACTACCTATCCTCTTTATTACCAACATGACATTGACTGAGACATCAGAAACAAAGTAATTAAAGAGACTTTTTCCTGCTCTTATCTCAGAAGTGCCTCTGTCCAGGGTTGGCTTTTATCTGCTGACTTACCCATGACAATTTCCCTTAGTGCCTCCCAGCATACTGGCTCAGAACTCTGTATGGTCTCTGACTGAGAGATATTGGCCAGGCCTTGTTCTAACCCACCTAACAGATGCCTGATACTTTTTTCTAAGCTACTCGCAAATTTAAAGATGGGATTGACTGCTCCATCTCATGATAACTTTGGAGTTATCATGAGTTTTACGTACTGCATCAGTTGTTTACAAGAGTGTTTTTAAGTGGACATTCCTTTTCTCACTTTTAAAGCTTATCCCTGACCACACGATAATCCTCATCCCTCATCCCTCAGTTTTCCTACTTACCCTTGTCTAGTATATGCCACCCATCTCATCATTGTATCACAGTTCACACTTCCTCCACTGCTGGCTTTATTATGTCTGAAAAACCCTCATGCTTCATGCAAACCAGAGAGCATTTTCCTCTCTTTCCAGAGATCCCAGGACATTGGGTTATACCCTACAGACACCCCATGACAACAAAGAGGACTAACAGACAAGGTCTGAGTTTTTCCCTGCTGTCACTGACGTGTCTCCTTAGAGGATCCTGCTGAAGTGGTTAAACTGGAAGTCCCATTTCCAATTTACTATGTGCTACAGAGCAGAGCTTCTCAAATGTTCATGTGCACACAAATCACTTGTAAGTCCTGTTGAAGTGCGGGTCCTGATTCAGACAGTCTGGGTGGGGCCTGACAGTCTGTATTTCTAACCAGGTCCCAGATGATGCTGATGCTGATGCTGTTGGGCCCTGGATGCACTCTGAGCACCAAAGATATACAGTGAAATTCCAGAGTATCCTTTTGGGAGTGCAAGTTGCCTATAAGTAGTTATTTTCATAAAGTTAATAAGTAATTTGTGATATGTTATAAAAACATGGCATCAGTGCAGTGAAACACAAAGTCCAGCCACGGTTCCTTTGACAAAAGATTTTCTGTACAGTATATAGAAGTGGCAAAGGAAATGATCTAGAATTTGCCCACTGTTAGAGAGGGGAAAAACCTTTTTTCCTCTACTCTTTAGGTTAAATGATTGGGGTCCTGCAAAATAAATTGACAAAAGACAGATTGACAGGAGAAAAATGTTTCTTTCATATGCATATAAGGGCCTCACAGAAATGAAGTGAAAATCCCAAAAAGGTAGTCAGACTCAGAGACTTATATACCATTTTAACAAAGAATGATAAACTTGTAGAAGTAATAAAACAAAGGGAAAAGGTTTGAGCTTATATGGGGGAAAAAAGGTATATATATATATTTCTCATATATATATATTTCTCATATATGTATATATATGAGAAACTAGTGGAAGATAAAGATTATTTTAGTAAGGTTTGTTATGCATATTCCTCTCAGAGCCATCTCTGGGCTGATATGAGTCTAGAGTCCTCTCTGGTGATTAACGGTTGTTCAGCCCTTCCTGTTACAAGGCAAGTGAAAGGAACAACTTCACAAAGGGAAATTTATGTCCGCTTTTACATAAATAGGGGGAGGATAGAGATCTTTTCTTGCATCTGCTGTTCCTCAAATACCTTCAGCTTAAAATAATTCTTGTGACAAAGTGTCATATTTGGGGGTAGCATATTTTGATCCCCTTTACGACCCAAAGTGGACCAGCAGCATCAGTATCACCTGGGAGCATCTTAGAAATGCAGAATTTCAGGCCCCACCCCCAATTTACAAAAACAGATTCTGCATTTTAACAAGACCCTCAGGTGGTGTGATGCACGTTTGCTTGAAATGCACTGCCATAGAATATCTCTTGCTTTGCCAAAGTGGTTAGTGAAACCAAAATATGCAGCCCTCAGTGGGGGTGAGGGGATCATAAAGCCCTTGGACTTGTATGTATCTATTTCATTAGCCCTTAAAGTATGGCAGCATGACCCAACTAAACCCAAACTGAGACCCAGGATCACATTCAGCTCAGCAGTGGGTTTATTTTTCCAAGATCTGTTTATCTGTACAAGTTGCCAAATAGGCAGACAAGGGTGTGGGTGAATGGGGAAGGAGGTGTTTTGTGCACAGGCATTTGCAGCTCCCAAGGAGGAGATAACAGGCCTGGGGAGCAATGAGAAAGAGGGGACAGTATGGCCTCTCCCCCTGTGCTCCCAATCCCAGAACAGCTGGTTTAAGTGTTGTTGGAACACAGGGTTGAGTGAGAATGCTGAAGGAGCTGTGTTTCAAAGACTGTGTGAAGCTCTGGGACCCAGGTGACAAGGCACAGCAGAGTGAGAGGAGGACCAGCCACCTGCCTTCCCCAGAACAGGCCCCAGGACCCAGGGCAGCCTCAGCAGAGGAGGTTGATGAGGGGCCTTGGGGAGACAGCAACAGCAGGAGGGCCGCAGGGGCAGGGAACAGGAGGAAGGATTCAGAACAGGAGCCACAGTGCACATGAGCACAGATAACATCCTGCCCTGGGGACTCTGAGGACACTGGCGGAGGGCACACCAGGCATTAATATTAACATGGCCTCATTTGCTCCCAGGGTCCGTGAGGCCTCGGACCTGCCAGCGACCATAACACTAACCTTTCTCTCTAACCACCTGACCACTTTTCCTCCAGGTGAACCCTTCTGCTTTCCAGTCATTTTGTCACATTGTGCCTTTGGGCTTTTCTTTTCTTCCATAAATTCTGAAGCAGGTTGACCCTCTTTCCTTTTCCAACAGGATTCTCTTCACACGCAGCTCTTTGTGCCAATGCATGGGGAGCCTCTCCAGATGCTGCCACCCTGTCCCTGCGTTGTCTTTCTCTGAGACATCCGATGCTGGTTGGCTTTGACCAGACCTCCCCCTGGGGACAGCTTCTCTTTCAGTCTCACCCTAGGTTTCATGTTTCCTCCCAACTCTCCCAACTCACCCATGATCACATCCCTGGGGCTTCATCGCTCACTCAGTAAAATCCCAAGAGGGCATGGCTCCCAGGCCAGGCTGCTGTTTCCTACGGCCTGAATATTTAATCCCAATTGTCTGTTGCGGTGAGGAGATTCATAGTAACCTTGATTGGGGCTGAGTTTCGCTTTTCTCAGTGCTATATACAGGGCGGCTCTTCGGATGTGCTCATTTGGAAGGGGAGCCTTCAAGTACTCTGGGGCTACTTTCCCTTCAGCTGACTGGATGCTCACAAGACTTCATAGTTTCCTTTCCCTCCTTGGTTATCAAACCCTAGGGGCCCTCCCCGCCCCACTAATGTCCACTGACCTGTGTCATGCAATACTTTAAAACACACTAGGCTAGACAGACCCTCACCACATTCCATTCCTACTGGTGAGGTTGCAGAAATCATTCTAAAAGCATACTCCATCTCCTTTTTTCTAGAGATGAAGCAGATCGATCTCATTTCTACATCTTCATGCTTTGGCTTCAATGGATCTTAGATAGGTGTAAGGATACTTGGAATATCTAAACCATCTGTCAGTGCCTGGATCTGAAGACTCTCACACCTCGTTTACCAGATGAGGGGTCAGTCTAATAAATGAGATCTGAGGTGGAAACTTCCACGATCCATTCATCTACAGGAACGAGGAGGCAAACAGCCTGCAGATTCTTCAGAAAGTGGTTTTTAAATGATTTTGACTTCTTGATAAGACAACCTCCATGTCCAACACATAATTAAATGGCAAGCCAGTAAAATAATTTGAAAAGAAATGTTTTTTAAAATATATAGCCTTCATTCATATTCAGGAGAGATGATACAGTTGCAAAACACTGGAGCTGTTTATGTAAAATAATAATAAGGGAATAGTATGATTAATTTTATGCCATCAAAGGAGACAACTTAAATGAAATGGATGGATCCCATGAAAGACACATTACCCAAGTTTCTCAAGAAGAAATAAATTTCTTTTACTTCTTAATTTAATTATTTTAACGTTTAATTCTTCTTTGTTTCTTTTCATTTACTTATTTGAGACAGAGTCTTGATCTGTCACTCAGGCTGAAGTGCAGTGGCGCAATCTTGGCTCACTGCAACCTCTGCTTCCCGGGTTCAAGCGACTCTCCTGCCTCACCCTCCCGAGTAGCTAGGATTACAGGCATGTACTACCACGCCCAGTTAATTTTTTGTATTTTTAGTCAAGACAGGGTTCTGCTGTGTTGGCCAGCCTGGTCTCAAACTCCTGTCCTCAAGTGATCCACCCACCTGGGCCTCCCAAAGCGCTGGGATTACAGGCATGAGCCACCACACCCGGCCTTCTTAAGTTCTTTTCAATTTATTTCTCAAGAAGAAATAAATAAGCTAAATAGCTCCACTGTGCTGTTTATTGGAGGTTTACATCCACCAGACTAAGAAAGGACTTTCCATAAATAGTTAAGACATGATCATTTATACGATGATTAGACTTGCTGGTAAAAATTCTCACAAACTGCTTGTGTTGAAATATGCATCTTTTGTAAACAAAAGTAACACCACAGATCCAATCTAAAGAGGACATGTGTGTGGGATGCAAAAGCTGTGTGGGCGCAGATCTTTGCATTTTAGAACTGCAAGGATAGTAGCCCAGTTTCCGCAACTGTAAGATATAACTGTAGGCCAGAGAAGGTAAGTAACTAGCCCAAGGCCACACAGCTAGTTAGTAAGAACTGAAACAGACCTTCCGCAGATCGTGAATGTTTTTGAACAATGACATGGACAGATTTAGAGGTGTCATTTATAACATGGAATGTTAAACTCATGGAGTCATCCAGAGAAAACAGAGCAGCACTCAGAGGCGTCAACAGGCACCAACACTGAAGCAAAGCAGCCTCAGCTTAGTTCTGCCCTAGTTGTTAAGCCAGCCAACATCCAACTGGGCAAAATTAAGTCACACAGTGTTCCTGCAGCTGGCAATAAACAGATGAGCTTTTCCCTGATATCCCTGTAGACGGGATGATCTAAAAAAAAAAAAAAAAAAAAAAACTCCCCGAAGTGTATTAAGATTCCAAACGAAGAAGAGTGATGTTTGGGTAAAGCACATTAAAGTGAAAACTTTTCTTCTTTTTGGGAATTCAGACTGGGTTTGGTTTTCCCCTAATTCAAAAGAAGAGAAGGCATGGTACCAACACCCTGATGAAGCCAGGCATCCAATCGGACCCACAAAGCTTCAGCAGTGGCCCTAATACCCACCCTGAGTACAACACATCTCTGCTGGTGGAGCACCAAGCAGTCCTCACTGCTGTGGGAATCTGCATGGCCCCCACTAGCCCGTCCTCCCAGGATAGCTGTAAAGATTGTAATGAGATGACAGGCATAAGGTTGCCCACATATGGTCAGCACTCAGATTAAACCAGATTGACAGTGGTGGCACTAAAGCAGAACTGCTTCTCTGCTGAGAAGCCAACCTCCTGGGCAGAAACTGACACAGTTCCCTCTAACAGCCCAACTGCTGCATCTAAGCCTTTTGAAAGCATCAGACACAAATGTTTCAACACAGACTGTTGCCTTCAGAGGCTTTATAAGGATAAACCTTAGCAGCTTTTAGCTTCTGCAGGAGTTGTGGTTAAGCTTCTTTGGGATTTCTTATGATGTTATATCATGGCATTTGCCAAATATATACAATTTGTTGGGATGGAGTCTACTAAATAAATGGGCCTTGCGTGGCAAGATTCTAAACACAGAGCCCTAGTGCCAGGTATGTGGTAGGCTGGCAATGAACAGGTGTTGCACGGAAGAACCCAATAAATCCACAGTAGTGTTCAATGAAAACAGACTATTGGTTGGGTCATCAGAATGCGCTGGGTGATCATCCAAGCATGCAGTCAGGATTTTTCATCTATTTCTGCCCCCAAATTTATCTAAAGCTACACAGCTGTCAACATTCTGTAGGGCCAGCACACTGTCATGGATTCCATTGGTACCCACCCAGATTCCTTTACCAGGGCTGCCCCTCTCCTCCAGCTCTTACACGTGTTGGCAGCTGATCGCTGCCCAAGTCTCCCAAGAGTTACTTTGGCTGACTGGAGCCACTTTACCCAGGAGGTCACACATCCAACTCTGCCTTCACAAGGACAGCCCATAATCAATGACTGATGGACAGGGGTGTGGGGAGGGGTACCAAAGACCCAGCCTTTACCCCATGGTGGGACAATCCATGGTACAATGCATGTTCCAGAGCTTCTCATGGCTGGGGCTGAGATGTGACTCCAGCTGAGACCACTTCCTTGCTTGGCCGCACTCCCCACCCACCTGACTCCCTTCTCCTGAGAGCTGTCCCGGAATAATTACATGCACAAGAATCCACATCTCAGGTTCTGCTTCTAGGGAAACCAGACCCTCACCATTGCCCAAAATTATGAAAGGTCTTTATATTTTACAGTAAGAATGAGCACTGATGGTTTTGTGGAATTTTTAGAATTCATAAGTAGAAGACATTCCTTCTCTCCTGTTTCATTAAAAACAAAAGGCATATAATTACCCAGAGGTGGCTGGAGTGTCTTGAAACTATTTCCCTCATGAACATCCTTCCTGCCTTTGTTCAGGTCTGTGATGGATCTAATATCATTACTCCAAGAGGCCTTACCTGAAAGACCCTCAAATTGCTCCATCCCCCTCCCTCACCAGTCTGGTTTCTTTCTGCATAGCACATATCACCATTGATATGACAATTTACTTGAAGCTTTAACCTGTTTCCCCAACTCTCTAGAGCTCTGCAATGCTTAATACCATAACCACTAGACACATACGGCTATTTTCCATTTAAATTTAAATTAATTAAAAGTATTGAGCCTACCACAGTGGCATGTAGCAGACAACAAATATATGTGAGCCAATGAACAAATAGTTCATGGTAATCATCAGTGATGTCCCTGGTATCTAATTTTGTAGCTTTTATACTAAAAATTGATATTGTCAAGGGTAGGAAAAGAACTGTAAGAACATTTAAGAAAAACTTCTTAAGAAGCTATGAAAGGATATGACTATTACTGGCTGAATTTTTAGTGGATGGTAGTTAATTGTAGGTTAAAAAAACACAATGCCAACCTCCAGATGGAGACAGCTAGCTAGCCAGAAACTGCTGAGAGTTTTTTGACAGTTATTCAAGGCAGCATAGAAAATATAAAACTTTCCTTTTTTTCCCCTCTGAGATGGGCAGATATTTAAAGTCCCACTCCCTCCTCCCAATAGAATAAAAATCCAACATGTATGTTTTTTCTTTGATTGTTAACATGCTCACTTAAGACTAAAAGCCCACACATCGCGTTTGTGGCCAGGTGAACATGTTGGAAGCAAAATACAAAGACCCCAGTCTGTCTCCTTACCTAGCCCTCTGCACCTCAACACTAACACCACTTTCCTTTCTAAGGAAACAGCTTAATAAAGACATCACTTTGTACTCACGATGAAAAAAGAGCAAGAAAGGAAACATAAAGAGAACCAAGAAGCCTCTGCCGTTTTTGCCTTGTAATGCAGACAAAGCAATTGGAAAAAAGCAAGTAACTAACAAGCATTCCTGAGAACACAGGAATTCCAGAGGTCTTTCAGTTGATTCTCAGATGCTTTATTTTATTTTATTTATTTATTTATTTTGAGATAGGGTCTTCTGCCTAGACTGGAGTACAGTGGTGCCATCATGGCTCACTGCAGCTTCAAACTCTCCAGCTCAAGCAATTCTCCCACCTCTGCCTCCCAAGTGGCTGACACTACAGGCATGAGCCACCACACTCAGCTAATTTTTGTTGTTATTGTTGTTGTTAAAGAAATAGGGTCTCACTATGTTGCCCAGGGTGGTCTCAAGCTCCTGGGCTCAAGTGACCTCTCGCGCCTCGGCCTCCCAAATTGCTGGGATTATAGGTGTGAGTCACGATGCCCAGCCTGTTCCCCACTTCTTAATATGAGTATGTATTCCTGTCTTTCATTCATGTTACAGAATGTCTTTGGAAAATATAATCTTCAAAACCAGTAAAACATCTTCAGTTATGCAGTCTTTGTAGAAAATGGTCAGTTCTTTGGATTCTAAGTTAATATTATCAATGGCATTAAAGAAAAAGCACTAAAAGTTCCCAGCAGCCAATGCATGGCTTTTATGCTTATAGCAAACTTATATGCTAATACTAGGAGCTTCCTTATAAATCAGATGACTTGGAGATCTACAATCCTTGGACATCAGTTGACTCCAAGAAAAAGGAGCTTCAACCTAATGTATTTCATTTCTTTCTGTTTCTCTTTTCTTTTTAAATTAATAAGCCCACTGATTTTGGTTTTCTTAACTTGAACACAAGGTAAGACCCCTGTTAGGGACGTAGTCACCTTTTATTTTACATTAAACAGTCTGACCTGCCAGGCCTGTCTTTAACATTACTGAAGAGGTGGCATCCTCTGACATCATCTTTTCTTATCCAGACCGAAAACGTAAACACATTATTACTGACAAGTTTCAATCATCTAGGAGAAGACTTTGATTTGGTGCTAGTAGTGTCTAGGACCAGTCAGAGACACTTACAGGTAAGTTTTAAATGTGTGAGAGATTATATCTCAAAGAGAAAACCCACAATGAACCCAAGCTATTTGTTTTCATGGCTCCTGTAACTCTGCACATGTTCTGTGATGGAGAAAACCTATGATTGCTACCACATAGCCAACTCCTTCATGTATCTTTTCTCTCCATCTTTCCCTGTCTCCATGAACTTATTTCAATTCTAGGACATACCTATGTGTTTGTTCTGAGCCACCTGGAAAGGCAATTAGAGTACATGGACTCTCATGAAATAGTTTTTATATGTTTTTACTTCCAAATATAATTAGAAAGTAGTCAGCTATAAGGCAAAAAAAATCATTAATTACATATATTAACTATCTATGAATTTTCTATATGTATAGTGAAGCTTATATGTACATACAAGCTTTTGACATAACTGCAATAAATTGAAAAACACATGAAAAAATTTATACATTTATATGTCAACATATAGAAAATTGCTAGGAATAACTAACAAAAAATGTGTATGAGCAACATAAGGAAAACTACAAAACTGTGAGAGGAATTAGAAAAGCCGTTTAAATGACTGTCCATTCCAGAATGTAAAAGCCTAATAGACATATCAGTTCTTCCCATTTGTAATTTGTAGGTTTTGTGCAACTGAAACACTAATACAATTTTTGAGGGAGGACAGGAAGGAGATGAGTAGTGAGTAATGAAGATAGTAAAATATATTACAGAGCTACAATTACAATGTCTTGGTACTTGCACAAGAATTTAAGAAAAAAAACTATAGTTCCAAAATAGATACTACTTTATATGAGAATTTAACGTATAATGAAAGGTGATTACAAACTAGCCAGGAAGGTTAGAATGATTCTTATTCAATATTGGAACAACTGGTTAATAATTTGGAAATAAAATGAATTTAGATTCTTATTTTACAAATAATAACAAAATAACTTCCAGATGAATTAAAAACCATAGAGAAACATAAATTTTACTTTAATATTAATCAAACTACTGAAGAGGAGGGGAGTTTGGAAATGAGAAGCATTAAAGGAGGTCATGGGTAGCAGATCCCAAGAGTTCTTATGGACCAGTGTAGGATGGAGAAGTGGAGGATGGGCTGACATCAGTGGTGGCACCCAAAAAACGACAGTGTGACACTGTTTATCAGATAGATAGGTGCCCCAACTGATAAATATCAAAAAGCTCTAGGGCTACCACAATAAAAGACTCTTGCTTGTATGAATCCCAGTGTAAACCTAGCAGCTTTCTCCATCTCTGATCCTCCATTCAAAGCACATGGCCTCCAAGGTGGCCCCAGCAGCAGACGAGAAAGACAATAGTGGTATCCTGGCTTTCAACTGCCTGGAATGAGAAGTGACACATGGCACTTCCACCTACAGTCCAGTGGCCAGAGCTGGTCACATAACCCCAACCACCCCAAAAGATTCCTGGGTTGGTCTCTCTCAAAAGCACAGCCTAGGGCAAGGATATGGGTTGATTTGGGAGGTGATCTCAGACAGCACTAGAGGAGAGTGGAAAAGTGAAGTAGGACAGTGGCATGAAAGAGTAGGTTACTGCTATGGCCAACCTGGGCTCAGTTCTGCTGGGAACCTCTGGAGAGATTGAGTAGAACATGCCTCAGAGTTATCCTTCCAGAGGGGCAAGGAAACTGTGATATTCACCCATCCATTCCCTTCCATTGGTGGTTGAGGGCTGCTCCCAGGACATTAGCTGCCCAGCACTTCTGGGTGTGTGCACCAGATGGGGGCCAACCATGCCCCTGCAACCAAAGAAAGTCATCCAACAGTGTTGCAGTGGCTTGCAGTGGGAACCACCAGAACAGGAAAGATGTGTGCTCAGGGACCATGGACAGGGACTGATAGCATCTGCTAAAGAAGGGGAGCACATGGGTTATCTGGCAAGAACCACTGCCTCTGGCACAAATGGAGAGACCCAAGCTCCAGGGGACTTTGGTTGTAGCCCTCTGAAACCGAAACAACATCTGAACTAAAATGAATAACCAGCCTTGTCTAACCCATTCCTGGAAGAGACATTCCCAAAAAGTTATGGCTGTTATTGCTAGGAAATCTGCTGCTCCAACCAACCCTGAGACCCAAAGATACTTCCTGTAGGGTGCCTTGGACTAGCTTGTGGGTATGGAAACTGCTGTTAGGGGAAATGCCCTGCTAGTCTGGGGGGATTCTGGGATGAAAAAACATGGTGCCATCCTCAAGTGGCATGTGGTGTCTGGGGGTGACAGGTATGCCTTCGCTCACAGAACCTTTATCACAAGTTCCAGATAGACTCAGAGGCCCTCCAGGGGAGGCTACACATCTCCCTGGAGGGCCTCAGAGGCTCTGCTATGAAAACAATGCCTGAGACCAGGAGAGAGCATAAGTTTCTCAAGTGGGAACAGGAAAGTAAAAGCCACTTCTGGCAATCTGCTCATGTTGCTTCCCTCCATCAGTTGGTGCATTAGGTTAATTATTTATACAAAAAGTAAATACCAAGTTACATTTTAAAATATGTAATGCCAAAATTTTAATTAACATGAGATTTTACTCTAGAAACCACAGGGGTTTATTTTCGGTTTGTGAAATTTTTGTCTGTTTGTGTGGCTTTGTGTTCTCTGCCCTCCACTTCCCCAAAGTGCAGTGTTTCCATTTTACTTCTTATGTAATTACCTAGAGATCATTTAACCTCTACTCATTCCTCAAAGAATTTTCAGTATCTCCATCCAAAAACACAGAGTGGAAAGTTGATCGTTTGTGCTCTTAAAATAAAAACTGAAGGCAGAAAACTAATCTCACATTATATGGCATGACAGCTTCTAGCTCAGAACCATCCACAATTTTCTCAATTTTTTTCACCTCCTTTGAACATACAGAAAACAAAAAAAAAGTATGTGCTTAATCAGGTAATATTGCCAGAATCTGCTCCTACAGGACAGAAGCAGCAAGCACAATAGAAAAGCTAATAAAGCCATTCAAATCATCTTAATGAGCACTAATTAATGTCCCATAGAAGAAAAATAGACACTGCAAGATGTAGCAGTTTCTCAGAAACTGGTTCAGGAAAAGTCACATCAGTGAGAAAAGATGGGATGGTGAATACGGCAGAACACAGTTCTGGTCTTGAGCTCTTCTGTTCTTGCCATGGACATCTGACACCTGCGGTCCTCATCCTGGTCGGTGGTACCACCAACCACCCTCGACCTCCAAGACCAAGAGTCATCCCTGACTCCTCTTCCCTTCCATCCCCTCCCACATCGCAGTCAACCTCAAAGTCCTGTGGATTCCAGCTCCTGCGTGTCTCTCAAATCCATGCTTCCTCTCTCCCATTACCTTAACTACATCTGAGCACCTGCCCTCATCACATCTTAGCTCAGCTACCTGCAAGCCTCCCCAGATTCTGCTGTCTCAGCCTTCCTCTCTCCCCCTCAGCCACCCCATACACCCTGGGAAAAGTGATGTCTCTGAACCATAAAGCTGGTCATCTATGTCCCCTTCATTAAACACTCCAGTAGTTTTCCAGCTGTTTCTCAAATTCCAGGAGATCCTCAAACCTATCTTAGGAGGGTCCATGAGTTCTCAAAATTGTGTTTTGTTTAACTTTCTGTTTTCACTTTCATGATCACCTTTTTTTAAGAATCAATAGAAACATATTCTGGATCATCTGAATGGCCATGTTATGACTAAGTGCTACCACATAATTTCACCATATATACTCTTGCATTTATACTGTAGTTGATGCTATGGTCTGAATATCCCGGAAAATTCATATGTTAAAACTTAGTCCCCATTGTGGTGATATTGAAGGGTGGGGGCTTTGGGGAAGTGATTAAGTCACGAGGGCTCTACCTTAAAGAATGGATGAGTGACTGACAAAAGGGCTGAAAAGAAATAGCTTAGGCCCTTTGTTGGTTCCTGTTCCTTCCACTGTGTGAAGACACAAGGTCCATCCCCTTTGGAGTGTGTAGCAACAAGCAGAGAATAAGCCTTCACCACACATTAAGCTTGCAGGTGCCCTAATCATGGCCTGCCAGTCTCCAGAACTGTTGGGAAAGAATCTCTGTTCTTTACAAATTACCCAGGCTCAGGTGTTTTCCTATGGCAGCACAAACAGACTGAGACAGTTGGCATCAAGAAACATTATTTTAATTATCACAGGCCAATGAGAAAATAACAAATCAGGTTTAGTGTATAGAAAGGAAACTGATGAGAAAATTGAGCCATCATAAAACCTTGTGGCATGGCACACTGCACACCAAATTCATAAGAACCTGAACAACAGCTGTTATAACCAGAAATAGGGATTTCATTTTAGCAAAAATAACTTCATCCAGAACATTAAATTCATGAGGTTAATCCAAATGTATTTGACTTGTAGCTGTGTTGATATTTTATTTATATATTTGTTTTGGTTATGTGGTCATATGAAAGCTCTAAGTATAAAGAGTTTAGACCCATGTAAAACTACTACATATCTGAACTGCACTATAATAAAAATAATTTAAGCAACACTAGGAATCTACAAGAATTTTTTTCCTTTAAAGGAATTCCCATATTACTCTTATTTGAGAAACTGTGGCCTCAGAATGAGGCTTAAGCTTCATAACAAGACATATGTGGGAGAGTTGATATTCTCTGACTTTTTCTTCCATCCCAGCCGCCATCCCCTATTTCCCAGCCCCCTGCGCCCACAATTAGTTCTGACCAATGGGCTGTGGACAAAAGCAACATTGCATTCATTCCAGACGAGCCAGAGAGACACTCTCCCTCTATCTCTTCCTGCACTGGTGACTACAGTGGCCACATTTTCCAGATGGCAAGGCTGAAAACTGGGAGAAGCTCTGTCTACTTGGCTATCAATTGACCTGTGAGGGACACACATTGTGTGTGAGAAGTAACCTTCGTTGAGTTAAACTACCAAGATGATGAAGTTGATTTGTTACTGCAGCAAAGCTTAGAAAACCCTCCTGACTAATACACTTCATGAACTGAGCTCTGCTCCCTGATCAAGTCCTCCCCATCACACTCCATGCTCCAAACAACTCTTAGTTCAGTGACCTGAACACACCAAGCTGTTTCATCATGGCAGCCTACTTTTGCACATGCTGTTCCTCAGTCTTAGAATACTATTCCACACACTCTTCTGCCCTCCTCCAATCCCAGACACAGTGATTTATCCATCAAAACCCAGTTCAGATTTAATTACCACCAGGAAGGGTTCCTCCCTTTCTTAACTCTCTTACCTGCCTCTCCATTACCCTAACGCCACAGAGTGCTCATCTCACCATATCATAATCGTACATTTCTATGTCTCACACCTCCTCACCCACTCCCCGCAATCACACTGTGGCAGGGGCAGTGATGGGCCAATGGCTTATTCATCTCTACATCCTCAGGGCCAGCATGCAAGAGCAGGCAGTATTTGGCCATTTGGCCAGGAAGAATTTCCTCCAGGAGGCTGGTCCTAGGGCATTTGAAGGAAGCTGGGTTTGATCCATTATCTACCCAGTAGGAACATCCTACTCAACAGCAGCAATTCCTAGCTCTCTCTACCCCAGCTCCAGGCCAGACCTGCCTAGGAGGCCTGAACCCTCCCCATCATCTCTCCAAACACAGTGCTCTTCAGGTCCCACAAAGGACTCAGGCTTTACCCAAGAGGGAGTAGCCTAGGGCCTTGTACTCAAAATGTGGTCCCTAAAGAAACAACATCTACATAGTATTCCATGGTGTATATGTGCCACATTTTCATTCTCAGCAAACTATCGCAAGGACAAAAAACCAAACACCGCATTTTCTCACTCATAGGTGGGAATTGAACAATGAGAATACATGGACACAGGAAGGGGAACATCACACACCGGGACCTGTTGTGGGGTTGGGGGAGGGGGGAGGGATAGCATTAGGAGATATACCTAATGTTAAATAACGAGTTAATGGGTGCAGCACACCAACATGGCACATGTATACATATGTAACTAACCTGCATGTTGTGCACATGTACCCTAAAACTTAAAGTATAATTAAAAAAAGAAAGAAACAACATCTACAGAACTTAGGAGCTAGGGAGAAAAGCAGAATCTTAGGCCCCACCCTAGACCTCCTGAATCAGAATCTATATTTTAATAAGATCCCCAGATGATTCATATGTCCAGCAATATTCAAAAAGTACTGGCCCCAGGCAGCCAAACAGAATCCATTCAGCTAAAAGGTAACTTTAATAACAATACTTTTCATTTGTAATAATATCTGGTAATTGCTTTACATCACTAAATCCTCAGAGCAATTTGAATATGCCCATTTTACCAATAAGGAAACCGAGGCTCAGAGTAGTTGGGTATCTCGCTCAGGATCACATGGGTTTGAGGGGCCAGAGCCCAAATGTGAAAGCAATTCTGATGGACTCACCTCCATAACTACACACTACATGACACCCTGCCCTTTGCAAATTCTGTCAACATTTAGCCTTCAAAACCAGCCCAAGCAGCTCTGGAGACTTCCCTGTCCCTTCATGCAGCCACTGATCTGGTGATTATCTCTATTCTACCACTTGCTATCCACATCATGATGCCTCTACATACACCACTGTCCCCAAGAGATTGCCAGTTGTCTCTGTATAAAGATTTTATGGGCTTCCCCTATAATCACTGGATGAGTCCATGAAAATATTTCCCCTTTGACCATCAAAGAACACTCTGAGGCTGGCTGAACAATTGCTATTAAATGAATGGTGAAGATACTGAGGTTCCTAGAGAAGTTCAGTGACTTGCCCCAGGTCACCAGGAGGCTTCAGAACTCTGAGGATGGAGCCAAACTCCCCTCCCCAATTCCCAGTACAGATGTCTTCTTCCCACTCTTTCACTTTCCCTAGATTTCTCTCTTCTGACCTACATTACCAAGCAGTTAACAAAAACATTCTTTTCAAAGAACTCCCCCACGTATGCATCTTCAAAAGGGGCTCTGCTCCACCAGCAGACGGGCAAAATTTAGACATTATCAAGAGGCCACCAAAGGAAAAGGTGAGGAAACTCAGGATGCCAGATCAGATACAATGACCCTCCTGGATCCAAGGAAAGGAAAACGTCTTCAAGCAAGAGCCTCCAACTAAAGCAGCCCATCCAAGCCCCTACCCAGTAACCTCACCGTCAAGACAAGACCCCTCTGAGAACTTCTGGAGGCTGGTGGAGACCTACCCACCCTCCCTGACCAGGCACCACCACCCGCCTGCAGGCTGCAGGATTGAGATTCCACCAGCCAAAGCAGCCCTTTTCCTCCCCTTTGTTGGCTTTAGAAAGAAACTAAGACTGGCTTGTCCAAAGAAAACCAAAACATCTGCCTGAAATATTCAAATATTTAGGGGAAAAAAGGGGAAAATCCCTCTTTGGGGGATTTTTTCTTGGGAAAAAAGAGAAGCCAGAAATGAGATCCTGGGACAACTAAGCAACTCTGTTTTTTGCTTTTCTGAGCACCACGCCACCATGATCATTGAGTACTGTGTGCACTGCCAAAGAAGCACTGATCAGGGGGCTAGTGGACACTGAACACCTGTCTGCCAATCCGTTGCCTGGGCATGGGGATCCATCTGCCCAGAAGGGAACACCTTTTGTGAATTCATACAAAGGCACCCTACAGGTTAGCATGGGCTACCTATTACCGATGTTAGTCATGTTTGGATAACATAGGAAGAATAAAAACATTGACAGTGAGAAGGGTCCATGTTTTTATCTGGATTCCTTAGAATCAGATCCTGAGATAAGAATTCCTATGAAAGTGTATTAGGAGATATTCCTAGGAAAAAATGGTAGGGATGTGAAGAAGTAAAACAAGAAAAAGTAGCAAGCCAAGCGAGGGAAACAAGCCAAGCAAAGAACCATAGAGGTCAATTTGACACAACTCCACATTGGATCTCTGGAAACAAAGGATGTCATGCTTCAGAGTGTCCCAATCAAGGGCAAAGAAGCTGGACTATTTATACTCCAGCACCCATCAGTCATTGAGGAGGGGCTGCCCCAGGGGAGATGTAAATTCCCAGGCACTCCCTGTTCTGAGTCCCTACAAACATAGGCTCTGCCGCCCAAGGGTCATCCTCCAACAAAGAGATGGAGGGACTGGCAATTGGAAGTGAAGGCACCCAGGGTACCAATACGCACCAAGATGGCAAAGCTCACCATAAAAGAACATGACTCAAAAATCTTTCAAACCTAAATGAAAGGAGTTACAGAACATCTTTCAGAAAACACTTTCTGCCCCTCTTTGTTCTTTCTTCAGTGAAGCAATTTAAATATTAAATTGAAATGCTTTTCTAAAGTTGGGCTGTGAGGCAAACCCAATACTCTTTTCTTTTTTTTTTTCTTCCTGAGGGTCTTGCTTCTTGCTACTTTATCCTAAGGATAAGCACAATGCTTGCCTATTGCTGTAGATGCCTCATTGATCAAGATCATTAGCTCAACATCAGCCCAACAGATCTCCACTGTAAGCAGTTACACAGACACTTCACAGCTCCTAATACAATCATCAAAGTGCAGGGCCACCTAATTAATGCCAAGAGGTTTTATGACAGCCAATGATGAAGGTGGGACCCTGCTTCAATTTAACAGCTGTCATCTTGGACAATACATCAAGGAAAGGAAATGGAATCAACTAGGAGGGGGTGAGGTGGAGGAATGACTAACTGTTAGGATTGAATAACAACGGAGTTCCCTCCACAACTTCTCACACACTTCCCCCCTCCCAGCAGGCAGATACTCTGAAAAGGTGTCCCCAGACGCCTCTGCCAAGGACTGGCACAGCCTTCTCCCTTCCTCACCACACCTCGCCCCCAGGGCCAGACATGGAAAGGAGTGTAAATGTGATCCTATATTTGAAATTAATTGATAGGATATTTCACGAGCTCAGATTTTTTTATATTAATTCCCAAATGCTCTGCCTGTATCCTTTTTCCTAATCATCTTTGGTTCTTCTGTGTTTCTTTAGTTCTAAGGAGGGTTTCTTGTCATTTAGATGGGTCAGAGACCTCTAGAGACCTGGATCCAACTCCAGCTCCGCTGCTATGGAGCCGTGTGACCCTGGGCAAGGCACGAGCTCTGTGGGCCTCAGTTTTCTCATCTGAGAAATGGGGATAATTCCATTCTTTACAGATTTGTGGAGAGGATGAAATACGCTTAACTCTAGGTGAAGCGCTTGGCATGTTGAGTTGCACAATAAATGTCAGCTCCCTCCCTGCGCCTTCTCCCTTCTGCAGCCTCACCGCACCTGCACCTTGAAAGACACCCAGTGCGTTTCCCAGGAAGGGCCCCCCTGCTGGCGAGGGAAATAAAATCAGCTCCGGAGAGCGTTATTCCCCTAGAAAGCAGGTTTCAGGTGGTGTACACCCGCACGCGCGCGCGTTTACACACACGTACACACACATACACACGTACACACACATACACACACACAGTCCTCCGTACACCCACGCGGGGTCTGGCACTGCTGCTACATCCCGCACGGAGCGGGGTCCAGAGTTAGGGCGAATGAGTCCTCCCGCCCCCGCCAAGGTGGCGCCCAGAACGGGTCGGTGCCGGAGCGCACGGTACTCACCCGGGGCAGGCCGCGCCGGGCAGGCTGGGGCTGGCCGGGCCGGGGGCGGCGGCGGCTGCGGGGCTGGAGTGGCGGCGGGCATGGCGCGGCGGCGGGCTCGGGGAGAGCCTGGAGCAGAGGTGGCAGCGCGGGGACGCGGCTCGACGGTCGAGCAGGCGCGGGAAGGCGGGGCGAGACGAGCAGCCACGAGCCCGCGCCGACTCTCCCTCTTCTCTCCCTCCCGCCGCCCGCCGCCCGCCTGCCAGCCCCGCGCCGCGCAGCGCCCGGCGACAGCCACCGGGAACGTCTCCGGGGGCGCGGGACTTAGCAACCGCGCACCAGCTGCAGCCGCCCTCTCTGCGCCGGTCCCGCCATGCGCGCCGCTCCTGGCCCTGGAGGCCGGGCGGGGCCGGGCTTTGAACTTGCTCCCACACCCCCTGCTTCTCCAGTGAGCGCCCAAAGGCGGTCCCGCCTCTCCCCGGTCAGCGGAGTCCAGCCTTTCTGCTCTCCTTCCCCGCGCAGTTCCGCGGTGGAACCTGGCTGCGCTGGGTTTTGAACGTGCGCTTTGCCCCTGTTCTCTGTGGGTGGGTGGCAGCCCAAAGGCGACCCCAGGACCACCAGCCATCCTCGTGCCTCCCTGCAGGGCAGGGGCCAGACTTTCCACACCACTTCCTTCCTCCTATCCCATTCCCGCTCCTTGGATACACTGACCGTAGGTCCCAGGGCCGTTCTACTCTAACACCCTTGTTGCCCCCCAGATTCAGAGACCTGCTTACACTCTGGTCCACACCCATGGTCTCAAAGACTTAGGCTGCAAAACGTTCCTCCAGCCTAGTGGCTTCTTGGTACCATCTGAAGGCAGCTCGATGGCCCCTTGCTTTGTTGTACCTCTTCCCAGCACCACACACCTGTTCCTCATATTTGCAGGTCCCTCAGGTCTGCAGTGCGGGGTCTGGGGACCCATATTCCCGGGTACTGACTCCCAGATCTCTCCTGCGTCAGATAATAAATTCACTGGATCAGCCATACCCTTCTCTCCACAGGGCCGTTGACATGATTACAGAGTGGTCTGGCTTTTGCCTTTATCAATCAAGTCACAAAGTGGTCTTGTCTGTTGGGTCTGATGTTGCTGTTCTGTGAAATTGTTTATGCTCAACAGAACGCCAAGGCCGAGCTGATAGAACCAGACCAGCTCCCAGATGGCAGGGGCTGTCTTTCTCTTTATCACACATAACAAGAAGCCTGGAAGAAGGCTCCTCTGTGTGTGTTCAGCTGCTCAGGGATGACGTTAAGGACTCAGTCTCTTTCCATGATTCCACATGGCCACCTTCAACATCTTGCCTTTTCTCCTCAGACTTGTTGCCTCAAGGTTCCAAAATGGCTGCAACAGCCATGCCATGATGCTGCTGTGCAAAAAATAACTCCTGGTTCTAGCTGGTTTGTTGGCCAGGTACTCTGAAGTCATCATCAAGGACAGTTTTCAGCAATCCAGTTCACCAATGGTGAACACAACAAATGCCCTGCCTTCAAGTCACTCACCTTCTAGTAGGGGGAGACAGATAATAAAATACACAAGTATGGTGATAAATAGTATGAAGAAAAATGAACCAAGAAAAAGGGAATGTGATTATGTAAGTTGAGTGGTTGGGAAAGGTAACATTTGAGTAAAAACCCGAAGGAAGAACCTATTGGAAATCTCTCTGGGAGACAAGTGTCCTTGAGATACTTACACACTTTCTTTTTAAAATCACTTACTTTTCTCTTTAACAGCCACTCTTCCTGGCCCTATCACCTATATTTTAGGAGAAAATAAAAGTTAAATAAACTGAGTTTTAGTAAAAAGGTTTAAGCTTTGTAAAGGAGAGATCAGATGACTTGTGTTTTCTTCCTTGCAAAAGCAGCAATCTCACAGTGTTTAATTATTGGCTGGATTATCATGATTTAAATACGAACTAGATATACACATATCAAGCAATCACAATGAACACCTTAAGTTATCAGATTACTTCACAAGAGTGAGGGATATATCTTGTTGAATATTGGCAAAGAAATTGCTAATTGCCTACTCAACACCTATTTTCATTTCTGATCCGGTATTTTAAAAAAAATGTTTTTTAGCTAAGCATACTACCACCTGCAATTTAAAAAAAATACATTTTCTAGCCTCCCTTGCAGCAAGGAGTGATGATATGAAAAGTTTCTGGCCAATGAAATATAATTGTAAGTGTTGTATTGGATTTTCAGTAGATGCCTTAAAGATGCTGATTTGGCTGACAGATGCACTCCTTTGTCCCTTTTCCTTCGTCCTGGAATCCAGGTATAATGATGTGGTAGGTGAGATTATTAATTTCAGTTATTCACTCCATTCCTCAATTGAATTGGACAATCCACCCTTTATGGTACTTGGAGTGTGTTTCCCTGTACCTTGACTTTAGGCTTGGCCATCTTTCTTTTTCTTTCTTTTCTTTTTTGTTTTGTTTTGTTTTTAACTTTAAACAATTTTTTATTACACAAAGGTTGTCACATAATTGGATATTTCTCTACTTTGTACATAATTATTCTCACCCTCCACAGAAAGTCTGCTTAACTTCTCATCTGGTGGTGGCAAGCACTAAAATCCTGATTTTAACAGAATAGTAGTAAAAATGCCTCAGTTATTTAAGTTGAAGGCAGTACATTGGTACATGACTCTTGTACCCAATATCAGGAATGTACAAATGTCTTTTTATTCAAAAATACAAAATAAAGTATTGATAGGCATGGACAATGACAGCAGTAAACCATTATATATTTTGTCAACTGAACCAGTAACTGATGGTTATAATGATTTCTTAAACATCAGCCAGCCTTTTCTTCATTTTCTCCAACTGACTTCTCTGAAGTTATTGGTGAGGAACACTGCCTTGACTTCCTGTCACAGTTCATTAATAAAAGTAAAGCACTATTCTAGGAGTTACAACATGCCCCCTCCCATACCACATCCCATTCCACCCATTGCACCCATTCCAGGGTCCTTCTCTTCTTTAGGAATTTCTGTGACTACAACTTCTGCTGTAGTTAACAGAGAGGCCACACCAGCAGCATCCAATAAAGCAGTTCTCACAACCTTTCTTGGGTCAATAATTCCTTTTCCCACCATATTCACAAAATCTCCGACCCTAGTAGCATCATAACCAACTTCTGAGGAACGTTGCATAATTTTCTCAACTATCGAAGATCCTTCAACACCTGCATTCTTAGCAATGGTCATTGCTGGAATTTTGAGTGTTGTTTTGATTGTTTATATACCAATTAGTTTATCTTCATTAGCTGGAGTCAATGAGTCCAAGGCTGGAATGCACCAAAGCAGGGCACAACCCCCTCCCAAAACAATGCCTTCTTCAACAGCAGCTCTGGTAGCATTAAGGGCATCTGTAACTCTGTCTTTCTTTTCATTCGCTTCAACATCACTTGTCCCACCAACCTTTGGCATAGCTATCCCATCTGAAAGTTTTGCCAGTCATTCAGTTTTTCCTTTTCATATTCACTAGTTGTGACATCTAACTGCTCAATGATTTCTTGAATATGTTTTTCAATTTGAGCATTGCCACCTTTTCCTTTTAAGAGCATGGCATCATCTTTGGTCACAATGACCTCTCCAACTTTTCCTAAGTCATGAGGCTGAACATCTTCAAAATGTAGGATCAACCCCTCTTCTCCAAACACTGCACCAACAGTAGTAACAGCCATATCTTTGAGCTGGTTCTTTGTCACAAAACCCTGGAGCCTTGACTGCCACAACCTGAAAATCAATCTTTAGGCTGTTCAAGACAAGTGTACTTAGAGCTTCTCCACCAACATCTTCAGTGATTATGACCAAAGGCTTACGGTGAGCACTGGCAGTTTCAAGAGCAGGTACAATGGACTGGACACTAGAAATTTTCTTTTCACTCAACAGAACATATGCCTCCTGGAATTCACATTTCTGACCTTTTGATGTATTAATAAAGTATGGAGAAACATAGCCTCGATCAAACTTCAAGCTTTCAATAATTTCTAATCCATCATTCAGTGTTTTCCCATCCTTTACTGTTATGACACCCTTTCTTCCCACCTTTTTCACTGCATCAGAGAGGATATGGCCAATTTCTTTGTCTCCACTTGCAGAAATTGTAGCAACCTGCGCAATTTCTTCAGGGGTGGTCACAGGTTTAGACTGCTTTTTAGGTTCAGCTATTACAGCATCAACAGCTAACATCACACCTCTCCTGATTTCCACTGGATTAGCACCTTTGCTAATCTTCTCAAAGCCTTCCTTGGCAATAGAGCATGCCAGTACAGTAGCAGTGGTAGGGCCATCCCCAGCCTCTTCATTTGTGTTATTGGCAACATCTTGAACGAGTTTAGCTTCAATATTTTTATATTTATTCTTTAAGTCAATTGACTTTGCAACAGTCACACCATCTTTTGTTACTTTGGGACTTCCCCAGCTCTGCTCAATAATCACTGTTCTTCCCTTTGGCCCCATTGTAATGGCTACAGCATCGACTAAAAGGTCTACACCTTGAAGCATTAAGGCTCAGGCATCTGCACTGAATTTTACATCTTTGGCATAAGCCCGAGTGAGATGAGGAACCAATACCCTGGACAATGGTCTTATCTAAAGACAGTGGGGAACCGAAGCATTTCTGTGAGGTGGTGGCAGGGCATGCCCGGGGCGTGGCGAGGCAGGTCGGCAGTGAGTGAGGCCTTTTTTTTTTTAAGACTTAGTTTCGCTCTTGTTGCCCGGGCTGAAGTCCAATGGCGCAATCTCGGCTTGCTGCAACCTCTGCCTCCCAGGTTCAAGTGATTCTCCTGCCTCAGCCTCCTGAGTAGCTGGGACTACAGGCGCACACCACGACACCTGGCTAAGTGACCATCGTTCTTACTTAGGCCAGTAGGATGTTATTGAACATAATGTGAACAGGGGGTTAGAAAGTACTCCCATGGTTTGGTTTGCCCGGGTATGCTTCTGCCAATAGCCTAAATATCTGCTGGTCCGAGATAAATGTGGAGAAATATGATGCAGACCTAAACTTCAACAGGTAGCTAAGTTCGGCCAACCTGCAGCCTGAAGCAGACCTGTAGGAAGGAGACAAAAAAAAATGCCCATTATTGTAAGCTACTGAGTTTTGGGCTGGTTTGTTACTCAGGATTATTGCAGCAAAAGTTAGCTAACATGATGGTTGATGATGATTGAAGCCCCAGCAGCCTACTTAGGTCATGTGGTGGCCTTAAAAGTGGAAGCCAAGCCCTAAGGATCACTGAGCAGAAACGTAGAATAACCCGTAGTCCCTTGACATCATGAAGCCACCACACCACCCCAAAGTATTAAATTTGCACTTCCTTTTTAAGAGAGAATAAATCCCTATATGATTAAGCTGCTATAGTAGGAGTCATCCCTTGTTATTACCTGTCAAATGATGATTTGTATCAATTCACTCAAAAAAGAAAACACTTTGTTTCATATTAAGAGAAACATTGAACACACACAGTATCAACATTTAAATGTAAAATAGAAGAAGAAAAGGACCATCATGCTTACAGTAAGCCACTTAACTAGGAACTCATTTAGCATAGCTAAAAAGAATGGAACAATAGCCATTGTGGTCTAGCCAAGGTGTCAGGGCTATTTTGGTTGCAGGTGAGCAAAATTCACTCAAGCAGCTTATTTTAAGTGGCAGGGAGCACAGGGCATTTTAAAGATATCTGAAAAAATCTCAAACACATCCAAGAGCTGATTGGTGACCACCTCAGGACCTTACTCTCAAATGTCCCCCACAATAGCTGTTTCAGAATCCAGTTTCTCCAAGGAGAGAATATAGTTGGCCCAGACTATTTATTCTAACCAGGCCACTTAAATCATTAGCCAGCACTGGATTGGCTGCTTTGGGATGGGTGTTCATCCCTGGTCCAAACAATTGTGGCTCAGTGGGAAAGAAGATAGAGGAAGAAGCATTGAATGACAGTCATTCTGAAGCTCTGCATGGGACATTTTAAGCCAGGAGGGGAAGTTACATATGGCAGGCAAATTGACTGGCATATCCAAGACACCCAGCAAGCTTTGTTGAGGAAAGAAAGAAAACGTTTCCAGGAATTCAAGCCTGGGTAGGATACCATTGTGTTTGTAGGAGTGGTTGGAGGAGAGAGCTAGACAAGAGGCATGATGAAGCCTCTAAGAAAAATGTCCCTACCTCATGGCATCAGCCAGGATGACTCCAGATTGAAATTCAAGAAAAGAGAAAAATTCTTAATTTTCTATAAATTGATATTCTAACAAATTTGCAATGTGTTTCTTCACTCTTGTCATCATGTTGATAGAACATCTTTACGTGCCTCCCCACCCCAAGATGTCACCATCTCTTTCCTTCCCTCCCCAGGTAAACTTCTTGAGAGATTACTTTATGTTCCCCAACTATACTCCCTAACCTCTGTTGAGCTCCTCAGACCAGCTACAATGTGACAAATTTCCCTATCTCTCCACATTGCTGCGTTAACTGGATTGCTAAAGACCTTTCATCTGCCAAACTCAGTAAACACAATTCAGTCTTATTTTATTTCATCTCACTGCAGCTGTGACCAGTCTTGAAACTCTCTCCTGTCCTGATCTTTATAGCACCAGTCATTTTTGATTCTACCCCTTTTTCCCAAGGCAACCATTTTTCCTGCTTTGTGGTTCTTCCTCCATTTGTCCTTACATGTTACCTCTCAGTTTTATTCTTGACTTTGCTAGACTCAACCTGGGTGATCTTATCTAATCCCTCAGCTGTAAATTCAGAGGGATCTCATCTCATCTCTCCCAAATCCAATTCAGTTGCCTACTAGAAAATTCCCATAGATATCTCATAGCTACCCTTTACAATACAGCCAAAACAAAACTCATCATCTTTCCCCCATATCCGTCCCTCCTACTGGATTCTCAGTCTTATATAACTTAGTTTCCCAAGCCACAAATCCAGGAATTACTGTCAACCCCACATTCAGTCACCAAATCCTCTGTTTTCTACTCTTCCTTCCTACCTCCCCCCATTGCCTTGTTGAAACTCCCATTGCATCCCTCTAGACCACCCCAAGCATCTCCTCTCTTACATTGCTGCATCCTCTCCATCCTTTTTTCCAGATTATCAGCCCTACTAGAGTCAAGGAAATCTTTCTCCATACTGATCTATATAATTATATAATTTCCCTGTTTAAAAATCCTCCAGTGGCCTTATGTCTCCTGAGAGTTAAAAGCTAGACTCCTTAGTAGGATCTTCAAGGCTTTTCCACCTCGAGTCCTATCTACCACTCAACCTTCATCTCCTGCCATTTTCCCACAGATACTCTGGGCTCCAGCTAGTACAAATTCCTTGCTTGATCTTGGCCACTATCTCTTCCATACCCTGCTCCATACTCTGCCGCTGTGCAGCCCTCACTCAAGCATTACTTCCTCTAGGTAAGTAAACTGCCAAGCCATGATTCAAGCTCATGATCTTCACCATTAACTATTCTGTCCCCCTGCCCCACCACCACCACCAGCAGAAGGATGGGAAAATAGGGTGGGCCAATGTGCTTAAAATGTCTACATCATGGCCAATCTGATCTCTCCCCAATGCTGACAACTGACCCAGACAGTGGTACATTCTCTCCAGCAGTGATTCTTACCTACCTTGAAGTCAGCCAAAATCTCTCAGTCTGGTTTGGCAGACTCTTCATGTTTGACTTGAGTTTACTCTAGTGAAAGGTTTCAAAAGGAAAAAGTCAAATCTCCTACCTGAGATAAAATGTGGGATTTCCTGTGGATATCACTGATCCATGTAATCTCTCTTCTTACTTTTTTTTCAGATAACTGTGTGTCAGCCTGTGTGTAGATGTGGTTTATGAAATATATCTAAAAATGTTACCACTTTTCCTGGATGCAAGCTCCTGCTTTTAAACAAATCAGTTTATCTCCAGTGTCTGGTAAAGTTGCCATCTGGACCCTCCTGATGCCCACAAATATGGCACTCCATGCTGTAAAAGCAAGAGGCAGATAATTGTTTCTGTATTATAGCAATAAAAACAAAATCCTTTGCAAAACTACTGATCAATTTTCAAATGCAGAATAGTAATAAGAGGAAAGTCTGAAATATTCTCAAGTCCTTAAGTACAGTAATAGATTCAAGGCAAGATTTCAAGTATCATAGGATATTATAACACTTTAAAAACTGCATAAGCATTTCTCAAAACACTTCCTATACTTAGACATACAGTTAGAAAACTGAACTGGACTTAAATATGAAAAAGCTAGACCATAGTATAACAATATATGTGATCTCCATTGAATTACCAAGCCTGCCTTCAAAAAAAAAAAAAAAAAAGAAGAGGGCCAGGTATGGTGGCTGTCACCTGAAATCCTAGTGCTTTGAGAGGCCAAGGCAGGAGGATCACTTGAGGAGTTTGAGGCTACAGTGAGCTGTGATCCCGCCTGGGCAACAGAGGCTGTCTCTAAAACAAAACACAAAACAAAGAAGAGATAATAAGTAAACAATAAGAATAAGGCATGTGTGCATACAAAGTTAAGAGTCATGCATATGTACATGCCCATTTTCAAAATATATATGTATGGTTCATGACTATATATGGGACACACTGAAACTGAAAGTGCTATGAAGAAATGTTTATCTTAGGGGCTCAAATTCTCTTATATAAAAATTCAAAATAAATTTATCTATGATTCAGTTGGCCTTGGACAAATTCTTTCTGTTCATCTTAATGTCAAAGGATAGGAAGTCACCTCAGATATGGGTGGTGTTCTCAACAACAGAGAGAAAGTGAACAGAGCTTTCCTGGTTCTTGAATTTAGCTTTAGGACTTGCTGCTCTAGGGCAGGGGTCTGCAAACTGTATGACCCTTGCAGCCAAATCTGGCTCACTGACAATTTTGAGAAATAAAGTTTTATTGGAATACAGTGCTCCTTATTTGCTGGAATGCCCACGCTTCTTCTACCACACCTTGCTGCCTGATCAGTTATTCATTTATTCATCAAATAAATAATTATTGAGGGCTTCAGGAGCATCTTCTATGTTCTAGATGCTATGCCAGGCACCAAGGACATAAAGATCATTAAAAATAATGGAGACTGACACCAGAGTAAGATCAATTTTTTTTTTTTTTTTTTTTTGAGACAGGGTCTTACTCTGTCACCCAGGCTGGTAGCTCACTGCAACCTCGACCTTCTGGGCTCCAGCAATCCTTCCGCTTCAGCCTCCCAAGTAGCTTGTAGCACAGGTGCACACCACTGCACATAGCTAATTTTTGTATTTTTTGTAGATATAGGGTTCCATCACGGCGCTGCACAGGCCGGTCTTGGAATTCCTAGGCTCAAGCAATCTGCCTGCCTCCGCCTCCCAAAGTGCTGGGATTACAGGCATGAGCCACCATGCCCAGCCAGATAAATTTTAAATAAGATTGATGTGACCCCCACCCCAGAAATCCTTACTCACAAACTAATTAAAAAATTAAGAATAAGCTGGGCACGGTGGCTCATGCCTGTAATCCCAGAACTTTGGGAGGCTGAGGCGGACGGATCATGAGTTCAAGAGATAGAGACCATCCTAGCTAACATGGTGAAACCCCATCTCTACTAAAAATACAAAAATTAGATGGGCATGGTGGTGCGTGCCTGTAGTCCCAGCTACTCGGGAGGCTGAGGCAGGAGGATCACTTGAACCTGGGAGGCAGAGGCTGCAGTGAGCCGAGATTGTGCCACTGCAATCCAGCCTGGTGACAGAGCGAGACTCTGTCTCAAAAAAAAAAAAAATTAAGAATAACAGTATCTTTATGAAAGATTATTCTATGATTTTATTTTTCTAAAAGATGTAGTGTTGATTAATTAGACTATAACCTTAAAGTATATGTGTGATATATAGAATGTTGATATGATATCAGAGAAGTTACCTGGCTCATAAAATTTAAGGCAATTTCTCAAGCCAATTTAGTTTTTATTTTATCTTTATTATATTTTTAAATTCTGTTAGCCACCATACCAGACATAATTCCGGCGTCACATTGACGTGGAACCCACAGATTGTGATTAGTCACACTCAGTCACTATGCTGTAGTCTCTAACTTGGATGTTATGACTTTTTAATATAATCTTGAGTAATCTTTTTTGCCTAAGTTTTAAAAATTGGAAGTTTGCCATCTTGACAGAGCATCTCAAATTTCCAACAGAGCTCTGTTTATTTAAGGGATGATTATATTATTATTTCCACTAAATTTTCACAGCCACATGAAGTCTTTTCTAGAAACCTGAAAGTAGTAAAGAAAATAGTATTATAAACATTGCAACTCTAAATAATGTTTTAAATGTACATAGTGAAGAAGATTCCAGTAGAAGTAGTAAATATTAATCTGTCTGTGCCAGAACAAGTGAATAATGCTAGAACTAATGTGTGATTTCACATAGTTATAAGATTTTGTTTTTGTTTTTGTTTTTTTTTAAAGCCAACTGGAAGTTCAACAGATAAGAAATAAAATCTGACAATCCCTGGATCAGCAGTCTCCTAACCCTGATCCTCAAGAGCTGTCTATCTTGAAACTCTGTCAAAAACTTGCAGGAAATCACCTATACTTTTTGTCATTTTTCAAACTAAGCACATTGACACAGCCATAGTTATAGACAATCCAATGACTTCCCCAACCCCCAGAATAAAGCATGTGTTCCAGCATAAAACTGATAAATTAATAATTAATGGACAAAAAAAAAAAAGACTAAAGCAATGGGTGCATCACTCCAAGTTATACTCCTCACAGCAAAAACAGAAGAAAGTATCCCATAAAACCAGTCACAACCATCATGAAAGAATCACGCGTGGAGAGAAAGCAGAAAATGCTATTGGCAAAAGTCCCCTGTGACTTCCAATGACAATATGGAGAGTCACATAAAATCAGTGGAATACAATAGGAAAGAGCAATCTGTATTATGAGTGTGTGTGACAGAAGTGACTTCAGCTTAGATTTGAACGAAGCATTGCAAAATATAATCCTACACTTGACATGTATGCCACAGGTATAAGGGAGAAGTGCTGAATGACTTTTGTGCTCCACAAGAAAAGATTGGGGTGTTGTGTTGTAAACTGGAAAATAAGTGTTAACATCAGGGCTGATGGAACATCAGCCACACAAAAAGCAAAAAAGAATATTCCTATACAGTTAAGAGTCTGCTCCTGCAGGCCCACCCATATACAGCTTTAGTGACAGAGAACAGTCAGTGGTCAAAAGTGTGACCTCTTGGCCATAGTATAATATCAAAGGAGCCAGTGAAAATCCTGGATCAAATCACAGCAAGTGTCTGCCTTCTCAGTTGCTCCAAGAAGAAATGGGCAACAAGAATAGCTCTGGTTTCCCCACACTCGAGTATGATTACAGTCAGAAGTGTGTTTACATAAACTATGGAGACAAAGATGAGCTTATAAAAATGGTGTTCCCATGCCATAAGAAAAGACTTCTTTTATGATTCCAAGTGGCAAGTGTCAGTGATATATTCAGTATCTTAGAGAGGCTAAGCTTTTAACTTCAGGGCTAAAATATCACAGTTGTAAATATCAAAGATAAGTTATCAGAATTTCATAAGGAGGTTGAGCTGTGGTGCAAATGAATCTATCACTGAGTAGAATTTTTTTTCTAACACTTTATTTTCTCCATTCATCACAGAAAGAAGTCAATATCATATTATTGGGCATGTTTAAAAGTCACATTCAAACACCGTACCAGACCATGAAGAAATTCTTTCCCAGGCCAAATTAATCAAGTACAAGATAAGGGAAGCAAGTAGTATTCTCTTCCAAAATCAAACATTCACCCTTCTGAACTCTGAGTGCAATGCAACTGTCGATCTAACAGACTTTGAGTGAGTGTGGTCTTCAGCAAGAAATTGCTCCATAACTTCTATGTGATAGTGCAATTCCAATATCCAAACCAAATAGCAGAGCTAGATCCTGGACCTGTGTCCTGAGTGCCTAAAAAGAGTAGGAAGAAAACAGCTAGTCAGATAGCCTGATCTGTTGCTCAAGCTGACAGATATAGATAGCTTAGAAAACAAAAAACAAAAAAAAATATGTATACTCTTTTCCCTCTTGGTGCTGATCTATTTTATTTATTATCAGTCTTGATTTTAATATCATGCTTTGTAATATTTAAAAATTGTGATTATTTATTTAACTAAAGTTGGTAAATTGCTTGGTCCAAATCCCCATGAGTGGTTTAAATTGAAAAACAGAATAAATTCCTGAATAAGCATGTTAAAAAGAAAAACAACTGAAGCACAGCTCTTTTTGCAATCTGAGAGCAAGGCAGTCATGGCTCCGTCTTAATATCCATTGTCTTTTGTATGAGTCCTTGTCTTTGTCTTTTACACTTGCATAGAATCTTCCTAGTTTGAAATTTCAAAAATTCTGCAAGTGTTGCATGAATCTTTAGACCATCCCACTTACACTGAGAGTGGGTGGAGAACATGAGACCCAGGGAAATGAAACAGCCTCTTCTGTGTCAGAGAAGAGAATAAGGAAGAAAAAAAAATGTCCTAACTTTTTTCTGGTTCACTTTTAGTAATGTCGTTTTTCACAGTATTTTAGCAATAAGAAAATGTGGACAAACCCCCTTGAATTATACTTAAGTCAGAGAAGGTAGCAAATGTAGATTTTAAAGGGCTATTTTCAGGAAAGCATTTAAAAAGCACAATTATCTAACAAGCAAAACTGATAATTATGTAATTCCACAGCATTTGGCAAGATGATAACTTTTGTTTTAAAGAATGGGTAGGATTTACTTTATGCCTTTGTGCATACAGAACTTTGTGCCCCAGATCTCTAGAGATCTCTGGTGCAGAACAACAAGGTTATCGTCAATCAAATGTCTTGCAGAGATAGTCACTATTTATCTTAGTCTTTAGGAAAACAGAAGTTGAAGAGTGCAAAGTGAAATTGCTGGTAATGAAAATAGTCAAGGTATAGTTTAAAGAATATTTTCTCTGACAAATGAAAGCAAATGACACACAATCAGTGACAGAAGACTTGGTTCCCAGAAGAATGGTACCTCCTACACCTTGAATTTTAAGAAGGTATCACCTTGGTTCTTAGACAGAACCTCAATTATACAGCATCTATTATGTGCTAAGCTCTGTGTTGCTAGCTTTATTCGAATTGTCTTAGTTATTCTGATCTTTGTGTAGAAATTGTTATGCCCATTTCAAAAATGAATCAGATGGAGTGAGTCCCCCAAAGCACACAGCTAATAACAAAGGTAGGTCTGCTTGACACCAAAGTCTATGTTCATTTACTACACCATACTGTTGCAGGCTGGAATGCAAGTGTATTCGTTTTTGCTGTGTAATAACCCCAGAACTTAGTGACTTATAATCAAAACCACTTACTTAGGTAATGAGTTGGTGTTAATGATTTAGGCAGGGCTCAGATGGGCAGTTCTTCATGTCTTGACTGTGTTCACTCACGCACCTGCAGTCAGCTGATAGGTTGGCTGGGGGTTGTCTGGTCTAAGACAGCCTTGGCTGGCAGACTTGCCTCTGCTCCAAGCAGTCTCTAGTCATTTAACAGGTGAGCCCAAGCCTGAGCACATGGTAGCTGGGCAGTATCCCAAGAGAACAAGCAGCAGTGTGTAAGACCATTTGAGATCTAGGCTCTGAATTAACACAACATCCTTTCCATCACATTCTATTGTCCAAAGCAAGTCTCAATTCTAGCTCAGATTTAAGTAGAAGATACAGACTTCACTTCTTGAAGAGAGGAACTGCAAACCACATTGCAATTACCTCTGTGATTTTCTTCCTGAAACCCATGGTCTCTCTTTAACCATGAGAAAGCACCAGAGAAACCCAATTTGAGACATATTCTACAAGGTACCTGCCAGTGCTCTTCAAAAGTGTCAAGGTCATGAAAGACAAAGAAAGCCTGAGGAACTGTTACAGATTGAAGGGGAAAACCAAGCAGACATGACAACTAATGCAGCATAAGGTTATGAATTGAATCCTGAAACAGAAGGACACTGGTAGAAAGACTGGCTAAATCTAAACCAAGTCTATAGTTTTATTAAAAAATAAAGTGCCCTGGTTTGGATAAATTATAAGGTTACTTTACTCCTGTCTAACCGAAAGGAATGCTTTCCACATTACATTTTTAAGCATGATATTTGCTGTAGTTTTAATTGATGACATTTATTGAGGTTAAATAAATTCCTGTCTATTCTTAGTTTGCTAAGAGCTTTGCATAATACATTTATGTTGATTTTTAGTAAATTTTTTTCTTTATCTGCTGGAACAATCATATGGTTTTCATCCCTTGATATGGTAATAATTAACCATATGTCAATGTATGTAATTGGTTTTCTGGAATTAAAACAATCTTATGTTCTTAGAGTAACCGAACTGGATTATAATTTATTGTGGTTTTCATGCATTGCTGAATTTGGTTTGATAATATTTTCTTTAGGATGTTTGAATCTCTATTTATGAGTAAAAGTGGTCTATAATTTACCTTACTCATCCTCTCCTTTTATATTAAGTTTTTAATATGTTGAGATTTTTATATCAAATTTATGACAGGCTGCTTCTTAAAATAAACTATTACATTTTCTTATATTGTTTGGAACAGTAAATTTAAGATTAAAATTAGTTGTTCTATGTTTTATAAAACTTACCTGTAAAGCCGTCTGGGCCTAGTATTTTCTTAGTGGGAAGATTTCGAACACCTGATTCAATTTATTATGTCACTATAAGACTACTCAGTTCAAGCAATTTGGAAGGCTGAGGAGGGCGGATCACTTGAGGTCAGGAGTTCGAGACCAGCCTGACCAACATGGCAAAACCCCACCTCTACTAAAAATACAAAACTTAGCTGGGCATGGTGGTTCACGGCTGTAATCCCAGCTACTCGGGAGGCTGAGGCAGGAGAATCACTTGAACCCTGGAGGCATAGGTTGCAGATCAATGCAAGGTCACACCACCACACTCCAGCCTGGGCAACAGAGGGAGACTTCATCTCAAAACAAAACAAAAGAAAACAAACAAACAAACAAAAAACTATTCAGACTCTCTGGTTCTTCTAGAGTTGATTTTCACAAGCTATGTGTCTCCAAGAATTCTCTCATTCATCTAAATTTTAAATTTTATTGACGAAAAGTAATTCATAATGTCCTTTTAGTTTCTGTTTAATTTCTGCAGCACAATAATCTATTGATTATTGAGAGTTATATTTTTAATGTCTCACTGTAATAGATTTGCCTACTTTTCCTTATTGATCTGTCCATTTTTACTTTATATATTCTGATATCATGTTATTAGCTGCATACAAGTTTTTTTATTTATTTGTTTGTTTGTTTGTTTGTTTGTTTGTTTTGAGATGGAGTCTCGCACTGTCGCCCGGGCTGGAGTTCAGCGGCGCGATCTCGGCTCACTGCAACCTCTACCTCCCAGGTTCAAGCGATTCTCCTGCCTCAGCCTCCCAAGTAGCTGGAATTACAGGTGCCCACCACCATGCCCAGCTAATTTTTTGTATTTTTAGTAGAGACAGGGTTTCACTATGTTGGTCAGGCTGGTCTCAAACTCCTGACTTCGTGATCCACCCGCCTCGGCCTCCCAAAGTGCTGGAACTACAGGTGTGAGCCACTGTGCCTGGCCTAGCTGCATACAAGTTTTAAAGGATTGTTTTCCTAGTGAATTATACATTTTGCCATTACATAGTGGCTCCTTTTATCTGTGATAGTGCTTTTAATTTAAAGTGTATTTTTGCCTGATATTAACACACCTATTACAGCTTTCTTTTGATCAATATTTGCTTTTTACTATCCTTGACTTTAAATTTCTCTATGTTCCTATGTTTCAAAGTTTATTATAAATATCAGACAGCCAAGTTTTGAGATTTTTATTTGATCTGAAAATCTTTTAAACTATAAAATACACTGTGTTTCCTCTTATATTTAAATCTATTTCCACTTTCTCATTATGTGTTTTCTACTTGTCCCATTTTAAGTTTATTTTTCCCTCCTTTCTTGCTCTATTTGGATTGATGTCTTCTTTTTTTTCTTTTTCTTATTCCATTTTCTCTGTACTTGTTTGTGAGTTATGGGCTTTATGCTTACACTTAAAGCTTATACTTTAGTATTTTCAAGTTATCCTTATAACTTGAATATGCATGCATTTTTAACAGCCTAAATTTAATCAATACTTTACCTTTCTCCTGATTAATATAAAGAATTTAGACTGCTTTAACTCTGATCAACCGCTTTTGGCTTACATTGTTTTCCAGTATTTTAGTTATAGCCTATTGTCCCTATGATTTAGTCAATATTGTTATTTTACACGGTCACATCTAGATAGATAGATAGATAGATAGATAGATAGATAGATAGATAGATAGATAGATGATAGATAGACGATAGACAGATAGATGATAGATAGATAGATAGATAGATAGATAGATAGATAGATAGATAGATGATAGATAGATAGATGATAGATAGATGATAGATAGATAATAGATAGATAGATAGATAGATAGATGATAGATAGAAAATAGATAGATGATAGATAGATAGATAGATAGATGATAGATAGATAATAGGTAGATAGATGATAGATTGATAGATAGATAATAGATAGATAGATGATAGATAGATAGATAATAGATAGATGATAGATAGATAGATGACAGATGATAGATAATAGATAGATAGATAGATGATAGATAGATGATAGATGGATAGATAGATAGATAGATAGATAGATAGATAGATATACTAGTATCTTGGTTTACTTTTGTTGGGGTTATAGACCTTCTTTCTGGTTTTTTTTTTCTTTGGACCTTCTTTCTGAAGTACATCCTTTAGGATTTCCTTCAACAAACGTCTTTTAGTTACAAAGTCATCTGCTTTTGTTTTTCAGAAGTGTCATATTTTATTCTCATTTTGAATAATAGTTTCACTGGGTAAAATTTTAGGTTGATAGTTTTTCTCCCTCAGTATATTGAATACAAAGATATTAGTATGTTTGTTTGGTGTCTTCTGGCTTCATTGTTGCTACTGAAAAGTCAGTAGTCATACTAATTGCCATTATTTTAAGATAATTTACTTTCTTTCTCTGACTATAAGATCTATTTTTCTTCAATGTTCAGTAGTTTCACTATGATGGGTCTAGGCATGAATTTCTTTTTAATTGTCTTGCTTGAGATCCATTGGTCTTCTTAGAGAAGTAAAAGGAAGATGATATCCAGCCAACATACCCCTAAACCATAAGCTCTGAGTCAGGGCCATATCCAACCAAAGAAAATTATTATTTCTTGCACATAAATGTTTAATGAGCTGACCCAACTATGAGCTCTTGGGCTGCATCTGCTCAGTGTCTTCTTCTAATTCATCTTCTTAGAAGGAGGATCTTTTTGTAAACACACTAAGACATCGTAATGTTCCAAACTGCTAGAGGTGAGTATTCATCAATACGTATAGGGCACACAGCAGTGGTTTAGTGGTTTAGATGTCACTTTACCATTCTCTTTGCCACAAAGAATTTGTATGCAAAACTGGGTCTCTTTAGAAAGAAATAAATATGCATTTTTGACTTTCAGTTAAATTTGGCAAAATTAAGCCTTTTCTATCCCACTCTCTCTTCTGAAGCCAAAAAAAAAAAATAGTAAGTAAAATAGCTCTGCCTTTGGTGAAACTAGGAAACAATAAATATCAAAATTCTCAATCTAAAAAGATCAGCTGCCAAGTGCAACGAAAGCTGAACCAAAAAGAGGGGAGCTACTGGAAAATGACTTATGTCTTTGCAGACCCATAGCAGAAAACAGGGAAATGGTCTGAAAAACTAAACCATTATGCCCTTGCTTAGAGCAGAGGGGGCTGGGAACATCCCTGTGCTATACTCTTCACGGAGTGGTTGGAGAGGAAGGGAGCTGACAAGAAGGCTCACAGACCATTATCTTTGTAGGATCTTTGGAGTCAATGTGACAGGGTAAAAATTAGCTCTGCAAGTGCTGATATTCAACAGCTAAAATTGAAGGCAAATGCTAAATCTCTATACATGAGTTTCTAAATGAGCCAAGTAGGCCCGCTGCTCAGCCCTGGCGGAAGTATTTCCTTGGGGTATGGTAAGGTTTGTGAAAAAAATGTTCTAAGCCAGTATCTTCAATCTAAGGTGCATACAGTTTTAGTTCACTTCTCAAATCTCTTAGCCTTGCTCTTCTTTAGAGGGTAGAAACCAGAAAAGAACAGTCTACATTCACAGATGAGCAATAATGAGAAACAAACCACTTTAGGATCTAGCCTAGGTAATATAGGAGAAAAAGAAGAAGAAGCAGATGAAGAATAGGCATCAGAAGCTCACCATGAATTACAGGGAAATTTTGAACAAATGATTGTCCATCATATCAACCAAATTGAAGAATCTATGGTTTTTCTAAAGCAAATGCTCAGGGAATACATGATGATATAATAGAAAGAAGTAAAAGAGAAGCTGGCAGAACTCAGGAGATATGTGAAAGTGGAAACTAAATTTTTTATAAAAATAAAAGCCATATTAGAAGGAGCAAAACCACGAACAGACATTAATGGAAACATAGTTAAGCATGTAGAATTCAGACAGACTTGAGAAAGAAAGTTAAACCAAAAAATGTTAAAGAGTATTAGAAAAACGATAAATAATAAAAGCCATGCATAGGAAATCCATCATGAAAATAATTTACATCTCTGAAGTGAACTGAGCAAATGAAGCAAGAAGATAATATCCAGAGATACAATGGAAGGAAACGTTCCTATTTTTTAAAAACCTCAAATCTTTAGATTGAAAAAGTTCAGAAACACTAACACTGAGCCATATCTTGGTAAAGTTACTGGCCCTGAAATGTAAAGAAAGAATGGACATATGAAAGAAAATTAAATGACTCATAATGAAGGGAAGCAAATCAGATAACACTTTCCCACTGCAACATTCTAAGCTTGAGAAAGTGGAACAAAACTTCCAAAGTCTTCAGAGAAAGGAGACATGACCACTTGACAATGTTCACTCCAAATGACATTTACGCATATAGGCAATGACATTTTCAAACATGTAGGATCTCAAGAAATATATTAATAGTATCTATGAGCCCTTCTTGGTGGAGGTACATGGTGATAAATCCAACAACAGGACATGAATGAAAGACTTGTAATAAAAAAACTGATGGAAAACATTTAAACCATTTCAATACAAAGCCAAGGCTAGATAGCCATCCAAAATGTAGACTCTAAAGAATAATTGCCAAAGAGAATATAAACATTATGAACAATGCATATACTTAATCTGTCTCAGTAATTGGTTTCCATAGACATGGAAATAACACATCTTTGGATCTCACTGTTTAGATGTTTTTTGCTTTGAGTATGTGAGTATGTAATCCTTGTTTTTTTAATCAAAGTAAATATCTTTTTGTTGCTGTTGTTTATGGAAATACTACTTACTTGGCTCCTTCTCATTTTACTGTGAGCCTGGACTTAAGGAAACTGTTCACAAGAAATCAGAGATATTATTTGTGAGTCTACTCTTTACCTAGCAGCAGTAGAATTTCCAATCTAAAGGCAGAGAAAAATAAGTGAATCAGGTTAACATTCATACCTATCTTATTGACTTAAAGGAAATTTCTAAATGCAATGCCTGGAACCTAAAAAAATGGCACTGGAATGCAAAACGTGGGACTAATAAATTTAATTTGAGGCTTAAGAGTTTTCAAATAATTCACCAAATTTCACAGTCCAGTTGGTAATGATCTGAAGGTAAAGCCAGCCTCAGTCATGATTCTCATTTGAGGAGTCCTTCACAGAGCAAGTTCCCAGATCTTAGCTTATTTCATCCTCAAAGCAAACATGTAAAGCAGAGAGAGAAGTTATTATCACCATTTTACATGTTTAAAAAAAAAAATCAGACACTCCAAGTGGTTAAGTGACTTACCCAAGGTTATTCAGCTAAATCAGTCATAATGGCTATGAGAAGTTGAGTGGGAATTTGGGGCTTTAAGAGACACATCTTGAGCCCTCAGCTGAACAATACTGATTAAATTCCAAGCAAATGTCATCAGATGAAATTTGGTTATCTTTACATCTGGGAAATTGTTAGAGGAAAACATCTGGATCAGACAGGAAATTCCAAGAAAATCCCAAGAGTGTAAGTGTGGGAGTTTATTGTAAACTTCCCAATGCTCAATGAAATTTTTCTTCTTTAAGTGTGTTAGAGACAAAGTCAGTGCATCATGGGAATTGCCCAAAGGAAATCAGCTCCATGGAAAAAAACGTGTTCTAGAGACATAAAATTGATGCTGCTCTGTTAACAGACGCCAATGACTCTTCTGAGACTTAAATCATGGAACATTCAACATGACTCAGGGACATTCCGGGGACCAGCTAATGAGACTCCCAAGATACCTGCTTTCTGTTCAGCCTACACCACCCAGAGGAAGCTGGCTAATGTGAGTGAGAGTTGCTGAAGTGTTCTGGGTAGTTAGGCCAGGGTAACAAGGAGCTCCCTTAAAAAAAAAAGAACTCAAGAAAGAATTCATAGATGTGGCTGCTGTGCCACAGTCTCCATTCTAATATGGACTCTGTGGACAAGACCACCATGAATCACAGCTGATGCCTGCCATGCTGATCTAGAGATGAAGGCCCACGATCGCTTAGGTTCCTACTTCCCTTGTTGAAAGCCAGAGATAGGGCTTTCTGCCCTGGTTAAGAACTTGCTTTATGCCATGAAAAGAAACAGTAATTTTTGGCTTATTTAAAAGAATAAAAAATGTTAAAGAAATTGATGGCCACTCATGGCCATAGCCTCCTTGAGCTTTGGCCAGGAATTAGGCTGTAGCTCTCCTCTCCCTGGTTGCTCCTCAGGCCTCAAGAGATCTTTCAGAGGAATCCATCTCAGTCCCTGCCAGTTCTGGGGAGGGCTTTCTGAGCATGGGTCTAGTTAAGATCCTGGGTGACTCTTTTGATTTCCACAAGATTTGCATCCTTCCCAGAAGCTGCATGGAAATAAGCCACAGAAAGAGCAGGTCATAAAAAATGTCTCAAAACTCTTTACCTCACCAGCCAGACCAGCAGTCTCTAAAGGGCCCTATGCTTCTGAGAATTTTCTCACAACCAATATAATACTTACCTAGGTTCTTATGATTATTTCATTTCTGAGCCATCTGGAACAAGAATTCAGAAACCTGAGAGAATAAGAAAGAAATGTCAAATAAAAATGAATAATAAAAAGGTCATATTCAATTACCATATTCGATGTGTTTCTTTTTTCCAATTAAAATTTTCTTCTCCAGGCTTTTGAAAGTAACCAAAAAACCCTAAAGAAAATATATGAAATGATCTCAAACCTAAAATTCAGAATAGGAAGAAATGGTGTGTTAACCAGAAATTTTGCAGCCACAATTTTTATACCTTCTTCTCTCTCAGTCCCTGCATCTAATCCACCTTCAGGTCCTGACAATTTTACCTCCAAAACGGCCTTCAAATTCATCTACATCTTTCCAACTCAACTACCTCTGCCCTAGTCCAAGCTATCATCACATTTGGTCTTGACCACTGCCACAATCTCCTAACTCAAATCCCTGTTTGGATTCCTGCTGCATCCACAAATAGATATTCCACACCAAAAGCCAGAGAGGATTACTTAGAATGCAGATGTGATCATTTTATGCTCTTGGAAAAGTCTACAATGGCCAATAAAATTTTGAAAAGATGCTCCCCTGTTCACTCATTAGGAAAATGAAAATTAAAACCCCAGTGATATATCTCTACAAAACAACCAGAATAGCTAAAAAATTAAAATTTTTCAGTGCAGAATATCAAGTGTAGGTGAGTGTGAGAAGAGATTGGAACTCTCATACCTTGTTAGTGAGAATGTGAAATGGTATCATCATTTTGGAAAATGATTCTATAATATCTGCTAAAGCTGCATATACAACCATCCTGTGACCCTGCAATTATACCATTAAGCATATTCATCCAACAGAAATGCATATTTATCAAGACATGTTCATAAATGTTCAGAGCAGCACAATTCATAACAGCCCACAACTGAGAACATCCCAAATGCTTATTCACAACCCAATTGTGTATTCATATCATGAGAATGGACAATCTACAACTACTACAGACAAATTTCATAGACATTACTTTGAGTGAAAGAGGCCAGATAACAGATAATTCCATATACATAAAATAGAAAAACAGGCAAACAAATATATGTTGTGCAAAGTCAAAATAGTGCTTACTGGACGGGTGTGGACTGGCAGGGGGTACAAAGTGAGTCCTTCTTGGCTTCTGATAATATTCCGTTTCTTGGTCTGGGTGCTGTTTATGTGGATATTCAGTTTGTGGAAATTCAGTAAACTATGCACTTATCATATGTGCATTTTTCTGTATATGTTTATAGCTAAATTGAAAGTGTTTAAATTACTCAATGACTTCCCATTAAGGTAAAATACAAAATCATTAACATGGGCTACAAGACTGTAAAATCATCTAGCACCTGCCCTTAACTCCATACTTCTTCTGAGCTGCTAACCCCCTTGCTTAATAACTCCAGCCACATTGTCCATGAATCAGTTCCCTAAATATACCTCATTCCTTCCCATCTCAGGGCCTTTGTACCTGCTGTCCCCTGGCCTAAAACAGCAGCTGGCAAACTATGGCCCACAGGGCATTTCTGCCAATCCTGCCTGCCATTTGTTTCTGTAAGTAAAGTTTTACTGGAATCCAGCCATGTCCATTCACTTCTATATTGTCTACAGTTGCTTTGGTGCTATAACAGCCACAGAGATCATATGGTTCACAGAATGAAAATATTTGCTATCTGGCCCATTATAGAAAAGCCTTGCCAACCCCTGGCCTAGAACATTCTCACATGCCTGCTCTACCCCCATCTGTCTAACTCCTACTCACTTTTCAGAATTGAGAAAAAACAAACATGTCCTTTGTTGAAAGAAGCCTAAGTCTGTATGTTGATTGTACACTCCTGGACTTTTCTTCTAGGGCTCTCCCCTGCTTCAGATCAGCAGAGCAATGGCTTTCCTTGCTCTTCGAGTGAAATGCAAAATTCCCCACAGCCTACGAGCCTCTGCATGATTTGGTCTACTGTGTACCTCTTGGCCTTTTCTCCTACACTTGCTCTGATCTGATAACTATAGCCTCATTCTAAGACCTGGTTAAGTTCTTCTGAGCCTCAGAGACTTTGCCATGCTGCACCATATGCCTCAAATGCTCTTTCCCAGTTCCTCATCCAGCCAGCATTTGCTCACTCTTCACATGTCAGCTAAAAGATGGCTTAATAAAAAAGAGGCCACTCCCATAGAGGGTTACCACAGCCAAGTGCTGGAGGCTCCTCCCTCAGCTTGGGTTCCTGAGGCTGCTTCTTCTTTCAAAGAGAGACTCTTCTTGACCCTGCCCACACCCACCCCTGCATCTTGCTTCCACTTTTCCTTCCACAGAGGCTGCCCACTTCTCAGACACCACAACCCCCTCATAGAGCCCACCACAGGCTCCTCAGAATGGACCTCTCCCCTCACCGTCTCCCAGTTGATGACTGTTACAGACATAGCTCCCATAATATCCTGCCATCTGCCTTTTGCCCTCTGCCCTCTGCCCTACTCAGAACTGGTGCTGCCTCTCACTGGGAAGGGAATAGTCAGGTCCAGGAGAAGTCTCAAATCTTCATGGTGCTTCAGGCATAGAGATGAGTCACCCAGAGCCCCCACCAATGCAGGATTTGTTGCCTCCAGCTGCCAGTTCCTTCAGGATCAGGCTCAACTGCAGAAAGCCACCTTGGTGGAAGTCATGCCCTTCTGGGGGCAGCCCACATCAGAGACTGAGTGAGGTGGGGGCAGTAAGGCCCAGGCATTTCAGCACATGTGGAGATAGCTCTTCTTGCTCCAGAACACCCTGCCATGTAGGGCAAGGCCTTGTCAGGCCTGCATTGTAATTTTTTTGTTTTGTTTTGTTGAAATGGGGTCTCACTCCCATCTGGAGTGCAGTGGCGTAATCTCAGCTCACTGCAGGCTCAACTTCCTGGGCTCAGGTGATCCTCCCACCTCAGCCTCCAGAGTAGCTGAGACTACTAGTGATGGGGTTTCACCATGTTGCCCAAGCTGGTGTTGAACTTCTGGGCTCAAGCAATCTGCCTGTCTAGGCCTCCCAAAGTGCTGGGCTTACAAGCATGAGCACTGTGCCTAGCCTGCATTGCAGTTTGACTTCTCTGTCTTCCCAATCTTGTTTCCTGTCCCTTCCCTTTACATATTTTGACTCCTAATAAACACCATGAGCCCTGCATTCTGTCTCAGCATCTGCTTCTAGAGAACCCAACCTGCAACATTTATTTTGTATTATTATGGATTCAACACAGAATTTGGAGTCAGACAGGCCTGGGCTGGAATCCTAGCACTGGTGCTCACCAACCTGGTGGCCTTGGGAAAGTAATTTGAACTCCTAGCTTCCTAGCCTCTGGCTCAGGAAGTCTCCTCATCAAATGGAGATGAAAATATCTTTATTGCAGAGTTTTAGGATTAGTTGAAGTAATGTTATATGTCAGCATGTTAAAATGGAAGTTGGGAATGAGTGCCCAAGCTATGAAATGGAATTGAGGGACAGACCACCCCTTTCAAAGTAGATATCCCACAGTGGAACACATGACCTTTGTAAGTCCTCACCTACTTCAATTTATAAACAGTATGATTGAGGAGTATGTCTTAGAGAGTGGTTTTGAAACTCATATCTGGCTCCTGGAGGTAAAGGTGAATTGCAATTTTTACTTTGCTTCAAGACAAGAAAGAGGACTTCAGAAAGCTGACTATCCTAAAATTAGGGAGATACAATGGGCTCTTATCTGATTCCCACCAGGGAAATCAAAAGGGCAGGACACAGGCTGAATGGAGATGATTTAGCCATTCCACAATGTGTACATATATCAAAACATCATGTTGTACATCAGAAATATACATAACTTTTGCCCATTACAAATTAAAGAAAAAACACAATATTGAGCAAAATAAGTCAGATGCAAACTATTTTACACCATATGATTACATTTATATAAAGAACAAAAACAGGCAAAAGAAACATAAGTTAGAAGTCATGGTAGTATTTACCCTTGGGGACATTGTGACTAACAGAAGGCAAAAAGGTGGATTCTAGGTGCTTGTCACGTTCTGATTCTTGATCTGGGGTGCTGGTTACAGGAAGTGCTCAGTTTGTGGAACTTCACTGAGTTGTCCTCTTATGTTCACTTCTCTGTATGGTAAATTCAAAATAGCCCCATTTCTTTACATAAGCAAAAATCAATCAGATAATCTTGTAGGGGATAAAATACCATTCATACTAGCAACAGAAACACTCAAGAGTCAGAGTTAACAACAAGGAATGACCACGTTACCTGCAGAGAAAATTTTACACTGCTATGAAGAACATAAAAGAAGTATCTAAAAGGAGAGCTACGCAATCTTCATCGCTAGGGTAACTTAACATGGCAAAGCTGCCAATTCTTACCCAATAATGTATAAATCCAATAAAATACTTAGAAGAGTGATTCTCAAAGAGGGTTCCAGACCAGCAGTTCTCAAATTTTGGTGTACATCAGAATCATCAGGAGGGTTTATAAAAACAGATTCCTAGGTCTCCCCCAGAGTTCTGATGCAGAATTCCTCAGGATGAGGCTGAGGCTTGGCATTTACACCAAGTTTCCAGGTGATGTTGATGCTACTGGTTCAGCACTTAGACACTGTGAGAACCACTGCACTGGAATCAAGTCCCTCCTCCTCACCCTGTAGAAAACTCACCTCCCACAGACACACTGACACTTCATGCTTTATTACAGGACCTGCACTCCATGAACTTAAAGTAAAACAAGTTTTGCCCTTATCAAAATGTTAATTTGTCCAGGATGGTGAGAAGGATTAGCTGTTGCCAGCTTTTCATCAGTCCTTTGAAAGGAGTTGTTGACACTGCTCAGGGCCACCTTCTCTACTCCAAGTTACTCTTCAACCCAATGGCTTCTGCTCTTCTGCTAAAACAATTCCTGCTAAGTGTTTCAAGACCTTCTAACTGTTGAACCCAGTGGGAATGTTCCAATCACTGTGCCTCATACACTCCTACATTTGGCACAGGTGACCCCTCTCACCTCCTAAAATCCCTCCATACCCTTGACATTTGTAGGTACCTGCCTTTCTAGCCATTCTTTCTTCACCTCCTTCACAGAATTTATTTCCTTGTCCATCCTTTAAGTGCTGCTTGCTCCATGGCTCTATCCCGCAGTCATGCTCCTCAGGCCACCTTCTCATGCCCTTACCTGCATCCCATCCCTTCCCCCAAGCTGGATACTCATCCTTCAGCTTATCACCCATAGGGTCTCCATCTAGTTGTCACACAAGCATCTCAAATCTAACATGCTTCTTCTCCAGTGCTCCCTGGCTCAGTGAATGGAACCAATATCAACTCAATTGCCTAAATCAAAAATTTGGGAGTCAGTTTTGATGCCTCCCTCTTCCTTAGCCCCCATAGCCTATGAATTGCTCACTTGTGGGCCTTTGCTTATATGGTCCTCGATAAGGAATGCTCTTCCCGTTCGCCTCAGACTTCTCACAAGTCACTCTGACTCATTTTTTTTAAGAGACAGGATCTCACTATGTTGCCGAGGCTGGATTCAAACTCCTGTGCTCAAGTTATCCTCCCATCCCAGTCTCTCAAGTAGCTGGGACTGCAGGTGCATAGCACTGTGCCCAGCTCCACTCTGACTCATTCGTTAAGATTCAACCTAATCATCTCCTCCTCGTGAAGCCCTTCCTAACACCTCCTACTAGGCAGCCAGAATTCCATAATCCCCAATCCTTACAACGTCTGTGTATTTGCCACAGTGTGGCAGTTAGTGCAGAGTCCTAATTAGGGAAAAGGGAGCAGGGGAAAGGGAAAGGGAAAAGGGAGCAGGCTAGAGGGAGCAGGGGAAAGCAGGAAAGAGAAAGCAGATAAGGGGCAAGTCTGCCTTTCTTCAATGTCCTGGATATGCAGCCCTCCTGCACACAACTTGCCACCAGGCACCTGCAAATTATCCATTGCAACCTTGGCATCATCGGTACTGCACAAAGCCCTCTTCAGCACACAGCATAAACACTCTTCTAGAAAATCCCCAGCAAGCTTTTGTTTCCTGGCAGTCCACTCCTCTTCTGCTGATTCTGCCCATTGCCTCATCACAACAAAGTATTTTCTACTGTCTCTCACAAATCTGCCGTTCTTTATCCACAACTGTCTTGGTAAATTTTTTTACCCCCGCTCCACCAGCCCAAATAGTTGTTGCTCCCTTGCAACAGTTAGCTCTTTGTATATCTGTTTCCCATAGTTCTTTTATGTCTTTTCATTTAACAAATACTTATAGACCTCCTTCTATATGGCTGGCACTGATCTAGCCCCTTAGGAGTCATCAGTGAACAGAACAGTGAATATCTCTGCCTCCATGGACTGCAAAGCTGGCTCACTGTGCACTGGTTACCACTTTAGCCCACTGCATCTTGGGCTGCAATTTCTACTACTTGCTTGAGTCCAGTGAGACAGAACACTCATGCAAGTTAAGTGAAGCAACGTTTTTACTCACAGATAGACAGCAAGAAAGAGTAAAAGCCTAGAATTCATAGCAAGTCAGTTCCCAAGGCTCAGAAAAGCTGTCCTGAGTGGATGGAATCCTGTCTTCACGTGCCCCACTTGCCCAACAGCTGAAGGGCCGGGAAAGCAGTCCTCCTGGGTTTTATACCCTGGGAACAACATGATATGCTGGGCTAAGGCATTGAAGGACACCTTGTTCTAGGAGGGACAAGATCAGAGCCCAGAGTATTCTGGCCACTTCCTCCTTATTTCAAGATGTTATATTTCCAGCACATGCCAGTTATTCTTGAGAACTGCAAGTGAGAAAGGAGGAAGAACTAGATCAGTCCAAGGAGAACTGTACTGCATGGTCCTTACATTCTAGAGCATCTGTGTCCCCAGGATTTAGCCAGGGTATGGAATACATTCAATAAACACTCCTTGAATGAATATACTTACATTGCAGTGTGGATGAGACAATTATAGTCTTTTTCCAGAGCACACTTTAAAAAAGAGAAGTAAGAGCAAAAATGGAGGGAGGCAGAAGAGGGCAGATCCAGGGCATAGCCAGAGGAGGAAGGGAGATGGCTCCCACCTGGATCCAGACAACAGTTTCCAAACTAAAACCTGGAAAGCTTAAGAAATAACTCGCCTGCAGGCTCAGTTCCCTGCACCATCTGCATTGATTTGTAGAGGGGCCCTTCTAGATCAGCCTGGGAATCTTCTTCTCCCACAGGGGGAGCTCAAGACCTGCTGACCAAGAGGCATCTCCCCAGGCTACGGATGCCTTGGTACCCATAGGGATACCCATAGCTCAAGGGAGGGGGAGTGATAGGCAGACCCTGAGCACCACCACCCCCACCCCGCCAGCCAAGCAACAGGGCCGGTGTCAGTCCCCAGGAAGCAAGAGACCTATAAGGGGCCTAGGGATCCTAGGGGATGAGGATAATGGAGATGCACTTCTATTATTAAACAGCAAACGACTATATTGATCAGGATACTTCAATCTAAAAAGATGGCTCCTAGAAAGGGAAGATGTTGAAGCAAAGGAAGCAGCAGGGTCCTTTCTTAATGTCACTTTCTGACATGGTTTAGTGATTTCACAGCATTCAGGCCTACATATCAGTCCCTGACCATATTAATCTTCCTCAGCGGTGATCTCCCATAGCATGGGGAACACCTCTCCATCACTGTCTTGGTTCTGCCCAGCACCCCTTGTTAATAAGGCAGGCTGGGAATGGGGAGGTACATATGAGCGACAGCCAGGCTAGGCTCCACTAATGACTAGGTCTCAGTTTCTTCTTCTCTAATTTCATCAACATCGTCATCATTCAGTACTCGCTATGTGCCAGGCATTGTTGTAAGTACTCTATATATCTAACTCACTTAATCCTCACAACAACCCTAGGAAGTACACACTAGCACGATTCCCATTTTACAAAGAAGGAAGCACAGAGAGGCTAAGTAACTCACTCAACTCACATAGCTCACACAAGAGTGTGCAGTGAAGCCTGAATGTGAAATCAGAGCACTGGCCTCAAAGTCTGTGCTCTTAGCAAATGGATTCAATCTTGCTTGAAACACTGATTAACATGTGGTGCTACTGAGAAGGATTCTGAACCTTCTCAGGAGCACTCAGTAGGAAAAGTGCCATAGCTGATTAGCAATGTCTGCAATGGTGATGTAGATGCTGTCTTTTTTATTCTTGTATTATATAATGGCAAAGACACTCTCCCTCACCAAACTTTAGTTAGTCTCTTCTGAGACATCTTTTCAACTAGGCCCTTTGCCTTGGCCCCATCCTGTCTTTGGCCTGCCTAGCCCACTCTTAGGAATAATCAGCATTGGTTAAGTTATATGCTGTGATTTTTTTAAAAAATAAAAGAAAATCTCAAAATGTCAGTGGCTTACATCAGCAAAGGATTGTTACTTGTTCATATTACATGTGGGCCATGAGTCAACTACAGATCTGCTCCATGTGTCTTTTTTTTTTTTTTTTTTAGACGGAGTCTAGCTCTGTTGTCCAGGCTGGAGTGTAGTGGCGCAGTCTTGGCTCACTGCAACCTCTACTTCCTGGGTTCAAGTGATTCTCTTGCCTCAGCCTCCCGAGTAGCTGAGATTACAGGCATGTGCCACCATGCCCAGCTAATTTTTGTATTTTTAGTAGAGACAAGATTTCACCATGTTGGCCAGGCTGGTCTCAAACTCCCGACCTCAATTGATCTGCCCGCCTCAACATCCCAAAGTGCTGGGATTATAGGTGTGAGCCACCGCACCCGGCCCACATGTCTTCTTCATTCTGAGATCTAGGCTAAATGTGCAGCCCCTCTCTGAGATGAACACCAGTCTCATGGCAGAGGGGAAAGAGCAATGGTGGGCCTTCTGATGCACTTAGAGCTTATATTTACATATGGTAAATAGAACAGTGTATTGGCCAAAGCAAGTCAAAATGGCCAACCCTGACGTCCTTAGCAGAAATATAATCCATCCACAGACAGGGGCACCTGCGAGGGACACTGTGGCTATAAACCCAGTGGAGAGCAGCAGCCAACAGTTGGGAATGATCATCTGATTTACCACAATGGGTGTAAAGTTTTGGCTCAGCTCTTTCTTCTCTGGCCTCAGTTTCTCAGCTGTAAAGTGTGTGTGTGTGTGTTTGTGTGTGTGTGTGTGTGTCAGGGTGCAGGGCTAAAAGGAGTCAACCTCTAAGGCTCTTTCCAGTTTTATACAGTCCCACTCCAATACCTGAATTCTCCTCTTGCCTGTCCAGCTGGGTTTTAGAACCATAGATTTCAATCCCTCTTCACACACTAATCTGAACAGTTAACATACACCACCTATTTTCAGTTTTTTCCCCTTACACCTAAGACTGATAGTTTCCATGTACAACATATCCTGTAACCATTCCCAGCTTTACAAAGATAAGTCATTGGTTCTACATGTGACTTGAAATAGCAGAGTGCCCCCTGCTTGTCTCCCCATCTCTTACTGACTCAAAAGTAGTCCTGCTCACCTAAGGAGGCAACTAGGAAATTCAGGCTTACTGCCCCTCACACATCAGCATCTGCTAACACAACCAGCTCCTGGTTTCATCCATTGTTGCTAATAATTACTGGTGACTCCCCTTGAGATCCTCACAGCCATGAGGATATGACTAGGACAGATTCTATCCATCCTTCCTTAAGCCATCCAACTTTGCTAACCCCACCCAGACCAAACCACAGCATCACAACACACATGTAAGTTTCTGTACCAAATGGTCTGAACAACCTCAGAGTAATAGAAACTCGAGGGAGAAACAAAGGAGGAGCTCCATCTGAAAGGGTTTTTGGCCTTTTCAAGAGGAATGACCACTGTGGATGAACCTCCCTCCCTTCCTCACTCAGTCTCTTTTTCTAATGGATCCTCACTTTCCATATTCATTCACTTCAGTGTCTTTCAATTTGGTGCACCCAACTGCTACCTTATTCAAGTAACCCCACCCTTCCCACAGAAGGCGACAGTTCCTAATCTTTCAAACATCTACTGTGCCTTAAGCAGGTGACCATTGCAACAGTTTGTGAGCAAGGCTCCGGTTCCACGAGGGAGGGCGAATGTGGGAGCTCCTCACCTGGAAATGCTGTTCTCTTTGCTACCCAGCAAGAACGGCCCCAGCTTCCAAAAGAGCCTTTTGATTTCATTCTTCCCTGAAAGAGGAGATGGTAGTGTTAGCAGTTCCTGCCCTCACCTGCACAATTCCTCTACTTCCTTATCTTTCCTACTGATCCTGAAACCCCCATATTTTGTGATGGAGACTGTGATGCCCTGCCCAGAAGCCCCTCCAGGGAATAACTTGTTGCCCCAACTGCTGGGGGGGCCTGTCAGTGGATAGTCCTGAGCCCTCAGCCCCTTCAGATATTGCTTCAGCTTCAGAGTCCCCTCAACCAAGGTCACACTCTTCCCAGGATAGCCAACATTCAATGACTAATCAAGATAGGGTATAAAAGGCCTGGACTTCTTGACCCAACTTTGGACAACTTTGAAGCATCGTTCTAGTTAGAGAGCCATGGCTGTCATTGGACCTTCCTTTGGCTCACTTCTGCTTTCTGCCTCTCCCTTTCATAAGCATTGATCCCCAGGCCTCTACTTAATAAATATCCTGCAAGCTAAACTCTATCTCAGAGTCAGTTTCTCATGGAACCCAACCTGCAACAGAAACTAACTTGGAAAACCAGTGATACATGTATATAATAGAATTAATAGATGATTCCTCTTGATCTTACTGCCCCCTGTCACTCAAAACCAAGACTATCAAAAGGTTTTCTCAACCTGAACACTATTGACAATTTGAGCTGGACAATTCTTTGTTGTGGAGGCTGTCCTGTGCATTGCAGTATGTTTAACAGCATTGCTGGCCTCCACCCACAAGATTCCAGTAACGCCTTCCCAGTTATGACAACCAAAAATGTCTCCAGACATAGTCCTCCGTGGAGCAAATAAGCCCTCAGTGAAAACTACTGATTTATAAGAAGCATCCCAGCAGGCAGATTCAGTAAGTGTGTAAAAGCATTTGGACCCTGAACATAAATATTTTTTACTTAAAATGTAATGCCTCTTCTGAGGCACTTGCCAGAAAACTCTTTCTCCAATTGCCTTCTCAGACTTGCTTGTCAAAAGCACAGTTGAGACAACAGATGTTTGAGAAAACTGGCCCAAGGAACTTCTTAGCTCTCCATTTCTCTAAATATTTCTCATCTCTTTCTCTGTAATTATTTAGATCCAAGAAAACAGCATGCTTGGACTACATTCCTTTAATTAAAAATAATAATAGTAATTTTTTTAAAAAACCTCCCTGGAATGAGTTAAATAGTGGTTTTATCACGGGTAATTATAAAATGGCCCATGAACATGCCTGCATGTTTTATGATTGATGAAGGCATTACATTCAGCATGAACCACAGATTTTTCTAAGCCATATTCTTTCTTTCCTTCTATATTTTCTTTTGTGGGTCAAAAAGACTTTATTAAATATCCTCATTTCCTTTCACCATAGTGATGGGAGAGTCATACATTATGGCCATTAAGATAAAAATACTCTTATCAAAGTCATGTAATTGCTCAGGTCCTGGGAAGTGGAGAGAGAGAAGGGAAAAAGTGAATCTTCTTAGAAATCCCATACAGTATTGATATATTGTTTTAGTCCACCAACATCACTTCCTCTAGGGACACCCACCTTTCTCCACTGTAGTTGGTTCTTGTGAATTGCCAGTCACAGGACCTTGCCTTTATGACCATAGAACAGGGAAAATGACTCATGCTTGGACAACCAGATTCTCTCTCCTGGGTATTTGACTCTTAACTGGAAAAGCACAATGCCTGAAGCTTGTTGAAGCTGAATCATCTGATATTAATACCTCAAATAGTCCATGAATTCTTGCTGCTAAGATCCCTGGTGCTGCACAAGTTTCTGTCTCTCCTTTGAACTTTTCTGCATATATACCCCTAAAAGAATTTTGAAAAATTATATACATCTTCATACATTTTTAATGTCATCTAAAATTTTTCAACATGAGTCGGTTTTACTGTAAGGAATGTCATTTTTAGTGCATTATAGATACTGACTTTTAAAATAAAACTATCACATTGGTCTTTTAAATATCCAAAAGAGTGTAAGTACCAAAGCAATTTAAGACCCATCATCAACATTTAAAAATATATATATATGAACAAATGTCTTGTTAACAATTGGAAATTATATCATTCCTTTTTCTCCTTGAACTTATACTTCCATCTCATATCCCCAGAGAATTCCATTCTACCTTTATACTAGGAAACCTTTAACTGATCATTCCATCATAGTTTTCTGCAATAAAAATATATAATATGAAATCAGTCTTTTAAATTTAATTATGTTAATGATTCATGTAATATGTAACTAGTGATCTAATATGTAATTTAATGGTTAATATAATATTATTTTGCAATTTTATTATATTAGATAGTTACATTATATGGACACAGTTGTTTAAAACTGCATAAATGGTCCTATTAGTTTTGATAAGCAATTATTAAACTAAAAAATAAAACTTTTATTGAGAATGCATCTCTTAATGAGATTCAAGGGGAAATGGCGAATTAACCTTTTGTTTGATGCCCTAAACATATTTTTGTTTTTATATTTTTTTATTATACTTTAAGTTCTAGGGTACATGTGCACAACATGCAGGTTTGTTACACATGTATACATGTGCCATGTTGGTGTGCTGCACCCATTAACTCATCATTTACATTAGGTATATCTCCTAATGCTATCCCTCCCCCCTCCCTCCACCCCACAACAGGCCCTGGTGTGTGATGTCCCCCTTCCTCCAAGTGTTCCCATTGTTCAATTTCCACTTATGAGTGAGAACATGCAGTGTTTGGTTTTTTGTCCTTGCAATAGTTTGCTGAGAATGATGGTTTCCAGCTTCATCCATGTCCCTGCGAAGGACATGAACTCATCATTTTTTATGGCTGCATAGTATTCCATGGTGTATATATGCCACATTTTCTTAATCCAGTCTATCATTGTTGGACATTTGGATGGGTTCCAAGTCTTTGCTATTGTGAGCAGTACCGCAATAAACATACGTGTGCATGTGTCTTTATAGCAGCATGATTTATATTCCTTTGGGTATATATCCAGTAATGGGATGGCTGGGTCAAATGGTATTTCTAGTTCTAGATCCCTGAGGAATCGCCACACTGTCTTCCACAATGGTTGAACTAGTTTACAGTCCCACCAACAGTGTAAAAGTCTTCCTATTTCTCCACATCCTCTCCAGCACCTGTTGTTTCCTGACTTTTTAATGATCATCATTCTAACTGGTGTGAGATGATATCTCATTGTAGTTTTGATTTGCATTTCTCTGATGGCCAGTGATGATGAGCATTTTTTCATATGTCTGTTGGCTATATAAATGTCTTCTTTTGAGAAGTGTCTGTTCGTATCCTTTGCCCACTTTTTGATGGGGTTGTTTGTTTTTTTCTTGTAAATTTGTTGGAGTTCTTTGTAGATTCTGGATGTTAGCCCTTTGTCAGATGAGTAGATTGCAAAAATTTTCTCCCATTCTATAGGTTGCCTGTTCACTCTGATGGCAGTTTCTTTTGCTGTGCAGAAGCTCTTTAGTTTAATTAGATCCCATTTGTCAATTTTGGCTTTTGTTGCCATTGCTTTTGGTGTTTTAGACATGAAGTCCTTGCCCATGCCTATGTCCTGAATGGTATTGCCTAGGTTTTCTTCTAGGGTTTTTATGGTTTTAGGTCTAACGTTTAAGTCTTTAATCCATCTTGAATTAATTTTTGTATAAGGTGTAAGGAAGGGATCCAGTTTCAGCTTTCTACATATGGCTAGCCAGTTTTCCCAGCACCATTTGTTAAATAGGGAATCCTTCCCCCATTTATTGTTTTTGTCAGGTTTGTCAAAGATCAGATAGTTGTAGATGTGTTGTATTATTTCTGAGGGCTCTGTTCTGTTCCATTGGTCTATATCTCTGTTTTGGTACCAGCACCATGCTGTTTTGGTTACTGTAGCCTTGTAGTATAGTTTGAAATCAGGTAGCATGATGCCTCCAGCTTTGTTCTTCTGGCTTAGGATTGACTTGGCAATGTGGACTCTTTTTTGGTTCCATATGAACTTTAAAGTAGTTTTTTCCAATTCTGTGAAGAAAGTCATTGGTAGCTTGATGGGGATGGCATGAATCTATAAATTACCTTGGGCAGTATGGCCATTTTCACAATATTGATTCTTCCTATCCATGAGCATGGAATGTTCTTCCATTTGTTTGTGTCCTCTTTTATTTCGTTGAGCAATGGTTTGTAGTTCTCCTTGAAGAGGTCCTTCACATCCCTTGTAAGTTGGATTCCTAGGTATTTGATTCTCTTTGAAGCAATTGTGAATGGGAGTTCACTCATGATTTGGCTCTCTGTTGTCTGTTATTGGTGTATAAGAATGCTTGTGATTTTTGCACATTGATTTTGTATCCTGAGACTTTGCTGAATTTGCTTATCAGCTTAAGGAGATTTTGGGCTGAGACGAAGGGGTTTTCTAGATATACAATCATGTCATCTGCAAACAGGGACAATTTGACTTCCTCTTTTCCTAATTGAATACCCTTTATTTCTTTCTCCTGCCTGATTGCCCTGGCCAGAACTTCCAACACTATATTGAATAGGAGTAGTGAGAGAGGGCATCCTTGTCTTGTGCTGGTTTTCAAAGGGAATGCTTCCAGTTTTTGCCCATTCAGTATGATATTGTCTGTGGGTTTGTCATAAATAGCTCTTATTATTTTGAGATACGACCCATCAATACCTAATTTATTGAGAGTTTTTAGCACGAATGGCTGTTGAATTTTTCAAAGGCCTTTTCTGTATCTATTGAGATAATCATGTGATTTTTGTCTTTGGTTCTGTTTATATGCTGGATTACATTTATTGATTTGCATATGTTGAACCAGCGTTGCTTCCCAGGGATGAAGCTGACTTGATCGTCGTGGATAAGCTTTTTGATGTGCTGCTGGATTCAGTTTGCCAGTATTTTATTGAGGATTTTTGCATCGACGTTCATCAGGGATATTGGTCTAAAATTCTCTTTTTTTGTTGTGTCTCTGCCAGTGATGCCCTAAATATTTTTACACCTTAGGGCAATGCAGCAGAACAAGACACAGGATGAGTGAGAGGTAAGCTTTGTTAAAGTGGGAGAAGGACATGTTTTGATTATACCTGGGATTTAATTTATAAAAGTGACCAAGTGATAACCTGGAGAGGTCAATGTCATTGAAAGAAGTTTTATGGTTCCTACAAGACGAGGTCACACCATGCCATGCAGGGCCATATGGGGAAGCACCAGGATCAGTCAGGAGACAGGAGGAGAAAAGGGAAAAATGTGGCCCCAAGGCTTTACTGTTATGCCTGTGTGAAGGAATGGGAGCAGCTAGGGCAGGCAAGCTCGAACAAGTTTAGGATTAGATAGTATGAGTATTTCCAGGGTTCTGGGCTGTAGGGGCAGTCTCTAGTTGTATGGTACCTGGCCCAGAGGTGATTTAAGACGGGAGAAATATTGGCTTGGTGTATGAGAGTTAGATAAATGAGGTGCTGAGGATGTGGGCCTTGGACTGGTTGGTTTGCATATGAAAGGTGTGCTCACAGACAAGTTTTTTGCCATCTCTAGGAATTAGCAAGTCTTGGGAGGGGCAGTCTCTCTCCATTTAGCAAGGCCCTCAAGATGTCAAAGCACCATAAAATATAGGAAAAAAATTTAAATATGATTAACAAGGGCAATTATGAAAGAGACAGTGCCAGAGCAGTATTTTGAATTTTTATCATGTGCATATATTACTTTTTCAAAAATTAAAAATTGCTTTAAAGTCAAATGAGGGTTTCCTTTTCCACTTTTATTTCTCTTCCCATCACTTATCTTCCCTCTCTGAATAATTAAATACAAAAACCATTAGATGGAGCCAAGCAAGATGGGAGTTTGCATGTGTGTGTCAGGGTTGGGGGTAAGGCATGTTGACCCAGAAAGAAACCATGGAGGAAGCTGGGGCTGGGGGATCTGTCATGGAGCTCAAGCAGAGTGAAGAAAGTTGTCTGTGTAAGGGAGTAGGGAGCAGGTGCAGGAAGGGGTAACTCGGTGCCAGGGGTCAGCTGGGAGTAGGGTCTATCCACATTGGGAATAGTTCATTACAGGATTTCAGAGCTCAAACTGGCCAAGGAGAGTATCTGAATGGGTTGGTGGCAGCAGCATTTGGTGATTTGAATGAGATGAGAGGATTAGATGGTAGTAATGTATCAATTTAATTTTCTGATTTTGATGGCTATATTGAGGTCATGTAGGAAAATGTCCTCTTTGTGGTAGATACACGCTAAAGTTTTTGGAAAATGATGGGCAGTAGTCAGCAACTTATTCTCAAATGGTTCAGGAAAAGAAGTTCTTTACACAGTTGTTACAACTCTTCAGTGAATTTGAGGTTGTTCAAAATAAAAGTGTTAAAAATAAAACCAGAGTGAGGGAAGCTGGGAAAAAAATCTCAGCATGCTGATTTACAAAGGGGGTAAAAGAGGAACAAGATCTGCTTTTAGAGGTCATCTCTGTGTTCAATGGTTTGGCTAAAATAGATGTCTAAATGGATGACATTAATTCTTTCCTACAACAAATATTCACCATGTCCAAATATATGCCTGTAAAGGCTGTGCCCTGAGGATATAAGAGTGAGCAAAGTAGGCATGATCCCCAATCCACAGAAATCAATGGATGAGCTAAGGCTATAGACAAGTAAGAGGCAGTGACAGCATGTCTTATGGGCACAGACAAGTGCTCCAACCCAGACTTGAGTATGGAGTAGTCTTCCCAGAGGATGTAATATCCAGAGACTGAGCAAAATGTCAGAAAGGAGGGTGATTTAAAGTGTTCATAACTATGTATTTTATGTGTTGTCTGACTCAGGGATAGTTAATATTAAAATCTAAGCACCTTCTGGAGTCATCAATCTGATGTGGCAAGTATCTGACCAGAGCAACAATGTTTACTTTACAGATGTCCCTCCAGGTGCTGTAGATCAAATGTGCCCTCCACAAATGCATATGTTAAAATCCAATTCCCCATGTAATAGCATTTGGAATTGAGGCCTTTGGGAGATGACTAGGTGGTATATGGAGGTGGAGACTTTGGGATTACTGCCTTTATGAAAGAGGCCCCAGAGAGCTCCCTTGCCCTTTCTACCATATTAGAACACCATGAAATGACAGCAGTCTATGAACCAGGATGCAAACCCTCACCAGACAACAAATCTGCTAGCACCTTGATCTTGGACTTCCCAGCCTCCAGGACTGTAAGAAATACATTCCTGTTGTTTATAAGCCACCCAGTCTACAGTATTCTTGTCATAGCAGCCCAGGACACCAGGTATTGTTGGGTTTGGGGGAGGTTTTGTTGTTGTTGTTGTTGTTGTTGTTTGTTGTTGCTGCTGCTGCTGTTGTTGTTGTTGTTGTTGTTGTTGTTGTTGTTTTTGAGACACAGTCTCCATCTGTCGCCCAGGAGTGCAGTGGCGCTCTCTCTGCTCACTGCAACCTCTGCCTCCCAGGTTCAAGCGATTCTCCTGCCTCAGCCTCCTAAGTAGCTGGGACTATAGGCGCCCGCCACCACGCCCGGCTAATTTTTGTATTTTTAGTAGAGACGGGGTTTCACCATATTGGCCAGGCTGGTCTCAAACTCCTAACCTCAGGTGATCCGCCCACCTTGGCCTCCCAAAGTGCTGGGATTACAGGCAGGAGCCACCACACCCAGTTGACACCAGGTATTGTTTAATTATCAGTAAAGCAGACTCATTCTTCTTTCCCCATCCTATGGAGTGGGCACAGTTGTTAGGCTAAAAGCCATCTTCTAAAAGTAACAAAGTAATGCTCTGGGGATCTATCTGCGCTGTCTTACAAACAGTTGCTAAGACAACACTACAGGCATTTGCCAACCGCGTGCATCTCGGCAGGCTTTTCCAAAGCCGCTTGCTATGCACCCATGCTGTCCAGAATGTTGCCCCCATGGGGGCTGTGCTGGGACCAGACAACTGCAGAGGTCTGTGCTGAGGTGGTAGTTATGGAGACTTGATATGTCATGTGTGAGACAAGAAAAAGAGGAAGAGCCAGAGAATTTGGGAAAGAAACTTATAATATACAGGGATAAGCTTTTGTCTTAAATTAACAAGTTAAAGCTTAATGAGTCTAAGGAGTAATTGTGCATGAATCAGCATGAACTCAAGACTTTGAGGCTTCCTACATGTGAAATTGCTGCACAGCTTGTGCTTGGAGCCTACCCAGTGCAGTCTTGCAACCCAGGTTACATGGTTTCATTTAGCAAGAGGAGCAGAGTCAGCAGTTCTAACTCTTGGTCCATATAAGAAAAAGACAGAAACATTCTTTCCACAGCAACAATGTCTTCCCAGTTTTCTTGTTAGGAACAGCATGCCAGTCATGGGGCACTAAATTCTCTATGGGACCTTGTTCAGAAAAAAATGTAGACATGTGTCTATGATCATGGGGGCTATACCCAATCTATTCCAGTGGAAGGTAATTAGGAAGGGCATGAGGAGACCAAATAGAACTGGGAATGTTAGAAAAGTAAGCTGTGTGAGCAGCCAACACCGAGCTATTTGCTGGGACTGTCAACTGCCATCATTCTGACCCTTGTGCCTACTGGTCATCACATCCTGGCCAATCCAGACCCCTCTACCTGACCTGGCATCCTCTCCCCAGCTTCTGCCTCCTCCTCTTCTTTGATATGGCCTCTCATTCTTAAGCCTTGACAACCCAGCCTCTCTGCACACTTGGAAAAGGAGGAAGGGTCATCTAGACAGGCTCCAGGTGCTGAGGATGTGGAGGTAAATAAAATAGACAAAAGTCTAATGCCCACGGAATTTGCATTCCAGTGGAAGAATACAGACAATAAAGAATAAAACAAATAAATAATTTCTGATTGTAGTAAACGGTATAAGATTTGATAAAGCAGATTCTGTGACAGAGTGACTGAGGGACTAGGAAGCGGGAGCCCTTCAATTGCCCCTGGCCCAGCATGGTCTCAGCAGCTGAGGATGGTAATCCTCATCCTCCAAGGGAAGAAGAGAAATACCCTGGGGAAGTGGGGGTGGAGTGGGGGTGGATCCCTCTGTCATTTCAGCAGATTGTTGTCATCTGAGCCCTGTTGCCAGGCAACCCAGCCATGCCACAGGAAAAGCTGGTGGAGAGCTTAGAGCCCAGGTGAACAAAGCCAATTTCTGCTGAGCAGGAAAGTGCTCACCCAGAGGATCTTGGTGCCTAGGTGGTCTTGGCCAGTAGGTCCTTGAAGGAGAGAGAGGAGGAAAAGCACTTGTGAGTGGGCAGAGTCAGCTGTTCTAACTCTTGGTACCTGGAAGAAGACAAGACTAAAAGAAACAACGCCAACAGCAACTATGCTTAACACTAGACTAAGCAAATCTTAACCAGAAAAATAACTGGATGTCTCTTATTCATAGCCTGTCTTTCAGCTGATCAGCCCTTGTGTCTTCACTGAGCTCCCCAGCCCCACACCCTGCCTGACAAACTGACACACAGTCACAGAAGCACCTAGCAGCAGGGGCTCTCACTAGCTGTCTCTGTTTATTGGCCTGAGACATGGAGACCTGTTTTGAGTAAAGGGGATGCCTCTCCTGCCCCTTTTTAATTCTGACACACCCTCAACCACAAGCCTCTCAGGTAGCTTCTTCAGCTTCAGTAAAGGAACACATGAGAGGTGCTACTCAGAGAATCTCTTGCTACTGATGATAAATCAACATCCTAGACGCTGCCACCCTGGCCAGCCTAAGGGTGCGTTTGCCGACTGCCTGGGCCTTCTCAGAGATCAAGGGGCAACATTTCTTTATTTTCTTATTCAAGAGTTATAGTTCTGATGTCATGTGGCCATCAGCCTTAGATCTTTATGTAGAAAAAAATCTCTATCTATCCCTCCTGGTTGTCCAGAGCTGTTAAAGTATGAAAGCAGAAGGGAGCTAAGGAGTTAGTGGAGAATACTTGGCAAGAGACTAGAGAAAACAGAGGGGAACCCAGAATTTGGGACCGCTCTTCTTCTGGTAGCACATGCCAGTTCCAAAAGAGCCTATCAATAGGGTAAGCTGCACTTTGGCACCTTCATGGATGTAGGGGCACAAAATAGAGTCTAGAGCCCACCAAGGGTGAGGTCCCTGGTAAACTCCCACACTTTAAGTTGGGGCTCCAAAAGGTTAGATCCCAGGATTAAGAGTGAATCAGAAGTAAAACATTCATTGTGCAGAAGTCATCTGAGTGATCCAGAAAAATTCAATCCCTTATGGCAGATTAAGGTGATCTTGGATTTTTAGTGCCCCAGGCCAAAACAAATTAAAATCCACACTGGAGGAAACTTTCATTATTCTAGGCTTCACCTATTTCTACAAACAATTTTTCAAATGTTTTTTCTTGTATACAATCAAAGATAATCAGTCAGATGAGAAGATAAGAAAGCAAGGATGAGAACTAGCAGAAAGAACAAATAATAGAAATAGACCCACAGGAGTTCCAGATTCTGGAATATCAAACACAGACTTTAGAATGACTTTGCTTACTATGTTTACATTAAAAACAAGATGAAAATTCTGGGTGCTATAAAAAGCACCTGAGAACTTTTTCCAGGCAGGGAGCTGGGGCAATCATAGGGCTCACCTCATTTGTTTTTCATCTCTCAAGGATCACTCTCTTGATTTTTAGTATGGTATACCATTGTGTCTTTTACTTTGTTCATGTTTTTTGGTTAAAGTAGGAAAGTAAATTCAGTTCCTCTTACTCCATCCTGATCAGAAGCAGAAATCGTACCCTAAATACTCTTCATTATACCACCTTGTTTGTTTCTTCACAAACCACACCACACTCAAACCATTTTGCTCATTGTCTCTCTGCTTAGCTATTACTTATCTTATTCATCAGAATACAAACTACATGGAGCAGGAAACTTTTTCTCCTATATCTACTGGATGCACATATATTATCTGGCATATGTCTGGCACATAGTGAATTATCAATAAATATGTGTTGACTAAATAAATAAATGAGCTCATAGCACCCAATGTGTACCTTCCAACTAAGCCAACAGAAGTCCAGACACCTTCTATATATGGCTCTTTGGGAATGGAATACATCCCCTCACTAAAAGAGCCCCTCATCATCCCTCCCAACTTGAGCCAGCAAGCTTCCCTCTCTGTCTTCTTGCTGTCCTTCTCTTTCTCCCATAGGACAAAAGGCCAGATTCATCCCTCTGACATCTTTTGTCTGGAATGTACAATGAATTTTTTTCAATTAGTGCCAAGATTTTATAATTAAGAGATTTCACTGACAAATATGAATTTCTGGCTTCTTTCGATCAACCAGAGCTGGCAACACTGGTTACTACTTGGAAACAGATTGCCAGAACACAGCCATGGTTACTCTTCTTAGGAGGGTCACATGCGGTCCTGTTCACCACAATCCCCACTCAACCAGCCTCACTGACTCTACCTATACAGCTGGAATAGGCATTGAAACCTAGGACCTGTTTTGGCTTTTGAAAACACAACCTTTTCCAATCCAAAGGAGACCCTCAATTTCCAAGACAAAAGATCTACTTGCCTTCGTGGTAAGCCTGGAAGAAATAAAGATATTTAATTTTCCCATTAGATTCCCTGGTACATAATAATTGTGCCCTTCACAGAAGGACCTAGGAAGGAGACTGATAAAGGCTAAAAGTTTGATTCCAATATAATAATTAAGAGTAAGTTCAGCTGCAAATAACACATCACTCAAAAGCATATTTAAATTAACTAGACAGAAGTTTATTTCTCTCTTTCCTGGAAGTTCAGAAGCAGACAATCCAGAGCTGGTATGACACTCCTCATGGTGAGTCTCCAGTTTCCTTCTATCTAGAACTCTGCCATGCCACTTTATGATCCAAGATGTCCCCCTGTCTCTAGCAATCTTGTCCATATCCCAGACAGTAAGAAGGAGGAAAAGAAGAACATTAGGTTTTTATTTTCTTAAACGACTTCTAGAAGTTAAACAAACACACTAATCCTGTTTCCATCCAGTTCTGATCAGAACGTAACCACTTGGCTACCCTTAGATAAAAGGAAGGCATAAATATACTCTTTATTAGCAATGTTGACCAGGTTACTACTACTTGGAAATGGGCTGCCAGAACGTGGCCATAACTATCCTTCTTAGAAGGGTCACATGCTGTCCTGTTTATCACACTCCCCACCCAACCAGCTTCACTGACCTTACCTATGCAGCTGGAATAGGCATTTGAACTTAGGACACCAGAATGTTAAACACCAGGGATTCTTTTTTTTATTATTATTATTATACTTTAAGTTTTAGGGTACATGTTCACAACGTGCAGGTTAGTTACATATGTATACATGTGCCATGTTGGTGTGCTGCACCCATTAACTCGTCATTTAACATTAGGTATATCTCCTAATGCTATCCCTCCCCACTCCCCGCACTCCACGACAGGCCCCGGTGTGTGATGTTCCCCTTCCTGTGTCCATGTGTTCTCATTGTTCAGTTCCCATCTATAGTGAGAACATGCGTAAACACCAGGGATTCTATTGCTGTAACAGAAGGGGAAAATGAATACTGAGGAATCACTTGTACTCTCTAATGCTCCGGTATATAAAAATACAGAAGAAGAAGAAGACCTCAGAAGAATACAGCTTGCTTCATGGATGATTTTCACTTGCTCTAAAGTTTCTTCTCGCCACTCCACTCCTAGGACTCTTTCTAATAAGGATTGAGACTCAGTAAGTGTTGCTGGAGCATCTAACATCTGCATAACTCCAAACATTGACATAATCTCAGGAAAATGTGGAGAAACATGCAAAAAGAACTGAAGTTGAATTTTCCTACTAACTGGTTGGATAGGGGATTGTGCTGGCCATTAAATTACAATACAGAAAGTAAATGAAGTTCTATTTTTCTTACACCAGGAAGACACTGAGCAAAAACACCTGCTATTGCTTTCCCAGACAAATCCTGCAAAACAGAGATCTAATGCTGGTGGCATATCTCTGAAAGCAGAATCAACACTCTGTCCCTGGAACAGTGGGATCAGCTTATAGGCTGGCTATAGGAGATTCCCTGGGTTCTGTTTGGCATGGGAAATAGGCTGAAGACAAAGACAGGAATAAAGAGACACATTATCTTGCAGGAAGAGTTCTGTGGTTGAAGGTGGATACAGGAAAGACTGAATTATGAGCATCTCTGCAGCTGCCAGTCTCTATTAGCTTAACAAATTACACACACGCACACACACGCACATGCACTCATGCACACACACACACACACATGCACTCATGCACACACACACACACACACACACACACTGCTGTATAAGCAAGTTCACTATGAACCCATCAGCTGGGACCCACCATTTGATTCTCCTGACAACAGCTGCAAAGAAGAGCAAGAAATATGAGGAACAGGACAGGGCAAAAAACAACATACATCAGAAACATACTGCCATGGAGCAAATGAAAATTGTGACCAAATATTTGACCACAACCTAAGAAATTAATGAAATAATCACCTCTTTAAAACAAGAGCACTAAGCCAAATAAAATATTCAAGGAAGAAACAACACTAGAAGATGTTTCAACATAATATGAAAAAACATCAAAACTTAGGAAAGAGGAAATAAAGCAATTGCAGAAATATAAACCAATTTGGAAGGAGCAAAAAAGACAGAGAAGACTGAACAAAGAAGGGAGAAAAAAATAAAGAAAATTCTGCAAGGCAAATTAAAAACTAAACAGAGTCAAACTACAAACTATGAAGAAATATTTGCAAGACATGATGAGTAAGAAGCTAATTTTCCTTCATATAAAGAATGCTGGCCAGGCACGGAGGCTCACGCCTGTAATTCCAGCACTTTGGGAGGCCGAGGCCGAGGCGGACAGATCACCTGAGGTCAGGAGTCTGAGACCAGCCTGGCCAACAGGGTGAAACCCCGACTCTACTAAAAATACAAAAATTAGCCAGGCATGGTGGCAGGCACCTGTAATCCCAGCTACTCAGGAGGCTGAGGCAGGAGAATCGCTTGAACCCAGGAGGTGGAGGTTGCAGTGAGTGGAGATCATGCCACTGCACTCCAGCCTCAGTGACAACAGTAAGACTCCATCTCAAAACAAACAAACAAACAAAAAGAATGTTGTCTTAGTACTTTCAGGCTGTTATAACAAAATGCCATAGACTGAGTGAATCATTAACAACAGAAACTTACTTCTTATAGTTTGGTAGCCTGGAAGTCAGGATGCCAGCATGGTTAGGCTCTGGTGAGGGCCTTCTTCCGGGTCGCAGAAGGCCACATTGCTCACTCTGCTCACACATGGAGGAAAGGGGATGAGAGAGCCCTGGGGTCCCTTTTATAAGAGCACTAATTCCATTCTTGAGGGCTCCACCCTTATGACCTAATCACCTCCCAAAGGCCTCGTTTCCTAATACCATCACACTGGGGGTTATGAATTTGAGGGGACACAAACATTCAGTCCATGGCAAATATATACAGTAAATAAGAAAAAAAAACAGAAACCCAAAAGAAAAATCCTCAAAGAATATGAATAGACAGCTCACTGAAAAATAAACACAAATGGATTTTAAATGTCTGAAAAAGTTATCATAAACAAACTGATAGTATAAAAAGTGAATATTAAAACTCAGATTGCTAGATATAACTACTCCATTGGCAAAGGTCAAAAAGCAAAATAACACATTGGCAAGGAAATAGGAAAATATGTTTCTCATACATTGTACAAGGTAGCAGAAATTAACCATCGGTGGATGGTAATTTGCAAAACTTATCAAAATCTCAAATGCACATGTACCTTGACCTACCAATTCTATTTCTAAGAATATATCCTGTAGATTTGCTCTCATATGTATGCAGAGATGAATGCGCAAGGTTATTAACTACATCATTATTTGTGATAGGAATTGGAAACAATGTAAATGTCTATCAACATAAGATTTGTTACATATGTTGTAAATGTAGAAAAAATGAGGTAGATCATTATATACTCATACATATAGATAAGTTATTCAGTGAAAAATTCAAAGGTAATAGTGTTGAAAGGAAAATTAGGAAGTCAGCAGTGAGAAGAGGAAAGAAGACTTAATTTACATAGTATACTCTCTGGTGTTATTTTAATATTTTACCTTATGAGCATAATTGATATGTCTATAAATAAAAAGCCAGTCAAAAATAATTAATTTTAAAATATATTATCCAAAGTATCCACTTTAAGCTCAATGAAAAATAATAAGAGGAGGTTATTTGAGAACCAATCCAAACCAAGACCAGACCAAACTCTCCAAGTGCAGTAGCTATTGGGAAATATTGTATATTTGTAGTAATGACTCCAATTTTTCAGTCCTTGTATCCATGCCCTTTGTTGTTGTCAGGTAAATTTCAGTGGTTTCTCGCTGTAGCAGGGACATAATTCTACCCCTGACATCCACGTGACTTGCTTTGGCTAATACAATAAAATGGAAGTGATGAGATGTCAGTGGTAAGATTAGGCTTTCAGAGACTGTGTGTTTCAGCTTGTTCCTCATGCTTCTGCTATCTCCATGAGAAGGACATGCCTAAGGATCCCACTTGTCCCAGGAGAAGAATAAGAGTCATGTGGACCAGATTGATTGCAGCTAAGATTGCGTATCCATTCTCAGCCTGAGCCAACCCCAACCTTGAGCAGAACCTCCAGGGGACTTACAGACACATGAGCAAGTCCAGTTAAGATCAGCCAAGTTCAACCTCATAACCTGTGAGCTTTAATAATGAATTGTTGTTTTAAATAATTGTTAATCCAGAAGTCTCACTACTGGGTATCTACCCAAAGGAAAATAAGTCATTATATGAAAGACACTTACATACATATGTTTATAACAGCACAATTCATAATTGCAAAGATGTGGAACCAACCTAAGTGCCCATCAACTAACGAGTGGATAAAGAAAATGTGGTAGATAGACACCATGGAATATTACTCAGCCTTTAAAAGGAATGAAATAATGTCTTTTGCAGCAACTTGGATGGAGCTGGAGGCCATTATTCTAAGTGTAACACAGGAGTAGAAAACCAAAAACCATATGTTCTCACTTACAAGTGGGAGCTAAGCTGTGAGTACACAAAGGCATACTGAGTGGTATAATAGACTTTAGGGACTCAGAAGGTGGAGGGTGGGAGCAGGGTTAGGGATAAAAAACTACACATTAGGTACAATGTACACTACTGGAGTGATGGGTGCACTAAAATCTCAGAATTTACCACTATATAATTCATCCGTGTAACAAAAAAAAACTTGTACCCCAAAAGCTATTGAAATAAATTTTTTTAAAAAAGGAAGAGGGAAGAGGAATTGCCCTTTGAACAACCCAGTGTCAATCAAAAAATCCCAATGTGTTCCAAGGTGTACTCTATCTCAATTCTTTGTATTCTTATAGCCTAATTAAGCACACAGATTTTCAATAAATGCTTATTAGAATAATTGGATGATTCAGAAAGTTTAGGACTACCTGGGGGATTTTGGAAAACTGACTGTGGATACATAAATGAAACTATAGATCATGTAGTGGTCTTTTCCCTGACACCTTAACTCTTGCCTGTCAATCATTTTGACTTCTGGCCAGGAAGTTGTGCAGTGCAGCGAGAAAATGCAAATGGGCAGAGAAGCAAAGGAGCCTCAGTTTCTTTCTTTGTGAAATGGATAAGAATAAAATAAAGCTCGTCTGTTATTAAAAAATAAATAAATAATTGTTAAGGTGGTTTGTTACATGACAATTGCCAGCCAACAGGGATGGTGTCAAGGTGTTTTAACCATATTACCTTGAATGGAGTGTGGTAAGGCCAGAAGCAGATTACAAGAGAGAAACAGGAAAGAATTCAACAGTTATTGTACTCACAGGTCCCTGGGAGAACACAGCACACCATGCAGGGATGCTCAGGTGAAGCTCCAGGCTGATCATGAGGCAGAGGGAGAAAGGGCACCTGTGGGCAGGTGCCTTTATTATGGTTTCTGTGGGAAGGAATGCGTGAGGCAGGGTAAGCAAGCTAGTTTGACTAGTTTAAGCCATTCCAGAATTAGCTAGTTCAAATAATTTCTGGGGCATGGGGGTTGTCCCTAGTCACCTGATACCTGGCCCTGGGGTGATTAGGGCAGGGGTAGAGCAGTCCAGGTGTATGGTAGCCCTGAGTGTGAGAGCCTAGTAGAGGAGGTAGCTGAGGATGTGGATTTAATTGGATGCTCAAGACAGAGAACTGACCAGCGTCTAGCCAGGGCCTCAACCCTGGATTAAGACAGTATTTTTAGAAAACTATAATACTCAAGTTCATAGTCCCTGTGGCCTTATGGATTTTTTTTTTTTCTCACAGAATATGTAGTAAGAAGCAGCTAGAGGCAGGCATCCTGGGGAAAAAATCAGATACAGGGTATATCAATTATTAATTATCTGGATTAAAACTCCATTGAGGGTGTTCCAGTTGCTATGGCTGCATAACAAACTACCCCAAAATACACTGGTTTATTTTGCTTACAGATCTGCCATTTGGGTAGGGCTCAGTGAGAACAGCTTGTCTCCATTCTATTTGGCATCTATGAGGGGCAGCCTAAGGGCCAGGGGCTAGAGCCATCTGAAGTCCTGATCACTCACGTGTCTAGTGGTCAAAGCTGGCTGTGAGCTGACACCTTAGCTGGGGTTGTTGACTAAAACACCTACATGCGGCCTCTCCATTTGGCTACATGGGCTTCCTTATAACATGGCAGCTGTGTTCTCCAGACCCTTGTGATAGGAAATATTGTAAATAATCTAAATATCTAACAACATGAAATTTGTTACATATGATGTGGAAGCCATATCATTTTTTATGACCTAACCTTGGAAATAATGCAGTTTTTCTTCTGCTATATTCTGTTCCTTAGGTTAGTAACAAAGCCCCACTCAGGTTCAAGGAGGGGGAAATAGACTCCATCTCTTGATGAAGAGTGTAAAAGTGCTGGGACAGCATGTGGACTAGAAATATTGCTGTGTCTGTTTTTGGAAAATACAGTCTGCCTCAGGGGATGGGGGAGCACAGTAAAAATGAGGTAGGCGGTGTCTCTGAGGTGAGAGAAGCGAGTAGGGGCATGACTAAGCTTGGCTGCGAAGAGCCTGGGAGAAGCAGGCAAGCGATGCCTGCCTGTGGTAGAGAGTGAGCTGGAGACGCTGGTAAGCAGCAAGGAGCTTTCACGGCCTGCCTGACAGTTGTCACCTTTCTTTAGTGGCATCTCTGCTGGGTGCTGCTTAGGACTAATGATGCCAGGGTGTGGTGGGAGGTTAAAAGTGTGGCTGAAGTTGCAGGAGTCAGTGGGACCTGATGCTGCATCAGGAGTGTCCTGGGCTCAGGCTTGGCTAGCAGGAGGGGCAAATCTGAAAGCTATCATGGACACAGTGGGGGCAGCAAATAAAATCCCTGTTATTTGTACAGTGCTAGGGAGGCATGGAGCAGTGTACTAGAAGCTGGTGAGGAAAAGGCAGGTTGCTTAATGTCTTTGACCTCAGTTTCCACATCTGCAAAGTGGACATTGCCTACTTTTCAGGGTTACCAGGAAGATTAAGTACAAGGATACCTGAGACATTTGATTACAAACGCCAGTTAGTGGACACTCCACATAGAGGCCATTATTGCTATGCTTGGATTCTCATGAGCCTTCTCAAAGGAAAAGGAACTAAGTGCCAATATTTTGTCCAGAAATAGACTGACTCCCAGGCGTCAACATCATCTCGCAATATTAATTCCTGGGAGCATTTACGGGGAAGGCAACAGAGTCTGATAGGGGAAATGATCCACTTCTTGATTTGAGCCTGACAGCTCAGAGCCTCCCACTCACAGCAGAGGACCTGCAGACTGGGTTTCCCAGAGAAACCAGCTACTTCTTGCTGCAAGGGAGGTGCCTCTATTTGAAGCTAAGACTGACACACAGCCCCAGATTCAGGCTGGAAAAAGGCCGGGAGCCTTGCTCTTCCCTCCTCCCCATGGGCCTCCCCCTGTTCTCTTTGCTTTCCCCAGGTCCCCTCTCAGGGCTTAGCTCAGGTGGCCTGGCCCCTCACCCATCTTGCTCTCAGGGCAGAGGAGTTGCTGAGACAGGGAACAAAGGAGGCCGCACTCAAACGCTGACAGTCTCAGATGCACCCACTCAAGTGCACACTCTTGGCCCTGATTCTGTGTTAAGCTGTGAGCCAAAAATACATCTCATCTAGACGGGAAAATGTGTCTAGAATAGCATTGTCTGTACCCACACACACACACCCTACCAGCCCCACCAAACTTTGGACTGACTGTACACTAGGCCTAGCAAGCAGTAGGTGCTCCATTCCCAGCCTTCCCCTCTTTTTTCTCCTGCCTTCTGCCCCTCAGGGCCAGCTGTAAGTTCACTTTGGAAGTCTGCAGAACTGGTTCAAGGGCTCAAAAGAATTCTCTTTGACGATCCTCTGGTTCTCTTACTCCCTTGGAAACGAAAGTCCAATTCAATTCAACAAACATTGAAAAAAATTCAATAAACACTGAAAAAAAATTGAGCACCTACTGCAGGCCAGCCCCCTGCTTAATACCAGGACAGGCCACTAGGAGCTCTTCGCTAGAGCAGCACAGCCCCACAGAGCTTTCTGGGCAATGAGAATGTTCTAAACCTGGGCCATCCAATACAGTAACCACTAGCCACATATAGCTACACTGCACTTAAAATGTAGCTAATGCGACTGAGGAACCAAACTGTCCATTTAACTTCATTTTTAATTAAATTGTCACAGGTGGACAGTGATTGCTACGTTGGAGAATGCAGGCTAGAAAGAGGCAGGTGTGTGCATGAGAGCTCTCTTCTACCTTCCACTCCAAAGTCCTACAATACAGCAGGAGAGCATCAGGGTTAGGGAAGGCTTCTTGGAGGTGGTGTTCTGGCAGAAGAGGATTAAAGGAGGCAGAGGATTTCAACAGGGGAGTCTAGGTGGGAAACGGACTTCCAGGCAGACACTAGCACTGGGCAAAGGCGCAGAAGCCGGAAGTGGGGCATGTCTCCAGGGGGCTGTTAGGAAAGGGGGAGGCTGGTACATCAGTTCCTTAGGGGTAAAGGGAGTGAAATGGGACATGAGGCTGGACTAGCAGGCTGAGGAGAGCTTGACTGTCAGGCTACACGCTGCGGGCACCCTGCTGCCTTTGAGCAATGAAACGATACAGTCAAGGTAAGCTTAAAGAAGCAGGCAGCTGTGTCTAAGACAAATAAGAGGGCAAGCTGGGCAGCCCTGGGAGGTGGGTGCCGTTATCCAAGCAAGAGGGAATGAAGACCTGAGTCGGTACAGACGCAAGGATTTGGGAAAGGGGGAGTGTGAGTGTACCCTCGAAGCCACTCCTAGCACCTTCTCTGTCTTGCACCCCTAGCACCCAGCTAAGTTTCAGACTATAAAAGGAAGTCAAAGCACATAGTAAGTGGCCAATAAATGTTTGCAGGGGGGAAGGATGAAATCGAGCAATTTCTTAGGTATGATGATTGGTTAGAATGTATCCTTGGGGCTGAAACAGAGATATTGATTCATTCCCTTGAACTCCAGAGAGCTCTTGGGTGCTTACTAAGGGCTGCACACATAGGTATGGGGGATGTGGCATAAAAGAGCCCCAGCCCTGTCCTCGGGGAGGTCACAGCCTCACTGAGGGAGGCAATCAGCTTCTGAGGCTCCTGTCTGAATCGAGGATGGCCCTTAATGAAATTTGAGAAGTCAGGAAGAAAAGCTGGCAGGTCGGGCAGAGCATTATTGTTTGGGGCATGCTAAGTTCAGTGTGCCAGTGAGACAATCAGGGTGGAGAGGCCCAGCTGGTCCTTGGAATAGGTGTTGGGGCCACTATCTTTGCTTGTGCAGTCCTGAGCACAGTGGAGAAACTGAGGGAGCAGGAGGGGTAGAGGTGTCCAGGAAGTAGAATCAGAAATGGAGGCAGAAGGCAGTGCCCACAGAACAGGCTTCATGCTCCCCTGTCACATCACAGGTTCTGGTCTCTGTGATTGTGAAGCGGGACTAATGGACTCAACTAAACCTATTCTCCTTTAAGTGTTGCTCAAAAAAACCAACACCTTTACCAATGATATGGGCTAAACTGTGTTCCCAAAATTCATATGTTGGAGTCCTAACCCCCAGTACCTCAGAATGTGACTGTACTTGGAGACAGTCTCTAAAGAGGTAATTAAGTTAAATGAAGCCATTAGGGTGGGCCCTAATTCAATATGGCTGATGTCCTTATAACAGGAAATTAGGACACAGACAGGTTCAGAGGGAGCCCCTGTGAAAACAACGGGAGGAGACAGGCACCTCCCAGCCGAGGAGAAGGCCTTACAAGAAATTAAACCTGCCAATGTTCTGGTCTTGGACATCTAGCCTCACCACCATAAGAAAATAACTTTCTGCTGTTTAAGCCATCCAGTCTGCCTAGTGCACTGTATGGCAGCCCTAGCAAACTAAAACACCTGGCCATTGTTCAGTGGGTGACAGCTTTAGGCAAGAAGGCCTCTAATCCTCTTCTCCTTCTGCCAAACAGGCAGTGCCCTCCCCACTGAGCAGAACTTCCCTTCCCCTTCCCCTTTCCCACAGGACCCCACTCCCACACACCTACTCTCATCCCAACAAGGGTGATAAAAGGATTTTAGAGCCCTTCAGGTTGCAGTCTCTCACTTTTTTAAAATATCTCTTGTAATATACGTAGAAAAAGCAGTGTTTGTCCCTTGGCAAAGACTCCTCAGATATATTCCCAGACTGAAGTTCACATGCACTAAACAGCAGTTGCTTTAACTCCACCTGGACACCCCCAGGCAGCCTATGCATTTTTTTTTTTTTTGGCCTTTGAATTAAATGCAAAGAAGAAACAGAGGGATAAGAAATTCAGCCACATGCATCCTCTTCCTCTGTGCCTCAGCCCCCAAAACACACCACACACACACACACACACAGAGAGACAGGAGAGGGCATGCATCCCCTTTCCCTGGCAACTGTCCTCTCACTCAAAAGCTGTGCCCTTGGGACCAAGGCCACCTCCTACCTCCTCCAGCACATACAGCCTGACAGCCCAGCATCTGTCAGTTACAAGCCGAGGTCTCCCTGACAGCCCTGACCTGACTTGGGGTCCTAATAGCTGAGTTCTGACAAGTGAGGAGAGTTGGTGATCAAGGGCAGCAGTCCTGCGGGCAGCTCCAAGGACTCCAATGCTTGGCATCAGGCACGCCAAATCCCAGGGTGGCAGGGTGCATCTTCTGCCTTTCATCCAGCTGTTCTGACATCTCGACGCCCCGGCCAGAGGAGATCCATGTTTTACCCCTAGCCCTGACCAAGCTCTGAGCGAAGTTGAAAAAGTCACCAACCTGATCTGTAGTTCTGCCCACCTGCCTTGTGAAATTAGGAATATCCATGCAAGAGACTCCTTCCCTTCCTTGGATCTGACTAAGCCCTCTGTTGTCCCAGGGGTCCCTCTCTAAGGCCGACAAGATGGGACAGTGAGAAAGAATCCCTGACACTGGGTTCACCACCGTGGCTCTCACTCAGGAAAATGGACTTTGGGAGCAGCTCAGCCTGCAGCTGACAGGTAACAGCTGTGGGGCGGCTCCAGCTCCTTCCCATTGGCAAATTAGCACCTGCCAGACCTGCAGTCAAAACAGCCAAAGGACTCTGGATCATTGGAAGTAAGCTGACATCTGCTTGAAGGGAAACTGAAAGGAGGAAAGTGGTGGGGTAGAAGATAGAAAAAAGGTGTTCTCATCCTCAAGAAAACCTCTGTCCTCTCTATTTCTGTGCAGTTCAAACGAACTTACCAATGCCTGGGCTACTACTGGAATGGAGGTCCTGGGGGACAAAGCTAGACAGAGCTCTCAGGGCCTCAGTTTCCATCTGCATAATGGATGTACTCAGACATCTCTCTCATGGGAGTGTCGTGAGTATTCATGCAGGGCCAGTCCCTGTATGCACCAGTACCAAAGGACTCAACCCAGTACATGACAGCTGTTACTACTGAAAGAAGTCAGGGAAGGAAGCAGGAGGATGCCATCAGTCCCAAGACTCAAGGACAAGGATGCTCTCATGGAGTAAAATAGGAGGTGTAAAGCCAAGATTACGAAGAGCAGGACACCAAAGGATCTGATGATAATGTTCAAGTTGTACATAACAAACAGTTTAAGTGATTCCCTTTTAGTTACTGGTGGGTGGAGATGCATACCAGGTATGCCCTTGGGACCCAGGCCACGATCCACCTCCTCCAGCACATATAGCCTGACAGCCCAGCAACTCCAGAGTCTACATTTATTTTAGCAGGATTTCTGCTTCTTCAAAAATTTTGTTTCAAAGCTCTTCGAAATAAAGTTGATTCAGGTCAACTGGATGAGAAGCACAGGGCCAAGCCAGACCCAGGTGAGACCTCAAAGGACGTCTAGAGGAGGATCCTTTCCTGCCAGGCTACCACTGCTGTGGAACCCACAACACTGGCTCTCAATATTGCTTGGTAAACACCTGAGTGCAGACAGAGGGTTCTCTTCTGACCACCTCTTTGGGCCACAAATGTTTTCCCTCTCGAAACTCTCTATTTTGCTGTCTAAAAATTTCTTAGTTGTTTTTTGTGACCACAAACATAACCCAAACTATTTTAAAAAATCTAACTCTTACCAAATAATTAAGGACACCAGCAACAACAATTTGGCACTGAATTTTTGTTTCCATTTTACAAAGTAAAGAAATAAATTGAACCAAGAAGGTTTCTCTGTGGCTTGAGTTTTCAATGAGCAAGTGATCTTTGCCATATTTTTATACCAGCAAATTTAGGTAGAAACCAACCCATGTTCGTGGTATTCAGCCATGCCCCTGAGGAATACATGGATTTTCTCCCATCTTGCACTCTCCCAGACACTCCTGAAGTAAACGTTTATTTGGGAACTTGTAGAAATGTTTCTTTAATATAAATTCTTAAAAGTAGGAATGCTGGTTATATACATACAATGGAATATTATTCAGCCTTTAAAAGTTAGGAAATTCTGACCCCTGGTACAACAGGGACGGGCCTTGAGGGCATTATGGTAAGTGAAATAAACCAGTCACCAAAGGACAAACAACATATGATTCTACTTACATGAGGTAATAGAGTAGTTAATTCACAGAGACAAAGTAGAAGGGTGGCTTCCAGGGGCTGTGGGTAAGGGGAAATGGGACTGGTGTTCAGTGGGTGCCGTTTCCAGTTTGCAAGATGGAAAAGTTCTAGAGATCTGTGGCACAACAATGCAAACATACGTAACACTACTGAATTGTATACTTAAAAATGATTAAGATGGTCAACTTTATGTTATTTGTATTTTACCACAATCAAAACTAACAATAAAAAAGAGAAAAGGACTGCCCAAAACAAAAAATGGGAATGCTGGATCCAAGGGTGAGTGCATTTTCAGTTTTAACAGATATTGTTGAAGTGCACTCAAGAAAAGCTGGACTGATTTTTGTTCTCATTACAGTGTGTGAGGGCCTTTCTTGTCCACTTTTTCTCCATAATGATTTGGTAATAGCACATGGGAGAGAAAATGGGCAGAAACTGATACACTTTACTTGAAGTATAACAAAAGAATATTAGTCTGCTCAGCTATGTCCTGATCCTCAAGAGTGGCCACAAAGTAAATTGGGTTGCAGCTTTCTGCAGGGTAGGTGCAGATCTCTGCGATGCCTCCAGAAACTCCAGAGTTATTCTGGTTCTCTTCCCCCATCCCACTCCCTAACCTTAAAATGATGACTCCAAAAATCACAGACTGGCCTACATATTTCCCTTAAACAGCTGTCCTACAGAATCACTAAAACTTGGGTTAAAAATAGTCTCAGTCTCTAAAAGAAGGCTGGGTCCCTGGAACAAAGCCCTCTTAGAAATGCTCCCACCACCACAGAGGGAACACAAAAGCTGACCCATGTGGCCCCAGGGCTCCTCATCAATCCTGACCCTCCCTGCCACCGTGGAAACAGAGAACCTGCCTGAAATCTTTTCACATCCTTGGTCCATCTGTGAAACAGAAGTCGGAATACAGGGAGAATAATGCAATTACAACCAAGCTATGCGTTTGTGCCATTATTTCCATTTTATAAATTCCCAGAGCTCAGAGAATTTAAAATTTAAGTAAGGCGTCTGAATTCACACAGTCAGTATGAGAAGCCACATTTTAATCTTAGATCTTGCTCCAAAGATACTGTGATGACAGTACCCTGTTCCCCATTGCAGCCCATCCCCCTAAAATGTCCTGTCAGATATTCAGGTCACATCATCCATAAGAAGATACATTCTGAGTCTTAAACAGAGGACATAAAGTCCTGAACAGGGTTAGAATTCTGCAGCACCAGGAGGAAGGTTTCTAAACAACCCACCTCAAGAACACCTGGTACCTTGCTGATGGGTTATCCCTTCTTACTGAGCAGAGAAATGCATTTTCCTGGGTGGTGGGTGGGAGTAAGGATCAGCTGTCTGTTGATGGCAGGCCTGATTTATCTGCTACCAAAAGGAATTAAAGTCTATCGGGTTAAACAGAGTTTTCCAGTGAACTCTTCTTAAACTTTGCACCATTATGGTGGTTGTTGGGGGAGGGGAAGGTGGCTCCTCAAGCGCCCACCTGGGCTTTTGTTCTCCAATCAAAATCTCTGAAGCAGATTTAGAGTGACAAGATCAGGGGAAGCCAGTATCCATTGTCTAGGAGAGATATTTGTGGCAGAAAGGAGAGCAATTTCCTGCTGAATTGATTTACCCATCCTTCGAATCATGATCTTACAGATGACCCGGGACACAGGTTTCTACATGGTATTGTAGACCTGGGACACAACTACATGGTATTGATCCAGGAACATGTTTAAGGCATCCCAGATGCCAGATTAGGCTGCTGGAGAAGGCCAGGGAGAACTTACTATTTCATTTACTTTATGTGTGTGTGAGAGAAAGGGAGGCAGCATGGGAGAGAGACGTTGGGCATTGAGCAGATGATGATGGTTATGGCTGGAGAATCTCTGAAAGCTGGCTTCTTGTCCTGCAAGGACAAAAATGAAGGAGAAAAATGCACAAGGAGAAATGACCAAGAAGAGTAGCACAATGTTGCTTCGTTAGCTACATACCATGCCCCAGACCTGCAATAAAAGTACACATTCAAGGCCCCCGCCAATCATATTTCAGTACCCAGGAGCCCCGTGTCCAAATAGCCCTCAGCCGCTGATGTACTGGGCCCGAGCAGAGGCCAAGCATGGCTGGTTGGGGAAAAGGGGGTGCAGTCATGTAATGAGTTTAGATTTATGGCTGAAATGTTCACACACATGCCAGGGAGGTTGTTCATGGTATAGGATAAAGCAAAGGGTGGGAAGAGAAGGAGCGGGAAGAAGACACCATATCTTACCCCAGACCCCAAAAATGTTAGGGATGAGCCTGTCCGTCTGTGACAGCCAGAAGTGTTGGCTGCCAGTGGCCCAGGGGAACCAGAACCCAGGAGTTCAGTGGAAAGAACAACGTAACATTAATAAGAGGGACCCACCCCTCCTGCAGGTTGTCCCAGCAACCAAGTCTCAGCTGCTGGTGAAGGCCTGCACAACTAGGTAGTTGCCAAAGTGCACATGGGAGGTAAATGACAAACACTTGGTTCTAGGGGTGGGTTCCAGGATCCCTTCAGGGCACTAGGTTCCTAGGTACTGTGGTAATAAGATCCCACTCAGGCCCATGAATGAGGTGGATTAAGCCCTTTCTTCCAAGGCCAACTGTGTAATACATAGGATCCAGTAGTTCTGCTCTGCCACCTACCTGCTCACTGACCTCAGGAACACCCCTCACTTCACAATATATAAATGAGTAGTTCTCATTCTGTATTTTGGAGAATTGTTGTAAGATTGAAAGGTCACAGATGCAACATGCCTAAGAGTACCAGACATGCTGGAAGTCCTTGTTTTGGTTATCTTTTGCTGCATAACAAACCACCCCAAAATTTGGTAGCTTAAAACAATAATGATTTATTAATTCTCACAATTCTGGAGGTCAGAAATTTGGGCAGGTCTCAGCCGGTGGTTCTTCTGCTCCGTTTGGCCTTCGCTGGGGTCACTGACTCAGCCGCATCCTGCTGTCACCTAAGCCGAAATGTTCAGGAGGGCTTCACTTACATGAATGGTGCCTGGGGCTCCTCTATGTGGCCTCTGCACATGGCTAGCTCTGGCTTCTGCACAGCATGTTGGTCTCAGGGTATTCAAATTCTCATGTGGCAGCTGGATTACCCCAAAAGCTTCCAAGCCTCTCAAAGGCCAGATTTGGAAAGGGCACCATATCATCTCTGCTGCATTCTGTTGGCTAAAGCAAGTCTAGTCGTAGAGGAGACAGACTCCACCTCTGGATGGGCAAAGTGACACAGAGATGGGAAGGAATTGATAGTGGCCATCCCTGAAGTCTACCTAGCCCTCACCTTTTTTTTCTTTTTGAGACAGGGTCTTGCTCTGTCACCCAGGCTGGAGTGCAGTGGTACAGTCGCAGCTCACTGCAGCCTCAACCTCCTGGGCTCAGGCAATCCTTCAACCTCAGCCTCCCAAGTAGCTGGAACCATAGGCGCATGCCAGCACACATAGCTAGTTTTTTGTTTGTTTTTTTGGGTTTTGGGGGATTTTTGTTTTTTTTTGTTGTTGTTGTTGTTGTTGTTTGTAGACAGGGTCTCAACTACGTTGCCCAGGCTAGTTCAACTCTTTATTCAGTTATTAATTTGTGTTTGTTTGCTCTCTGTGTATTTTTCTACCCTTTTTTTTTTTTTCAAGAAAGTAGCTAGGACTTTAGGCTCTCTCTGTTCAGGGGTGAGGCAGCAAGGGATGTCATGACCAATAGGGACCTGTCCTTATCCTCATGGCAATACATTGGGGAGGTGAGAAAACTTCAGGGTGTGGCTCAATTGTTCATCTACAGAGGCCAGATCAGATACCTCACAGCTTCTAGTCTTGTCAAGCTTGGCTTGGAGGGAGAAGAATCACCCATCTTCTCAGATACCCTATCAGCTGGGACAGGAATGGGTTAGCAGCAGCCGTGATGAACTGAAGGAGAGAGGGCCTCCTTCATTTTCCCCATACCAGATTGGCCTCCTAATACTTCAGAGATTCCAAAGAAGCAGAGGGTCCTCCAATAATTACTTAGGCCACATTTCCCACCAAAGCAAGAATAGGGTCCAGAGTAGGATTTGAATTAAATAAAATGTGACATTTCTTACATGACTGAGATTAACATGTATTATATTACTGTTAGACCATTAAACCCCAACATTATTAAAACCATACTGAAATTAGAAGGAAACAGAGGAATATCCAATGCCACCAACATTTACAAATAAAATGGAATGCCTCACATGTGCATATAAGGTAAAACCTGGAAATTGCTTTGTTGAGATTTGAGATTGGATATTTATAGCCTTGGTCATTTTCTTAGGCCACAGGAGTGATCCTCCTGTCCAGGCCTGGAGGGCTCTTTCTGAGAGCTCCAAAGTGCAAAGTACAAGCCCTGTCCATCTGCCAGCCTCATCCCTCTCACATATCCATGAACTGTGAGCCCATCTGGCAGTACTAGACTCAGCCCCTTGGGAGGAGCCTAGAAAAGTCTCTTCGACAGCACTAGAGAGATTAATAGCTGATACACTCTGGCCACCAGTGGGAGACCTTGGTAACAACCAGAGCCTATTATGAACACCAATATTTCCTCTTTCCACACAACCTGAGAGCAGGTGCAACATAAGCTATAAGTTACACGGAGCTCGTTGGCAGTTGGTGCTGGCCAGGATGTGCAGCAAATCTGGGGCTCATTTTGAACTACAAGTGACCACTCCAGGGAAACAGAGGCAGGCTCCCCAGGAAAAGGTGAATTACAGCATCTTCATCCCTAGGCTTGGGAGTAGTGGTGCAGTGGATGGGACTCCTGTATGTAAACTACAATACTCAGGGCAGTGAAGGCTGAGGGTGCTGAAGAGACTAAAACTGGCCACTGTGGGAGCAGTGCACACTGTGCTGTGCCATCCACTGGGAATGACTCTGGGCAGCTGCTCTGTCCCGTTCTTGAGGGTCAGAGGCTAAGCTGCTCCAGATGGGTGACAGTAGAATGCACACAGTTTCCCTGCTGGGCCTTCCACTTTTCTGTAGGAAAACACTATTGCCAAAAGATGAGTGAGAGATTGAAGAGAATGAAGGGCTGGCACACTCTGCCAGTGAGAAGAGTGTGATAGGCTCGGAGAAAGAATTGCTGGCATTTGCTGTTGACCTTGGCGCCTGAGTCCTTAGTGGAAAGGGTGCTAGCTGGAATTGGAAATCCCAGGTCCATGTATCAGCCCTACCCCAAACCAACTATGTGACCCAGGGCAAGTTGTATCATCTGGGCCTCAGTTTCCCCACAAGTGATTTGCTAAAGTATTGAGGCGATAGCACAGAGCTTAGGGTGCTGCTAGCTCCCGTGTCAGTTTGTTCTTCCTGAAAGACTGGATTTTTGTTGCAGAGAGAATGTGAGGAGAACAAGAGTTTTTGGCTAAGAATGGTCAGGCCAAAGTGTGTGTGTGTGTGTGTGTGTGTGTGTGTGTGCGTGCGTGCGTGCGTGCGTGTGTGTGTGTGTGTTAGTAGAAGGAGGGAACACCAGAGGCTTATAGGGCCCTCTCCCTTTCCCCAGCAGGCCTCAAAGAACCGAAACATCATTCTGAATGCTTAACACTGATTGCAAGGAAATGAAGTCAATGTCTAAGGCACTCAGAAAAACAGTTTCTTTACCATGATGGATTTTTAGAAAATGAACTATCCCTGAAGATTCACTCCCTTGACTGGGGAGATAGACAGGAGGTACATAGGTGCTCATCCAGTGGCTGGATACATAGGGGTGGTTGTGAGGCAAGCTAGTGGGATGATCATGACAAAGCCCCAACTTGGGGGGACCCCTTGTGCAGAAAATGGCCCAGCAGGCCTAACTGCTGCCCTTTGAAAGGTCTGCTTACTGAGTCTTGGAACTTGGATTTCAAGATGGCTCCCTACACCCTCAGAACTGATCAACGTGGCTCACAGTGCCTAAGCGGTTTGTATAAACAATGTGGTTTATGCTGAACACTACTTTCCTTCTGAGACTCTGGAACTTTGGTATATGCTAGGCAGAAAATACTCATATGACCAGCTGCTAGTAGAAACCCTGAGCTCTGAGTCTCTGATGAGCTCCCCAGATTGGCATATTTCACCCAGCAAATTGTCACAACTCGTTGCTGGGAAATGAAGCCTATTGTGTGTGACTCTGGAAAGGAGCTCTGGAAGCTTACACCTGGTATCCCCTACACTTGACCCCATGGGCCTTTCCCTTTGCCAGTTGTGCTTGGTATGACTTTGCTATAATCAATCAGAGCCATGACTCCAACTACATGCTGAGTCCTGTGAGCCCTCTTAATGAATTACCAAGCCTGAGAGTGGTGGTCTTGGGGGATCCCAGATACACATCCCCCATCCTGGACTTCCAGGCAAGTCCAAGACACCAAAGCCACTGCTACTGAACTGGGCCCAGGATTCTGGTCATTAAGGGAAGTTACTGACTCTTCTGCTGAATTCCATTCTTCTCTCCCAACCTCCACGCCCCTACTCTAAGGAGCTTTATGAGTTGAGGAGTCAGATTTTTGGGGGTGGATCTCTCAGGTAGTTCTACTGGACAGTGCTAATAAAGATATGACAGCAGGATCACCTGTCCCATTTCTAACCTCTTTAATTTTAAAGGGTAAGATCAAGTGCTTTGCTTGCTAAGACTCAGAGCTGTCCAGCTCACCTGATGCAAGCAAACACAGGCATCCCAGCACCAAGACTGGAGGGTAGGTAAAACCATGGCAACAGCTTACAGAACCACTCTGCAGCAGGCAGGAAGGGACCTTACACCACTTTCCCAAAAGGGGAAACTGAGGCCCAGCTGGGTTATGTAAATGCATTTTCCACCCATGCAATACACATGTCTGTCACCACTCTTTTCTCACATTTCCATCTCTCTCCTACACCAGATCATGAGGCTCCTACGTAGTGCGGCATGAAGGTGCTCAGGGTTGAATAGACCTGACTCACCCGGCATTACACAGCTCGTTAGGAACAGGAGAGGAATTTGATTCCAGGTCTCCTGCCTTCCAGGGCAATGTTCCTTGTTGGGAAAGCCCCAGTACATGGTACAGACAAAACTCCTTACTGTCCAAACCGTGCATGCTTGGGAGCATCCAGATTGGAAAGAATGTGCACGAGGTGGGCCCTCGAGAACACCAACCAGCTGGGAGTCCTGGGCTGGGCTTTTTCTCTATCCCTTGATTTCTGAATCTCTGAAGGCACAGAAAGCTTCTGTCCTGGCCAGCATCAATCAGCTGACCAGGGGGAACCAGCTCCAAGATTTACCCCCTTACTCTGAGTAGAGACTGGAAATAAAACGGCAGCATGTAAGAGAAATGCTTTAACTTTATAAAAAATGTGATAATACAGCAAGATATTGTTGGGGTTTTCTTTTTTTCTGTCAAGTAAGAAAAAAAAACACCTGGAATAAAAATTAGAAACATAATCTAAGAAAAATTGGAAACAAGCATTTCAAGGAAACAATTTGGAAAGATAAGGAAGAGAAAACAACAAGCAGCATGAGCAGCAAAAGCAGCAGCAACATGGGGGGAAAGCTGGCTCTGCTGTGAGGACAGAACAATCAAAGACCAACGTGCACCTTGCTTTCCATACCAGGCTGAGCTGAGGGGTGGGGTAAGGGTGGGCAGTAACCATCAGAGAGGCATGAAGGTTTCCCAGGTGGGATCAGCTGATGGCTGCTGGCTCACTGTGGGGAGAGGGTAGGCAATGGCCTCCTGCAAACGGGCCCAGATCCGCCCTCTTATAAGGCCTGCCAGCCAAGTGGCAGTGACGGATTTGGCTTAGCTGGCTCCCTCCTCTGTCCACTTGCTCCAATCTGCAGCTCTGCAGGTCACCATCCCACAGTGATGAGCTCAGCAAGCAGAGACTCATCAGAACGTCAGCCTAAGCTAGGGTAGCGAACTTGCCAGGGAGAACCAAGAAAACTAGATGTACAGGGCTGTATACAAAACACTTTTTGGAATGTCTGCACCATAGCCAAGGCAGAGTTAGGACCACTTTGGAGAGGCAGCTGGGAATGCTCCCAGCAACATTCCCCAGCCTTTCCCCCTAGGGAAGGGACATCCAAAGAACACTGGGTGAATTCTTGACTACATTCTGAGGTAGTCTAACTGTGACTTGGCACAGGTAGCTAAGAATGATCACAAAAAACAGAAGAAGGGAAGGCAGAAAAGTCGCCACAGAGAGAAAAGGCTAACATCTCTAACAGAAGAAGCTACACTACAAGTGGGCTCAGAGATGACCAGAATGCGTCCTGGGCTCGGGGTGGCCAGTGGCAGGGCCCACCCCTGGGCACATACAGCTCTCATAGCACACTTGATGCTGCAGCAGTGTGGCAGGAGATGAGGGAATCCATAGAGAGATTTCCTGGCCCAGAGCAGCAGCAACTGAGGTGAGGAGAGTCTGTCCTAACACCTAGTCCTCTGCTACCAACTCATGTCATGATGGGGATGAGCCAGACACCCCAGGGACCATGCAGTGAGGAGTCCCAACATTCCCTTCGACTACAACTTCTCTACCTGAATTTGTTTGTGGGGGAAACTAATACTGCCAGACTCTACTTGGAAACACTTTAGAGGTGAGGGAGCAATCAGATCCTAAGCCACTGAAAGAGAAGTAATGAGAATAAAAAGCAATGGTGTTGTTAGACTCCCCTATTTTTAAAATGCTAATTCACATTCTTTTTGTCTTCTGCCCCAGCGCTCAGAATTCTAAGTCAGAATGGAATGTTCCGAAGGATGAGGAGGCTGCAGCTGTGTGGACATTAGTATTTTCTCTGCTTTCCACATTTCCGAGAACGCCTTCTAGGCCGAAGCTCACCAAAGTCTTCAACTTCATTTTCATAATCATCTTCCTGAACAATACCTGAAGAAAGAAAGAAGGAAGGAAGGAAGGAAGGAAAGAAGGGAGGGAGGGAGGGAAGGAAAGAAGGAAGGAAGGAAGGAAGGAAAGGAGGAAGGGAGGAAGGAAGAAAGGAAGGAAGGGCAGAATGGTGATTTTTTTTCCCAATCCACTGTAAAATATAGCATCCTAGTAAAACCTAGTGTCTCCGTAATCATTGGTTTAAATTAATGAAATAAAACTTTCTGCCAGGGTTCCAGAGAAAGAGAGATTTCCTTTGAGTACTGATGACTCCCAAAAAGAGTCAAAGTAAACACCCTTCTCCAGAATTAAGTTCCTTTATAGGCTGGTTCCTCTTGCCCTATTTTAGAGGCCTTTTAAATAACAAAGAAATCAAGCAAAAAATAAACTCAACCATACACTTGAATTGGTATACCAATTCTCTTCCCTTTGAAATACACATCACAAAATCCAAGACCCCAGAAGGGACTAAATGCTAAAGATTTTTTATTGGCACAGACATTTGTGCCAAGTCCCTTCAAGTTTTCCCCACCTCTGGGGTCTGGATTTTCCAGGGGCATCTGCGGTTGATGAAATACTCAGAGCAAGAAGGAATGTGGTCCTGTGGCTGGAATGGGCAAAAGAAAAAACATTCTGGATCACATATAACTTGGCAAGATCATTCTGACTGCCAGGAGAGAAAGTGCTTCATTCTACACAAACTTTTAACCCTCTGTAGGAAGAAGCATTTAAGTTTCCCCAGTGATTTTGTTTGTTTTATTCAGAAGTATATCCCCAGGCGCAGAACAACACTAATATGTACTAGAACCTCAATAACTATCCACTGACTTAAATGACTGATCGACACAGGAAAACATTTCTCAAGGGATAGCTTCACAATGCTTTGTCCATCCTTGGGAGTCACTGCATTGAGTATGTGCAGTGACTGAGCATTATCAGTAACAGCTCATGAGCAGCAAGAGGTTTATGGCAACTAACATGTGCCCAGAATAATGGCCCTCATAATCAGATAAGAAAACTCAGATATTATGTTGCTAGTAATTTGAGTCACTGGAGGTGATGCTCCTAGACAGTGAGAGTCCACTATTGACATCACTGGGCTGCCCCACTTCAGATTCCCCCCGGGAGCCAGCAGTAATAAGAACCACAGGACCCAAAGTGTTACCTGTCCCCACAATCAAGACTCCTTACCTTCCTTCTTTAAGCGGGTCTCTGTTTTCATCAACCAGTCTCGTGCATCCCTGACTGACAGGATCAGAATGTTGACCAGCCGAGTCATCGCCTCCTCCGCTTCAGAAACCAAAGAACATGGCTCTGAGTAAAGATGCCATTGCAGGAACTAGAACACCAATTACTAGACCCAGAGTCCCCACATCCCAAGAGCTGGTCTCTATGTTTTCCCTGAAAAGAGCCCTCCTTATCGGGTAAGGGACCCAAAGCTGCCTTCTGCTGCTACAAGCATAAACTACAACTAAAGGCTAGCCTGACACCATTACTGTCTGTCTATAGAGACTGCCACAACTGCAAACCTTTCTAAGACACTTGTGTCCAAAATGTCATTAAACCTTAAACTGGAAAGAGTATCTGAATTATGGAACATTTTAAAATATGCAATTTCACTAAGTTTATACATAACTTCTACATAGTGTTGATAAGAAGTAGCTAGTAAAAAAGCCAAGGAACTATAATCCCAGCACCTTGGGACACCAAGGCAGGCAGATTACCTGGGATCAGGAGTTTGAGACCAGCCTGGCCAACATGGTGAAACCACATCTTTACTAAAAATACAAAAATTAGCTGTGCATGGTGATAGTCACCTGTAATCCCAGCTACTTGGGAGGCTGAGGCAGGTGAATCATTTGAACCCAGGAAGCGGAGATTGCAGTGAGCCAAGATCACGCCACTGCACTCCAGCCTGGGCGACACAGTGAGACTCCATCTCTATTTAAAAAAAAAAAAAAACGGGAAATCTGATTCTAAAATAACATAAGAATTCTATTAAAGGCTCACACTGGGTATGACTTAAAGACCCTCCTAAAAGGAAGAGACCAGCTAGACCAGCTACACACTTCCAGATCTTAGTCAGGGGATGAATGGGTCAAGAGAACCTTAAAGAGTTTTCTTAACACCTTAAACATTTTCCCTGTATCTTCTCCACAGAAGATTATTCTGGCAAGAATCATTCTGACTGCCAGGAGAGAAAGCGATTCATTCTACACAAGCTTTTAACCCTCTGTAGGAAGAGGCATGCAAGTTTCTGGAGTACCTGGGGAAACCATCCCAAGCCAAGGATAATGACAAACTTTTAACTGGGGGAGGGGTAATCCAACCAATGAGGTTCGCTATAACTTGAGAATATATATTCCTCATTTGTATTTCTTCTAAGGCCAAGATTCCACCATCCCCAAGTCAGAAGCCACGACAAGGAATTTAACCCTGAGAAATGTCCTCAGAGCCCAGGTCTCACTCTGCCTGGGCCCCCATCTCTGCAGACCCTTACCGCCAGCCCAGGCCTTCCGCCTGTAGAGGTCCTCCACCATATCCGAAACCCTCTTGATGTGCTCCTGGACCTTCTGCAGCATGTGGCTGTGCTCCTTGGAGCCCACGTGACTGTGGATCCATACACTTTGCTCGATGTCCTGCACCACCAGCTTGCCTTCATCAATGGCCGGGTCCACCTTCTCGTGGAAAAATTCTGAGTATTTCTGGTAGGCCACTTGCTGCCTCTGGTGGTGTTCTAGATGGATATGCTGCTCGTAAGACTCGCTGTTCCTCTCCTGACACTCCTCCCTTTCCAGCTCAGCCCTGGAAAGGACTGCCACCTCGGAAGCTGCCCCCTCAAACGCTTTGCTGGGGCTGAAATAGTTCTCTGGGCCACGGGTAAACTTCACTCCACATAGGTCACACTGGGTCCTGTCCACGTCTGCCTTTTTGAAGTTCCCAGCCCTGGGCTCCCTGGCCTCCTCCCTGACACGCTCCATCTGGGTGCCCACTCTTCTCCTCCAACTGATGCACAGAGACACCACCAGGCATGCCCTCCTCAACTTCCGCTGTATGGAGGCCTTCCGTTGCTTTTGGGAAAGAATGGTGGCCAGGACGTGGTCTCGGTCTTCTAATGCCAGTTCATCCATCTCATCCTGGCCAAACTCACACTCAGGTTCAGCAAAGTAGTCCACAGGGTCCAAACAGAGCAGGCGGTTTAGTCTGACCTCCTCATAATAGAGGCCACGGACTATGGACCCTTTGGTGTGCACAGGGTCCCACCGCCAGTCACAGTCCATTAGGTACTCTTCATCCCGCTCAAAGAGCAGGTCCTGCAGTGCCTCAGCCACAGACTTCACATTGACTGCCACCAAGACCCGCTTCACCACCTTCAGGAGCCTCTCGGGAACCTGGCCAGGGCAGTCCATGCTCATGAGCTGCAGCCTTGACTCAATCTCCCGGAAGTGGCGATACAGGAGAGGCTTGCAGTATGGCTGCAGGATCTCCTCAGCATTCACTAGCATCACCAAGCACAGCACCAGTGTCCGCTCAGCCTCACCCGAGACCACATAGTCTATTTCACTGAAGGCATCAAGCAGGACGTTGAAGTTCACATTCTCATAGCCACATAGCACCTTGGCGAGGTAGGAGAGATGGAACCGGAAATCCTGAATGGCTCTTGTCACGTCCTTGGGTTTGTATTCCTGAATGATGGAGAACACATCCCCAAGCTCCTTGTCCTTCTTGCTAAACAGGAACTCCCAGTAGTGCAAGAGTGCAATGTAGCTCTTGGGGAGGCATAGAATGACATTCTTCCAGAGGCGGGCCAGCACCACCCCACAGTGGATGAACTGGAACTCCAGGAGGGCTACTGTGTTTCCAATGCTGGGGATGAGTGGTTCTTTGCACCTCTTGATGAGGACATTCATGAAACGGAAAAAGAGCCTCTTGTAGTCTTCTGGGTTCCTGTACACGTAGAATTGATCAATGCAATTCTCCAGAAGCCGGATGAAGCACAGGTGGGTCTTGTCCATATTTTCATCATCCCTGTTGGGTGCCAGCATGCCAAATTTCCCTTCTATTCCTTTTATCCTGCTGCCTCTCCCCCTGCCCCTTTCATCCTTTTCAGACTCTAGAGCTTTGAGTTCCCTGTTGTAGTTGTCCTCCTCCTGGTGGAGCAGCTTTTCAAACTCCTCCGGGTAGTTGGAAGAGAGAAGGAAAGCTTGCATGGCACTCAGCCACAGGTCTGTGGATTCCCGGCGGTTGCGTGCGCTTTCATTTTCAAACAGAAAGTGGATGTACTCCTTCAAAGCAAATCTGTAGAACCGGAAGGATTTGTAATTTGGTTTGAGGATTTCTTTGCATGCCATGGGGTTTTCTGACAACACTCTCTGATGGAAATGCTTAGGGAAAAGGACATCCAGAATGGACTTGCAAAGGCCATACATATCTGTAGACAAAATATAATCAATTTCTTTAAGTTCTTCTGCTAAGATTTTAGGGAATACTTTTTTGGCTTCCAAAAGCAACCCGTTGATTGCCACCAAGTTCATTTTCGACTGAACTAAACACTTGGCTTCACAACGCCGCAGAGGCCTGTGAAAATGTTCACAGTTTTCATCCTCACATTTTAAGCCTACAATAAACCTCATGCAGACTCCTCGGTAGGTCTTCCCAAGCAGGCTCCGTGTGATCTGACACAGCCTGCCCAAAAGGTGTTTGTTTAGGGCTAATTTCACTTGGTCAGTCATTATCAAAAAATGATCTTTTGTTTTTTTCTCTCTCAAGTTCAAATCCAGGTCAAAAATTATTCTTAATATGGGCCCAGGGTCATTCTGAGCTATCTGGCAATACTTGGCATCCACCTGGGAAATCCCAAAAAACTCAAAGCAAGATTTGACCATTTCCTTCTCAGCATTGTTGGTCACTCTTTTGAGAGCCCTGACCAGACTGAGGAGGATTTCCAAGCCCCCTGGAGCCAGGCCCAGAATCTTCTCAGGCTCGGCCTCACACTGGCTGGCTGCTTCGTAGAGTGCTTCCACCACTCCAGCTGAGTGGTTGAGCGTGTCAAACTTGAAGAAGGCATCCCTGAGCTTCTGAAAGTCTCTCAGGATTACCCCTTGCAGGAAGTGGGCCTCCGCAATGCCAGACAACTGGCCAGTTTGATAGCAGATATCAAGTGCTTCTCTCAGAATGTCCTTGGTGTGTTCTATGTCGGAATCCCTGGCCACATTGAGGCGGGCGGCCCCCAGCAGACATGAGGCCTGGAAGTCCTTGTCGGCAGTGAGCCTGGCAGCCTCCAGGAGGCAGCCATGTTGCTTCATCAGCAGGGCAGCCTCTTCTCTCCTACCTTCCCTGTTCAGCAGGTCTGCAGCTTCTGCTAAGCGTTTCCGAGACTTCAAGAACACCAGCTGGTCTTCTATGTCTAGCTTTGAGAGGACAGCCATCATTTCCTTCATCTTATTTGCACTCAGATACTTTGCTGCAGCTTCCAAGTAAAACTGACTGGCAGAATAGGAGAGCTTGGAAATGGGAAGGGTCTTAGTCTTTAGCATTTCTTCATACCTGCAAAGACAAAGGACACAAATGTCAACTTGCCATCACCCAATCAATAGAAAATTTCCTCCAAAATACAGTGCAGAGCAACTTAAATAAAACTCCCACATGTAGATATTACAAAATAAAACCTAAACTTGTCAAGCATTCAAGTATTTTTACAAAGGCCTTATTTTACACTGTTACCAGTATAATAATAATGAATAAATTCCTTATGCTTCAATCAGGAATTGGTGTGCTTAATTAATGAAATATAGTGGAGGTGTAACTCAAACAAGTGGGAGTGAAATCCAAAAGTCAATCTATAGGGCAAATGTTATGCATAGTCTAAATTATCCTTGAAAAACATCTCTTTGGTTCTCATAAAAGCATCATAATCATCTGGGTCTACAACTCTGTTCAGTTTGATAAAATGAGAAAGGATGAAATGGGGGCTGCACATGCATCAGCAATTACACCAGTCTTCCCCTTATTACCCAACTTGTGATTCTTCTCTTTTAGCAGGTGTGCATTAGTTGGGTTCCTGTGAGATTAATGAGGCTCTGAAGGACTCCCCTTTATTCTGCTGATGGAAGTCAGAATACGTCATTATATACACACTCATAACATACTCCCATCCCCCTCAGCCCCCTCTCTTTGTGACACTGCATCAAAGCTTATAAAGAGACTGGAAAATAGAGTCCTGCTCTCAAAGAGCTGCTGACCCAGCACTGAGGCCATCGCTTAAGTGGAAAGGGAGCAATGTGGTCAAACCATGTCAGAAGCAGCAGGATAGCACCACCCAGAGCAGGCTGCCCCCAGAGAGAAGTGGGAGGAAGAGAGGGAGAAAGGGAGAGAATAAAACCACCTACTTTTCCACTGCAATAGCAGCTTCTTCAAAAAGCTCCTCTTGGCAGTACATTTTGAGTGCTAGATCAAATTCCTGAATCTGCTCAAAGCATCTGAAAGCGTCTTTGTAGCACTGGCTTCGCTTATAGAAATAGGCAGCATCTCTTATCTAGGATGGAGTAAATTTTACTTTTATTTAGAGTACTCATGATTAACTTTCTAATCTTAAACCAATACCACAAGTAATAAAGAGGATAGTCATATGTCTGCTTTCTGTTAGAATCCAGTTAAAAACCCTAGGCCGGGCGTGGTGGCTCACGCCTGTAATCCCAGCACTTTGGGAGGCCGAGGCGGGCGGATCACGAGGTCAGGAGATTGAGACCATCCCGGCTAAAACGGTGAAACCCCGTCTCTACTAAAAATACAAAAAATTAGCCGGGCGTAGTGGCGGGCGCCTGTAGTCCCAGCTACTTGGGAGGCTGAGGCAGGAGAATGGCGTGAACCCGGGAGGCGGAGCTTGCAGTGAGCCGAGATCCCGCCACTGCACTCCAGCCTGGGCGACAGAGCGAGACTCCGTCTCAAAAAAAAAAAAAAAAAAAAAAAAAAACCCTGTAACATAGATAATGTTAGGAAAACCAATTATTTAAGGGGAGAAAAATAAAGTTAAATCCCAACCTCACAGCACACACAGAGGTAAGCCCCAGGTAGATTAAAGATCTAAATGTGGAAACTACTGTGGGAAAATATGTGAGAATATCTTTGTGACCTTGAGGTCACACTCAAGTGGAAGGAGTCTTCACGTAACTTCCAAAAATAACATAATCAACAAAACCCAAAACACAAATTTCAGGAGAAAAACTGATGGATCAAACTGATACATCAAAACTGCTCAACAAAAGACACATGAAATAAGCTAACTTTTAAAAAAATAACACCTAGATCAGTACTGTCCAATAGAAGTTTCTGTGAAGACGAAAATGTATTGTTTCTTTGCTATCCAATCTCACCACTAGTCACATCTGAATGTTGGGCCTTTAAAATGTGGGTAATGCAACCAAGGAACTGAACTTTTAAATTAATTTAATTTTAATTATTTTAAAGTTAAAGAGTCACACATGGCTAATGGCTACTGTACTAGACTGGGCCTGTCTAGACAAAAAGAACTCTTGCAACCACAAGAAAAAGACTTTCCTCGAGACACAACAGAAAGCTAGGCAAAGGATATAAGCTGGCAGTTTACAGTGGGGTAAACTTGAATGACTAACAAATAAATAAAAATGCTCAACTTTACTGACAATCAGAAGAATACAAATTAAAGCCACAGTGAAATACATCCACCAGGTTTGAAAAATTAGAAAATCACAATCTGCTGACTGTGGTCAAGAATGTGGGGAATGCAGAACCCTCATGCACAAAGTGGAATGGCTATCCCAGAAAGCGAAGGGACTGTACTTAGTGAAGTGAAGCATGTGCATACCCTAGGCCAGCAAGCCTGCTCCTGGCAATACATCTTGAAGAAGTATCTCACAGAACCCTAAAAAGACATACTGTGCCAAGGTGCTATGTGTGGGAGCCAGGAGCCAGTGGCAACCTGGAAGTGCCTCACAGGGAAATGAATTCATCAATGCAGTCAATGCCCACTCAGGAATACATGGCTGTCAGAAGCATGGCCAGACCTAACACTATATAGCAAGGGACGGAAAAGGTAAAACACAGAGAAAGATGTCTTCTAGATAAGCCTAAAGTATATATATATGTATAGAAGACACCACTATTCATTTTTCAATAATGCATGCATTTGAGCACATATAAAAATGTATTAGAATGACTACCAATGAGAAAAGAATGAGAATGGAAACTGGTTGTGAAGAAGAGGATAAACAAAATAACATGCAATGATTGGGCCCCATACCCACCAATGGTGGGCTTGCCATGAACAGAAGAGTCTACGAGACTCTTCTTCCTATCACAGCTCCCATCCAGTTCACCAGCTAATCCTGTCTGCTCGGTTTCCCTAACATTTCCCAGATATGCCACCATCCCACCACTTCCACCACCACCATGGTAGTCCAGGCCCTATCATTTCAGCCTAAGCTGATGCTAGACTCTAACTGGCCTTTCTGCTTCAGCTCTTGCTGCCCTATAGACCTCTTCACAGAGCATCCAGATAATTAGCTTCATGTCAGTCTTCCCATCAAAGTCTTCCACTGGCTTCCCATCATGCTTGAACAAAGCCCAGTCCTTGCCACAGTCACCAAGGCCCTACTGATCTGGCCCTGCCACTTTCTCTTACTCATTTACCATTTCTTGTGGTCATCTCACCCAAACTGACTAGCAAGGTTCAAATCAACCAACTTGGCAGCAGCCTTCTTCTGGATCCTCAGGATCCATCACCTGCCTTTTCCCAGTTCCCAAATGCATTCTATCCACGGAAAGAAATGTTTATGCAGGTGCCACAAGAGTGAAAGCTTTCCTTTCAGGGATTCCTGTGCCTTGCCTGCTTCTTGCCTCTAGAGAGCAGCGTTGTATCCCTGTTCCATTCCCTTCTCCCACATCTTAAGAAGTCACATCCCATAATAAACATGGAACAGGGTAGGCAGCATCTGGAGGGCCTTATCCTCTTCTTCGCATTGACTTGGGGCCACACTTCAAACTTCCCAGTAGGTCCCACTCCTACCCCTCTCAATGCCCAGGGTGCTCTGAGGATCCCATGAGTCACCATATTTCACATACAGACAAGAAAACCCCCTTTCCTACTGAAGGATATTGACACCTGATAGGGGAAAATGCAATGGCCCACAGCTCCTTAAGCACAGTTTCTCCAACTACCTGTGGTAAGGGACCAAATCATTTTAAATTTCCGATCCATCACAGTTGATATGTTAAAAAATGAATTGATGGGAAGATTATCACCACTTGGATGTCAAAGCAATGCCAAATGGCAATAAAAAAATTCTGCTTACTTTTATCTTCTGTGTTAATCTTGCTGCAGACAAATAATAGTTTGTAGCCTGCTGACCACTCTGTGAGTAGCTGTGTTCCAGACTAGCAGCTCTGTCCAACAGAGCTTTCTGCAATGATGGAAATGTTCTGTTAACAATGAGCACTTGCCATTGTGGCTAGTAAGACTGAGGATGTGAATTTTTAATATTATTATATTTTAATTAATTTAAATTGTAAATTAAATAGCTACATGTGACTGCTGAATTGGATAGTGCAGATCTAGAGTGATTACTAGGAACACAGCCGAGGAACCTCCATCTAAATGCCAGGCCACTCAGCCAAGGTGACTGAAGACTAGGAACACAGAGAAAGAAAAGGGGTATTCTAAAACCCTTCTGCCCTTTGGCTTGAGCATTTGGCTTCCCTGTGGTTAATATTAGGCCCTGAATATTAACACAGACATTAACACACAAACACACACACACACACGCACATGCATACTGTCTTCAGAGCCTCCTCAAAGTTTGCCCAAGTAGTGAAAGTAGGCTTCCCTTAGAGTCGCAGGGCCAGTGTCTCCCTCCTTGGAAGACTGCAGCCTCTTCCTGCTATGAGTAGAGGTCGAGCCTACCCCTCAATCTGCTCAAGTGAAGCCCAGTTTTCCCTGGAGCAGCAGCGGACTAGGAGCCATACCTTTCCCAGCCTCTCGCACAGCTGGGCAGAGAGCTGGAACTCCTTGGCATAGCTCAGACACTTAAGGGACAGTGTTGGCTCTTTGCACTCCAAATAGGTCTTAGCCAATTCCAAATATTCCAACTGCTTTTCCCTAGGGGAAGGAAAACAAAATAATATTTCCACGGAACATTGACCCTACACCAATATTTAACCTGCTACTCCCATCGGAGCAAACCAGAAGTGATCCCAAGACTCTTACTTGGGGCTGACTTTCTTGGATTTCATGCTCAGGGCAGTGTCATGGGCCAGGGCCAACTTCTCCTTCTCAAATGCACCTCCTTTCTGGTAACACTTGGCTGCAACCTGGAATAGGCAAAAAGTTTTATTCCCAGCAAGGTAATGGAGGTAACAGACAGAACAACGGTTAAAGCATGCATTATAAGTTTGTACTGACAAAACATGAAGTCTTGCTCCAGCCCAATCTGAGAAGGAGGAGCAGGAAGGTGCAGATATTCTAAAGAAAGTAGTCTTGGAGGATAAAACCCAACAGTATTCACATTCAGTGGTATCTTTTGGAAGCACCCGTCGAAAAGGTACAGAATATGTATTTTTTCAAGCTACCATAGTAACACCCTTATTTAATCTTCCAACAGCCACAGCAATAAGTATCATCCTTCTCATTGTATATAGTTGCTACTTCAGGTCAGAGCCATGGAGCAACTGGCCCAAAGTTACCCAGTGGCTCTTCTGGGCTTTGACCCAGTTGGTGAGTACAACAGCTACTTTGCAGTGTTGGCAGAACAGCTGGAGTACACGTACTGGAGGTAGAAATGGGGATAAAGATGGTATCACAACACATCCAGATCCCTGGGGCATGCAGATCTGTTACCAAATCCTCTGACTATAAGGTAGGCAAACAAATGTCACAGAGGAGTCAGGCTTCACTCTGATCTTTGCCAGCAGAAAGCTGCTTTTCTAAAACAGGGGTGCTGATGCTATGTCTCAAAGCACACAATACATGGGCAGGAAGTTCACATTCTGCCCAGCATGTACACATTAGGTCTCAGTGTGGGCAAGGGAGGGACTAAGTGGCACATGCTGATAAGGTGGACAGGATGATCACTCTCCCCTTCATGCTATCTGTGTGGGTCTCCTTTCATTCCCGTGACCTGTGCCATTTCCTTCCCATTGCAGGGCCTTTGCACACACTGTTCCTTCTAACTGAAATGCTCTTCGGTCCTTTCCCTGTCTTGTTAACTTCATTCATTCTACAGGTTTCAGTTCAAGGCTATGTTCCTCAAAGAAGGGTTCCCACGCCTCTATTTCCAGGACAGTTGGTTCTGGGAGCAGCTGGTCTCTCATCTGTGACACCTGCAACAGCTGCAGCTGTGCATTGGTCTATATGCCTGTTTTGCTTACCATCAGATTCCTGGGATCTAAATATAATGCTTGGCCCATAGCTGCTGAAGACTAGGAACATAGAGAAAGAAAAGGGGCATTCTAAAAACCCTTTTTGTTGAATGAATGAATCTTCTGTGGTGGTTCTGAAACATTTATTGACATGCAGCCAAAAACTCAATAAACCACCTGAGTCCTGAAGTCCTTTAGCAGGGTCAAAATAAAGTCAGGTGAAGAGAAGGCTTTTTATAACATTCTCATCTGTGCCAGTTCCCCTAAAAAGATTTTAGATTCAAATATTCAAAAGGTATTTTTAAAGCGATAAATAATTGGATATCCATGGGCAACACATATGGGTAACAGCAACAGTGTTCTGAAGGGAATAAAGGGTAAGATTTTATATAGTTTTCCAATTTCAGACCCATACCTGCTGCCCATATTATCCCTCCCTTCCCTCCCTAACACCTAACCCCTGCCCCACCAAAAAAAAAAAAAAAATTCTTGGTTTCATAACAACGGCCAAACATTCAGTGTTTCTTTCCAATTCTAACAAGGATGGGCAGTGAAGAAAATTGTGAGGCTTGGTCAACTTCTGCAGCTAAATACTACATACTTAGGAAAATACTTTCCAGACCTACCCAAACCTACAATAGCATAAATTGTACTTTTCACCCCATATAATACATTGCCAGGGTGGCCACAGTTCTTAACTCCTCCCTGTATCTGTCCACACCCCCTTACAGTGTAACTTTCCAGCTTCTCCCATCAAGAGTCCTGCCTATTTACCCTCCCGTCCAATCTAGGCTGAGACTTGCTTTGGCAACAGAATTCAGCAGAAGCGGCACTGGGCCAGTTCCAAGGCCAGGCCTCAAGGGGCCTTGTGTGCTTCTGTTCACGTTCTTTGAACCCTGCTCAGGCATCACGTGAACAAACCCAGACTAGCCTGCTGGAGGAGGAAAGAAATGTGATCCAGGAACCCCAGTCACCCCTGTCCCCCCGGTCCCCTGAGCCAAGAGCCAGCCAACCCCCAGAAGCAGACATGCCCAGCTGACTGCAGACACATGAGGTGCTCAGCTGAGCACAGAACCACTCAGATGAACTCAGCACTGCCAATCCTTAGAACTGTGAGCCACATAAATGACTTGTGTTAAGCCACTATGTTTCAGGATTGTTATGCAGCAAGAAGTAACTGATAAATCCCAGATGTAAGTTATATGCTACAGACTTAAAGCAATTTCCCTGAAACAATAGACAAAACTCTTCGAAGAACTGGAGCTGAGAAAACATTGGAAATTCCTTCTCCAGGCATGTCAGATCACAGATACCTCACACTGTGGCTTCTGTTAAGTCCTGAACTTGTGATTTCATTGTCCTCATCACTTCCCAGAACCTTTACTCAGGCCCAACTCCATGAAATTCCAATGAGAAGAAGGATCATTAGAGAAGCAGGACAAGCCCTCCATAGAAAACACTGTTGCAAAACATTTGTTCCAAAGCGGCAAGAGAAAGTGCAGATACTTTTCCTGTAACATTTGAGGAGCTGGAGCCTCCTAACATGAACACTGAGGTGTAGAAAGAAAGATGGTGATCTTTCCAAAACCCAGATCCAGTTGTTGTTTCAGAAAACATCATCTGCAGCTGCATGCATGCGGAACTCCAGGTGCCTGGGGTAGAGAAATCTTAGGGAAATGAGCATTTGGTATGGTCATGCCTGTGGTGTCAGACACTGCTGTTAGTTACCCACAGCAGTTCCTCCTCTCTTTCTTGCCTTTTGGCAGAACTTACCACCCACAAAAGGTTAAAACTGCCAGATGGGATTGCTCTCCCAGACTCTCTTGCAGCTAGGAAGGTGTATGTGACCTAGTACTGACCAATGAGATATAGAAGGAAGACCACTGAGGACTTCATGATAAAAAAAATAGAGAGATCAATGAGAAGAAAGTGCCTGCACTTCATTCCTGCTTGGAATTCTGCTGAGGGAACGGAGCACTTGGAACTGCCACAGGAGCCATTAGGCAACCAATGAAAGGGAACATCTCAGACAAGCTGCAGATGACACAGGGAAGAGATGGAATGAGACTGGGCCCATGTTGACTTTGTTGAACTGCAGAACCAACCCTAAGACCTGACTTGTTGTTATTAGATTAAAGCAAAAAAAAAAAAGCACTCTTTTAGTAGGGTGTTTAAAACTTGCAGGTGAAGTCATCACCACTATTTCAAGGGAGACACACATCCCAGCCATGGTGCCCCACCCAAAACCCTGTGATGTGCAGGAATGCTGACTTTGGGAAAAGCAACATGGCTCTTTAACCTGGTTTCAAAATGTAAAGAGGTCTGCTACAGAGATAACACTTCCTGGAAGAAAACTGCTCAGGACCACTAACACGGCTTGTAACTGGAAATTGGTCAGTGCAGTGTAATAAAAAGCCTTAACCTATCTTCACCAGACTCAGATTGGCAATGAAATCTGTTTGATCAATTTGAAAAAAATCAAATGAAAGATCAAATGAAAGATCTTTTACTGCTTTAAAATGCAGTATGATGATAGCAAAGCTTTTAGGCATAGAGTACAGGAGGGAAAGAAAATATATACAAGGATTCCTTGGTGGGGCAAAGGCCATAGCCCTTCATGATCTATCAGCACATGCTGGCACTTGGCCAAAATGAAGAGTTGTCATGCCTGCACTGACCAGAAAAGGAGCAGGACAGGAAGCTCTCCTCATCTTGAGGTGACCTGATGTTTCAGAACACGTGGCACAAGCACCATTACGCTCATCCTTTCCTGGTGACAAACACCATGATGTGAAACCTGCCTGTGAGGTCTGACGAGGGCACCAGTGACAAGGACCCCTCCTAGTCCAACCCCTTACCTTCCAGCACTGGTGCTTGGCGTAGTAATCTCCCTGTGCAATCCACTCCGCAGGAGTTGAGGTCTTAACGAACATGCTATCATCAAAGTCTAAAATGAGAAAGAAAAGTGTGTTTGCTTCTCTGGGCTTTCTTTCACTTAAAACTGTTGTTATGGGCTGAGTTGCATCTCCTCCGCCAGCCATCAAATTCACTTGTTAAAGTCCTAACTCCCGGTACCTCAGAATGTGGCTGCATTTGGAGAGAGATAGGGCCTTTACAGAGGTGACTAGGTTAAAATGAGGCCATTAGGATGGCCCCTCATCCAATCTCACTGGTGTCCTTAGAAGAAATTAGAACACGGGGCGACCCCAGGGGCAAGAGAGCACAGAGGAAAGACCACGTGAGGACACAGAGTGGCTGGCTGCAAACCAAGGAGAGAGGCCTCAGAAGAAACCAACCCTGCCAACACCTTGATCTTGGACTTCTAGCCTTCAGAACTGTGAGAAAATACATCTCTGTTGTTTAGGCCATCTAGTCTGTAGTATTCTGTTATGGCAGTCAGAGCAGACTGACCTGTGTTGTCTTTCTAGTATTCATGTAAGATATATTTTAACTTACCAAACCACATTTGTGAGGTTATTGAAAGGAGGAGGTAGAGGGGAGAAAGGATGTGGTTTGGTTTTTAAGTTTTGGTCTACTTTCCTATTCTATGGCTACAAATCAGAAGACAGAAATTAAAAATTCCTCCTTGAAAACCCAAAGTCAAGTGGCTCTTAGCAAGCTCCCAGGCCAGGGCTTCAGCAAGAAAAAAAAGGTGACAAATTTTACACTATTTCCAAATGTGCAAACTTTGCCCTCATCACAATAAGTAATCTGACACATTCCTATTGGTGGACAGAGACCATTGTCACCACCTGCTGTCCATCCCTTCTGTTATCCTCACTAGCCTGCTGGTGACTATTTCAGCACTGCACCCCACCCCCACCCTGCCACCTGCATCCCCCAGAGTATCACTAGACAATGGGTGACAATCCCTGCAAGTTCTGAGCCACAGATTCATGAAACACACAAAATACAGTGAATACCAGGGTAATACTGGCAGACAAATCAGAGCTGAAGGAATCAGAGACACCTAGGCCAATGGATATCAACAGGGGAGTGAGGCAGACAGGTCAGATTTGTTTAGAAGGTGCAAAAACACGTTAAGCATCACAACCTGATCCCTCCCTGCTCGCCCTCTGCTGGTGCTGTGTAGCAGTACAGTGATGACTTAGCATCTTGTTCTGACTCCGTATGTGCTGCTATGAGTGCCCCTGTGACATTTAATTCCCACGGCAAAACCCCATCCATATTATCTCAAAATAGGGCCAGTGAACTCTGCAGATGCCATGTAAAAGAAACACAAATTACATAATCACCATACTGAATCCAAACACAATGGGAACAGATGCTTTAGAAGACTTTACTATGTACAACTTAAAATTTGTAATTAAGACTGCACTTTTTCTTGCATTCTTAATGCTGCCAAAACATAAAATAAATTGTGATCTGTTTTCATTTTGAATTTTTAAATTTAAAAAAGTCACTTAGCTTCTATGATCTTTGGTTTTTTAGTTTGTTTTTTGTTTTTTGTTTTTTGTTTTAAGATGGAGTCTTGCTCTATCACCCAGGCTGGAGTGCAGTGGCACAATCTTGGGTTACTGCAACCTCCACCTCCCAGGTTCAAGCAATTCTCCTGCCTCAGTCTCCTGAGTAGCTGGGACTACAGGCATGCACCACCACACCGGGCTAATTTTTGTATTTTTAGTAGAGATGGGGTTTCACCATGTTGGTCAGGCTGGTCTTGAACTCCTGACGTCAGGTGATCCGCCCACCTTGGCCCCTCAAAGTGCTGGGATTACAGGCATGAGCCACCACGCCCAGCCATATGATCTCTTATAGTGGATGCCAGAACATACTTGGGGAATAAAGGGGGATGAGCTGAAGGAAAGATTGAGAATGCCCATGCTAGGCCAATCCACTCATTTTCCTTTGGGAGAGAAGGTGGGACCTGAACAAGGTCATGTCATTACACAGGTAGAAAGTTTTTATGAGAAGCTATGTTTTGTTTTTTTAACTCCTAGCCTTTGACTTTTCCCATCACAATAGTCAAGTCTTAGGATAAGAAATCTAATCCTAGTCGCCAACCGAGCCATCAGTAATAACCAGAAATAGCCTCCAAACTGGCTGAGGAATGCTCAGGACAAACCTCTCTCCAGCAGCCAAACTCTGCTCCTTGCTCTACCCTTATAGAAATGAACAATAGCCTTGAGGAGACGACTTGACAACTAACCCTCAAGAAAGACAACAATTTTCTCCTTCATGAAGGGCTGATTATTTCTCTTCTCAGTTATCGTATCAGGAGAACTTCACTTCGTTAGGTAGCCTTTGCAAATTATGAAAAAAAAATACACAATTAAAAAAAAACCCTGCAAATAGCACAGAGGTAAGAAGGTGAAAAGTAAAAAGTGTCCATATCTACTCGACAACCCCATACCCACCAATCCTAGCATGAGAGGTAATCACTATAAACAGTTTTGCAACAGAAATAATAGGTGTATACATGAATTTATATGCATGCTATCTCTCCAAACTCTTGCTATTTAAACCCTTGTTACCCATAATCAGGAACTGAATACAGATAAGTTTTCTGATTAATTCCTTACTATCTGAACTATCGGTTCTTACTATCTGAACTAAGAGTTCTTACTGTCTGAACTCTTAGTTTCCTTGTTTTGTGAAACTCGGAAACCAAACAGATTCAGACAACCTGTTAACTCAGTAGCTGAACCCTCACAAACCCAGTTCTTGTTAAACAAACTCAGGAAATGAATTGGGTTTGATGGTTAAAGACACTTCAGTAGGTATTTGTATATATACACATACATACATACGCATGCATAAACATTCTATTCTGATATATACTGATATGCATAAAGTTTTTATATTTGCATAATATAAAGTTACTTATAAATTATATCATTCTACCCATACTGTTTTAAATTTATCTTTCACCCAATACATCTTGAACATCTTTCCTTAGCAGTAAATGACAATCCACATCCTTTTTCTCTTTAATGGTTGCATAGTAGTCCCCTGAAAGAAATGAATTTAGCCTTTCCCTCATTGGTGGACACTTAGATTGTTTTTAGTTTCTTGTAACTACAAACAGGGTTGTGATGAGCATACTTACGCAGGTATCTTTGAGATTTTGAACACAAATATCTCAGATATATCCCTACAAGTGGAACTGTTGGGTCAAAGTATGTACCATCTTTATTTTGATAGATACTGTTAATCAGCTGTACAAACACTCATAGCACTTTGTATTCTCCCAAAAGGGCCTATTTCCTCTAGCCCTGTCCATAATCCCCACTTTTAAAGGACAAATAAAAGATCTTCCCTGAAGGAGTTAACCTTCCCAATCCCACTACAGCTACACTTTCCCATGCACCTTGGCAAATGTGTAACAACTTCCATTTCTCAGAAGATTGTGGAAAAGAAAGAAAGCACTTTCAAAATACCACACCTTTTATTCCTGACCATAAGAACAGTTGAGAGAAACACGATTCCTCCATCAGTTAAGAGTATTTTAACAGGATCTTACCTTTATTTTCATCTGTCTTTACAACTTGGACAAAATCTCTTCTAATGAAATATTTGAATGCGGGAGCCCGTTTCTCTCGGTTTTCATCAAAGATCCAGAGGTTGACCCGAGCCCGTGTGATGGCGGTGTACAGCTGCTTCAGCTCTCCGTTGAGGAGCTAAAGATAACATTGAGGACAAAGATGATGAGCCATTTGTCTATAGCTACAAAGTGACACACTTCAATGGGCTTACTCTAATTTTGGAAAAACACAAAAACTAAATTTTAGAGAAGCATAGCACAGCTGAGAACAGGATACCAGGAGCTCACTGTGGCCACAGCACAGGTAAGTGAGGCTCCAGTGAGGCTATGAGAAACTCCACCTCTTTCCCACCTAAGCAGGAAGTGAGCATGCCATCTGTATAGGATGACCTTTGAATCAGCCATAATTTTTTTTCCTGTTTTTGCTATAATTATTTTAAGAGTTAATTCTGAAGTAATTATAGACTCACTGAAAGTTACAGTGGAAGATTCACTGGAAGAGTACAGACAGACCCCGTGTACTCAGTTTATCCCAAAGATTACATCTTACACAATTGCTGTGATTTATTTTTAAAAATTAAACCAGTCATACACTTTTACTATAACTATCACTAGTACTGAATTACTCCAAACCTACCTTATGATTGCATCAAAATTTCTGAACAAAGCTGAGTTCCAGAGGTGAACTAGAAAGGACAACCCTTCTCCTTCCGTTTTCAGACAGTATCCACCCATCAAGCCCAGTTCTCTACTAAAAAAAATGGAATTTACCAAAACTGAGATCCCTGCCCCTTCCTTTCTTATCCTCAATTCCCCGTTGCTGAGGAAAACCAGCCAAGTGCAAGCTCCATTTTTCCTCTCATCTTCTCTTCCAAGCCTTTTTCACTACTTCCATGTCAAGTACATGTGTTGACAAATGGCAGAAATTCACCTTGTACATTTCTGGATTCACCATGAGAGATCGACCCTGAGAAGAGCCTGGTTTGTCCAGGGGTACTTCAACCAATGGCCGGTTTTCCTCTCTGGAGTCAGTTGAGGTAGGTGTGAATGAGGAAATGATCTTCCATTCCTTATAAGCCTGAACAACAACAAAAAAGTGAAGACCAACAGAATATGCTTTTGAACTACGCATACAGCCTCCCTGAGCTTCATGGAAAACTAAGCCTCATCGGGGGACCAGGCCTTCAACCCCAACTTTGAGAAAGATCCATCCTGTGATCTTAGAATGGATAGGAGGGAGATTAACTTGCACAAGCAGAGATCAGGGAAGTTGTGAAAATTCCCCACACACTACACCAAGAAGCTAAGAAGCCAGGCACACATGACCACTTCCAGGGAAGAATGCTAAGGGCTCAGGGAGTTATTCTCATTGAAAGAATTTCTACAATCAGTATGGACAGGGGAATCCCCACCCCTTCTCAAAACATGGTTAAGAGATGCACATAGGGTCAGCCGTTAAGATACATGTGGCAGAATTTTCTAACTAAATTATTTAACCGAGGATGAAGAAAATCCAGTGCTATGGTGTGCAAGGTAGACTCTGAGGTCAGACAGAACAAATTTGTATCTCAGTTCTTCCATTTATTAATTATGCAACCTCGAACACATTGTTTATTCTCCTGCTCTATAAAATGAGAATAATAATACTCAACTTTGTTGGGAAAATAAAAACAGATAATCAGTGTCAAATGTCTAGTACAATGTTTAATAGTTGACATTTTACCCATTTTTTTCCTTTACCCAAAAGCCAAAACCAAAGTGACTACAAACACCAGGGGTTGCTAAATTTTTTCTTTAAAATGTCAAATAATAAATATTGTTATCATTGCGGGTCACATGATCTCTCTTTGCAACTACTCAATTCTGTCATTTTGGTGCTAAACCAGCCACAGTCAACAAGTAAATGAATGAGTGTGTCATGTTCCAACAAAACTTTATTTGGGAACACTGAATCAAATTTAATATAATTTTTATATACCATAAAATATTATTCTCCTTTGGGTTTTTTTTCTGGCCATTTAAAAATGTGAAAATCCTTCTTGGCCCACATGCCATAAAAAAACTCCGGTAGTCTGGATTTGGCCAACAGGCTGTAGTTTACAGACCCCAGTAAAACTGAAGTGCCCAGATTACATGCAGAATTTAGAATTCAAAATTCTTAAGAAACTTCATATTTCATACTTTCCTGTGTCTTGTGAGAGTAGCTCTCCTAGCCTTTACTTTTCTTTTTATAAAATGGTGCTACTTGCCATCTATGTAACTTTTAAAGCATGCTGAAAAGGTGAAGTGGATAGAGTTTACTACCTGCCTTAAGTTACTCCATCACTTGAACTATGTAAACAAGGTTAAATGCCTTAAACACTGTCTATTAAATAGGAATGGTTATGCTACTAATCAATTATAGTACTAATCACCATGTTTTGAAATCATGAAATCACTTAGGTAGTTGGAAGGTTTAAAACAATCTTCAGGACATATTTGTGACTGTCCTTTTTGTGAAGCTATGCAGACAACAAAATTGTTTACCAAGGAAAGTAGGCAGAAGACACAAGTGTTTGACATTTGAGAGGATCCTCCTGGCAGGTAGCATGAGATACGGACTGGCTAATATTGAAAGGGCTAAGGAAGAACAGGGTATTTTAAAACAGCTGTAAGAGAAGCAAAAGCTGCTCAGATGGCACATGAATGGCCTGTTTCATGAATCAAACATATTTTATTTCCAAGGTGGGGCCTTTTAGGAGTGCGCTTATGTACTTGTAGCAAGGATACAGGCCTACAGCACTTGGGGGAATAAAAGCAGGAAAATTTAAAGTCTTCCAGTTTCTTTTCTTGGTACTATCAATTGTGAAGGAAAAGGCTTAGATTTTACTAGCAATCCTACCTTTGAGGGGCCTATTCTCTAGGTCAATTAGACAACCCATAAAGGTTGTAGTTTTCACAGTCCCTTCTGTCCCACCGCCATGAGTATGAAAGAAAGGAGGTCCCACTGGGGCAAGGTATAAATGGCAGTTACCCTTCTAAGTCCCCACAGAAGGATAGCTTGAGGGTGACTGGAAGAATGACTTCCTCTCCCCCAAAAAGAAGGCAACATCCTACAAAAAGCTTTGGGGTAGCCATTCTGTGGTCCCTTTCACATCTCAAGAGATGGCTCTGGTGACCATGTGGTTCAACAGGTAACAATAAACCCTCCAGAGAGAAGAATCACAAACCAGGCCAACAAGCCCCATACCCCTCAACCCACCCACATATAAGCCCAGATAACAGCTGCTTCAAAGACAGAGCTTGCCTGAAATATAAATGAGATGGAAGAAGAGGTCAAGGAGAGAGAGGAGCTCTCCACAGTTCCCCAAGTTCAAATAGCAATCACTGTTCAGCAGCCTTCAGTTACCTTGAAAGAAACCCCATGTAAGCAGCCAGACCACAGGAGGCTGGGGATATATGGGACCTGTCTTTCCTCTCCTTTTATGAAAGCGTTTCCTCTCATCTGCTGACTGACTCCCTTTGGCCTGGAGGTTGTAAATGATAAACTGAGAGTGTGCTTTGGGCCAGGGAATGCATGGTCACATTAACACTGGGAAGAACCCCAACCAAAGTATTTTCCAAAGTCTTACTGTGTACACAGGATGAAGTGGATGTTTACAAAAGATTCTGTTTGGGATTGTTTTAGTTTCAGGCAACTCCCTGAGCCATTGGTGGGAGCACCGGGTCAAGATACCTGAGCCTTGGCCACTTCCAGGATCAAGGTAAGACACATAACTGGATTTTTCTTTCACAAATAGAGCCAACCACAATTTACAGATCCTTAAGTCCAGAGCTCCTTGAGCTTCTTACTCGCACAAGCATACAACTGGTACTTAATAAAGAACAGAAACAACAAAGTCTTACCCTTCCTCTTTTAGGAGAGCCTCAGTCCAACCATGACCGATGGATGTATCATTAGAAAAAAAAGTTAGTCCTCAGAGGTAAAAATGGTTCCAGGGTTAATGAGTGTGCATCTGATTTTATTAGCAAAATTTAACAGGAAAGGAATGTACATAAGGAACAGCAATGATACACTAATTGTGGAAGGTTCTGGAATTCAATTCGCATGCGAGGCTTTAAAAGGAAGGAAAATGGAAAGAGATTTAGAACTCAAAGCATCTGAGTTCATCTCCAGGCTCTGCCATCTACATTACGACTATGAGAAATGTACTAATCTCAGTGACCTTCTGCTTTATCTACAGATAAAGGTGGCTCATGCTTATAATCTCAGCACTTCGGGAGGCCAAGGCAGGAAGATTACTTAAGGCCAGGAGTTTGAGACCAGCCTGGGCAACACAGCAAGACCATATCTCTATAAAAATAAAAATAAATTTTAAAAAATAGAATGAGAGTAATAAAAATACATATAACCTCAGAGGGTTGGTGGAGTGAGACAATGACTTCAAAAAGTACTCTGTAAACTGCAAAGCACCTATATCAATATTGTAATAGTTGTGCTATTAAGGCAAAATAACATTTAAAAAATGATAAGAAAAAAAGGAAGGACTCTATCTAAAGGGTCAGTTCTGGGGCAGATTTTTAAAGTGTTAAAGCCAACAGTGCTCTTGACTTGGGTATAACATAGCCCCTTCAAGCATGCATCATGTGCAAAGGAAGTCTGCAACAAGGACTGGGACACAGCCAGCTAAGTCCCCAGAGAAGACCCCACAGTACAGTCAGCAGCCAGCTTGAGTCTCCACCAAAAGATAGTGGGAAAGAGAAAACAGTGGCTAGAAAACCCAGGACAACGGCTGTGAGTTGGTAGCTCTACCCATAATGAACTAAGCTTGGGGAGAAAAACCCACAAGGACTCAGGAGCCAAGTGAAAGCAGTGGACCAATACAGAGGTCACTGGGGGTCAATGTGGGGACTCTTTGGCTGCCATCATCTGCATGAGCTGCAAGCAGTGGTAGTGAAGCCATGCTAGAGGGGTCTCTCATGCAAGGAAGCTGTTCTTGTCCCCCACATTACCTGATCCAGAGGGCAGGAACCAAGCCTCATTTGTCTTCCTGGAATTGTCTCTATCTATGAACTGACCTTACCCAGTTCTGTCATCACAGGGTGGACATTGCTAACCTTGGCTTCATCTGTAAGGCTCTCCTTAGAGCTTGCTCCAACTTGGGCATCCCTGGGAGCCAAGGATAACAGTGGCTAATGAGAACTGGACACTGGCACTTGGGTACTAGAGAGCCAAAGAAGGGCAGGGCACAGGGGGAACTAGCCCATGACACACTGTGAAACAACCCACAGCTAATGTCAAAACCCACATCTAAACACACAAAACCTCATACTGAATGAATGATGCTCTAAAACACAAACAGGAGCCTGTGATAAACTCTCTTACCCTCAACTCCAAATTCTCTTCCCCAGAGGGAAGTTCAGCTCATACATAAATATTCATTGTGTGAAAAGAATTAGGTGTGACATACCTCAGAATCAGTAAAAAAGTTGTAAAGGAGGACATCATCAAATTCTAAGCCTTTTGCTTCATAAATTGTTAGCACAAGTGCTAACCCCAGCTCTTCTGGAATTTTCTCCTTTGCCGTTTCATTGGCCACAAGGATTACCTGAAGAAAAACAAAAGAACATCAAATTCTACAGAGAAAACCCCAGTAAGCCTCAGTCTATTTCTATGGGAGATAGGTAATGTTTTTAAAGAGAAATGGCCAGCATAAACATGGTCAGGCAGGCCAGGGGAAAGATTGAAACACTTGGTCACTCAGCCATCTCTGGAACTCACCCACTGTGGGACAGGGACTATTTTTAATGCTACTTTGTGGTATAATTTAGCTTCTCAAACTTTTTTCAATTGCAAACTGTCTTTTATTTCAAAACATAAAATCCCAAGCAGCTCACCTGGTGGGCTCCAAATTCAATGGGCTGAGTTTTCCTTTTATTCCCTCGTAGCAAAATTGCCAAGTCGCTTACACTACAAGACTCCAGAACAGTTGGCTTAGGACCATCAAAGAGGCCAGAATCCCTTGGAAGGCGATCAAAAGATTCTGGGAAATAGAACTGAAGTAAATCCACCACTCCAGATGCCAGATTGAGGATTCCTGGAATGAAACAGAAAACCCAAGTTGGATAATTAACAACATGGCTGAGTTTTTTGGTTATTTGGGGTGGGGGACATGTTTTTCCTGAGAAGCAGGTTTGGCCCCTACAGTATGTATAATTGCAAGCCCGTTTTCAGTTCCCATTTGATTACCTCTGCAGCCCTGAGCTCTCTGGGTGCAGGGGATGAGAAGGCAGAGATATGTTGCTGTGCTGAGAGAGTTTTGTGGGATCTCATTCCCAACCTATATTCATATTAGAGAAAATTACCTCACAAAGAAGAGTCAAGGCAAAAATGTAATATAAACAATGAGACCTCAGGAGGCTGAGGCAGGAGAATCGCTTGAACCCAGGAAGCGGAGGTTGCAGTAAGCCAAGATCACACCTCAGCACACTCCAGCATGGGTGACAGAGCGAGACTCCATCTCAATTAAAAAAAAAAAAAAAAAAAAAAAACAATGAGAGCTGTTAGAATGCTCTCATAAGGGGCTGGTATTGACTTTGGTAAGAAAACCAGAATTGCCTTGTCCTCTCCCATTGGTGCTTACAGAACCAATATTACCATGGTAAAAACAGTGCTGCATGTGAGCTAAGGACAGCAACCAAGGCCTCCATCACCCTTTTCCCCCAGGTTTATACCCAGTTGAGAGAGGATTACACTAAGAAAAAATGTCAGAGCAGGAGAGAGGATTTTCCAAAGAGATTTATTCCTGGGTCCCATTTCTTCTCTAATATCTGAAGTGACGTTAATAGTGACATTGGCTTAATGCCTATCATACAGCAGGCACCTTCAAAAAAGTCATCCCATTTAATCCTCACAACAACAAATCCTCACAACAATGCAGTGAGACAGATGAGACAATTGCACTTTTACAAACAGGAACTCTGAGGTCTGAGAAGCTAATAGATATCTCCCAGTGATAGGATTTGAACATAGACCTTCCTGGGTGTCTCCACTACTCTTAGAAGCCAGGTGCCCTTTTCAAACACCAGATAGAATACAATGGTCTAGGTAGAACGTCATGAAATGGGCATATGTATCCCCATTGCTATTACCAAATAGTGAAGGGAAAATGTGACTATCCAATACTGTTGTTATTAAAAGTATATAATATAAAGCAATAAGCCTAAGTGGAAACTGCTGAATCTAAGCAAATAAGCTTCTACTGTGGTTCCCTTCCCATTAGGAGTTAGCAGGGGCCAAATATATATCTACATTAACAGGAGAATCAGAAAAGGGCACAAAAGTTGCAGTAGAATCCACTTAAATGGCCTTCTAGGGAACTAGACAAGTAATTTTTGATGTAACCATACTCAAAAAACAAAAGATGGTTCAACCATAGAAAGGAATAAAGTGCTGATACATACTATACATGGATAAACCTTAAAGACATTAAACTGAGTGAAAGAAACCAGACACAAAAGGCCATGTATTATATGATTACACTCATATGAAATGTCCACAATAGGCAGATCCGTAGAAACAGAAAGATGAGTTGTCACCGTGGAGTGGGAAGAAGGACACAATGAGTAGTAACTGCTATGATTATGGGTTTTGAGGGGTTTTTAATTTCTGAAAATGTTCTAGAATTAGATGATGGTGATAGTTACACAATTTGTGAATACATTAAAAAACACTAAACTGAACATTTCAAATGGGTGCCTTTTATGCTATGTGAACCTCAATGAATGCACTAGAACTCCACATTATCAACATGCAAAATTCTCAACAACAGGCTGGGCACGAGGGCTCACGCCTGTAATCCCAGCACTTTGGGAGCCTGAGGTGGGTGGATCACCTCAGGTCAGGAGTTCAAGACCAGCCTGACGAACATAGTGAAACCCCATCTCTACTAAAAATACAAAATTAGCTGGACATGGTGGCAGGCGCCTGTAGTCCCAGCTACTTGGGAGGCTGAGGCAGGAGAATTGCTTGAACCCAGGAGGTGGAGGTTGCAGTGAGCCGAGGTCACGCCACTGCACTCCGGCCTGAGCAACAGAGCAAGACTCTATCTGAAAAAAACAAAAAAAAAAGAAAGAAAGAAATCTCAACAACATAACATTAGGCAAAAATACCCAGTTACAGAAAGATATGTCCAGCATGATCCCATTACAGTTTTTAAACATGTAAAGCAATACTCCATATTGTTCACAGATATTTGTCGGCCAAAGGAGATAAATTTGTTAGTATCTATAAACCATAAAGGAAATATTCCAGCATTGGTACCCTGTTATTTAAACTTGTGTACCTTAGTTTCTCCTTTGTAAAATGGGTCTGATGCTTACCTCGCAGTGGTGTTATGAAGATTAAGCACTATACGTAAACTGTTTAGCATTGTGCCTGGCACAGAAAGAGGGAAAAACTAAGAAACAAATTAAAAGCACCCAAGTGTGTGTTAACTCCCACTGCCTACCACCCTCCCTTTTTTTTTTTTCCTTCTCTTTGGGAGAAAACCTGCTTCAAGGATTAATGACTTGTAACTGGTATATTACTTTATATAGAACGAGCAGGTACTTCCCAAGTACTTTAATGAAAGTTCTCAAACAGTTTAAATGTTCCCCTGAAATGTATTCATGTTATGGCAAACTCCTTGAGATATAATTACTTAAAGGTCAGTTGCCACCCAACCACAGCTTAAATTATTAACTTAAGGAGCAGTGGCCAAAATCATACTATCTCTTGTCCATGAGCGTATTTACTAACAAATTCCAAAATACTACCCTTACTTCAGCTGTAAAAACCTAACAAGAGCTAGTCTGCAGCTTCAAAGGCAGCCCAAAGTCTGTGCCTAAGCACCCCCAGTAGGCAAACCCAAGAGCTGGACTTACCTGAGTGGGACCTGTAATTCTGGTACAGCTGGTGGATCTTCTTGGGCTTCCGGACAGCACACTGCTTGTCTATGGTGTTTCTGCTGGCATAATGGAACAGAGAGCGCAGATCGCTGAAGCGGAAGGCCACGCCCTTCATGATGCTCTGGGCCGTGTCCCCCGTGAGGAACATAGAGTTGGGGTCATTGATGCATTTCATCAGCAGCGCCAGCTCGGCCTGGGTAAAGTCTTGAATCTCATCACCATAGAGCTCGTGGATGGACCATGGGAGCACCCTGAGCTTCGACAGCCTCCGGGATATGTTGTACAGAACATCCTCTTCATCAAAATAACCTTTCTGGGACCTGATTTGCTGATACAGACTGAAGAGGCTGTAGATCTCACTCCGGTCTTCCTTGAAATTGGGGCACCGTTTCCTCCCTAATTTCTTATATACTTCTTCAGTGAGTCTCCCATGGGGACAGCTGAGGGCCTCAAAAGAACCCTTTAGAAAAGATTTTATTTCTTTCCAAATCAGTGCAGGGTTGTAGGCAGTCCTCCCTTTGGTCATTTTGGGCCATATTTCATTTTTGAACACCTCAAACGTCACGTACACCCGGGGGTCACTGTCACCCGTACGCATTTCTACAGCTTTATCCTCCTCACTGTAGTCCCCATCCACCTCAGCCTCCTCTTCATCCTCTTGCCAACTAGGAATGGTTGACTCTTCCTGTGCAGACCATCCTATGATGGTTCTTTTCAAGCTTCCATCTTCGTTTCTCAGAAAAAATGGTTTGGGCAGAGAAGCATCAAGCAGAAGAAGCAGCTGCTTGGAAGTGACAAACAGAGGAAAGTTCTCGTCCCTCAGGTCCTGGAGTTTGTGAATGTTGGGGTCCAGTGGTTTGTAATGACTAGTGGCCTTGGTGGACTTGGAAAGCTCAATGAAATTCCTTTGTACCTCCTGGCACAGCACATGGTTCTTGGTCACAAAGATCTGATGTAAATGCTCCAGCTGGTGGGGATGTTCTGGTGCACATACTTCTGCAGCTTGGCCGTCCCCTGCTGGCTCCACACCGGCTCCTCCTGCGCAGGCTTCATACTCCTGCTCATCTATGCTTTCTACTGTTTCCACTTCAATAGAATCTTCCTCTTCCTCGTCCTCTTCCTCCTCCTCTTCCTCCCCACCTGGACTCTCTTTTCCGGGTTCCACTTCCAACCTTCTCTTCAGCCAGACCTGTTTGGCCAGCAATGGGCTTCCTGCCTGCTCAGCTTTTTCCCAGTAAACGTGGAATTTCTTCCACAATCTGTACAAGCAGCAGGTTGTCTTCCCAGTGCCACTTCGCCCAATAAGGATGATGGGCTCCAGTGGCCTGGGATTGAGGTCGATCACCGCGTACTCAAGCTCACCCACCCGGAAGGGGTACTCCACTGTGGCTGTCGTGTCATTGAGGATGTTAAAGGCCATGTTGGTGCTGAAGCTGTGGAACTTCATGATGTTATATTCTGTCTCCACTGCACTGGCTGGGGGAAAGTACTCAGGATTGACATGCTCCCTGCCCTTCTCGGCCTCTGTGTCCTCCACATAGCAGCGAGGTATACGCTTTTGAATTTTCATGTTAGCTGACACTTGGCCTTTATTGATACCTTTCAGCTTCTTCCGCAGGACACAGGACAAGCCCCGGTTGTAGGCATTGCAGATGGCCTTGATGGAATCAGCCAGTTTGCAGTGATCTAAGACGATGTCCCAAATCCGGATGATTTCCGTGTAGATCCGCCCTGATTTCTCCATTGCACACGTGTTCTGCTCCGTGGCAATGATCTTCTCAGGGTTCTCACTGCATCGAGGGGAGAAGTCAATGGCGAGCTCCCAGAGCATCCGGGCTCCTTTGTCCAGCTTAGCTTCGAAGAGCTGGATGCTTCCTTTCAGGTGCTTCAGTCGCTTCTGCAGGCCCTGGGTCCACTCGCCATTTCCCAGCTGCTGAATGGCAAGGATGATTTTCTTCTTGATGACCTTGGTCATTACCTTACTAGACAGCTTCTTCAGCATTTCTGAAGTGCACTCGATCTCCCAGGTCATGTTATCGAAGTCCTGGAGGCAGGCCTCAATCTCCTGCGTGCTCCAGTCATCCTGATCATCATTGCCCTCCTTCCCCCTGTTATCATCAGGCACAAGCTGCAAGGCCCCAAGGCCCACCTGAGCATGTCCTTCCCCCACCTCACTACAGTCAGGGGCCCCTGCACCCAGAGTCGGCTTGTCATCTTTCTTTCCTTCTTTGCCAGCTCCTGCCTCCAGAGGCTCAGAGCTCTGAAGACAGTCCTCTGGGAAAGACGGATCCACTTCAACCTGCTGAATCAAAACTGTGATGTCCTGCATAAGGCAGTCTCTCAGCGAGCAGGGCCTGAGAGCTCCAGGCTCCTTCCTGGTCACCTGGGTACCTGGGAGAGTCTCCCAGCTGTCAGGGACTGCACTTCCTTCAGGCAGTGTTCTGGCAGTGGCACCACATGGCACTGACTTGAATGAACCCTGGGACTTGAGCTGAGATGTGTGACCAGGGGCAGTGGACTTTGAGAGCTTCCCCAGGTGGGCAGCAGAGTCCTGCCGGCTCCTCCTCCTGTTCTCCATCAGAGCTTTGTTCCAGGCCAAGAGCAGAGAGTCGTTCTTCTTAATCCGGTGCCGTGCATCTTTGCCCTCTTTGTTCTTCAGATTGAAGTTGATGTCAAACTTCACCAGCAGGTCTAACAGCTTCTTCACGCGCTTTAGCATGCCCTTCTGGAAGAGGATGTGCATCAGCGTGTTCCCATTGCTGTCCTGGACATTGGGGTTGAGGTAGTCGAATTCAGTGGGGTTGGACCAAAACAGATCCAACAGATGGCTGAGGAAGCTAAAACCAATGTCAGCTGAAAGACACAAACAAAACCCTGTGAGCACTGAGCCACTCTTCTTAGGGGACAGCAGACCCTGGGGTTTGAGAGTGATGCCAGCCAGGGGCATCTCAGAATGCTGAACTCCCCCAAAAAATCTGAAATCCATTAAAGAGCTCAGTGGTTCTCAACCAATGGTGATTTACTCCCCAAGGGACATTTGGCAATGTATAGAGACATTTTTTATTGTCACAGCTAGGGGAGTGTCACTGGCAGCTAGCAGGTGGAAGCCAGGGATGCTGCTAAATATCCTACAACGCACAGAACAGTGCCTTACAACAAAGAACTACCCAGCCCAAATGTCATGGTAGTTCCTGAAATGACCATACAAGATTCTAGCAAGATCCTTCATACGCAGACCCTTGAAAATGATATAAATAAATGGAAAGTATTTTTCAGCTACCAACAGCCAACTCTGGAACTTTAGAATCCTCCATCAACCCTCCCTGACCACTCACCATGGTGGTCACTTCTTCCCATTATGCTACAAGTGAGGGGCCAGGTGACATGGGCAGGCCTGGCCAAGAAATGGGCCTTTTTCAGATCACTGGTTTACACAAAAGGAAAGACCAGAAAACATAGCATCAGTTCTAATATCCAGCTTCCTCCTCAAGGAGACGGCTGCTTAAAAAACAAGGGCTTACCTTTAATCTCTAGAAAGATGTGGAGTGCTGCATGCAAAGGAGTATCACCTTCCGTGAGAGAAATAGCACGGGGGTCTGCGCCCTTGGTCAAGAGAAGGAAAGCCAACTCGAAGTCCTCATGTTTCAGGCACGTGACAACTGGCCTCTCCTGGCTCTCCTGAAGACCATCAGGCAAGGCTGGGAGAGGAGAGAAGGGAAGCGCAATGTGAGCAGGCACAGCCTGGCTCGCCTGACGAGAGAAGGAATGCTTCAGTTATTCAGTTGCAAGGGAAGAGCTAATGTTTACCTAACTTCCAAGATCCTCCTACCAGCACCCATTCTGGGAGGCAAAGGCTTCTGCCAGTAGCCACAAAGTGAAAGCCCAGCTCCTTCAAGCACCCTGTCTGGGGGCCTCACCCCCGCCTCCTCTCCAGCTCCCCACCACAGGAGCATAGTTCCCACCATTCCCACTGTCCTGGCATGAGGACAGGGCATGAGAACTGAAACCCTAACACCCACCTAACATCATACCTGACACAGTCAGTGTGAGGACACTTTCTACATCCCTTGCTTCTTTTTTTTTTTTTTAATACTTTAAGTTCTGGGATACATGTGCAGAACGTGCAGGTTTGTTACATAGGTATACACGTGTCATGGTGGTTTGCTGCACCCATCAACCTGTCACCTACATTAGGTATTTCTCCTAATGCTATCCCTCCGCTAACCCCCCACCTCCTGACAGGCCCTGGTGTGTGACGTGCCCTCCCTTTGTCCATGTGTTTTCATTGTTCAACAGCCACTTATGAGTGAGAACATGCCACATCCCTTGCTTCTACTGAGCTCCTATTCTCAACTGCCATCTTCCCTGACATCTCTCCACCCGAAATCACCTTCTTTTTAGTTCAGTCCACACAGCTCCTCTGCATCAAAGTTCCCCAACCTCCACCAGAAGGCAGACCCACCCACTATAGATCTGCAGTCTCCTCCACACACTTCCAGCAGCTGCGCACTCACCTCTGTGGGCTTGGTTCCTAGCACCTGATCCTGAGATGTGCTCTATAAGTGCTTGCCGAATCAAGAAATAAAACAGGAATTCCATGACAGCTGTGGTTTCCAGGCAAAGAAAGTAACACTCCACTTAAGGAAGGAGTTTAAAAAAATAAATTATAGAAGCCACCCCACCTACCTCCTGAAAGCTGTGGATGGAGCCAACACCTAAAGGCTCTGCAAGGTGTGTGGCACTTTGAGGGCTAAGGATCAATGTGCTATTGATAACACACAATGTCTTGTGTGTTACTGTTATATCTTACATATTATGTGTTATTGATAACACACAATGTCTTGTGTGTCACTGTTATATCTTACATATTATGTGTTATTGATAACACATAATGTTTTTTCTCGTAAAAGACAATTCCTCATACAGCACGAAGCAAGCAGAGAACTACATAGCCAAGGTACTCTTCTAAAAGCCTGCACACATTAACTTATTTAATATCCAAAACAACCCTATAAAAGGGGGCCTATTTATTCCCATTTTACCAATGAGGAAATGAAGTCATAAATGGCATGTCCAATGCCACACAGTTAGTACTGGCATTAGTGGAGGTGTGAGGGACAGAGGTAGGAGGAGGTTGGTGTTTCTAAATCAGCTTGGAAATAAAAGCCAATTCAGCAAGATGTCTGCACACTCCAGACACACACCCAGCCACGCATGATAGTTCTCATTAAAGCAGCAGATGCTTCCACCCACCAATTACTTGACCGTTTCTTTAAAAACAAGCATCTTGAATCCCAATCTGTTGATCAGAAAAGAATGTCACAGGAGTAGATAAGGATCCACACAGTATATCCACTGCAAGTCAAAGTCTAGCCAGAGGTCAGGAGGAAATGACTGCTGTAGGCTAAACCAGAGCCAAGGACCCTTCACACACCTGATGTTTCCCATACAAAAGAGAACACCTGATGTTTCCCATACAAAAGAGAAAGGTAGTAACTGGAATTCACAAAAATGCAGAGATCCTCAAGGGCAACTCACTCACAGGGCAGTAACCTCCATCACTGTTTCAAAACAAGAATATACAGGGTAGGCAATGAGGGTGAACTTCATGGTGCCTCCAAAAGCAAGGGAAAGGCAGGCAGTGGCCTGGACTCCATCACGTGGAGAATGTGGACAAGTCTCCAACGCTTAGCATCCAGTCACTCTCACCTCCACTGTCTATCAGGCAGCCCAGAAGCTGTTTCTTCCGCTGGTCCCAGGTGCTGAGATGGGGGATGATGGTACAGATGTCGAGGTCTGAGAAGTTGCAGTCTTTGATGAGGCAATCCCCAAGCGGTGGTTCTCCACTTACTTTGCGGGTCAGCAGCAGAAGCACCTCAGGCCATCTCTGTTTTTCCAATAAGAATTTGAAGACGGTGGTGGCACAGTCTTGATTAATATCACAGACCAGGTCAGGAGGAATTTCTTTCAAAAATAAGAGTAAGACACATTCCAAAAATGTTCATATGATTTCTCTTCTTTCCCCAATCACAACCCAACATCCATATATAATTAACACGGATTATATAAACAAGTAGTTGATTATTTGGGCCATGTTGCTTAACCACTCATGAACATCAGTGTAATGACCTTGAGACTTCATGGGAAGATCAGAAATACCCTATGAAGAGTACAGACCCTGGCCCAGGAGACAGAAGAATGATGACTGTGTCTTAACGCAGAATACTTGAATTCAGAGTATTCTGCTGAGATCAGAAGGGCAAAAGCCTGACTTAAATTTTGCATGATATTAAGAGTGTCCTTTCCTAATAAATACTGAAATACAGAGAGATACTACAGAACAATTAAAACGTCAAGAGCCATAAGGTAACCATGAGAGGATGGCTTATCCCTTAATTCTTGATTTTTTATCATGATAAATAAATGTTTCCATCTGATCTTTGATGTCTAAAGACAGGATAAAAATTATCCCACTTCATACTGTTGGTGAATCTTAAGAGTAGAAAACTTTTTTTTTTTTTTTTTTTGAGATGGAGTCTCACTCTGTCGCCCAGGCTGGAATACAGTGGCGCGATCTCGGCTCACTGCAAGCTCCACCTCCTGGATTCACGCCATTCTCCTGCCTCAGCCTCCCGAGTAGCTGGGACTACAGGCGCCCGCCACAACACCCGGCTACTTTTTTGTATTTTTAGTAGATACAGGGTTTCACTATGTTAGCCAGGATGGTCTCGATCTCCTGACCTCGTGATCTGCCCACCTCAGCCTCCCAAAGTGCTGAGATTACAGGCGTGAGCCACTGCACCCGGCCAAGAGTAGAAAACATTTTAACAGATCTTCAGCAAGTAGATGGTCAGATTTAGCAAATAAAAACATAGGATGCCAATTAAATTTGAATTTTAGATGAACAACAAATAAATTTTTGTATAAGTATATATATGCAATATTTAGGGACATATTTATACTAAAAAATTATTCATTGCTTATCTGAAATTTAAATTCAACAGGGAATTCTGTATTTTGTCTGGCAACCCTACCACTAAGAAAGCAGGGAGGAAGAGCAGAAGGGGAGAAAAATCAAGGATTACCTAAATAAGAGCAACTTGATTTGCATTTGCTAGTTTCCGCTTCCCATCTTTTTCCAAGTTTTCTTAAAATGAATATTCATTTTAATATTTAAAATGTTCATTTTAAAATAAGAAGAAATTAAATATAGGCTAGTCTATCATCTTATTTTAATAGGAATCAGAATAAAAGTGTAAAAGGCAAACTATTTAAATCGGCATTTGCAATTTTTGTCCCCGGAATCTATTCACTCATCATCTGGTATCAGCCCTCTCCCACCTTCTGGCACTCTCTGTTGACATATGGATGAGATATGGTAGCATGTGATTTGGACCTAAGCCAATCAAGAATCTCCATCCTTCTGATCACATTCAGCTACAGAGGTATACATCATGATCCAAAGTGAAGCCTAGGACATTTGTTCGAACCACTGAAAGAGAGAGACAGACGGGTCCACAAGTCCAGAAATGTGGGACAAGTCAGAGATTAGAGACTTCAATGTCATCTCCACAGAGAGTCTGAGATGGAAGCCAACTAGCAGAGAGCTCAGTTGAAAGATGGGAGACAATGGGTCATAGTGACATTGGTGAGCTCCCTGAAGCCAGCTGTACTTGAAGCCAGCCTGGCACTTTTATTAGGAGAGTCAAAAAAAGTCACTTTTTTGCCAATTTTTAGCCCATTCGAGTCTGTCATTTTCAATAGGAAGAGCTATAAATAGCCTACCCTACGGCCAGTTAAGGATACAAAGAGGAAAAAAAAAGGAAAAGTGAAGACAGAAAAAAGTTAAAAAGGTTGGGTGGTTTAGAGACCCACTCAGCTCTGGAAGACAGTTGAGGGAGAGACCTTCAAGAAAGGTACAAAGAGTAAGGAATAAGAGGAAAGGGGAAAGTAACCAAGCCAAAGTGAGAGAAAGAAGAACCCACACCAACACTCACAATACCCTACAGAGAAAAAAAGGAGGCACAGGAACACAGGCCATAAGACACAAAGGACATTGGAAAAGCAGCATTCCCATCGAATGGGCTTTTATGAGATTTTTACCAAATACCATTAAATAAGGTTTTATTTTCACAACCCTAAGTAAAAATGAGGACAGTCTTCATGGGCCACAGATCAAATGACATTAAGTCCAAAAACCAAAGGCTCCCTAGATGTGGTTTGTACAGAATATCTACATCTAATAGATCCCATACAAAATGGCCCCATCCTAGAGTGTGTGTAACAGGTATGCTGGTTATCTTTGACTCACTGATACCTAAGAAAGAAAGGCTGACAACCTAGCCTCATCGCAACCCATCCTAACAGCTAACGAGTACTAGCATTTTATGTGCAGGACATTAGACTAATTGTTCTATATTCATTATCTCACGAGGTTAGTTCCCTACCCAAGGCAAGGGGATGAAGAAACTGAAGCTTAAAGAGGTTAATTAATTGGCCTAAGGTCACAGATCTGGTATGTTGGAAACAAGACTTGAATGCTAAACTCCAAGCCTTAAATACTATCATCTGCTGCACACCCTGAGTATTTTAGGTTTCTCTGGCCATGCCTTCTTGCACTCTTTGTAAAATGGAGACATCCCAGCCTTATGAAGTGTCCATTTTAAAAATATTATATTTTACCTACTTAGAATTTCTAGAATCTTCCCAAATTATTTAAATTTTTGTCATCTAAAGTTCTTTTCAGGAAGTTTCCTGATTTCCCCATAATGAAAAGGAAGAACATTCAATTCTACAATAACTTTATACTCCAACATTAGCCAGTATCTACAGAAGAGAGAAATATCTATAGTATTTTTTAAATGACTGTATATGCAAAGAGTAATTCTAGAAGGACACATAACAAGCTAGTAACAGGTTGTTTCTGGGGATGGGATTTAGGGGTTGAAGTTCAGGGGTATGTAATGGATTTTACACCAAAGAATGCTCTGTGCTGTCTGAATGTTTTACATGTAGATACATTATTTTTATTTTTTAAAATTAATTTCTGAACAGATATTAGAAAAGAATTTTAATGAACATAAATCATTTTTAACATCATTGAACGTTGTGGAAAAAATTACCTTGCAGAGTAGAAAGGAGACGCAAGAACCTCTGAACTACTTCCTGCTTCAGAAAGTTTTTATGCAATAACCGGTTTCCTGAGTTCATATACTTCACCAGCTGCTCCAAGACCTTCCTGAAAATGTCGTTTTCACTAGTGGGTCCATCACCATTGCTGAATCCTACAAAACAGCACCAGGTAATGCTTCTGAATACAGAAATTGCAGCTGTTACAGATTGCAAAAATAACCACAATTCTCCAACCCTCCACATACTCACATGCTGTGCAGTGTGACTTGCTGCTCCTCTCATCAAGAAGTGGAGCCTCTTTCCCCTCCACCCTCCCCTGATTCTGGACTAGCTTCATGACTTGCTATGACAAATAGAATGCAGTAGATGTGATTTTTGTGCCCTTTCTAAGCCTGGGCCTCAAGAAGCCTTGTATACTTCTGCTGACTTTCTTGAGGCTGTGGCCTTCATCATGTAAACAAGTCAGGCTAGCCTACTGAGAGATAAGAGACAACATAGAACAGGAAGGAATTGGCCTAGTTGTCCAAACTGAGACCCTATAGATGTGAAAGAAACCAGCCAACATCAGCAAAGACTGCAGACCCTTGAGTAAGTTCAATTAAGGCCATAAGAACAGCCCAGACTAAATTGCTGACCTGTAGGATCAGGAGCCAAATAAATGCTTGTTGGTTTTTGGGGGTTTTTTTGTTTTTTTGGTTTTTTTTTTTTTTTTTTTTTGAGACGGAGTCTTACTCTATCGCCCAGGCTGGAGTGCAGTGGCATGATCTCCACTCACTGCAACCTCTGCCGCCAAGGTTCAAGCAATTCTCCTGCCTCTGCCTCCCGAGTAGCTGGGATTACAGGCACTTGCCACCGCGCCTGGCTAATTTTTGTAATTTTAGTAGAGACGGGGTTTCACTATATTGGCCAGGCTGGTCTTGAACTCCTGACTTCATAATCCACTCGCCTCAGCCTCCCAAAGTGCTGGGATTACAGGCGTGAGCCATCACACCCAGCATGCTTCTTGTTTTAAGCCACGAAAATTGGAGTATTTTGTTATGCAGTAATAAATAACTGATATAACAATTCAGGGAGTGACAGCAGAAAGATGGCTTAGCACGATGGCAACATCCAACTACATGTCAGCCACCCAAACTTTTATGTCTTATTTGCAAGTGGAAAAGGCCAAGTAAGGAGCCATCTCTCTGGCCAAGGAAGGGAAGGCAATATCTTTTTCATTCAAGTTATTTGATAAAGTAGTCATGATGAGAAAACACCCACTGGCTGGGTGCGGTGGCTCACTCCTGTAATCCCAGCAGTTTGGGAGGCTGAAACGGGTGGATTGCTTGAGCTCAGGAGTTCAAGACCAGCCTGAGCAACATGGCAAAACCCAGTCTCTACAAAACATACACATGTACACACACACATACATATATATAGACATATTCATATATACAAATAAAATACAAAAATTAGCCAGGTGTAATGGCACATGCCTGTGGTCCCAGCTACTCAGGAGGCTGAGGCAGGAGGATTGCTTGAGCCCAGGAGGTTGAGGCGGCAATGAGTAATGATTACACCACTGCACTCCAGCCTGGGCAACAGAGCAAGACCCTGTCTCAAAAGAAAAAAAAGAGAGAGAGAGAGAGACAGAGAGAGACAGAGACAGAGAGAGAGAGAAAGAAAGAAAGAGAAAGAGAGAGAGACAGACAGAAAGAAAGAGAGAGAGAGACAGACAGAAAGAAAAAGAAAGAAAGAAAGAAAGAAAGAAAGAAAGAAAGAAAGAAAGAAAGAAAGAAAGAAAGAAAGAGTCACCGATGAAGTGTTGGAAAAAATGACAAATTTTTTTTATTAGGTATCAAAAAGTATTGTTAATTAAAATGGAATCTTACTGAACAGATAAGAGAGCAGAACTGGACATTTATTTTCACACCAAGTGAAAAGAGCCTGGCCCAGAGTAGCACTATCATGGTTGTGAAGAAATGAATGAATGTTCAATGTCATGTTCTACCAGAGTGGGAATACTTTAAAAGAGACAGCCTATTTGAAAACAGGAAAAAAATTAAAAGCATGCTTCAGTCAGGTTCCCTGGCAGCAGACACCAGATTTGTCCACAAGTAGTTTATTAAGGAGGAAGACCAGTAGGTGAGTGGGGGAAGCAGAGTAAGGGTGAGAGGGGAAGCCAAACCCAGGTATGCACTCAGGCAAAGTCCCACAGAGGGTGGTCTCAGCCTGATCCCACAGGAAGGCTCTGGAGTGTGAGTCACACTTCAGAGTGGTCCCTGTGCAAGGCAAAGGAAATGAGCTTTCATATTCTCGCATCTATCAGTCACTAGCTGCAGGCTGCCTTTGGACAATATAAATTCCCAGACATTTCTGGTTTAAAAAGAAGCAAGAGCAAAACAGCCGCTATAAGTCCAAAGACACTCCCTTGAAAACAAGCCTTGGGTGCTGACTTTTCAAACTGCACACACACCAATGTCAGGGGGTACTCAGAAATGGTGAAAGGGATCCAGGGGAATCCAGACAGAGCTCTCCAACATCTGCCACCCCTTCTGACACACATCTAAATCACACTTCAATAAATCAAGCCAGAACACCAGAAACATACACACATCCACTTCCGGGGCAAACACTCATTGCCCACTCTAATCAAGAGACGTTCAGGTGCCAGGCAGAAGGAAGATCCACTATAGCATCATCCTCCAGAGAACAGAAAATGATAATCATTTGGCAAAGAAAGACCCACATCACCCTGGCTGGAAGCTCACTGAGACTGAAATTATGTGTAGTAAAGCAATATCTGGCTAGCATCCCTGGACTTTCCCCTCCCATCTTCATCCTAAAATACCTATGAAGACAAACAAAAAAGGATGAAAACTCACAGTACAAAAAAAAAAATAGGACCTTTGGTAAAAGAGAAACTTCCTTCACTATCAAGCTGATGGAAACTTGCTGCTTGTCTGCCTGATAGAATCTTTGCAAAAACATCATTCTTCCCCCAGGAAAGTAAGTTTAGTAAAAAACTCACATGAAAATGAACAGAAACATACTAAGCTCAACAAAAGACACAATTAGATGCAGCTGCATAATAAATACATGATTACATGGTTCAGACTTGTTAAGAAGGCAGTTATAGATGAGCGAAAGATTCAAACATCAGGAAAGAAATCAGAGAATGATACAGATGGAAAGTTGCTAAATACTGACAAATGGTATCCCTTGGCAGGAGGGCTGTGGGTGACTTGTTTACTTCACTGATCTTTTCTGATTTTGTTTCTAAATTTCCTATAAGCTTAAAGAGTCAAAAGAAACATCAGGAAACAAAGTTGCTTATGCATTATAATCAAGAGTTTTTTAAAAGATGACTACGTAAGTACTGAACAACAAAAGACTGAATAAAAATGTGCTAACATGCAATTACAATAAATTTGCTTTTATATAAAACTATACTTTTACAAATTTTCAACAATGATCACATTTAGCAAATATAGCAGGTCCTCAAATAACATTCCTTTCAACAGAATTTCATTATAACATCGATGAGAAAACAAATTTGGTCCCCACCGGGGACACTGTGTGGAGTTTGCACGTTCTTCCCATCTTTGCATGGATTTTCTCTAAGTACTCAGGTTTCCTCCCACACCCCAAAGATGTGTACGATAGGTGAACTCACATGTCTCAGTTGTCCCAGTCTGAGTGAGTGCGGATGTGTGTGAGTGAGCCCTGCAATTGAATGGAATCCTGTGGAGGGCTGGCTCCCACTTGGCTCCCTAAGCTGCCGGAATAAACTGGCCACCTTCAACACTGAACTGGAATAACTCGGTAAATAATTATCTTACTTGTTTTTATTAACCTTTCTTAAATGTATATATAGCTCACATTTATTTCCATGTTTAATATTAGATCTTTATTTAGAAGTCTGGTGATGTTTTTGTGACCAAAACTATGCCTTAGGAACTTAACTCTTGTTTGTTATCAATTAACCTACCGTAAAACTGGTTTTGTTATACATCATTTTGCTTAAAGTCAGTTTCCAAGAACCTGTTAATAATGTTAAGTGATGACTTACTGTGTATATACACAGATTTGAAATTAAAAATTAAAAAGCTCTTCTGAAGTTGCAACCATAGTCAGAAGTAATAGAAAATAGAAATAAATTATTTCAAAAGGAGATTTCATTTTTGTCCAAAATCTTTTTATAAGGTTTAAAAAGCAAAAGTGTTAGGTTTTATTACATACATTTTTATCAATTTAAATTTACATTCTCATCACATTTTATAAAAGAAAATATAAATATATAACTAAAAATGCATGGAATAAGACTAAATGACCAAATCACAAACACATTAATTTTTTTCTGGCAGGTACAATTACAGATAATTAATAGTTTCTTTTCTACATTTCATAAATTTTCTAAGTATATAAAAAGATTGGTTTTATAAAAAGGAAGAAGTATGACAGACATCCTTTAAGTCAATACCCTATGCCTGCATATACTGAAAACAGGCACTGTCCTGGTGCTGAGCACAGCAGAAAGCAGCTGGCTCCCCACTGGAGGACCAGAAAGATAAGGATTCAGAGGCCTGATGTAAGCTGACTCGAAAAGGCCAAGAACTAGTAAATCAGAGAGAAGATCACAAACAACTGTGAGAAAAACAAAGGCTCCAATCTTGCGCTTCTTGGTCCCAAGGAAAGAGCTGAGCAGCAACATCAGGTAGAGAAAGTGGACATGCTGCCATCTGGTGGTGGCTATGAAAACTGGATAAAGACCATTCTGTAATCTTGACTATTTAGGACTAAAGCCTTGCTCCTCAAAGTGGTCCCTGGCTTGCCCTGGCAGCTAGTGAGAAATACAGAATCTCAGGTCCTGCCCTGAACCTGCTGAATCAAAACATGCATTTTAGCAGGCTCCCAAATAATTCATGTACATGTTAAGATGGAGAAACACTGGTTTAGAGAACAGCAGAAATCTTTAGCAAGACCCTTTATTTCTCACCTAGATGCCAAAAGCAGCCCCATCCTAAGAGATAAGGACCACTGTTATCAGCAAAATGGGGTACAGCAAACTTGAGGAAGAGTCAAGGGAGAAAGTATCTTTCATCATGGTCTGTAAATTGGAATGTTCATTCATCTGGATGTAAAACAACTCAAATCCTAATGTTATTGTGCTCAGGACCATAGATGCAAAAAACAAATGTTAGGCACAGATACAGCTCCCTAGCGGCAGCTCTTCCTAAAGACAATGCTTCCATCTGTCCCTTTAATGGATTAGGATGGGGAAGGATTAAGGTCCATAAAAACAAAGTAGATCCTCCTTCATTCCCATGGCCCTGGGCCTCCTCCTTTGATTCTCCCAGTCTCTTCAACTACTTTCTGGATAGAAACACCTTCTGGGAGCTAAAGTCTAAAGCTACATTATCCCATACATGGCCACTAACTTACATAAAATTACAGTTAATTAAATAAAATGAAATTTCTGGTTCTTCAGATGCATGAGCCACACACATTTCAACTGCTCAACAGTCACATGTGACGAGTGGCTATCATATCAGACAGAATAGGTGTAGGACATTTCCATCATCTAGGAAAATTATACTTCATGGACCTAGTCTAGAAAGATCCCCCAGCCCCACCTTAGGTTTTAAACTTTGTGCCATCAGTAAAATCTTAGAAACAAAATGTATGCATGTAACTCTATACAACTCTCTGGATGTATAAAGGAACAGTGATATTCAATATATAATTTCATTCAAAGATCATCACCTATAGAGTTCACATAGGCTTTATTTAGGCTTTTCCACAAGTTCTACTGCTGCGCCAGGAGTGGTGGCTCACGCCTATAATCACAGCACTTTAGGAGGCTGAAGGGAGTGGATCACCTGAGGTCAGGATTTGAAGACCAGTCTGACCAACAGAGTGAAACCCCATCTCTACAAAAAATACAAAATTAGCCGGGCATGGTGATGCATGCCTGTAATCCCAGCTACGTGGGAGGCTGAGGCAGGAGAATCGCTTGGACCCGGGAGATGGAGGTTGCAGTGAGCAGAGATTCTGCCATTGCACTCCAGCCTCGGCAACAAGGGCAAAACTCTGTTTCAAAAAAAAAAAAAAGAGAGAGAGAGAGAGAGAGTTCCACTGCCTAGAATACTTTGGGAAATATACAACTCCACCTTGCCAGCCCTTCCTGATTAACTTCTCCTCTTTACAGATTTTTTTTTACTAGTTCCTTTCACTCATGTTTCTCTATAGTCTTTCAATATTCCTCTAGCATGGCAAGAAAATCTTTGTGACCAGTGGCCTGGAAAACTTTACAGAAATCAAACGTCCAACAAGTTTACCATTGAGTACGGAAGGCTTTAGGCTTGACTGCATCCACTACCATCACAGGCTACCTGGTAAGCCAAATGGCAAGCTTGGAACGATGCACAGTCCTCTCATGCATGCTTTTCTGCCAAGCAAGTACAGGTGAATTCTAATGAGTGAAAAGGGGACACACTGAGATTCTACTGAGTCTCTTCTCTTGGTTCCAAACCCAGGTCACATTTAACTGGTGAAGGAAAGAGAAGAGAAGCGAGAGCAAGAACCTTGCCTCAGAAGACAAGGCATTTTTAGGATTAACAGATATTCAAGGATTGTATTATACAAGGAAACTAAAAAAAAAAAAAAAAAAAAAAAAACCTAAAACCTTAAAAACTAAACCAACATGAATGACTTAGGCCAAAGACTTTAACACTAAATAGAACATGCACAGTATTCTAAGAACTGAGATTAAAATTAATAAAATATAAAATTTGCAGGCTGAGTGCAGTGGCTCACATCTGTAATCCCAGCACTTTGGGAGGCGAAGGTGGGCGATCACCTGAGGTCAGCAGATCAAGACCAGCCTGGCCAACACGCTGAAACCCCGTCCCTACTAATAATACAAAAATTAGCTGGGTGTGGTGGTGCACGCCTGTAATCCCAGCTACTCAGGAGGCTGAGGCAGGAGAAACGCTTGAACCGGGGAGGCGGAGGTTGCAGTGAGCCAAGATCGTGCCACTGCACTCCAGCCTGGGTGACAAGAGTGAAACCCCGTCTCTTAAAAATATATATATCAAACAAGTCAGCCATTCTCTACCACTAACCAGTGGTTCTTCTTTTGCCATTATTTTAAAGCCTGAAAATTCACTGACCTGTTTGGCTACTTGGAGTTTCTCAAATCATGGAAACCATTCTGAAACTGAGATGATATGCACAAGCTCTCAAAAAGCATTCCACAATGACCTACTCATTATACAACCTCACGAAGAAATTAGTATTCCTAAAAACATGAGGTCATTTAAAAACTAAACATCATATGTCAAAGCTTTAAAAGAACACCCATGAAAAGGAAAAAAATAAAAAGAGGGCTCTACCCCTCTCTCCTTGTTCTCACAGTCTCATAGAAATGACATCTTTAAAATAAATAAATAAAAATTAAAACATAAATGGGGAAATGGAGTCAAGGGAGAAGTGTTTAAAAAGCAGCTTCAATCTCCCTCACATAAAACTTTTCTCACTCTGGCAATTGCAATAATCTGCAGCCTGACAGACTATCTCCCACCCCAACACATGCCCTCTACAGGTTGCCTGCAATTTGCTGCCCACTTGCACATTCAAGAGAGGGAGTGTTTCTAGGGAAGCACATTTAAATAACTGCAGGAAATAAATGCTTACCAACTATTAAGTATTAATCAATCTAGTCCTTCAGTCATACATACAAACCATCCAAAGATCAGAAGATAATTAGGGAAAAGGAATAGCACAAAAGAGAAGCAAGAAGTGAGTCAGGCTGGGCATGGTGGCTCATGCCTATAATCCCAGCACTTTGGGAGGCCAAGGCAGGTAGATCACTTGAAGTCAGGAGTTCGAGATCAGCCTGGCCAACATGATGAAATCCAGTCTCTACTAAAACTACAAAAAGTAGCCGAGTGTGGTGGTACATGCCTGTAATCCCAATGACTTGGGAGGCTGAGGCAGGAGAATCACTTGAACCTGGGAGATGGGAGGTTGCAATGAGCTGAGATCGCATCACTGCACCCCAGTCTGGGCAACAGAGCGAGACTTCGTCTCAAAAAAAAAGAAAATGAGTCAACTAACCCCAAAAGTAACATTAATAATTCAGAGAAGAAAGGAGAAACTTTTTTTAAAAAAAAAGTATTTGCTTTTTTAAATGCAATTCAAGAAGATGTGGCAAATATAAAACATGAATAAGCTGCTATAGATAAGAAACAATCAAAAGAGTTCTAGAAATTAAAACTATAATTTTCCAAATTAAAAAATGCAGCAATGGACAAGATAAATTATAAAAGGAGAAGTTTTAGATGAATTTAAAGATCTGGGAAGAGAAAAGGAGATAGAGACTAGTAGGGAAAGGTACAGAGACATATATTATAAATTCAAGAAGCTCATCCATTTAATAGCAGTGGCAAAGAGAAAAGAGACTTGGATGGGAACAAAATAATAGAGGATAATTCCCCTGAGCTAAGAAAACAGAATGCAAGGGGCCAACACGTGCCAAGCCAGAAGAATGAGGAAGGACCCATATCTAGATACATACTAGGGAAATTGCAGGACTCCGAGGACAGAGAAAATTCTAGAGGGGGAAAAAATGAGACTGACATCAGACTTCTGTCAGTAGCAATGGGAGCTAGAAGATAATGAAATAATTTATACATTGTGAGGAACAAGGTTTTACAGTACATTTCATAAAACTAAGATACCATAGATATCGATGAACATACCAGAAAAGACTGCCATTAAACTATGACATGTCACTGATTATAAAACACATTCCCATTTCAAAGATGTTAAAATTGCTGGGAGGCAGGGGGGAGTGTAACTTACTATTGAAGAAATACAATGCCTATATTCAGACAAATTATCCATCAATATGAGGGTAAAAGAAAGACATTTTCAAAAATTCTGTAAGTCTACTATCTATGCCTCCTCCATGAAAAACTTACTTGACCAAGTACTCCAACATATCAAGGAGGAAATCTATGTGGATAACAGTAGCCATAGGAGTCATGTATGAGTGCAAAAACTACAAGAAGTATAAAAATATATACATGTTTCATTAAACTGAGATGCTTAAAGAGTATCACATTTAAAGAGCAAAGTTTTCAGGACATTTGGCGATTCCTTTCTATAGGTCTGCCCATGTTACTAGTTGTAGAAAGAGTAACATTTACATAATTATACTACCATGCAAATGTCATTCACTAATTTGCAATTTTTAGAATCAATCTGTAGATGCAGCATGAAAAACTTAGAGTTAAGAAATAGAATATAAATGATACACGTAGCATTACTAAACAAAACCCAACAAATAGGACTGACACAGCCAAGCACTTCATCTTTTACGTGGTCTTGTCAGCAGATGCTGTCCAAAATTGATAAACCAAGAAATAGAGATGTACGTGTATTTTAAATTGTTGGCCATAATTGTTTCTAAGGAATAGACTTGATTTTGTTATCTCATATTCTGTCTAATTTTTTTCCTTTTTTTGCTGTGTACATGCATGGGAAAAAAAAAAAATCACCCACACTGTCAAAAGGTGGACTTGAAAAAGTTCCCAGAATGTCATAGCATCTCTCTAAATAAGAGCTATCTCATTCTACCTTTAAAAAAAAAAAAAAAAAGCAAACAAGTTTTCCAAAGATTGGTAGGTCTCACTTCCATATATATATGTGTGTGTATATATATATATACCAAAAAGAGATAAACTGATTTGTATCTAATGTCACAGAACCAGTTTTATGCCCCCCAAAAGTTAATACACTGGAAGCTGTACCTGATAGGTCCTTAGAACACGTAGCTAGCTTTTCTAAGTGACTGTTGATTTTCTCGATGGCTTTGAAGTTCTTATTCCTCTTCAGGACATCCACAACAGACCGAGACTGTCGATCCAGCAAAGTGGGATCTGCCCCAAAGCGCAGGAGCATCTGCACATCCTCTGTTTGTCCTAGGGCAGGCCAAAATGAGAAGGGGTGTTTGTCATGGTTCCTTCCATAAGATGTCCCCATGAGTGCTCTTCTTCTCAGTCTCCTCCCAAGCAGCCCAGGGCAAGAGGACTAGGGTCTTCTGTTTGTGGAGCCTGCACTGCTAGCCTCAGGTAGTCCACTCAACTCCCTGAAGCAAGGAGTTCTTTGTGGAGTGGGAAGGACAATAGCTTTCAAGAGGTTCAGAAGTGCGCTCCTCTCTACCTTTCTCCCCTCTCCTTGGTAACAAGCAAGGAGAGGGGGAATCTGGTTACTAAGCAACAGTTACAGCTGTAAGGATAACATCAAGCTGTGACTTCAGATTTCTTTATTCCCTAGAGAGGAAACAAAATATTCTTCCAGGAGAAAAGTCTGCCTGGAGACAGGACATGAAAGCGGTGATTGCTTTGGCATCAGGGGCTGTTTTGTTGTCACTGTTACCACCCTCCTAGCCCCAACTCCCTGGATGCCAACTCCATTTGCTGCTCTGATGTATCCATTTGCCAAGCATCAACGTATGTCTGTGGTCACAGATGCAACTGTTTGCGGAATGAAACAGGTATATCCCTGGGGGTACACAAAGACTTAAATGGGCACAGAGAGTTAAATGACTCAATGCCTAATCTCCAAATTCCATATGTAAGCTTTCCTAAAATTCACCTCCTGAGAAGGCAACTGCACTTCTCCCACTTTACCAAAAAAAAAAAAAAAGAATTAAGTCATATTTCCCACCCATCGAGAATCTCACTGTGGTAGGCAGAATTCTAAGCCCCCAAGATTTCTGACCTGCTGTGCATCCACACTTTTTCCCAGTTATTCAATCAAATACTAGCCTAGGTGCTGCTGTGATGAAATTTTGCAAATGAAACAAAGGTCCCAAATCAGTTTATCTTAATATAGGGAGATTATCCAGAGAGGCCTGACCTAATCACATGAGTCCTAACAGTCAAAGTTCTAGAGGTCAGAGATTCAGAGTATGAGAGGGATTTGATGCACAAGAAATTCTCCTCTGCTGGTTTTGAAGATACAAGAGGCAGGACAAGGAATGTGTGTGGCCTGCAGAAGTCAAGAGCAGCCTCTGGCTAATAACCGGCAGAGAAACTGGGATCTCAATCCAACAATGGCAAAGAACTGGATTCTTCCACAACCATGTGAGCTTAAAAGCAGGCCCAGAACTCCAGATGAGAACATAGCCAAAGCCAACACCTTCAGCCTTGCAAGACACTGAGCAGAAAACTCAGTCACATCATGTCACTCTACTGACGTATAATAAATGGGTGTTGTTTCAAGCCACTAAGTGTATGGTGACACAGCATAACTATAGTATACTGCCCCAAAGGGGGTAAAAACTCCTAACCTCCAGGGTATCAACCCAAAGGACAATTAAAACTAACTGATACCTGCAAAACGTCTTTTAAAAGGCACTACATAATCCATCCCCTACCTACTTCCCCCCAGAATTTTATTTTTATGTTTAACAATTATAGAAATTTCACTATATTTATGTTGTTTTGATAAGCTCCATATTGATAATTAGGAATAATTCAATCCAGAAAAAAAGTAACGCTTAGAGCCTTACAATCACAGAAATGTTGGGAGGACGTCATTTCCATTCTATTAAATACAAGTAAAGAAGTGAAATAACAGTTTTATTTTAAAATATCCATGTGTACAAAATTATACAAAATTCCAGATGTCAACTTAAATACATGCAGAGAGGTACACAGGTTTTCAAAATTCTTTAAGGGGGGATAAGGAAGCAAAATTTGAAAACCACCAACAAATAAGACTTATTTTTTTGTCTGGTCAGTATCCATTCTCCCTTTTTCTGAGAACCACCCAGTTTTCCTTTGAGACAGCACCTCCTCTCTCTCAGCCTTACCAGATTTGATGGTGTGAACACCAGACCGACTGACACACACCCCTGTGACAACCACATTCTCTACCATTTCACCAACGCCCAGGTCCAGGGGCTAACACTTAACCAGGATCTGGCCATTCAAATCATTCTGTTCTTCTAGCTCTGTCCCATACCCTCTTCCAGAGGCTAAATCCTGGCCAGGGCCTTGCCAATCAGATCATTCCATTCTTCTGGCTCTAGTGACTGATTGGTTCATAGGGAGGACATGTGACCAAAGTCAGGTCACTAAGACACACTAGGAGCTATTGGGAGGAGGTATCCTCTTTGACTGAGATTGACAAATTGGCAGAAAGTAAGCCTGAAGGTTCTGGTGGCCTTAACTGAAAGACAGCCTGTCTGAAAACGAAACTAACAGAAAGAAGAAATAACCACAAACCGCTACAGATGAAAACAAACAAACCTAACAACTCTCCCAACACCACTTTCAAAATGAACATATCAAACTTGATTTTCATTAGAACATAGTTATTTCTTCACACAACGGAGTAAAAGGCAAGACAGACTCATGAAGACAGCTTTGAAGCAAGCACCTGAACCAAACTCTGGAGTCTTCAGTCGCATGAGACAATAAATTCTCTTTCCTGCCTAAACCAGTTTGAGTGTAGCTTCTAACCAAGACAGATGTAATGATCCAACCTCACTCCTTCAATTTCAGGAGCTAACCATATCTAGACGGGTTCTGCTGCTGCCCAGCTCTGGTGAGTTCCTGAGCCTCTGAAATCTCTATGTACCAGAGCCAATGAGACCATTGTAACAACAAGCACCCACCAAATTACAAACAAAGCTGAAGATTTCTAAGGCCCAACTGACACTGCAATTTTTTCAAATGGGTTTAAAATTTAGGCCAACTTAAATAATCTGGAAAGTTCTTGATTCTCTATGTACCAAACAATACTTAAGAAGGAGATAATAAACCCAGTGTTCAGGCAACATTTCTGGGGTTTAAGTTAGCAATAGCTTTCAAAATCCAAATGCATACCAATAAGCTAGCACATCTTAAACATATACGCTTTTACTTGTACATCATAAAATATTTGCAGAAAAAAATGTAAGATATTAGTAACACTCATTCCTTGCTGCCTAATGGACAGAGTAGAATAGACTCTTGATGTATACATTTTGTACCTTTTGATTTTTTAATATATTTAAAATTTAAATAAAATTAAAATGTATCCAAATAAATAACATGTACAGTTCCTTCAAACAAGAAATTTCTTAACAAGGAAATCATCCTATAGATGCAACCCCACTGATTCACAAACATGTATGTAAAAGAATGGTCTCCAAGCCTTGTTTTCAATTGCAAAATGAACTAAAATACATTTAACCATCTATTAGTATGAGTTGTTAAAAAAATGAAACTGCCATGCAGATACTATTAGGGAAAGATGACTAAGATACATTGTTCAGTGAAGAAAGCAAGTTGCTGAACAGAATGTACAGTGTACCTACATTTATATTTAAAAGGGAAAAAACTGGCATTATACATATACATTACTAGCAAGACTGACAAAAAAAGTTTTAGTAGTTGATTTTGTAGAAAGAGATTTACTTTTTATCACATTCTTTGAAAGTGTCTGAATTTTTTAAAGGAATACAAAACTATTTATTGACCATCGTTCACCAGTATTTTAAATAATAAACAATATACAGTTGGATAACATTCTGATTAATACAAAGTTGTTTTTCCTGGCTTCTGCTGAACCAGTAAAACAAATACTGAAAAGACTAAGCCTACATGTAAGGAATAAGTTGAGGTAAAGAAAAAACATGCGAGTCAATAGTTTAGATCAGGGGTCCCCAACCCCCCAGGTGCTGGTCTGTGGCCTGTTAGGAAGCGGGCCTCACAGTAGGAGGTGTGCAGAGGACAGCGAGCATCACTGCCTGAGCTCCGCCTCCTGTCAGATAAGCAGCAGCATTAGATTCTTATAGGAGTGCAACCCTGTTGTGAACTACGCATGTGAGGGATCTAGGGTCTATGTTGCCACTCTTGAGAATCTAACTAATGCCTGGCAATCTCAGGTGGAACAGTTTCAGCCCAAAACCATCCTCTTCTCCCACCCCCAACTATACCCCACCATCTGTGGAAAAATCGTCTTGCACAAAACCAGTCCCTGGTGCCAAAAAGGTTGGGGACCACTGCTTTAGATTACAAGACTTGGTTCACTCATTTACAGCTGCAGGTCCTAAACTACCAACATCTCTAACCATCTGATTAGTTTCCGTGAGCAACGTCTTAGATAGTCCATGAATCATGACCTTTAGGTCAATGTAGCAACAGGGATTTCAACTTACATGTTCTTACCTGTAAGTGAGGGCTACACAGCTAGAATACTTGGACACCAGGAGGGAAACAACAGACACTAGGGCCTACTTGAGGATGGAGGGTGTAAGGAGGGAGAGGATCAGAAAAAACACTTATCAGGTACTATACGTATTACCCAGGTGATGAAATGATCTTCACACAAAACCCCTATGACATGCAGTTTACCTATATAATAAACCTGCAAAAGTACCCCCCCCGAACCTAAAATGAAAGTTCAAAAAAAAAAAAAAGAAAGAAAAGAAATGGCTCACTAAAAGAAATCTTTTTAAATGCCCATTTAACTGTCTTGTTTAATTAAAACGTACTAGGATTTTCCTAGTTTCCTCATCTGGATAGGGAGGCTGCTGGGTTGTTGGCAACAATAAAATTTTTCTTTAAGGAATTTTGCTAACAAACCATTGCATTTTTATATATAAATGCTTTTAAAATATCAATTTAAATTGTCTGATTAATTAGAATCATTTATTTCACTTGATACACATGGCTTCAGGAAAATTTTCAATTTATCTGGAAGTGATTTATCTCTTACATTGCTCAGAATGATGGCATATTAGAAACATGGGCTTACCTGGGACTTTGGTTTTGGCAATTGTTTAAAAAAAAAAAGAAAGAAAACTATTTACATATGCATTTTATATATACATACACAAAAACAAAACAACCAGAATGATCCTTAGGCTTATGAGAAGCCAAGTTATGATTAATGACTATGAGAATTTTCCCCAACATTTAGAAAATCTGTTCCCTACTGCAGAGGAAATAATATACCATGGTATTGAATGCTCTTTACTGATAAAGGAAGCAACTACAGAGAGCTTTTGTTTCTTTGTTCAAAGTAACCAGTTCTACTGATGAAAAAAAACAACAAACCCAACAACTCTCCCAATACCATTTCAAAATGAACATATCAAACTTGATTTTCATTAGAATGTAGTTATTTCTTCACACTAGCAAATAAAAAACCAAGACCCAGATTTTGTATAAATATATCTATATAAATATATAAATATATAAATATATATAAATATACAAATATATAAATATATATAAATATACAAATATATATAAATATATATAAATATACAAATATATATAAATATATAAATATATATAAATATATAAATATATAAATATATAAATATAAATATAAATATATAAATATATAAATATATATAAATATACAAATATATAAATATATATAAATATATATAAATATATATAAATATGTAAATATATAAATATACAAATATATGTAAATATACAAATATATGTAAATATACAAATATATGTAAATATACAAATATATGTAAACATACAAATATATGTAAACATGCAAATATATGTAAACATGCAAATATATGTAAACATGCAAATATATGTAAACATGCAAATATATGTAAACATGCAAATATATGTAAACATGCAAATATATGTAAACATGCAAATATATGTAAACATGCAAATATATGTAAACATGCAAATATATGTAAACATACAAATATATGTAAACATGCAAATATATATAAACATATATAAATATATATAAACATATATAAATATATATAAACATATAAATATATATAAACATAAATATATATATATATAAAACAATGTGAACAATTACATCATCTTCTGGACGAGAATGCCAAGTTAGTCTTTCTTCATAAAAAGCAATTACAATTTAAGGACCCTTCACACTTGTCTCTTTTGCCAGCATCAAGTTGGCCCCATTTGAGTCTTTCCACCTCATGAGAAACATCGATTCTCCACTGCTGTCTGTGGCACCAATTATTCTTTCAGGATTAAGACCTCTAGCCAGCCCTCTTGGTTTCTCAGCAGCATCTCTTTCCTTTGATTTGCTCTCATCAGATTTACTGTGAGATAAAGTATTTTGTAATTCCTTTTCTTTACTTAATTTGGGAATTAATAAATGCTTCAATTAACTCTGGAGAATCTAAATTTTCTTCAGGTAACCAAGCATTGTATCATGACGTTCTTCCATCTGTAGGTCTGTAGCATCTGTAAATCCCTTCCACTTGAGGAAATAATCCACTTTCCCTTTCACTACACATCAATCTACTACTTTTTCCACCACAAATTCTCCAACTTTTTTACTCTTTCCATTCTGTTTCTTTCCCCTTGTTTGCAATGTAGTTTAATTGGAGGCCATTTTCTTTTATTATTATTATTATTATTATACTTTCAGTTTTAGGGTACATGTGCACAGCGTGCAGGTTTGTTACATATGTATACATGTGCCATGTTGGTGTGCTGCACCCATTAACTCGTCATTTAGCATTAGGTATATCACCTAATGCTATCCCTCCCCCCTCCCCCCACCCCACAACAGTCCCCGGTGTGTGATGTTACCCTAATTGGAGGCCATTTTCTTATTGCAGACTTGAAGAGCCACTATTCACTGCCTCTCAGCTGTTCTGGGTCATGGGTCTGTGGCATCTACAACCCTGTGCACCTTAAATTCAAGCCACATCCAATGAACTTTTTTTTATCAAAAACATGAACTTTCAATATTTTTCCCCTTTAAAATATTTTTTCCATTGAGATACAGCTCATATAACATAAAATTCATTCTTTTAAAGTGTATTATTTGCCCGGGTGTGGTAGCTCACACCTGTAATCCCAGGACTTTGGGAGGCCGAGGAGGGCAGATCACCTGAGCTCAGGAGTTCAAGACCAAACTGGCCAACATGGTAAAACCCCATCTCTACTAAAAATACAAAAATTAGCCAGGCATGGTGGCATGCGCCTGTAGTCCCAGATACTGGGGAGGCTGAGGCAGAATGGCGTGAACCCAGGAGGCAGAGCTTGCAGTGAGCAGAGATCGCACCACTGCACTCCAGCCTGGGTGACAGAGCAAGACTCCGTCTCAAAAAAAAAACAAAATTAGCCAAGCATGGTGGCACATGCCTGTAGTCTCAGCTACTTGGGATGCTGAGGCAGGAGAATCGCTTGAACCCAGGAGGCAGAGGCTACAGTAAGCCGAGATCACATCACTGCACTCCAGCCTGGGCAACACAAGGAGAATCTCTCTCAAAAATAAATAAATAAATATAAACTATATAATTTAATTAGTTTTAGTATATTTATGAAGTTGTACAACCATCACCACTGTCCAATTCCAGAACATTTTCATCACCCCTAAAATAAATCTCATACACATTAAGTCATTCTCTACTCCCCTTCCCAAACCCCTGGCAACCAGTAATCTACTTTCTGTCTCTAGGGATTTCCTTATTCCGGACATTTCATATCAACGGAATCACACAACACATGGTCTTTTTTGTCTGCTTCTTTCACCTAGCATAACGCAATCTTCCTCCGTGTTGTAGCATGTATCAGTACTTCCTTTTTATGGTTGAATAATATTCCCTTGTATGGATATGGCATATTTTGTTTATCCATTCCTCAGTTGATAGAGATTTGGGTTGTTTCCACTTTTCTGGCTATTATGAATAATGCTGATATGAATAATCATGTACAAGTTCTTATTTGGGCATGTTTACCTTCTCCTGGTATATACCTATGAGTGACAGATTTGGTCTTCTGGTAACTGTTTAACTTTCTGAGCAACTGTCAAACTGTTTTCCAAAGCAGATGCACCATTTTTCTTACCCACCAGCAATGTATGAAGGATCCAAGTTTTCCACTTCCTTGTCAACATTTGTTGTTATCTTTTTTTATTTTAGTCATCCTGGTGGGTATAAAGTGTATCTAAAATTTTTAAACTGGTTTTTAGAAAGGTGATTCAAAGACTCCTACAACACATGAATAGGCAAAGAGATAAACAGAATAGAACAGGAAGTTCAGCATTAGTGACATCTCCAATTACTGAGGTTAAGACAGACTTTTAAATAAATAGTGCAGAGACAAATAGGTAATTATTTGGAAAAAAAAGTAAAGCTAGATTCTTATAATAAACTACAATGGACCAAGAATCTAAATGTAAAAAAATGAAACACTACAGGCACCTGAAGAAAATACAGGTGAATTCTTCTTTAACTTTGGTGTAAGGAAAGACTTTGTTAACTCCAAATCTGGGGGCAATAAACAATAGATTGATAAATCTGACTACATAAAAAGAAAACCAAATTGCATGACAAAAAACAACAAAGTCAGAAGACAACTGACAAACCGGGAGAAAATAATTGCAGTATATACCACAGACAAGAGCTAATGAGCGAAGAATTCTTAAAAATTGAGGACAAAGGACCAAAAACCATAAAGAAAAATGGGAAAGAGACATGAACATATAATTCATAGTAAAAGATATTAAAGTGATTCTTAAACACATTCTTAAAAGTTCAACCTCACACATAATTAGAGAAATGCAAATTAAAACGATACTGGAAGAACAATTCTCACCTATTGGACCAGAAAACCTTTTAAAATAAGACAACAAATTCTACTGGTGAGACTGTTGTGAGAGAAGCACCCTCATACATTGTCGGTGGTAACGCAAATTGGTACAACCCTCTCCTAGATGAAAAGTTGATAATATCTAACAAAACTACATAAGCATTTATACATATGAATTAATATGGAGTGATTTCCAGGACATACTCTCAGTGAAAAAAATCAGGCAAGGTGCAATGGCTCATGCCTGTAATCTCAGCATTTTGTGAGACCAAGGCAGGCAGATCACTTGAGCCCAGGAGTTTGAGACCAACCTGGAAAACATGGCAAAACTCTGTCTCTACCAACAACAACAGCAAAAAAAATAGTGGGGCATGGTAGCACATGTCTAGTCTTAGCTACTCAGGAGGCTGAGGTGGTAGGATCGCTTGAGCCCGGGTGGGTGAGGCTGCAGTGAGCCAAGACTGCACCACTGCATTCCAGACTGGGTGATAGAGTAAGACTCTGTCTCAAAAAAAAAAAAAAACGCAGAGAAAAGAAAAGAGAAGAAAGAAAAAAGAAAACGTGCCAAAGAGTATCTATATAATGTAACTCTTCATGCAAAAAAAAAAAAGGGAGCTATAAGAAAATAGCATGTGTGTGTTCATTGCTGCAAAAGAAATCCAGAAAGAATAGGCCTGAAATTAAAGAAACTGATTATCTATAAGGCTGGATGGGCAGGCGGCAGAAAGGAGGAGGAAATGGAAATGGCCAGGGTGCAAGGATGAGACGGAAGTGACATTTCTTTAAGCCTATCTTTTGTAAAGTTCTGACTCCTAGAACCATGGTAATATTTCACATGCCCTTCATATACCCAAAATATAAACAAAATCAAACAGGATGTGGGGCAAATCCTAAAATGGAATACAAACACTAAAAAAATGAGTTTGAGTGTCCTACAAATTACTAACAAAACCATGGTAAAGGGAGTGGGAAAGAAAAGAACTACCAGTATCTTAACAGGATGCTCTAAGGCTAAAGACAAAAAACACTGAATATAAATGAACATAAAGTGAATATAAATCTAGTCAGTAAATGTGTTTCTCACAGAGGTATTATGGGTTACCTAGTCTGAAATTCATAGACTGAATAAGTAAATATATTGTAGATGAACAATATTACAAATAAAAAGGGCTGAATGATCATGGTGTTTGGACTGGAATCAGAGATATCAGTATAAACTCATGGTTTTTAACATAGACATATGCAGAGAGATACAATAATACAGATGTAGTATCATCGGTTAGTGCACATACATGTATGTCCTAGCTCTTATCTGCCAAAAAGTCCTAGAAACAATGACACTCCGCTTCGCAATGGCATACCTAGTACCAGATCTTGTTTCCTCTAACATTCTCCAATAGGAACCAGGGATCCTTAGAGAAGTGGTTGATTCCAGGGCTGGGACAGGGACCACGCAATATGAACCTGGAACACCTTGTGGTGTCTGAAAGTAAGGAAGTGCTCAAGGGGACTTTTTGAAGGAACACAGGAGCCAGTCTGAAGGAGTGCCTTATGGCTAAAGCTGGAGCAACGTTAGCAACAAAATAAATAATCATACCATTGGATTTTATCCCATAGAATAAAATAAACATCCGAGTCCATACTGAAATCATTATATAATTGAATATACAGGGAGAAGGAACAGCTCTTCATTACATAAGAATTCCAAGCAATAGGCCAGGCGTAGTGGCTCACGCCTGTGATCACAGCACTTTGGGAGGCCCAGGCAGGTGAATCACGTGAGGCCAAGAGATTGAGACCACCCTGGCCAACATGGTGAAACCCTGTCTCTACTAAAAACACAAAAATTAGCTGAGCATGGTGGCACACACCTGTAATCCCAGCTACTCATGAGGCTGAGGCAGGAGAATCGCTTGAACCCGGGAGGCGGAGGCTGCAGTGAGCTGAGATCGCGCCACTGCACTCCAGCCTGGAGACAGAGCAAGACTCTGTCTCAGAAAAAAAAAAAAAAAAATTAAACAATAAATGTAGACAGAAGGAAGAAAAATTTTAAATTAATGTTAATCAAAGACCATAGTAATACCTGTAGCTGTCAAGATCTACCAATAGATACCAAAATTGGTGGGCAGAAGTTTGAGAAGAAACAGGGTATATGCAGTTTCAAAGTATCCCCTCCAAGATACTCATTAACTACAAAAGAAAAGATAGTAATTTTACAGTGGAGAAGCCCCACACATCACAAATAATCAAGGTTAACAAATAATCAAATAATCAAGGTTAACATGATAAGAAGTATTGACATCATGAACCCCTTGGTACGATTCACTGAGGATACAAAATCATTTCTGTAATATTCTCACCAAAAACACATAACTTCATTCCAGTCATAACAAAATATCAAACAAACCAAAATTGATAGATAGTCTACCAAATAACTGACTACTACTCTCTGAAAGGGTCAAGGTAACAAAAGGCAAGGAAAGACTGAGGAATGGTCACAGACTACAGAACACTAAGGAGACATGAAAACTAAATGCAATGTGGGATCCTGGAACAGAAAAGGTACGTTAGTGAAAAAGCTAGCGAAACTCATATGAGGTCTGTATATTATTTTTTAGAGACAGGGTCTCAGTCAACTGACTGGGCTGAATGCAGTAGCACGATCGTAGTTCACTGCAGGCTCAAACTCCTGGGCTCAAGCCATCCTCCCATCTCAGCCTCCTGAGTAGCTAGGACTACAGGCCTGTGCCACCACACCCAGCTAATTTTTTTATGTTTATTTTTATAGAGACAGGCTCTCACTATGTTGCCCAGGCTGGTCTCGAACTCCTGGGTTCAAGTGATCCTCCTATCTTGGCCTCCCATAGTGCTGGGATTACAGGCAGGAGGCACTGTGCTGGCCTAAACTTTGATTATACAGCATGCTAACTTTATGTGGAGGCTGGGTGAGGGGAGTACAGAAAATCTCTGAACCATTTTTGTAACTTTTCTATAAGTCTAAAATTAGTTCAAAATAAAACATTTTTAAAAATATTCCCTGATGAAAAAGAAGATGAAGAGGGTATGGGAGAAAGCAGAAGAAGAAGGAGCCTGTGAGAGTTGAGAAGCCTCATTCGTTGGAGGTCATAGTGGCAGCCTATGTTGACATCTCTAATTGAAGGAAGAAAAGGCCCTTCTTTTTTTGTTGTTGTTGTTTTTTTTTTTTTTTTTTTTTTTGAGACAAGTACTTGCTCTGTTGCCCAGGCTGGAATGCAGTGGCACAATCTTAGCTCACTTCAACCTCCGCCTCCCAAGTTCAAGCGATTCTCCTGCCTCAGCCTCCCAAGTAACTGGGACTACAGGTGCCCACCACCACTCCCAGTTAATTTTGCCATGTGGCCCAGGCTGGTCTCAAATTTCTGGTCTCAAGTGATCCACCCACCTTAGCCTCCCCCAAAGTGCTAGGATTACAGGCATGAGCCACCACACCCAGCCAGCCCTCTCTTTACGTTTTATCCTCCCAACTTTCAGAAAGTTGAAAGGGTTTCTGTGTTTATAAGAAATAGTATAAAATTGTTATTCTAAGCCACATACAGTTTAGAGTGTAAGCCACATATGGCTATAGAGCACTTGAAATGCATGATGAGGTGTGGTGAAAAGAGTGAAACATGCTGGATTTCAAAGACAGTACAAAACAAAAAATAAAGAGAAAAATGGCCTGGCACGGTGGCTCATGCCTGTAATCCCAGCACTTTGGGAGGCTGAGGCTGGCGGATCACAAGGTCAGGAGATCGAGACCATCCTGGCTAACGTGGTGAAACCCCATCTTTACTAAAAATACAATAAATTAGCCGGGCATAGTAGCACGCATCTGTACTCCCAGCTACTTGGGAGGCTGAGGTAGATCTTGAAAGCTACAGGTATTACTATGGTCTTTAATTAATGTTGATTTAAAATTTTTCTTCCTTCCACCTACATTTTTTGTTGGATTTTTTTTTTTTTTTTTTTTGAGACAGAGTCTCGCTCTGTTGCCCAGGCTGTTGTGCAGTGGCGCAATCTCAGCTCACTGGAAGTTCCGCTTCCTGGGTTCAAGCCATTCTCCTACCTCAGCCTCCCGAGTAGCTGGGACTACAGGCGCATGCTACTATGCCACATGGATGTCAGGATACCTGGAGATGTGTTTTTTGTAAATCAAAGAGTCAGACAGGAACTATTTTTTTATTGAAGATTTGCAAGGTAGAGATACGTAAAGAGGGCACAATGATTGATGTGGCACATTCTTTAACCATAAATTACTAGGCTAATGTTAGCTTTAGCACAGTGGTATGCTAAGACCCAGTTCATATCAGTTCACAAGAGCCAATTGTTTAATGTCCAGAAATGTTGCAAGCTGGTTGATAAAAATTCAAATAAAAAATTATATGACAAACAAAACCCATCACTTCCTAATAATTTTTACTACATTTTGCTATTATCTATGATGAGGTTTCTTTACATCTATCTTAAAATGTATCTGTATACTAAAAATAAAATATAATAACGTCCCACCACACATCTCTTCCCAACTCTGTGTTGCATGACATCACATTGGTACCATGAATTATGCCACCATGGGAGTATTTCCAAGCTGGTCCAACCCATGGCCCACACAAATTCGTAAATTTTCTTAAAACATTGTGAGATTTGTGCACGGACCTTCTTTTATTTTTAAGCTCATCAGCCATCGTTAGCGTTACTGTATTTTATGTGTGGCCCAAGACAATTCTTATTCCAATGTGGCCCAGGGAAGCCAAAAGATCAGACACCCCTGATTATACCAAGGAACTCAAGAAATGCTACAATTCTGAGCTTCTGTCTTGAAGAGCTAGTTGTTTGCCAGAATATCACTGTCTTTGAGAAGGGACTAAAACACAGAAAAATCAAAAGAACAGATAATAAATAACAAGGGTTAGGATGTGAAGAAGCTGGAATCGTCATACACTGCTGGTGGCACTGTAAAATGGTACAGCCACTTTGGGAAACAGTCTGGCAGTTCCTCAAAAGGTTAAACATAGTGTTACCATATGATCCGGCAATTCTACTCCTGGGTATCTAGCTGGGAAAAATGAAAACAAATGCCCTGTACACAAATATTTACAGCAGCATTATTCATAATAGCCAGAAAGTGGAAACAACCCAAACGCCCATCAACTGAAGAATGAATAAACAAAATGTGGTATATTTATACAATAGACTATTATTTGGCAATAAAAAGGAATTAAGTATTGATTCATTCTACAACACGGATAAACCTTGAAAATATGCTGGTGAAAGAAGCCAGTCACAAAAGGCCTTATATTCTATGATTCCAGTTACATGAAATATCCAGAATAGGCAAATCCATAGAGACAAAAAGTGGTGATTGCTTAGGGCTTGGAGATGGGAGAAACAGAATGACTGCTAATGGATGTGGGGTTTCTTTTTAGGATAAAAATGTTCTAAAATGTATTGTGATGTTACTTGCTCAACTCTGAATAGATCAAAAAGCATTTAACTGTACACTTTAAACAGGTAAATTATATAGTATATGAATAATATTTCAATAAAGCTCAAAAATCCATAGACCCCTTCTCCTTTGTTTCCCTAGATATAGGTTCCTAGGTCCCAGTTCAGTGGGAATGACATTAGAGAAACAAGCCTCGCTGGGCTCCTCCTGAGAGATGCTGAAGAGAGGAAACTGCAGTTTCCTACGAGTAACCCACCAGACCAGAAGTCCCCAAAAGGAGGCCTTCAGGCTGGTTCTAGTTAACAGGCATGTTTAAATCTGAGCAGACAGCTGAAAAATCACAAGATTCCACAGTTTTAAAAAATCCAGATTTCTGGCCAGGCATGGTAGCTCATGCCTGTATCCCAGTACTTTGGGAGGCCGAGGCAGGTGGATCACTTGAGGTCAGGAGTTCAAGAACAGCCTGGCCAACAGAGCTACTAAAGTTACAAAAATTAGCTGGGCATGGCGGTGTTTGCCTGTAATCCCAACTACTCAGGAGAGGCTGAGGCAGGAGAATCCCTTGAACCTGGGAAGCGGAGGTTGCAGTGAGCCAAGATTGTGCCACTGCACTCCAGCCTGGGCGACAGAGTGAGACTCCATCTCAAAAAAAATCCAGATGTCCAACATCTCTTGCCATGAGAAGATGACAGCCCAGCCTGGTTCCTATGATCAGCTCCAGGCTGCAGCAGCACGAGGCACAAGCTCCTCACCACTCCCTGTCACCTCCCTTCCACAGAGGCTGAGAGTCCACTGTATGTTCTTCTCTATCCCAAACAGAAAGCAAAAACTGAGGGGTCTGAGAGTTTCAAGAAAAATGAGTGACATCAGAGAGCTCTGAGAGAGTGAACACAGCCTTCCTGCTTCCCAGGCTAACATGGTGCACCGGTGTCAGAAGAACCAGCTTTTCCTTGCATGTGCAAGCCTCACTCGCTCATGTGCCTAGTCTGGCCCCAGCAGGTATGGGAAGATGCAATCCCTGTGTTAGATTCTAAGTGCCATGAAGGCAGAACCATGTGCAGTTCAGTTCACAATTCCTCTCTACCAGCTAACACAGATTTGGCATAAAATAAAATGAGTAACCATGTGATGAAGGAGGGAACAAAGGCAGCCAGGAGCCCATGTTCTTGAATGATTCAACCCCACAGAAGCCATTTCAAGGTGAAAGAGCTCCTGAAGCCCAGCAATTCTTCTTTCTCTCACCTCACCTTCTTTCTGCATTACAGCTTACCCACCCACCCACCAAAATCAAGTTTAGTTCAAGGGGAAGTTTAGCCCTCTGAGCCAGCTAGGGATAGAATGGGTAAAACAAGGCAGTCGGTGGTGTGGGTCCTCAAAGCCTGACACCAGCCAGCCACAGCGCACCCTCTGGGTAATGCCACTACTCACGCTTAACGAGGTATCCTGGGGAGTGGGCAGCGACGACGTGCAGGACAGTGCAGCCATCCCCATCCTTCTGGTTAATGCGGCCTTTCCACTCGGGCTTGTGATCCATTAACCACCGGAAAAGATGGTTTTCTCCTGAAGGGAATTAAAATGACTTACTAATGTTTTCCACATACAGAAAGTCAGCAAAGTTAATTTGTGCAGAAGCAATAGATTAAAAAGAAAGAAAGAAAATCAGCAAAGCAAGTCAGTGTGGACCACGCTAAGGTAACCAAATGAGGAATCCAACATACGTTTCCACTCACCACAAACAGGTGTGGGGAGATGCAGGCGTTTGTCAAGTGAGAGGATGAGTTATAGAAAGCTACCCATAATCATCGTAGGTCAGGTTCCCTAGAAGCCTGAGACAGGGATTCTTATACATGTGACTGAGCAAGAGATAGCATGAGAGAGAGCAAGGGAGGCAGGACAGGTAGGGGAAGCAGCTAAGCAAGGTTGTGATCCTAGTAGGGTCACTCCAGCCTGACCTCATGAGCAGCCCTGCAGCAGGAATGCACCACAGCCTGGAGCCACCTTGAGGCACTGGGGCTGGCCTTTTGAATCCCCATGTCAGTCAATCAAGAGCTACAGAATGCACTCAGGGAGAGGCAAGGTCCAGAGAGAACCTCTCTGGGAAGTGGTTTCTGTTGACAAAGAGCAACTCTCTGCCCAAGGGGCCAGCTGTGGGTTGTTAGCAGCTAACATTGACAACAGGTGGGGGTGAGGGGGTTGGTGGCAAAGAGGATCTGGGTGAGGCACAACAGCCTCCACTTTAATAATCAAGCCAGTATCTCTGATAAGATTACCCTACTACATTACTATCAATAAGACATATATATTGAATTCTTTTCCCAGACTCCTTCCTTGGAGTTCCTGAGATCTAGGAAAGCCACGCACCTCTGCCAACTCTTTGGATGCCAATTTGTCACCATGTCAGAGTTCTCTGAGAAACAAATCAATGATTAAAACGTACCACCTTGAAGGCTCAATCTTACTGATACCACCTATAATCACAGGAACTAACTTAAAAGTAGACACAATGGGGAATCATGACATTCATAACCAGAGCCACGCTTCTCTGCATTCCAGTTTCCTCACTTGAAACTGGGAGGATTAGATTGCGTAGCTTTCAATCAGGCTTTACTTTTAAATGTTTTATCTACCAATCTCTGTGTAAGAATAAAATCTCTTGGCCAGGCATGGTGGGGCTCACGCCTGTAATCCCAGCACTTTGGGAGGCTAAGGCGGGTGGATCACTTGAGATCAGGAGTTTGAGACCAGCCTGGCCAACATGGTGAAACCCCATGTCTACTAAAAACACAAAAATTAGCCAGGCGTGGTGGCGGGGGCCTGTAATCCCAGATACTCGGGGGGCTGACGCAGGGGAATCGCCTGAACCCAGGAGGCAAAGGCTGCAGTGAGCCAATATCACGTCACTGCACTCCCCCAGCCTGGGCAATGGAGTGAGACTCAGTCTCAAAAAAAAAATCTCTTATAAATTCCCCACTATATGAAATGAATAACACCAGGACAAATCTGGCTAAAGCAAAGACAGGGGTCCCAGGCCTCAAGCCCATGGCCACCTCCCACACCCCCATTCCTGGGGAGATGATACAGCCTACAAGAGGTAGACTAGACAAGTTCTCTCGGCCCTTTCTGGCACTAAACTGCTATGGGTGAATGTCCCACAGTGCTGCTACGTGTGCTTGGAAAGAAAAACAAACTTCTATCTAAAGTGTGAGTGTGTGCATATGTGTGTGTTAATGATAAAATAAAAATATTTTTAAAGTTAAAGCCTATAACCAGATGGCAAAGCTTAAAAAAGAATTTCATGAAAATAGCAGTCCTTTAAAAGAAGCACAGCCAAACTGTATCAGCAACAGCTCATGTCTCCCTTGGGATACCCCCAGCCAAGGGACTATGTTCTGTGTCCCACAACACAGCCGTCAACCCTAGAGTGAAAATGAACCGAGAGAAATAGACCAAAGCTGCCTATGCCGGAAGGAGGAAACTCTGCAGGTCTCCTGGGAGTGTTGCCCAGCAACAGCTGTCTGTCCTAAGTCCCTTCCATGGGTCCCAGGGCTCCATCCTCCTGCCAGGATCTGCCTAGAGTCACAGAATCCTTTCCGTTTGGACCTCCTGCAGCTACTAGGTGCCAGGAAAGATAAAAATGATACTATTTTCCTGCTGCTTCATTCATTTGAATAATCAGATCATTTGAATATTCAAATGGTCTGCATTCAAGTGGCTTAATTCTAGTTTCACTTGAGCTCAACAGAGTTCCAGAACTAGGCTAGAAGGGCAGCTTGGAGGGTGGAAAACTGGGAGAAGACTCACTGGCTTGGATACAGAGTCGCATGAGGGCATGAAGGGGATACGGTCCTATAGTCTCAACACTTGCACCAATGGAGATGAGCCACTGGACTAACTTGGGCACTTGTTCCATCTTCTCATAAAGTCCAATGAAAACGTATTTCTGGGGAAAAAAAACACACAGGACAAATTATGGAAGTCACTAATCAATATGAAGCTTCAAACTCCTTTACCCATAAAGTATGGAATCAGTAAAACTTGGATTAGCTGTGGTCCAAGCCTAGGATTATTATAAATAACAAATTTGTGGTAAGGCAGCTGAAGGAGAAAGTACAAGACACAAGGAAGTGTATGTTTCAAGAAATCGCCTTGCGAGGCGCAGTGATTCACGCCTATAATCCCAGCACTTTGGGAGGCCAAGGTGGCCGATCACCTGAGGTCAGGAGTTCAAGACCAGCCAGGCCAACATGGCGAAACCCCATCTTTACCAAAAAATACAACAATTAGCCGGGCACTGTGGTAGGCGCCTGTAATCCCAGCTATTCGGGAGGCTGAGGCAGGGAGAATTGCTTCAACCCAGGAGGAGGAGGTTACAGTGAGCTATCATGCCACTGCACTCCAGCCTGGGCGAAAGGGCGAGACTCAGTCTCAAAACAAAACAAAACAAAACAAAACATATATATATATATATATAGATATATATAGATATATATATCACCTTACCTCAAAGAGACTTTTCAGTGATAACTCTGGGACATGAATATTTCTTGGTAATCGGTCTTTTTTTGCTGACAGAAGCAGAAATGACTGGTGGGAGAAGACAGAAAAGGCTGGAATAATAATGTTCTCCACATAGGTTATTAAAGCAAAAAAGTTATTTTAAGCTTTAAAACAAGCAAATAAAAAAAAACCACTCTCTAGCCTTGTCTTTTTTTAAAGTGCTTGCCAAGTTTTTCAGCTATTTGCTGTGACAATTAAAGTCTCTGTCTAGCCAACTTCCTGTTCCTGCTGAGGACTAAGGCCCCTCCACACTTCCTCAAAGCCTGCTGAGGACAGGAGCAGATGATGTCATGTAGCATTTCACAGCATAGTTGCAATGAGATTACAAAAAAAAAAGAGTAATTCCCTGCCAAGTTCTTAAGGCTTAGCAAGTGGAAGACTCAAATCCTTTAGAAATATCCCATCCCAATCAATTATTCCTCACATCAGCGTTTTAAAAGCCCCAAGTACTTGGAGCCCATTAGACCCTGTCAATGGTGTGCTGCAGCCGGCTCCTATCAGCTACTGAGTTGATGATGCACATCTCCTCCTAACTCCAAGTCTTGTATGTCATATTAGTAGCTGGAAATTGGCCATGGTGAGAGTATTTATACTACCAAAGTTAGCAAATGCTACAAATCGGGACCTTTTCTTTTCAGAGACCCAGTTGTTAAACTACTGACCCTATCTAAAGTTGCTGAAGAGACTAAATCCCAGAGAAGTTAAGCCAGTTTTCACAGGTCTCACAGCACATCTTGAGAAGCCCCTACTGAGATCATTCAGGTATGCTAACAGATCTAAGAATTCCCGGCTCTGTTATGACCATGACTGGAGACCCAGTCTCAGCTCCAGCCTCTCTCATGTATGGCTTTTGCCAGTGGACTTAGGACCACAGGAACTGAGCCCATGGCCACATCTCACTTCTAGTTTCTTTCAGATTGATACCCATTCTTTTTTTTTTTTTGAGACAGAGTCTCACTCTTGTTGCCCTGGCTAGAGTGCAGTGGTGCAATCTCAGCTCACTGCAACCTCTGTGATGCCCATTCTTAACTTTTTGCCCTAAACAAGCCTCGCTGCCCACACTCAACCCCACATGATAAGTTCAGCATTCTAGTGGGCAGATTGCTGGCCTTTTAAAAGATGCTTCTGTCTGCAGTATTTGGGAATTACCAGAGCCTCACTGCAGGTAGGATGTTGGACCTGCCACTTGGGCTGGATTCCTGGGCCCTCCCTTGACTGGCTGGGATAATAATCTATTAGGAGTTGCCTGTCTCCCATTCTCTCATTCTCTGCCTAGGCCATGGAGCTCTATTCATATCCACCCCACACTGGGAAGAGAGGACAAGGTTCTTTCCCTGAGTGCAGTAAATTAAACTATCTTCCTGCTAATGAGGCCTAAGGCCTCCTGCTCACAGATCTACCCTAGCACTTGGAATCACAGAATTTCAAAACTTTTTAAAAAATAAAGCTGGAAGGATCCTTATAAATCTCTTAGGCCAGCTACCTTATCCCAGGAGAAAATATCTCAAATGTCTTTTAATGGGACCCTGGATTTCTGACTACTGGTTCCCCAAGAGTTCAGTCTGCCTTCCTCAACCCTGCTGCCTGCCCTCCCAAGATTTTTTAATACAGGGGTAAGCTTCAGGGAGCCCATGGCTGGACTCCAGGAGGTTTCCCATGAACCCCCTGAAACTATACACATAATTGTCAGTGCATGACAAGAGAGCCCCACAGATTTCATTCGATTTCCAACAGAATCCATTACCTTGCCCAAAATTTAAGAATTCTCTATTCTAAAGTCATCCAACCTGCTAGGATCAGGAGTCCTTAATAGGTTGCCCTTGTTTTTGGTGACTTTTCTGGACTGCCCAGCTTTTGAAAGCCCAGGAGGGCTGTTCTAACCAAATTCGTAGCTTGGCCAGCCCATTCTCATGAGCACTTATAGCCTATCACCAATGACGACTACTATTCACTGGGCACTTAGAATATGCCAGGTATTATAAAACCCCTCAGCTCAATGCCTGGCACTGTAAACCTTCCACAAACATTACCTGATAGGTGCTCTTGTCCATTATTTCTGATCTCACCAAAACTCTGAAGAAATAGGTTTATATAATGCAACTTACAAATGAGGAAATAAGACTCAAAGGGGAAGTAATTAGCCCAAAATAGTAAGTGGGGGATTCTGATTCAAGGACACATCTGTGTGACACTGAAGCCCAGACCTCCACAGTCCACTCACTCCTCCATTCCATGGATTCCTGGCCCTGGGTTCAGGTCCTACAACCTCACTTAGCCACTACCCAAATGTTAGCAGCCCCTCAAAACCACATGGGAACCCTTGTGAGCAGCCCAGATAGGTCATCCGGGAACACACTAGCTAAAGCAGTATAAAAAAGGATTGTGAAAATGAACACACAGCTTTGTTTTTCTCATTCCATATTACCATTAGCATCTGTACTTTACATTTCTTTGATGACAGTGGAGACACAGATCTAAGCGTTTTTCCCATTTTTAAAAATAAATGGAAACTGGCTAATTAATCTATCTCAAAGACTTTTCATCTTTAATGATATCCTAGTTAAAAATTTACCCTGGCATCAAGATCAACAAATAATAAATTACAATCCCTCAATGCCAATGGAAAGGAATCATTTCATCAAGAATGTACTCTCCCCGTGAGAGCCATCTCCTTTTACTTACATGCCATAATCCTTTCTTTGCCAACTTTTCTATTACAGATTGCCACACTTCTGTTGGGAATCCAGTTGTGAAAATATGATCAAAGCAAGGCAAGAAACTTTGCAAAACAATGGAGTCACCTAAAAGAAAGTTTCATAATTTAGGGATTTTAATGTGGGGAAAGTCTACAGCATTTGGGAAAAGGTCCTCCAATTAAGTTCACACATAGACAAATGGTAAATTAAAGATACCCTAAAGAAAGGCATTTTCAAAGTAGTATGAAGTCCTTTATAATTGGTTGAAGTGGCAATTATTTTCAGTTCATCATAAAATCAATCCCCTAAGAGTTAGGCAGGATAATTAACATTCGCTTTGCCTTTCTAGTTGCCAAGCCCAGTGATATGTGCTTATGTTCAATACCTCAAATAAACCACTAAGGAAGTGCCTATTATCTCCACTTATAGAGGAGGAAATGGAAGCTTAAGTTACAAAACTCACTTCCTTTAAGAAAAATGTGACAAATATTGTTACCCAAAACATTAGAAACTATGACAAATGAAGATAGGTTTCATGGCATATCATGCAGTTAGTTCATGACAAGAAACAAGACTGGAACCCAGATCTACCAACTCTTGTCATCAATACACATTCTTCTGACCTGGTGGCCCATCGACCTATTGCACCTGGTGATCCTCCAACCATATTTCTCAAATTCATGGATGAGAATGTCCAAGGGGACAGGTCAAGACTCAGAATAACTTGGCACCTCTTCCAAGGTTATTAATTTCAAAAAATAAGTAAATATCAAAACAAACGCATACTATATGAAATGACACAAAGTTTCCCATAAATATGTTTTTCAAAATTTAGAAACTGGGCGACGCCAATTTCTTTACCTTCCAAAAAGGAGTACTTTGGTAAAGTATTGGCTGCATCATCTTAAGAAGTCCTGTTAACTGCCCCCTTTCAGGTTGGGGGCAGAATGAAAACCACCCAGGTTATCTTAAGGGGCAGCCATCAAGAAGCAGTTGTTTGGAATTCCCATAACTCCGGCCTGGCTTCTGACAGAACAGTGACATTTAAAAGATGCAGAGGGCCGGGTGCAGTGGCTCACACCTGTAATCTGAGCACTTTGGGAGGCCAAGGCGGGCAGATCACCTGAGGTCAGGAATTTGAGACAAGCCTGGCCAACAGGGTGAAAGCCCTTCTCTACTAAAAAAACAAAAATCAGCTGGATGTGGTGGCAGTGCCTGTAATACCAGCTACTAGGGAGGCTGAGGCAGGAGAATCGCTTGAACCCAGGAGTCGGAGGTTGCAGTGAGCAGAGATCGCGCCATTGCACTTCAGCCTGGGCGAAAAGAGTGAAACTCCATCTCAAAAAAAATATAAAAGATGCAGAGAAACCGGGGGCAGTGGCTCAAGGCTGTAATCCCAGCACTTTGGGAGGCCAAGGCAGGTGGATCACCTGAGGTTAGGAGTTCGAGACCAGCCTGGCTAACATAGTGAAACTCCATCTCTACTAAAAATACAAAAATTAGCCGGACGTGGTGGTGGTGCACACCTGTAGTCCCAGCTACTCAGGAGGCTGAGGCAGGAGAACCGCTTGAACCTGGGAGTCAGAGGTTGCAGTGAGCCTAGATTGCGCCACTGCACTCCAGCCTGGCCCACAGAGCAAGACACCGTCTCAAAAAAAAGATGCAGAGAAGTGCAGGCCAAGTCATTGGGTTTGAAAGAAAATGAAGCCAGCCCTGGCTACTGTTGGCAAAAGACTGACTGAAGAGCTGTGACCCATCAGCACCTATCTAGAGACTTTCCACTTCCCTGTCTAGGGGACATGGCTGCACCTGCCTCTAACTCCTTCCCACTGCCTGCTACTACTCTAGTCCCCTCTCTGTACCAAACTTGTCAAAATCTGTGAGATTCCACCTACAGACCACAGAAGTTGCTTTCCCACAACTGCAATGGGAACAGTTTGATTGATAACAGTCTATCCATTGTCAGCTGTGGTTTCCCCATATTTAAAAACCAAAGACCATTTTTCAGAAATTCTAACATGTGCCATTTTTCATATTCTAACATCTCTGAAATCAGGATGTCTTACAATCAATGTTGTCTTTCACTGGCAGAGCATAAATTAATAGCACATCTTAGTGCAACTTAAATTTGATCAAACACCGTATTTAAAAACAACAGCCTAGGTATTGGCAGGACTTTAGACTGCACCATCACTGCCAAGGAGTGAAGTTTATTACACTGTGCTTTACCAGTTTCTGGTTTTGCCTGATCTGGGCCACCAACAAAGCTATGTCTTAGGCCAGGCCATTAGAGTAGTAACTTAATGCAGTGACACAAAAGCTTCCCCTCCCTGCTAGGCTGAACACTTGGGTCCTCCGCTGATTCTGCAGTGCCGGGTATTGAGCTTCACAACCCTGACATGGAGCACCCATTATCAGCTTTCACAGGACCCGCCATCGGCCCTTCCAGGTTATCTTCATAGCAAACAAATATTTTCTCAATAGACTGGAAAAATACATGTGAAAAAGTACAGGAAAGTCCAGGCATGGTGGCTTACGCCTGTAATCTCAGCACTTTAGGAGGCCAAGGCAGGTGGATTGAGGTCAGGAGTTTAAGACCAGCCTGGCCAACATGGTGAAGCCCCATTTCTACTAAAAATACAAAAAGTTAGCCGGGCGGGGTGGTAGGCGCCTGTAATCCCAGCTACTCAGGAGGCTGAGGCAGGAGACCCTTTGAACCTGGGAGACAGAGGTTGCAGTGAGCAAAGATCGTGCCATTGCACTCCAGCCTGGGCAACAAGACTGAAAATCCATCTCAAACAAAAAAAGAAAGAAAAAGAAAAATTACAGGAAAGAGCAAAAGTCACATCAGGCGAGTAGTATAAATACGGAAACCCCTATGAATAGCAACACAAAACACTTAAGAAGTCTGAAACCAGCCGGGCAGGGTGGCTCACACCTGTAATCCTAGCACTTTGGGAGGCCAAGGCGGGCGGATCACGAGGTCAAGAGATTAAGGCCATCCTGGCCAATATGGCGAAACCTCATCTCTACTAAAAATACAAAAAACTAGCCCGGTGTGGTGGCGTGTGCCTGTAATCCCAGCCGCTCGGGAGGCTGAGGCAGGAGGATCACTTGAACCCGGGAGGCAGAGCTTGCAGTGAGCCAAGATCGCATCACTGCACTCCGGCCTGGTGACAGAATAAGACTCTGTCTCAAAAAAAAAAAAAAAAAATCTGAAACCAAACTCTCAAAGTTTTAGTCATTTATGTGAAAAGGACTTCATTGTTTTCACAAAGGCAGAAGCCACCGAAGCATCCAAAATGCTTTCTAATGTGTGAACTAGATTCATTAAACTGCATAAATCAGCCACAAAGAAACACCCAGAAAGTATCTCCCCATGAGCCTGAGTCCCCAGGAGCTATTTCAATAAAATAGCAAGGACTTTACAAAAAGTCTCCCCAGTTCCAACTTACTGCTCATAGTGGTGAAGACTCCAACAAGGAAATCAGCAACCGGTGCCTGGTCTTGGCTTCTCTGCACAAGTCGCAGACCCTCAAAAAACATGCGAGCGGCTTCGTAAGGCTGGTGCAACCTCAGCAAGGAATAACCAGCTCGGTAGTATCCCTGGAACAGGATAAAAAGCAAAACTGTCATGTACCACATCTCCTTTAACCTGCTGGTGAAAGAAAAAGCAAAATTGGCAACATGGGAAATCCAACTCTAAAAGTCTGACTTCTGGCTGGGCACAGTGGCTCATGCCTGTAATCCTAACATTCCGAGAGATCAAGGCAGGAGGATCGCTTGAGCTCAAGAGTTGGAGGCCAGCCTAGGCAACATAGTGAGACCTTGTCTCTACTAAAAAGAAAATAAAAATTAGCTGGGTATAGTGGCACATACCTTGTAGTCCCAGCTACTCAGGAGGCTGAGGTGAGAGGATTACCTGAGCCCAGGAGATAGAGGCTACAGTGAGTTACAGTCATGCTACTGCACTCCAGCCTGGGCAACAGACTTATATCCTGTCTTACTTCTATGTAAACATGGATTTCTAACCAACACTGGATACAGGGTTTCCACATTATATTCTGTGCCACATTGCTCCTGTCATTTAACTGCCAAGAAAAGAATCACTTTCAAATCCATGACTTACATAGCATCTAACATATGACACAGAGAGAAGGAAGAAGGTCTGCTTTCAATTACGTCTCTGGTTGGTTGGTTTGTTATTGACTGATTGATTGATTGAGACAGGATCTTGCCCTATCACCCAGGCTGGAGTGTAGTGGCATGATCCTGGCTCACTGCTACCCTCTAACTCCTGGGCTCAAACTAACCTCTCATCATAGCCTCCCAAGTAGCTGGGACTACAGGTGTGCACCACCATGCCCAGATAATTTTTCCATTTTTTGTAGAGACGAAGTCTTGCTATATTGCCCAAACTGGTCTTGAACTCCTGGCCTCAAGCATCTTCCTGCCTCGGCCTCCCAAACTGCTGGGATTATGAAGCCGGGGTGCAGTGCAAGTGAGCCACTGCACCTGGCCTTATTTATTAATTCATACTTCAAGTCACAGCTTGGGCCGGAACAAAAGAATGAAAATAATCCTTTGATTAGTGTTCAGGAAAAGAATGAGATTGACATGAAAACAAAGGTGTTTTTCCTGCCCCTTTCAAAGTAAACACAATTTCCACTGGGTACGTAAGAAAACAAATTGTAATGACAAACATTGAGATTTACTGAGTTCTACATTATAAGCAATATTCACGAGAGGCCAAAGAAATATTTGATTTCTATAGAAAGAGGAAAATTACAATGATCAATAGAAGAAAATGGTCTAGTTTTGCCTATATACAAATAATATGACTCTTGAATGGGAATAAAATGATATTGCCTACCCCACGTTGATCACCTGAATCAGCATCAGGGATCTACCAAAACAATTTTCTGTCTCAGATAACAGAAAGCCGGGTGTAGTGACTCTAGCCTGTAATTCCAGCACTTTGGGAGGCCAAGGCAGGAGGACTGCTTGAGCCCAGGAGTTCAAGACCAGCCTGGGCAACATAGTGAGACCCTGTCTCTACAAAAAAAAAATTTGTTTTCATTAGCTGGGCATGGTGGTGCAAGCCTGTAGTCCCAGCTATTCCAGAGGCGGAGGGAGGAGGATCACATGAGCCCACGAGGTGAGGCTCCAGCCTGGGTGACAAAGCAAGACCCTGTCTCAAAAAAAAAAAAAAAAAAAAAAAAAGATAACAGGTGTTCACCAACTGGGTTCATAAAAAAGGAAGTACTTTAAAACTCCACGTAACACCAAATTTCTGGCTATTTAATGATTTGTTTTAACTTTCATTTTGAAAGTCTAAAGACCTCAGATAACAATCAAAGAGAGGAGGAAAAAAAAGTGTGTTTCGTTTTTTCTAACTAGGCAAGCTGATAATCTCCCATTTCTTTGCCTTCCTCAGATTCAAGGTTGTTTTTTTTTTTTTTTTTGAGGAAGATGAAGGGGATCAGAATATGCCACCCTAAAATATGCCACTTTGGCATAAGGATTATTTCGAGCTGAAGGTATCTGAGATTCAACAGATGCAAAAAGAAGCCTCCCCTGAGCTTCACTTAACTGATTAAAAAGCAGAAACTCTGAAGAAATGAGGACTGCCATAAATCTTCTCTCCCAGGGAAGTTTTATGGCCATGAAGAAGAGAGAAATTGAGCACCAAGACTGGCCTGAACAAACCTTGCTAAGATAGCCCCTTATCTTCCACTACGTTCCCACATATATACACCTTCCCACAGTTTGCAGCCCCTAGAGACCTAAAACTCTTTTCCTTTATCTTGTCGCATCCCCACAATTTATTATTCTTTATTAAAAATATCATAGAAGATCTCAGGCCTGTCCACATTTTTTGGAGCTTTACCTCTCTTCTAGAAAGATTCCTTTGACACATAAAAGTGAACATCAAATGAAATCTGTGTGCTTTTCTCTCGTTAATCTGTCTCTTGTCAATCTGATTTGCAAGGCCTCAGCCACTGAACCAAAAGAAGGTAGAGGGAAAATTTTTTGCCTTGCCTGTAGAGGACAATTGCGGTGGGGAAGGGGAGAGAGGATGGAGAGAGACTCCCAGGAGTTCTGGGTAAGAACTAGGAAGTGGCCCTGGTTGCTGTGCTGTCAGGGGCTGCTGCAGGTTTGGCCAATCAAGGAAGAAGCCCCTTGATGTAAGAGCATCAAGTCCCTTGGGCCACAGTCACAGCCTCCACTTCCGGGATTTGGGCAAAACCCAAATATTAATACTGTCCCAGCGAGAGGATTGGGAATATCCTAAAATACCTTTGGGAAGAAATTTCCCAGGAATGCACTCCCATTTTCAAAACTAGTCAATAAATTCTAAAGCAGAGGTATCCAATCTTTTGGCTTCCCTGGGCCATATTGGAAGAAGAATTGTCTTGGGCTACTTATAAGATCCACTGACACTAACAATAGCTGATAAGCTTTAAAAAAATAACCGCAAAAAAAAATCTCAATGTTTTAAGAAAGTTTATGAATTTGTGTTGGGCCACATTCAAAGCTGTCCTGGGCCAGGGGTTGGACGAGCTTGTTCTAAAATATTCATCTTCCAATAAGAAGTTTAAGAGTCAGTGTCTACTTATTATGTAAAATATCCAAATCCCTCTCTTAAAGTTAAAGTACTCTATAGGTCAAACCTCCACCACTCCCTTTCCATTGTATTTTGTTTCTAGCAGTCACACATTATGTGTTGCTTCAGATGCTCCAGAGTGGCTATTGAATTTAAGGCCTCTGAATGTAGTGCTCTTTTTCTCCCCAGATTGAATGCAAACTACTCAAGAGCTGGGATGAGTCTTCTGCTCCTTTTGTCTGCCTTGAGGCACCAAGAACAGTAAAGGTGCCATGAAGAGTGGCACTCAGGGCATTTCTGATGAAAAAACAATCAAATGATGTTTATTGACCTTTGTTAACAATCTTAAAGGGTCTTAGTGGCCTCTCAAACTCCATGATCTCTCTGAAGAGCTGGTTTCTACTATAAGAAATGCCTTCTGAAAAATTGGTTTTGTGTCACCCACCCAGCTTGCATTTGAAGTAAAGCTTTGCTCAGATGAAACTTGCGAACGGCAAAGAACATGCACAGATTATGAGTTTGGGTGTAACTATATCAGAACAAAACAAGTTCCTCTGTGATCTCCATTGTGCTCCATCCACTAGGAGGCCAAGCTCTGCTGTTCCTACAAAGTGCATTTCAACACTAGGCGATCCTTGTTTTTACTCTTCTCCAGATAATGATCACATGCCCCATGGGCATCTGTCTGAAGATGCAAAGAGATCTAGAAGAACTCCTAGCATTTCCACTTTTAAAAGGAATGGAAAGAGGCAGGCTAAAAGGAAGGAGGCAGCAGCTGCCACCCCCAGGTGCCACTGCCCCACACTTTCTCTCATCCTTTCATACCTTCATCCACCACCCCAATACTCTCAAGTCATCTCCCCACACCTTCACCCTCCCACCCCATACCTTCACGTAGGTTGGATCCCATTGGAGACATTCCTTGGCAGCAACAAATGCCTCATTCCACTTCCCAAGGCTGAAAAATGCATTTGATTTGTTGCACAGCAGCACAGCCAAGTCCCTCGGGGGAACCCTGTAAGAACAAACCGGTGGTCTGTCATGGTTCTGCAAATACAGAAAACAGTCTGTGAAGTCCCCCCATTCGGTGCTGGCTGCTGCCATCAGGAAGGGGGTTTCAGTAGGAAATGACTCATTCATGCTTATCAGATCAGTCTCCCAGACCCCAAACGAGCCTGGAACATTTACAATATATAAATCTGTCCTTCCTCACTCCCAAATACTCTGCTCCCGTCTTTTAATGACAATTGTTCTCAACAGGTTGGTTCCATCTCTCACTGATCTCCACGCATAATCATTTCATCTCCATTGCCAGCCCTCAGAAGAATCGGCTTCAGGTAAGAGGCCTGTGCAGGCCCTGGGAGCAGGGCCTATAAGGCAGGGAATTCCATAGTCTTGGTACCCACAGTGTAGACCAAAGGGGATGCAAGAACTCTGGGTGAGTACGGCCCTGGCCCCACAGACTCCTGCCTGTGAGGAGGGGCACAGCTGGAAGATGGCCAAAGGAGGGCCCTTTAAAGCGCAGCAGGGCAGGGATGGCTCTGGCCTTGGTCTAGAGGTAATATAGCTGCAAGTTAATGCTGAAACCAGGCCAGAAGAAAAAGGAAAATTCAAAGCAAACCACAATATGTCAAGAGAAGCCCAGCTACCAATGGAATATAAGACACACAAATAAAAAAAGCAAGCCTTATGACTTCTTTTTTATTTAATATCTTTGAGACAGAGTCTCACTCTGTCGCCCAAGCTGGAATGCAGTGGTGCAATCTCAGCTCACTGCAACCTCCACCTCCTGGGTTCAAGCACTTCTGCCTCAGCCTCCCGAGTAGCTGGGATTACAGGTGCACACCACCACACCCGGCTAATTTTTGTATTTCTAGTAGAGATGGGGTTTCACCATGTTGGCCAGGATGGTCTCGAATTCCTGACCTCGTGATCCGCCTGCCTCAGCTTCCCAAAGTGCTGGGATTACATAATTAAGATATTAAATAGGCCAGGCGCAGTGGCTCATGCCTGTAATCGCAGCACTTCGGGAGGCCGAGGCCGAGGCGAGGAGTTCGAGACCATCCTGGCCAACATGGTGAAACCCCATCTCTACTAAAATACAAAAAAATTATCTGGGTGTGGTGGGGTGCACCTGTAGTCCCAGCTACATGGCAGGCTGAGGCAGGAGAATCGTTTGAACCCAGGAGGAGGAGATTTCAGTGAGCCAAGATCGCACCACTGCACTCCAGCCTGGCAACACAGCAAGACTCCGTCTCAAAAAAAGAAAAAAAAAAATCTTAATCGTAAAAATAATACAAATCACTGTAGAATAATACAAAAATCACTGTAGATAATGCAGACAAGCACAAAAATATTAATAAACAAAGGAAAAATCACCTCCATTACTGTCCCCACCCTCGATGTTTTGTGTCTGGCTTCTTTCATGGCCCAACATTCCCTCTAGGTGAAGGGATGAGGCCCCAGAAGCACACAGGAGGCAGTGGGGTCAGGCAGTGAGGGATCAGCAAGGGAGCAGTGACCGCAAGTGTAAGAGATGCCATGGTGTCCATCCCAGACACTCTGGCCAGTGCAGCCATTCCCAGCTGCAATGTCTGTTGGCTGCAGCTAGAGGTTCTCAGCACCCTGTTCTCCAGAGATTTATCCTCAGCCTAATGAGAGCTACCCTCTCCCCAGGAAGTTACACCCATACTAGGGACTGAACTTCCCCCATCCCCAACTGCCAAAAAAAAAAAAATCCCTGGGTAGGCCGGGCACAGTGGCTCATGCCTGTAATCCCAGCACTTTAGGAGGCCGAGCGGGCGGATCACGAGGTCAGGAGATCGAGACCATCCCGGCTAACACGGTGAAACCCCATCTCTACTAAAAATACAAAAAATTAGCCGGGCGTGGTGGCAGGTGCCTGTAGTCCCAGCTACTCGGGAGGCTGAGGCAGGAGAATGGCGTGAACCCGGGAGGCGGCGGAGCTTGCAGTGAGCCGAGATCGTGCCGTTGCACTCTAGCCTGGGAGACAGAGCAAGACTCTGTCTCAAAAAAAAAAAAAAAAATCCCTGGGTTGAAGCCCTACCCCTCAATGTGACAATATTTGAACATGGAACCATTGGGAGGTAATTATGTTTAGCTGAGGTCATGAGGGTGGAGTCCTCACAATGGAATAAGAAGAGACGCTGGAGAGCTTGCTCTCTCCTCTTTGCACGTAACACAGTGAGAAGGCAACCATCTACAAGCCAGGAAGACAGCCCTCACAGGGGGCAGCTTGATCTTGGACTTCCCAGCCTGTAGAACTTTGAAAAATAAATTTCTGTTGTTTAAGCCACCCAGTCTGTGCTATTTTGTTATGGTAGCGCAAGCAGACTAATATAGCCCACTCCCTAGGATGACTGCCGGGAGCCAGACAGCCTAAAACCAGTGACTGACTGATATGAGAATCAAAAGGTTAACCTCCTTGCCTCAAGATGGAACCAGCTCTGCAGTATGATTCATGCTCCAGAGCTGCCTATGGGATCAGGCAAATCTTGCTTGGTTTAGACACCATCCCTGCTTAGAGCCTTCCTTGTGCCATCCTGCCTCCCTCAGTCCCCTTTCTCCTGCAAGTACGCTGTAAATCACATGCACCTGAGTCTCAGTGTTAGCTAGCTGTGGCAGGAAGGCCAGCAGCAGGTGATGGGCAAGGGGAACAGTGTCAGGAAGGTCCCACAAAAGGCAACATGAGGGTCCAGGCAGAAGTCCCAGTAGGGGTCACACAGTAAGTGGTGGAGCTGAGCTTTGAACACACATAGTGTGGGGTCAGTCTACAACCATAAACACTACACAATACTACCTCTTTCTAAGAAAGCTGAATGTTTGCCTTGATCGAGGATCTCTAGACCCAGCTCTGACACAATTCTGATATGTACCAGGACAAGGCAGAACTGCAGAAACTACAGACACAAGCTAATTACACTCAACTCAACCTCAACTAGAGTGTAGACATCAAGGAGATGGGAGGGGGAGGTGGAGCCGTGTTTCAGTAATTTAATTTGGTGCCATTTCCTAGCACAAGTTTAGGTTGTGTGCACCCTACAGATGCCAACATCTGCTCGCTCTACTGCAGCTGTTCCAAAAGGATGATCTGGGAACTTCTGGGGACCCTCAAGGCCACTGCAGGTGATCCACAAGGTGAAAATACTTTCACAGTTGTGGTAAGCTGAATAATGGCCCCCAAATACTGTTCTTTTTATGGAAAAAGACAAACTTTTGTGATTAACAAATGATGTAGCAGATGTGATCAATTTAAGGATTTTAGGAATAGGAGATTATCCTGAATTATGATAAAATCACAAGGGTCCCTATGATCGAGAGAGACAGAGGGAGACAGAAGCACAGCTGAGGAGAAGGCAAGGTGATGACAGAAGCAGAGATTGGAATGATAAGCTTTGAAGATAAAGGAAGGAGCCACAAGCCAAAGAATACACACCGCCACTCAAAGCTGAGAAAGGCAAGGAAGTGCCTTCTCCCCCTCAGAGCCTCCACAAAGAACCAGCCCTGCTAACACCTTGATTTTAGCCCCATTAGACTCATTTAGAACTTCTGATCTTCAGAATTGCAAGAGAAAAAATTTGTATTGCTTTAAGCCCTAAATTGGTGGTAACTTGCTACAGCAGCAACAGGAAACTAATACAATAATTAAGACATAATGTGCCTTGTTCATACTCATTCCCTCACACTCACACAGGGAGTTTTCCAGAAGCCATATGACATGTGATATTGCAACAGACTGAATACAGATGTAAGAAGCCAGCTGTCTTCTGTGGAGACAAGACATTAAGAAGGAGATTTACAAAAATGTACAAGTTTTTGTTTTGGAAAATATACTTTAAAAATACAACATGTAATAGATTTACTGATATATTTATTTATTTATTTTTGAGACAGAGTTTCACTCTTGTCACCGAGGCCAGAGTTCAATGGCACGATCTCGGCTCGCTGTAACATCTGCCTCCCACGATCAAGCGATTCTCCTGCCTCAGCCTCCCAAGTAGCTGGGATTACAGGCGTGCGCCACTACGCCCAGCTAATTTTGTATTTTTAGTAGAGATGGGGTTTCACCATGTTGGCCAGGCTGGTCTTGAACTCCTGAAGTCAGGTGATCTGACCGCCTCGGCCTCCCAAAGTGCTGGGATTACAGGTTTGAGCCACTCTACCCAGCAAATTTATTGATTTTTTTTTTTTTTTTTTTTTTTGAGACGGAGTCTGGCTCTGTCGCCCAGGATGGAGTGCAGTGGCGTAATCTCGGCTCACTGCAAGCTCCACCTCCCGGGTTCACGCTATTCTCCTGCCTCACCCTCCGGAGTAGCTGGGACTACAGGTGCCCACCACCACACCCGGCTAATCTGTTGTATTTTTAATAGAGATGGGGTTTCACCCTGTTAGCCAGGATGGTCTCGATCTCCTGACCTCGTGATCTGCCCACCTCGGCCTCCCAAAGTGCTGGGATTACAGGCATGAGCCACCGCACCCGGCCAATATTTTTAAATAAATACATATTTTATTTTTTTATCAGTTTTAAGTTCTACCATACTGTATTGACAGCTACAGCCTACATAAACAGAAGAAGCTCTTTAGGGTCCTCAGCAATGTTTAAGCATGTTGTGATACTACAATGTTTGAGAACAGGTCTGTAAGAAGCTGAAGGGGCAAGGAAAGAGAAAGTGAACCTTAGTGCCCGGCGGGGTGTGCGCTGTGGCCACGGAGTAAATGGCATAGATAATAAAGAAGATGAAATGAATGACAACGAAGAGGTTTGTTCGAAGACTTCAGCCATCCCATTAAATCTGACCCCTAGCCAGCCAGAACGGGAAGTTTTGTTATGTTTATCAACAGTCCTCTATGTTTCACTTTCTATTTCCCTTCTTACACAATCCCTGTTCACTTCTAAGCTGACAATGCAGAGAAGATAAATAGGAAGTGAGCAATAAAGAAAACAGAAACAGGGTGGAATGATAAGAAATGAAAAGAAATCATAAGGAACAGAGTCCCATGTACTGAAAAAGAAAAGATGAGGTGAAAATGCAAACACTTACCCCCACTGGTATAACTGCAGGAGAATCTGGATGGCTTCATCGTACTTTCTGATGGCCAAAGAGAAGTTCCCATTCTTAAGAACCTGGTTGCCGGATTCTTTCAGCAGCTCAGCGTAAGCTGTCAGGTCCATCCTGTGAGGAGACGGGGGAGACGCTTGCTGCCAGACCCGTGCAGGGCATGTTCACCTTCCGGTCTGCATTGCTGAAATCTGGAGAAGGAGTTCGCTCACTATGGCCCCACCCACCTTCAAAGGGCACATCTTGGCAACACCTCTCACCACCAGGAAACCAGGCAGAGTGTCTGACAAGACTATTTCTTTGTCAGTTCTTTTCTGTTCTCAAGGGTGGCCAGACCAATTCCATTTATTCAGCATTAATGATCTGGAGGAGGCTGCTTCCATGCATGAGACAACATAAACCTGGCAGGTAGTGAGTGCTATCCCTGTAACTGGCATTATTATTAATCTCATTTACCCATCATCACAGCCCACAGGAAGGCATTGTCCCCACTGTTCAGATGAGGAAACTGAGGCTCAGAGGTTCAAGTCACTTGCCTAAAAATCTGCTGATGGCATTTCCCATTTCTGACCCCAGATCTGACCAATTTCTAGTTTCTGCTCTTGACCACTGTACCACATCACGTATTGGTAAAAACTCAGCTGATAGTACTTCCACTCTCTTAGCAGATGGAACAGGGAGGGCAGGTGAAGGCCTCAGTATGCAAGTGGCTAGGACACAGAGACACAACCACTGTCTCTCCTGTCCCCCTCCTTTCTTAAAACACTATAAAATAAGCCTTGAAATATTTGTCCCTGAGACAGCCATTGCCTGCCTACTTGTCTGTGTCCCCCAAGGGTATTTGCCTCTTTCAGGTCAAACCCCTATTTTGTTAAGTTTTGTAGCCGTATGGCCTTGAACATAAGGGGTACTTAAATATCTGTGGTGTAACAATTGAATGCCAGACCCAGAGAAGACGCACATTACTGATTTTCTCCAGTGTGGCCTGGGTGGTTGGAGAGAACTGCCTGGCAGCCCTGACCACATGGGGGGCCTTGGTAAGTGTGCTGAACAAAGGCAGGAGAGGAGAGCACCCAGGAAGATCTTAAGAAGCAGCTGCCAAGGAGACAGGGAAAAGGTGGGGGTCAGAGAAGAGGTCCTTTAGTATTGCTTCCTCTCAAGATGGCAGAGGGAAAGGCAAATTGGTAGGGTAGGGTAGGTCTTAAATATGTGGACAGTTTCAGGTGTTCACAGATGACATGTACCTATGGGGTCATAAAATTTCTTAGGTGTCTTGATGACCAACACAATTCTTGGAGAGACAGTAATTATTAATTTTATCATTTTAAATCCAAGTAAGGGGTCAGAGGGGGAAACAGACCCAAGCACACATAAGTGGTGATTTATTTTAAACAATTTGACTTCTTGGGAATGGGGTTTTTGAACTGTACTCCACTTCTTAAGCAGAGCTTTAACAGAATGAGACACATGACTCTTAAGTCAGAATACTGAACTCTACCTATGCTTTTCATGTAGTAATCTCTAAATTATATGACTACTATTTACACAGAGATGACTAAGAAGAACATGAAAAAATGTAAAGAGCTATGTACTAGGGAATAAAGTATGCTTTTCTTTCAAATATTGTCGGCCATTTGTCCAATAAATATTCTTTAAGCTGGCCATGGTCAAACAACTGAAACAAGAAAATTGTTGCAATAACTGACAAAGAGTTCATATCCCTCCGTTATAAATAGCTTTCCACTGCAAGAAAAGACCAACATTCTCACCAAAATGTATAAGGGTCCTAAGAAACAATTCACAAAGAAACACCAAGTAATTGCTACTAAATATATGAAAAGTGGGTAAATAGGATCACCCTCACTAGTGCATAAGTAAATCAAAAATTGAACAACAAAATATCATTGGAAAATAATTAAAAGAATGACACGAAATGTTGGGGACACTGCTTACAGAGGAAATAGAATACATCATAAATAGGTTTAGCCTCATGGATGTTCACCACCTCGAAAACTTGGAAATAACTCTAAATGTTCCATAATATATAATGGGTTTAAATCAGTTATAGAAGATCCGTATGTTAGAACAACACACAGTTATTTTTAAAATCATGTTGTGGCTGGGCACAGTGGCTCACACCTGTAATCCCAGCACTTTGGGAGGCTGAGGCGGGCAGACCACCTGAGGTCAGGAGTTCGAGTCCAGCCTGGCCAACATGATGAAACGCCATGTCTTCTAAAAATACAAAAATCAGACAGGTGCGGTGGCACGCACCTGTAATCCCAGCTACTCGGGAGGCTGAGGCAGGAGAATCGCTTGAACCCAGGAGGGAGAGGTTGCAGTGAGCCAAGATCACACCACTACACTCCAGCCTGGGTGACAGAGTGAGACTCTATCTCCAAAAAATAAAATAAAATAAAATAAAATCATGTTGCAAAAGACCCAGTGCGCTGGCTCATGCCTGTAATCCCAGCACTTTAGGAGGCTGATCAGCTGAGGCGGGCGGATCACCTGAGGCCAGGAGTTCGAGACCAGCCCGGCCAACATGGTGAAACCCCGTCTTTACTAAAACTGCAGAAATTAGCCAGGCATAGTGGTGAGCACCTGTAATCGCAGCTTCTTGGGAGACTGAGGCAGGAGAATTGCTTGAACCCGGAAGGCAGAGGTTGCAGTGAGCCAAGATCACGCCACTGCACTCCAGCCTGGGTGACAAGCGCTAACTCCATCTGGAAAAAAAAAAATCGTGTTGTAAAAGAACATTTAATGACAGAGCAAGTTAGTAAATGAAAAATACAGGCCTATACGGTTGAAAAGGCATATTGTAAAAGAACATTTAATGACAGAGCAAGTTAGTAAATGAAAAATATAGGCCTATAAGGTTGAAAAGGCATATAATCCCAAATTGTTTTAAATACATAAAATGTATTGAAAATATGCCAAAATGTTAAAAGCCACGCCTTTGGGATTTGACAGAATTTTAATTTTCTTCCTTGATTTTCTGAATTTCCAATCACTCTACGATGTACCCTCTTACTAATCAGACCATAAATGTTATCAAACAGACTCTTTAAGGGTTTAACTGAAGAATTCAAACACAAGGTATTTCCATTGTATTTACAAATACAAAAAAAAAACTCTTCATTTCAATATTATTTTTCATAGTTCTCTAGAAACCAAGTCAGCTCTTAATGTTATGTGAGCAACAACAAATGTATTCACCCACCTATGTTTCTGCTTTTTATTGATACAATCACATCAAAGGTGAAAGAAGGAATGCCAACCATACAGAAGGCTTTTTTCTTCCTAATAGGATTCATTGAGAGTTACATTCTCATTACACGGAAGAATGCTTTATATCTCTACAATAGAATACAGATGGCTCCGTTGTTGGGTCTTTAAAAAAAAGAAAAAACTGACCAACTGATGATTTATTTATAAGATGAAATTATTAAATAAAAGTGGTAATAATTTACCATAATGACAATATTCTTCATAGCTAATATCTGCTAAGTACCTACTATGTGCTTTACATCATTGTGTCTTTTCATTCTTATAAGAAGCCTCGGCCAGGCACAGTGGCTCACGCCTGTAAACCCAACATTTTGGGAGGCCGAAGCAGGCAGATTAGCTGAGGTCAGGAGTTCGAGACCAGCCTGGCCAACATGGTGAAACCCCCATCTCTACTAAAAATATACAAAAATTAGCCAGGCATGGTAGTGCATGCCTATAGCCCCAGCTACTCAGGAAGCTGAGGCACGAGAATCACTTAAGCCCAGGAGATGCAGGTTGTAGTGAGCTGAGATCAAGCCACTGCATTCCAGCCTGGGCAACAGAGTGAGACTCTGTCAAAAAAAAAAAAAAGTGCTATAAGGTCAGCGTGACTCTATCTCTATTTTGCACATAAGGAAAGTGAAGCAAAGACAGGTTAAGCCACTTACCACTTGCCACAGTCACACTGAAATTGGTAATGTGAGAATTCCAACCTAGGTGGCCTCACTTTAAGAGCCAAACTACACTCTGAAGGGCCAAGACAGAGGCTAAAAGATCAGCACCCAGTAAAATCACTAGGGTATCTTATATTTTGGCTGGCACTGAGCACTCTACCCTGCACTTTCAGTTTCGTTAATGGTGTAAAAGCTACAAAATACTTAAGGACAATTGCACAGCTGCCTGGCTGGCTTTCAGAAATTTTCACTATGTCTCTATGAGAATTCAAACTCTAGTTGTTGGAAGCTGTCACAGGCTGCTGAGCTACATATGAGGAAGAAGATGCAAGAAAAATGCAAATGCACTGAGTAGATTTTGAAACAAGCAAGTCTGAAACAGAGCAGATCCAGGTGGTTGTGGGTTTTATGACTCATTGTGTATACGTATACACATGAAGTTCTGTAACTGACATACAGGATTACAGCAAAGACTGGCAACACAGATGGCCTATGGAGGGGTTATTACTGAAATGGGCAGAGAGGATGGCTTTCCCTTCATACATTATCTGGGTACTGCTTGAATTCTTGACAACAAATTTGTTTACTTTTTTATTTTATTTTTTTGGGGTTTTTTGTTTGCTTGCTTGCTTTTTTTGTTTAGGGTTGCCAAAAGAGCCCAAAAGCAGTCAATGATCCAAGATTAACTCGGGAATGCTGGCAGTAGCAGTAGATCCAAGTTGAAGCTAGAAAGAGTATGTCTCTTTTGTGTGTGTGTGTGTGTGTGTGTGTGTGTGTGATGGAGTCTCACTCTGTCACCCAGGCTGGAGTGCAGTGGCGCAATCTTGGCTCACTGCAACCTCCATCTCTCGAATTCAAGCCATTCTCCTGCTTCAGCTTCCTGAGTAGCTGGGATTACAGGCGTGCGCCCTGTAATCCCACCATGCCCAGCTAACTTTCTATATTTAGTAGAAATAGGGTTTCCCCATGTTGGCCAGACTGGTCTCGAACTCCTGACCTCAAGTGATCCGGCCGCCTCGTGTCCCAAAGTGCTGGGATTACAGGCTTGAGCCACCATGACCGTCCTTTTCCTTCTATCTTTCTATCTATCTTTCTTTCTTGCCTGTTTGCTTGCTTGCTTGCTTGCTTGCTCACTTACTTTCTTGCTTGCTTTCTTTTTCTTGCTTTGTTTCTCTCCTCTCCTCTCCTCTCCTCTCCTCTCTTTCTTTCTCTCCTCTCCTCTCCTCTCTTTCTTTCTCTCTCTCTTAAAAGTGACTCTTTCCTCTTCCCCGCAGGAAGGGTGCCACAGACAGTCAAGGATAAAAATCCAAAGTCAGAATATATCCTGGGGACTTCAATGTGTTTTGTTTTGTTTTTTTCTTTTTTTCTTGGGGAAAGGGGTACAAATGTGGGACAAGAAGAACAGGAATTTTCTTAAGAAACTCACTCAAAATATTTCATAAGGCCCCTGGAAAAGTATGTGGTGCTGCACCCAAGTCTTCCCTACCCAGGGCATTTAAATAGGACAAGACCGGAACACCTTGCCACCACCCCCCTCAGCTGTCTCACCATCCTGCCCCCGACCAAAGCCCAGTAAAGTGGCCTGCACTAAACCTAAGGCATTACCAGTGCAACTTATCCCCTTCGCCCATCAACTTTAAGTTATTCCTCATTTATTTACAGCCTCAATTACACCCAACTACATGCACACCAAAGATGGTATTTCTAAAGCCAGTTGACGAGACCAGCTCCGAACTGTTTTTGTAAAATTTATAACCTAAAAGTCATTCTCACAGCAAAAAGTAAACACCATAAATAATTATCTACCTCCCCAATATCTAGGGTCTCTTGACTGTTTTTGGGTTTGTTTTGTTTTTGTTTTTTTTTTGAGACTGAGTCTCACTCTGTCGCCCAGGCTGGAGTGCGGTGGTGCAATTTTGGCTCACTGCAAACTCCATCTCCCGGGTTCAAGCTATTCTCCTGCCTCAGCCTCCTAAGTAGCTGGGATTACAGGCGCACGCCACCATGCCAGGCTAATTTTTGTATTTTTAGTAGAGACAGGGTTTTCACCATGTTGGCCAGGCTGGTCTTGAACTCCTGAGCTCAAGTGAGCGCTCAGGTGATCCCTCGGTCTTCCAAAGTGCTGGGATTACAGACATGAGCCACTGCACCCAGCTGGTGTCTTCCTTTTTTTTTTTTTTTTAAGTAAATTTTATTGAGGTACAATTTACATATGATAAAATTCACCCATTTTAAGTGTTCAATTCATTTAACAAAATTTATGATCATGCAACCACAACCACAGTCATGATACAGAACACCCCCAATCCCCCATCCCCAGCTCCTGGGAACATTTTTCTAGATTATTTATTTATTTATTTATTTATTTCGAGAAGGAGTTTTCACTCTTGTCACCCAGGCTGGAGTGCAATGGCGCGATCTCGGCTCACTGCAACCTCTGCCTCGTGGATTCAAGCCATTCTCTTCCCTTAGCTTCCCTAGTAGCTGCTATTACAGGTGCCCACCACCATGCCCAGCTAATTTTTGTATTTTTAGTAGAGACGGGGTTTCACCATGTTGGCCAGGCTTGTCTCCAACTCCTGACTTCAGGTGATCCACCTGCCTCAGCCTCCCAAAATGCTGGGATTACAGGCGTGAGCCACCACACCAGGCCTATTTTATTTCTTTTTTGTTTTTTGTTTTTTGAGAAAGAGTCTCATCTCTGTCACCCAGGCTGGAGTGCAGTGGCCCGATCTCCACTCACTGCAAGCTCCGCCTCCCGGGTTCACGCCATTCTCCTGCCTCAGCCTCTTGAGGAGCTGGGACTACAGGCGCCGGCCACCACGCCCGGCTAATTTTTTGTATTTTTAGTAGAGATGGGGTTTCACTGTGTTAGCCAGGATGGTCTAAATCTCCTGACCTCGTGATCCACCCGCCTTGGCCTCCCAAAGTGCTGGGATTACAGGTGTGAGCCACCGCGCCAGGCCTACCTATTTTATTTCTTAAATTGACATATTGATAATGTACATATTCATAGTGATGTTTTGATGCATATAATGTATAAGTGATCAGATCAGGGTATGTAGCATATCCATCATCTCAAACATTTATTATTTCTTTGTGTTGGGAATGTTCAATATCCTCCTTCTAGCTATTTGAACTATATGTTATTGTTAACTACAGTCATCCTACAGTGATAAAGAACTGTTTTTAATTTTCACACACCCAACACACATGTGCCTTCCCACTGGATCTGAACTTTCAGCACACCCTAATCCTATTATTCATATAGCATCTACCCTATGCTGGGCACTGTGCTGGGGATCAGGAGTCTGATGGTGAAAGGATGGCCACTATCCCCACCTTCCAGAAGTTTACTGTCTGTTAGGGAGATGAACATTAAGTACATCAATAATCACACAAATATTATAGTTAAAATATTTTTCTTCTTATGAAGAAAAAGTAGAGGGTATAAGAAAGGCTGTAACAGGAGATCACAGCTTAGATTGCAGGGATCAAGGCAAGTCTGTTGGAATTGACATTTAAGACAAGATCTAAATAGTGAGCGGTTAGCCCAGTGACGAGGACAGTAGGTGTCCAGGCCACAGAAACAGCACATGCAAAAGCTCTGAGCTTCACAGTTCAAGAACTGTCAGGTGAGTAGGATGCAAAAGTGAAGCTGAAAGAGTAGGTAATTGCTGCAGTAAGTAGATGATGGATCTTGAAGGCCATCAGAGGGTCTTGGAATTCATCTAAATGCAACTGGGAAAGCAGCATTGTCTATGACAACTTTCTGTGATAATGCAAATGTTCAATTTTATACTATACAATACAGAAGGCACTAGCCACAACTGGCTACTGTACATTTGAAATATGACTAGTACAAATGAAGAACTGAATTTCAAATCTAACTTAATTTTAATTAACTTTGCAATACATAGCCACATGTGGCTAGTGGCTACCGTATTGAACAGTAAAACACTAGAGGGTTTTAGGTTGCAGATTAACAAGATCCAATTTGGCCTGGCACAGTGGCTCACATCTGTAATCCCAGCACTTTGGGAGGCCAAGGCGGGCAGATCACGAGGTCAGGAGTTCAAGACTAGCCTGACCAACATGGTGAAACTCCGTCTCTCCTAAAAAATACAAATTAGCTGGGCATGGTGGCACATCCCTGTAATCCCAGCTACTCAGGAGGCTGAGGCAGAATTGCTTGAACCTGGAAGGCAGAGGTTGCAGTGAGCCAAGATCGTGCCACTGCACTCCAGCCTGGGTGACAGAGCAAGACTCTGTCTCAAAAAATAAAAAAACCAAGATCCAATTGATACTTCCAGATCATCCTGGCTGAAGGCAAGATGGAGAGAAATAAGCCAATGTAAAATGGATGCAGGAAGAGCAGCCAATAAGAGTTCCTGATGAATTTCATGGGCTTGAGAGTGGAAGGCAAAAGAAATGAACTCCAAGGCTTTTAGCCAAATTTTACTTTGCATTACAGAAACAGGGGCTTTGGTTTCAAATATAAATGTATGGGTTTTTTTTGTTTTTTTTTTTGTTTTTTGTTTTTTTGAAGAGACCGGAGTCTTGCTCTGTCCCCCAGCCTGGAGTGCAGTGGTGCAATCTTGGCTCACTGCAGCTTCCACCTCCCAGGTTCAAGAGATTCTCCTGCCTCAGCCTCCCAGGTAGCTGGGATTACAGATGTACACCACCACGCCTGGCTAATTTTTTAATTTTTAGTAGAGACAGAGTTTCACCATGTTGGCCAGGCTGGTCTCGAACTCCTGACCTCAAATGACCTGTCCACCTCAGCCTCCCAAAGCACTGAGATTACAAATGTGAGCCACCGTGCCCGGCCAAATGCATGTAATATTGGATTTTCTTTTATACAAATACATACACTCACACCCACACACACACACAGCCTACCTCCCTGAGGATAACTATTGCAATACCACTGCATCTAATGGGGCAAAGTATATGCTCTATAAAGCACATAAATTTGGGAAATACACAAAAGCCTCGAATAGATAAACTTAAAACTGTCAAAGATGAACCAAATAGAAATATATTCTATATTTTTTTCATGAAATGGGAAAAAAGAAATATATTCTATAGGACAATATACATTATGAGCTAAATATGGTGTCATCAACCCATTAAAGTGTTTCAGCAACAACAGCAGGGGAAGGAGGAGGCAGGAGACACAGAGAACCATTCGCCCCTCTAAAAGAGAGGTCATCCCCGTACCAGGACCAGGAAAGATCAAGAGGTGAACTTCTTTCTTTCTTTTTGTGTATTTATCTGTTTGTTTAAGGGAGGGCAGGAGATGTTGGAAGTTTGGTGGGAGCAGAGAAGAGAGAGGCGAGTTTAAGATTTTCTCCAAGTACCATTTCTTTCATTACCAAGTATTTAGTAAACTTGGGGCTACCTCTGTATGTATTAATCTGGAGTTGGTTTTCCCTATAGCATGCATTCTCAATGGGGCAATATTGCCCCCAAAGGAAAGAAAATGGGATATTGGGGAGTAAAAATGTTTACTCTTTTCATGCACAAAGCACAGATATACATACAATACAAAAAAAAGGATATACAGTATTATCTGTGGTATTAAAATTTCATAGGGGGTGGGAAGCTAGATTAGCTAAAAGTCTGAAAAGGTTGGGAGGAGCTATAATGAAAAAATGCTTGAGTAACACTACCCTAGAGGAAATTGAGGGATGGAGGAAAGGGTGTTAAATGTAAACAAAAGATCTACTGATGAATATATAAACAAAATTTGGCATATACATACAGTGGAGTACTATTTAGCCTTAGAAAGGAAGGAAATCCTGACACAAGATACAACATGGATGAACCTTCAGGGCATCATGCTAAGTGAAATAAGCCAGTCACCAAAAAACAAGTATTTTACAATTCTACTTATATGAGCTACTTAAAATAGTCAATTTCATAGAAACAGAAAGTAGAACTGTGGTTACCAGGTACTATAAGGAAGGAGAAATGGGAAGTTGTTGTCAAATGAATATGGAGTTTCAGTTTTGCAAATAAAAAAGTTCCAGAAATCGTTTGTACAATATGAATGTGCTTAACACTGCCGAACTATACATTTAAAAAGTGTTAAGATGGCAAACTATGTTTTGTGTTTTTTACCACAGTTAAAATTTGTTTTAAGTAAAGAGAAAATAAAGCAAAAACCCAGAAAGAAAAGAAGAAAGAAAGAAAGAAAGAAAGAAAGAAAGAAAGAAAGAAAGAAAGAAAGAAAGAAAGAAAGAAGGAAGGAAGGAAGGAAGGAAGGAAGGAAGGTAGGAAGGAAGGAAGGAAGGAAGGAAGGAAGGAAGGAAGGAAGGAAAGAAAGAAAGAAAGAAAGAAAGAAAGAAAGAGAAAGAAAGAGAGAGAGAGAAAGAGAGAAAGAAAGAAAAAGAAAGAAACGCCAATGTAAACAAATATGTTCTGGACTTGTATTTCTACTCCAAGTCTGACAGAAACATTACTGATTTTCCTTACGCACACTATGTTACATCATGATACCCAAAAGATGGCAGGATATCAAAGTTTCCTCGGTTTTGTAGTAGTACTGATTTACATGCACATTCAGGAAAGTAAAAGCAGCCAAGATACTAATTACTTACAGAGCCATCCTAAGACCCTGGCCCCGCTGACAAGATGACAGTTAAAATATCCCCCAGCAGGCATCACAGGCAGGTGGGTTTGCAGTATTCAAAGTATAATTTATGTGCCCATAAAAAACTATATTATGCAATAAGGATATGTGGGGTTACAGTCAAATGGTCAAACAACATACAGCAACAATTACTGTGCAATATTAACAAAGACGTACAGTAGAGGTCTGTCATATCCCATTATCTTGATGGGCCCAATTTTTTTTAACATTTTTATTGAGGCAAAACCTAGTATAATGCGTGTAACATGCACTACTCTTCGGTGTTCAGCTATGATTTTTATACCCATCTACCCATCTAACTCCCACCTGGGTGAATATATAGAACATTTCCAGGTCTCCAGAAGGTTCCCTCTTGTCCATTCCTAGTCTAAACCCACCTTCTTCACCACTATTCTGATCTGTAAACTATAAATGAGTTTCACCTGTTCTTGAACCCCATAATAACATAGTGGGTTCCCTCTTTCCTTAAAGATTATCCATGTGAGACTCAACTATATTGTTGTATATATCAGTAACTCCTTTCTCTTATTGCTGTGTAGTGTTTGATTTTATTAATATACCACAATTTACTTATCCATTCTGTTGATGGGCATTTGAATTGTTTCCAGTTTGAGACAACTGTGAATAAAGCTGTTATAAATGATCCTGTATATGTCTTTCAGTGAGTTATTTGTCTGCCTTTCTTCCCAGGAGTGGATCTGCTGAGTGACAGGGAAGATGTGCTATTTACTTTTAGTAGAGACTGCCAGTTTTCCAAGTGGTTGAACCAATTTATACTCCCAAAAGCAGTGTTTTGTGTATATAAACTGCCAACATTTGTCAATTCTGCGCACTATCAGTCTTTTTAATTTTAGCCACTGTGGTATCTTATTGTGGTTTTAATTAGCATTTTCCTGATGACTAATAATGTTGTGTGCCTTTTATTGGCCATATGAGTGTCCTCTTTTGTGAAGCTCCAAATAGAACCAATCCTAGAAGAGTTGTTTGTTTTGTTTTTAATAATTAACCACTAGATGACAATATGCCAGGCCCATTGTAGCTCACGTTCTTGCAATATTGCTAATAGCAGAGGAAAGAATGGACTCTGACCTGCACACTGGACAGCCATCATTCTCCTATGCGGTACACAAACTATAATAAGTTCAGGAAATAAATTCTCTTAAAATGCTTTACCAATAAATGGCTAAGGATATTTCATTAGATTATAGTGACAGCGTGGTGCCAGGAAATATTCTTCTAAAAAACTAAAAACAGGTTAAACTTTTATGTCAGATACTTGAAAGTTGACCCTTAGTAACAGTTAATGATATTTATAATTTAGGAAGTTCTGACACTCTACCCATTTGGCTACAGTGAACCATTCTTGGGACCTTTGAAGTGGCCACTCCTTCCTCACTGAGTCCCAGATTTGTTTCTGTTATGTGCCTCTCTTCCCCAAGCTCCTTAGACTTAAGGGAAGCTGACTCCACCCTTACTTCCTAAGGGTCTGATGAGCAAATTTATCTCCCTGACAGAAACTGGTTCAGTATTGAGTGTAGGGCACAATTCTGGCCCCTGAAACTTAAAAAGATGTTTATTGGAGGATTCCAAGACAGTGTTTTATCATCATTCTGGATAAGCTTCTAGAAGAGAATCTCTCTATTACACAGAGCACTGTCCAGTGTGGAAGTGAAGCTGTGAATCCTGACACTGAGATGTGTAAATGTGTGGCCCTACGTTTCAGCTGCATTTTGCTTCCGGCGTAAGGATGAAATCAACACTCACAGGATGAAACCAACAGTGACAGAAAAGGACAGGGCCCAAGAAAATAAAGGAAAATAGTGGGGAGCCATCAATTTGGGGAGAATCCTGAGGCCTGCCCTATCTCTGGACTTCTACTTATATGGTGCATCAGTTAGGATGACTTTGGCAGCAAACGAGGAGTTGGGGGTTGTGTAATTTTCTTATTGGATACAATGAGTTCTAAATTTCTCTTCAAAGAATCAGTATGTCAGCATGTTCAGTTCTTTGTCCTCCATTTTAAAGTTTAACTTCCTCGTAGTTTCAGTAAACAACCTTTTCCACCAGTTTTAATCAGTAGTTCACATCTGTTCTCCTGGTCACCTGCTCCATCCTGACTCATCCTGGTTACCTGCTTTGACCTGAGTCACCCCCGGTCCCCTGTTCTGACCTAAGTCACCTTCGGTTACTTGTTCCATAACTGTCTTTCCTGCCAAACTGTTAACCCCACCACTCTGGCTCATACTCCTGCTCTCTTTAAAATAGCCAATTGGAATTAGCTTAGACTGTGCTGTCCAACCCTAGCCAATAGGGAAACAACACAGCAGTAGGGGCTACCTGCGACAGGAATAAGAATCCCTTCCCCTCCCCTGTCCAGGTGTGCTCTCACCATTACTCCATTCACGAGTCACATCCTCCTATAGAAGTAAAAATTGCCTTGCTGAGAAAATTAAATTTATGTTCCAGTGCTATTTCCTTGCGGCACCGAAAATTTATTTGTAACATTCTCACAGAATCAGAAGTAAGGGAGTAAGAGTACAGCTCTTTATCTCTCTGTAACACCATCCTAAGCACACTGGCTTTGTGCCCTCATGCTTGTCCCCTCAAGATTGAAGGTTGCTATAACTCCAGGCATCACATTAAAGACAGGAAGAAGGGGTCCCTGCAACCACTGGCTCCCTGGTACCACGTATCTCTTTCATAAAACTTTCCCAAAGCCCCCAAGTAGACTTCTCTACATTTCACTAGTCAGAAATAGGAATCTAGAAAAACATAAGTATGTGGCTCTATAATGGTAGGTGGCCAGGGAAGAGAATGTAGGTAGGAGCTGCTGGGTTTGCCAAACAACAGGGTGAGCTAGTACATATCCTTATTGTTTAAGTTAGGCTTTCTGTTACTTGTAACTAAAAGCACAGCAGGCCAGGTACGGTGGCTCACACCTTTAATCCCAAAACTTTAGAAGGCTGGGCTGGGAGGATTGCTTGAGCTTAGGAATTCCATACCAACCTAGGCAACACAGTGAGACCCCCATCTCTACAAAATAAAAATTAAAAAATTAGCCAAACATGGTGGCATGCACCTGTAGTTCCAGCTATTTGGGAAACTGAGGCTGAAGATCACTTGAGCCCTGAAGGTCAAGGCTGTGGTAAACCATGACTATGCCACTGCACTCCAGCCTGGGTGACAAAGTGAAACCCCATCTCAATAAAAATAATAATAATAATAAATAAAAAATGAAAGCAGGGCAATTAGCTCTGTGACAGTTACTATTCTATCTGGCTACTATTACTATTCTATCTGGAACATTCTGTCCAATGTGGTAACCACACATGGCTATTTACATTTTAATTTAACTAAAATTAAATACAATTAAAGGTTCAGGGCCGGGCGCAGTGGCTCACGCCTGTAATCCCAGCACTTTGGGAGGCCGAGGTGGGTGGATCACAAGGTCAGGAGTTGGAGACCAGCCTGGCCAATGTGGTGGAACCCTGTCTGTACCAAAAAATACAAAAATTAGCCGGGTGTGGTGGTGGGTGTCTGTAATCCCAGCTACTCAGGAGGCTGAGGCAGGAGAATCACTTGAAACCAGAAGGTGGAGGTTGCAGTGAGCCGAGATCATGCCACTGCACTGTAGCCTGGGTGAAAAAGTGAAACTCCATCTCAAAAAACAAAAATACAAAAAACATAGCTGGGTGTGGTGGCACACACCTGTAGTCCCAGCTACTCGGGAGGCTGAGGCAGGAGAATCGCTTAAACCCAGGAGGCAGAGGTTGCAGTGAGCCGAGATCACACCACTGCACTCCAGCCTGGGCGACAGAGCAAGACTCTGTCTCAAAAGAAAAAAAAAAAAAAATTAAAGGTTTAATTCCTCAATTCCTCAGTCACTCTAGCCACATTTCAAGTACTCCATAGTCATACGTGGCTAGTAGCTATCTTATCTGTGGAGTCCTAATTAGGAACAGGAAGTCACGCTGGCAGGGCCGAGGGAAAGCAACAACAGACATCAGATAAACTATAAGTCTGTCTTTCTTCATGGTCCAGGACACACAGTGCTCCTGTGCAAATAACTTACAATCTTCCATTGCCCAACTATCACCAGACACCTGCAAGTTAGCTCACTGCAACCTTAGTGTTTTATCAGCACTGCACGTAGCATTCTGCAGCCTAAGAACCATCCTATAAAATCCCCAGCAAGACTTTGTTTCCTGGCAGTCAGCTCCTCTTCTGCTGATTCTGACCGTTGCCCTCTTGTAACATATTTTCCTATTTTCTCTAATAAATCCACCCTTCTCCACCTACAACTGTCTTGGTAAATTTTTTTTTTTTTTTTGAGGTGGAGTCCCGCTCCAGTTGTGCAGGCTGGATTGCAGTGATACAATCTCGGCTCACTGCAACCTCCAACTCCCAGGTTCATGCAACTCTTCTGCCTCAGCCTCCCGAGTGGCTGGGATTACAGGCGTGCGCCACCACGCCCAGCTAATTGTTGTATTTTTAGTATAGACGGGGTTTCACCATGTTGCCCAGGCTGGTCTCGATCTCCTGACCTCAGGTGATCCACCTGCCTCGGCATCCCAAAGTGCTAGGATTACAGGTGTGAGCCACCGCGCCTGGCCTTGGTAAATTCTTTTACCCCCATGCCACCAGGATAGTCACTGCTCACCCACAACATTTTGGTGGCCTGTAGGGGGAACTCTCTCTGGACGGGAACTGTCCTCACAGGAAACTCTCTCCCCTCTCTCTTTCCCTTTCTCCAGTCAGCACCCTCCGAGAATAGCCTCTAAGCATGGAGGCAACTGCAGGTCTCCGGCAGGAGCTACACTCTGGTGGGACTGAAAGGTGACTGTGTGGAAGCATCTGACGGCCACTGCCCAGATTGGGTGAGGGACCTGGGTTCACTTACTCTTTTCAGTCTTTCAGCAGCTGGCTTCTTAACCATCCTGGTGCTCTCCAGTGCTGCCTGAAGGCCAAAGGGTGAACAGGGCTGGCTGCCTTGCCTGAAGGGAAGAAGACTCTCTCTCCTATCTGGCAGCAGAAGCTCATCCAGAGTGAATTCACACACGTTTGGGGTAACTCAGGTGCTCTCTTTCTCACTCTACATTCTCCTGTGGGGTCAGCCAGCCATCCTGTCTTGGACATTGCTAAATCAGGTGACCTCGGACAGCCTCAAAATGGTGAGGGTTCCCTTACCCACTCCCTCTCCTGGGCGGGCACCAGGTGAGATCACCCTTTACCCTTTTTTCCTCGTACCTGGGCTGATCACCCAGAGTGAGTACCTGGACTGGCCGTCCAGCGTTAAGGCCCCTAGCAGCCAAGTGCTCTTTTCTAATAGGTGGAACACCCCTTTGGAAAGTGCACCCAAAGTCCCTCAGCAGACACAAGTGGAACCCTCTTTTCATCTTGGCAGGATGTCCCAAGAGAAAGTGCAATTAGTGCCCTGAAGTGGCACCGCTCCCAAGCAGCATGTTTTCCAGTCCCACCATGGGACAAACCCCATCTATCCTTCAAACTCACCTCTGGGCTACATTCTAAAGCATTAAAACAAATTTAATTCTCAGACTCTCAAAAAAGAGAAATGTGTAATTTTCTTGTGTAACACAGCATAACCCTTATGCAAAAGAAATCATCAAATTAACTTCCTCAGTCTTTTATAACCAAGAGCAGAATAAGGAGAACAGGGCTAAAAAGAAAGACGCAGAGACAAAAACCAGGCTCAACTGTTGGCTGCTTCACAAGACCCCAGCCCCCTCCTCGTTGCCCTAAGGACACTCCTCCAGATAACTGCCACCGGTGCGAAAGGCCAGGCCACTAAAAGGCAAAGCACCTCAACTGAATAAATGAAAAAAAGTCCCACATGCTTGCCCCCTCTGCCACAAGCTTGGCCACTGGAAACAGGACTGCCCTGAGAGCCAAAGGAGCCCCCCCGGACAGAATCCCAAACCCCAGTGGCCTTAAGCTAAAGAGGCTCTCTGCTCCTGCTAAAAACAGCTCACCTTAACTGGTAACTTGCAGAGGTGAGGAAGAATTCATCTCACACCATAAAGGTCTGGGGTGCTAAGGCTCTCCCTGATGGGAGAGAAACAAGGGTGTTAGGGGTATTGGCCCCACACCATTCAGTGGCTGAAAGGGGGTAACCCAGGCACTCTCACACAAACTTTACAGGAGGCACACAAACTCTCCTGTAAAGTTTAACCTTTTCCTCTCTGTTCCTTTCTTTTTTCTTTTCCTGTTCAATCTAGGGGTCCAGATTGAAAAGATGGTTTCCAACATCCTAACCTCTGATTTTATTGTTCTTTTTAAAACTCCAGCTAGTTACATATTATGGCCTGTTTTGTGCACATTTTAAACTAATGGGCAAACTACAATAAGAAAAAGTCAGAGCTCAAATGGTTAACCTGCACCATAGGGTTAAGTAGAATCATCTAAAGTTCTCTATCTTCCTCTTTTTTTTCTGTCTGCTTTAAATTTACTGTTACCAAGTTGCTGGTGCTGAGATAAGACTCGTTATTTATGATCCAACTAGAATGTAAACATTGGAAACTCATTTAAAGTTAAAGAAAAAAAGGTAAAAGAAGTTTTGTTAAACAAAGAACCTAGAATTTTTTTAACCTTCCTTAAAAGTTAGTAAGTCCAATACCTCTTTTGAATCTTTCTTTTTTTTTTTTTTTTGAGACGGAGTCTCGCTCTGTCACCCAGGCTGGAGTGCAGTGGTGCAATCTCCGCTCACTGCAGCCTCTGCCTCTCGGGTTCAAGCAATTCTCCTGCCTCAGCCTCCCGAGTAGCTGGGACTACAGGCACACACCACCACACCCAGCTAATTTTTGTATTTTGAGATGGGGTTTCACCATGTTGGCCAGGATGGTCTTGATCTCCTGACCTCATGATCCACCCACCTTGGCCTCCCAAACTGTTGGGATTACAGACATGAGCCACTGTGCCCGGCCGTTGAATCTTATTCTTAAAGCTAACTCTTTTTATTCAGTTCTACTGCAGGCTCTCAGTAACTCTCCAACTACCTCTCTTAAGCAGCTTCACCCTCTTAATATTGATGCTTTTATAAGGGAAGTAGTATACAATTGCTATTTGCAAGGAAACTTCCAAGATTACTGCCCAGACAAAATTTCTTTATATTTGTCCCAGTAATGACATATACCCCCACACCACAACAACAATGTGCTGAGGTACTTTGCGTTTAACTGTTTTTCTTATACTCTTTACAGCCCTTCTTCTTTCCTGTCTTCCTGAGTTTCCTGTATATTGTCATTTTCCCTAAACATGGCTCTGTTTTTATTCGTCTATCATGGCTAACTATTGTCTCAATGGCTATACGCAGGCATCCACTCTACTCAGTAACATCACAGGTTGCTAACATAACACACAGCACTAACTGCTGGATGTGCCCTCGCAAACAAGCACTTGAGGATGACATTACACTCTTAGCAGTCCCATGATCTACAGAAGAAATTGTTAAGCCCAATACTCTGGATTAGACTATACCGTTTACATGCACACCAAAAACACAGGTCTAGGAGAGAGACCTGGGCCAATCGATCCCTCATGGCAATCATCCACCGTGACAAAGCAAATAGGGAAGGCACCAGAAATGGCCTGTAAGGCTCACCTCTGCATCAGAAACTCCAAGGGGTCTGGCCCTTTCCTAGGGGCTTTAACACAAGCCCATTATAGTTACATCATTAACTATAATCAAATGTACCAGGAATGGTAGCCAAACAACAACTCTAACGAGTTCACTGTGTACCTCTGCAGGTTTTCTCTATGGTTGGGAAACAACAAAGTTAATGCCAGCAAAATTTAGAGTGATTCCTTTATGCCTATAAATGGTTCAGCAAATGGGACAGAATACAGAGGAACAAGGGTCGAAACTGGGCAACTTCTTAACCTCACTAATATGTCTATATCTGTTCCTCAATTTTCCCTTATCCCATTAATATTTAAAAACCTTATTTGTCAGGCCAGGCCCCACTTCTCCTGCCTATAATAATGATTATACTAGTTTATTTGCACCTTGTATTGTTCATGAAATATCTTGTTTTGCGTCTTCTAGAATACAACTTCAAACCAAAATGTTACTGCAGCAAGGGTATCAGCCAGTAAAAGAACTAATGAATCCCCTTTGGAGCCAGCAGAACAAAATTTGAGGCTGCAAATGCTGTTCCCCTAAGGTCCCACAGCGACTCTGCCTAATTTAACTCCCAACCCAGGGACTGAGGCCCATGTAACCTCCTGACCGACTAACAATCCTAGGTAGGGCCAACTCTACGTCCCTGGTCAGCAAGAAGGTGAAGGTGAGACCTACACTCACATGCCAAAGATTTGTCATCGCTGCTCTGTCAGTGGAGGAATGTGGAGTCCTAATTGCAGAAAAGAAGTCAGGCTGGCAGGACCAAGGGAAAGCAAAAACAGACAACAGATAAGTTGTAAGTCTGCCTTTCTTCATGGTCCAGGACACATAGCCCTCCTGCACAAATAACTTACAATCTTCCTTCACCCAACTATCACCAGACACCTGCAAGTTAGCTCACTGCAACCTTGGTGTTTTATCAGAACTCCACGTAGCATTCTGCAGCCTAAGAACCATCCTATAAAATCCCCGGCAAGACTTTGTCTCCTGGCAGTCAGCTCCCATTTAGTTACTTGCTCTAATAAATCTGCCCTTCTTCACCTACAACTGTCTTGGGAAATTCTTTTCTCTGCACGCCACTGGCCCAGTGGTCGCTCACCCCCAACAATATTTGACAGTGCAGATCTAGAGAAAGTTTTGGAGAGTGCAGTTCCACATAGAATAATAAGCCAGATGCAACATCTCAAATATTATTTTTCTACTCAGTGGAAATTTAGCCTTCAATTCTTGTGTGTGAGAGTATGAGGGCTGTTTCCCCAAATTTTGGAGTGCCCCAGGAGTTGGGTATGTCCATGCTCCATCCTATTCCCACCTCAGAGAATCATGCTGTCTTTCTAGCCTGCACAAATCTAAGACATAAGATGAATATCTGCAGTCAGGAACTAAATTCTCGTGGAATTACTTCTGTGGTGCATTTTGATATAGAATGTGGGGTCACAGGTTGTGATGAGCAAACCCAGCCCATATCTCTCCAAGCATTCCCTGATTAGTGCCCACAGTATTACAACTGGAAACTAGTTTCTTGCCCCATAGCTCCCACATAAATACATTAATTTTAAGTTTCTATCTACTTGTTCCCTTGAAAACTAGAGCAAAGGCCTGCAAAACCAAGGTACGCCCAATAAAACCGCCGTTGACCTTGCAAAGCAAAAATGAAGAAAAATTTCTGACATGATTTCATGAAGCAACGTGGTTTTTTGTTTGTGAAGGGAATGGGGAAAAAGTCTTTTTTTCTACAGATCTGATCCCTATTTGACTAGCTGTTGAGAATTTTCAATACAGCCAACTTTAAAGTCCTGTTTCCCTTGATATTCATATTAGGACTTCACTCACCACACACTGACTCACTCTTGTCCCTTCACCAACCAGTACTTCAAAAGATGCTTTTCATTAAATTCTTCATTACACATGGAACATTTCACTATGGGAGAAAAGCAGAAGCAGGACTCCTGGGAAGTTTAATTACACTAATACTGCTTTATGACTTGATGTTTACAGGCTTAAATTAATACAGGACTAAAATAACTTGTATCTCTGTGACCTGAGGATATAGACACAGATTTTCAAAGAAAAACCAAGGTAATAAGAAGAACATTAATTTTGAAAAGTATACATGTAATTCTCATAGGAGCATTTTTTAAAAGCTCCTTACAAAATATGAACTAATGTCCTTATATTTTCAAGACTTATATGGAGAAAAAACAAAACTTTACTTAAAAAAAAAGTATTTTTAAAATACTAACATGTTTCTGGTTTGGGCAAATTCACTATTATAAAATGTCAAGTCCTCCCATGTTAATGAATTAATGTATATTTTCAGCAAAATTTCAATTTATAAAAAATAAAATGTTTAAAGAAATTAATGAAGCAGCTGTCAAGGTTATCTAAAAGAACACATAAGCCAGAATTGCAAAGATATTTTTAATAAAAAGAGAAGTATCAAGAGGGAATCTTCTTCCAGGTGAGGCTTAAAGGATAAAAGTAAATCAAATAAAACAAATAAATAAAAGAGTAGAAAAGGGAATCTTCTCTAACATTTTAAAATACATATTTATAAAACATTAATTTTTTTTTTTTTTTTGAGATGGAGTCTTACTCCATTGCCCAGGTTGGAGAGCAGTGGCAAGACCTTGGCTCACTGCAACCTCTGCCTCCTGGGCTCAAGCAATTCTGCCTCAGCCTCCTGAGTAGCTGGGATTACAGGCACGCACTGCCACACCTGGCTGGTCTCACCATGTTGGCCAGGCTGGTTTCAAACTCCTGATCTCAAGCAATCCACCTGCCTCGGCCTCCCAAAGTGCTGAGATTACAGGCGTGAGTGACCGCCACCGGGCCTATAAAACATTAAATTGTTAAAGTCAGGTACTAACATGAAAGTAAGCACATCAATGGAACAAAGTAGAATATCCAGCAATAAATATATATAGTATAAAAAGCAGAAACACATGCCATATGTAATAAAAGTGGCTTTTTAAGTAAATTGAAAAAGAGTGAATCATTTGGTACAACTCACTAAACATCTGGAAAATAAGTTAAATTCCTACTTCACCCCATGTGGCAGGCCAAGTAATGAATTCCCCCAAAGACATCCAGATCCCTATCCCCAGAAACTATGAATATATTACATTACATGGTAAAAGGAAGTTTACCGATGTAATTATCATTACAGACCATAAGCTAGGGATACTATCCCTGGATTATCAGGGTGAGCGCAATCTAATGACAAGAACTCTTTGACTGTGGCCCTGTGGCCAGAGTCAGACAGGCTCATGGAAAGACGAGGGCAAGGGAGATGCAGCAGATTGTTGTTGTTGTTGTTGTTGTTGTTGTTGTTGTTGTTTTGAGACGGAGTTTCACTCTTGTTGCCCAGGCTGGAGTGCAATGGCACAATCTCAGCTCACTACAACCTCAGCCTCCCAAGTAGCTGGGATTACAGGCATGTGCCACCACACCCGGCTAACTTTTTTTTGTATTTAGTAAAGACGGGGTTTCACCATGGTCAGGCTGGTCTCAAACTCCTGATGTCAGGTGATCCACCTGCCTCTGCCTCCCAAAGTGCTGGGATTATAGGCATGAACCACTTTGCCCAGCTGAGATGCAGCAGATTTGAAGCATGAAAAGGAGTGGGCCCATCACTGCAGGCCTTGAAGGCGGAGCGGGGAGGAGTGATGAGGAACGTGGGTCACCTTAAGGAACAGAGGCTCCCAGCTGACGGTAAGAAAATGGGGACCTGAGTCTTACACCTACCAGGAACTGGATCCTGCCAACAACATGAGTGAGTCTGGAAGCAGGGGGTCTTTGCAGACTTTCCCGGTAGGAACTCAGCCAGCCAACATCTTGGTTTTCGCCATGTGAAACCAGCCAAGCTAGCCCACACTTCTAACCTATGGACTGTGAGATAATAAATTCATGTTGTTTTAAGCCACTAAGTTTGTGGTCATTCATTATGGCAGCAATAGGAAACTAATATACATCATACACCAAAATTAGTTCCAAATGAATAAAAAAAGTCAGTGTGAAAATGATACCACAGCAATAAAAGGAACAAATTGCTGATAAAAACAGCAACATGAAGAATCTCAAAAAGTTTATGTTGAGCAAAAGAAGCCAGACAAAAGAACATAAACTGTGTGATTCCATTTACATGACATTCTATAACAGGCAAATCTAAGAAATCAGAACAGTGATTGCCAAAAAAAGAGAGGGGGACTGACTGGAAAGGGGTATCAGTGAACTTTCTGGAAGAATGGAAATGTGTATTTTGACATTGTGGTGGTGGCCACACAGGTGCATATGTTTGTTAAAACTCACTGAGCAGTAACTTAAAATCTGTGCTGTTTATTACATGCAAATATCTCATTTTTTAAAAAGCACCGAGAAAAAGAAAAGCACTAACAGAAAATATAGGTACAGATTTTAGATAATCTTCAACCACTCTAGGAAGACATTCAGCAATACCTAACAAAGTGACACATACATATGGCCTTTGAAGCAGCAACTGACTCTACTTCTGGGAATGGATCTTACAGACTGACTGCATACATTGGAAATGGCAAATGTGTAAGATTATTCACTATCATGTTGCTGTAATAATAAAAGACTAGGACCAACTTTAAGACCCATCAACAGGGGACTGATTCAATAAATTAAAGTGCAGCACCCCCCCAAAAAACAAAATATTAAGTGTTAAAAAAAAAAGAATGAAGACAGTTCTGTATATTGATCTAGGATAACCTCCAAAATATATTTGAAAAAGCAAATGCAGAACAGTGTTTATATTACATTCCCTTTTGTACAGAAAGGAAGAGAGGGGCTGAATAAGAATATCTATTAATATTTGCAACCAAGTACAGTGGCTCATGCTTGTAATCCCAGCACTCTGGGGAACCAAGGCAGGTGGATCACTTGAGCCCAGGAGTTCCAGACCAGCCTGGGCAACACAGTGAGACCTCATCTCTACAAAAAATGCAAAAATTAGCTGGGCATGGTGGCACGCACCTATAGTCCCAACTACTCAAGAGGCTGAGGCAGAAGGATCACTTGAGCCCAGGTCAAGGCTGCAGTTAGCCATGATCATGCCACTGCACTACAGGCTGGACAACACAGCAAGACCCTGTCACAAAAAGAAAGAAAGAAAGAAAGAATATACATTTGCATTTGCTTATATATGCATAAAGAAATTCTGGGCCAGGTGTGGTGGCTCACACTTGTAATCCCAGCACTCTGGGAGGCCAAGGTGGGAGGATCACTTAAGTTTAGGAGTTTGAGGTTACAGTGAGCTATGATTGCACCGCTGCACTGCAGCCTAGGTGACAGAGCAGGAAAATCTGTCTCTTAAAAAAAAATCTGGAAGGATCCCCTAGAAATAAAATTATTTACCCTTATTGGGAGGGTGGGGCAGAGAACACAGGAGAGAGACTTTTCTTCATAACCTTTTTATATATTGTTAGATTCTTGAATTACATAAATTCAAAAGAGCTTTAGTGCAGTTTTATGTAATCTTCACATTTGAGGTCATTCTAATGATACCAAAAGCAGAAATCATAAAAAAAGTAACAGACATGAATCCATGAAAATTACAAACTCCTATATATCGAAAGGCACTGAAAATACTTTAAATCAACATGGTTATGCGTAGAGATTCACTGACATACTGCCATGGCGGATAAAGCAGTACAGCATCTGTCTATAGAAATGTTAAATGCACAGCAGAGTGCAGTGGCTCACGCCTGTAATCCCAGCACTTTGGGAGGTGGAGGTGAGTGGATCACTTGAGATCAGGAGTTCGAGACCAGCCTGGCCAATGTGGTGAAACCCCGTCTCTACTAAAAATGCAAAACTAGCCAGGTGTGGTGCCTGTAATCCCAGCTACTCGGGAGCCTAAGGCAGGAGAATCGCTTGAACCTGGGAGGTGGAGGTCGCAGTGAGCCGAGATCGCACCACTGCACTCCAGCCTAGGCAACAGAGCGAAACTCCAACTCAAACAAACAAACACGCACACACAAAAAGTATGAGTTAGAGCTATCAGAGTGTCAAAATATGCAATTAAAGTGAATAAAGCAAACTGGAGAGCAATTTGGAGAGCAACTTAGAGAACGAGTTGAAGAGCTTAAGGATGTATGTGTGTGTGTACATTTCATCTATAGAGAGATTTCTGACTTAACAAACTAATAAGAGCAGTGATCTTTGGGGAGCAGATCTGGGAATGGGAAGATTGCTACTGAACTATGAGAGAGTACATTTTTCTGTTGTTTTAGGTCAGCTAATTTGTGGTAGTTTGTTTTTGCAGCCCTAAGAAACTAATACACCACCACTGAATATATTCACAGAATCATATAAATAGAAAAAATGCAATAAAGTGTGGGATATGATGAGGTTTCTCTTCAAATAGCTTGATCAATCCTTTATTCTTTAATTCATAGTACCCCCAAACCCCTTTTTCTCTTTTTTTCTTCCTTTCTGTCTTTGTTACATGTCCAGACATGCCACAGTACCAGGCGTTATCAGTACTAGCTCACATTCCTTTCCTTATTTGGAAATGCTCTCTAGCTCATTGCAGACACCCCTTCCCCTTTCCCCTCTCTCCCTTATGTGCCCACCTTATCTTTAAAAAGTTCAAATGTTTAGCCAACCGGGATTAGTTTAGAATTTACGGCCTGAACCCAGCCAATGGGGAAAGGGTACAGGCGCACTTGCTTCAGGAATAAAGGCTCTCGTGCCCCTTTGTTCAGGTGTGCTGTCATGGCGACTGGCCAAGGAGGCACCCCTCTGCGCAAAGTAAAATTGCTTTGCTAAGAATCCTCTGTTTGAGTGTTCAATCTCCTTAGGATTTTGAATGTTATTCCCAACAAAAGTGAGATGATTGGACTACAATTTCTAGAGCAAGGAACCCAAAGCTCAGAGATTAGGGGGCCTTGAGCCAGGCCACACAGCAGTGAGCACCAGAGGTGAAACCCAGGCTTATCTCCTAGCATCCACCCCAGCACCCTGGTCCACACTACCTGTCACCTGCCATTTCTGGGTGGGCAGGAAAGACAGGCCTAGATCCCAGGGCTTGCTTCTGGTTCATGATGTTTCAGGTTAATGGGATATGGGCCATGGTGATCCCTGCATGTTATTTGAGTGTAATCCCTGCAACATTTACAGAACCTTTGCTTTGTTTACCCAGTGAGGAGAAAATATTTGGTAAAAACATAGCCCTAGTATTTGTCTGTTTTTCAAAGGGGTTCCCTGAAATTACTAATCAATTAAGCAGCTACAGCTGAGAAAGTCTGTGGGACTCAAGACCTTGCCCCACTTCCCAAGCTAAGATAGGCTGTGAGGATGAGGCATGGGACAGGTCAGCACTGTGATGTCTGGAAATAGCCCCAACTCTTTCCACTGTGATTGTTCCTTTAGGAAACAGGGCACTTGCTCAGGGGCCCTAAGAAACCCTTTTCAGCTGGAGGGCAATGTCACCATGGTAGGCATGCTCTAGATGGCTGCTCAGCTCACTGCAAAGGCCTTCCAGGGGAGAGCCAAGGTACACAGAGGCAGGCCAGGGCCTTGTGTGTGCTCCATGGGCCAGACCTGCCAGGACAAGGCCCTTTCCTGGGAGTTTCTTAACTAGAACTTTGGGAAGAGTCCCCTTGTGTTGGAAACTGAGATAGGAGGCTCCAGAGGGTTGCAGCCTTACTTCCTACCCTGAGAAGAAGCCAATTTCTGGGGTAAAAGAATATAATGCCTGTGCCCAGAGAAAAGAAAGGCAGAAAGCGGGGCTCCTACAGCCCCCAAATTCCACATCCCATTGCCCTGAGGCCCAGCTGCTGCCTACCCCTTCCTTGGTTACTAAGCACCCTTCAGGAACTTTCCTCCTTCTGTCTAAATCGTTTGAGTTGTTTTTTCTCTCATTCATTAAAAACGAGGGAAGCAAGGAAAAGTGACCTGCCTGTTTCATCCTTCTCTACAGCTGCACATTAGACAAGGGTCTATAATACCAGGGGTGTCCTACCCTCACCCCGCCCTGGGTATCTCTGGTCACAGTATTCCTTCCTGTAGTACCTGACAAGGCCTCGGAATCCTTTGTGAAACATTCATTCCAGGTGGCCACAAGTTCACGCCCCAGATGAATCCTATGTGCCATTCCCAGTTTACATGACAACAAAGACTTGAGCCAAAAATCAACTTGTGCATTTAAGCACAAGCATCCAGAATGTCCTAACTAGAAAACAACAAGCCAAAGACACACAGTCAGCTGTTCTCGAGCTCATTCCCAGCTTGCCTCCCTTAGGAGGCATGCAGGCCCCAGAATAGCTATCCCTGAGTTGGGTTCACACACACCCTCCAGAGGTATCTTCCTTGCCAGGCTGGATTACTGCAAAATTGGCCTTTTCATTGCTCTCCCTGGCCCACCCTCACCCAGCTCCAGCATGGCCTCTTCACCACAATCTGTAAGACAGTCCCCAAGACCATCAGATCATGTGCTATGTGTCCAGATTAAAAAAGACCCCAAGATCACCCAGGCCCCCAACCCCATCTGCCTCCCAGCACAATTTCTATGAACATCAGCTCTTCCCCAAGGGACTTGCAGATTCTCTGGGCCTTTCTCCCTCCCTCCACTTTAACCCCCTCCAAACCTCATGGTCTCCCTGCATGCCCACCCCGGGAGGGTGAGGGGCCACAGTCACTGCTGCTGCTCTTAACACACCTCTATAAGGTCCTGTGTGTAGCTTTTATACCACTTAATCCCCTGAATTATGATTTACTCGTTCTTTTGCCATATATTTCCCACCCTGCCTCTATGTTTGGGGCACTGTGCTGGTCTCGACAGCTCTGTGCCAGACACTAATTTGTTTTACTGCTTTCCCTAGAAGATGCCTGAATTCTTTTTTTTTTTTTTTTTTTTTTGAGATGGAGTTTTGCTCTCGTTGCCCAGGCTGGAATGCAATGGCGCAATCTCAACTCACTGCAACCTCTGTCTCCCGGGTTCAAGTGATTCTCCTGTCTCAGCCTCCCGAGTAGCTGGGATTACAGGCACATGTCACCACACTCAGCTATTTTTGTATTTTTAGTAGAGATGTGGCTTCATGTTGGTCAGGCTGGTCTTGAACTCCTTACCTGAGGTGATCCGCCCATCTCGGCTTTCCAAAGGGCTGGGATTACAGGCGTGAGTCACCGCACACGGCCAAAGCCTGAATTCTTAAGGCAAAAACTAAGTCTTAGTAAGTCTTACTATTTCTGCAACCCAAGGGCTCAGCATTTGTTGCATGAATAAATGATTCTCTGGCCACTTCTTACTTATCAGAGGCAGATGATTAAGCTAGAGGACTAGAAAAGGAATAAAAGTTTGGGAGATTTAATTCAAACTAGATTATTTCACTGGTGGTATTGGATTTCTGGCCATTTCCCATAAAGCCAGGTGGTTTTGTTACTTGGGGAAAACAAAGGGAAAAGGTGTATACAAATTAATAAGCACCTGTTGAGAATCTAATGGTCAGCAAACAAGGTAACATATCCCCGTGAGCAATTCTAGTCCTGGAGATTCGAAAATGCTAAAAGCTAAGAACAATCCTGGAGGATCAGTAATTCCTAGCTTTTTGGAACTGGAAAACAGTAGCATTTGCACGCACAAAAAAAGAAAAGGGATAGGTGTGGTGGGCCACGCCTGTAATCCCAGCACTTCGGGAGGCCAAAGTGGAAGGATGGCTTGAGTCCAGGAATTCAATACCAGCCTGGGCAACATAGCGAGATCACATCTCTACAAAAAAATTAAAAGTTAGCCAGGCATGGTGGTGTATGCCTGTAGTCCCAGCTACTCAAGAGGCTTAGGTGAGAGGATCATTTGAGACGGAAGAGGTCAAGCCTGCAGTGAGCTGTGATCACACCACTGCACTCCAGCCTGGGTGACAGAGTGAGATCCTCTGTCTCAAAAAAAGAAAAAAAAAAAAGGAAATTGAAGGGAATCTAAGATAGGGTTGCCAACACTTAATTTTGCCAAAAAAGAACTTTTTTAAAAAGTACCAACTACGCCCCAATAATTTCACAAAAGGAGGAACATTTTAACTCCAAAAAAAAAGGATGAAGAGTGTAAACTCAGGCTAAAAACAGCCATTCTCGAGGAAGGATGAGCTGAGAGCCTCGCCCCACATTTTAGTCATGGACAGCGTGCAGATGAGATGGGCCTTGAAAGACAGATGATGGTTCCAACTCCCTAAAACCAAGCCAGGAAAATGCTCAAGAAATACTGCTAAAGGGCAGACAGGACGGCATGATGGCTCACGCCTGTAATCCCAGCACTTTGGGAGACTGAGGCGGGTGGATCACCTGAGGTCAGAAGTTCGAGACTGGCCTGGCCAACATGATGAAATCCTGTCTCTACTAAAAATACAAAAATTAGCCAGGCATGGGCACATGTCTGTAATCACAGCTACTCTGGAGGCTGAGGGAGAATTGCTTGAGCCCGGGAGGCGGAGGTTGCAGTGAGCCGAGATCATGCCACTGCACTCCAGCCTGGGTGACAGAGCTAGGTTCCGTCTCAAAAAATATATAAATAAATAAATGGCAAAGACAGATCAATTTCAACTTCTGGGTCTGAAATGGAGTCTCAGTCATTCAACCTCCAAAGAGGAGACCCTAAGCCATCCCTCCCTTTGTGTAGCTAGTGGTAGACACATGATTTCTCCTCAGTGTGCCACAGGCTATTGTTTTTCCAGATCATTATTTGGATGAATAGTTTAAGGCAGCTGCATGATAACAAGTAAAGTGTATTCAGCACTTACTATGTGCCCAGCCCTGTCCTAAACCCATCTCAAGCATCTTCTCACTGAATGTCTTTAAGAATGCCAGGAGGTACAAATATCCCAATTTCACAGATCAGGAAATAGATTTACACAAAATGAAGGGACTTCTCCAAGCAAGGAACAAACTTAAGTCTGATATAAAAATCTGTGTTAACAACCCATAGGACAGAAGAGGTGTACAAAGAGTAAAGATTATTGGGAAAATCAGAAAAGGGGCCTTTAAAACTAAAATCAAATTCCTGCAAAAGCCAGCCCAAAGAATAACCAATAAGTTAGCATTCCACAATGTCTCAAGACAAATGATTTAGTTAAGCATCAGCCAACCACAGATTACTCATAAATCTTGACTTAGGTATCTGTGCTAGGCCTAGGCTGCCCAATAACTGCCATTTTTCCTTCATGGCCCCCATTGTTTATGCAGAGTGTCCCAGGAACTATGAAGTTGGGAGCAGCCCCGAAAAGGGAGTACACCAGGCACTCCAGTGACAGCCATTAAACAAAGATGTTTTCTAATCAAAGGAGAACTTGGGCTTTGATAATAGCAGCCCAGGCATCTCCCCACCCAGAACCTTCTCCAAGCCTCTATGTAGCATTTAAATGCTAACTAATGCCCTTCATTCCACCTCCCAACCCCAAGACCACAGCAATTTGCTTCCTCCTCAATCTGAGGGGCAAGTCAAACCCAGCAGAGAGGTGAAAACACCGTTCACTGCTGCATGGGGAGGGTCTGGAGGTGTCCAGGAGCTCCCCGTAGACAAAACAATCTCCCATGGACAAGGACATCTGAAGGGTGGCCCCTTAACAGCACTGGGAGAATCGGAGTTCTAGCCTCTGGGTTTTTTTGTTTGTTTGTTTGTTTTGTTTTTTTTGTTTTTTTGAGAGGGAGTCTCTCTCTGTCACCCAGGCTGGAGTGCAGTGGCCTGGTCTCGGCTCACTGCAACCTCCGCCTCCTGGGTTCAAGCAATTCTCCAGCCTCAGCCTCCTGAGTAGCTGGGATTACAGGCGCCCGCCACCATGCCCAGCTAATTTTTGTATTTTTAGTAGAGACAGGGTTTCACCATGTTGGCCAGGCTGGTCTCAAACTCCTGACCTCATGATCCACCCACCTCAGCCTCCCAAAGTGCTGGGATTACAGGCGTGAGCCACCAGGCCCAGCCATTCTAGCCTCTGTTCTAACACTAGTTCATAGTTTCCTGACACATACATAGAGACTTGAACTTTACCTTGAAAAAACTGTGGACTTTGGCCAGGCTGAAAGATGTATTTATCCACACTCCCAGCCTCCAGAGTCAAAACTTCTAAATAAAACACAGAGCTGGCCGGGTGTGATAGCTCACACCTGTAATCCCAGCACTCTGGGAGGCCGAGGTGGGAGGATTGCCTGAGCTCAGCAGTTCGAGACCAGCCTGGAAAACATGGTGAAATCTGATTTCTACCAAAATACAAAAAATTTAGCGGAGGGTGGTGGCGCGTGCCTATAGTCCCAGCTACTCAGGAGGCTGAGGCAGGAGAATCACTTGAGCCCAGGAGGCAGAGGCTGCAGTGAGCCTAGATCGTGCCACCAAACTCCAGCCTGGGCAACAGAGCGAGAATCCGTCTCAAAAAAAAAAAATACAAAAATACAAAAATTAGTCGGGTGTTGTGACACATGCTGGTAATTGCAGCTTCTTGAGAGTCTGAGGCAGGAGAATCGCTGGAACCCAGGAGGTGGAGGATGCAGTGAGCTGAGACCGCACCACTGTACTCCAGCGTGGGCAACAGAGCGAAACCCTGTCTCATAAATAAATAAATAAATAAATAACACAGAGCTGTGTGTATACACAGGCACACAAACATATTTTCCATGGCCTCTACCCTCATGTAGAATAAAGCCTGAATAGTTCAGATTCCCATTCTAACATACACACACACACACACACACACACACACACACACACACGCCTCTACTTACCTTTCTAGTATTCTCTAACACTATGTGCCCACCATGTTTTAGCCACATGACCACAAATTCATGTGGCTCCCTCCCATTCACATGACTTTGCACAGCAGTGTTAACAGGGCTGGGACTAGTCCCAAAAGGAAGATACAAGGATATGAGTGTTTTCCTCATAGAAGAGAAAATCCAGAAATCTGGGATCAAGTCCCACTGTTCTCTCTTCCAGGCCTGGTGTCAGGTGGTAAATTCACTTAATTTCTAGGCCTCAGTTTCCTTACTGGAAAACAAGGACAGTATCACATACATGACTGGACTCCTTGTCTCCTCACACAGTCAACAAATATTGATTGGTGCCTACTGTGTACCAGGTACTCTGTCTGCCAGATGCTTGAGCTATGTGAAACAGCAATAACAAAAAACACTGCTGCCCCTTCATGAAGCTCACATTCCAGTACAGGTACATCTGTAAAATGGTACTTGCTCAAAATATTTATGTGGGAATTAAATATAATAATATATGAAACACAACTCAGAGGCTGGCACAGGGTAAACTATTATTATTATGTTGATGTTTAGTGTCCAAGCCCTTTTGTTCACTTTTTTTTTTTCTTTTGAGACGGAGTCTTGCTTTGTAGCCCAGGCTTGAGTGCAGTGGTGCAATCTTGGCTCACTGCAACCTCCACCTCCCGGGTTCAAGCGATTCTCCTGCCTCAGCCTCCCGAGTAGCTAGGACTACAGGTGTGCACCACCATGCCTGGCTAATTTTTTTATTTTTTAATGGAGACAGGGTTTCACCGTGTTGGCCAGGCTGGTCTCGAACCACAGGTGATCTACCCGCCTCAGCCTCCCAAACTGCTGGGATTACAGGCATGACCCACCGCGCCTGGCCCACCATTATTCTTAGTAAGAAGCTGCTCCTTGGCCGGGCGCAGTGGCTCAAGCCTGTAATCCCAGCACTTTGGGAGGCCGAGGCGGGTGGATCACGAGGTCAGGAGATCGAGACCATCCTGGCTAACATGGTGAAACCCTGTCTTTACTAAAAAAGTACAAAAAAATTAGCCGGGCGTGGTGGCAGGCGCCTGTAGTCCTAGCTACTTGGGAGGCTGAGGCAGGAGAATGGCGTGAACCTGGGAAGCAGAGCTGGCAGTGAGCTGAGATCGTGCCACTGCACTCCAGCCTGGGCGACAGAGCGAGAATCTGTTTCAAAAAAAAAAAAAAGAAGCTGCTCCTTTAATCTGGAGTGTCCCTCTCTTCCACCTGGCAATCCTAATCTGCCTGCTAGAAGTGCTCTCCACCTGTTTAGGTACAGCTCAAAACTGACCTCCCATACTTCTTCTGGGAAGGATTCAGGAGCTGGGAAGTCTCTTCGAGAGCTTGTCTGCACCTCCACTAATCCTTTTCCACAGGTCTACATGACATTAACTCCGTTCTATCACAATTAGCAGAGCCTATGTCTTATATATTTACATCCTCCATACCCAATATGGACCCTTGGATATATCTGAGGAGCAGAACTGACTTGAAAAACAAAAAGCAAGAAGGGGTGAGAAAAGGCAAGAAGAAAGACCATATTAGAGAAACAGTCTGGGGGCCAGATTATAGATGGCCTTAGTACCTGGCCAATGAGTTCAGGCCAATGAGTCCCTAGAAGTCATCAGTGATTGAGCCTCCAGGTAGAGTGGACCTTCATGGGCAGAAGATGAGCTAGTCTAAGGGTGAGCAAAAATGATTGCCCTGGTGGCCACAGCTGAACATGAAGGATGAGCCCATCCAATGTCAAGGCTGCTGTCTGAGCATTCTTGCCCCAGTGAATGAAGATCACCCAATATAGTGCTATAATTCTCTATATTTTATGTGTTGTGCACTACTGGCCTGGTTTCCTCCAAAATCCATCACTGATTTTTCGGACTGGGAATACTGCCCTCTTTCCAAGTGCTAGGAGGACCCAGTGCTTAAAAAATAAAAAATCCCAATCAAAATGTTGCTGGAACTTCAAAGACAGATATAGCTAAACCCAGAGTTGGCTTGGCTCCAAAAGACACACAGGGAGTCCCACCAGCCCACCAGGCTCACAGGAGCTCACACAAGCATGCTATGGTGAGCACAGGGCAGGTACTGTGAGGCTCAGCATCTAAGCAAAAGATGGAATTGATTCAGGTAAACGGAGTCCAGGGTATCTTAGGCAAAGGTCATTCACATTTCCAGATTTTCAACAAAAACAAACAAGGCAATACTTATGCAATTTTAGACCAAGAAAAATGTCTGCTCTGGCAGAATGAACCTTGCTAACCTAAGGAGTGACCAAAGGAGTAATCACTCTTGGCTGGGCACTGTGACATTTTTGTGTTCCAAAGATGCCTGTTTATCTGGCTCAATACTTTCTTTTTTAAAGGTTAAACTTAACCATTCTCCCCATCGCTGTAACCAGCCCGACTATCAGTCTTTGCTGTAACTGTTACAGTGTCATCTTTGCTGCCCCAAGTCTTTCTTTCCTGTAAAGATTTCTTAACAAGGGTGCTTTTGGCCTTGGGAACCTCAGGCAGCACTCCAAGGAAATTTGTTTTAAAAGCAATGAGCCTGCGGTCACTCTGAGGGCAAAGCACTGACATGTCAGCCCCACCTCCCCATCTGGAAATGCAGTGGAGGGTTCATTCCTTAAGGTCAAGAAAACCAACACCACATACTTGATAATGGCCAGAGAGGCCCACACCTCAACCTCCACTTCAGTTCTTAAAATCCTCCTCTTCAGATCACTTTACCTTCCCCAAACAGGAGGACTGCAGGCTCTACTTGGCTGCTAAAATAATCTTCATCCCCAAAAGCAAAGATAAAATAATGAGGGCATATACTATAGAAATGGGTCTTTGGTAGTAACTTCAGGAAAACAGAAGCAACCAGCAAATAGAAGTTTAATATTTCCACAAGGCCAGTCTCTATTTGGTTCCTGAGAGCCATGGACTGGGAAGTCAAGAGATAAGTTGTCTAATCCCAGATCTAACACTAACTCGTTGGTAATGACTAACAAGTGATGGCCTTTCTGGGCCTTAATTTCTTCATCTATAAAATGATCGTGGTCCAGCTCTTGATTGCAGCTGTGAAATTCTGAGACAAGACCCAAAGAATCCTTTTAGAAAACTATGAATCCAAGGCTGCAGTAGGGTTGCAGCATCTTCCCTTCTTCTTCCTCAAAAAAAAAAAAAAAAAAAAAAAAGAACAGGAGCTATTATGCCCCTACCTCCCTAGCATTTACACCAGGCCCCACTGGGATCCATGCAGGAGGCCAGCTCTCTGTGGACACATAGCCAGAACCAAAGTAACCAGAAGCATCTGCGGTCTGTCTTTGTAGATGGTACTGGCTTGAACCACACAGCCATGTCCTACAGTATTCTATCACTCAAGTATGAATTTCAGTCTACTTCATCACTCCTACACCAAGTCCTCACTTCCAAAGTCAACTCCCCTGTGAAATGCTGACGGTCTCCTCATACTCTGGGAGAGCGGCGGAAACAGAACCTGCAGTTGCCCCATAAAGCTGGTCAGTCGGTCATAAAGTGAAGTTAACAATTTATGACCCGCTTTAAAAAAAAAAAAAAAACATAGAATGGGCCGGCGTGGTGGCTCTGGCGTGTAATCCCAGCACTCTGGCAGGCAGAAGCGGGTGGATCACTTGAGATCAGGAGTTTGAGACCAGCATGGCCAACATGGCGAAACACCGTCTCCACTAAAAATACAAAAATTAGTCAGGCTTGGTGGCGCCCCACCCCCGGCCCCCCGTAATCCCAGCTATTTCGGAGGCTGCGGCAGGAGAATCGCTTGAACCCAGGAGGCGGAGGCTGCAGTGAGCCGAGATCGCCTCATTGCACTCCAGCCTGGGTGACAGAGCGAGAATCCCTCTGGTGGGGGGTGGGGGGAGGGAATAGAATGGAAAATATCATTGTGCCTCACCCTGTAGAAAGAATAACTATACCATGAAGCTCTTGCTGCAATTTTACATGTGTATGTGTGTGTGCGTATATATGTATATATAATATTACACACATATTATGCATATATACATTATATACATATAGGTGGGTGGGTGTGGGTCTTGATCGAAAAAAGACCTAGAAACCCATACATAGGCCAGTGGCAGTGGGATGCGACTCTGGGAGTGAATGCCACACACACCTATCCCACCTCTACCCACCCCCCCACCCCCCGCAGAGGATGCAAAAGCCAACAAAGAGCATATGAACTCAAGCACCTATCCTGCAATCCTACAAAACAGACCTGCCTGGAAAACAGTTGAAACAAACTCCTGACCACCGTCCCCGCCCTCCAACACACACACACCGTAGTACTTTTTTTTTTTTTCTATAAAGGACCAAACAGGATGCCATCCGGATAACAGCCTTATATCAAAAAGGATCCTGGAACCCAAAACGCTCAGCACGAGGGAGCAGGAGCGCATACCTACGCTGGGAACACAAGGCTTTAATCCCAGCTATTCCTTCCCGCATAAGGACTAACTGAGCCAGCAGCAACTGGGTTGGAGCAGATAGGGGAACTAGAGACCTCAGAGCCCCATTCTCTTTCTGCTTCTTAAATTTTTTTTTCTTTTATTTTCCAAATTGCACACTTCCATAAAAATTTTCCTAGGAAGCACCAAAGCTTTCAACTGCCCAGAAACACCCCGATCTGGGAGAAAAGGTGGCTTGAGCTGCACCTCAAAGATGGGCTCTATCTCAGCCGGGTTGCAAGTGCACAGGGCTCCCCGCGGGACGGAGACAGGGAGTTGGGAGGAAACGCAACGCGCCTCCCAGGCAACAGACTCCGAGCTCCGGTTCGGAAACGCTCCGAGGCAGAAGCAAGGGCTTCTAAGGGCTCCGCTTCCCAGCCTTGGGTCCCTACTACTACCTTCCCCCTAGACTCGGTGAGCCCAGGCTGATGGACCGTGCAGTCCAGTTTGAGCCAGCCCAGCAGCCCTCAATCGGGCGGGCAGGGAAGAAGGCCTCCTACTGCCGGGAAGAGGCCAGCGCGCTCCAAGTTCCCCGCAAATTCCGCCCTTCCCGCCTGGCACGGTTCCCTTGCACCGCTGTGCTCCGCTCCCAGGTTTCTGCCCGCCAAGAATGCTTGCCCCGGGGGCGCGCTCGCTGGTCAGGAACCTGTCGGCAGCCCCCGGGAACCCCTGAGGATGCGGAGGTGGGCCCGAGAGCTGCGGCTTCGATGCCGGGGTGGGAGCTAGGCAGGCCGCGCGCCGCCGCAGTCCTGTCGCAGCGCGTGCCCTGGTCCCTCCGGACCGAAAAGGCCGAAGCCGTCCCCCGCGACCGACCCCGCGCAACTGGCTCGGGTCTGCACCTAGATGGCTGTGGGCCCCACAGGGATGGCCGGGCGGGCCCGTTCGGCCGCTACCTCAGGGTCGCCAGTCCCCGCGCGCGGCCGCCTCCCGCCAGGAAGGGTGGCGGGCCCGGAAGGCCAGAGATGCCCCAGTGCTTCCCGCGCCGCTACGCACCTAGCTGCCCGCGGGTCCCACATGGCTGCGGCCGGAGGGTCCGCACCAGGACCGCCGCCGCCTGGGGAAGCGCTTCCCTGTGGGCAGGGCGCGGCGGGCAGTGCGGAAGCCCGAAAGCTACCGGAGCCCGGGGCAGGGGCGGCGCGATGCAGAGGCGGCGTTCGGGGGCCCCCAGCTGCCTGCGGCTCGGCTACCCAGCCGCGATCAGAGGGGGCGGGGGACGCAGGAACCCCGGCGTCCGGGCGGTGTGCAGCCGCAGACCTATTCCAAGTTTCCACGTAGTTGCGAGAGCCCAAAAACTGTCACGTGCACGTCGCTGCTGAGTGGGAGGAGGTGTTTGTCATCGCGTTCAAAAGGGGCGTTTCGGTGTCTCCCGTCATGCAAGCAAATGGTATGGCTCTCGGCCGCCTTTGAATAAACGAGTGCTTCGAACCCTTTACCAGGAGGGACTAGGCGCACAACCACCTCCGACACTCCTCGGGCATGCGAGAATTCGGCTTTCCTTAGTGGGGCCCATCAATGTTGTCCGGGAGGTAAAGAAAGTGATCGGCCAACGGCCTCAGCGTGGGTTTTCTCCTTCCCTCGTTCCTCCCTCCAACAAAGGACGTACGGAGAACAAGCCCCCTAGCTCCTACAGATGAGGAGCTCAGGAGTCGGGCGAATATCAAGTACTTACTGTGTGCTTGCCCCTCCACTCTGGGGAGGCTGGGGGTCCGGGAGTGAAGGGGGCAGCGAGACCGCGGGCTGCTCCACGCTCACCGTCGTGTCCATGGAGAGTAAGTGCGCACAGGCCTGAGCAGGCAACAAAATGAGGATCTTGCCTTGTCTTTCCACCTCCCCAGTGATGATCGACAGAGTAGTGGGTCGGAGAGGACCACCTCTGGCTGCTACCTCCCCAGCGGTTCTCGGCCTAGGGAGCCGGTTTGGTCTTCACAGCTTCTCTGGGCCTGGGAGTACTTTCCTACACACCAGAGAATCCACCCAATCAGAGAGCTAAGCCCGCCGCCCTCCCCTGGGGCAAGGTTCGGCCTACACTGCATCCCGGTGGTTCGCCCATCCTTCTGGGGGACCACCACACCAGGCTGCCTGGTGGCAGGGAGGACACCACCAGAGCTTTAGTGAGGGGGACCACACATTTCAGCGAAACAGAGAGGCTTTGGTAACACGTGGACACACCTAAGGCACACAGTATACTTCTCTCCACTGGTCATTCTGCGTTGTGAACTAGTCTCAGTCTAGCTAGTGGTCTCCTTGCTTCTAGAATCTCACAGAGATTTCTGTGCATTGATCTTCCCCAAACATCAGGATGAATCACGTACAGTTCAAAAGCCATCAGTGGCACTCCATTGTCTCCTAGAGATCAGGTTAGGTACCCGGGCATTTGAGATTCTTCTTCACAATCTTGCCCCACATTTCCAATCTTAGCTTCCTCATGCAAACTCTATACTGCAGTGCTTCCCAACCTTAGTTACACAATAGAATCACCTGGGGAGCTTAAAAACAAAAACAAGGCCGGGCGGGTGGCTCACACCCGTAATCCCAGCACTTTGGAAGCCTGAGGCAGGCGGATCACCTGAGGTCGGGAGTTTGAGACCAGCCAGACCAACATGGAGAAACCCCATCTCTACTAAAAATACAAAAAAAAAAAAAAAAACCCAAAAATATGCGTATGTTTGGCTTTTACTCCCAAATTGTCTAATTGACATGGGCGTCAGGAATTTTTGTTTTTGTTTTTGTTTTGAGACAGTCTCACTCTGTTGTTCAGGTGATTCTCCTGCCTCAGCCTCCTGAGTAACTGGGATTACAGGTGCCCGCCGCCTTGCCCGGCTGAATTTTTTAGATTTTTAGTAGAGGCGGGGTTTCACCATGTTAGACAGGCTGGTCTCAAACCCATGACCTCAAGTGATCCACCCACTTAGGCTTCCCCAAGTGCTGGAATTATAGGTGCAAGCCACCACACCCAGCCACATCAGGATTTTTAAAAGACTATAACATGCTGCAAAGTTTGAGAATCACTGCTAGCCACCAAATAGTTGGACTACTTGCTATTTCCCAGACATCATTGGTCCTTTCACTTTTAGGATACTTTCCATATCCTTCCTCCAATACTTTTCCCAACATCCCCCAATTCTATATTTAGGAAAGCACATGCCACCTCTTCTAGCATACCTCTTTCTGTTGGTGATTTTTGGGTTTGTTCAGTTTGGGTTTTGGTTTGGTTTGGTTTTGGTTTGGGGTTTTTTGGTTGCGGGGTATTTTTTGGTTTCGGAGATATTTTTGGTTTTGGGGTTTTTTGTTTTTCTTTTTGTTTTGGGGGGTTATTTTGTTTTGTTGTTGTTGTTGTTGTTATTTTTGCCAACTTCAAGGAGTCTACTTCCAGAAAGCCTAGCCAGGTTCTTACATCAAAGAGAGCAAGCCAAGGGATTGGTGAAGAGAGGAGGATTTAAAAAAACCAAAAAGTCCGTTTACACTTTGACCACTCTTTCACTAGTTTTCATAAGCATCTCAAAATCTTGTTGTCATACATCTTCTTTGGATATCTTCACCATAATCCTCAAAAGTCACGTCAGTATGTTATCTTTCTTTTTAAAACTGTTTCTTCTCTGTCTTCTATTTTTATATTTTTATCAGTTATACATTCACAGTTAAAAGAGCAGGCCTCAGCCAGGCGTGGTGGCTCATGCCTGTAATCCCAGTATTTTGGGAGTCCCAGGTAAGCAGATCCCCTGAGTCAGGAGTTCAAGACCAGCCTGACCACCATGGTAAAACCCCATTTCTACTAAAAATACAAAAATTAGCTGGGCATGGTGGCGCATGCCTGTAATCCCAGCTACTCTGGAGACTGAGGCAGGAGAATCGCTTGAACCTGGGAGGTGGAGGTTGCAGTGAGCCGAGATCATGCCACTGCACTCCAGCCTGGGTAACAGAGCGAGACTCCATCTCAATAAACAATCATAAAAATAAAATAAAAAATAAATAAATAAAAAGAGCAGGCCCCTTTTTCCCTTCCACCTGACTTCTTCCCTAGAAACAACCACTTTTACATCTTTCAGCTGATTATTTTGATGCCTATGCTCATGTCTCTAAATAACGTTTGTATTGCTACTTCTTGTTGTTGGGGCTTTTTTCCCCTCAGTTTTATGCATGATCAGGTAAAATTTTTGAGACTGTGCTTGTCTGAAAACCTTTATCCTTAATATAGTTTGGCTGGGTATAAAATTATCAGCTAGAAATCATTTTCTACCGGGCGTGGTGGCTCACACCTGTAATCCCAGCACTTTGGGAAGCTGAGACAGGCAGATCACCTGAGGTCAGGAGTTCAAGACCAGCTTGGCCAACATGGTGAAAACCTGTCTCTACCAAAAATACAAAAATTAGCCAGTCGTGGTGGTGGGCACTTGTAATCTCAGCTACTCCGGAGGCTGAGGCAGGAGAATCACTTGAACCCAGGAGGTGGAGGCTGCAGTGAGCCAAGATCATGCCACTGCACTCCAGCCTCAGCAACAGAGGGAGACTTTGTCTCAACAAAAAAAAAATAGAAATCATTTTCCTTCAGAATTCTGAAGCTATTACTTCAGTGACTTCTAGCTTCCAGTACTGCTGTTGGGAATTCTGAAAACATTCAATCATCAATCTTATCTATTTATTTAGAGACAGAGTCTCGCTCTGTCACCCAGGCTGGAGTGCAATGGTGCAGTCTCAGTTCACTACAACCTCTGCCTCCTGGGTTCAAGCATCAGTCATCAATCTTTTTATAGGACCTCTTCTTTTTTAAATCTCTGGAAGCATGAAGAATCTTCTTTTCCTCCCCAGTGTTTTGAAATTACACAATGATCTGCTTTGATGTGGGCCCATTCATTGATTCCACTGGGTACTGCGTGGGTTATTTCAGTCTCAACACTCAAGCTCTTCAGTCTGGGAAAATATCTTGAATTATTTTATTGATTTTTTTTTTCCATTTTCTTTCTCTCCCTCTCTCTTTTTAATCCTATTATTCAGGATATTGAACTTCCAGGACTGATCTCTGTGATACAGTTGCTTAATTTTCAAATCACTTCTCTCCTGTTTTCCATCTTTTTTTTTGTTTTGTTTTTGTTTTTGTTTTTGTTTTTGTTTTGAGATGGAGTCTCGCTCTTTCGCCCAGGCTGGACTGCAGTGGCACTATCTTGGCTCACTGCAAGCTCCACCTCCCGGGTTCACGCCATTCTCCTGCCTCAGCCTCCCGAGTAGCTGGGACTACAGGTGCCTGCTACCATGCCCAGCTAATTTTTTTTGTATTTTTAGTAGAGACGGGGTTTCACTGTGTTAGCCAGGTTGGTCTTGATCTCCTGACCTCGTGATCCGCCCACCTCGGCCTCCCAAAGTGCTGGGATTACAGGCGTGAGCCACCACGCCCGGCCCTGTTTTCCATCTTTTTTGGCCTTTTTTGCTGTAGTTTCTGGGAGAGTTTCTCAACTTTATCTTCCACTTCTTAATGAGTTTTTTGTTTCTGATATCATACTTTAACTTTTCCAAGAGGTCTTTTTTATTCTATGAGCATTCGTTTGTTGGAGTACCCCATTGCCTTTTCATGATTGCATATCTTTTATTATCTCCTTGCAGATGGTAATTGGGTTTTTTTTTCCTTTTGCATAGGCTCTATTCTCCATGATTCTTTTTCTGTTTCTGTGTTATGTTTTGTTCCCCTTGTTATGGATTTTCCTCAGATGCTTATCTACTCATTACTAACAGTGGGGAACAAGATATCCATCAACAAAGAACTGATTGAATAAACTATAGTACATCCACATTGTGGGAAACTATGGAGCTGTACTAAGAAATGAGAAGTATTTCTATATAAGACTGTGGGCTGAAGGCCAGGAAATATTGCTAAGTGAGAAAAATCTAGACGAGAACAGTGTTTATAGTATGCTACCTTTGAAGTAAGTAGAAGTGGGTATTTTTATGTATTTGCTTATGATTTCTGAAAGAAACAATGGAAAGAAAACTAAAAACTGAGATATGTGGTTGTAAGAAGGAAAGGGGTAGAGGAGACCAGGAGGGAAGCTAGGCTTCTTTAAATATGCCTTGTTTTATAGTTTCAGCTTCATAACCATATATGCATTTAACATAATTGAGAAGTTGTATTTAAGTTTTAAAAAGCAGTTCCTAAAATTGAAAACAAACTGAGACAAACTAAACTGTATATCAAGTAGATAGCATAACTACACAAAAATTATTTCTAGTGACATTAAGACATAATATTTTGACTACAGGGATGTATACCAAGGGAAAAAGATAACAAACAATAAAAATATTGAATTTAATAGTCATATTTTTACTAAGTAATACTGGTACTCTATTTTTAAAACATTTGTTTAAAAATATTGCTTAGTAATATTTTTATTACTTAATAATGAGTATAAATTAGAATAAGCAAATAATTAATTATGACAATGTGTCATTCAAAACCAAGATATTAAATATAAGAGAAAAATACAAACATAAAATAAAAGAAGTTGATGGAAAAATCTGTAATCTGAAAACTGAATTAGAAACACCAGTATGGACTCATGATTTATTTCCTATCTCTATTCATTCTGTCCATCTTTGATATGATGTGGTATTACTGGGATCATTAACAATGTGCACCTCTGGCACCCAGGAAGTGATCTCTAAACAACATTCTTCTCTACAAGAAACCAAGACTCTAAAGCAAATTAAAAAGATTCTAAGTCTGGGGCAGAAATGTACAAGTTGAGCTTGGGACATTTTGTTGTTCCAGAAAGCAAAGAAGCTACCAAAGAGTAATGGGGTTGTGTCCAAGGATCCTGCAAGCAACTTAAACGGGCTTCCACTGCTCAAACATGAGAAATTAAGCATTAAAAAGAAAAATCAGGCCTGGCATGGTGGTTTGACTACTCCCATGCCTGTAATCCCAGAACTTTGGGAGGCCAAGGTGGGGCGGGATCACCTGAGCCCAAGAGTTTGAGACCAGCCTGGGAAACATGGAGAAACCCTGTCTTTACAAAAAATACAAAAATTAGCCAGGCATGGTGGCATGAGCCTGCAGTCCCAGCCACTCAGGAGGCTGAGGTGGGAGGATAGCTTGAGCCTGGGAGTTCAAGGCTACAGTAAGCCATAATGGCGCCATTGCACTCCAGCCTGGGCAACAGAAAGAGACCCTGTCTCAAAAAAAGAGAAGAAAAAGAAAAATCATTTTTCTAATTATATCATTCTTTCTGCATTTATTAGCTGGAATTCTTTTATAAAAAACTGTCCATCTACAATCATTTGGTTGCCCTGAAAAATAGTTCATATAGGAAAAGTGGGATAAATGCTTTTCTCCCTTTATTTACCAGTTTCAGAATGAGTTGGTACCCTGGGATTCAGCAAATTTTGTAAATGACTCATGGATTTAAAAAAATACAGTCGGTGTACTTTAATCATTACAATATTTTTTTCTGAATGCTCTGATTTCCCATATTCAAAAAGTGGGAGCCCATGTAGTCAGTGATTATCGATGGAGCAAAAAAACACTAGGAGAAAGGATAGATCTGGCCAAGGTTTTTTTAAATCTCATTTACCAATCCCAACATCATTAAAAGTGGGACAGCCAGATTTTATGTGCCTCCTGATGTGATGCAAAAGGAAGTACACAGCAACACGAGTGAAGAACTTTTACCCAAAAATATTGAATCTGAATTTAAGCAAGCCTCTAAACTAGAAGTTCTTAACCAGAAATCCATACAGAGAATTTGGGAAGTCTGTGAATTTGAATAAGAACGTAATTATCATCTTTATCTGCACTATTCTTTAACTGAAATTTAGCATTGCCTTCGATTATGTATGTAGGCAAAAACAAAGAAAAAACTAAAACTACAGTAAAAGCAGTATCCAAAGCTTTGTCAACAATAGAAATCATGGATTCTTTCATATTCCATTACAGTGTTGTGGATACCCCAGAATATTGTTTTTGCTTATCTACTTTATAATTATGATTAGACCTACTGTTAGATCTTGTTGTTTAATGTATTAATAAAGAAGATATATTATATCACAAATGAGTTATTTTTAATATGTTGAGAATTATAGTTCAATATAAATAGTTTTCTCTGTAATCCTATACATTTCATTTTATGCATTTAAAAATATTATCCTGGCCGGGCGCGGTGGCTCATGCTCATAATCCCAGCACTTTGGGAGGCCGAGGCGGGCGGATCACCAGAGGTCAGGAGTTTGAGACCAACCTGGCCAACATGGTGAAACCCCATTTCTACTAAAAATACAAAAAATAAGTCAGGCACGGTGGCATGAGCCTGTAATCCCAGCTACATGGGAGGCTGAGGCAGGAGAATCTCTTGAACCTGGGAGGCGGAGGTTGCAATCAGCCAAGATCGCACCATTGCACTCCAGCTTGGGCAACAAGAGCGAAACGCCGTCTCAAAAATAAATAAATAAATAAATAATAAAAATAAAAATATTATCCTGAGCAGGGGTCTATGGATGTCATCAGATTGCTAAGAGGTGCATAACAAATTAAAGGTTAAGAATCCCTACTCTCGATCTACCAGTTCTAATTTTTGTATTTTTAGTAGAGATGGGGTTTCACCATGTTGGCCAGGCTGATCTCGAACTTCTGGCCTCAAGTCATCTGTCTGCCTCTGCCTCCCAAAATGCTGGAATTACAGTCATGAGCCATTGTGCCCGGCCCATTTCCCACTTTTCTAATAGCTTTCCAGCTTCCAGGCTTTTGTTGCTGTTGCCTTCTCTCGTGTTCTTCCTCTCCGTATGCCTTTTAACAATTTAGTGGGGTTTCAGGAGGGAGAAAAAACAAATACTTGTTTTCAATTCACCATAGTCCTACAATATTTTTTTAAATGGTTGAAAGTCCTGTCTTTTGGAGAATGTGCTCAATAATGCTTCTTCTCCCCATTCCACATCCCCCACTCCCATGCCTCCCTAGGCTTTTGCTCCATGGCACCTGATATCACTCCCTTAAGGCCTTAGACTGCAGAGACAGATCAAGGCGTGATTTGTCTGGGCAACTGCCTATGCTACTCACCTCCAACAAGCCCCAAAACATTCCTGGAAAGCTAACAAGATGAAGAGTTTTATCTACCAAAACTCTGGAGAGAGTTTTATATGGGATTGGAAAGAGCTTTTGGAAATACCAGTTGGTTTGGGGGCTGGAGGCAGGACTGATGGAGAACCAATCCAAAGGACAAGTTCACTAACAATAGAAGGTGACTCAACTGTTTTCCAACAGGAGTAGGTCCTATTAGATGCAGGGTTCTGCTTGTGCTAAGCAGTGTAAGGAGTCAGGTCCGAAATAAAATTTCCTGGACCACAGAGGAAAGGCTGATATTCCAGTAAAGTCTTTGTCCAATGCCTTTGCCCAGACACTGCTCAGTCTCTCCTCTGTAGACAGACTGAACACAAATTTTAAAGTATTAATTTCAAAGGATAAGAAAATCACCCAACTAGGGTGTCCACAGGTCTCTATCTTCTGAGTCTGTGGCTTATCCCTTACTATAATATCTTGAGGGCATGGCCTTGCCCCACCTATCTTTCTGCTTCTCACATGTGGTGGTTGGTTGAAAGAAAGGTAAGCTCTTCTCATCTGAAAGTATCCAAGGACCCATTTTAATAACACTGAATAACTGAAAGTTGTCAGATAATCTTCGGGATGTAGGCAGGGCAGAATCATCACTGTCAAAAACATCAGCAGGCTGGGCATGGTGGCTCACACCTGTAATCCCAGCACTTTGGGAGGCTGAGGTGGGCAGATTACCTGAGGTCGGGAGTTCAAGACCACCCTGACCAACATGGAGAAATCCCGTCTGTACTAAAAATGCAAAATTAACCAGGCGTGGTGGCACATGCCTGTAATCCCAGCTACTCAGGAGGCTGAGGCAGGAGAATCACTTGAACCCAGGAGGCAGAGGTTGCAGTGAGCCAAGATCCCACCATTGCACTCCAGCCTGAGCAACAAGAGCAAAACTCCATCTCAAAAAATAAAAAATTTAAAAAATTTTAAAAAAATTAGCCGGGTGTGATGGCAGGTTCCTGTAATCCCAGCTACTTGGGAGGCTGAGGCAGGAGAATCACTTGAACCCAGGAGGAGGAGGTTGCAGTGGGCCGAGGCCATGCCAGCCTGGGTAACAGAGCATGACTCTGTCAAAAAAAAAAAAAAAATCAACAGAAACAAATGACTATTGAGTTATGCCATGGTAGCCACTATACCAAGTGAAGACCACAGACCAAACTCTGTGTACCCAGATAGCTAACCAAGTAAAAAAGACAAATACTTAGATGACCAGGAGCATGCAGTACAGAAATAAATATCAGTTGATTTTTTTAAAAGAGAAAAACTTAAATAATGCAAGTACAGGAGGAAGGACGATTTATCTTCATTCAACATTTCTGTAACACTATTCTTTAAATTCCTTATGATAACGTAAGTTGTTCTTAAAATAGTCTTCTAAGAAGGGTATTAATATCTGCATTTTACAGAAAGGAAAACTAAAGAAATTAAAAGTTAAGCAATCTGCTATATAACCACTTGGTCAAAAGGCTAAGACTAGAAAACAGAGACAAGTTCAGAATAGGCTTGGCTGTGTGTCTCTTGGACCCTGAGCTTAGTCCTGGATTCTGATGCTCAAGGATAATGTCACTGGAGACCACTGGGAGCATTATCTATTACATATGCTTACAGACAGACAGGTTTATACAGCAACAACAACAATAACAACAACAACAACAAAAAACACTGCAGCAGAAGTTGTTTTCCATTTCACCTTCAGTGGAACTGATTCTTACCTTGTCTAAGGGTAAGAATCTGAGAATGCCAATGAGGTGTGTCATATATGACACTAATCTATCCTGATAACATAGGAGGGGCAGCATGGACTATTTACAGTCCAACCTTGGATACACACATATATATATGCCCTCACACAGATACCTTTGCCCACACAGGGAATTGCACATTCTCAAAAATGTATACATACACAAAGAGTAAACCAATAAATATGCTCACTCAAGTCCATGCAGCTGCAACACACACACACACACACACACACACACTACTCTGTCTTGATTTCCCCATTTTGAATGAGCACAGCCATTCATCTATGAACCCATCAATGCTCTATCTGACCCTTGCCCTTAGCAGAAGCTACTTCTCTCAGTCTCTGAGTCAGCCCTGAGAGGGTAGATATATAATCAGTAGCCTTCACATTCACAGTCCTGACTACCTACTACACCCACATGGATGGGCTAATTCTGGTATCTCCCATACCCTTAGAACAGTGGTTCTCAACCAAGGGTGATTTTTCCCCTAGGGAATATTTAGCAAAGTCTATAAACATTTTTGATTGTCACAATTCTGCAGGAAGGGAAAAGGGTTTTTCTGGCATCTGTTAGGTGGTGGCCAGGGATGCTGCTAAACAGTCTAGAACGGACAGGTCTGTACCCCACAACAATGAGTTATTCAGCCCAAAATGTCAGTAATGCCAAGGTTGGGAAACCTTGTCTTGGGGGGAGCAATGGGCAACTGTCCTGCCCTTAGCCACCTGCTAATAAACCACCTAGGCTGCTTCCTCTGAGATAACTGGCCATGGATACCAGGGACACAGCTACTTGGACCTGAGTGGGCAGGCACCTATTCCTAGGGCAGACAATATGCAGATTATCCATTTTCCCCTGAGGCAAACTGGTGAGAAAGCTATGCCAACAGGGACCACAGCAATTTTCTGGACCAGACCATCTCTCAGCAGTTTGAACTGGAAGTTAGGGGCAACTGATAGTGGGAGCAAAAGATGAAAAACAATGAAAGAGCAGCTACAGGGGCCACAGGGCCAGATTCAGCTGAAGTCATCAGGTCGAGAAAGAGATACACAGAGTGAAGGCAGTTGCTTGGGAAAGCAGCAGGAGTGACTGAAGCTGAAGAGGAGGGACTGGGGCGCCGTGCTATTAGATGATCAGTAAATCTATTAGTACAAGTCAATGAGCCAGCCTGGGCAACATGGTGAAACCCTGTCTCTAACAAAAAGACAAAAAATTAGCCAGGTGTGGTTGCATGCACCTGTGCTCCCAGCTACTCAGGAGGCTGAGGGGGGAGGATCGCTTGAGGTGGAGATTGTAGTGAACTGAGATCATGCCACTGCACTCCAGCCTGGGTGACAGAGTAAGAACACGTTTAAAAAAAAGAAAGAAAGAAAGAGTCAAGGAGAACCAAGCTGTCCTGGGGGATCATCCACCTTGTTCCCAAGCTGTAGGAGGCCTGGCTGCAAGGTGGTTTCTGCACACTTGTGAGTCCTACTTCCCTTGTCGGTGCCTGGGACTTGATGATAGACTCTCTTGTGGGCTGAACTGTGCCCCCCAGTAAGGATATGTTGAAGTCTTCACTCCCACTACTTCAGAATATGGCCTTATTTGCAAGTAGGGTTGTTGCAGGTATAATTAGTTAAAATGAGGTCATTCTGGAATAGGGGGAGCCCCTAATGTAATATGACTTGTATCCTTTTAAGAAAATGGCCATGTGCAGACACAGAGAAACAGAGAATGCCACATGAAGATGGAGGCAGAGATTAGAGTGATGTATCTGCAAGCCAACCGTTGCCAGCTGTCGCCAGAAGCCAGGAGAGAGGTGTGGAATAGATTCTCCCTCAGAGCCCTCAGAAAGAATGAATCCTGACAACACCTTAATTTTGGACGTCTAGCCTCCAGAACTGTGAGAGAATAAGTATCTGTTGTTTGAAGCCACCCATTTGTGGTACTCTGTTACAGTAGGCCTAGCACACTAATGCAGACCCCATTACCCATAGTAACCCAAGTGCATCCCTGTTCCTGACAATATTTCAGCCCTTGCCCTCGAATTTATAAGGCTCTAGGACTCTGGCTCTCTTCTGACTATGCCCCTCCATAGGGGATGAGGAGTCTACCAGCCCAAGGGGATGTGCCCATCTAGAGTCCACACCTAGCTTCTAGAACACATTTGGGGTACCTAGACCCCAAAATTTCCTGCCAAAACAGCTCTGAGACTTGTTTAAGAGTCTGGTCAGGCCTGGTTCTTGTGTCTATCTTTCTGAGAGTGGGCCACGTAGCAGTGCACATACCCCCAGGTTCAACGATTGACCAAGGGCCAGCTATTTGCCAGCAACTAGGGAAGCTGTGGACAGAACTTGGATTTATGGCCTCGGGTGTCCACACACATGTGTACTTTATTCTATGGGACAGAGGTGAGGATATGAAGAGAAAGGGAGCAGGCTATGGGCTCTGGATCTCCATTTGAACTCTTGCCCCAGCTCCCAGGACAGTCAGGGGTGGACCTATCACTCTTACCCCCACAGGTCAGGATTAATGTCCAAGGAATAGGTCCTGGGCATCTTCATGCATCACTCTGTTCCTCCTGTAGGCCCCAGCCACAGGGACTACTGCCTGTTTCTCTTTTTGTGCTCTGACCCATCCCCCTCTGGGTGGCGCTCTACACAACCAACCTCAGCAGCTGGGTCAACTCCTGCTCCCCCTTCCTTCTTCCCCTTCATTATCACCTCCACAAAGGGGATCTGCACCAGATTTCTTAAGAATCCTGACTTATGGGGGGAGGGAGGAGGGAAAGCATTAGGAGATATACTTAATGTAAATGACAAGTTAATGGGTGCAGCACACCAACATGGCACTTGTATACATATGTAACAAACCTGCACATTGTGCACATGCACCCTACAACTTAAAGTATAATAAGAAAAAAAAAAGAATCCTGGCTTACTCCTGTAACTGGGGCCCCCAGATGTCTCAAAACAGAGGTCACATTCAGCTGTCTACAGAGGTCAGGCAAATATCACAACTAAATGTGTCTGGCCAGGTAGGTATAAGTGCCCGGGAGAGGTAAGGTCTACAGCAAACTGGGACAGCCAGACTCCTTCTAAAGTGGCTCCAGCTAATTGTTGCCATGGAGATGGTGGGCTTGATGTCAAAAAACTTTTGATTTTCTGATAGAAACTGGAAAACTTGATTTAATTATGTGAAAGTTCCTGTTCAACTAATTCAAAATTTCGACACAGTGTCTACCAAATAAAACTCAGCCACAGACAAGCCAGAGAGTTTGGCAAGTTTATTACCACAAATAAAACCAACTACCTCTATCAGATCTAGTTGGCAAGCTGAGGAAGCCTGAAGCTATCCTACACCTGGTTTGCCCTGAACTTACTGAACTCCAGTTTGAAGAACTAGTGGTATTTTCATGAATTGTTATTTTTGTGGCCTGATATGACATTCCCACCTCCTTCTATCTGGCAAACTCCAAAACTTGTGATGAGACCTTCATGACTCATCTTTATCATCACCTCCCATGTGTAAACCTGGACTTTCCCAGATAGACAGCCCAGCCTCCCCATTTTCACCACTCCCTGCTCAATACTCCTTATTCATGCCTCTATTACAGCCCTTATCACATCATTTTATAACTGTCTGTCATCTGTCACTAGAGGGTGAGCACCTCAAAGTCTAGGATTTTATCTTGTTCATTCTGTGTTCCCAGCTCCCTGGCACTTTACTGACACAATGCTTGTGGAATGAATGAATAAACAGCACAGATCAGTAATTAAACCAATGTCAGGAAGCTACTAGATATAATTACAAATTAGTATTCATGACAATAAGTTTATCATCATAAGAGCTTAGGAGTGGAGGAAAACAATTTTCAGCAGGATGGCTAAGGAATTTGCATTTGAACTGGGAAACTAATTCTCATAGGTAAGGGGAGGAAAAAGGAAGAACAGTCTGGAAATGAAACTAAAGTCCCAAAGGTCAGAAAGCCTGCGGTGGTCTCTGACAGCGAGAACGGTAGGGGTGGCAAGTAAGACAACAAATGAAATAAAATAATTATAATAAAGTATTCTTAAAGGGGAACTGTGAGGAGACAGTTGTGTAGGGACAACTGAGGTGGTGGGATAAGAATAAGAAAGTGCTTCGAGGACTCTGCTGACAGCCATCTTGAACCACTGCCACACTTGTAAAGGTGTTTGTTTCCTATGGTGATATCACTGTTGCTTCTTTTCCCTAGCTTCAGTCCTGCAGAGACTTTACACTAGGAGCTGCTCCTTCCATTTAGGTATGCCGCCACCGTGCGGTGGGAGTGTGCAGCTACATGACTTACTGGCAGGCTCACATTTTACCTTAACATAAGTGGATGGAAATTGTTCTCAAGCTCAGCACGTTTACAGATCCAACTTTAATGACATCTAAATATCATACAGAGATTTATCTTTACATTAGCTGGGGTCAAGCAAAGAAGACCATACGCAACTCAGTTCACAATCAACCAGGCCCTCCCTCCTTCATGTGTATTCCTTCTGTGTTTTCCTCCTCTTTAGGAACAGAGGTTTATTCAACTTTGCTTCCTCCATAGGGCCTTACATACTGCAGGTGCTTTAAAAAAATCTCTGCTTAGTGGACTTATATAAAGATGATATAGCACGTTTGTTTTTTAAAGTTCCAAAAACATTTTATCACTTTTTCAGAAAAGTGAGAGTAGAAATTTTTCACCCATAATTCCACCGCCCTAAAACAGTGACTATTAATGATTAGCAAACAATTCAAAATAACTATCCTGGCCAGGTGCGATGGCTCACGCCTGTAATCCCAACACTTTGGGAGACCAAGGCGGGCGGATCACTTGAGGTCAGGAGTTCGAGACCAGCCTGGCCAACATGGCCAAACCTCGTCTCTACTAAAAATATAAAAATAGCCAGCAGTGGTGGTGCATGCCTATAATCCCAGCTACTCAGAAGGCAGAAGAATCACTTGAACCCAGGCAGCGGAGGTTGCAGTGAGCCAAGATTGCACTACTGCACTCCAGCCTGGGCGACAGAGCAAAACTCTGTTTTTTTGTTTTTTTGTTTTTTTTTTTTGAAAAAACAAAACAAAAGATCTGGCTTTGTTTTTACTCTCCATGGACCATTAGCCATAAGGAATTGTTGGACACTATCTGATATGGAAAGAGATGTATTTCAGGTTAAGTGAAGGAAATTTAAAGCAGGTTAAAATGCTTTTGGTTTTAAGTAAAAGAGAACTTGACTCAAATTAGCTTAAATGGAGATGTACTGGCTCATGTAATGAAAAGTGTGGGATTCAGACACAGTGTTTCCAGAGCTTCACTCAGGAAGATTCGGCCTTCATGGTGGCAATATGCCAGCTAGAAAAGAGGTATGTGCCGAGTAAAGCCCTTCTCTTTATGGCATTTGGCTCCCTCCCCATCTCCTTGCCAATTAAACCCATTCAACTAGCTTAATGTGTGCAGAGCCAGCTCATTCAGCCTCCCTGTCTCTTCATTGTTAGATATGATTAGTCAACCAAGGGACTCCACATATTTGAGGAAAAACTATTCATGAAAGACAAAGATAAATAAACATAAAAAATATGTCCCCAGAAGTAATAGAGATGGTCTTGGAAACAGAAAAAAATTACAAAAATTAGCCAGGCTTGGTGGCGGGCACCTGCAATCCCAGCTACTCTGGAGGCTGAGGCAGGAGAATCGCTTGAAACCGGAAGGAGGAGGTTGCACTAGTCGAGCTCATGCCACTGCACTCCAGCCTGGGCGAAAGAGTGAAACTCCGTCTCAAAAAAAAAAAAAAAAAGAAAAAAAAAACCCATACTTTCAAACACAGAACCACTGGTCCACAGAACCACTGGTCACGGTGGCTTACATCTATAATCCAAGCACTTTGGGAGGCCTAAGCAGGTGAAACACTTGAGGTCAGGAGTTCAACACTAGCCTGGGCAACATGACGAAACCCTGTCTCTACAAAAAATACAAAAATTCACTGGCATGGTGGCGTGTGCCTGTAGTTCCAGCTACTCAGAAGCCTGAGGTGAGAGGAGAGCTTGAGCCCAGGAAGTCGAGGCTGCAGTGGGCTAAGATTGTGCCACTGCACTCCAGCCTGGGCAACAGAGCAAGACCCTGTCTCAAAACAAAAACGAACAAACAAAAACAACAACAACAAAATGCAGTACCATTTACAACCACTCCAAGGAAAATAAGGTACTTGGATATTCATTTGATATGGTTTGAATGTTTGTGTCCCTCCAAAATTCATATTGAAAATCTCCAATGCAATAGTAGTAAGAGGCAGGGCCTTTACGAGGTGATTGGGTCATGACTAATCCCATCCATGAGGGATTAGCCTTATAGAAGGGTTTGAGGGAGTCTGTTAGTCCTCTTTGCCCTTCTACATTTCCACCATGTGAGGATGTAGCAAAGAGGTGCCATTGATGAAGCAGAGAGCAAGCCATCACCAGACACCAAACCTGCTGGTGCCTTGATCTTGGACTTCCCAACCTCCAGAACTGTGAGAAATCAATTTCTATTTATTTTTATGTATGTATGTATTGAGACGTAGTCTTGCTCTGTCATCCAGGCTGGAGTTCAGCGGTACAATCTCGGCTGACAGCAACCTCTGCCTCCCAGGCTTAGGTGATTCTCCTGCCTCAGCCTCCCGAGTAGCTGGAATTACAGGCATGCACCACCATACCCAGCTAATTTTGTATTTTTAGTAGGGACAGGGTTTTGTCATGTTGGCCAGGCTGGTCTCAAACTCCTGACCTCAGGTGATCCACCCGCCTCAGCCTCCCAAAGTGTTGGGATTACAGGCATGAGCCACCGTGCCCAGCCTTAAATTTCTATTATTTACAAATTACCCAGTCTACGGTATTTTGTTACAGCAGCCTTAATAGACCAAGATAAAATTTTATTATATTTCTTATTTTTATTTTTTGGAGACAGAGTCTTGTTCTATCCCCCAGGCTGTAGTGCGGTGGCACGATCTCGGCTCGCTGCAACCTCTGCCTCCCGGGTTCAAGCGATTCTCATGCCTCAGCCTCCTGGGTAGCTGGGACTACAAGCATACACCACCACACCCAGCTAATTTTTATACATATATATATATATATATATATATATTTTTTTTTTTTTTTTTTTTTAGACTGAGTTTCACTCTTGTTGCCCAGGCTGGAGTGCAATGGCGTGATCTTGGCTCACTGCAACTTTTGCCTCCTGGGTTCAAGCCATTCTCCTACCTCAGCCTCCCAAGGAGCTGGAATTGCAGGCATGTGCCACTACGCCCTGCTAATTTTGTATTTTTAGTAGAGATGGGGTTTCTTCATGTGGGTCAGGCTGGTCTTGAACTCCCGACCTCAGGTGTTCCGCCTGCCTCAGCCTCCCAAAATGCTGGGATTACAGGCGTGAGCCACTGTGCCTGGCCCTATTTTTTATATTTTTAGTACAGACAGGATTTTGCCATGTTGTCCAGGCTGGTCATGAACTCCTGACCTCAGGTGATCCACCTGCCTTGGCCTCCCAAAGTGCTGGGATTACAGGTGTGAGCCACTCCTCCTGACCTAAGATAATATTTTTAAAAATAATTTATTGGCTGGGCGCAGTGGCTCACGCCTGTAATCTCAGCACTTTAGGAGGCCGAGGTGGTCGGATCATGAGGTCAGGAGATCGAGACCAGCCTGGCCAACATGGTGAAACCCCATCTCTACTAAAAATTCAAACAAAATTAGCTGGGTGTGGTGGTATGTGCCTGTAATCCCAGCTACTCAGGAGGCTGAGGCAGGAGAATCGCTTGAATCAGGGAGTTGGAGGTTGCAGTGAGCCGAGATCACGCCACAGCACTCCAGCCTGGCGACAGAGCAAGACTCCATCTCAATAAATAAATAAGTAAATAAATAAATAAATAAATAAAATAATTTACCGAGGTGAAATTCACATAACTTAAAATTAACCATTTTATTTATTTATTTATTGTTTTGAGACAGAGGTCTTACTCTGTCGCCCAGGCTAGAGGGTGGTGGCGCAGTCCTGGTTCACTGTAGCCTCTGCCTCCTGGGTTCAAGTGATTCTCATGCCTCAGCCTCTGGAGTAGCTGGGATCACAGGTGCACATCACCATGCCTGGCTGATTTATTGTAATTTTAGTAGAGATGGGGTTTCACCATGTTGACTGGGCTGGTCTCGAACTTCTGACCTCAGGTGATCCACCCACCTCAGCCTCCCAAATTGCTGGGATTACAGGTGTGAGCCACCGTGCTGGCCTAACCATTTTATTTTATTTTATTTTTATTAATTTTTAAGATGGAGTCTTGCTCTGTTGCCCAGGCTGGAGTGCATTGGCTTGATGTCAGCTCACTGCAACCTCCACCTCCTGGGTTCAAGCAATTCTCCTGCCTCAGCCTCCTAAGTAACTGAGGCTACAGGGAGTCTAATATTTGTATTTTTAGTAGAGACAGGGTTTCACTGTGTTGGCGGGGCGGGTCTTGAACTCCTGACCTCAGGTGATCCACCCCTTCGGCCTCCCAAATTGCTGGGATTATAGGCATGAGCCACCACACGTGGCCCAGCCGAACCATTTTATTTTATTTATTTATTTATTTATTTATTTATTTATTTATTTATTTTTGAGACAGAGTCTTGCTCTGTTACCCAGGCTGGAGTGCAGTGGCATGATGTCAGCTCACTGCAACCTCTGCCTCCTGGGTTCAAGCAATTCCCTGCCTCAGCCTCCCAAGTAGCTGGGATTATAGTCGTGCGCCACTACACCCAGCTAAGTTTTTGTATTTTTAGTAGAGATGGGGTTTCGCCATACTGGCCAGGCTGGTCTGGAACTCCTGACCTCAAGTGATCTGCCCGCCTTGGCCTCCCAAAGTGCTGGGATTACAGGCGTGAGCCACCGCACCCGGCCCTAACCATTTTAAAATAAACAATTCAGTGGCATTCAATACATTCACCGTGTTAGGCAACCACTACCTCTACCTAGCTCTAAAGCATTTCCATCACTCTACGATAAACCCCTTAAGCTGTTCCTTCCATTCCCTCTCCCCTCCGCCATTGACAACCATCAATCTGCATTCTGTCTCTATGATTTTTTTTTTTTTTTTTGAGACAGGATCTCACTCTGTCACCCAGGCTGAAGTTCAGTGGCGTGATCTCGGCTCACTGCAACCTGTCTCCCAGGTTCAACCAATTGTCCTGCCTCAGCCTCCCAAGTAGCTGGGACTACAGGTGCCCGCCATCATGCCTGGCTAATTTTTGTATTTTTAGTAGACATGGGGTTTCACCATTTTGGCCAGGCTGGTCTCAAACTCCTGACCCCAGGCGATCAGCCCGCCGTGGCCTCCCAAAGTGCTGGGATTACAGGCATGAGCCACCAAGCCCGGCCCTGACTCTATGAATTTGTCTATTCTAGATATTTCAAGTATACAGAGTCATATAATATGTGACCTTTTTTGTCTGGATTCTTTCACAATGTAGCATAATGCTCTGGAGTTTCAGCCATGTTGCAGCATGCATCAGTACTTCATTTCTTTTTATAGCTGAATAATATTCCATAGTATTTATATATCAAAATTTGTTTATCCATTAACCTGTGGAGGGACATTTAGGCTGTTTCCACCTTTTGGCTATTGTGAATGGTGCTACTATAAACATGTGTACACATGCCTGTTTAAGTATATGTTTTCAGTTCTTTGGGGTATATACCTAGGAGTGGAATTGTAGAATCATGTGGTAATTTTGTTTAACTTTTTGGAAAAATATCAAGCTGTACCCAAAGTGGTTGCACCATTTTGCATTTCCACCAGCAAAATGTGAGAGTTCCAGTTTCTCCATATCCTTGCCAATACTTATTTTTCTTTTTAAAAAATAGCTATCCTAGTACATGGGAAGTGACATTCATTGTGGTTTTAATTTGCATTTCCCTAATGATTAGTGATGTTGAGCATCTTTTCATGTGTTTATTAGTCATCTGGATATCTTTGGAGAAATGGCTATTCAAGCCCTTTGTCCATTTTTAACTGGGTTGTTCGGTTTTGTTGTTGAGTTGTAGGAGTTCATTATGTATTCTGGATATTAATCACTTACCTGATACATGATTTGCAAATATTTTCTCCCATTCTGTGGGATGCCTTTTCATTCTCTTCATAGTGTCCTTTGATACACAAAAGTTTTTCATTTTGATGAAGTCCAATTCACCTGTTTTTTTCTTGACCAAAAAGTAGAAACAACTGAAATGTCCACCAACTCATGAACAGATAAACAAAATGTGTATATAATGGGATATATTCAGCCATAAAATGAATGAAGTACAAACACATACAACATGGATGAACCTTGGAAACTTTATGCTAAGTGAATACAGTCAGATACAAAAAGGGAACTATTGTATAATTCTATGCATGTGAGGTACACAGAATAGTCATTTTCATAAGGACAGGAAATGGAATAGTGGTTAGCAGGGGCTGAACAGAGGAGAAGATTGGCAGTTATTATTTAATGGACATAGAGTGTTTTTCTTTGAATGATTAATAAGTTATGGAACTAGATAGTGATAATCATGAATGTACTTAATACCACTGAATTGTACATTTTAAAATTGTTAAAATGGGGCTGGGAACAGTGGCTCATGCCTGTAATCTAATCCTAGCACTTTGGGAGGACAAGGAGGGAGGATGGCATGAGCCTTGGAGTTCGAAGTTACAGTGAACTCTGATTGTAACCACCCAATGTGTTCACCTTGCCCGCTGCCTAGACAGAGCCGATTTATCAAGACAGGATAACTGCAATGGAGAAAGAGTAATTCACACAGAGCTGGCTGTGCAGGAAACCGGAGTTTTATTATTACTCAAATCAGTCTCCCCAAGCATTCGGGGATCAGGGTTTTTAAAGATAATTTGGCAGGTAGGAGTTTGGGAAGTGGGGAGTGCTGATTGGTCAGGTTAGAGATGGAATCATAGGTGGTTGAAGTGAGTTTTTCTTGCTGTCTTCTGTTCTTGGGTGTGATGGCAGAACTGGTTGAGCCAGATTCCTGGTCTGAGTGGTGTCAGCTGATCCATTGAGTGTAGGGTCTGCAAATATCTCAAGCACTGATCTTAGGTTTTACAATAGTGATGTTATCCCCAGAAGCAATTAGGGGAAGTTCAGACTCTAGGCGCCAGAGGTGGCATGATCCCTAAACTGTAATTTCTAATCTTGTAGCTAATTTGTTAGTTCGCAAAGGCAGACTGGTCCCCAGGCAAGAAGGGGGTCTTTTCAGGAAAGGGCTGTTATTAATTTTGTTTCAGAGTCAAACCATGAACTGAATTCCTTCCCAAGGTTAGTTTGGCCTACTCGCAGGAATGAACAAAGACAGCTTAAAGGTTAGAAGCAAGATGGAGTTATTTAGGTCTGATTGCTTTCATTGTCATAATTTCCTCAGTCACAATTTTGCCAAGGCGGTTTCATGATCATGCAACTGCACTCCAGCCTGGGCAACAGAGCAAGACCTTGCCTCTAAAAAAAGTAAATAAAATGGTTAAAATGGAAATTTTTATATTATGTGTATTTTACCATGATAAAAAAAATGAAAGAAAACTGGTCTAGCTTTATTAATATGAGACAAAACAGAATTTAGGACAAAAAAATTAGAGAGGACCACTTAATTATGATAAAAGCTTCAAGTCATCAGGAATAATTAACATTGGTACAAAATATGTATGTACCAAATATTATTGCCTTGACATGTATAAAGCAAAAGCTGTCAGAATCACAGAGAAACTCACAATCCTTGCGGGAGATTTGAACAAAATTATCTCAGTAACTGATAGAACAAGCAGTCAAAAATTTTCTTTCGGCCGGGCGCGGTGGCTCACGCCTGTAATCCCAGCACTTTGGGAGGCCGAGGCGGGCAGTTCACGAAGTCAGGAGTTCGAGACCAGCCTGGCCAACACAGCGAAACCCTGTCTCTACTAAAAAATACAAAAAATTAGCTGGTCATGGTGGCGGGCACCTGTAATCCCAGCTACTCGGGAGGCTGAGGCAAGAGAATTGCTTGAACCCGGGAGGCAGAGGTTGCAAGGAGCCTAGATCACGCCATTACGCTACAGCCCAGGCGACAGTGCGAGACTCTGTCTCAAAAAAAAAAAAAATTTTCTTTCACATCAGGGTGAGAAAACTCATACAAAGATCTTCCTAGCAGCATTATTCATGACAGCCTCAAACTGGAACCGACCTATTAATAAATATCTATCACTAGTAGAAGAGATAAACACATTGTATTAGATTAATCCAATGTAATACTGAACAGCAATGGAAATGAAATGAACTGTAGGTACATCCAACAACATGGATGAATTTCAAAACATAATGCTAAGCAAATAAAGCCAGACTCAAAATAATATATGCTGTATTATTCCATTTACGTGAAGCTCAAAAATAAGCAAACTAAATTATATGTGTAGAGAAGCATATTTATTTGATAACATTATTTTTATAAAGCAAGAAAGTTATTTCCATAAAATTCAGAATTGTAGATTTTTTTTTTTTTTTTGAAACAGAGTCTCATTCTGTCGCCAGGCTGGAGTGCAGTGGCATGATCTCAGCTCACTGCAATCTCCGCCTCCAGGTTCGAGTGATTACCCTGCCTCAGCCTCCCTAGTAGCTGGGATTACAGGTGTGCACCACCACGCCCAGCTAATTTTTTGTATTTTAGTAGAGACAGGGTTTCACCATGTTGGCCAGGATGGTCTCGATCTCCTGACCTCGTGATCCGCCCACCTCGGCCTCCCAAAGTGCTGGGATTACAGGCATGAGCCACTGTGGCTGGCCTCTTTTTTTTTGAGACAGAGTCTCGTAATTGTGGATATTTCTAAGAGGAAAGAGGAACATTGGAATTGGAAAGAGACCAGTGGGCCAAAGGTGGAAAATGTTGATGTAGACTTCTAAGATTTTGACAAAATTTTGTTTTATGGCCTGGTGGTTATATAAATATTTACTGTATAACAATTCATTAAGATACACATTTGTGTTTTTTGTATATATGTGTTCTATTTCACAATCTTAAATGTTCCTTAATTAATTAATGGAGCACACCTTCAGAGTTGGGTGGGAAAATAATTCTGCCTAGAAATCCAAACTTAGACAAGCTAGCTATCAAGACTGAGGACAAACTAAAGCCATTCTTACACCTGTAAGGATTCAGGGTTTATCTACTATTTATGCTATCTGAAGGAGACAATTGAATATGTTGGCCAGGAAACCAAGTGTGAGGAGTATGTAGAAAACAGAAGATGATAGTACTAACCCTGTTAATCTAATAAAAAGAAACCCCAGGATGACTGCTTGCAGTGGGGTTTGAAAGAAATCTATTCAAATTAAAACAGGAGGTCCATGTGCTCCAAAAAGATATTCTTTTTTTTTAAATATATATATATCTTTTATTATACTTTAAGTTCTAGGGTACATGTACACAACGTGCAGGTTTGTTACATATGCATACATGTGCCATGTTGGTGTGCTGCACCCATTAACTCCTCATTTACATTAGGTATGTCTCCTAATGCTATCCCTCCCCCCTCCCCTACCCCATAACAGGCCCCAGTGTGTGAAAAAACGATAGTTAGATGCCACGAACTAGGTGGCAATGCCTTAACCGTATGTGTGTTGTCAGGCCTGAGGGCCTCTTCCATCCTTGTCAAGGGGAGTACTAACCTTCTCCCCTTTCATACAACACAAAGATATTCTTAAGACTTCTAGAATAGACCCTGAACAATTTTAGAGTAAGGAACTAATAGATATCAGTGCTTTCATGAAGAAGGCTTTTGCTTCTCCTGATGAGGGAAAAATTATAAAAATTCTAAGACAGGAAAGTTATGATCCAAACTTGAAATAAACAAATGTGGTATGAATTTGGGCAACTGTGGTTCTTTAAGAAAAGAGAATCCACCATGCAATTTTCTTTTTCTTTTTTTTTTTTTTTTTTTTTTGAGACAGGGTCTCACTCTGTCACCCAGGCTGGAGTGCAGTGGTGATCTCAGTTCACTGCAACCTCTGCTTCCCGGGGTCAAGTGATTCTCATGCCTCAGCGTCCCAAGCAGCTGGGATTACAGGTGCCCGCCACAACACCTGGCTAATTTTTGTATTTTTTAGTAGAGACAGGATTTCACCCTGTTTGTCAGGCTGGTCTTGAACTCCCGAACTCAAGTGATCTGCCAACCTCAGCCTCCCAAAGTGCTGGGATTATAGGCGTGAGCCACCGCGCCTGGCCCATCATAGAATTTTCTAGGAATATTGTCCTTTGAGAGGTCTAGGGTGATGACATAATTATACAAGAAAACATAATGTCATAACAATTTAATATTTTTAGTAATTTTAAATTTGTGTCATCAACCTACAGACAAAGGATGGGGGTTCAGGTTTCTGAACAGAATGTAAATTTTCAACCTCAACAATGTAAATATCAAAGTGAAGCTCACAGAAACCAGAAGGTAGAAGTAGGAAAAGAGATGGAGGCAAGGGTAGGGGAAAAAAGTCAAGAGACGTTAGTGAAAATTGACAGAATTAAAAACAAATAGTTTAAGAACAGAATCTAAATGTATAAAAGTAACCAATGGAAAGAAAACCAATGATACAACAAAAGTCATGGTAAAAAGAAGAAAAGGAGAAATGGGGTGGTATTAATTAGTTAAATCCTTATTAATCATAAGCAATAAGTAGACAATGCCTACAGTTGATAAATTAAGAATTAGCAATATACAGAAATATATATGAAACCAAAATAACTAATGAAAGAAAAGGAGGCTGGGCACGGTGGCTCAGGCCTGTAATCCCAGCACTTTGGGAGGCAGAGGCAGGCAGATCATTTGAGTCCCGGAGTTTGAGACCAGCCTAAGCAACGTAGTGAGACCTCATCGCTACAAAAAAACAGAAAAATTAGCTGGGTGTGGTGGTGTATGCCTGTATTCCCAGCTACTTCAGAGGCTGAGGCAGGAGAATCAGTTGAGCCCAGAAGGTGGAAGCTACAGTGAGCCAACAGAGTGAGACCATCTCAAAAAAAATTTAAAAAAATGAAGAAGGAAGGAAGGAAGAGAGGGAGGGAGGGAGCGTGGGCGGGGGGGGGGGGGTGGAGGAGGAGGAGAGAAGGAGTGGGAGGAGTGGAGAAGGAGGGGGAGGAGGAGAAGGATAAAAGGTTACAAGTGGTTGTTACTAGGAATGGGGGAGAAGAGAAGTGGGTAATGGCACTGAAGCTTTTTATTATGTCTTTCAGCATTCTCTGATTGTTCTTAAACCATCAACAGATCTCAGTATGTAGACTAAAAGGGAATATTTGGTGAAGAGATCTTCTTTCACTATTGTACACTTGCTATGGACATGTCCATGCCTGCTGCCTGGCAGGCACCATTCATTAAGTAGGCCCCTGTTGCCAAGGAAACCAGCTCTTCACTGATACCAAAGATAATGCAGAGGCCTGCCGCTCACCAAGCAACCTTCCTCATGAGCTATGCCCCCACCTTCCTGAACTGTCTCTTGCTCCTGTTTGATACTGTCATGCTGCACGAAGCTTACACTTGCTATCTCTCACTTCCCTCTTAGTCATCTGTGATGCTGGCTAAGGGAGCTAGGCCAGTCAGCAGTGACCTGTTGCCCTTGGTTTATTATAAGCAAACTGTTCACAAGAAATGAACTTCTGTTGTTTTATAAATGATATGCATCACAGAACACAGAATAATATCAAAACCACATTAGTTTTTTCATACTTGCTTCATTGACCCCAGGGGAAGAGGGGAGAGCAGGGAGAGGACTTTCTCTTTTTTTAAATACTAATTATATTGAGGTATAAAGAACATATAGTAAGTTCACAGACCTTAAGTATACAGTTTGATGAGTTTTGGCAAATATGTATACCTGTGGAACCAACACCTCAGTCAAGATATAAATACTTACATCAGCCGGGCGCAGTGGCTCATGCCCGTAATCCTAGCACTTTGGGAGGCCAAGGCAGGTGGATCATGAGGTCAGGAGATCGAGACCATCCTGGCTGTCCACTAAAAATACAAAAAATTAGCCAGGCATGGTGGCACATGCCTGTTGTCCCAGCTACTCAGGAGGTTGAGGCAGGAAAATCGCTTGAACCCGGGAGGCAGAGGTTGCATTGAGCCGAGATAGCACCACTGCACTCCAGCCTGGGCAACAGAGAGAGACTCCGTCTCAAAAAAACAAAAAACAACAAAAAAAACCATACATCGACCCAGAAAGTTCCTTCTGTCAGTAGCAGTTCACCCCCCCATGCCCCCAACCCTTGGCCTCCCTGCCTTCCCATCTCCACTCCCAACCCTCACTGCTCTGATTCTATCACCATTGTTTTGATTCTTCTGCTGTTGATCTTCATAAAACCAGTATATTTCCTTTTGTGTCTGGTTTATTTTCCTCAGAATAATGTTTTTAACATTTATCCATATTGTTATGTGTATCAGTCGTTTCTTCCAGATTAGTACTCTATTGTATGGATAGAGCCTATTTTGTTTACCCATTTCCTGTTGACAGACATTTGGTTTGTTCCCAGTTTTGGATTATAATGAATAAAGCTGCTATGAACATTCTTGAACGATGAACATTTTTGTGGACATATGTTTTGATTTTTTTGTGTAAATACCTAGGAGTGAAATTATTGAGGTATGGTATAGGTTTATGCTTAATTTTATAGAGTACTTAAACTTGATTCTTTTATTTAAAATTGTGATAAAATACACATAACATAAAATGAACCGTCTTAACTGTTTTTAACTGTACAGTGCAGTGGTACGAAGCACATTCACATTGTTGCACAACCATCACCACCATCCATCTGCAGAATTATTTTTATCTTGCAAAACTGGAACTCTGAACCAGGTGCGGTGGCTCACGACTGTAATCTCAGCACTTTGAGAGGCCGAAGCAGGAGGATCGCTTCAGCCCAGGAGTTTGAGACCAGCTGGGGCAATATAGTGAGACACCGTCTCTATAAAAACAAAATAAAAATAGACCAGGCGCGATGGCTCATGCCTGTAATCCCAGCACTTTGGGAGGCCATGGTGGGCAGATTGCCTGAGCTCAGGAGTTCAAGACCAGCCTGCCCAACATGGTGAAACCCCATCTGTACTAAAAATACAAAAAATTACCTGGGCATGGTGGCGCGCACCTGTAGTCCCGGTTACTCTGGAGGCTGCAGCAGGAGAATCGTTTGAACCTGGGAGGCGGAGGTTGCAGTGAGCCAAGATCGTGCCACTGCACTACAGCCTGGGCAACAGAGTGAGACTCTATCTCAGAAAAATAAAATAGCTGGGCGCGGTGGCTCATGCCTGTAATCCCAGCACTTTGGGAGGCTGAGGCGGGCGGATCACGAGGTCAGGAGATTGAGACCATCCTGGCTAACACGTGAAACCCCGTCTCTACTAAAAATACAAAAAAATTAGCTGGGAGTAGTGGCGGGCGCCTGTAGTCCCAGCTACTCAGGAGGCTGAGGCAGGTGAATGGCATGAACCCGTGAGGTGGAGCTTGCAGTGAGCCGAGATCATGCCACTGCACTCCAGCCTGGGCGACAGAGCGAGACTCCATCTCAAAATAAATAAATAAATAAATGAAATGAAATAAAATAAAATAAAATAAAAATAGCCAAGTATAGTGATACACATCTGTAGTCCCAGCTACTCAGGAAGCTGAGGTGGGAGGGTCACTTGAGCCCAGGAGTTCAAGGCTGCAGTGAGCTTTGAGCGTGCCATTGTACTCTCCCTGGGTGACAAAGCAAGGCCCTATCTAAAACAAACAAACAAGCAAACAAAAAACCCCAAAACTGGAACTCTGTATCTATTAAACAGTAATCTCTCATTGAGTGGTGTTAAGAGTAAAATTTTTTTTAACAAAAGAAAAAAGTAAAAAGTAAATTTTGAAAAAAGAATTAAAAACAAAAAATCTCCATTACCCCCTCCCCCAGCCCCTGGCAACCACCATTCTACTTTCTGTCTTTCTGAATTTGACTACTGCACATAACCTTATATAGGTGGAATCAAACAGTATTTGTCTTTTTGTGACTGACTTATTTCACTTAGGATAGTGCCCTCAGCTTTTAAAAGGAAAGACATTTTGATATATGCTACAACATAATATTCCATTGTATGTACATACCAAATTTTATTAACGATTTCATCTGTCAATGAACATTTGGGTTGCTTCCACCTTTTGTCTATTGTGAATAATGCTGCCGCGAACATGTTTAAGTCCTTGCTTTCACTTTTTTGTGTATACACCCAGAAGTTGAAATGCTGGATTATATGTAATTCTATTTTTAATATGAGTGACTGCCATACTGTTTTCTATAGTGGCTGTACCGTTTTACGTTCCCACTAAGAGAACATGAGTGTTCCAGTTTCACCATATCCTCACCAACACTTATTTTCTGTTTTGTTGGTGGTAGCCATCCTACTGGATGTAAACTTTATTCATTTTTCGAACCTTTTTAATATGGAATTTTCAAACACACACAAAAGATGAGAGATCTCCAGGTACCCACCACAAGCTTTAATAATGATTAACATTTGGTAGCAGGTGGACAAAGATATACCTTCTCTATAGCAGCTATAAGATCAGGGACAAACAAAGATCTATTTGGAACTCCAACTAAGAATGGTGTTTTGTAGGCTGCCTGATGAATAAGGTTAGATAACTAATGGCCAGTCTTTCAGCCTGTGCTCAAGGGATAGGATAACAATAAAGCATAGTTGGTGAAGGAGCAGCAGATAAAGGTCACAATAGATAGGCCATAAGAGAACCCTCACTATCACTTACCATTCAGACCATTCGCTTCATATTCTAACAAGTTATTTTCCTTTCATAAAAGGAAGCTGAAGCTTTTATTTGTGTTTGTGGTGCATGTGATCCATGAGAGGGGACTCAACCAGGTGCTATGTGTGAGTAGTACTTAATCCGACAGTATTAGTGGGCTGGTGGGCTTTCCTGGTTACATGGGAACCCTAGAAACCCAAGCCAAGCACAAAAGCCAAGACTGAATTCTCCAGTAAGTCACCTGGTAGCCTTGACATGCTCATGCTTAAAAAAGAGCCAGTGACCTATTAATAGGAAGCTCCTGAAATGAGTCCTCTGAACATCTGCAAGTATGGTCAGCTACACCTGAGCTGAGACTTGCCTGTTTCCCTGCCAGGAAATCATGGGCTCAGAAATGGCAGGTACCATGTGTATTAACTATATTTCCTTACTTTCTGTCTTCTTGATGTTCTAGCATCAGGTGCCTCTTTGACCTAAGAGACTTCCCCTCCTAGGACTAGCTAATTCCTAGAAATATCAAACCACTCCCCTGTAAGCATGCCATTCCTATGCAAACCAACCAATCCAGAGCCCATACTCGAAACCACTTCCTTTACCTGGCTCTTCCACACCAGAGGGCAATGTTCCTCTGTCCTAATCATTCTCAGGGCTAGATATCAGATAACTACAAATGCTCCTTGACTTATGGTGGGGTTACATCCTAATAAACCCATCATAAGTTGAAAATATCATAAGTCAAAAGTACATTTAAATCAGGTGTGGTGGCACATGCCTGTAGTCCCAGCTATCTTGGGAGGCTGAGACAGGAGGATCACTTGAGGCTGTGGTGCACTATGATCATGCCTGTGAATAGCCACTGCACCCCAGCCTGGGCAACAGAGTGAGACCTCATACCTTAAAAAAAAATTAAAAAACAAGCTCTCACCAGTCGAAGATGAGGCAACATAAGCAATAAGCACTAAAAAGAATAATGACTGCAAACCAAAATAAATAAGAAGATAAAAGTCCACAAGTTTATAAATAAAAGGTTTTATTTAAAAGCCCACAAGTAAAAAAGAGGAGAGAAACGCTAACTCCTAACTCTGAAAATTAGTAATTAAAGGGAAAGAAGCCTTCAACAATTTTTTTTTTTCTGAGACAGAGTCTTGCTCTGTCACTCAGGCTGAAGTACAGTGGCATAATCACAGCTCACTGCACCCTCAAACTCCTGGGCTTAAGCAATTCTCCTGCCTCAGCCTCCCAAGTGGCTTGGACTACAGGTGTGTGCCTCCACACTCGGCTGATTTTAAATGTTTTGTAGAGATGGGGTCTCACTATATTGCCCAGGCTGGTCTCCAACTCCTGAGCTCAAGCAAAACTCCCACCTCAGCCTCCCAAGTAGCCAGGGCCATAGGTGTGCACCACCATGCCCAGCTAATTTTCCTTTTTTCCATTTTGTAGAGATGGGCTCTCGCCATGTTGCCCAAGCTGTTCTCCAACTCCTGAGCTCAGACAATCCTCCCGCCTCGGCCTCCCAGGTGTGAGCCACTATGCCTGGCCAAAAATTTTTTAATGAAGTCCCCCTGGGTCCAGGCACTGGTTTGGGCACTGAAGATTCAGCAGTAAAGTAAAATAAATTTCCTCATTGATCTTGTCAGTGACTCCTTTGCATGCTTGCTTCACACTATATTTCAAGGTAACCAAATAGTTGTAGTTAGAAAAAGTTCCATCTTACAGAAAACTTTCAGCTAATAAATGTAGAGGGAATGATAAAGTTAGAAAAATAACTATATTTTAAGTCCTAATGAAACAACAGACCCACACAACAATGACCAACGGATGAAAAATATCAGGTGAAACACTTATACGGAACCTGTCAGTGGCAAGATTGGGCTGTAACCACCTGAAACCACTGACCAATCTCGGCATTACTAAAACAGGGCTGACCAGATAGTCTGTGATTCTGATGTAAAGCAATAAGGAGTACATAGCACCACCTTTTCAGTAGCCAAAACAGTTAAACCTGAATCTAATCAAGACTTTAGAATTACCTTTACGATTGGATGAAATATGGAGAGCAGAAGAACAAATTCAACAGCACAAAAAGGAAGAAAACAGATAAATCTAGAGTGGGCCACGTTCTACAAAACTGAGCTGGTTTCTTGGTCAAGACAATAGCATGGAAAAAAATGGGAAGTAGGCAAAGAGACTCCTCTGGATTGAATGAAATTTAAGAGACACAATAGCCAAGTATGATGTGTGGACCTTGTTTGGATCTAGATTTGAAGAAATCGATTGTAAAAAGTAATTTTTGAAAACAAATAGGGAAATCTGAATATGGGCTAGGCATTAGTTTTTACCAAAGAATTATTATTAGGTGTGATAATGGTACTGTAATTACGTAAGATTGTAATTATTTATATTGTTTTTAGAGATAAAAATAAGACCTTCAGTGCTGAAGAAGGGCACAGTGGCACATGGCACAGCACAGCATCTACATCATCAGTCAAATAAGAATTTTTTTTTTTTTTTTTGAGACAGAGTCTCGCTCTGTCGGCCAGGTTGGAGTGCAGTGGCAAGATCTCGACTCACTGCAACCCCTGCCTCCCGGGCTCAAGCAATTCTCCTGCCTCAGCCTCCCGAGTAGCTGGGATTACAGGGGTGTGCCACCATGCCCGGCTAATTTTTTTTGTGTTTTTAGTAGAGACGGGGTTTCACCATGTTGGCCAGGCTGGTCTTGAACTCCTGACCTCAGGTAATCCACCCGCCTCGGCCTCCCAAAGTGCTGGGATTATAGGCGTGAGCCACCGTGCCCGGCCCAGTCAAATAATTCAAGGCAGCTGTCAGGCTAAAGTTCGGCGAGCGACACGCGGCTGGGCGGCGGGAGGAAACGCGGGGCCGGGCCGGGCGCTGGAGATGGTCCCCGGCGCCGCGGGCTGGTGTTGTCTCGTGCTCTGGCTTCCCACGGCTTCCGTATCCATGATTATTTGTACTTTCAAGTGCTGAGTCCTGGGGACATTCGATACATCTTCACAGCCACACCTGCCAAGGACTTCGGTGGTATCTTTCACACAAGGTATGAGCAGATTCACCTTGTCCCTGCTGAACCTCCAGAGGCCTGCGGGGAACTCAGCAGGTTTCTTCATCCAGGACCAGATCGCTCTGGTGGAGAGTGGGGGCTGCTCCCTCCTCTCCAAGACTCGGGTGGTCCAAGAGCATGGCGGGCGGGCCGTGATCATCTCTGACAATGCGGTTGACAATGACAGCTTCTATGTGGCGATGATCCAGGACAGTACCCAGCGCACAGCTGACATCTCCGCCCTCTTTCTTCTCAGCCGAGAGGCTACATGATCCGCCGCTCCCTGGAACAGCCTGGGCTGCCATGGGCCATCATTTCCATCCCAGTCAATGTCACCAGTATCCCCACCTTTGAGCTGCAGCAACCGTCCTGGTCCTTCTGGTAGAAGAGTTTGTCCCACATTCCAGCCATAAGTGACTCTGAGATGGTAAGGGGAAACCCAGGAATTTTGCTATTTAGAATTTGGGAATAGCATTTGGGGACAAGTGGAGCCAGGTAGAGGAAAAGGATTTGGGCGTTGCTAGGCTGAAAGAGGGAAACCACACCACTGACCTTCCCTTCCCCAGGGCCCCCAAGGGTGTCCCAGAAGAGGTAAGAGACAGGCCCCAGGGCTTCTGGATAGAACCTGAAACAAAAGGTGCTGAAGGTAGGTGGCCTGAGAGCCATCTGTGACCTGTCACATCTCACCTGGCTCCAGCCTCCCCTACCCAGGGTCTCTGCACAGTGACCTTCACAGCAGTTGTTGGAGTGGTTTAAAGAGCCGGTGTTTGGGGACTCAATAAACCCTCATTGCCTTTTTAGCAATTAAAAAAAAAAGGCAATAAAAGGCATAATATAGGTTTTAGAAATTTATATTTATAATGGGTTTGATGTACAATAAAGATACATTAGTTATTAAACAAGGTATAAAAATACTCAATTCAAGGATATGGAAAAATAATGAAAAAAATAAGAAAATAGGAAGAATTAATTTTAAAAAGCAGAAGTCAATGAAATAGAAAATAATAATACTGATATATAGGCTGGGTGTGGTGGCTCATGCCTGTAATCCCAGCAATTTAGGAGGCCAAGGCAGGAGGATTGCTTGAGCCTAGGAGTTGGAGAACAGCCTGGGCAATATAGGAAGACCCCATCTCTACAAAAAATTTAAAATCAGCCAGACATGGAGGTGTGCGCCTGTAGACCCAGCTGCAGGGGAGGATCACTTGAGCCCAGGATCCTGAAGCTGCAGTGTGCCATGTTTGCACCACTGCACTCCAGCCTGGGTGACAGAGGGAGACCCTGTCAGGAAGGAAAGAAGAGAGGAAGGAAGGAAATAATAATAATAATATATAAATGCAGGAATAAATTCTTTTAAAAAGACAAAAATAATCTGTGGTGAGCCTAATTAAGAAAAAGAGAAAGCCCATGAGAGAGGGAGCATAACCTGAGATACAGAGAAAACAAAAATGCTAAAAATAACTCAATAAATTTGAAAACCTTAATGAAAAACTCCCTAGGAAAATTTGTTAAAATTGAAATTAATTCAATATGTGTAAGATAGAAGAAATGGAAAAGTTGTCAGAGAACTACCTAAAGTGAAGCTGGGTGCGGTGGCTGACACCTGTAATCCCAGCACTTTGGGAGGTTGGGGGCGAGAGGATCATTTGAGCTCAGGAGTTCAAGACCAGCCTGGGCAACAGGGCAAAAACCCCATCTCCACCAAAAAAAAACATTAAAATTAGCCGGGTGTGGTAGAGTGTGCCTGTAGTTCCAGCTACTAAGGAGGCTGTGGTGGGAGGATCACTTGAACCTGGAGGTCAAGGCTGCAGTGAGTTGTGATTATCCCACCGCACAGCCTGGGTGACAGAGTGAGACCCTGTCTCAAAAAAACCAAACCAAAATAAACCGAAAAAAAAAAAAAACCTAAAGTGACACCATCCTCATTCTTTCTTAAAAAATGAATTATTGGCCGGGTGCGGTGGCTCACGCCTGTAATCCCAGCACTTTGGGAGGCCAAGTCGGGTGGATCACGAGGTCAGGAGATCGAGACCATCCTGGCTAACACGGTGAAACCCCATCTCTACTAAAAATACAAAAAATTAGCTGGGCGTGGTGGTGGACACCTGTAGTCCCAGATACTCGGGAGGCTGAGACAGGAGAATGGCGTGAACCCGGGAGGCGGAGCTTGCAGTGAGCCAAGATCATGCCACTGCACTCCAGCCTGGGCGACAGAGCAAGACTCCGTCTCAAAAAAAAAAAAAAATTATTTTACTGATGTATAATAGGTACACATAGATTTGGAGTACATGGGATTAATAAAGTTCAAATTGGTGTACTTGGGACATCCATCACCTTAAATATTTGTCTTTTCTTTACACTGGAAACATCCAAGCTATTCTCTTCTAGCTACTTTGAAATGTACAAGATTACTGTAAACTATCAAACACTAGGTCATATTTCTTCTATAAAACCATATATTTGTATCAGTTGATCAACTTCTCTTCCTCGTCTCCTCCTGATACCTTTCCTGGCCTCTGGTAACCATAAATCTACTCTCTATCTTCATGAGATCCAATTTTTTAGTTTCCACATATGAGTAAGAGCATGTGATATTTGTCTTTCTGTGCTTGACTTATTTCATTTAGCATGATGACCTTTAATTCCATGTTGCTACAAATGACAGGATTTCATTTTTATGGCTGAATAATATTCTATTTTGTATATGTACCACATACACATTTTCTTTTTCCTTTTCTTTTTTTTTTTTTTTTTTTTTGAGATGGAGTCTCGCTCTGTTGCCCAGGCTGGAGTGCAGTGGTTCCATCTCGGCTCACTGCAAGCTCTGCCTCCTGGGTTCATGCCATTCTCCTGCCTTAGCCTCCCGAGTAGCTGGGACTACAGGCGCCCGCCACAACGCCCGGCTAGTTTTTTTTGTTTTGTTTTTGTTTTCTGTATTTTTAGTAGAGATGGGGTTTCACCGTGTTAGCCAGGATGGTCTCGATCTCCTGACCTTGTGATCTGCCCACCTTGGCCTCCCAAAGTGCTGGGATTACAGGCGTGAGCCACCGTGCCTGGCCCACATCCACATTTTCTTTACCTATTCATCCGTTGATGAGCACTTTGATTCCATATTTGAGCTATTGTGAGTAGTGCTGCAACAAACATGAGAGTGCAGATACCTCTTTCGTATACTGATTTTCTTTCTTTTGGATATACACTCAGTAGTGGAATTGCTGGATCATATGGTAGTTCTAGATTTATGAAGAAACGCCATACTGTTCTCCATAGTGACTGTACTAATTTACATTCCCACCAACAGTGTACAAGGGTTCCCCTTTCTCCACATCCTCACCAGCATCCGTTATTGCCTGTTGTTTTGATAAAAGCCATTTTAACTGGGGTAAGCTGACATCTCATTGTAGTTTTGATTTGCATTTATCTAATGATTAGTGATGTTGAGCACTTCTTCATGTACCTGTTGGCCATTTGTGTGTCTTCTTTTGAGAACTGTCTATTCAGATCTTTTGTCCATTTTTAAATCGGATTTTTTTTCTATTTGTTTGAGCTCCTTGTATATTCTGGTCACTAACTCCTTGTTAGATGGGTAGTTTGCAAATATTTTCTCCTATTCTGTGGGTTGTCTCTTTAGTCTGCTGATTGTTTCCTTTACTGTGCCGCTTCTTAGCTTGATGTAAGCTCACTTGTCTACTTTCGCTTTGGTTGCCTGTGCCGTTGAGGTCTTACACAAAAAATTTGCCCAGATCACTGTCCTGAAGAAGAAACTGTCTCCAGTTTCTTCTAACAGTTTCACATTAGAGTTAAGTCTTTTTTTTTTTTCTTTAAGACAGAATCTCGCCCTGTTGCCCAGGCTGGAGTCCAATGGTGCGATCTCGGCTCACTGCAACCACAGCCTGTGGGTTCACGCCATTCTCCTGCCTCAGCCTCCCGAGTAGCTGGGACTACAGGTGTACGCCATCATGCCTGGATAATTTTTTGTATTTTCAGTAGAGATGGGTTTTCACCATGCTGGCCAGGCTGGTCTCGAACTCCTGACATCGTGATCTGCCCGCCTCCGCGTCCCAAAGTGCTGGGATTACAGGTGTGAGCCACCGCGCCTAGCCCAGACTTAGGTCTTTAATCAATTTTGATGTGATTTTTTTTTTTGTATGGTGAGAGATAGTTTAGTTTATTTCTTCTGCATATAGTTATCCAGTTTTCCCAGTAACACTTACTGAAGAGACTGTCTTTTTCCCATTGTATATTCTTGGTACCTTTGTCAAAGATGAGTTGGCTGGGTGGATTTACATGAGTTCTCTATTCTGTTCCATTGGTCTATGTCTCTATTTTTATGCCAGTACCATGCTAATTTGGTTACTACAGCTTTGCAGTAAATTTTGAAGTCAGGTAGTGAAATGCCTTCAGCTTTATTCTTTTTGCTCAGGATTGTTTTGTCTATTAGGGGTCTTTTCTAGTTCCACATAAATTTAAGGATTTTTTTTCTATTTCTGTGAAGAATGTCGTTGGTATTTTCACAGGTTTTGCATTGAATTGGTAAGCTGCATTGAGTAGAATTGCCATTTTATTTGAGACGGGGTCTTCACTCTGTCACCCAGTCTAGAATGCAATGGTGTGATCATGGCTTACTGTATGATCATGGTTCACTGTAGCCTTGACCTTCACTGGGCTCAAGTGATCCTCCCACTTTCAGGCCCTCAAGTGGCTGGGACTGCACGTGCATACCACCACAACTAATTTTTTTTAATTTTTTTATAGAGACAGGGTCTCACTATGTTGCCCAGGCTGCTAGTGACCCTCCCACTTTGGCTTCCCAATGTGCTGGGATTACAGGTGCGAGCCATCGCATTCAGCTATCATTTTAACAATAGTAATTCTTCCAGTCCATGAACATGGAATCTCTTTTGTGTGTTTGTGACCTCCTCAACTTCTTTTATGCTTTATAGTTGTCCTTCTATAGATCTTTCACTTCTTTGGTTAAAATGATCCCAGGTATCTGCAGCTATTGTAATTGGGACTGCATTTTTTTTTCAAATTTTTCTCTCTTGGTGTATATAAATATTACTGTTTTTTGTATCTTGCAATTTTACTAAATTCATTTATCAGTTTTCTTTTTTTTTTTTTGGTGAGGTCTTTAGGTTTTTCTAAATATAAGATCATGTCATCTGTGAACAAGTCTAATTTGACTTCTTCCTTTTCCATTTTTTTCTTTTTTTGAGATGGAGTCTCGCTCTGTCACCCAGGCTGCAGTGCAGTGGCGCCATTTTGGTTTACTGCAACTTCTGCCTCCTGGATTCAAGTGATTCTCCTGACTCAGCCTCAGGAGTAGCTGGGATTACAGGCGCCCGCCACCATGCCTGGCTAACTTTTGTATTTTTAGTAGAGATGGGGTTTCACCATGATGGCCAGGCTGGTCTTGAACTCCCGACTTCAGGTGACCCACCTGCCTCAGCCTCCCAAAGTGCTGGTGTTACATGTGTGAGCCACCGTGCCCGGGCTTTCCTTTTCAATGTTGATGCCCTTTTTAAATTTTTCTTTTCTAATTGCTCTGGCCAGTCCCATTCCTTTAGAAATAAGGGTGTTGCTCTGTCACCCAGGCTGGTCTCGAACTCCTGGGCTTAAGTGATCCTCTCACCTCAGCCTCCTGAGTGGCTGGGATTACAGGCATGCACCACTGTGCCCAGCTAGTTCCATTCTTTTCAGATAAATTTTTTCAAATCCTCTAGAAACAGGTAATATTTGTGCTTTTTAAACAGTTCAGAATACACACAAAATATAAAATGTTTCTAATATTTATTATATATCTAACATATTGATAATCTAATAGAATTCCAGATTCCTAAAGGATTTCTGTATAAGCACTGAGAGATAACCTGTCTTAGCCATTGCTAGTCAGAACCAAAGAAAATACCATGAAGATTCTGAGGTCTTCCACCAAAAAAAGTTTCTTAAAAGAAATGGAGGCATGAAGGCAGTCAGGTAATGACAGCAATGACAGAATGAGAAAAGTACTGCAACAGTTCAAAAAACTGCTTTTTCTTCCTGGTTCTGCTACATAATTCAAGATAACTTTAACCACCTCTCTGGGGCCCAATTTCTTTACATTGCAAAGAAGTTATGGACCCTTTAATACTCAGTTCCACAAATTCTGACTCAGAGGGTTCAGTGAGAACTCCAATAATTGGGAGGCAATAAACTCACTGGATAGCTTTGAGTAAGACGACTTTTGGTGTGCCTGTCAGTTCATATCCTCCTATAAAGTCTCTAACCTCAACCCATCCCAACCACAGGCCTGGGGGCCTGTAGCTATGTATTATGGATCCTTTTAGGAAAAAGTATCTTGCTAGTCACAACTATGTTCTCCCTTGAAGAAAAATGAGCAGGTGAAGCTGCTGTTCAGACAGAATGAAGCGGATGTGCAAAGGGACCACAGACAACCATCACGGTAGGAAATACCGCTTGCTTTACTGCTGAATCTCCAGTGCCTAGATCAGTGCCTGGCCCTAGCAGGTTTTCATCAAATAATTATTGAAGGACCACTGAATTTCATTCCCTCATGTGGTTTCCATGAGATACTTCTGTATTTCTCTAATCATTCAATTATTCCTCCCCCTTAAGCTAGCACAAGTTTCTTTCTTACAACCAGAAAGCCCTTCCAAATACATTATGATATTCTCCCCTTCATAGCCACCACTTACTTCACTACAGGTATATGTCAGACCTCAGGAAAGACACCACCGAAGACTGGATCACATGTCCCCACTCAGGAATACAGAATTGGCACATGAGATTAGGTCAGTTGGTCAGCAGCACTAAAGGTGGTGATAGACACCAATGCAGCGCATAAAGGCTGGCCGGCAGGCGAAGTGATAAGAAAGCAGACACAAACAGGAAAGTAGACAATGGTGGTTCTGAGACATCCCTATATTTTCCTGCTATGGACTGAATGTTTGTGTCTCCCACACCCCCATTCATATGTTGAAATGCTAACATCCAACAGTATTTCGAGGTGGGGCCTTTGAGAGGCAACTAGTTCATAAATGTGGAGCCCTCATGATGGGATTAGCGCTCTTGATTGTGATGGTTTCACACATTTATGTCAAAACCAATCAAATTTTCTACTTTAAATACGTGCAGTTTCTTGTACTTCAATTGTATATGAAAGTTGTAAAAAATGTGGAGAGTTCAGTTATTAACTGATTTCAGTTAGAACAACCAATAATGTACCAATAATGGTACAACATTTAAGGAGGTCCCTTATGACTGTGCTATTTTGGACTTAATATCAGTACTTACTGATTTATTCCACTGCTTTCCCAACTCCCTTCACCCTCTGCTCCCATAAAAGTGAACAATTATGAATGTCATAACCAAATTGGTAAATTCGGGCCGGGCATGGTGGCTCATGCCTGGAATCCCAGCACTTTGGGAGGCCAAGGCGGGTAGATCACTTGAGATCAGGAGTTCAAGACCAGCCTGGCCAACATGGTGAAACTCCGTCTCTACTAAAAATACAAAAAATCAGTCAGGCGTGGTGGTGCTCGTCTGTAGTCCCAGCTACTTGGGAGGCTGAAGTAGAAGATGAACGCAGGAGGCAGAGGTTTCAGTGAGTCGAGATCTCGCCACTGAACTCCAGCCTGGGTGACAGAGCGAGACTCAAAAAAAACAAACAAAAATTGGTAAACTCTAATTTAGAATTAGTAGAATTAGGAGGTAAGATCTTACACATTCCTCAAATTTGTCAAGATTTTGCATTTTAATTTCTAAATCCCTTCCAGGAGTTAAACATCAGTATAAATTGGGGTAACTGATTTAACATAAACCAGTGTTATAGCTTATGTCAAAACTATCTACTTAGATTACAATCTCTTTTAAGGACAAGGCCACATCATTAATTTTGATTCCCAAGTTTACAAGCACTATGTCTAGTACAGAGGAGAGTGAGAAGGAACAGGGAAAGGGATAAAGGGTATGAGGTAAGATGGTAGGAAGAAAAAGGGTATGTGTGCAGAGTATGTGTGGGTGCAGAGTATGCAGGGTCTCGTAGGCCATGATAGACATTGGACTTTAGTCTGATTGTGATACAAAGCCATTGGTGATTTTGAGCAGACAAGTGGTATGGTCTGATTTATATGAATATACACACATACACACATATTTTGTTTTGCTTGAGACGGAGCCTTGCTCTGTCGCCCAGGCTGGAGTGCAGTGGCATGATCTCAGCCACTGCAACCTCTGCCTCCTGGGTTGGAGCGATTCTCCTGTCTCAGCCTCCTGAGTAGCTGGGATTACAGGCATGCACCACCACACCTGGCTAATTTTTGTATTTTTAGTAGAGATGGGGTTTCACCATATTGGCCAGGTTGGTCTCAAACTCCTGACCTTAGGTGATGCACCTGCTTCGGCTTCCCAAAGTGCTGGGATTACAGGTGTGAGCCACCGCGCCTGGCCTAATTTATATTTTAAAATAAGGATCACTCTGAATGCTATGTAGAGAATAAACTATATGAGGAAAATATAGAAGCAGGGTACATACCAAAGAGTATGCCAAGAATGGGTGCACATGCTCACTGAAAGACAGATGTGATCATTTTCATAGTAACTTTATTCATAATGACCACAAGCTGGAAACAACCTAAATTTCTATCAACGGTAGAATGGGTAAGTTGTGATGTAGTCACACAATGGAATACTACACAGAAGTAAAACATGAACTGCTACTACATATAACATGGATTACTCTCACAGATACAATGTTGAACAAGACACGGAAGAGTGCATATAATTATTTCACTTACATAAAGTTTTAAAACAGGCAAAACTAATCCGTGGTGATAAAAGGGGTTGGTGGGGGCCTGGGGAACATAAGGACACCTACTGAAGTGCTAGAAATATTCTATATTTTGACCTGGGTGGTGCATTCAAGGGCATATATAAAAACCCACTGAGGTGTACACTTAATATCGGTACACTTTTAAATTTTACCTCAGTAACAAGTTGAAAATATATTGGAAGAAAGCATATAAATGAAGATGTTAATCAGTGGTGTTGTCTTCCAAATATTTCTGGTTTTTCTCCCAGGTATATGCAAGGATCACACTCCTCCTAGAACTTTAATGTGGCTATGTGATTTGCTTTGGCCAATGAAAGTCCTTTAAGAGTCCTTAAGTGATTTGCCATACTCTTTTTTCATTTCCCAAAGTTAGCACCCACACTCCTGATGGTATCTGCTTTGTCAGCCTGAGACCCAGAATGAAGGCAACTTAGAGCACAAATTGGTGAACTTTCTCTGTAAAGGGCCACAGAATAAGTATTTTAGGTTTTGTGAGATGTACACACTCTGTAGCAACTACTCAGCTGTGCCATTGTAGAACCAAAGTAGCCACAGATAATAAATAAATGGACAAGGCTATATTCCAGTAAAACTTTATTTAGATAAATAAGGAGCTAGACAGATTTTGCCCATGGACCATAGTTTGATCATGGCCAACCTATGATCTAAACCAAAGTCCCTAGGCAAGTTGCAATAGAAAAGTTGTGTGAGACAGTGAGATTTTGCCTTTGTTATTCAATGGCAAGCTAGCCCATGCTGACACAGAAATTGGTCCCTTGTTTTTTAAAATGCTAAAATACTGAACACTGGCTTAATGGTTAGCTGGCAGGCATTCAGGAAATTGCTATCAGAAGATGGAAGAAATAACTTACACAAGGGTAATTTATATTATGGAAAGGTGAAACTGCCCCTTGAGATAACCTGAAAGGCAGATCATCTACCCTTTACTAAAGAAAAAGACAGAAAAACAAAATATTTTGTAGTTGCTGTTCACTGCACTTGACAAAACGTACAGAAGAGATGAACTCAGAAAAGACTGGTCAGTTTGCAGGCAAAAATGAAAAGGAAGAGAATTCAAATTCAAGTACTTACTGGGTAGGATGAGGCAACATTTTAATATCAAAAAGAAAGATAAAAATGGGAAATCCTTTTACAAATAAATAAAAAGAGAAATCCTTTAGCCAAAAGGTTGATTAAAAGCCAGTTTTGCCGCCGGGTGCAGAGGCTCACACGTATAACACCAACATTTTGGGAGCCCGAGGCGGGCGGACTGCTTGAGTCCAGGAATTCGAGACTAGCCTGGGGAATACAGCAAGACCCTGTCTCCACATAAAAATACAAAAATTAGCTGGGTGTACTCGTGTATACCTGTATTCCCAGCTACTTAGGAGGCTGCAGTGGGAGAATTGCTTGAGCCAGGAAGGCAGAGATTGCATTGAGCTGAGATTGTACCTCTGCACTCCAGCCTGGGTGACAAAGTGAGACCCCGCCTCAAAAAAAAAAAAAAAAAAAAAAGCCAGTTTTGCAGCAAGCACCAAATCACTGGATGACTATGACACCTACTGTTAAGATCTCTGAATGACTTAATATGCCTCAGACTAAAACTCCAACTAAGATTATACTAGTTAATCCCATAAATTGGTCAAAATGGCTTAAGGAAACAGACTAAGGGTGTGGCTTTCCCACCTAAGCCTGAAAAGCCTCAGTTACCCAGAAATTAAGTTCAGAGAGGCATGGGAACAAGAAGGCAAAGGAATACAGCAAACTTTAGAAGTATACATTAACTAGATGTCACTTTTGGGTCATCTCCCTTTGGGTGATAAGGACATTCTGCAGGTGTAAAAACAAGTGAACTGAATATATAGTGACCAGAAGGGCTGAGTCAGTCTTCTACTTTGTTAAATTTACTTACTTTTAAATCCCAGAAGAGCCAAAAATCATCTGTAAAGGAAAGTAGCAAGTAAATAGCATGCCATTTTCTCCTAGTGTTGATGCCTACAAAAGGAAAAATGATTATTAACTCTTAGGCGGCATTATCTTTTTCCAATACTAAATGTAACATTTAGTAAAAACATATTGTTTTAGTTCACTAAGTAGTTGTCTAATCTTTTCCCTCTATATGTAGGTTCCTTTGGAAATTTAAAAAAAAAAAAAAAATATATATATATATATGACACTGTTTACAAAGGGTAAAAAAAAATAAGATTCTATACATGGATATGCAAACTTAATATTACATAGTGGATTTGGTGTGTATATTTGGTTTTGAATCCTGAGTTTACTACTTACTGTGTTTACCAGGGAAAACCGCAATTTGTTATCCTTCTCTCCTTTCATACAACAGAGAAAACCACAATTTGTTTAACAGTCACATAATACATATTTAAGTCACATGCTAAGCACTACACTAAATTCTGAGAATACAACGAGGTCCCTAGTTACAAAGAACTTGTCTTCATTTTTCAATTAGTAATATGTGGATAAAAGTTACCCAATGGACAGTCTAAGGCAGAATGACTGTGAAGGTCAAATAAGACTGTGAAAGAGCTTCAAAAATTGTAAAACACTACACAAATATTCGTTTGTCCAAACATTTATTGAAATGCCAGGCATTGTGCTAAGCACTAGAGATATAACAGTGAACAAGGCTTATATGGTCCCTGCCCTTACAAAGCTTACAGTCTAGCAGTGATCAATAAGCAGTAACAATAAAGTGTGCCAAGTGTATGTCTGGGAAAGAACAGGGTGTATAGGGAATGGATAGTAAGGGCACCTAATCTAGAGGGCATCAATGAAGGTTTCCTAGATGAAGTGGCATACTGAGACCTTAAAGATGAAGATAAATTTGTATTGTACCCTAAGAGCAATGGTGAAAGCAATGCAGTGACATGATCAGTAAGTCTTTTGGAGCAATTTGGTTGTAGTGTAGAAAGGAATAAAAATAAAAAACAGGGAGACTAATAAGGAGGCTGTTGCTATAATTTAGGTAGGTTGATGGCCTGAATTAAAATGGCAGCATTGGAGAATTGGTAAAAAGGACAAATGAATGGTTGGTAGTGGTAATGCCATTTAGTCAAAGAGGAAACATGAGAGGAGGAGCAGGATTGGGGGCAAGATCAATGACATGTAGTGCCTGAGACAGCAAAGAGCATTTGTTAGCAATTAGATACATCAATTAGGGAAGATCTAGAAAGGAGATATGAATCTGACAGTCATTTGCATATAAATGGTAAGGAAACCATGGAAGGAAATGAGATCAGCTAGCGAGCTGACACAGAACAAGGCAGTCTAAAACAAATTTTTTTAAAAATACGAAGAACAGATATTGAAGGGAAGAGGTGCCTGCAAAGACTAAGAAAGCACACCTGGAGATGGTATCTCCTCAAAGCTAAAGTCATCAAGTGTTCAAGTGTTTCAAGGAGGGTAAGACTATTAACAAGGACTTAGCATAGTAGAGCAATTTGAGTGGCAATACGGGACACTGGGAATACAAATCTGTCAAGAAAACTAGTAGGAATGAGCTATAGGACAGTAACTGGTAAGGACCTAATAATTTTTTTTTTAATGTACGTATTTTAACTATATTCACTGCTACAACAGGACCAGTAACAACTATATTTATTTAAAAAAAAAAAGACTGCCATGCAGTTACAGAATTACTTAATACAGAAAACAGTAAAATACACTTTTTTCTTTTTCTTTTTTTTTTTTTTTTTTTACAAACAAGACTAGCTTATAGCAAATTCTCTATAGCTAAGGGTCAATTTAAAATCCTTGGCTTATATCTCCCCCTCACTCAATGACTACATGATGCAAACTAATTTTATTAACACCTTAAGCAAAACATACTGGAATTTCACAAAATGTACAAGATTTCAATATTTAAGGAACTGGGGTTAGAAAGCAGAAGTGGCTTTCAGGTCTTCCAGTCTTTCTCTCAAGTAATAAAGCTCTGCTGTGAATATTCAAAGCTATTGGGAAATTACCGGTAGATTTTTCTGTTTTTTTTTTTCGGTTTTCCACTATGTTGTTTCTCTAGATATGTAAGCTTACTCTATTAACCAAAATCTCAGCTTGACCATTCTTGATAAGTACCTAATCGACATGTAACTTTTTTTCTGCCTTAAATATGTATAACAGGACAGAGCCCTTAAATCTGATTCAATTATTAATTCCTGATTTACAAGTGCTATGGTGAGCTAACAGAACTTATCAATGCCTTTATTGCACTTTACTAGCCAAATTTAGAAGGTTGGAATTAGTCTCTCCTATCTAGTATTCTGTCAGTTTGCCCAGCTTGTACTTTTAATTTTGCTTCTAATGGTAATCTGCCCTATCCCTTGAAATAAAATAATCTACATTTTGGGAGGGCTAATTCTTCATTGTGCCAGGCTGTCCCATGCACTGCAGGGGTGAGTGTCTTTAGGCTTAAATGCCAACAGAAGCCCCTAGTAAATATGACAACCAAAAAAGTGCCCCTACACATTTCTCAGCATCCTCTGGAATGACAGGTTACTGCCTCTAGTTGAAAGCCACTGGCACAACTTTGGTTTTTAAGCTCTTATGCCATTTATTTTAATTGCCCAGACATCAATTCCACCTAAATTCTTAGTCATAGCCTGGTTCCTTGAATTTGCTGGATTAGTAACCACAGATTAAGGTGTTTCAATAGTTAAGACAGGACTTTGGAACAAGAGTTTTTAAATTGTATAATACTTGAGAGGATCTATGAATATAAATTGGGTCCTGTTTATAATTAGTTTTACATAATGAACTTTAAGATTGCCTTTTCATGGTGAACAGAAGTTTGGAAATTACTGTTTTGGCACAAAGCAGATTATCTTAGTAGAAATACAGAATTACTGCAATCTGTGAATAAGACTGCTTTTAAATATTTCTACTTGTGTGCTATCTTACATATAGAATGTGTACGACAGTTCCAAATTTTAGAATAAATCCATTTCTAGCATCTAACAAAATCTGATACTGTATCATTTTAAAACAAAGTGTTTACTTTAGGCAGGATTTTTTAAAATAAAGCAGCAATACCCACGCAGATAAGACAAAAAAGCTAAAATATCTCACACCTCCTAATCCTGGAGTGCAATCTTTTTTCCTCATCGTTTTTGATAGGGCCAAACTTGTGTCTACAGTAAAAAAAAAAAAAAAAAGAATTACTAACTGGCAACCATTAAGATTCTATACTTACCATAGTCCTTTAATAGGCAAGCTGATAAAATAGCCCCCAGTTATTAAAAAAAAAATCCAAGGAAAACCCCCAATAATTAGTCTTATCTCCAAATTGCATGAAGTCTCCTATATCTGAAACTTAAAAATGATTCTAATGACTTCCTCTATCAGTAATGTGTTATCACTGAGGTGGGTGATGGGGAGGGAAGAGGGAAGAAATCTGTCAGTATTACCTTCGAACTCAGAAATGTTTAAAAAAAAGTCTCAAACATTTTGATGGTTAGACAAAACACCTCCACTGTTATGTATGGGCTTCCTTTTTGGAAACTTATGAACTTGCTATGTGAGCTTCTGCAAATTGGTTCAAAAGCACATTTAAGGAGTTGATAATTTAAGACTATATGAATCAGAATTTTAACACTCCATTAAAATAAGAGCTGAAATTTTTGGCATTTATCTTCAGAACACCTAAAAAACAGACTGCAAATTCAACTCACATTAATACTAAATCTCTTTAAAATTAACTATATCATAAAAGACAATGACTTTGTCACTAAACTAAGTTTTAAAAAAGGTGGCATTCTCATGTTTCAGTCCCATGCTGCCATTTGAGATGAAAAAAAAGGCAACTGTCAGAATTTTAATTGTGATCAGTTTGGACGGCTGGTACTTGGTACTTTCTCACAATCCAAATTAGTAAACTTGAAAACTCAAACCAATTTTTGCTTTTAGAATTAAATTCTTGTTGAGTTTTTCAATCTTGTACTACAAAGCCTTATGGATTAGATTCATTTCTTTCTCTCACAAGGTCATCCCAACCGGGCTCCATTTCAGTTGTGGCAACCCGAAACAGGGCTTGGAGATGCTCATCTGTTAATGGCTGACTCAAAGTGTGTTGGTTTCGAGTCAAATATGAAAAAGCCTTTTCACAGATTTGGTTACTATCAAACAAGGATGCCACCTTACAGGCAACCCCTTTGATAATTGGGTAGGATTCAGCAGACAATCCAGCATAAAACTGCCCCAAGTCTTTGATTCTGTATTCATTCCAAAGATTAGTGTTTGCCTGAAGTTTTGTTAGCTCCACCCTCACTGAAATAGGTGCATATTCAGGTTTAAAGTTAAATGGATTTGAAAAAAGTTCTAAGTCCTTTTTAATGAACCTGAGGTCCTTAAAATGTCTCTCAAATTCTTTTTGGAGACGACAGATCACCATTTGATACCTATCAGGATCAAATATTTTTTCATCTTCCTTATTTTGCTGTTTTAGCTCATCAACAACTTCTCTGAGGGCAGGAAAGTCTGTTAGATTTTTTTCCTCAATATGTCTTTGAAATAAATTCAGCTTAACTTCGAAAGTACAAATATGGTCAAAGGCAGCAGCAGCAAAGACTTTACTAACTCGTAATTCTTCACTGAGTTCTCGAAGGTGTTCCATAATGTCCACCAAGAAGCCAAAGTCACAAAGCCATTGTTTGTCTGAGAAGTGGACTGTTGTTGCCCCTACTGAAACCAAGAACGCTTCCATTTCTTTTCTTAGAGAGAATATTAGTTTTAAAGTTTTCCCTCTCCTAAGCCAATTGTTCAGACATCGTCCATTAACCCTTTCACCATGCTCTGATTCAGATTCCGTTAGTAAAGTCTGAAATTCAGGTCGCCTAACGCCTCTGGTCTTAATCAAAACTATCCATTCGGATATGGTATTTATGATCTGATTAACATCTACATCATAGGAGCTCAACAGTTCCAAGTGAAGAAATCCTGAATAATGAATGACATTCCAACAGTTGGGGCTTACGGCCTTTTCTCTCATGTATGAGACGAGTCCTGAGTTCTCACCAATCATCCTCAAAGTATGGGTCGTGGTCAGTCCAACCATTCTCTGCAAGCTAAGCCCTGCTGTCTGCAGGGACTCTAGGATTGCCGACATGAGCGCACCAACACTGAAATGATGAGTCAGGTTGATTATGGTCAGAAGATCTTCTTGCACCTCCAACTCAGGGCCTACACCGCGGATAAAGACCAGGAGGTAGTTCTCATAGGCCACAAAAGCCTGGTCGTCCAAGGCAAGAGAATAGGCTTTAAAGTCCCTGGCTCGGTTAAAAAGCTGGTTGCGTAGATTCCTGTCAATGCTCAGGATCCTCTGCCTTGTGATATCTGGAGATAAGTCAACGCCTTGCAGGACGCTTACATGCTCGGGCAGTACCTCTCTCAGCAACACCTCCATGCACTGGTATACAAAGTCCCCCTCACCCCAGCCGCGACCCTTCAAGGCCAAGAGGCGGCAGAGCCCGAGGCCTGCACGAGCAGCTCTCTCTTCAGGAGTGAAGGAGGCCACGGGCAAGTCGCCCTGACGCAGACGCTCCACCAGGGCCGCGCGCTCGCCGTCCGCCACATACCGCTCGTAGTATTCGTGCTCAGCCTCGTAGTGGCGCCTGACGTCGCGTTCGCGGGTAGCTACGATGAGGCGGCGACAGACCAGGCACAGGGCCCCATCGCCCTCCGGAGGCTCCACCACCAAATAACGCTGGGTCCACTCGGGCCGGAAAACTAGAGCCTCGTCGACTTCCATCTTGCTTCTTTTGGGCGTCATCCACATTCTGCGGGAGGCCACAAGAGCAGGGCCAACGTTAGAAAGGCCGCAAGGGGAGAGGAGGAGCCTGAGAAGCGCCAAGCACCTCCTCCGCTCTGCGCCAGATCACCTCAGCAGAGGCACACAAGCCCGGTTCCGGCATCTCTGCTCCTATTGGCTGGATATTTCGTATTCCCCGAGCTCCTAAAAACGAACCAATAGGAAGAGCGGACAGCGATCTCTAACGCGCAAGCGCATATCCTTCTAGGTAGCGGGCAGTAGCCGCTTCAGGGAGGGACGAAGAGACCCAGCAACCCACAGAGTTGAGAAATTTGACTGGCATTCAAGCTGTCCAATCAATAGCTGCCGCTGAAGGGTGGGGCTGGATGGCGTAAGCTACAGCTGAAGGAAGAACGTGAGCACGAGGCACTGAGGTGATTGGCTGAAGGCACTTCCGTTGAGCATCTAGACGTTTCCTTGGCTCTTCTGGCGCCAAAATGTCGTTCGTGGCAGGGGTTATTCGGCGGCTGGACGAGACAGTGGTGAACCGCATCGCGGCGGGGGAAGTTATCCAGCGGCCAGCTAATGCTATCAAAGAGATGATTGAGAACTGGTACGGAGGGAGTCGAGCCGGGCTCACTTAAGGGCTACGACTTAACGGGCCGCGTCACTCAATGGCGCGGACACGCCTCTTTGCCCGGGCAGAGGCATGTACAGCGCATGCCCACAACGGCGGAGGCCGCCGGGTTCCCTGACGTGCCAGTCAGGCCTTCTCCTTTTCCGCAGACCGTGTGTTTCTTTACCGCTCTCCCCCGAGACCTTTTAAGGGTTGTTTGGAGTGTAAGTGGAGGAATATACGTAGTGTTGTCTTAATGGTACCGTTAACTAAGTAAGGAAGCCACTTAATTTAAAATTATGTATGCAGAACATGCGAAGTTAAAAGATGTATAAAAGCTTAAGATGGGGAGAAAAACCTTTTTTCAGAGGGTACTGTGTTACTGTTTTCTTGCTTTTCATTCATTCCAGAAATCATCTGTTCACATCCAAAGGCACAATTCATTTTGAGTTTCTTTCAAAACAAATCGTTTGTAGTTTTAGGACAGGCTGATGCACTTTGGGCTTGACTTCTGATTACCCTATTGTTAAATTAGTGACCCCTCTTAGTGTTTTCCTGTCCTTTATTTCGGAGGACGCACTTCGAAGATACCAGATTTTATGGGTCATCCTTGGATTTTGAAGCTTATAACTGTGACAAAAAATGTGAAGGGAAGAGATTTGAAACATGTGGAAGGAAAAGTGAGTGCAGACTATAAACTTCCAAAAAGACAAGCCCAAAATACACCTAAACGTTATGTCAGATTATTTTGTTAAAATCAGTTGTTAGTGACGTCCGTACGTTAATAGAAAAAAGAATGCTTCAGTTTGGAGTGGTAGGTTTCTAGAGGGATTTATTGTGAAAGTATAAACTATTCAGGGCAATGGGACTGAGAGAACAGTGGGTAGAAAGGACCACTGAAGGAAAGGAAGAGAATTGGAAGGTAGATGAAAGAAGGAGCAAGAACCTGGGGATGTTTTTTCCTTTTCACTTGTAATAGTAGTAACAGAAGCAATGGCAGACTGGCTTTTGTTTCTACTGTGTTAGAATGAATTGACAGGACAACTGGGCCTATTATTGTACTGTGCCAGAATACTGTAAAACAAAACTAAACATACTAGCTTGGTGGCTTGTAATTAATTACTTAAGTGGAGATTTTTATTTTTTTTTTATTTTTTTTTTAGACGGAGTCTCACTTTGTCACCCAGGCTGGAGTGCAGTGGCGCGATCTCAGCTGACTGCAACCTCCTCCTCACAGGTTCAAGGGAGATTCTCCTGCCTCAGCCTCCCGAGTAGCTAGGACTATAGGCATGTGCCACCACACCTGGCTAATTTTGTATTTTTAGTAGAGATGGGATTTCTCCATGTTGGTCAGGCTGGTGTCAAAACTCTCGATCTCAGGTGAACCGCCTGCCTCAGCCTTCCAAAGTGCTGGGATTACAGGCGTGAGCCACCGCGCCCTGCAGTTTTTTGTATTTTTAATAGAGACAGGGTTTCACCATGTTAGCCAGGATGGTCTCGATTTCCTGACCTCAGGTGATCTGCCCGCTTTGGCCTCCCAAAGTGCTGGGATTACAAGCATGAGCCACCGCGCCCGGCTCAAGTGGAGATTTTTATATGGAGTCCAGTTATACTCTTTTTAATATATAAGTTGAGATGACTAATACAACTTCAATACAGGGGCTCATGAGAAATGTCTGTAATATTTAAGTAACTTATTGTCTTCTTTCTTTTTTTTTTAAGATGAAGTCTTACTCTGTTGCCCAGGCGGAAGTGCAGTGGCGTGATCTTGGCTCAGGGCAACCTCTGCCTCCTGGTTTCAAGCGATCTTCCTGCCTCAGCCTCCCGAGTAGCTGGGAGTACAGGCGTGCATGACCACACCCGGCTAATTTTTTTATTTTTAGTAGAGACGGGGTTTCTCCATGTTGGCCGGGCTGGTCTTGAACTCCTGACCTCAGGTGATCCGCCCACCTCAGCCTCCCCAAGTGTTGGGATTACAGGTGTGAGCCCCCGTGCCCAGCCTATTATCTTATTTCTGAATAAAGAATTGTCTGTGTGGGGAATAGATAACTCTTTCTCATGCAGCCCCTGCTAGAAAATTTGTTTTCTCTAGCAGTTGGTCTGTGCTTATAGGCTACTCTTTGAAAGCACAAAAAATTTATTGACTTCTTTTTTTTGGGTTTTTTTTTTTTTTTGAGACAGAGTTTTGCCCTTGTTGCCCAGGTTGGAGTGCAATGGCGCGATCTCAGCTCACCGCAACCTCCACCTCCTGGGTTCAAGTGATTCTCCTGCCTTAGCCTCCTGAGTAGCTGGGATTACAGGCATGCGTCACCATGCCTGGCTAATTTTGTATTTTTAGTACAAATGGGGTTTCTCCATGTTGGTCAGGCTGGTCTCAAACTCCTGACCTCAGGTGATCCACCCGCCTTGGCCTCCCAAAGTGCTGGGATTATGGGTGTGAGCCATTGCGCCTGGCCAGAAAATTCATTGACTTCCTAAAGATTTATTAACTTTCTGCATTACTTTTTTTTTTCCCCTCCATCGTAAATATAAAAGGGAATAGTAGAGAAAATCATTCAGAATTTTATTTTTTAGTGACATTATTTAGTGACATTTTATTAGAGTCACTTAGGAACCTGAGGCTGAATAAAGTTCAGGTAAAAGTAAAATTAGTTGAGAAGAGACATCTGCCAAAAGAAATCTATTTTTAACTTCACTTGCTGTCTTTCCTAGAGGAACAGAAATAGTGCTGAATGTCCTATTAGAAATGATGGTTGCTCTGCCCGTCTCTTCCCTCTCTCTCACACAATATGTAAACTCATACAGTGTATGAGCCTGTAAGACAAAGGAAAAACACGTTAATGAGGCACTATTGTTTGTATTTGGAGTTTGTTATCATTGCTTGGCTCATATTAAAATATGTACATTAGAGTAGTTGCAGACTGATAAATTATTTTCTGTTTGATTTGCCAGTTTAGATGCAAAATCCACAAGTATTCAAGTGATTGTTAAAGAGGGAGGCCTGAAGTTGATTCAGATCCAAGACAATGGCACCGGGATCAGGGTAAGTAAAACCTCAAAGTAGCAGGATGTTTGTGCGCTTCATGGAAGAGTCAGGACCTTTCTCTGTTCTGGAAACTAGGCTTTTGCAGATGGGATTTTTTCACTGAAAAATTCAACACCAACAATAAATATTTATTGAGTACCTATTATTTGCTGGGCACTGTTCAGGGGATGTGTCAGTGAATAAAATAGATTAAAATCTATTCTCTTCTGATGCTTACATTATAGTGGTGGGAGACAAAATGGGTATAATAAATATTATATTAGATAGCATTAAGTGCTGTGGAGAAAACTAAAGCAGGGAGGAAGATAGGAGTGTGCAAGCCAGAAAGGTTGCAATTAAATTGAGTAGTTCAGGAAGGCTTCAATATGGATGTGATATTTGAGAGACCGGTGGAAGTCAAGGAGCAAGTTGTGAGGCTATTTAAAGGTATTCTTGGCTTACAGAACAATATACGCAAAGACTATTAAATGGAAGCATACCTGACATGTTAAAGGACTATCAAGGAGGCCAGTTTGTCTAGAGGCTGAAAAGGAAAGAGTAATAGGAGATGAGGTCTGAGTGAAAACACGTAAATCCTTGTGGGCCAAGGTAAAATCTTTAGCTTTTTTTCTGAATATGGTGGGATACTGTTAGAGGGTTTTAAGCAGAGGTTACGTGGTGTGGTGAGTTTTTTTTTTTTAATCCTTTGTCTTTCTGTGTGGAAAATAGCAGGACAGGGCAGAAGCAGTCTGTCCTGCAGACTGCTTGGTCGCAGTAGAGATGTAAGAAGCAGTGAGATTCTGGGTTAATTATGGAGGCAAAGTTCTCAGAATTTGCTGATATAGGGTATGAGAGAAAGAGGAATCAGGAATGATTTCAAGGTTTTGGTCTGCTAAATGGAAGGAGTTGCCATTTACTAAGATGGGAAAGACTATGAAAGAAGCAGATTTTCAGAGAGATCAGAAGTTCATTTTGGGGCATGTTCAATTTAAGATGCCTGTTAGTTGGATGTTTATGTGAGTTTGGAATGCAGGGTAGAGATTTAGGGATGAATATTTGGTAGTTGTCTGCATTTTAATGGTATTAAAAGCCACGAGAAGGATGGGCATGGTGGCTCACACCTGTAATCCCAGCACTTTGGGAGGCCAAGGCGGGCAGATCACCTGAGGTCGGGAGTTCGAGACCAGCCTGACCAACATGGAGAAACCCCATCTCTACTAAAAATATATAATTAGCCGGGCGTGGTGGCACATGCCTGTAATCCCAGCTACTCGGGAGGCTGAGGCAGGAGAATCGCTTGAACCTGGGAGGTGGAGGTTGCGATGAGCCGAGATCGCACCGTTGCACTCCAGCTTGGGCAACAAGAGCAAAACTCCATCAAAAAAAAAAAAAAAAAAAAAAAAAAGCCTTGAGACTCACCTGAAAAGATGCTCAACATTATTGGTCATTAGGAAAATGAATGAAAACCACAATGAGATACCACTTCACACCTATTAGGATGGCTATTATCAAAAACAAAAACAAGTGTTTGCAAGGATGTAGAGATTGGAATTCTTGTGTATTGCTAGAGGGAATGTAAAATAGTGCAGGGTGCTGTGGAAAATGCTGTGGTGATTCCTCAAAAAATTAAACATAATTATATAATCCAGTAATTCCACTTCTGAGTTATTCCCAAAAGAAGGGATGCAAGCAGATATTTGTACACTCATATTCATGGCAGCATTATTTACAGTAGCCAAAAGGTGAAAGCAACCTAAGTGTCCGTCAGTGGATGAATGGATAAACAAAATGGAATAATTTCAGCCTTAAATAGAAATAAAATGTTGACACATGTTGCAACATATACGAACCTTGAAGACATCATGTTAAGTTAAATAAGTTGGTCACTAAAGGACAAATATTGTATGATTCCCCTTATGAGGTTCCTAGAGTAGTCACATTCATAGAGACAGTAGAGTGGTGGTTGCCCAGGGCCGGGGGGAGCGAGGAGAATGGAAATTATTGTTTATTGGGTACAGAGTTTCTGTTTGGGGAAGATGAAAAAATTCTGGAGATGGATCATGATGATAGTTAACACAGCAGTGTGAATATAGTTAATGGCACAGAACTGTACATTTAAAAATGGTTAAGATGGAAAATTTTCTGTTACATATATTTTACTGCAATTTTTTTAAATTTTATTATTATACTTTAAGTTTTAGGGTACATGTGCACAACATGCAGGTTTGTTACATATGTATACATGTGCCATGTTGGTGTGCTGCACCCATTAAGTCATCATTTAGCATTAGGTATATCTCCTAATGCTATCCCTCCCCCCTCCCCCACCCCACAACAGTCCCCAGTGTGTGATGTTCCCCTTTCTGTGTCCATGTGTTCTCATTGTTCAATTCCCACCTATGAGTGAGCACATGCAGTGTTTGGTTTTTTGTCCTTGTGATAGTTTGCTGAGAATGATGGTTTCCAGCTTCATCCATGTCCCTGCAAAGGACATGAACTCATCATTTTTTGTGGCTGCATAGTATTCCATGGTGTATATGTGCCACCTTTTCTTAATCCAGTCTATCATTGTTGGACATTTGGGTTGGTTCCAAGTCTTTGCTGTTGCGAATAGTGCTGCAGTAAACATACGTGTGCATGTGTCTTTATAGCAGCATGATTTATAATCCTTTGGGTATATACCCAGTAATGGGATGGCTGGGTCAAATGGTATTTCTAGTTCTAGATCCCTGAGGAATTGCCACACTGACTTCCACAATGGTTGAACTAGTTTACAGTCCCACCAACAGTGTAAAAGTGTTCCTATTTCTCCACATCCTCTCCAGCACCTGTTGTTTCCTGACTTTTTAAGATCGCCATTCTAACTGGTGTGAGATGGTATCTCATTGTGGTTTTGATTTGCATTTCTCTGATGGCCAGTGATGATGAGCATTTCTTCATGTGTTTTTTGGCTGCATAAATGTCTTCTTTCGAGAAGTGTCTGTTCATATCCTTCACTCACTTTTTGATGGGGTTGTTTGTTTTTTTCTTGTAAATTTGAGTTCATTGAAAAATTAGAATTTTTTTTTTTTTCCCTTTTTTAGAGGCAAGGTCTCACTCTGTCGCCCACACTGGAGTGCAGTAGTGTAAGCATAGCTCACTGTAACCTTGAACTCCTGGGCTCAAGCAATTCTGTCATCTCAGCCAGCTGAAGTAGTAACTGTAGGTTCACACCACCATGCCTATTTTTGTTTTTGTAGAAATAGGGCCTTGCTTTGTTGCCAAGGCTGGTCTTGAACTCCTGACCTCAAGCAGTCCTCCTGTCTCAGCCTCCCAAAGTGCTGGGATTATAGGTGTGAGCCACTGCACCCAGCCTTGGAGATTTTTAATAAAGAAGCTTGTCAATTAAACAAACAACAAAAAGCCCTGAGACTGAATGAGATAATCAAGAGAGTATGTGTAGATAGAGAAGAGGTCCAAGGAAGGAGTCTTGGGTGACTCTGATGTCAAGTGAGGACATGAGGCAGAAACAGCAGTGACTGAGAAGGAGCCACCTAGTAAGAAAGGAGGAACACCAGGACAGTGTGGTATTCTGGATTCCAAACAAGGAAGTTACTGCTAATTTTAAAGCTCTTCTCAGGCTGGGCATGGTGGCTCACACCTGTAGTCCCAGCACTTCGGGAGGCTGAGGTAGGTAAATCACTTGAGCTCATGTGTTTGAGACCAGCTTGGGCAACATGGTGAAACCTCATCTCTACTAAAAATATAAGAAATTAAGGCCAGGTGTGGTAGTTCATGCCTGTAATCCCAGTGCTTTGGGAGGTCAAGGCAGCCAGATCATTTGAGATCAGGAGTTCGAGACCAGCATGGCCAGCATAGTGAAGCCCCATCTCTACTAAAAATACAAGAAAAAATTAACCAAGCATGGTGGCGCATACCTGTAATCCCAGCCACTCTGGAGGCTGAGACATGAAAATTGCTTGAACCCGGGAGGCGGAGGTTGCAGTGAGCTGAGATCTCGCCACTGCACTTCAGCCTGGGTGACAGAGCAAGACTCTGTCTCAAAGGAGGTTGCAGTGAGCTGAGATCTCGCCACTGCACTTCAGCCTGGGTGACAGAGCAAGACTCTGTCTCAAAAAAAAAAAAAACAAAAACCAAGAAAAGAAAAAAAAACTCTTCTAAGAGGATTTTTTTTTCCTGGATTAAATCAAGAAAATGGGAATTCAAAGAGATTTGGAAAAATGAGTAACATGATTATTTACTCATCTTTTTGGTATCTAACAGAAAGAAGATCTGGATATTGTATGTGAAAGGTTCACTACTAGTAAACTGCAGTCCTTTGAGGATTTAGCCAGTATTTCTACCTATGGCTTTCGAGGTGAGGTAAGCTAAAGATTCAAGAAATGTGTAAAATATCCTCCTGTGATGACATTGTCTGTCATTTGTTAGTATGTATTTCTCAACATAGATAAATAAGGTTTGGTACCTTTTACTTGTTAAATGTATGCAAATCTGAGCAAACTTAATGAACTTTAACTTTCAAAGACTGAGAATTGTTCATAAATAAACTATTTTACCTGCAGAGACCTCTGATATATGTTTCTTGATGGAAGTACCCAGTACCACCTATGAAGTTTTCTTGTCAAAAAATCAAATGTGAATCTGATCATTACTTAGATCTAAGTACCAATATATGAAAAATATAGGAGACAAGGAAGCATGGTAAATGATACTGAGATTGGGAGACTACATGGAAAAAGACTTGTTCCCTTCAACAGATAGACAGCAGGGAAAAAAGAATAGAGAAAGGAGTAAAGAACCTGTAGATTAAAAGACATTTAAGGGACATATGAACCAGGTCCAGTGTATAGATCTTACCTAAATCCTGATGGAGCAAACTATAAAAAAATTTTTTTGAGACAAATGTTTGAATACAGGTTGACTATTTGATGGCATTAAGGAGAAATTATGAATTATCTTGGTATAAGAATATTGTCATGGGTTTTTTTTTTTGAGTCCTTACCTGTTAAGATACATACTAAAATATTTGTGGGTAAAATTATATGACGTATAGGAGTATATGATTTAGAAAACGGATTAAAATATAAAAGGATAAAATAGGATCTTATATTTTGTGACTCACTTCCTGTTGGATATCTTTCTACCCAGTAAATATAGTCCTATCTAGGTTTTAATGGCTACATGTATGTACTGTAGTTTGTTTAAATGGTTTCCTATTGAACATTTATGCTCTTTGCCATTTTTTCCTGTTTAACGTTCTGTTTTTTTTTTTGTTTTTTTTTTTTTTTGAGACAGTCTTGCTCTGTTATCCAGACTGGAGTGCAGTGACATGATCTCAGCTCACTGCAACCTCTGCCTTCTGGGTTCAAGCTATTCTCCTGCCTCAGCCTCCTGAATAGCTGTGATTACAGGCGTGCACCACTATGCCCAGCTAATTTTTGTATTTTGGGTAGAGACAGGGTTTGGCCATGTTGGCCAGGCTGGTCTTGAACTCCTGACCTTGAATGATCTGCCCGCCTTGGCCTTGCAAAGTGCTGGGGTTACAGGCATGAGCCACCACGTCTGGCCTTGTTTAAGGTCCTGATGAGTATTCTTATAGGTACACTGTGTTTCGTTTAATTATTTCCTTAGGATAAATTTATAGAAATAACATTCCTTGGTAAAAGAATACATATTTTAAAAACTGTATTAGTTTCCTGTTGCTGTCAAAAAATTTCCAGAAACTTAGTGGCATTAAACAATACAAATTAATTATTCTACAGTTCTGGAGATCAGAAGATACGGGTCTTACTAGGCCTCACTAGGCTAAAATCAAGGTTTTGGCAGGGCTGTGTTCCTCTATGGAGGTTCCAAGGGACCAGAGAAACTACTTTACAGTAGTTATTTTAAGGGAATGAAAGTGAAGATGGGGTTGGGCAGTCAAAGAGGCTGTTACTTTTCATTTTTGGCCTTTCAGTAGTTTGAATTTTTTTATCATATACATGTATTACTTTAATTTTTAAAAAGTAAAAAGCAGCTGTGATTCAGTCTCTGTAATTTAGATCAATTTACATCAAACTAGGGTGGTCTCATGTGTTGTCTTGCTCACAGTGACCACTAGATTATTCCAAGAAGGGACAATTTCCAAGACTTGGTTTACACTGAGACGGCTCCTGATTTTAAGGATACCTTAGATCAAACTCTAGGAAGGCAGTTTCATTTTGGCCTTGCAGTTCCCTGGGTCATTTTCCAAGCCCATGGCCTCCTGGAGTCTTCGCCTAGCTGTAGGTTATCTTTGTGGCTATTATTTCACTGTAATTATACAGGAAGATTTATTGAGGGATTTCTGTGTACCAGCCGTGGTTCTCAGCACTTTGTATACTTTGTATTAACTCTGACTCCTGACAGTAACTCTACAGAGGTTCTGCTGTTACCCAGTTTTACATAGAAACATGGCCAGCGGACGCAGTTAGAAAATGGCAAAGTGGGGATTAGAAACTAGGCAGTTTGACTCCAGAGTCTGTGCCCCTGTCCACTTGGCTCCACTGCTGGGGAAGAGGCCTCTGAAGCAGCAGGACCATCTGCTGTGCCGTGTGTAGTGGTACTCTATCTTCCTGGTGTGATGTTGTGTTCTACTTTGCATTTTCATGTCTTTCCTTATACAGGTCTCAAAATCATTTACTTTTTTTTTTTTTTTTTTGAGACGGAGTCTCACTCTGTTGCCCAGGCTAGAGTGTAGTGGCATAGTCTCACTCACTGCAACCTCCGCCTCCGAGGTTCAAGTAATTCTCCTGCCTCAGCCTCCCAAGTAGCTCGGATTACAGGCACATGCCACCACAGCTAGCAAATTTTTGTATTTTTAGTAGAGATTGGTGTTTCACCATGTTGGCCAGGCTGTTCTTGAACTCCTGACCTCAGGTGATCCACCCACCTAGGCCTCCCAAAGTGCTGGGATTACAGGCGTGAGCCACCCCACCCAGCCTTATATTTTTTAATGATGCACATTAGCTCAATTACATAAACCAGGGAAATCCAGCTAGGACCTGGTGATTTCTGAGCCTGACCCATGTGACTTTCAATGAACTGAACTTGCCACAGCTGTATTTACTGTCTACTGAGATGCTGTCACACAGACCCCGTCATAGCACAGTTCCTGAGTTACATCTTTACATACTGTAGTATCCTTCTTGTGAAAAAAGATACAGATTCCAAAGGTCTGAGAAACCAATCTTGGTTATAAAGGGGAAAAATGGTCATGGGTTTTTAAAATTTGTTTTGTCTTAATTGCATTTCAAATTTACATTTCTAAATGAATAATTGCTTATATAAAGCAGTTTTGATTAACAATATAAAACACTATCTATTTGGAGTGATTCCTTTACCCATTTCTGAAGGCAAGTTTTAAAAATTACTAGAAGACACTTCATTGAGAATATTATTAAACATGCCTATAGTTCTACCACCTCAACACAATTGCTTATTAACACATTAATGTTTTGGTGTGTTTTGGACTTTTTAATATGTATTTTTCACTTGTTCTAGTAATTATGCTACAGATTGATCATTTCTTTTTCAACATGTCATCAAAGCAAGTGAGCAAAGTGCTCATCGTTGCCACATATTAATACAAAATGGAAGCAGCAGTTCAGATAACCTTTCCCTTTGGTGAGGTGACAGTGGGTGACCCAGCAGTGAGTTTTTCTTTCAGTCTATTTTCTTTTCTTCCTTAGGCTTTGGCCAGCATAAGCCATGTGGCTCATGTTACTATTACAACGAAAACAGCTGATGGAAAGTGTGCATACAGGTATAGTGCTGACTTCTTTTACTCATATATATTCATTCTGAAATGTATTTTTTGCCTAGGTCTCAGAGTAATCCTGTCTCAACACCAGTGTTATCTTTTTTGGCAGAGATCTTGAGTACGTTTTCTTTTCTCCTTATTGATAAATTGATAATCCTCAAGGATGATTATTAGGTGATACTCTTACTTCATGGATTCTTAAAAGATATGATTTAACATATTACAAGTGCCTAGCAAGGTGTCTGTTACACGTAGGTATTTTAAGTAAATGGTAGCTGCTGATGTAATTTCTGCCCCTTTGCCCTTCAGTTGGGGTATTGCTTTGGACCGATTAGAGGGCTGTGGCTGGGATGCTAAAGGTTCATGTTTCCTTAGCTGGCTCCTGAGCCACCAGCTCCCACCACCTGTGTATACCTGTGCTAGTTTGCCTTCCCACAAGTAGCTGCTGGCTATCTGTTATGCTGGTACAGTTTTCAGAAACTGATGAATGGCCTTTGAACAGAACAAAAATGAGATTCAGAATAACAAAATTGCACCTTTGTTTTTATAAGCACTGGCCATTCACTAGTTGAAGACTGGTAGGAATACCTAATTCATGCCAAAAGAAAGATAATTTTTAAAAATCACACAGGTTGTTTGTAGATTAAAAGGGAAAATAGGCTAGGTATAGTGGCTTTGCCTGTGAGTTTGGGAGGCTGAAGTGGGAGGATTGCTTGAAGTCAGGAGTTTGAGACCAGCCTGGGAAACAGAGCAAGACCCCGTCTCTACAGAAAATTTTTAAAAAATTAGCTGGGCATGGTGATGCATATCTGTAGTCTTAGCTACTCCGGAGGTGGGAAGATTGCTTGAGCCCAGCAGTTTGAGGCTGCAGTGAGCTGTGATTACACCACTGTACTCCAACCTTAAAATAAATAAATAAATAAGGGAAAATATCTTCAACAAAGGATAGTTCTGTCTGTTTCTCAGTCTTCCTCAACAGATAAATGTGTGAAGTAATGGAAGGTGGAGATTTCAGATTACACAACATTAATGCTAAGGGCGTTTGACTCTGTGTGAATTCTAATTGCCCTAGATCTAGACGGGCTGATACTATTAGAATCCCCTGTCACTAACTGAAGACAGAGTTGTAAGTTAATGCCTTCCTAGATAGCCTAGATTGTGGTATGCTGCTGCATGCTAAAATGGCTCCCCTTCCATAGCAGGATGAAATAGAGTCATTATCTTGGCAACCAGCCCCTGCCAATGTGCTCTCAGTCTGCCTTTCCAGCCCCTTCTCTCTACCTATTCCCAGCTGCCATGTATTCTAAAGCCTCTATGCTTTCATTTTTGTTTTTGCCTTCCTGGATGGTCTTTCCTGCTGTCTCCACCTGAAACTATTCCTCTCTAAAGAACAGATGAATTGCCATCTCTCTGGGATGCTTTTACCCACCCTCACTCCCACCTCAGGCTGAATGGACCCTTCTCTAGATCGCTTAGCATATTGTTCTACAGTTAGGTAAAAAGTCTACCTATCACTAGATCAAGAGCTTTGTTTTTTTTTATTAATTTAATTTTCTTTTTTTTTTTTCTTTTTTTTTTGAGACAGAGTCTCGCTCTGTCGCCCAGGCTGGAGTGCAGTGCACAATCTTGGCTCACTGCAAGCTCCGCCTCCCAGGTTCACACCATTCTCCTGCCTCAGCCTCCCGAGTAGCCGGGACTACAGGCGCCCACCACCACGCCCAGCTAATTTTTTGTATTTTTAGTAGAGACGGGGTTTCACCATGTTAGTTAGCCAGGATGGTCTCGATCTCCTGACCTCGTGATCCACCCACCTCGGCCTCCCAAAGCACTGGGATTACAGGCATGAGCCACCGCGCCGAGCCCCAAGACCTTTCTTTATTACCAGGGCTTCCACAGACCTGACACATGGTAGTTCCTCAATAAATAATTGCAGAATTACTGAAAAATTTTACTGTTAACTTAGGCAGTGGTAAAACCATTGTTTGGTAGCTCAGAACTCAGCAAGTAAATAGCAACATTTGCTGGAAGAACAGATAGTTTTTCAAATCCAATTCAAGGACTGGGTATGGTGGCTCATGCCTGTAATCCCAGCACTTTGGGAGGCCGAGGCAGGCGTATCCAGGAGTTCGAGACTAGCCTGACCAACATGGTGAAACTCCGTCTCTACTAAAAATACAAAATTAGCCAGGTGTGGTGGTGGGCACCTGTAATCTCAGCTACTTGGGAGGCTGAGGCAGGAGAATCGCTTGAACCTGGTAGGCGGAGGTTGTAGTGAGCTGAGATTGTGCCATTGCTCTCCAGCCTGGGAAACAAGAGCAAAACTCCGTCTCAAAAAAAAAAAAAATCCAATTCAAATGATTATGGAAGTAGTGGAGAAATAAACAGGAAAATGATAAATAATTAAGATAATATATAATATGGCTATATTTTAATCTATTGTTGATATGATTTTCTCTTTTCCCCTTGGGATTAGTATCTATCTCTCTACTGGATATTAATTTGTTATATTTTCTCATTAGAGCAAGTTACTCAGATGGAAAACTGAAAGCCCCTCCTAAACCATGTGCTGGCAATCAAGGGACCCAGATCACGGTAAGAATGGTACATGGGAGAGTAAATTGTTGAAGCTTTGTTTGTATAAATATTGGAATAAAAAATAAAATTGCTTCTAAGTTTTCAGGGTAATAATAAAATGAATTTGCACTAGTTAATGGAGGTCCCAAGATATCCTCTAAGCAAGATAAATGACTATTGGCTTTTGTGGCATGGCAGCCTGCCACGTCCTTGTCTTTTTTAAGGGCTAGGAGATTCTTTATTGGGATGGCAAAAGTCAATGGCAGGGTAGTTGTCATTGAAAGAAGATTAAGCTTGACCCCAGAAGGCATGGGTTAGAGCCCAGCCTTGTCACTCAATGGTTGTATGTCCAGAGGCAAGTCACTTAACATCCCTTAACCCCAGTTTTCTCATCTGTCAAATGAAGCAAAGAATACTTGCCCTCTTGACTTAAAGGGTGTCTGATGAGACATATGACTGTATCATTAGCTGGGAGAAAGTCCATCGTGCTGCCTATGTATAGTGCCTCAAGTTGGTCTCTTTCCCTTCTATGATTACACAAAGCACTCCGCTGTCATGTTATCCATCCCGCCCCTCCATTCCAAGTCCCATCTAGAGCACATCTTCTTGAAGTCCACTGTAACCTGCCTAATCCTGGATGTGACGAGCCAGGCAGGAGGCAGAAAAGAATGTGTGTTTTGCAATACATGTTAAGAGACATCTTGGGCTGGGCACGGTGGCTCACACCTGTAATCTCAGCACTTTGGGAGGCTGAGGAGGGCGGATCATCTGAGGTTGGGAGTTCGAGACCAGCCTGACCAACATGGAGAAACCCCATCTCTACTAAAAATACAAAATTAGCCAGGCGTGATGGCGCATGCCTGTAATCCCAGCTACTCAGGAAGGCTGAGGCAGGAGAATTGCTTGAACCCGGGAGGCAGAGGTTGTGGTGAGTTGAGATCATGCCACTGCACTCCAGCCTGGGCAACAAGAGTGAAACAGGGTCTCAAAAACAAAAACAAACAAACAAAAAAAATCTTTTACCACGGTGACCACCATGTGATTTCCAAGAACTTCAAATGATCTAAGAAATTTTGTGATTATTACTAGTTTGAAAAATACTTTTTTTTTTTTTGAGACAAAGTCTCACTCTGTTGCCCAGGCTGAAGTGCAGTGGTGTGATCTCAGCTCACTGCAATCACTACCTCTTGAGTTCAAGCAGTTGTCCTGCCTCAGCCTCTTGAGTACCTGGGATTACAGGCATGCGTCACCATGCCCGGCTAATTTTTGTATTTTTAGTAGAGACAGGGTTTCACCATGTTGGCCAGGCTGGTCTCGAACTCCTGACCTCAGGTGACCCACCCACCTTGGCCTCCCAAAGTTCTGGGATTACAGACGTGAGCCACTGCACCCAGCCTGAAAAATATCTTTGAATGCCATGTGATACTATACTTGTCAGTTTACATGTGTGTCCCACTAAATCATGTACTCTCCTGAGCAGGATCATGCTTTGTCTTCATATTTTCTGTACAAAGCAAAGACTCTGACACAAAGCTAGCCCCCAGTGCATAGTTGAGAAATCAGTGAATGAATGTGGGAGGCAGGAAAAATGTCCTTTAATTCTTCTGTTAATGCTGTCTTATCCCTGGCCCCAGTCAGTGCTTAGAACTGTGCTGTTGGTAAATATAATTGGATTCACTATCTTAAGACCTCGCTTTTGCCAGGACATCTTGGGTTTTATTTTCAAGTACTTCTATGAATTTACAAGAAAAATCAATCTTCTGTTCAGGTGGAGGACCTTTTTTACAACATAGCCACGAGGAGAAAAGCTTTAAAAAATCCAAGTGAAGAATATGGGAAAATTTTGGAAGTTGTTGGCAGGTACAGTCCAAAATCTGGGAGTGGGTCTCTGAGATTTGTCATCAAAGTAATGTGTTCTAGTGCTCATACATTGAACAGTTGCTGAGCTAGATGGTGAAAAGTAAAACTAGCTTACAGATAGTTTCTGGTCAAGGTTTAGCCACCAATTTTGCAGTTTCTCTCATCTCCCCAGGAAAGAGCAGTTGGTCTTTAGATCAATGAGAGCTCTTTTATGGCAGACAAAACAAAGTGACTCTAGCCAACTTGAGCTAAAAAGAAATTTAGTGGAAGGCTAGGAGTTACCACATGAAGTGTGTGCAGCTGCCCCTTGGAGAGAATAAGAACCAGGGTGCCTCTGGGACTTAACATCATTACTGTACTCCAGTTGTTTTCATTCTTTTCCTGACTTTGCTCTAGAGTCAGTTTCCTAACAGAGTACATTCGATGATCATGTGCCCATATCTGTGGGGAGAAGATTTCTTGATTGGCAGTCTTACTAAGGGTGCATATCAAGTAGAATGGAATAGAGGTAGTTTCCTAAAGGAAGATGAGAGGCTGTTACCAGGAGGAGGAGAAGGGATTCAGGACAGATGAAAACAACGTTATATCCATGATAGACTTACGCTGCTGGTACAGATGGTACAGGTGGCTTCAGTATAGGCTCTCCGAACCCACATATCATTGATTATGATAGGGATATGTTAACTATTTTTCAGTGTATATATGTATATGTGTGTGTGTATATATATGTATATGTATATATATATGTATGTGTATATATGTATATGTATATATTTATATATGTATATGTATATATTTATATATGTATATGTATATATTTATATATGTATATGTATATATATTTATATATGTATATGTGTGTATATATATATTTATATATATGTATATGTGTGTATATATATATATTTTTTTTTGAAACGGAATTTCGCTCTTGTTGCCCAGGCTGGAGTGCAATGGTGCGATCTCAGCTCACTGCAACCTCTGCCTCCTGGGTTCAAGCGATTCTCCTGTCTCAGCCTCCCGAGTAGCTGGGATTACAGGCACTTGCCACCATGCCCGGCAATTTTTTTTTTGTTTTTTTTTAGTAGAGAGGGGGTTTAATCATTTTGGCCAGGCTGGTCTTGAACTCCTGACCTCAGGTGATCTGCCTGCCTTGGCCTCCTAAAGTGCTGGGATTACAGGCGTGAGCCACCATGCCTGGCCATTTTTCAGTATTTCTTTTTTTTTTTTTTTTTTTTTTTTTTTTGAGACAGAGTTTCACTCTTGTTGCACAGGCTGGAGTACAATGGTGTGATCTCGGCTCACCGCAACCTCTACTTCCCAGGTTCAAGCAATTCGCCTGCCTCAGCCTTCTCAAGTAGCTGGGATTACAGGCATATGCCACCATGCCCGGCTAATTTTGTGTTTTTAGTAGAGATGGGGTTTCTCCATGTTGGTCAGGCTAGTCTCAAACTCCCGACCTCAGATGATCCTCCCGCCTTGGCCTCCCAGAGTGCTGGGATTACTGGCATGAGCCAGCGCTCCTGGCCCATTTTTCAGTATTTCTAAAAAAAATCTAAAGTGGGTCAAACATTTCACCTTAATAGAATGACAGGTTTGTACATCAAGTTTCTTTGCTTTTTCTTGGAATTTTATACTTTTTTTTTTTTTTTGGAGACAGAGTCTTGCTGTGTTACCCAGGCTGGAGTGCAGTGGTGCGATCTCAGCTCACCACAACCTCCACCTCCAGGTTGAAGCAATTCTCCTACCTCAGCCTCCTGAGTAGCTGGGATTACAGGCACATGCCACCACACCCGGCTAATTTTTTTTTTTTTTTTGTATTTTTAGTAGAGACAGGGTTTCACCATGTTGTCCAGGCTGGTCTCGAACTCCTGACCTCAGGTGATCCGCCCATCTCGGCCCACCAAAGTGCTGGGATTACAGGCGTGAGCCACTGCACCCGGCCTTTTTCTTGGAATTTTATCAATCAGTGTCAGAATATTCATTACCTCCTAAAAATAAAGGAGTTCTAGTTGGCTGTTTTGATTCTAGGTGTGGTAAAGTGAAATATTGTTACTTAATAAATGCATTTTGCTAGACACAATCCTTCGGTTCACGAGCTCTGTAGAGAAAAGAGAAATAACCGCCAACCAAGAAAAGATTGGGAGATACTAGAATAAGACCCAGGGGCAGGAAGAAGCCAGTGAGAAGGAGGGCATGTTGAGAGCTCTGAGAGAGAATAAAAGCAGGGGTTGTTGGAGCTAGCTTCTCAAGATGTCCTTGAGGCAAACCAGACCTTTGGGACACTCTGAAAATAAAACTGAAAGTGAAGAGATTGTGGGCCGAATGTGGTGGCTCACGCCTGTAATCCCAGCACTTTGGGAGGTCGAGGCGGGTGGATCACCTGAGATCAGGAGTTCGATACCAGCCTGGCCAACATGGCGAAACGCCATCTCTACTAAAAATACAAAAAAAATTAGCTGGGCCTGGTGGCAGGCGCCTATAATCCCAGCTACTCGGGAGGCTGAGGCGGGAGAATCGCTTGAGTCCAGGAGGCGGAGGTTGCAGTGAGCTGAGATCGTGCCATTGCACTCCAGCCTGGGCAACAAGAGCAAAACTCTGTCTCAAAAATAAATAAAAATAAATAAAAAAGAGATAGTGGCGTGATATCCTTGATTCTATCAGCAACCTATAAAAGTAGAGAGGAGTCTGTGTTTTGATTCAGTCACCTTTAGCATTTTTATTTCCATGAAGTTTCTGCTGGTTTATTTTTCTGTGGGTAAAATATTAATAGGCTGTATGGAGATATTTTTCTTTATATGTACCTTTGTTTAGATTACTCAACTCCACTAATTTATTTAACTAAAAGGGGGCTCTGACATCTAGTGTGTGTTTTTGGCAACTCTTTTCTTACTCTTTTGTTTTTCTTTTCCAGGTATTCAGTACACAATGCAGGCATTAGTTTCTCAGTTAAAAAAGTAAGTTCTTGGTTTATGGGGGATGGTTTTGTTTTATGAAAAGAAAAAAGGGGATTTTTAATAGTTTGCTGGTGGAGATAAGGTTATGATGTTTCAGTCTCAGCCATGAGACAATAAATCCTTGTGTCTTCTGCTGTTTGTTTATCAGCAAGGAGAGACAGTAGCTGATGTTAGGACACTACCCAATGCCTCAACCGTGGACAATATTCGCTCCATCTTTGGAAATGCTGTTAGTCGGTATGTCGATAACCTATATAAAAAAATCTTTTACATTTATTATCTTGGTTTATCATTCCATCACATTATTTTGGAACCTTTCAAGATATTATGTGTGTTAAGAGTTTGCTTTAGTCAAATACACAGGCTTGTTTTATGCTTCAGATTTGTTAATGGAGTTCTTATTTCACGTAATCAACACTTTCTAGGTGTATGTAATCTCCTAGATTCTGTGGCGTGAATCATGTGTTCTTTCAAGGTCTTAGTCTTGAAAATATTTATAGTGTAGTAGAACTATTTTATCCTCCAATGCTCCTTCTTTTCCTTGTATTTCCATTATCATCACTTTAGGATTTCACTTATTTATCATTCAACATTTATTAATTGCCTCTCATATTCCAGGCTTTGTGCTAGAAGTTAGGGATATAAAGACAAATAAGATATTTCCTGCCCTTAAAGACTAGATTCGTGTTGCTAAGTCTTCATTATCAAGAAAAGCATAAGTGGGGAAAAGTGCTTGCATTATGGATTCCTCATAGTTGCTCCCCTCTGCATGTAAAAATCACCATTTCCATCATAGATTCCTAGCGGTCTCAGGACTTTATAAAGCCCAAAGTGCCTATGTCATAATATGAGGAAAAATACTGAGACCCTTCCATATATGGGAGGTATATGGATGAGACAGCTCCTGACTTCACTTTTCCCAGAAATCTGAAAAGCAGCAGCAGTCATTCCAGAGCCCAGTTTCTACTTTGAAGGGCAGATTATTTATTCTTTGAGCTAACCTGACTGAGGAACAATTAGTTTGCTTTTAATTTACTATTTTCTTTTTCTTTTCTTTTCTTTTTTGAGACAGAGTCTCACTCTGTTGCCTAGGCTGGAGTGCAGTGGCTCAAACTTGGCTCACTGCAAGCTCCGCCTCCCGGGTTCACGCCATTCTCCTGCCTCAGCCTCCCGAGTAGCTGGGACTACAGGCGCCTGTCACCACACCCAGCTAATTTTTTGTATTTTTTAGTAGAGACGGGGTTTCATCGTGTTAGCCAGGATGATCTCGATCTCCAGACCTCGTGATCCACCCACCTCGGCCTCCCAAAGTGCTGGGATTACAGGCGTGAGCCACCGTGCCCAGCCACTATTTTCTTTCTAATTGTTAATGAATTAATTTTTTAAAACTGTGCTCCTAGAGCGAAGGGAGAGCTCTGTTTACAGTGTAACTTTTCAGAGCTTCTTTAACTAGATTTTAAGATCAGAATTAGTTGTTGTGAAATCTTAGGGACTGTACAAGATTAGAAATCCTCTATAGCAGCATTTCCCAAAGCAGGCTTCCAGAACACTAGCCTCATGAGGCATTTTGGGAAAAAAGAGTTTGCTGGTTCAGTGTGTATGGGCAGTGCCACAAGCCGTACCCTCCGTTGAAGACACTCATTCCACACATTACTGCATAAAAAGCTTCCACCAGCCATTCGGCAAACTTATTGAGTGTCTGCTATTTCCTGGGTATTGTGCTATATGGTAGGGTTATAGTAGTGAACAAAGAAGAAATGATGCCTGCTCTCAGCTGACTTTGCAGTTGGAAAGACACATGAAATAATTACGCCATTCATTAGCAGATTGTGCTAGATGCCTCACTGGAAAAATAAAGGACATGATGGAAAACTCTGTAGGGTCAGAGAAAGGGATCATTAGAGAAGGTTCTTTGAAGAAATATTTTTTGAAATATGAAGGATAAATAGGAATTAACTAGGTACCAATAGGTTAGGAGTAGAGCTTTCCAGACAGAGGGACTAGTTCTTGGGAAGGTCTCCAGACAGAAATAAGTGTGGCTTGTCTGAGGACCTCTTATTCGCCTATTAACCTTCCCTCCCCAGTAAACACTCCTGGGAACAACACACATTGTAGAACCACGTTGTGGTGCTGTTCAGTATAGCAAGTAATTCAGCAGAGATAAGTTCTTGGAATCTCATCTTTGGGATTTAGTTACTAAGATACATTCAAGTTTGAGCAAAATAAGGTCTCAGAGCTTGGATTCATTGTTCTGTTCCAGCAATTAGAGCAGTACCTGGCACATAGCACAAGTGCTTGAAAACACTGACTGAGTAGGGTAGGTGGGTGAGTGGGTGGGTGGGTGGGTGGGTGGATGGATGGATGGGAGGATGGGTGGGTGAATGGGTGAACAGACAAATGGATGGATGAATGGACAGGCACAGGAGGACCTCAAATGGACCAAGTCTTCGGGGCCCTCATTTCACAAAGTTAGTTTATGGGAAGGAACCTTGTGTTTTTAAATTCTGATTCTTTTGTAATGTTTGAGTTTTGAGTATTTTCAAAAGCTTCAGAATCTCTTTTCTAATAGAGAACTGATAGAAATTGGATGTGAGGATAAAACCCTAGCCTTCAAAATGAATGGTTACATATCCAATGCAAACTACTCAGTGAAGAAGTGCATCTTCTTACTCTTCATCAACCGTAAGTTAAAAAGAACCACATGGGAAATCCACTCACAGGAAACACCCACAGGGAATTTTATGGGACCATGGAAAAATTTCTGATCCATAGGTTTGATTAAACATGGAGAAACCTCATGGCAAAGTTTGGTTTTATTGGGAAGCATGTATAATTTTTGTCCTAAGTCTGTGCTCAGCCCTCCCACATGTGCTCATTGCTGGTTGACTGTTGGAGTCTGGTTCTTACCTCTAAGAGGAAGCCCAGGAGAGGGCATAAAGCCAGCACACTGTCCTCACCTGATGGTGTCAGAGTCCTTACGAGTAAGCCCTAGCCAGAACATTGCTGGAAGAGATCAAGGGCCACTGTTTGAAATTGCACAGCAGGATACGGAAAAGGGGTACCTTAGGTATAGGCATTGTCATTAAAGAAATTGCTAAGATACTTGAGATTTTCCTGTTTAAGGAATGAGCTTTATGATACAAAGAGCAGTTCTAAAAATTAGGGAGGGAATTAACTAAATTAATTAGGATATTTCTCAAATTCCTTTACAGTTTTTGTCTCTCTGCTGATATAGTGTTTACATGATTGTTATTTACTAAACAAATGCTATTTTGTATTGTGCTCCTTATAACTTAATTGTTTATTACAAGGTTTTGATGGTGACCTACCAACAACAAGTAATCCCAAACACAGTCTGAATTTTTTGTTTTCCATCCAGAAATAAGATGAATCTTTCCATTTCCGTGTTTTCAGTTTTCATCATTTTTATCCTATAGGTTACTTATCTTTATTTTAAAGCATTTCATAATAATTTTATAGTTTTTGTTTTGTTTGCTTGTTTGCTGTTGGAAATGGAATATTCCCTCCTTCCATTTAGACTGCTAACCAGCTGTAAATGTTTCAAAATATGCATGTTTTACAGCAGTTGTTCAAAGCAATACAGGAACAGTAAGGACAGAGCCAGTCATTTTACAACCACATTCTGTTAAACTGATGTCTATTAGCAGGGTTTTTCCTATTTTATTAGGAAGGACTTACACCTGATATATAACAAAGCTTGTTTTAATCAAGGCTCAGAAAATGTTTTTCATTAGTTTTTTTCCTAACCATGAAGAATAACTGCTTTGTAACACACATGCTGGCTATAAAGCAGACAAAAAATTCACTGTAGGTGCTGCCTGACTGGCCTCTGTCCGTGTTTCTGTTGGGGCTGCTTACCACAGCCTCTGCATTATCATTAGCTAGTGTGTTCACAATACCAAGTTCCCAGTAGCAAAGAAAGGTCAAGCTCTTACGCATGCCATTCATTTATCTACACTGTGCAGGCGCACTCAGGTGGCAGGGACAAAGACCACTCCTTTGGCGCATCTCAAGTTCAGAATTCTCAGTAGAGGGGCTCCAGCTGTCCTTTTGTCAGGTGCCCATGCCTGCTCCAGGCCTGTGTGGTCAGGACACGTGTTACAGAGTACAGTGACATTAATGATGGGGCCATGGATATGGTCAGCACTCAGAGGATGTTAGTCTCTTCATTGATAAAGTCACAACCACTTTTCCTGTTGGAAATAAAAAGATTTGACGTATCCTTGTCTACAGCAACACAGGACAACAGATAATCAGCAGGTCATCTAAATCTGTTCAGAGAGAAAGGAGAGCTGTTTCCTGAAAATACATCTTCCCCTGATTTTAGTCTTATTTTTTTCTGCCTTTATTGCTTTCTACCCTCTTCAAACCAGCCTCATTTCCTAAATTACCTTGAATATGCATTGACACTTGTACTGCCTGAAATTCTGGAAAACTCAGTATGGCTACTCCACCGTCAGAACTTCCTGAGCAAAGTTAGTTGCTCTCTCGGCTCACTGTTTTGTTTTGTTTTGTTTTCCTGCCTCAGGTTTATTTGTACAAATAGCACAGGAGGACCAGCCCCATGCAGATGGTAGCCCAGGGGCGGGGGTAGGGGGTCACACCAGTCCTTCTGTCCTCATGTTGGCAGAGATATCTACTCTGAAGCCTTTGTAGGGGCCTGGGCACCTTTGGGAGCCTGAGCTGGAACTGAAGGTGGAGCTGCAGCCTGGGCCTTGGTTTGATCCTTGGCCTTGGCCTTTGGCCGGCACAGCCTGAGCCCCTTGGCAATACGGGCACGAGCACGCTTCCCAAGCTTGGGATGGGCAATGTAGGCAAGTCGATCGAGCTTGCGGCTGACACCCTTTGGGATCTTGGGCTTAACCTCCTTGGGCTTTACGAGGGCCTTGATAGCCTCGGCACGTGCACTCATGGCCTTGGCATTGTTGGCCTGCATCTTCTTTAGGCCCTTCTTGTTGTGCTTCTTGGCAAAGTGCATGTTCCTCAGGAACTTGGGGTCCACCCCCTTAAGAGATTCGTATCTTTGTGATCGGGGTTTCTTGATACCATTTCTGTGCCATTTTCGGGACTGGTTGTGTGTGGTGTGGTTCTTGGACTTCGCCATGTCTACACCTTAAGCCGCGGCTCCCGAAGCACCTAGAACCGGAAGAGTTGGCTCACTATTTAGCACACACACACGTCTATAATAGTGCTGGCCACTTGGGGTTGGAATTAGTTTATTTATCAGCATGTTGTCTCCCAGCACTTGGTGTGTGTGATATGCAGTATGTATTTGCAGAATGAAAAGTCTGAGGGCTGACATCATATTTCCCACTGTGCCCAGAAAGAGCACAGTTAGTCCACATGAGCTAATGGGGGCAAAGGGAAGTGAGGAGGGAGAATGTACTGCCTTATCATGTTTTCTATTACTTGGCTGAAGTAAAACAGTCCCAAGCCGATAGTAAGATAGTGGGCTGGAAAGTGGCGACAGGTAAAGGTGCACCTTTCTTCCTGGGGATGTGATGTGCATATCACTACAGAAATGTCTTTCCTGAGGTGATTTCATGACTTTGTGTGAATGTACACCTGTGACCTCACCCCTCAGGACAGTTTTGAACTGGTTGCTTTCTTTTTATTGTTTAGATCGTCTGGTAGAATCAACTTCCTTGAGAAAAGCCATAGAAACAGTGTATGCAGCCTATTTGCCCAAAAACACACACCCATTCCTGTACCTCAGGTAATGTAGCACCAAACTCCTCAACCAAGACTCACAAGGAACAGATGTTCTATCAGGCTCTCCTCTTTGAAAGAGATGAGCATGCTAATAGTACAATCAGAGTGAATCCCATACACCACTGGCAAAAGGATGTTCTGTCCCTTCTTACAGGTACAAGGCACAGTTTTCCTTCATTTATTCACTAATTTAGCAGAACCTCACTAAGAGCCTCCTATATGCCAGGCTCTGCGTTAGCAATAAAAGGAATGCCATGCCTCACCCCATCAGGAGGTGCTGATAGCTTGTAGGCGGAGTGGAAACAGATGTGCTCTAGAGGCTCTAAATATTACTTCTGCTGGGGTCAGTTGGGAAGCCACAACAGCTACTGTTCATCTTCCATAAAAGACAATCAGCCGGGCACAGTGGCTCACACCTGTAAATCCCAGCACTTTGGGAGGCTGAGGTGGGTGGATCACAAGGTCAGGTGTTTGAGACCAGCCTGGCCAACGTGGCGAAACCCTGTCTCTACTAAAAATACAAAAATTAGCCAGGCATGGTGGCGGGCGCCTGTAGTCCCAGCTACTCGGGAGGCTGAGGCAGGAGAATCGCTTGAACCTAGGAGGTGGAGGTTGCAGTGAGCTGAGACTGTACCACTGCACTCCAGCCTGGGCGACAGAGCGAGACTCCATCTCAAAAAAAAAAAAAAAAAGACTGGGTTCTGTTCTGTGGAGGTTCTTGTCTTAACATATCCACTGTTGATTGCCCAGATGTTGATGTAATTAATTTAGCAGTCGTAAATAGTTTAGCACTTGCATTAAATAGACCAAACCCCATAGTAGGTATTTGAAATACAGAATAAATGTGAGGTACCCCTGCTCTAAAGGAGTTTATAGTCCAGAGCTGACTTATGGAGGATTTCTTTCTATTATTTCTGGGTCTGCTACTAATTTGTCTATTTCATATCCTAATTATCCTTGTTTTCATTTTGATTGAAAGGGGGAGAGCATAGAAATTGTGGTAAAAGGTAGTTTTATTTTTTATTTGAGATGGAGTCTTGCTCTGTCACCCAGGCTGGAGTGCAGTGGCACAATCTCATCTCATTGCAACCTCCACCTCCCGCGTTCAAGCAATTCTCCTGCCTCAGCCTCCCGAGTAGCTGGGATTACAGGTGTGCACCACCACGCCCAGCTAATTTTTGTATTTTTAGTAGAGATGGATTTTACCATGTTGGCCAGTCTGGTCTTGAACTCCCGACCTCAGGTGATCCTCTCACTTTGGCCTCCCAAAGTGTTAGGATTACAGGCCTCAGCCACTGCACCCAGCCTAAAGTTAGTTTTAGATTAAGTGTTTTCATGTTTTCCCTTGCAAAGTAATAAACTGGTCAAGTTATCACCTTGTTCCATCTCCATATTAATCAGGGTCCAAACAGGAGATAGAAACCATGCAACAATTTGAGTAGTTGAATAAAGAATTATAAACAGGAGATTAGAGTAATAGGGGATTAGATAGTAAGAGGTGAAGAGATAGGAACAGCAGATATAAAGAACAACCATTTCCTCCTATGGCTGAGATACCATCCCCTCACCACACTCCCCCACCTACTCACTGAGATGCAGACCTTATTGAAGAGAATGTAACTGGCTTGCTGCGAGGTAAAGTCAATGAGGCGCTCCCCAGTACCACTCTGAGGGGATGCTGGGGAAAACTGCCCATGAGAAGAGGGCACATGCTGCTGGCCACTTGTGCTAAAGAACTTGAAGTCTGATAGGAGTGCACCCTAACCTGGCATAGAAACCCTTTCTTCCTGCTGAGTCCCTCTAGCACCTTATACTGGCAAAGCTTTACATTGCAAACCTCCATTATCACAGAGCAAGCAATGAAAGATGGACTCAGAGCTGAGGCGATAAATTGATAGCTAGCATAGCCTCTAAACTGACTTTTATGACTACATTTTATGGATAGAAAGTGTTCTTATATATATTGTTTCTTTACATAATAGGGGACTTATTCATGGCTGCAGATGAGAAAACAGATCCTAAGAAGTTAAGTGACTTGCCCAAGGTCACACAAAGAATTCCACTAGTTCTAAAATGACAGTAATTACAGTTAACATACATTGTATGTGGCAGATACATATAAAGCACATGGCATTAATTTTTTTTTTTGAGATGGAGTCTTGCTCTGTCGCCAAGCTGGAGTGCAGTGGCACGATCTCGGCTTACTGCAACCTCTGACTCCCTGGTTGAAGGGATTCTCCTCCCTCAGCCTCCCGAGTACCTGGGATTACAGGCATGCGCCACCACGCCCAGCTAATTTTTGTATTTTTAGTAGAGACGTGGTTTCATCATGTTGGCCAGGATGGTCTCGATCTCCTGACCTTGTGATCCACCCGCCTCGGCCTCCCCAAATGCTGGGATTACAGGCGTGAGCCACCACGCCCGGCCACTTGGCATGAATTTAATTCCCGCCATAAACCTGTGAGATAGGTAATTCTGTTATATCCACTTTACAAATGAAGAGACTGAGGCAAAGAAAGATGATGTAACTTACGCAAAGCTACACAGCTCTTAAGTAGCAGTGCCAATATTTGAACACACTCAGACTCGATCCTGAGGTTTTGACCACTGTGTCATCTGGCCTCAAATCTTCTGGCCACCACATACACCATATGTGGGCTTTTTCTCCCCCTCCCACTATCTAAGGTAATTGTTCTCTCTTATTTTCCTGACAGTTTAGAAATCAGTCCCCAGAATGTGGATGTTAATGTGCACCCCACAAAGCATGAAGTTCACTTCCTGCACGAGGAGAGCATCCTGGAGCGGGTGCAGCAGCACATCGAGAGCAAGCTCCTGGGCTCCAATTCCTCCAGGATGTACTTCACCCAGGTCAGGGCGCTTCTCATCCAGCTACTTCTCTGGGGCCTTTGAAATGTGCCCGGCCAGACGTGAGAGCCCAGATTTTTGCCTGTTATTTAGGAACTTTCTTTGCAAGTATTACCTGGATAGTTTTAACATTTTCTTCTTTGAACCTAGTTATAAAGGTATTGTGCTGTTGTTCCTAGGCTTAGAGTCATAAGGCCTGAGCTCACTTCCTCACTTTGCCTCCATCTGGAACCTTAGACCAACTTCCTAGGAAAACGAGCTGTCTGAAAACAGAATAGGGTGCCTCTTCAATGTGCTCTTCACTGGAGATGTTCAGGAGGAGGCTACTCCCACCTACACAGGGTGCAGTGGAGGGTCTGGGCCCCAGGGAGGCAGCAGGAAGAGTGGAAAGAGCGGAGGCTCTACTGTTGGACAGACCTGGGTTACCAGCCGTGTGACTAGCCTTCCCTGGCCTCCATATCCCCCTCAGTAATGAAGGAATGTGTCATCCCCAAATCCAGGGACAGTTACAAGCAGTCAGTGAACAGAAAGTGTCTGGTACAGGTTCTAAGTGCTTATTATTCTAAGTCACTTCACTTACCTGAGTTCTCAGTTTTCCTATCTATAAGATAAGCAGGTTGGATAAAATGTTCTCCAATATACTCCTGGTCCTGAGATGATGTGATTGTGGGCAGCCCTTTAATCATGGTGAAGATGTTCATCATAAGCACACTGAAACTACAAAATAGGAATATAAATATTTTCTCCATTAAATTATGCTGGATCCTAGAAGCAAAAACTGGAACTGTGAAACCCTACTTCACAGAAAACTTAAAATTCCCAAGCAGATGAATGCTTCTCGGAAGGACACTGACAGTTACCTACCTGGAAAGAATCTAGATGGAGGTGGCATGGGCACTAAGCGGTGAGATTAAACCCAGTTAGGGCAGCCCCACCAGCCTTGGAACCCACACATCTGGAGATTGTTGATGCAGAGAGAAAGGTTCCTACTGGTGAGACCTGAAAGGGATATGTGGCAGGTGGGAGGAAGAAGTTCTGTCTGGAAACCAACCCTTGTTCCTCCGTTATTGATTGACTCCTGGTACCAACATGAGCCCTAGGTCTTATAGAGGCCATAAGTCCCTATGCCTTATAGTGCCCATGGATGAGATGAGGCCACACATGCCCCCAGTGGGTTAACATGTCTAGCGTGGGTAAGGCTCTTGGAGCACTATGATACACAGGAAATGCCCAGTAACTCTTAGTTGGTTTGATATCTGTTCCCATTGCTCACTTAAGCTCAGTGCCCCTTTACTGATCCTTTTATTCTGCCTCCCTCTGCACATGTGCATTGAGACTCCTATCTGAGACACACACTGTGTTGGGTGCCCAGGGATGCAGCATAGATGTTGCTGCCTTCCACAGAAGCGCTCATGGTCTGCTAGAGAATATATCCCATGGGAGAGAAAAACAGACTCGGGAGAATATAGCAGGGGCCCTTGTCCTGGACTTTGGCAGTTAGGAAAGGGAGGGAAGAGACATGGAGGCTGGGACCCAAAGGCTAAATAGGAATTTGCTGGGCCAAAGGGGAGGGGGAATGAAAAGAGTGTTTCTGGCAGAGGAAATGGCAAGGATAAAGGCCTGGAGGCGCAAGAGAATATGTGTTTGAGGATCTGAAAGTTGAGTGCAGTGGGTCCAGTGTTCTCTACCCTGGCTGCCATTAGAATTACCTGGGAAACTTTTAGAAAATTCCAGTGTCTGGGCCCTCCCTAAAACAATAAATCATTCTTGGGTGGTGGGGTCTGGGCATCAGGATTGTTTAAAACCCTCCCCAGGTACTGTCATGTGCAGCTGGGGTTAAGCTGTGCTGGGGTCTGAGTATGGATCTGTTAGGGCAAGTGGCGGTGATGGAGTTGAGGCTGCAGAATTCAGGCCAAATAGAGAGGTTTTCATCAGGATATTAAAGAGTTTAGATTTCAATTTGGTGGGAATGGATGGGATCTTATTTGCATTTTATGAAGAGCTCCCTGGTTGCAATATCAGAATGGATTGGAGAGGAGCAAGATGGAAGCCTACAGTGATTTGGGAGAAGTGGTGAGGGACTTGAGACACAGGAAGTAGCCCCATTCACTAATAGTTGAGTATGTAGATTTGCTAGGACCTGGAAATGGTTTGGCTGGTGGGGAGTGGGAAGAAAGGCCCAAAGTGTGAAATGAAGATGGAGAGCACATTGCCTAGCCCAGAGTGATTGCCATTTGCTCTGTCCCAGTTGAGGTCCAAGGGGTTGGCCAGAGATCATGGAGTCTGTGGCTCCATGGGGAGAAGAACCTCTCAGCATGCCTCCTTGTCTTATCCTGGGTTAGTCAGATTCATTTTGTTAGATTACATTTTTTTTCCAGTGGAACTCTGCTTAAGTCCTGACCAGTATGTTTTCAGAAGGATCAGAGGGCCTGCCCTTGTCCATTGGTGCATGACACCAGCTTGGTGGGTTCCTTGCTGCTCCCTGTTTTCATAGGGTTATCAGAATACCTTCTCTCCCTGCCACCAGCAGGTCACACTGGCTCCTGACTTTTTGGCCCATGGAACCACCATCTTTCTGCTTCTTAGATTGTGCCTTGTACTCCACTGATCATGGCCAGTACATCAGAAGCCCTGGTTTGCAGTGAATGCATTTGATATGGAAATCAGGAACCCTGGGGATACCACTCATCATATTTGGTTGCTGTGTTTTTCCTCCAATCTTTCACCATAACAACAATCAACTCAAAAGATTTCTATAACCACTTGTGTGGGGGTTTCTCCCCACACACTAAACAAGCAGTCAGTTCCAGAGTGGACAGCAGCTGGTCTCCTCCAATTTAATTCCAACACTGTCTACTTGGAGATAGCATTAGATCCCACAGGTTGAGGGTGCAGTCCCCTAGACTGCCCCCAGTCTCCTGCTTCAGACACCAGTCACAAGTCCAGGACTCTAGAAGTTCTGACCAGTTTCAAGTTGGGGTTCCCACAACCCCCCACTTTATTTTTGATTAATTTGCTGGAGTGGCTCATAGAACTCAGGGAAACACTTAGTTTTCTGGACTTATTACAAAGATTTAAAAAGATACCAATAAATAGCCAAATAAAGAGATATACAGGGCTAGATCTGGAAGGGTCTGGAGCGCAGGAGCTTCTGTCCCCATCTACTTGGCTCCCAGCAGATGGATGAGTTCTTATTCATTTTCTTGTCAGCTTCGACATGTTCAGCTCTCTGGAAGCCCGCAAACTCTTGTCTTCTTGGGCCTTTTATGGAGACGTCGTTAGGCAGGCATGATTGAAACATGGACAACTGTGTCGAAATATGATTGGACATAAAGGGGTCTAAACTCAGTGAGGCCTGTTTGTTCAGATTCTTCTTGGCCTCTCTGTGGCCATTCTTTCCTCCAGGATATGGGGCAGGACCCCTATGGAATGAGGGTCTTATGACCCACAATCAAATTAGAGTCCTGCCTTGGGCAAGTGAAAGGAAAGCAGGAGAAGGTAAGAGAAATTCTGTTGCCTAAGACCTTCTGAGGCCTAAAGCACCCCAACATTATAACAGAAGACGATAACAGGACTATGGGAGTTATGAGCTGGGAACCTTGGACAAAAATATATACATATTAAATAAATATTAAGTGTATATATATACTTACGTATATTAAGTGTATGTGTGTGTGTGTATATATATATTTTTTTAATTTACTGGTTGGTTTTGGGAAGCAGAAATTACCATAACTACTCTTAAAAATCTTTTAAGTCTCTTTGAAGTTAGAAAAGTCACTGTACCTTTTTGTTTCCATTGGCCCTGTACTTCTTATTATACCCCAGCAGGAGGAGCATAATGTGTTGTTATATCATTCTGGTGATAAGATTCATAAGTGGGTTCAGCTGGTGACAGCCTGATTCCCTCATTGTAAACTTATCCATCAACATGTAGCTTAATCGTTTCACCTTTTGTGATGACCATTACCTGAATCAGTTATTTCATTAGATTGCAAGATTATGCTTTTCTGATTTTATCATTTCTTCTGTATTGACTGTAATTCTTTGGTATAGAAGAACTTTCCCTTGTTAATAGCTATTTGGTTGTCCTGAAGTACAGTTCTTACTAGAAAGTAAGACCAAATGCTGAATTATATCCCTCTAGCTATCAATTTTCGAAGGAATGAATGGTGTCCTAGTAATTTCCAGTGGTGTTTAATTACGTTTTCCCTTCTCTTTCTCCTTCTCTTATTCCCTCCCTCTCCATCTCCTCCCTCCTCACTTTCAGTTTTTTGCTCTTTCAGTATTTTGTCATAGCTGTTAACAGAGCAACATATTTTAATCAATTGTAGTCATTTTTCTTTTTGGTGCTCAAATTATCCCGTCTTAGTCCCATGGAAGCAAGCCCTTGGAGCTAGGGCCCTCTACCTTTTGATGGATTTCCATTTGTCTTGATAATTTCCTTGTTTCTGACAAGACAAGATGTTGCAGGCACATTTTATACTTTCCCAGCCCAAACCCTGGAATAGGCCTTTTCTCCGAGGAGCTCTAGTTCATTTTAGTGGGAAATGGTATTTAGAGACTATAATCTGGGATCTGGGAGTCCTCATTGCTACTGAGTAGTCATTACTTTTAGGCTTTTCCAGTGGTCAGAGCTAGGAAATATGTATATTTAAAAATGGACAGTTGAATGGTTGTTGCCAGGAGCTGGGAGGAAGGGGAAGTGAGAAATTGTTTAATGGGCACAGAGTTTCAGTTTGGGGAAGATGAAAAAGTTCTAGAGATAGCTGGTGGTGATGGTTGCGCAACAATGTAAATGCCACTGAGCTCTCATTTAAAAATGGTTAAAATGGTAAATTTTATATATATTTTACCACAATAAAAAAAAGTCTTCTTCTGGGAGCACCCCCCCAAGACAAAAATATGAAAATTTTACACTGATACTTCCATTTCAAGATAATTTTAAGATTATAAGGATTTTGCTTAATTCTTGAATTTTATACCTGTAAACCTTTTATACTTCAAATTTCGGGCAGAATTGCTTCTATAACAATGATAATTATACCTCATACTAGCTTCTTTCTTAGTACTGCTCCATTTGGGGACCTGTATATCTATACTTCTTATTCTGAGTCTCTCCACTATATATATATATATATATATATATTTTTTTTTTTTTTTTTTTTTAATACAGACTTTGCTACCAGGACTTGCTGGCCCCTCTGGGGAGATGGTTAAATCCACAACAAGTCTGACCTCGTCTTCTACTTCTGGAAGTAGTGATAAGGTCTATGCCCACCAGATGGTTCGTACAGATTCCCGGGAACAGAAGCTTGATGCATTTCTGCAGCCTCTGAGCAAACCCCTGTCCAGTCAGCCCCAGGCCATTGTCACAGAGGATAAGACAGATATTTCTAGTGGCAGGGCTAGGCAGCAAGATGAGGAGATGCTTGAACTCCCAGCCCCTGCTGAAGTGGCTGCCAAAAATCAGAGCTTGGAGGGGGATACAACAAAGGGGACTTCAGAAATGTCAGAGAAGAGAGGACCTACTTCCAGCAACCCCAGGTATGGCCTTTTGGGAAAAGTACAGCCTACCTCCTTTATTCTGTAATAAAACTGCCTTCTAACTTTGGCTTTTCATGAATCACTTGCATCTTCTCTCTGCCTGACTTGCCCTCTGGAATGGTGCTGGAATGGTCCTGTGGCCTTGTCCACTGTCTGCCTTTGACCATAACTTGAAAGTCACCCACCATAGTGTCCTTTGAAATAACTTAAATGTCCACAGTTCCAAGCATGAGTTAAAAACACTTCAGAATGTAGAGTAGTTGTTCAATTGAATAAACACACACACCAGAAAAAAAAGCAAGTTTATCTTTTATTTTTAGTAAAGAATTTTGATAGAGCCTCAACACCAGAAATGGCTAGAGAGAGAAGCCTAACATATCTGGAGGATTATTTTTCATCCTACTTAAAGCTGCTTTCACTTTTTTCAGGAAAAAACACACGTTCTGAATCTAATTTATAAAACTCCCTGGCCGGGTGCTGTGGCTCACACCTATAATCCCAGCACTTTGGGAGGCTGAGGCAGGTGGATCACCTGAAATCAAGAGTTCAAGACCAGCCTGACCAACATGGTGAAACCCCATCTCTACTAAAAATACAAAATTAGCCAGACGTGGTGGCGCATGCCTGTAATCCCCGCTACTCGGGAGGCTGAGACAGGAGAATGACTTGAACCCGGGAGGCGGAGGTTGCAGTGAGCCGAGATCGCGCCATTGCACTCCAGCCTGGGCAACAAGAGCGAAACTCCGTCTCAAAACAAACGAACAAACAAAAACCCCAAAAATCCCTGAAGTACGTGAGCTAGTGGTGAAAGAAAGCTGGAGAAAAGGAGCAGGAATAATAATAATAATAATAATAATAATAAAGATTGTCATTTAATTTTGAGTACTTCCAGTGTACACTTTGCAGGTACTCTAAGACATTACCTCACTGAAATCTCTAAGGTAGATATTCTTTATTTAAAGTGTACTTGTATGAAACCTGGAGCTCAAGGTGAAGGAATTTGCCCAAGGCTGCACTTGCACTATCGTGGCACTAATTAGCCGTGTGAACTGGGACACGTTACTTCAGTTTGCTCATTTCTGAGTCAGCCTAGCAAGATGACTTCTAAGAATTTTTTCCAGCCGGGTACATTGGCCTGTAATCCCAGCACTTCGAGAGGCCAAGGTGGAAGGGTCACTTGAGTCTAGGAGTTACACACAACACACACACACACACACACACACACACTAGCCAGGCATGGTGGCAAATGCCTGTAGTCTCAGCTACTCCGGAGGCTCAGGTGGAAGGATCACTTGAGCCCAGGAGGTTGGGGCTGCAGTGAGCCATGATCACGCCACTGCACTCCAGCCTGGCTGACAGAGTGAGATCCTCTGTCTCAAAAAAAGAAAAAAAAAAAGATTTTTTTCCAGGGAATAATAAAGGAAGCTAATATTTATGGAGCATCTACGGTGTGCCAAATACTTTGCATACGTTATCTCATTTAATGCTCTTATCCCTGCAGGGAAAGTATTAACATTTGTTTATCACTTGCAGAACTAAGTGATATTTACCACAGAGTAGACAAATATTTTCAAGCCCAAAATCAAGTGGTATCACTTTTCTGCTGAGAATGTTTCAGTGGTTTCCTTTGCTCTTGGGATAAAACTTAAATCCCTCACCCTACCCTTGCTCCAACCCTCCACTTTCCTTCTCCCATGTGGTGATTTGGCCATACAGCTCTTGTGGCTGATCTGAACTGACTGAGCTTTTTACCCTTTTGCTCTTGCTGTTCTTACAGCCTGGGAACCCCCTGGTTACCTCTTGGCTTGGTGTGGTGGCTTACATCTGTAATCCCAGCACTCTGGGAGGCCAAGGCGGACGGATCACCTGAGGTTGGGAGTATGAGACCAGCAAGTCACCTCTTGCCAGTGGCCTTTGTCCATTGAGTCTGAAGTTCTTTCTCCTCTCATTTCCCCATCATTCTATTATGCTACCTTGTTTTATTTTCTTCATTGTGTTTATTGATACTTAAAATGATCTCTTTTCTGTTGCTGTTTGACTCTCCCACTAGAAAGTAAGCATTGTAGATCGGGCACTGTGGCTCACACCTGTAATCCCAGCACTTTGTGGGGCAGAGGCGGGTGGATCACCTGAGGTCAGGAGTTCGAGACCAGCCTGGCCAACACGGTGAAACCCCATCTCTACTAAAAATACAAAAAATAGCTGGGTATGGTGGCTCGTACCTGTAATCCCAGCTACTCAGGAGGCTGAGACATGAGACTCACTTGAACCTGGGAGGCAGAGGCTGCAGTGAGCTGAGATCACACCACAGCACTCCAGCCTGGAAGACATAGTGAGACTCTCTCTCAAAAAAAAAAAAAAAAAAAAAGGAAGTAAGCATTGTGAGGGCAGGTACCTTCTCTGTTTTGTTCATTGCTGGATGTAGTTAGTATACAGCAGTATCTGATGGATGGATAGATGGAGGAATGAATGAATGAGACTTCACAAATTCAGCTCACTTGCTCAAGGCCCTGCAGCTCTACGGGATGAAGCTATACTCCAGAGTCCTGCTACATTGGCTGTGTGGCCAGCTGCTGGGATCTGAGGGTTGTCAGATAAGCAGTCTACCAGAGAACAGACTGATCTTGTTGGCCTTCTGCCAGCACAGGGGTTCATTCACAGCTCTGTAGAACCAGCACAGAGAAGTTGCTTGCTCCTCCAAAATGCAACCCACAAAATTTGGCTAAGTTTAAAAACAAGAATAATAATGATCTGCACTTCCTTTTCTTCATTGCAGAAAGAGACATCGGGAAGATTCTGATGTGGAAATGGTGGAAGATGATTCCCGAAAGGAAATGACTGCAGCTTGTACCCCCCGGAGAAGGATCATTAACCTCACTAGTGTTTTGAGTCTCCAGGAAGAAATTAATGAGCAGGGACATGAGGGTACGTAAACGCTGTGGCCTGCCTGGGATGCATAGGGCCTCAACTGCCAAGGTTTTGGAAATGGAGAAAGCAGTCATGTTGTCAGAGTGGCCACTACAGTTTTGCTGGGCAAGCTCCTCTTCCTTTACTAACCCACAATAGCATCAGCTTAAAGACAATTTTTGATTGGGAGAAAAGGGAGAAAAATAATCTCTGTTTATTTTAATTAGCATTAATTGGTATTCTTGTTAAACCATAGGAGTCAGAGTAAATCAGCCATTTCACCAATTTTCAGTTTGTTTCTGTCTTAGCTAACAGCAGTGTAATGGTCAGCAAAATTCTTATCTTGTGTACTGAATGGCATGTCCTGTTGCTGAAAGTGCACAGGCTTGGGAGGTAGCCATGAGCTCAAATCCTGGCACTACCACCTCTCTTGTGTGACCTTAGACTCCTGACCTTTCTATGCCTCAGTTCTTTCTTACCTATAAAATGAAATTAATTTTACCCTTAAAGATCATCGTGCTGATTAGAGATAAAATATAAATAATAACACTTGTTACAGAGCAAGGAGTTGACACTTTTATATTCTGAAGACAAAGTGGTAAATCATTATCATCTATGTCAGAAATAGCTTTTGAGAATACCTGAGTATAGAACTATCTTGATCCCTGTTACTTCAAAACTAAAATAATGGTTTTAGGAATTAAAAGGTGAGGCTAGTCACCTCCAAGGGATGAACTGACTCAGGGATTGAGGTATATAACAGTGAACTGGTCCAAACAACAGTCCTGACCCCACTTTATGAGTGAGACTATGAGTAATGGTCTAAGTGTAGACATCATTGTCCAGGGCTCCAGTAGGCAGCTCTGTACTTGAGAATTTAGCAGTGACCCTTCTATTTTTCATCTATTATACCTTTTTTTTTTTTTTTTTTTGACACAGGGTCTCACTTTGTCACCCAGCTGGAGTGTGGTGGTGCAATCATGGCCCACTGCAGCCTCAACCTCCCTGGGCTTAGGTGATCCTCCCACCTCAGCTTCCTGAGTAGCTGTAATTACAGGCATGTGCCATCATGCCCAGCTAATTTTTCTTTTCTTAGAGGTGGGGTTTTGCCATGTTTCCCAGGCTGGTCTTGAACTCCTAGGCTCTCACCTCTGTCTTCCAAAGTGCTGGGATTACAGGTGTGAGCCACCACACCTGGCCTATTACACATTTCTTAATTAAAGTAGTCAAATTTGAAAACTGTTACAAAGTGTATCTTAAAATACGACGATCTGGTTTAATTTTTAAAAGATATGAGTAGCCAAGGAGCAATTCTGTGCCTTTCCCACTAGTCCCTAACCTTTTAAAGCAGCTGCTTCTTGGCTGGGCTCAGTGGTTCACCCCTGTAATCCCAGCACTTTGGGAGGCCAAGGCGGGTGGATCATGAGTCGAGATCATCCTGGCTAACACAGTGAAACCCTGTCTCTACTAAAAATAGAAAAAAATAGCTGGGCGGGGTGGCGGATGCCTATAGTCCCAGCTACTCGGGAGGCTGAGGCAGGAGAATGGCATGAACACGGGAGGCAGAGGTTGCAGTGAGTCGAGATTGTGGCACTGCACTCCAGCCTGGGCGACAGAGCGAGACTCCATCTCAAAAGGAAAAAAAAAAAAAAAACCCATCTGCTTTTGATTCAGTGGCTTCTTTAATTTTGTCGGTCTCAGTCACCATTTGTCTAAGCAAATTCAGGCAGGCTTCACCTTGCCTTTCTACATTTGTTCCCTTTTCTTAGCATTTTGGGCCTTTGTTTACACGTGGGAAAAGACCCACAGGTCGTCTCTCCCTTTGGGCAGGATACAGGCTTCCTGTGACTGAGGTTTTGCTAGCTGTAGAAGTGGCTGCCAATTGGCTTCTGGTTTTTATTTCCATGATTTGCTCCAGTGGCTCTTCCCTTCCATCATTGTTAGCTTTCAAGCTAGGAACTTTTAAAATGCTTTTAAATAAAAGTGAGCTGTTACTTGATGCATTTAGCAGTCTTCCTCACAGTGGTTTTGATAGACAGACTCCCTCAGTTTGGAATTTATGAGTTTTCTTTAAGGGTTTGTCTCCCTCATGTATAGCAGGCTGTTGAAAGTTACAATGTCAATAACTTTCTGAATAGTATCAAACTGTTTTCAGTGCAGTGTATTAACAAAACTAACCTGCCTCAAGTTTGGTCAGCTTTGGAGTCTTACTGAGGCTAAAATGATAAATCTAAATGATTTAAAATTGTGTATTCCTACACAGTATCTCACTTAATTATGTAATAGTCTTGTGAGTGAGGCAGAGCAGATGCCGTTTTCTCTATTTTAAAGATGAGGAAAATGGAATGGAAAATGGAAAGGACAGACTAATTGCAACATCCTCGCAATCAAAAACAGGCCCAGGTTCATGCCTTGTTGGCAGTGGGTTGCTACTGGCTGTGGCCTTCATGCAGGAAGGCTAGATGCATAACCAGGTCAACAGCCCGTGCAGGACAAGCACGCCATGTAATTCTGATTCCATCGACTGAGGCTGGTGTTTTCAAACGTGCTGGTGTAGGGTCTTACAGACAGAGTCATCTGTGCTATGGGGAATGGAATGTGCTCTTGCTTTGGAGCCAGAACTCCTCTGAAGCTCCCACCACCTACACCATTCAGAGGCCAGACAGAAATTTGTTCACCATTTTGGGCATGATTTTCGTGCTTTTGTAAAATGTGCTTCACTGCAGCCCTTACTGGGCTGTGGTGATGAACACTTAAGATACTGTGTGTGTGCTTTATAATCTGTAAGGCACTGTTCAAGGGGAGGGACCTCTGCCATGAGCCCCTACCCACTGGTATCTGGTTGACATCCAAAGCCCCAGCCTGGGAGAAGCTGATTCTCTAGTTGAATGCTGTATAGGGATTTGACTGAGGCTCAGATTTGGTGAGGAAGACCACTAACCTTAACAGACCAACAGGCTGGCTACTCCCTGATGAAGTTCCCCAGGCCATGAAAGAAGTAAGAGATACATTCCTTGTAACAGCTTTCTTAGTTGCACCTGTATGATTATTTGATCAGTGTGTTGTCTGTGCAGGGATCATGTCTGTGGAGCTCACCACCTCGTCCTCGGTGCTGAGCAGAGTGCCTGGCATGTGTACTCAGTAGATATTTGCTAAGGGAGCGAGTCAGTGATTGAGAGGAGCAGCCTGGGAGGTAAAGCCCTAGAATCTTTATTTTAAAGGGATATCAAAGTTGAACATTCAGTTAGACAGTTCTCTTGAGTCCAGGGATTTACCCATCCATGGTGGACACACTTTCAGTTAAAAAGTAAGGTTAATTTTGACAGGTTGCAGTATCCAGGCAAGCATTCTATGGAATAAGGCTCATCTCAGGGATTAGTAATGACTGAATTAACTTACTGCTAGTCCCATAATTTTGACGTTAATTAATGGGGTTAAGAAATGTCATAAGCTATTTGGTACCATTTAAAGTGAAAATACCCTTAACGTTTTTTGCCTCCAGATATCCACACTTAATTTCATTTTCTTGCTCTTTGGTGAACAGTCCTGGGTCTGAATGTATATATCCATGGTTTGTCACTAGGTGACAGGTTTTTTTGGAACAAGAAATCAGTTCAGTGAACATTTGTCAAGTATCTTCTCTGTAAAAAGTGTAATGTGCCAAGCTCAGAAGTAGGAAGTGAAATGGATAAACTATGACCCCTGCCTTAAAGAACACCATGGTGTTGTATGGGAATTGTTTAGGTAGAATGAAAGAAATCCTCTAATAGAGATATGAGGCCAGTTCAGCAGAAAGCCAGGGTGAGATCTCCTGAGAGGGATGGAAGGGTGTCTTGATCATCTCTGGTAGCAGCAAAGGCACTGGCATACAGTGGCCACTGGAAGACAACCAGCAGGGGATGGGGGCGTTTACCCTTGCAAGTGAGCATTAGGAACTAGAGGACTGATTGCCCTTTCTTCAGCTTTGGTTTCCCTTGCTGCAGAAAAAGATGCTGAGACTCATGGCCTCGGTTATGAACTCAGATATGTGGTTTGGCTTTGAAGCACAGATGGATTTTGTCCGATTTTGGCAGGGAAATGCCTACAGACAGCACTATGGGCATATTTAGGTTAGGGACGAAATGCAAGTTGATTAAGTCCTGATAAGAGGCTGTGAAGAGGTCCAAGAAGCCTCACAATGCCCAATGAAGAAAAGCCCTGTGCTTGGTGCTGCCGCCTCCCTTCCCCGTCCTGCTGGCAGGGCTGCGCTTCAGTAGCTCTGGATGCGTCAGAGCAGTCCATGAACATTCTGTGTGGAAAATCTCTGACTGTTTTAGTGGATTACACTGCTCTCCCTTTCCTCCAGTGCCTCGTTATTCAGTATTATTTGATGTTCTCCAGCTTTTAAAATAATCATTTTCCGCCTACGCAGAACATCCTGTAGAGACGTTGAGGTTCCAGTGGGAACAGAGAGGAATACTTATTCTAAAAATGAAGAAAATAAACCTTTTTTTATGGAGTGGGTGATAGTATTGCAGAACTTCTATAATAGTATGAGAATTCACTTGTGGTGCCAAAGCTTAAAAAAAAAGTATAGTAAAAACATAATGTATAGGCTTATTGCTGTGCTATGACCCATGCCCCGTTTTCTCCAACCTCTCTTGTCCTCACTCTTCCTTTTTGCTGGTGATATTTTTACTTATTTCATGAAAAAAAAGATAACATATACACACACATAGATATATGCACAAGTATATGTATATATGTGTGCATAACACACATAAACATATACATTGGTAAATTTAAAAACATATTTATGAAATATATGTAGCATCTACAGAAAAACATGAACACTTGTGAGAATAGCATCTGCCTAAAAAATAGGACATCACCATCACCTTTGAGGCTCTTATGTGCTGCTCCCCTGTGCCATTCCCTTCCCTTCTTCCTTAGAGGTGATTACTATTCTAAATTTTGGGATTATTATTTCCTTTTTTTATTATAGTGTTTTAATTACAGTTTTATTACCTGTATTTGTATTCCTAAAAATTTGTTTACTTTTGCAAGCTTTAGATTTTATAAAAGTAGAATTACACTGTAAGTTTAATTTTTCTGTAATTTATATATAGCTACACATATATTCCTAAGATTCATCCATCTTGTTACATATAGCTCTGGTTTACCTTTTCTGTATAATATAGATTCTGCTTCGTGAATTTACAGTTCATTCATTCTTCTGTTAAAGGACAGTTGGAGGACTCATATGGCCTCAGTCTCTGTGTCCCCACATGCCACCCTGCTTCCCAGCCTCATATGAGTTGATTGGTGGCCTGGCATACTGGATGAGAAGCTCTAGGTCATATATTTAAGAGAGTTATTGCTGGGTCATAAAATGACAGATTGTTTTCCAGAGGGGTCATATTGATTTAAATTATCACCAACAATTATATTGTCAGATTTTTACCAGTTTGGTGATTGTGAAACAGTGTCTGATGGTAGTTTTTATTTGCATTTTCTTGGTTGAAATAAAGTTGTGTATTTCAGCCAGGTGCGTTGGCTCATGCCTATAATCCCAGCACTTTAGGAGGCCAAGGTGGGCAGATCACTTGAGGCCAGGAGTTCAAGACCAGCCCAGCCAACGTGGCAAAACCCCATCTCTACTAAAAATACAAAAATTAGATGGGTATGGTGTCACATGCCTGTAATCCCAGCTACTCAGGAGGCTGAGGCACAAGACTTACTTGAACCCGGGAGATAGATGTTGCAGTGAGCCGAGATTGTACCACTGCACTCCAGCCTGGGCAACAGAGCAATAACTAAATAAATAAGTAATCAATTAATAAATAAGTATATTTCCTCAGCTGTTAAGTACCTGTTCAAGTTTTTTACCCAATATTTGATGGGCTCTTTTTTTGTCTTTTCTAATTAATTTTTGGAGTTTTTGATATATTCTAGATAGTAATGAGTTACATGAAAATATCCCTAGTTTAGGGATCCTCTAGTAACTTTTTAAAATGAATACTTGTTTTAGGAACAGAAATTCTTAGATTTAATGTAGGCAGATTTTATCAATTGTTCTTTACAGATTGGCTTTGTAGCTTAAGAAATCCTTCCTAACTTTGCAATAATTAAAGATATGCTCTTAGATTGTTTCCTAAAAGACTGATACTTAAGCCTCTAGCCCACCTGGAATTGATTTTCACAGATACTACATTTTTTACTAGTTATAGATTGGCCCCTTCGTAGAGCAAGTCCGATAGCTGCCATTTTTATGGCAGCATGTGCTCACTTAGTGTCTCTGTCAAATTTTGGTAATTCTCACAATATTTCCAACTTTTTCATTATTACTATATCTGTTATGGTGATCTGTGATCACTGATCTTTGGCATTACTATTGTAATTGTTTGGGGCACCATTAAGCTCACTGTCTTATGTGGGCATAAACCATGCCCACATAAGACAGTGAGCTTAATTAATAAATGTGTGTGCTCAGACCCCTCCACTGACTGGGTGTTCACATGTCTTCCTTACTCTCCTCAGGCCTCCTTATTCCTTGAGACGCAATAATATGGAAACTAGGCAAATTAATAACCCCACAGCGTCCACAAGTGTTTAAGTGAAAGGAAGAGGCTGGGCGCAATGGCTCACATTTGAGCTCACAAATGAGCCCATGCTCATTTGCCATTCCAAAAATCCCAGGGCCCTTAAGAATTATGCTAACTCTACTCTGCCTCTGCTCTATAAATGGAACAACAAAGCCTAGATGACAGCACATCTTTTTAGAACATGATTTACTGAATATTTTAAGCCCATTGTGGAGACCTACTGCTCAGAAAAAAAGATTCCTTTCAAAAGCCTGTAATCCCAGCACTTTGGGAGGCCAATGCAGGTCGATCACCTGAGGTCAAGAGTTCGAGACCAGCCTGGCCAACATGGTGAAACACGTCTTTATTAAAAATACAAAAATTAGCCAGGCCTGGTGGTAGATGCCTGTAGTCCTGGCTATTCAGGAGGCTGAGGCATGAGAATCACCTGAACCCAGGAGGTGGAGGTTGCAGTGAGCCGATATCATGCCATTGCACTCCAGCCTGGGCACCAGAGTGAGACTACGTCTCAAAAACAAAACAAAAAAAAAAAACTGAAAGGAAGAGCTTAATGAGAAAGGCATATTAAAAGCCAGTATAGGTTGAAAGCTAGGCCTCTTGTGCAAGTTAGCCAAGTTATACATGAATGGTAAAGCAAAACAGCTTTATTGCTGTAATAAAGAAAGTTTTAGTGGTCTGGATAGAAGATCAAATCAGTCACAGCATTCCCTTAAGCCAAAGCCTAATCCAGGGTAAAGCCCTAACTTGCTTCAATTCTTTGAAGACTGAGAGGGGTGAGGAAGCTACAGAAGAAAACTTGGAAGCCAGCAGAGATTGATGAGGTTTAAGGGAAGAAGCCACAAGTGCTGATGTAGAAGCTGTAGCAAGTTATCCAAAAGATCTAATTGATGAAGGTGGCTTACACTAAACAACAGATTTTCAATGTAGACAAAACAATCTTCTATTAGAAGGTGTCATCTATGACTTACATAGTTAAAGAGGAAAAGTCACTGCCTGGCTTCAAAGCTTCAAAAGACAGGTTGACTCTAATAGGTACTAATGCATCTGGTGACTTTAAGTTGAAGCCAGTGCTCATTTGCTATTCCAAAAATCCCAGGGCCCTTAAGAATTATGCTAACTCTACTCTGCCTGTGCTCTATAAATGGAACAACAAAGCCTAGATGACAGCATCTTTTTAGAACATGATTTACTGAATATTTTAAGCCCATTGTTGAGACCTACTGTTCAGAAAAAAAGATTCCTTTCAAAATATTACTGCTCATTAACAATGTACCTGGCCACCCTAGATCTGTAATGGAGATATATAAGGACATGAACACTAACACAGCATCCATTCTGCAACCCATGGATCAAGGAGTGATACTGACTTTCAAGTCTTATTTAAGAAATACATTTCATAGGGCTCTAGCTGCCATAGATAGTGATTCTTCTGATGGATCTGAGCCAAGTAAATTGAAAACCTCTGGAAAGAATTCATCATTTTAGATGTCCTGAGAAACATTCGAGATTCCTGGGAAGAAGTCAAAATATCAACATTAACAGGAGTTTGGAAGAAATTGCATCCAGCCCTCATGGATAACTTTGAGGGGTTCAAGACTTCAGTGGAGGAAGTAGCTGCAGATGTGGTGGAAATCACAAGAAAATTAGAATTAGAAGTGGAGCCTGAGGATATGACTGAATTGCTGCAATCCCATGATAAAATTTGAACAGATGAGGAGTTGCTTCTTATGGATGAGCATAGAAAGTAGTTTCTTGAGAAAGAACTTAATTCTGGTGAAGATGCTGTTAATATTGTTGAAATGGCAACAAAGGATTTAGAATATTATATAAACTTGGTAAAGCAGCAGCAGGGTTTGAGTGGATTGACACTAGTTTTGGAAGAATTTCTACTGTGAGTAAAATGCTATCAAACAACATGACAAGCTACAGAGAAATCTTTCATGAAAGGAAAAATCAATTGATGCAGCAAACTTCACTGTTGTCTTATTTCAAGAAATTGCAACAGCTTCCTCAGCCTTCAGCAATCACCACCCTGATCAGTCAACAGCCATCATCAGGGCTAGATCCTCCACCAGCAAAAAGATAACAATTCGCCGACAGCTCAGATGACTGTTACCATTTTTTAGCAAAAACCTTTTTAATTTTATTTATTTATTTATTGGAGACAGAGATTCACTCTGTCGCCCAGGCTGGAGTGCAGTGGCACAATCTCAGCTCACTGCAACCACCACCTCCCAGGTTCAAGTGACTCTTGTGCCTCAGCCTCCCAAGTAGCTGGGATTATAAGCATGTGCCACCACGCCTGGCCAATTTTTGTATTTTTAGTAGAGGCAGGATTTTACTATGTTGGCCAGGCTTGTCTCGAACTCATGATCTCTGGTGATCTGCCCACCTCGGGTTCCCAAAGTGCTGGTATTATTGGCATGAGCCACTGCGCCCGGCCAGCAAAAAAGTGTTTTTAAATTAAGCTACCTACGTTGATTTTAGACATAATGCTATTTGCACACTTAATAGATTACAGTGTGGTGTAAACATAAGTTTTATATGCACTGAAAAACAAAAAATTTCACATGACTTGCTTTATTGTGATATTGACTTTATTCCTGTAGTCTGGAACTGAACCTGCAATATCTCAGAGGTATGCCTGTATCTACTTGTTCTGTGATACTTGTTATTGTCAGTTTGTTTGGATTTACCACATATTATTTGATCATAATTCTTTCCTGTAGATGTTTTATGGTCTGCCTAAACCTTTAGTGGGGCCTTTGATGGCTTAGTCCTTTCAGGCTTAAGACAATAGAAGTTTATTTCTCAGAGTTCTAAAAGCTGGGAAGTCCAAGATCAAGGCACCGACAGATTTAGTGTCTAGTGAAGGCCCGCTTCCTCATACATGGCACCTTCTAGCTGTATCCTTACATAGTGGAAGGGAATAGCTAGCTCTCTGGAGTTTCTTTCATAAGGGCTAATCCCACTAATCCCAATTATGAGGGAAGACCTAATCACCTCCCAAAGGCCCCACCTCCTAATAGTATCACCTTGGGGGTTAGGATTTAACATATGAATTTTGTGGGGACACAGACATTCAAACAATAGCCATGGCAAACTTTTTTGCTTTGTCTAATTCACTCTTATTTTGAAAAGTATTTGTGTTGGGTTTAAAACTCCAGATTGGTAATTATTTTTTCTTAGTGCATTGAAGGTAATAGTGTATCATTTTCTGATTTCTACTCTTGCTCTTGAAAATTCAGCTATCAATCTTAAAATTTATTACCTGTTGAAAATCCAGCTACCAGTCTTATATTTTATTTACTTAGTGGGTAATCTCTCTTCTGAGTACCTTTAAGATCTCCTTTCAGAAATACCATGTAGTAACCCTGTGTGTCACGTGTGGATTTTGTTGGGCTTGCTAGCTGAGACTTGACAGTTTTCATCACTTCTGGGATATTCTCAGGTATTTTGTCTTCAAAGTCTTCAGATATTGTCCTCTTCCTGCCCTCTCTCCGACTCCTTCTGGAACATGAGTTATGTATTTATTATCTCCCATGTGCATAAGTTATCTTTACATATTTTCAATTTCTTTATCTTTCTGTGCTACATTCTGGATAATTTTGTTGATCTACCTTCCAGTTAATTAGCTTGTTAACTTTGTCAAATCTCTTTTTAAGTCTATCTTGATTTTTCTTTTCAATTATTGTATTTTTCATTTTTAAAAACTTTATGTGCTCTTTTGGAAATCTTGATCCCAGGAGATAGTGGATAGTGTCCTGCTGCTTACTCATGGTTTTAATAGTTCTTGAGCATGCTGAACATACTTATTTTATGTTATTTGCTAATCTTTCCAATTCCTGAAACCTTTACAGATCTCATTCTGTGGATTCTTCTGGATTCTAATTCATGGGGCATTTTTTTTGTTTTTTGTTAATTCCTCATACTTTATCTGTGGGGAATTACTTGAAGCCTGGGTTGACAATGAAATTCTGCAGAGAGAATTTGCATTTGATTCTACTGGAGGAACAGTCAGCCCCGATATCAGTTTAAATTAAAATCTCTGCTTAAGGTTTTCAGGCAACCTGCTTAGCATGAATCCTGGCTGGAAAAGCATGTGAGGACCAGTTTATGATTACACATTCACAGGGTGTCATGTTTTCTTCCAACACCAATGCTAGAGGTGGCAGTTTTGCTTACTGCCCTTGGAGGGACAGGGGAGTGGGCATGGGCATAGTAGTATGGTTTTCCTTTTCACTGGGGGTGCAGCCCTTGGAGTCTCAGCTTAATGTGTTGGGGAAGTGGTCTCCTATTAGACTCTCCATTTCAAACCATTCCATGATTTTGTCCTCCTTTTGCCACCTTCCGAGCCTGTAAAAACTAATGTTTGTGATTCCTGAGGTTTCTCTAATGTCTTTTAATAAAGTTGACCTCAGAGATCTCGTTACCTCTCTGAGTTCCTGCTTTGTCTTAGATTTTGATCCTTGAGTGTTCTTTAATCTTTTAGCAATTCCTTGTTGCATGTTAAAAGATTAGTTATATTTTATTCCTCATTTGTGTTCGTTTTCACCAGGAGGCTCAATTCAGGCTTCTTTGCTTACTTGGTGTCTCTAGTTCTGGTGCCTGGTGCTTTGGTCAATGAAGTGGGGTTGGTAGGATTCTATTACTTACCTGTTTTTTGGTTTTATTTTTTGTTTTGCAGTTCTCCGGGAGATGTTGCATAACCACTCCTTCGTGGGCTGTGTGAATCCTCAGTGGGCCTTGGCACAGCATCAAACCAAGTTATACCTTCTCAACACCACCAAGCTTAGGTAAATCAGCTGAGTGTGTGAACAAGCAGAGCTACTACAACAATGGTCCAGGGAGCACAGGCACAAAAGCTAAGGAGAGCAGCATGAGGTAGTTGGGAGGGCACAGGCTTTGGAGTCAGACACATGTGGTTTCAAATCCAAGTTCGACCATTTCCCATTTATTTGACTGTAGACAAGTTACATTCCTAAACTATGTCTCAGATTTCTCATCTGTAAGTTGTGGTATTACTAGTTAACATGCAGGGGTTTTGTTTGTTTGTTTGTTTGTTTGTTTGTGAGGGTAAGAAATAACCCAAGAAGCCTAGTCCTTGGTAGTTGCTCAGTGCCCTATAAATGTTGTGAACCAGGTGGTGAGGGTTTGGTGCTGCTAGAGAATTCTGGTATCTGCTCTGTGCAACAGAGTACTGTAGGTGATGCAAGAGAAAGAAGACCTGATGCCTTCTTTCCTCCCAGCTTTGAGAATGGAGCAAAGGCCTACCCCAGCCACCAAGTGAGCCAGTGGGCTTGATCAGCACAGGAAAGGTGACCCCGGCAGTTTCATTTGACTATTGCATGGCTGGCAACATTTCTATTGATTGTTTCCAGGGACCTTGGCGGATGAGCTCCTGTTGAGTCTAGCATCTCTGTTAAATCTGTTCTCAAATAGGTAATGCATATGGGAGGATGCTGCCACCTTGCATCTACTAGACATCACCTATCTACTGTGAGACTCTCCCTCTAAGCCCTGCTGTGGCCTCAGAGTGCTTATTGGCCCTGTGAGTGGGGCAGCCACTATACATTGCATGGAGTTGGTACATGAGATAGAAACCTATTCGCCATCCCTTGAAACTGCCCCAGTCCAGAAGCTTCCTGTTAGCACATGTACCTCCTTGTATGTATTCAGAACTCATTCCATTTAGGCTTGGAAACCCGTTTGGTGCAACTCTGTTCAAGTTCCATTGTCTGCTTTGAGAATGCTTGGGCTTGTATAGTGAGCTGTCACTTTTTAATTTGTTAGGAATTCTACTCGCCTTGCTTTTTCTTTTCCAGCATGTTTAAGGGAATGACCTCCAAGGCCCCAAATCACAGTTGTATTCATGTTCTTTCATTTCACAGATACAATCCAGGCCAGTCCCAGATTTGCAGCTGTTAATAAATGTGAATGGTTTTCCAGTAAGGGGGTAGAAAAACATAGGGAGAGAACCGGGTTCAGAGTTCAATATCTGGATTCAAGTCCTTCCTTTAGCACTTTACTAACTGATGTAGAATAAGTCAGCTACTCAATAGGTGCCTCAGTTTCCCCACCAAAATGCAGACATAGAAGGTGCTTTGTCTGCTTTGATGAGAAGTCTTTAAGCAAGTCTATGGGGTTCAATGTGTTTTAAGAACTATAAAGTACCATATAAATGTGGCCTTTATTCCCATTGTGTTCTTGGAAGTAATTCAATATAGTGTGTACTTCATAGCTGCTTTTGGACTATTGCCAGCCAGTGTATCATCCTAAACTACATGTCAGCATAGTATAATCCTGCCTTAGGTCTACTTTTGATTATTTAGGAAGACTCCCTGCCCTTCCTATACATTTCACATAATTTTTAATAAGTTGTAAAAAAGTGATTTATAGGATTCTTTGTAAGTGGGGGAAGTTAAGCAGACAAAAAGTTTTTAAATCTTACTGCAGAGTGTCAGGAACCTTTTATAGCACCAGACAGGTAGGGACAGAACATGAGTGGCAGCAAGCCAGACTTGGTCTTAGTGCTCTAACCTGTCTGTTAGAGGCTGGCCAGTCAGACCCCTGGTTGAAGACGTTGGGAATCCCAGCTCTTTGGAGGGGTAAGAGATTTTGTTAGACTGTTAACCAGATTCCACAGCCAGGCAGAACTATTTCTGTCTCATCCATGTTTCAGGGATTACTTCTCCCATTTTGTCCCAACTGGTTGTATCTCAAGCATGAATTCAGCTTTTCCTTAAAGTCACTTCATTTTTATTTTCAGTGAAGAACTGTTCTACCAGATACTCATTTATGATTTTGCCAATTTTGGTGTTCTCAGGTTATCGGTAAGTTTAGATCCTTTTCACTTCTGAAATTTCAACTGATCGTTTCTGAAAATAGTAGCTCTCCACTAATATCTTATTTGTAGTATGTTAAATTTTTCTAAAACTTCTAAGGATAGTTGCTGTATTGTATGATTTGCATATGGAGGTATCTATAAGAAGTTTTATACTTTTTAGCAAAATAGTCATTTGGTAGCCAACTTAAACAAATGTTTATTAATATAGAAGTTAATAATATCTACTGATACTCGGCCGGGTGCGGTGGCTCATGCCTGTAATCCCACCACTTTGGGAGGCTGAGGCGGGCAGATCATTTGAGGTCAGGAGTTCAAGACCAGCCTGACCAATATGATGAAACCCTGTCTCTACTAAATTACAAATATTAGCAGGGTATGGTGGTGGGCGCCTGTAATCCCAGCTACTCAGGAGGCTAAGGCAGGAGAATCATTTGAACCCAGGAGGCAGAGGTTGCAATGAGCTGAGATCACGCCACTGCACTCCAGCCTGGGCAACAGAGCAAGATTCCCTCAAAAAAATAAATATCTACTGACACTTAATACTTGGAAAGGGATAAAAATAAACATTGTCTAAAGCCGTGGTCCAAACACAACCCCTGCCAACAATTTTAGTCCATTTCTTCCAAGACTTTTTTTTTTCTATGCCTTTTGTGAAAACTGTCAAAAACTTTTTCAATGCTGAATTTTAGTTCTGAGTTAAAAATCATACTACCTGTTTATATGGTTTCATATCCACTTTTTTCATGTGATATACTCTACAAAAAGCCTGCTGAGATTTTGATTGGGATTATGTTGAATCTAGATCAATTTAGGGTGAAAAACTTTTGTTAGATAAATCCCTTAGTATTTCACATTTTTAAATGCTAAATGGCATTTTTCAAAAATTTTCTTTTTTCTTTTCTTTTTTGAGACAGAGTCTTGCTCTGTTGCCCAGGCTGGAGTGCAATGGCAAAATCTTGGTTCACTGCAACCTCCGCCTCCTGGGTTCAAGCGATTCTCAAACTGCCTCAGCCTCCCAAGTAGCTGGGATTACAGGCATGTGCCACCATGCCCGGCTAATTTTTTAAACTATTTATAGTAGAGAGGGGGTTTCACCATGTTGGCCAGGCTGGTCTTGAACTCCTGACCTCAGGTGATCTGCCCACCTTGGCTTCCCAAAGTGCTGGGATTACAGGTGTGAGCCACTGCACCTGGCCTCAAATTTTTTTTTTTTTTTTTTTTAAGAGACAGGGGTCTCACTCTTGCCTAGGCTGGAGTGCAGTGGCGTGATCATAGGTCACTGAAGCTTTGAACTCCTAGGCTCAAGTAGCTAGGAATACAAGTGTGTACCACTACACCTGGCTAATTTTTTTAAAAAAATTTTTTTCGTAGAAACGGGAGTCTTGTGTTACCAAGGCTAATCTCAAACTCATGGCCTCAAGTGATACTCTTGCCTCAGCCTCCCAGAGTGCTAGGATTGTAGGCATGAGTTACTTCACCCAGCCAAAAAACTTCAATTTCCTATTGTTTATTTGCTAGTATATAGAAATACATATAGTTTTGTACCTTGATGCTGTATCTTGCAACCTTGTTAAACTCACTTACTAGTTCTAGTATATTTTTTGTAGATTCTATCAGATTTTCTATATATGTATCATGTCTTCTGAGAATAAAGAAACTTTTACTTCTTGCTGTGCAAACTGAACACCTTTTCTTTCTTTCTTTCTTTTTTTAAGACGGAGTTTTGCTCTTGTCACCCAGGCTGGAGTGCAGTGGCTGGATCTCGGCTTACTGCAACCTCCACCTCCTGGGTTCAGGCAATTCTCCTGCCTCAGCCTCCTGAGTAGCTGGGATTACAGGCGCTCGCCACCACGCCCGGCTAATTTTTTTGTATTTTTAGTAGAGATGGGGTTTCACCATGTGGCCGAGCTGGTCTTGAACTCCTGACCTCAGGTAATCTGCTTGTCTCGGCCTCCCAAAGTGCTGGGATTACAGGCGTGAATTACTGCGCCCGGCTGCCTTTTATTTCTTTCTCTTGACTGACTGCACTGGCTAGAGCCTCCAATACAATGTTGAATAGAAGTGGTAAGAATGGGCCAGGCATGGTGGCTCATGCCTCTAATCCTAGCACTTTGGGAGAGTATGGTGGGCAGGTTACTTGAGGCCAGGAGTTTGAGATCAGCCTGGCGAACATGGTGAAACTCTGTCTCTATTAAAAATACAAAATATAGTTGGGTGTGGCAGTTCACGTCTGTAATCCCAGCTACTTGGGTGGCTGAGGCATGAGAATCACTTGAACCCAGGAGGCGGAGGTTGCAGTGAGCCAAGAATGCACCACTGCACTCCAGCCTGGGCAACACACACACACACGAAAAACGAAGTGGTAAGGATGGAAATCCTTCTCTTCTTCCTGATCTAAGGGGGAAAGGGGAAAGTTACAAAACATTCAGTATGCTGTTAGCCATATAGGTTTTTTTGTAGATGCCCATTATGAGGTTGAGGAAGTTCCCTCTGTTCCTTATTTGCTACAGATTTTATTTAGGATTGGATGTTGAATTTTTTTCAAATGCTTTTTTTGCATCTACTGAGATAATCATATGATTTTTCTTTTATAGTTTGTTAATATAGTGAATTACATTGATTTTCTTATGTTAAACCAATCTTTGCATTCCTGGGATGAACTCTGCTTGGTTATAATATATAATCCTTTTTATTTATTATGGGATTTGATTTGCTAAAATTTTTATTATAATTATTTTATCTGTGCTCATGATTGTTACTAGTTTATAGTTTTCTTTTAGTCTTTGGTTTTTGTATCAGGGTAATGCTGGCCTCATAGAATGAGTTGGTAAGTATCCCCTCCTTTTCCATTTTCTGAAAGAGTTTTGTGTAGAATTGATGTTAAAATTATTGCTTAATGTTTGGCAGAACTCAACAGTGAAGCCATCTGGGCTTGGAGATTTTCTTCATGGGAAGGTTTTTAACTGCAAATTCTATTTCTTTAATAGTATAGAGCTATTCAGGTTATCTGTTTCTTCTTAGGTAAGCTTTGGTATTTTGTTTCTTTGAAGAAATTTGTCGCATTTAATCTAAATTTTTAAATTTACTGACATAAAGTTATTTATAATATTTCTTATTCTTTTATTATCTATGGATCTCTTGGTGACATAACCTCTCTCATTCCTAATATTGGTAATTTCAGGCTTTTCTTTTTAACTTGGTCAGTCTGGCTAGAGGTTTATCAATTTTATTGATCTTCTCAAAGAACTAACTTTTGGTTTCATAGATTTTTCTATTTTCTATTTCATTGATATCTGCTCTGACTTTTAATCTTTCTTATACCTATTTTGGTTTAATTTGTCTTCTGTTTCACATTTCTTTTTTTTTTTTTTTTTTTTTTTTTGAGACAGAGTCTTGCTCTGTCGCCCAGGCTGGAGTGCAGTACAGTGGTGCGATCTTGGCTCACTGTAACCTCAGCCTTCCAGGTTCAAGCGATTCCTGTTTCTAAGCCTCCCAAGTAGCTGAGATTACAGGCATGCACCACCAGCTAATTTTTGTATTTTTAGTAGAGATGGGGTTTCACTGTGTTGGCCAGGCTGGTCTCAAACTCCTGACCTCAGGTGATCCACCTGCCTTGGCCTCCCAGAGTGCTGGGATTACAGGTGTGAGCCACTGTGGCTGGCCTGTTTCACATTTCTTAAGGTAGAAGCTGAGGTCACGGATTTGAGACCTTTCTTCTTTTCTAATACAGGTGTTAAGTGCTACAAATATCCCTTAAGCACTGCTTCAACAGCATCCCACAAATTTTGATAGTTTGTTTTCATTTTCATTCAGTTCAAAATACCTTCTAATTTCCCTTTTGATTTCGTCTTTGACCTACAGGTTTTTTAGAACTGTGTTATTTAGTTTCCAATCTCTTGAGGATTTTTAAAACAATATGTTATTGATTTCTAATTTATTTCCATCTCAGTCAAAGAACATACTTGCCTTTTTTTATACATTTATTGAAACTTTTTTTATGGCCCAGAATATGGTCTGTGTTGGTAAATGTTCCATGTGTACTTGAAAATAATTTGTATTCTGATCTCATTGAGTTGAATGTTCTAGGTATATCAAGTTGATAGTGATGCCCAAGTCTCCTGTATCTTTACTGATTTTCTGCCTGTTCTGTTATTGAGAAAGGGGTATTGAAACTTCCAACTATAATTATGATTTGTCTGTTCTCTTTGCAGTTCTCTTAGTTTTTGCCTTCATATATATATACATATATATGTATATATATATATATTTTTTTTTTTTTGAGATGGAGTCTTGCTCTGTTGCCCAGGCTGGAGTGCAGTGGTGTGATCTTGGCTCACTGCAAGCTCCGCCTCCCAGGTTCACGCCATTCTCCTGCCTCAGCCTCCCGAATAGCTGGGACTACAGGCGCCCACCACCACGCCCAGCTAATTTTTTGTATTTTTAGTAGAGACAGGGTTTCACCATGTTAGCAAGGATGGTCTCGATCTGACCTCGTGATCCGCCCAGCTTAGCCTCCCAAAGTGCTGGGATTACAGGCATGAGCCACTGCACCCAGCCCATATATTTTAAAGCTCTGTTATTGGGTACATAAACATTTAGGATTGTTATATCCTTTTGATAATGGACTCTTCTATTATGAAAAGATAATATACTGTGGGTTTATAACATATGTAAAAGTATGAGTAACATATTATCAGAAGGGGAGAAATGGAAGATAACTTAGGCATCTTATTTTTAAGCATAGTTTTCCCTTTGTTTCTGCATTAGATGATTTACCTGAAATGTCATTCAATTTAACTTACTCTCCATCCTCACCCGCCCAGCTTTGGTTATGAGGCAGTAGAAAGAAATGATCTGCCTGTGGTTTTCTAGAAATACGAAAGTTGAGTCCTTAAGGCTACACAGAAAGAAAGTACCTCCCCAGGGCTTCACCCTTCCCATCCTTTCAGCAGGCTTTTTGTCTGTCGTATCTTCTCTGTTGAAATGGCCATTGACAAGAGGAGGAAAGGGGTTTTGTTGTGGATTGTTCAGGCACTTCCTTTGGGGTATATGGGGGATGAGTGTTACATTTATGGTTTCTCACCTGCCATTCTGATAGTGGATTCTTGGGAATTCAGGCTTCATTTGGATGCTCCGTTAAAGCTTGCTCCTTCATGTTCTTGCTTCTTCCTAGGAGCCAGCACCGCTCTTTGACCTTGCCATGCTTGCCTTAGATAGTCCAGAGAGTGGCTGGACAGAGGAAGATGGTCCCAAAGAAGGACTTGCTGAATACATTGTTGAGTTTCTGAAGAAGAAGGCTGAGATGCTTGCAGACTATTTCTCTTTGGAAATTGATGAGGTGTGACAGCCATTCTTATACTTCTGTTGTATTCTTCAAATAAAATTTCCAGCCGGGTGCGGTGGCTCATGGCTGTAATCCCAGCACTTTGGGAGGCTGAGGTGGGCAGATAACTTGGGGTCAGGAGTTCAAAACCAGCTGGCCAACATGATGAAACCCCGTCTCTACTAAAAAAATAGAAAAATTAGCCAGGCGTGGTGGCGGGTACCTGTAATCCAAGCTGCTCAGGAGGCTGAGGCAGAAGAATCACTTAAACCCAAGAGGTAGAAGTTGCAGTGAGCCGAGATTGCACCACTGCACTCTAGCCTAGGCGACAGCGAGACTGCGTCTCAAAAAAAAAAAAAAAGAACGTTCCAAGGTCAGGACTAGGCCTCCCCTCAGAAGCAGCAAGTGACATATGTGACATCCTCTCCACTCCCTATTTGCATTTCTAGGTTATATAACTGTACTACTATCCATGCATGCCTACTCTTGTTCCCAGGGTGAAGGACCCAGACATGGAGAGCCGAATCCCTGCAGGCCATTATAAATGAGATTATGCCATTTGCTCCCATTTCTTCTTATTCTTTCATTTTTGGGGCTCTCCATCTTGATGTGTTCTTTGGATCGTGAACAGATCCAAAGAAAAGGTTGTTCTGCCGTGCTGTTTGTCAGGATGAAAAACTCTTTTTTAAGTGTTTAGGTCTGCCCCCAGTGCCCAGCCCAATCAAGTAACGTGGTCACCCAGAGTGGCAGATAGGAGCACAAGGCCTGGGAAAGCACTGGAGAAATGGGATTTGTTTAAACTATGACAGCATTATTTCTTGTTCCCTTGTCCTTTTTCCTGCAAGCAGGAAGGGAACCTGATTGGATTACCCCTTCTGATTGACAACTATGTGCCCCCTTTGGAGGGACTGCCTATCTTCATTCTTCGACTAGCCACTGAGGTCAGTGATCAAGCAGATACTAAGCATTTCGGTACATGCATGTGTGCTGGAGGGAAAGGGCAAATGACCACCCTTTGATCTGGAATGATAAAGATGATAAGGGTGGGATAGCTGAAGGCCTGCTCTCATCCCCACTAATATTCATTCCCAGCAATATTCAGCAGTCCCATTTACAGTTTTAACGCCTAAAGTATCACATTTCGTTTTTTAGCTTTAAGTAGTCTGTGATCTCCGTTTAGAATGAGAATGTTTAAATTCGTACCTATTTTGAGGTATTGAATTTCTTTGGACCAGGTGAATTGGGACGAAGAAAAGGAATGTTTTGAAAGCCTCAGTAAAGAATGCGCTATGTTCTATTCCATCCGGAAGCAGTACATATCTGAGGAGTCGACCCTCTCAGGCCAGCAGGTACAGTGGTGATGCACACTGGCACCCCAGGACTAGGACAGGACCTCATACAATCTTTAGGAGATGAAACTTGCCCATCTCTAAAATTTCGGGATTTCTTTGTACCCAACAAGGTTCAAACACAACAGTCAGCTTTTATTCATGATTTTTACTTCCATCTGCTGATGTAGAACATACCTCCAGAGTGACCTCAGAAATTGTCAAATGTGAAAACACAAGCCATCACAGTGAGAAATGGGAGGTTGAGTTAGATTGTCTAAGGCTGGAGAGTCCATATACTCCCACTGTTAGCTCTGAAGTGTGTAGCCAGTCTTCAGATTCTGGGTCAGTTGCCTCAGTCTCTCTTAGCTTTTGCCTTACTCTTTATCCGACCACTGCCCTGCCAGGAAAACAAGGCTCTATAACTCCTCTTACAGGTCAGCTTGACACAAAAAGGGTGCCTGGATTCCTAATGTTTCATTGTCACTTTTCCCAGTCAGATGATAATGCTTTTCAAATCAACATATATTTTGGGGGAGGTTGGAAGGGAGAGTTGAAATATTCTAAGAATCAAAGAGTAGCCCACTTTAATCAGAGTATGACCCCTGATTGCTCACAGTCATCTCCTGAGCAGTGTGAGCGAGTTTCAGATGAGGAGGCTGAAGGCCAGTCAGGCATGCTCGAGGATTCCAAGTCTGTAGGTGGGAGGGCAGAGATTTAGTCCTGTTGGCCAAAGCCTCTAGGGAATTTCTCACTCCAGTGGAGAAGGCAACACACTTACCAAACTGTGTGGAAACTATCTCATTTGATTAGAAATTTTACCTCAAGAAGAGGAAGGACAGTTGAGAAAGAACATTTTCTTACACATGAGACAGCTAAGGCTTACAAGAAGGAGAGGAATAATGAGGCAAAATAATCCTCATTAATATTTTCATTCCTCCCCTGGGGATTAGAACTACTTTCAGACCCGATTTTAATGGTAAGTTAGGTACTTCCTACAGTTGCCATCCAAATATCAGTCAGGATCAGACATGATGTTAGCTCCTGCTACAATAAAACCATTTTCTCCCTGAATGAAAACAAAGGTTCCACAGGAGACAGTCCCACAGAGCAGTGGCTTCTTTTCCTCCCTTTAAAACCTCATGTTGGCTGGACACAGTGGCTCACACCTGTAATCCCAGCATTTTAGGAGGCTGAGGTGGGAAGATGGCTTAAGCCCAGGAGTTTGAGGCTGTAGAGCTATGATCACACCACTGCCCTTCAGCCTGGGTGACAGAGCAAGACCTTGTCTCTAAATAAACAAACAAACAAAAAATCCTCTTGTGTTCAGGCCTGTGGGATCCCCTGAGAGGCTAGCCCACAAGATCCACTTCAAAAGCCCTAGATAACACCAAGTCTTTCCAGACCCAGTGCACATCCCATCAGCCAGGACACCAGTGTATGTTGGGATGCAAACAGGGAGGCTTATGACATCTAATGTGTTTTCCAGAGTGAAGTGCCTGGCTCCATTCCAAACTCCTGGAAGTGGACTGTGGAACACATTGTCTATAAAGCCTTGCGCTCACACATTCTGCCTCCTAAACATTTCACAGAAGATGGAAATATCCTGCAGCTTGCTAACCTGCCTGATCTATACAAAGTCTTTGAGAGGTGTTAAATATGGTTATTTATGCACTGTGGGATGTGTTCTTCTTTCTCTGTATTCCGATACAAAGTGTTGTATCAAAGTGTGATATACAAAGTGTACCAACATAAGTGTTGGTAGCACTTAAGACTTATACTTGCCTTCTGATAGTATTCCTTTATACACAGTGGATTGATTATAAATAAATAGATGTGTCTTAACATAATTTCTTATTTAATTTTATTATGTATATATTGTGTCAGTTCAGATGCCAAAAAGAGGTCTTGAACATGTCACAGGCTCTGATGGCACTGACCATGGAGAAAGCTTGATTTGATCATCTGGTGTCTACAATAACCAAAGCTAATTATTAAGGAAAAAAACTTGAAGAAAGAAAATAGTCCTTACTTCATCTATAATGAGGTTTTTGTTTTTTTGTTTTGAGACGGAGTCTTGCTTTGTTGCCCAGGCCGGAGTGCAGTGGCGCGATATTGGCTCACTGCAACCTCCGCTTACCGGGTTCAAGCAATTCTCCTGCCTCAGCTTCCTGAGTAGCTGGGATTACAGGCACCTGCCACCACGCCCGGCTAATTTTTGTATTTTTAGTAGAGATGTGGTTTCACGATGCTGGCCAAGCTGGTCTCAAACTCCTGACCTCAGGTGATCCTCCCACCTCAGCCTCCCAAAGTTAAGTGCTGGGATTACAGGCATGAGCCACTGCGGCCGGCATTAAGTATGAGTTTTTAAGTTAGCCCACTTTGTTAATGACTATGAGTACTAATAGCTTAAGATAAAGAAGTTTCTAGGTAATCTTGTTTGAAGGATGATGTAAAAATATAAATTTAAACTGTGAGTGACAAAATAAACTTCCTTAATATTTGCCTACATTTAGAGAAATGGAGCATTCAGCTCAGAAAGGAAGAATGTCTGTGGTTTTAAGGTAAAATCCATATTCCAAGACTCAGTGAAGAAAGTTCAGTGATAAAGAACAGACTACTCTCATCTTATGAAGAAATGGAGCAATTTCACTTGGAAAGACTAGGAAGACAAAATGTTACAGACGTATTTGTTGTGCCACAAAATAGGCAAGGTCAGTTTTGAACAATAAGAACTCCATAAAGTAGACCAGGGCATCTCAGAAGTGAGGTTCCATGAGCCCAGGTGGGGCACAGGCTGGGTGATCTTGAGTGGAGAGGAAGAGGGGTTTTCTGAGCTTCAAGAGCTGGGCCACACAGTGTGTTGGTTTTAGCTGGGATGGAGTTCTAGAACAAACCTGCACTTTAGAACACCTTTCTACCCACCCCCAACCACACAACTTGCTACTATTAGTAAATGTATAGGCTGAGGCACGGTGGCTCATGCCTGTAATCCCAACACTTTGGGAGGCTGAGGCAGGCAGATCACTTGTGGTCAGTAGTTCAAGACCAGCCTGGGCAACATGGTGAAACCCTAACTCTACTAAAAATACAAAAATTAGCAGGGTGTGGTGGCAGACACCTGTAATCCCACCTACTTGGGGGGCTGAGGCAGGAGAATCAAGCTTGAACCCGGAAGGCAGAGGTTGCAGTGAGCCAAGATCATACCACTGCACCCCAGCATGGGTGACAGCACGAGACTGTCTCTCAAAAAAAAAAAAGAGGCCAGGCACAGTGGCCCACACCTCTAATCCCAGCACTTTGGGAGGTTGAGGTGGGCAGATCACTTGAAGTCAGGAGTTCAAGACCAGCCTGGCCAACATGGTGAAACCCCATCTCTACTAAAAATACAAAAATCAGTCGGGTGTGGTGGTGCACACCTGTAGTCCCAGCTCCTCGGGAGGCTGAGGCAGAAGAATCACCTGAACCTGGGAGGCAGAGGTTGCAGTGAGCCGAGATCGTGCCACTGCACTCCAGCCTGGGTGACTGAGCGAAACTCTGTCTCAAAAAAAAAAGAAAGAAAATGTATAGAAAATCATCTCAATTCAGAAGATTGGTATCCATATTTTTTAAATGAAGGGCTAATTAAAAAAGGAACAAATATTAGAGATTTTATTCACTTTTGAGTTACCTTTTTAAAGTCTAGTTTTATTATCTTATGTGCCTTTAGTCACTAGATTTTCCCCCAATATATTTTCTGTGTAAGCACTTTAAAGATACAATAATCATTTCTATAAAACCACCTGGGTACTAAGAGCAAAAGAGAATCATAAATTCTGCAAAGTAGTTGCACTCCATGATTTTAAAAAAACCTCTTGGACAGGGTACCTCTAAAGGTGAAACTCAAGTCTTTAAAAGTTCTACATTCCAGATTGTTTTTCCTTGAGAAGGAGACAAAAGAAGAGGGATGTGGTTGCCATGATTTGTTTTAAAGTCTCCTATAACAAAATGAACATGTCAGTAGCCAATTGTGGTTGGCAAAAGGGTGTATTTAATAGAATCTGCAGGCAGATTTCCAATCTGCCTGCCCTGCCCTACCCTCCCCCTTTGGGTTTGTTTGAGGTTTCATTCCACAAATAAGCAGCAGATAAAATACTTTACAAGGTACAGCACAGTTGTATTGAAGAAAAAAAGGACCCAACTCTTACTTTAGGAGTATTAGGCCTGGACTTCCCCTGCCCCATGCAATAAAGCAAGTTTTATATACACTCCCCATATTTTTTTCTAACATTTTCTTATATAAATTTAAATATTTTACAAAAAAAGGCTTTTTTCCTCCAAACATATAAATCTGAGTGAAACATAGATTCCCCACCCGAGAACTTGTTTCTTCACTAAAATATAAATGTTGTCTGATATTAAGGGTAAATGTCTTTTGACCACTGGAGATCACTGAAGTCTGAATTGCACCGTGGAGAAGGCACTTGTGTTTTCTGAGGTCTCCAGCAAGTATCTCAGTGAGCACTCATAGAATTGCTGTCTGTCCTCCAGAACCCGTGCCAAGGCCTCCGAGTGCCCAGTTACTGAGGCAGCTGGGGAAAAACGTTGAGTAAACATGATTCTACAATTACGGAGATAAAAAATAAAAACAGCATGGACTGGTTCTACCCTAGAATCAAACTACAACAAAATCCAAAGTGTTCATTCATGTAGATTCAAAATGACTTCATTCTGTCATAAATTATAAAATACAAAGGTGGCTGTTTTAATGACAAAACTCAAAACAGTACTAAAAGGGGTTTGTGTCAATGGACAAAAGTCAGTCCCTCTAGGTAGGGCCCCAAGGAGCATCACCCAGGTTGAAGGGTGGTTTTCCTACTGCTGGGCCAGAAGTGCTGTCCTATTGGCCTTCATCTTCTCCAGCCGCTTGGCCAGGTGGCTGTTGGTCATCTCCATCTCCTCAATCTTGTCCAGTGCTGTTCGTAACTGGAGACAGGGAGAATGCAGTCACTACATGTGGTCAGAAACAACATCCAGTGCTACTCTATTTTCAACTTCCTGGGAAATGAAAGCACTGCTAACTGTGATGGCCTTGCACAGGACCCACAACCTCATTTTTTCTATCAGTTAGAGGTGTTAAATGATGATACTGAGGATTGTTTATTTGTTTTAATCACAGAAAGGATATATAGAAGTTGGAGAAATAGACCTGATCTGAAGCAAAAATACAAACTATCTTTTTACTTAGTATCTAATTGACCAAAACATAAAAGTAAATGGCAGTCACTATGCAGGTCAAAAACCAACACAAATTAGTTAAGTGACTCCACTGCTGTTTCCTTAAGTATCAAATTTCTTACACAGCTAAGAATTATTTCCAGAAGATTTTTTCTTTTTAGGAATGTATTCTCCAAGAAACATATTAAAAGAAGTACCTCTCGTTGTAGCTTCCGTTTTTCTGCTTTCAATTCATCTTCAACTTTCTCAGCATTCTCAGCAGCAGTTTTATATCTCAGAACCTGTCCCTCAAGCCGGCTAATCTGTAAGTATGAGAACATAGGCCTCTAGTACTGGGCACTAGAAGTCACCACTTTTTGGTAGCCAGGATGGAAATACAATGTCATTATAAATGCCAAGTAATCTACTAACAAGTCCCCTAAGGGTGACTCATAAGTCCTCTCAGAACTCAGTTGCTATTTATAAATCAAGTAATGTCCCCAGAGAGGATTACAGCTGTAGAGTCATTTTAGGGCCAATTTCCCATGCTAAGTTTTATTATGACCATATTGTTTAAGTGCCAAAGCAATATAGGAAGAGACACTAAATGGAAAAGTTCTTACACTTTTTGGAATGCGTAAGGGATTTTATTACAAATGATGATCTTGAATTCTCCTGAAATATCTACAAAAACTGATAGCTATAGTTTCCTATGGTTTTAGAGAAAACAGAAGGCTAAAATGTCCCAACAAGTGCTCTCTGCTGGCTTTTCTATTTTAATACAGAACTATTATTGATCCAACTGCAAAGGCAACCCAGGCACTCATGGGTTGTTAGCCACTTAGATGCAGGAAGGACATTTAAATAACTTAGTACCATATAGAAGTACTTACACTTTGCTCCAAGGTAGTTATATCCTGTTCTGCTTTTGAAAGCTTAAATTTGTATTCGCTAATTTGTCTATTGGCATCTCCTAGAACAGAAGAAGACAATGAATTATCTTCACCTGTCAGAGATGACAGTATGAGCCATCAGGCAGTACCTCTGTGGCACAGAGAGGACCATGCAGTCTTAAGATTACAAAATACAGGGCTGGGCGCGGTGACTCACGCCTGTAATCCCAGCATTTTGGGAGGCCGAGGTGGGTGGATCATGAGGTCAAGAGATAGAGGCGACCATCCTGGCCAACATGGTGAAACCCTGTCTCTACTAAAAATATAAAAATTAGCTGGGCGTGGTGGCACAGGCCTGTAGTCCCAGCTACTCGGGAAGCTGAGGCAGGAGAATCACTTGAACCCGGGAGGCAGAGGTTGCAGTGAGCTAAGATCGCGCCACTGCACTCCAGCCTGGCAACAGAGCGATACTCCGTCCCCCTGCCAAAAAAAAATTACAAAATACAAATGCACACACAACAACCACAGCATCTTCAGCAGCCCAGGTTCTGGACTGTATATACTACAAGATGCTCTAGCATATATGTTACTACAGTATCCCTTGCAGCAAGAGTTAGAAGAAAATTCTTTACCCTATGATATGTGTGAGCAGGGCTTGAGAAAGGAGCCCTGCCAATTCAGCAGCAGCCCCTACCAACCCTGTGTGTAACCTTGTGGAGCCTCCCTGCCCACGGGACTGGGCCCTCTAGTTCCCTGAACGCGGCCCCATGCCTTCCCATCTCCCAGGTTTTGCTTCTGCTGTCCAATACTGTAAGGGTCCTTTTCTCCCACCTCTGACTTGCTTCAAGGCCAAGCTCAATTTTCACCTCTTTCATGACTCCCCTTAATTATAAGTCCTTCCCTTGCTGTATTTTATTTGCATTTTTATGACATTTGTCATGCTTTTTAAACATCGTATGTGTAAGCAAGAAGAGGGGCCCTGTCTTGGCCTTCCTAAATCTACCTATGTACCTAGCCAAGTGCACACAGTGTATGCCTAAATAAATATATGTTGGAATAAATGCTGTTCAGTAATGTGATAATGTGTTATGGGTAGAGCTATAAGTTACTAGATGAACATCTGACCTAGGAAGTAAATCACTTAAAATGAAAAGTTTAGAAATGATGGCAGGGGACTTTTAAAATCCCTCCAAGAATCCAAGTTTAGCAAAAATCAGTCTCTGGCATGATTACAGTAATAAGATTTGCAAAAGATAAACCAAATCTAACATACCACAGGAAATATTCAGATTATCTAACTTAAGAACTTTTCTACATTTCCACATGACCAAGGTTACAATTACTTATACAGTCTTCAATGTGAGAGGTTTTTCTTTTTTTTTTTTTGAGATGGAGTCTCGCTCTGTCGCCCAGGCTAGAGTGCAGTGGCGCGATCTCGGCTCACTGCAAGCTCCATCACCCAGGTTCACGCCATTCTCCTGCCTCAGCCTCCTGAGTAGCTGGGACTACAGGCACCCGCCACCATGCCTGGCTAAATTTTTGTATTTTTAGTAGAGACGGGGTTTCACCATGTTAGCCAGGATGGTCTCGATCTCCTGACCTCGTGATCCACCCACCTCAGCCTCCTAAAGTGGTGAGAGGTTTTTCTAATTGGACAATTACTGTCACCTTAAAAGGAACAGGGTTACCATCTCCCCAAAAGCCATATCTGGTAGTGAAAGAGAAGTATTCCTATTTCTGAGCCCTAAAACAAGCTTCAGGATCTGATTTTTAAATTGTTATCCTCAGCAATCTATTGATTATCCAAATGTACTTCTTCCTTCTCACTCTCCAAACCACCTTTCCCTTCCTGTTTTCAAAAGTTTAAGTCTCTTATCTCAGTAACTTCATGTGTGTTTTGAAATCCCATTCCAAAACACTCTCATAATAGGCAAGGCACCATCCAGAACCAAGAGTTGCTCCACTCCTGGCCTTCTGGTCCAGGGAAGCTGCTTGCTTTTGTCTTTGCCAGCTTTCCCACAGTCCTGCAAAGCTCACTTTGTTCTACACCTCCTGCCTGGGTACTTTACCTTCTGCAAATACCAGCTATACAACAACCTACCTACTCTAGGAAGTATTCACACATAAATGCCAGCCCATTCCCCCTAAATCTGTTTCCTTTTAAATTTGCTGCTTAAGGACAATCTCTCAGATCTATTCCCTACCCTCTCTCTAAGACTGCTGACAGCTACTGAACTGGTTCAGGCTCACCACTGTAGTAGCTTCCTAACTAGTCAGCCTGCCTTTTCCCATGTCCCTGTTCTCATCTACCGCCAACACCAAAATGACATTCTTGAACAAAATATTCACCAGGAAATGTCACAAGTGTCCTAACTGATGTCCAACAGAAAAGATAATACCAATATCAAAAGTTAGTATTAATAAGCCTTAACCCAAAAAGTCTTTTCTCTTTTTTTTTTTTTTGAAGAGACGGGTTTTCACCACATTGCCCAGGCTGGTCTCAAACTTCTGAGCTCAAGCAATCCACCACCTCAGCCTCTCCAAATGCTGGGATTATGGGTGCGGGCCACCACGCCTGGCCCCAACATGTCTTTTCTTGGCAGCCTATCTCAGAAGGTTTAGATGAAAAGTCCATGGAATAAACAAGATTTTAATATTAGTTATCAGAAAAGTCACTATTCTTATTGGAAAAATGAAAATCTCCTCTGTCCGAGAATTACACATAATCACTAACAAAGGCTAACTACAAATTCCTGCTGAAATCTTCCTACTATGGGAATTAGTGTGACTGCAGTGATCATTTTATTATGAGGTCAGAAGTAGAAAAATGAGAAAAACTGGAATAATTCGGGTAAAATGAATAGAATAGACTTTATTTTGTGGACTTATTTTAAATTTCATCTAATAAAGATAAACTTGGATTAACAAAATACTTCTAGGAAAATTCTGAAACTACTCAATTTAGTGTGAAGTAGTTCCAAATAGATTCGTCCAATTATCCAAGACAAATTCCAGAGAAAAAACTTTAATGGGGAAGGGTGCTTGCTGTATGGGAGCTTAAAGATGACAAATGGATGTGGAAAAGGACAGTGCCAGGTTGTCAAAAGGCATTTCACTGTGTGCAAAAAGTTCCTAGAAATCACTTTATCCAGAAAGGGTAAGAGCAATAAACCTCATTATCCCCTGAAGCACACAGGCTAGTGGAGCCTCTATTCAGCTATATTGCTGACTAGGACTGTTTTTCTGGACTAGCCAAGGACTAACCAATTTTTGCAGCATAGCTCTTCTTAAGAAAAGCATATTAACGGCCAGGCGCGGTGGCTCACGCCTGTAATCCCAGCACTCTGGGAGGCTGAGGTGGGCAGATCACCTGAGGCCAGGAGTTCGAGACCAGCCTGGTAACTATGGTGAAACTCTGTCTCTGCTAAAAACATAAAAAACTAGCCGGGCATGGTGGCAGGCGCCTATAATCCCAGCTACTCAGGAGGCTGAGGCAGGAGAATTACTTGAACCCAGGAGGCAGAGGCTGCAGTGAACGGAGATTGCACCACTGCACTCTGACCTGGGTGACAGAGTGAGACTCCCATCTCAAAAAAAAAAAAAAAAGAAAAGTGTATTACAAGATACCAGCAACCTGCTGACAAACCCACCCCTGGGACACAGTCTATATACAGACTGGGACTGGCCTGTCCCCTGGTACCTACTCTGCATTTCGATGAACTGCAAGTCTGAGCCATTCTGCAGTCCTGCCAGGTCACCCACTGTGCCATCATTCCTGGAGCATTTCTGTCGTTCCTCCTCTAACTGAAGCTTCAGTTTTCTAATCTGAAATGAAAATAAAGGTTCATCAGCAAGATCCAATCTCTCAAATGAAGCCGATGCTTATTCTATGGTCACATCATAGAACAAAGCAGACCCTTATCGTATCAGCCACATTCATTCAAAACCTATTTTCTTGAGTGCCTAATAGGAGACACACATCGTCCTAGGTGCTAAAGATAAGCTACGAACAAACATCGAAAAGAGCAAGCCCCAGGACCAGGTGTCCCAGTAGAAAATAGCCATATTTTAAATTTGTGTCTGCTTATGGAACAGTACATCTTTGGGGTATTTTTTGTTACTTTTATTTAAAATGGAAAATTCTAGCCAGGCATAGTGGCATGTACCTATGTATCAGGCTACTTGGGAGGCTGAGGCATGAGGATCACATGAGCCCAGGAGTTTGAGACCGACCTGGGCAACACAGTGAGACCTCATCTCTAAAAAAAATAAAACAAAAATATAAACAGTTAACTGATAGGGTATATTCAAGAGATTATTTCTTAAAATGGAAGATTCCATGAGCAGTTTTTTGTTGTTTACTTTTAGACATAGGTTAAATTTTCTTACTTAGAAAACATCCTGTATGTAAAAATAATTGGGGCTGGGCACGGTGGCTCACGCCTGTAATCCCAGCACTTTGGGAAGCTGAGGCGGGCGGATCACAAGGTCAAGAGATCGAGGCCATCCTGGCCAACATGGTGAAACCCCATCTCTACTAAAACTACAAAAATTAGTGGGGCATGGTGGCACGCGCATGTAGTCCCAACTACTCCAGAGGCTGAGGCAGGAGAATCATTTGAACCTGGTAGGTGGAGGTTGCAGTGAGTGGAGATCACATCACTGCACTCCAGCCTGGTGACAGAGCGAGACTCTGTCTCAAAAAAAAAAAAAATAATAATAATAATAATTGGATACATAGAGATGGCTTCCCCAGCTGTCCTTAACTCCACCAACAGGGGTCAAAGGGAGGCCTCTGCACTAAGATTAAGTTTGCCACTCCCCAATGGGAAAAGGGTAAGCTCTATATTGGGACTAACTCTATACTTCCCAGGCACCTCTGCCCTTTCAACACACAGGGTCACCATCATTAGCTGCCTTGAGGGAACCAGGACAAATCTCAGTATCTCCATCATTCCTATTTATGTGCATCTCACAAAGGGTCATATCCTTCCTCTGCAGTCTTCCTCACAAGGGTCTGTACGACCACTAACCTTCATCTCCTAACCTTTCCCAATGCCTGAAACTTTTCCACTGGGCCCTCTAGAATTATCAGTCCATCATCAGCAAACACCCTCTGTCCTCAGTCTTTTCTGAGCATCCCCCCTTTACCCTCGTGCTCTGATAACCCTCTCCTGCTGCTTCTGCAGCTCTCTCAAACACTGTTTTTGTTTTGTTTTGTTTTGTTTTGTTTGTTTGTTTGAGACAGGGTCTCGCTCTGTGGCCCAGACTGGAGTGCAGTGGCATGATCTCAGCTCACTGCAACCTCCGCCTCCCGGGTTCAAGCGATTTTCCTGCCTCAGCCCCCCGAGTAGCTGGGATTCCAGGTGCATGCCACCACGTCCAATTTTTGTATTTTTAGTAGATGGGGTTTCGTCATGTTGGCCAGGCTGGTCTTGAACTCCTGACCTCAAGTCATCCACCCACCTTGGCCTCCCCAAGTGCTGGGATTACAGACATGAGCCACCATGCCCGGCCCTTTTTTTTTTTGTACTTCCACAGCTTCCTACCACTGAATCTAGAAATGGAATAGGTGTCCTCTTGCTTTCCTTGCTGGTATTTTCCCTCCATCTTCCCTAAAAGTCCCAGGTCTTAATCTCGTCTCTTCAAATTATATACACTAACTACTTATCATTGCCAAAATCCCATTCCTTCATCACCATTTATTAAATAGCTCCCAACTTGCACTCCCTCTAGACTATTCCTGTCTTAATTTTTGGCAATTTCAATGTACATCTAAGTAGAGGATCTCCCTTACAAATGATCTCTCAATTTCTGGTATATCTCCTCTTACGGTTTGGATGTCTGTCCCCTCCAAATCTCATGTTGAAATGTATTCCCCAGTGCTGAAGGTGGGGCCTGGCAGGAGGTATCTGGGTCATGGGGCAGATCCCTCATGAATAGCTTTGCACCATTCCCTTGGTGATGAGTGAGTTCTCGCTCTGGTAGTTCACACAAGATCTGGTTGTTTAAGAGTGTATGTTACCTCCCCACTCTCTCTGGCTTCCGCTCGAGATATGACGTGCCTGCTGCCCCTTCACCTTCCGCCGTGATGAGAAGTTTCCTGAGGCTGGCTGGGCGCGGTGGCTCATGCCTGTAATCCCAGCACTTTGGGAGGACGAGGTGGGTGGATCACCTAAGGTCAGGAGTTCAAGACCAGCCTGGCCTGAGGCCTCAGGAAACTGAGCTCAGAAGCTGAGCAGATGCTGACAACATACTTCCTCTACAGCTTGCAGAACCATGAGCCAGTTTAAACCTCTTTTCTTTTTCTTTTTCTTTTTTCCTTTTTTTTTTTTTTGAGACAAAGTCTCACTCTGCCACCCAAGGCTGGAGTGCAGTGGCGCAATCTTGGCTCACTGCAGCCTCCACCTCCCTCCTGCCTCAGCTTCCCAAGTAGCTGGGACTACAGGCACCCACCACCATGCCCGGCTAATTTTTGTATATTTTTAGTAGAGTTGGGGTTTCACCATGTTGGCCAGGCTGGTCTCAACTCCTGACCTCAACCACCTGCCTCAGCCTCCAAAAGTGCTGGGATTACAGGCATGAGCTGCTGTGCCCAGTCAAACATCTTTTCTTTATAAATTACCCAGCCTCAGGTATTCCTTTATAGCGAAGCAAAAAATGGACTAACCCACCTCCCTTCCAAGGATCTTGCTATCTATCCCTTCTTGCCCTCAGCTACTCACTCCCACAGTCATATACCAGATCTCATCATTAGACAATTGTAATCCCTACACAATTTAGTTCCATGTATCCTCTCTCTAACCACTATTCCTCATCTTTCCAGGTCATTCTCTCTAGACCCGAATTCCAACAACCCTTCAACCACACTGGTACCACTAATCTACAGATTACATCTTCTTTCTACTATACCTTGATGTGTTCCTGAATATCTCCCGAATCCTCTTCATCCAGTTTAATTTCAAGGTCCATCATTATAATCATTTTCTTACATACTCCCTCACCTCTCCTGCCCCATTAATACTGTCCTAGTAAAATCTAGCTCTCTACCCACTCCATGCCTGCCCCTATGCTGCTGTAAGTAGCCAGAGAAACACATATAATAAATGCATTCACACAAACCTTCTAACATATCATATAATATTGTCTGATGTCTTCCTACTAGAATGCCTCTCAGGCAGGAATTTTTTTTTTCTAAACTAATTTATTCACTGAAATATCCCAGTGCCTAGAATAGTGCATGTTAAATAGTAGAATCTCACTCAACATTTGTTGAATGACTGAATAGGAGTTCCAAAATAGAGAACACAGCATATGGGAGGGGAAAAAAATCAGTAACAAAATCATTCAAGAAATTTTCCCAGAACTAAAGGATGGGAGCTCCTAGAATTGACAGGGGCCCAGCATCACACATGAAAACTTCAAATCACATGACTATCTTCAAATTACACCAGAATGCTAGAGAGAAAGAGAATAGGATACAAGCTTCCACAAAGAGGAGAAAAATAGATCACAAATCAGAAAAGATCAGAACTCAAAATGTTCATGAAAACTCAACAGCCATGCTCGAAGTCACAGCACAATGAAGAAATGTCCTTTTAAAAAATCTTAAGGAGAACCATGGCAACTCAGGATTCTCTACCCAGCCAAACTATTTTAATCAAGTGAGAGGGTAGAATGAAGACATCTTCAGGCCTGCAAGGTCATGAAAAATTAACAATCCACAAACCCTCTTCTCAGGAAGCTACTGGAAGATGTACCAAAATAAGAGAATAAATAAGGAGAAAGGCATGAGACACCGGAAAAAGGGAACCCAACCTAAATCACATGCAAAGAAAATCTCCAGATGCCAATGAAGGGTGACCACATCTATGTACCGAGAGGGCAAGTCACTAGTTTAGAAAGGGACAAGTCAGATGCACCAAGATTCAACAAACTGGAACTGAAATAACACCAGATGCATCTGAAAATACTGAGTGGGATTAATCTACTCTTGGAGATTCTGTGGCTAAATTGATGATAGAAAACCAAGCAAATACAAAGAAAAACCATAACATTAACTTTAGAGGAAACTAATAGTTCTGAGGGAGATGATCCTAGAATGCAACCTGGCTCCACTGTGTGAGTAGTGTTTAGAGGGTCCTAATGACACAAGCAGGCTGGAATTACACTGTTCCTTTATTAGGAGGATATAAGAGTGGAAAATAAGTATGTGTGTGGCAGGGACAAAGGATGAAAAACAGCTAAATCCTCATCTTCCATAAAAGGATGTCAATATAGAATGCCTGAAGCAGAACAATCAAGATGCAACATAAGTATGTTATACAGAGATACAAGGACAGTACACAAGAATCAGCTAAAAGTATTTAACAGAAATGGTCAGGGGCGAGGTCAGAGGAGCCAGGGCAGGGGACTGCTGTGTTCATAACAAGCTTTGTAAAAAACTATATGACTCCTTAAACTATGTGTCCTTAAAAAAATGTTTTAAGAACAGAAAATAACAAAGAGGTAAAATATGAATTATCTATCCTTCATATCTCACTTGAGTACTGATGTTTGAAAGAAGCATATTTTTTTAATGAACATTTCAATTAGCCAGTATTTTACCATGTAACTTTGTTAAAATTATATTACACTCCAATAAGAATGCCTTTACCTGTGACAGTAGTTCTTCCTTCTCTCCAGCAAGTTTTCGTAGCCTTACATCTAAAACAAATGAAAAAGATCATAAACTAAATATGTGATGATATAGTACATAAACAATTAAAAATTTTTCAAACTCATAAACAGCTAATATTATCTGATAAATTACATTACTTACAGCTCTGAATATCTAAAGAAATAAAGGTGTTAATAGCATTACAGAAAAGTTCTTAACTATCTAAAAAGTATTTCCACACAACTGATATTTATCAGGGCACCAAATCCAACATTTGTTCCCCACAGCAGTGATTTGCCACTTAAAGACAAACAGAAGTACAAAGGAGGTCATTTCCTTGTTTCAAGCTTTCACTAGTAGACAGACAACTCAAATGTCAAGTGTGTTCCTAAAGGCTGAGCCCTTAGCGGGAGAGATCCAAATATGTGAAAGAAGATGGGGTAAGAGCAGGACTGGGCAAAGGAAGCTAGAGAAGAGAAAAGAGAGGAGCATAATGCTGGAAGAAGCAAAGTCCCCAAAAGCTAGTAGGGAGGGAAGGGGACCCACTCCAAGATGTGGGCAGCCAGGCCAGGTGTGGTGGCTCACGCCTGTAATCCCAGCACTTTGGGAGGCCTAGGTGGGTGGATCACTTGAGGTCAGGAGTTCAAGACCAGCCTGGCCAAAATGGTGAAACCACGTCTCTACTAAACAAATACAAAAATTAACCAAGCGTGGTGGCAGGCGCCTGTAATCCCAGCTACTCGGGAAGCCGTCTGAACCTGGGAGATAGAGGTTGTATGTTGCAGTGAACTGAGATCGCGCCACTACAATCCTGCCTGGGCGACCGAGTGAGACTTCGTCTCAAAAAAAAAAAAAAAAAAGATGTGGGCATCCATGGGTAGATCTGCGGCTTGGTGGCAGCACCATTAGGGCTCACTCCTAGCCTGTGGAGGTTTGACTCTTCCCAAGCCTGCATTAAAATAGGCCCCTTCAGCTGAGGAGATACCATGGTTCACTTAAAAAAGCAGCTGATACCTCGCCAACCACTACCCTCTGTAAACAGGGTCATAGCCAAATAAAGATTTTGGTTTCTTCTGCACCTTCCAAGCAGATCTGCCTGCTTGGACCTGCAGACGAGGGAAAAAACAGCAGGGAAACACTCTGGGCTGCCTATAGCCAGACTCTCGTTCCATTCTCCAGATCTCTCTTGCTCACCCAGCATCCTGTTTTATTCAAAGTGCCCTACAATCACATTTCTGGAATGCACATTAGAGAATGTGCTTACTAACTTTCAAAATGTTTTTCAGTTTGCTTCACACTTGTATCTCTCACTCCTCTAAGAAGCTTACACATATATGAAAACAAGATGAAAAACAAAAAAATTGTTTTTTTTTAAAATAAAAGTGAGCTAATGATACAGTATCTATCTGTGCCATTTTTCTTCCTCTAGAGTAGATTTCTTTGTGGGGTCAATGGATGGGTGACTTTGATTTCTCAGACAGAGGTGTCAGCAACTTTGTGGTTTCCTGGAGAGAGGTGTCAGATTCTCAAAGGGTTAAATTTAAGAGGTTTAGACTTTAAGAGTCTGGGAAGCCCTGCTCTGGAAGTCATACTTCTCTGATATCTTTTTGGTCATCTGTTTCTTGGCTTAAGAAATGTGGTGGAAAAGAGGTACAGAACCCTGGGGTAAGCAGTGGAACATAAAACCAGATGTTCCAAGGATGAGAAACTTATAACACACTTGAGAAGTCTCCTGCTAGCCTACTGCTCCCCTAGCACAGGTATACTAGACTATCTCTTTGCAGAACAGTTTGTAGTTAAGTAAAAACCGATGTGTATAGGCCCATAGTACTTCCATCCACAGGCCTTACAGTTACACTTATTGCCTTACAGTGACCCAGATGCTGATTTCCCAAGGTCAAGGATGTCTGAAGACAATGTGCCAATGTGCCCAGATTCTTCTAGTTAAGGATCTACTTGAGTCTCAGCCCTTATGCTGTTTTTGTTTTCCAAGCTGGGATATGAAAAAGCAGAAAACCCAATAGGGTAACATTAATCCAAGTCAACATAGCAACCAGTATCTTACCTAATGGCCCTTCTCCTGCTGACTCCAAGACCTGAGCAGCTTCCTGAGACACAACAGTGATGGCTCCAGCCACTGGTTCATGACTGACATCACCATTGGGAGTGCCATCGGGGATTATAACTAAGCCATGTTTCTGCAGGGGGGAAAAACCCACCATCACAAAAGGCCCGTATGGAAGCTGTAAGCTCTGTGAGGTCACTCTGCAACAATACATGTTTGCTACAGGTAAAACCTGGTTAGAATCAGTTACATGAAATATAGCTCTGTGTAAGAAATAGCTTCAACCTACCAAATCTGGATTAGAGAATAAACACTGTAGTTTGTATTTAGGCTAGGAAAGATGGCAGGATGAAAGGAAGGAAGATAGAGAGTAAAACAGTGAGGGACCTGAATTCCAGGCTAATGCTAACATACCTCTCCCGTCTTCACTGTCTCCTGCAGGTCAGCCAGCTCCTCTCTGAGCATATCTCGCTCATTCCTAAGGCAGGCAATGTATTCTTTCTGTTTCTCTAGGGCCTGGTTTTAGGTAAGGTAGCAAGGGAAACAATGGCACAGAAAAAGAGCAGGTGAAAGGTAGCAGAGAAGTACCTAATTCAAATAAGCAAAGATAAAGGCATAAAAAGCAAGAAAGCAGTCAAAAGATTGGAAACAAACAGTCAGATATGGGAGGAAATACAGAGTTACATGGATATACATCTCCAGAAGAGACTTCTCATAGAAACTGGTTCTCATGCATCAATTTGGCAAAACATGTTTAATCACATCAAGCAGGGAAATAAATCTTTTCCAGTCAATGAAAAAAATAAAACAGGAAAAGGAAGATAAAGAGAGAAGCCAGAGTAAAATAAAGCTTTCCTTACTGACTGCCTAAGTGCATTTTTATTTGGTGAACAAAAAAAACCCCACATTTCATGTTTAACTAAACTAGTTTATTCAAGAATACAGTTGATTTTTTAAAAAATAGTTCTGGAATAAAAATAACTATTATACATAGGTATTTTAATTTAATATTGGCTGTAGATTTTTCTCCAAGTAGTGTGGCAAAATACTCAAATACCACTTAATTCAAAATAGTTAACCTCCAAAAGGATTCAAAGATCAACTTCTGACAACTTAATTAAATATAACTGAGACTCATTTGGCTTTCTGTTATACTCCCAAAATGTGAAAAACAAAAATAAACACTGACAAAATAAATACAGCCAAGCTATGAAGAGTTACAGAATATGGATTTCAGAATCAGGCTTTTGGGTTCTGGCACATACTTGTCCTATGCCTCAGTTTCCTCACTGGAAAAACAGAAGGGATAATAGCACCCATCCCAAGGGCAGAGGCATAAATCAAGGTAAAGCATTGCCTGTAATGCCTAGATAGCAGGGACAGTTCAGGAGAATCAGGTTGGTGATTTCATTTGTAAATTCCCTGCCATTTCCTTAATCTCACAACTGTCAGCTGAGGACAATGCAGAAGCAGGAACATACTTTGGTCATCAATGAAAAATAAAATCTACTATGAAAAAATAAAATCTATTGTAAAAGAAAATAACCCAGAATTAAAAATACACCCAAGGTAAGTAGTCTATGCAGGAATCTGATTACTGGCCTATTTGAAAAAGCCTTTCCCCAAATATTTTTGTTCATATATTTAATGTCTTCTGTTAGCATTCCCATTAATCCAAGAAGTTAAACTATATCAGGTAACTTTCCTCTCAGTTCACTGGGTTTGGAAGTGGGACAGCGAATTGCTGAGAAATTGATAGCTGAATAGCTGGGCAATTCAAAAAATCATTATAATCCTGTTTTGCAACCAAATAGGGAGCAAGTAAATAAGGGATGATAGCAACTACGATTTGTATAGCACAAATTATATGGCAGGCACTATTTTATATAATTTCTCTCTTATACATTATTTTACATTTGAAACCTCTACATATCCTGTGAGGTACTTGTATTATCCCCATTTAACAGATCAGAAAATTGAGGCTCACAGTGGTTATATTTTTTCGCCCAAAGTCACAGTAAGTGGCAAAACCAGAAAATGAATCTGGTTGTTTTTGTTTCCAAAGCCCTTAAATAGTTTTTTAAATATCACAGCTCTATGAAGGCCACATTATATTCCCTTATTGTTAGCCCAGATGATGCTAGGAAAGGAGTCCATACGGCAAATCCTACTCTTTACTTATCCAAACTGCAATGTCAATATCTGACTTCTTTTCAACAATTTACATTCACACTATATGATGTGTCTCAAGTCTGCCTGTGAATTAACAATGTGCATTTCTAGCACCATCTAGCTAGTGTTAACACTCCATTATGTTAATAATTAATAATAACTGAAACATTGGGAAAACAAAGCACAACAATACTTTCCCATGTGTTGAGTGTCACTTTATGGATTAGGTATTTTTGGTTACTGGTATCTGCATGCATAGTTATGTCATGTATCACCACATATAAGTGGGTAAATGATCACTGTCACAACATGCTCTACATAAACAACAACACTGAATAAAAAAGACCTCTGAGGAACAGGCCAATTTGAAACTAGGAATTCTAGCAAATGATATACATGACATTTGCTCTTCTTCCACATCGTATTGCACTGGGTTTTATTTTTACCTTCGGACTTTTTAATTTCCTCTTCCCATAATTACAGATGAGAAAATAAAATACATCCTGTAAATTCACCCACTTCACCACAAAGTTTGAAGACTACTAAAATACCTTATAATTGGATCAAATGTATTCAAGCTGGATCTAAAACCCTCTGTATTACCTGACCATATAACCACTACCCTTGTGTTTGTGTGCAACAATAGCTCCTACAGTAGATTTTTTTTAGGGTAAAAAGTACACGCTTGTAGAGTTCAAAATAACTCTTTATCCCTGACCTAACCTCAAATCCTACCACCCGGAAGCCAAAAGGATGTGTATAATGGGCTGAACTTTTGGGCAAGGGGTTAATTCTCCACATAATTGTACTGGGGAACAAATATCTTTGGTCAGAATGGAAGTGAGTTTATGCTGGGCTATAGAGATACGCAAGTTCTTCATACGCACCTATTCTATACATGGGCTCCTGGTGTTTAGAACCGCAGTGGAGCTAGAGGCAAGACCACTAATGAACTGAACTTTAACCTGGGAATAATGGACATATTTCTTCATTAAGTTACTAAATGTAAATCTTAAAAATGAAGCTAGAGACAAGTAGTTACTGACCATACTGAAAATGTGTCTTAAAAGTCAAGGGAGGACCACTGCCCTTGTATTATAATGATAACAAATGTTGGCAAGGACATGGAGAAATTGGAACCCTTGTTCACTAGTGGTGGGAATGTAAAATGGTACATCTGCTACAGAACACAGTATAACTGTTACTCAAAAAAATTAAACACAGAATTACCATATGATCCAGCAATTCCACTTCTGGGTACATACCGAAAACAACTGAAGGCAGAGTCTTGAAGAGTTATTTGAATACCCATGTTCACAGCAGCATTATTCACAATGGCCAAAAGGTAGATGTGTTGATATATCAACAGAAGAATGTGGTATATACATACAATGGAATATGATTCAGCCTTAAAAGGGATGGACATTCTGACATATGCTGCAAAATGAACCTTGAGGGCATAATGCCAAGTGAAATAAATCAGATACTGTATGATTCCACTTACATGAAGTACCTAGAGCAGTCAAATTCACAGAGACAGAAGGTGGAATGGTAGTTGCCATTCCACCAGGGGTTTGGGAGAAGGGACTGAATGGGGAGTTGTTTAATGGGTACAGATTTCAGCTGGGGAAGACTAAAAAGTTCTATGGTGGTGACAGTAGCACAACAACATGAATGTACTCAATGCCACTGAACTGTACACTTAAAAATAGTTAAAATGGTAAATTTTATGTTATTTGTACTTTAGCACAATTTTTCAAATTAAAAAAGAGTCAACTCGTGATTCAATAACTTGGAAGAATCTTGAGGGACTTATACAGAGTGAAAAGGGATAATTCCAAAAGGTTAACATATACTATATAATTCCATTTTTATAACATTCTTAAAAGAGCAAAACTACACAAATGAAGAAAAGATTAGTGGTTCTTAGGGCTTGGGAGGGGAAGGGGAGATTAAGGCTATGACTATAAAAAGGCAAGAGGAGGAGAAATCCCTTATATTGATGGAAATGTTCTGTATCTTCACCATATCAAGGGCAATATCCTGGTTGTGATATTGTACTATAGTTTTGTAAGATGTTACATTTGGGGAAGATTGAGCAAAGAATATATAGGATCTCTGTTAAATTTCCTCTTTTTTTTTTTTTTTTTGAAACAGGGTTTTGGTCTGTTGCCCAGGCTGGACTGCAGTGACATGATCTCAGCTCACTGCAACCTTGGCCTCCCGGATTCAAGTGATTCTCATGCCTCAGCCTCCCAAGTAGCTGGGATTACAGGTGTGCACCACCATGCCTGGCTAATTTTTGTATTTTTAGTAGAGACAGCGTTTTACCATGTTGGTCAGGCTGGTCTCGAACTCTTGACCTCAAGGGATCCACCCTCTTTGGCCTCCCAAAGTGCTGGGATTAAAGGCATAAGCCACCATGCCCAGCCCTGTTTAATTTCTTACAACTGCATGTAAATCTAAAATTCTGGCCGGGCACAGTGGCTCATGCCTGTAGTACCACCACTTTGGAAGGCCGAGGTGGGTGGATCACTTGAGGTCAGGAGTTCGAGACCAGCCTGGCCAACATGGTGAAACCCCATCTCTACTAAAAATACAAAAATTAGCCGGACGTGGTGGTGCACACCTGTAGTCCCAGCTACTCAGGAGGCTGAGGCAGGAGAATTGCTTGAACCCAGGAGGTTGCAGTGAGCTGAGATCGTGCCACTATACTCCAGCCTTGGGGAGAGAGAGAGATTCCATCTCAAAAAAAGAATACTAAAATAAAATATTTTCCAATTAAAAGCCAAATAATTTATATTTTAAACTGAGACATCTGAGGGGTTTCTATGGCTGGTCCAAGATTATCAGTTTAAAATATTAAGGCACTCATACAAGCTAGAAATCCTGGGCCTACAGATCTGTGTTAAAGAAAATTATGTGAAGTCCTAAAAGAAGCCCATTCTAGACAGTGACCAGATTTTAACTAAAAATTTTAAATTACCTACTTTGCCCCACGTTTTTTCACCTCTTATATTTCCCAAGCAAAAATTTAAATCAAATCAATGGTTCAACAATCAAATTTCACTTTTCAATTTCAAATTTCAATTTTAAAATCATAGTTTCAAAACACCTAACAGAATTATTGATTTATTCCCCAGAAGGCTTTTCTAGGTTTAGATGGAATTTTTAATACTCAGCAATTTGAAAGTCAGAGAATTATCTATAAAGTAGCTTTTGTTCTTTAAATTTTTGGTCTACAAACTTTTTTAAAGAAAGGGTATCACTCTATTGCTTAGGCTGGAGTGCCATGGCACGATCATAGCTCACTGCAGCCTCCATCGTGTGGGCTCCAGTGATCCTCCCACCTCAGCCTCCTAAGTAGCTGGGGCAGGTGCATGCTCTGCAAATTTTAAAATTCTTTTGCAGAGACAGGGTGGGTCTCACTATGTTGCCCAAGCTGGTCTCAAGCTCCTGACCTCAAGCAATCCTCTGGCCTCAAGCGATCCTCCGTGCTAGGATTCCAGGCATGAGCCTACAAACTCTTAAGAGGTAATGTAATCTTCCCATGTGTATATTAATGAGAGAGGTCCTTGAAGTGATGAAAAAGACTGGATCCTGCTGACTACTGGTTGGGCTTCAGAATGTTCCTAACAACATTCTGAGGGTATAATCCACAGGATTTCATATCCAGGCCTGTCTCTCAAGAGATGTTCTCAGGGATCTTTAACAACTATTCCCTACTCCCCCTAACCTTAAGCAGAACAAGACTTTTCTTACATGTTCTATTTCCTCTGCCCTTCCCTGACAAGGTAAGCCTCTGGCAACTATGGCTAAGTGGTTCCCCTACTGTAGAACAGAGAGCTCAGCCAGGTGATGGGACTGCCAATCAAAGGCCACATGAGATGAACTGGAGGGAATTTTTTCCAGCTTTTGGTGTACATGGAATCTACCTGCAAGGCTTAGCAAAACAGCAATGAAGACATTTCGTTTATCTGGGCCCTTACTTGGGGGAGTTCTGTGGTTATAATTACAGACAGCCACCCTAGAAAGTCTTACATTCCTATCCATTTCTGTAATTGAATTGATTTTAATCTCTTCCTATTTTATACACCAAGGATTTATAGGATGCTAATAACTTTCTCCCCACCACTACCCTCTTCTTATCCAAATTCCTGTAACGTAAGGATATCAAGTTAACCACAGAGTTTGAATTGAATGCCTGTGGCTGTTTCTGGATAAGAATCTGAAGGGAGGCCAGGCATGGTGGCTCACGCCTATAATCCTAGCACTTTGGGAGGCCAAGGTGGGTGGATTACCTGAGGTCAGGAGTTGGAGACCAGCCTGGCTAACATGGTGAAACCCCGTCTCTAATAAAAAGACAAAAAATTAGCTGGGCATGGTTGTGTGTGCCTGTAATCCCAGCTACTCGGGAGGCTGAGGCAGGAGAATCACTTGAACCCAGGAGGCAGAGGTTGTAGTGAGCCGAGATCATGCCACTGCACTCCAGCCTGGGCAACAGAGTGAGACTCCGTCTCAAAAAAAAAAAAAAAAAAAAAAAAAGAATCCTAAGGGAATACAGAGAAACTTCCTTTAAAAGTTCCTACTTATACATTTTACAAGCCTAGTGTTTGCTGAAAAGAAGAGTTCTTCCAGGCACAACGTCAGGTTTTCCTATGGAAGTCTCTGTCTCCTACTGACTCATTTTTCATACTGTGTAAATGCTCAAGAAGAATCAAAAGGACAGGTTTTTTCAATCTCTAGGTTAAATTCTACTGTAGTCCTCATCAATGAGCTTCTAACCAAAGCCCAATTTCATTTCATACCCCAATTTTTTTATCTTTCCAAAGAAGTGTCTCCTGGAGGTCAAACACCTCTTTTGTCATGGTGTCTATTTTCTGCTGCATGCGCTGCTTCTCCTGCAGAGGAAGAGGGGAAGAGAAGTAATAAAAGAGCAGAAAGAAAAGGGAGAGGAGGTTTGAGGGAGGAAACAAAAATAAAGCCGATAAAGAAACTTAACCAAAAGGGAAAGTCTGTGATGAACAGGAAAAGCAAAATTGGTCTGCCAAAAGAAAAGATGACATTCACAGTCTTGGCCACAAGATTCTTATTGGCTTGCCCCTACAAAAGTAAGCAAAGGAACCAGGAATAATTGTTCCAACCACAGCTACGTGGCAGCAAGCCAGCTAGAATTTCTGTGTACATACAGCTCCATATGTATATTCTTTCTTTGATAACTGCCTTTTTACCAAACAAGAACTTACATTCCTAGAGAGGGAAATTTAGGTTTGCTTATGAACAAATGATCTTTCATCTTAGAGAACAAGCAGTTTTGAATTTTATTTTTTAAGCAGAACTGATCATTTTGAATTTCTGTTAGCAAAATCTATGACAGCAAGAACACCATGAATTTTGTATTATTTTAAAATTATATTATTTTGAAACATTTAAATTTAGCATTTAACAATCCTTAAATGACCTTTCTAATTAGGCAATGGTGCTTAACAGGTTTTCTTCTTATGCATTATTGGTAAATTATTATGTCCTCCTTTCCCTACTCATACATTAGGTACTTTACCATGGAATTTTCAATTCCAAAGACCAAAAAACATTATTTGTAATATTTAAAGTTTTTCAGCATAACCATAGATACTAACATCTAAAAGATGTTCATTCTAGATGTAAAAAACATCTAAAACTATAGTTCTCAAAGTTTGTATACCTAGCACCCTAAGCTTTTAAAGAAGCCACAGTGATGAACTATAGAAATCAAGCATTATATTCTTCTTAAATGCAATTACAATTAATTACTAGAACACTTTACCAGTCCTAACTTAAGCTATTGAATTTGAGAAGCAGCCCCCAAAGCAGGTTTATTATTTTATGTGGTTGGCATTTTGGCACAAAAAGATAAAAGAACAAAAAGGGAAAGAATTTCACATTATTTTAAAATACCAGCAGGATACAGATTCTGGAAAATATGCTTCCTACCTTATATGGAGAAAAACCAAGAAAATTAACTTCACATGTAATCTGATAGATCCAAAAGGTTATCTGTATCTGCACTTGAAATCCACAAATTCTGAGTATGTTCAATTATTCTTAATGATGACAAAAATTAACACGTCTTCAAATTTAAAGTCATTTCTTTTTCTCTATTAAATGGTTTTTAAAAATCATTTGTAGAGAGACATATTAAGAGGTAGGTCCGAGGGGAAAGAGAGAAAGAGGGAGAGAAAAAGAAAGGCTAAGGTCTGAGTAGCCAGGAATGTGGACAAGTGTGGTTGTGAGATCTCTCTCCTGGGATCATTAACAATCTATGCTTCCTGACATCTCTGGCGTGTCAACACTAACTTAACATTAGATGCCTTTGATAGCCACACCTAGATAGTGGGCAGGATCCCCCTTCAAACTTATTTCCATATTTATCTAAAAACATCGTCTCAGGAGGGAAAACCACATTTAAAGAAAAAAGATGCATGCAATGTAGCAGGCCTGCAAGGATGACTAATGTTTTCAAAGAGTTCTTGGTAGACTATGCTTCATTCCATTCCTAAGATGTTGCCAGCAATGTGGCAGAGTCCCTTCGCTTGCAGAAACCTGAACCTTCAGACTAACCATTCTTTACCTTTTTGTACAGAACGTATCTTGATGTTTCTTCTTTTTTCATTTAGCCACCTGAGAAATGTATTTACCTGAGTGAAAATCAAACTTATTCCCCAAGAATCATGTCCCAAAAGATGGCATTCACTAATTCCAAAGAATAATGTTATTCTATAATTTTTCCTTTTGCCCATTTCCTAAGATATCTGTAGGAAACAGTGTGCTTAGGAATAAAAGACACAAAAATTTCTGCTACCAAAGTGGGGTAATGTTTATAGGATTTATAGTATTAATTTTTAAGCATAATCTGGTTTATGTTTGAAAATTTGTAGTGTACAGTCAAATATAAAGAGACAAACTCTGATGCATCTTAACTCTCCTTCCCTCCCAACACATCCTCATCCCATTCAACTCATTTTTTTTCAAAATTAAGTATTCCCACAGTTCATGTACATACCTCAATAAGCTCATCTCTTTGCCGCAGGCCTTCTTTAAGTTCTTCCATCTTATGCTGCAGCACACTACACATATGTTTCTGCCTTTCTAACTCCTGTTATTAAACAAATAATATCATTTACACAGGTCATGGCACACAAGAAATTTGAACATACACAATACAACACAGAGGTTAAGTATGACCTCCAGAAACATGCCCAAACTCCTGATTCATAGTAACTTAGAAAAATTGTGTATTCTATAGAAAAGTTAAGAAAATTTTAAAATTCCATCTTGTATAATTATCAGGAAAACCTGAACTAATCAATGGCAAAATTATTAAAAACAAAAGATAATTTAGTAAAGTAACAGGTTATAAAATGAACATATACAATTCAATGACATTCATATACAAATAAAATTCAAAGAAGGAATAATAAATGCAATATCAAAATAAAATCAATATTAAATAAAAAACATACATGTAAACTTACAAAATATATCAAAAACCTATATGAGGAAAATTATATAAAGCATTCCCAAAAGACAGAGAAATAGGATTGAATAAATGGAAAGGCATACCGTCTTCTTGGATTAAAAGTCTCACAACATTATAAAAATGCCAGTTCTCCCTAAATTAATCTATACATTTAATGTAGTACAAATAAAAATACCATCAGGTTTTTCTTTTATCATCATCAGAGCAAGTTGATTTGAAAGAAAAACACAAGAAAAAGTAGCCAGAAAAATACATACTGAAAAAGAAGAAAGCCGGCCTTATTAGGTATTAAAACATATTATAAAGCTTCTATAATTAAAACAATGTTGTTATGGCACATGAATATAGACCAAGGGAGCAGAATAGAGAATTCAGGAAAAACCCACTTAAATATACAAATATATTTAAAAACAATAAAAATAAGAGCATCTCAAATCAATGAGAAGGAAAGACTTTTAAATTAGTAATGTTGGGATAACTGGATATCCATTTGGAAAAAGATAAAATTGGAACTATACCTCATACCACACACCAGGACAAATTCCAAATCAATCAGAGATTTACATAAGGAAAGAAAGCCAGGGAGTGAATGGGGGAAGAGGGAAGGGAAGGGAGAACAAACTGTACAGGAATAAAAGTAACCAAGGAGTGGGGCAATCTTTACTGAAAAAATGACTCAAAAATCCACAAGCAATGAGGTAATGGTACAATAAATTAGACTACATAAAAATAAAAATTTTGGGCTGGGCATGGTAGCTCATGCCTGTAATCCCAGCACTCTGGGAGGCTGAAGCAGGCAGATCCCTTGAGCCGAAGAATTCAAGACCCTGCCTGGGCAACATGGCAAAACCCCATCTCTATAAAAAAAATTCAAAAATTAGCCAGGGTTGGTGGCGTGTGCCTGTAGTCCCAGGTACTCTGGAGGCTGAGGTGGGAGGACCACCTGAGCCTGGGGAGGTCAAGGCTATAGTGAGCCATGATGGTGCCATTGCACTCCAGCCTGACGACGGAGTGAGACTCTGTCTCCAAAAAATAAATACATAAATAAATAAAACTTTTGAATGGCAGAGAATCTCTAAAACTAGGCCAGGCACGGTGGCTCACGCCTGTAATCCCAGCACTTTGGGAGGCCGAGGTGGGCGGATCACCTGAGGTCGGGAGTTCGAGACCAGCCTGACCAACATAGAGAAACCCTGTCTCTACTAAAAATACAAAATTAGTCAGGCGTGGTGGTGCATGCCTGTAATCCCAGCTACTCGGGAGGCTGAGGCAGGAGAATTGCTTGAACCTGGGAGGCGGAGATTGTGGTGAGCCGAGATTGCGCCATTGCACTCCAGCCTGGGCAACAGGAGCGAAACTCTGTCTTAAAAAACAAACAAACAAAAACTAGAAAGAAAGAAAACACTAACTGCATAGAATAATAAGCTACGGAAACGGACAGTTTACAGAAAAAGAAATAGAAATAGCTCTGAATATGAAAAGATACTCATACTAAGAGAAACGGAAACAAACAAAATACTAGCAAAAGTTCAAAAACTTGACAACATATTCCAGAACAGAACTATGGGGAAAGAAATAGGCCCTCATACATTTTGGTGAGAATGCAAATGGTATAATGCTTACAAAGGAGACTACAGCAGTATCTGCAAAACTACATACCTTTCGACCCAGCAATCTCACTCTTCATCATAGATACATTGGCAAAAATACAAAAAGACCTATGCAGTATGTTATTTCTACAGGACTATTTTTAACAGCAAAACATGACAAACTTGAATGTCTATTAATATAGGGAACTGGTAGAATAAAGTGTGGTACATCCATACTGTGGAATAATTATGCAGTGGTGAAAAAGAATGAGCAAGATATCTCTATACAACATTCATAAGGTGATAAAATCTACATGCACGACAGCATTTATATTAACAATATGCTACTATTTTCTAAGAAGAGTAAGAAATACATATATTTGTACATATATTTTGAATGATTATATATACATATATATCTTTTTAGATTAAAAATGGCTACCTAATTTATCTTCTTGGATTTAAAACATGGAAAGATAAACCATTAAAATTTAAAATTCCCTAAAGGAAGGAGAAAATAGAGACAGAGACAGGGATAGAAGATTAACTTCTTCAGATATATTCTTTGTTAACGTGACTCCAGATCTATGTAACTATTCTAGATAGTTACAAAATTGTAAAACAAAATTAAATTTAAAAAGCAATTCCTAGTGGAAACAATTCAAGTGGCCATTGATAGATGAATGCATAAGCAAAATGTGGTATATATACAGTGGAATATTATTCAGCTTTAAAAAAGAAACTCTTGTCACACGCTACAACATGGATGAGCCTTAGGACATTATGCTAAATGAAGTAAACCAGTCAAGAAAAGATATATTATTATATGATTCTACTTACTTATGAGTTTGGTACACAGAGTAGCCAAACTCACAGAGACAGAAAGTAGGATGGTAGTTGCCAAGGGCTGGTGGTAGGGAGAAATGGGTAATTGTTTAATGGGTACAGAGTTCTAGTTTTGAAAGATAAAAAATTTCTGGAGATCTGATGTACACTAATGTGAATATGCTTCACACTACTGAACTCTACACTTTAAAATGGTTAAGATAATAAATTTATCATGTTTTTTAATGATAATTAAATTTTTTAAAATAAAAATAATTTTAAAAGTAATTCCAAATATTGAAAATAAAATGCAGTGAACCTAACTATACATCCAGTTAGAAGCGCAGAAAGAAACTATTTCAAGTAACTTCTAAAAACAATAGTTTGGCCACACACAGACTAGTGGCAAAAATAACAGCCAAGCAAAACAAACAAAATAAAAATCTTTTAACTATTTTCAGTAATTAAATTGTTGGTGTTAATGTTGGTATTGCTATTCTAGGCAACTTCGGATAAAGCAAAGAGAACAGAACGTAACATAATTACTATCATCCCTAGAAACTTTGAGAACTAGGAATTGTAGTGTAGGGGAAACAAACAAAGATACAGATGTAAGACAGAAGAGGTTAAATAACCCTAGAGTCCTGCATGTGAACTGGAACTATCAGCAAGAACTCATAATGTATTTTGTTGTTAAAAACAAAAAAAAACTTCACACACATATTTCCCAAATTTATCCACTGAAAAGACCCATAAACACTGACCTACTTGGTGGCAATGAGCATCTCTAGCACTCATACTAAAACAGAACTAGGGCTCCTTGGACAAATGGCTGATTCCAGGTCTGGGGCAGAAAATGTACAAGATGAGACTGGGACATCTTCTGCCAGAAAGCAAAGAAGCTATCAAAAACAATTAGACTCACCAGAAGTACTTGAGAATCAACCTCAAGAGGTTCACATTAGCCAAAGATGGGACAATTTTATCATCAAAAAGAATAAAAGCTGCAATGCAACTGAAGATATCAAATGCTTGAATTTATGACTTCATATTGATATTTTAAGAGAAAAGTAATTGGTCACAACCAATTCCTTTTTTTGAAAACTCATAAAGGGAGAAAATATTTGCGAATAATATATCTGATAAAATTCTTATATCTAGAATATATAAACCTTACAAGTCAATAATAATAAGGCAAAATCCAATTTTAAAATGGACAAAGGATCTGAATAGACATTTTGCCAAGGAAGATATGCAAATAGCCAATAAGCCCATGAAAATATGTTCAAAATCATTAGTCACCAGGGAGATGCACATCAAAACCACACCTATTAGGATGGCTAGAATAAAAAGGACAGATAACAAGTGTTGGTGAGGATGTGGGGAAATCAAAACCTGCATACATTGCTGGTGTGAGAATATAAAATGGTGCAGCCACTTCGGAAAACAGTCTGGCACTGTTCAAATGGTTAAACACAGATTTATCGTATGAATCAGCAATTCCACTCCCAAGTATATACTTAAGAAAAAGGAAAGCATATATCCAGACCATGAGCAGTGGCTCATGCCTGTAATTCCAACACTTTGGGAGGCCAAGGCAGGAAGATTGCTTGAGGCCAGGAGTTACCAGCCTGGGCAACATAGCAAGGCCCCATCTCTTAGAATAAAAAAGAAAAAGAAAACTTACGTCCAAAAAACAACCTGTATACAAATGTTTATGGAAGCATTATTCTTAACAGGAAAAAGTATAAACAACCCAAATGTCAATCAATGCACAAATGGGTAAACAAAATGTAGCATACCCAAAAAAATGGAATATTAATAGGCTATAAAAAGGAATTAAGTATTGATACATGGTATAACATGGATGAACCTTGAAAACATCACGCTAAGCGAAAGAAGCCAGTCACAAAAGACCATGTATTATATGACTCCTTTCATATGAGTCTAGAATAGGGAACTCTATAGATAGAAAGTAGATCAGTGGTTACTTAAGACTGAGGGGTTTGGGGGAAAGGAAGATGATACTAAAGGGTATATGGTTTCTTTCTGAGGTAATGAAAACATACTAAAAGTAACTGTGATGAAGGTTACACATATATGTGAATATACTAAAAACCACTGAATTGTACACTTTAAATGGATGATTTGTATGTTATTTGAATTATATCTCAATAAAGCTGCTTAAAAATAACATTAAATAGGCCAGGCGCAGTGGCTCACACCTGTAATCCCAGCACTTTGGGAGGCCGAGGTGGGTGGATCACCTGAGGTCAGTTCGGGACCAGCCTGACCAACAAAGTGAAACCCCATCTCTACTAAAAATACAAAATTAGCCAGGCGTGGTGGTCCATGCCTGTAATCCCAGCTACTCAGAAGGCTGAGGCAGGAGAATCACTTGAACCCGGGAGGCAGAGGTTGCAGTGAGCCGAGATTGCGCCATTGCACTCCACCCTGGGCAACAAGAGCAAAACTCGTCTAAAAAAATAAAATAAATAAAATTTAAAAAAATAAATAAAATAACATAAAATAAAATAAATTGGTAATGATAAAATCAGAACATCCCATTTTGCAGCCCCTAGTCAATTAAAGGATCTAAGCACACACATACAGCCTAACAGTCAGCCACACATCTGGGCCTCCTGAAGGAAGACAACTGCATCATCTATGAAGCAGACTTTCAAAAAAAACTGAAGTTATATTTGATTAAGCCTCTGTGCCTAACTACCTATTTACAGAGAATACAGAGGAAAGGGAAACATGGTAAAGATACTATGGGGACGAAAACGGAAAAACTTGTAAGACTGGGAAATATTAAGCAACCCAGTTTCTTCAACATATATATTATAAGGAGAAAAAACATGAAAGAGGACCTATACATGAAAAGAGACTTAAAAGATTTATCAACTCATTCTAAGGTGTGAAACTTACCTGGATCCCGATTTTTTTAAGTGTAAAAAAGAAAAATCATTTATGACATTTTGAAACTACTGAAATTTTAACATTGATTAGATATATAATATGAATTATTGTTAATTTTACAGGTGTGAAATGGTCTTTTGATTATGCTTTAAAAGAGAAACAATGGGCTGGGCAAAGTGGCTCATGCCTGTAATCCCAACACTTTGGGAGGTCAAAGAAGGAGGATTGGGCAATACAGCAAGGCCCCATCTCCACAAAAAGATTTTTAAAAAACAGCCAGGCATGGTAGCATGTGCCTACAGTTCTAGCTACTCCAGATTACTTAAGCGTAGGAGATCAAAGTTACAGTGGGCTATGATCGTGCCACTGCACTCCAGCCTGGGGAGCAGAGCAAGACCCTGTCTGTAAAAACAATAAAATTAAATTAAATTAAAATATAAAACAAAATAGTTATTGTAATTCCAGGAGGAGGCACCAAAGACATTTTGAAAATTTTTATTAATACTGTATAATTATTATGGAATGGTCCTTCTCTACTCTCACTACCTGCTTCTGTAATGAAATACACCAGAATGCCTGACCTCTTTGTGTATCTCTGAATATAAACATTCTACTTTATAAAGCAATAGTTGTTTAGAACAAGAGAGCTCGGAGTAAAGGTATGTTAGAAAGAGATACTGTCACAAAGTGTTCTGCATCACAGTACGTGAAGCAAATTTCCAGGGTATTAAAAAAAACAATACATTTTAGGTTTGAAAAGTACAAGACCTGCCACGGTGGCTCACAACTGTAATCTCAGCACTGTGGGAAGCTGAGGTGGGTGGATTGCTTGAGCCCAGGAGTTCGAGACCAGCCTGGGCAACATGGTGAAACCGTTTCTATAAAAAAAAATTTGTCTTTAATTAGCCAGGCGTGGTGGTACGTGCCTGTAGTCCCAGCTACTCAGGAGGCTGAGGTGGGAGGATCACTTGAGCCTGGAGACAGAGGCTGCAGTGAGCTATACTTGCGCTACTCCACTCCAGCCTGGGCTACAGAGTGAGACCTTGTCTCCAAAAGAAAAAAAAAAAAAAAAAAAGGACAAGATTAAGAAAACAACTCTATGCATACTAAAATAACTCTATTACCTTCTAAAATGATGGAGGGAAAAACTAAGTTGGTTAAAATAGCTAATTATAAGGGTTTTCTTTATTTTTAAAAATGCTGAAGGATATTTGAGACGATGGAAAGATAATTCATTTTAGTAATGACCCTTAAATACTTAGCATGAGATTTTTACTCTAGTCTGCTAGAAGCAAAGAGCCAAAGACAGATAAGAAAAAATGTGTGGGACAGCAAAAAAAGGAGTCCAGAGGCTCTAGGAAAAGCATGATGGCTCAGAATCTCCAAAAATGGCCTATGGGATATATAAGAAGAATCAAAGATATACATATCTAGCATATATAATGCTCTTCAATGGGCCACTGTCAGTCCAATATGAAAACAACTAGAAGCCTCTTTTTCACCATCTAAATACCAATCCTAAATAAACAATTTTAGAGCAGTTTAAGATTCACAGTAAAATTATGTTTAAAGTACAGAGAGTTTTCATATACTCCCTGTCCCCACACACGCACAGTCTACCCTATTATAAACAACCCACAATAGAGTGGTACATTTCGTTCTATCACTGAACCAACATTGACAGATCACTATCACCCAAAGTCCAGAGTTTACATTAGGGTTCACTCTTGGTGGTGTACATTCTATGGTTTTGGACAAATGTATCCATACATGTATCCATAATAACATGTATCCACCATTATAATATGATACAGAATAGTATCACTGCCCTAAAAATCCTCTGTGCTCTGGTCTATTCATCCCTCTCCTCCAAACGCCTGGCAAACACTTTCTAACACTTTTTGAATGTGACCAAAACAGGCTGGAATGGGCATTTCTAGTCCTCAAGGAAAGAAATTCCTATAAAGACTACAGTAATAATGTTGGTCTCCTACAGGTTATATAAACAGCTTCTCTCCCTTTATTATGTGCAAATTCAGATTGCTGTTTCTAACAATTTATCAATATGCACTTCCTAAATTATTTTCTGGATTTTTTATATTGGCAATGTAGTAGCAATCCATTTCTGGCAATAATACCCATTTGACCTCTGCTTGAACTGACATCAACCCTTCAAAAAGTCTAAAACATATGCTTTTAAAAGAATCCAATTTGTTTTCTGCAGTTGTCAGAGAGCAAATCTGGGCCTTGGACAATGCGTTATATTCTCCATCTGTACATTTTAACATTACAACTTATAAACCTCTAAAGAAAACATCTTTCAATTTCTGACCCACATCTCCAAATTGCTGATTTTAAATAACTGATTAAAGACTTCTATCCAATTATTTAGAAAATGGATTCTCTTGAACCGTTCAGAAGTTCATAGAAAAAAAATGAATCATCCTATTGAGAGTCTTTGGAGCTTTGCGGGAGTTCCAGTCACTTGTAACCAGAAGAAATAAGTAACACTGTAATTACAGTCCCAATTAAGAGATAGAAAATGAAGCTAAAACTTGAGTTGTATTCTATTTTCAGAAACTTAACAGAAGACATAAGCTTTTCCTCAAGAAAATATTTTTTTAAATAAAAAAAGAGTCATCCAGGGCCTGATATCTCATGGTGTTCTGTCAATTTCCTTGGGCCATTCAGTTTTGACTGAAACATCATTCCTAAATAAGTATGCTGCAATCTTCCATCACTTTGTAAGTGGCAGGCTTTTATTTTCTGCCCCAAGAGAAAATACAAGATAAGCATTACCTTTGATTTTTCTTCATTTTCTCTATAAAATTCTGCCATCTGTTCCTCCTGCTCTTCAATAACATCCTTGAGTGTGTCTACTTGGTAGATCAAATTGTTCTTCTCATTGTCTAACTGTGCATTGGAAACCATGGCTTTCTTGTATTTTTCTTCCACTTCAGACAAAGATTCCTAAATGAGAGTTAAGTCATCAGTCTGATATCTAAAATGTTAATTGAATACATGCAATATAACAGGAAATTATAGCACTGCCACAAACACATAAAGATGCATTTTCATAAAATACAAGCGGTTTGGGGAACTCCTTGTTTAGTAACATGCATGTGAAACAGGAAGACAATAATAAGCCGATAATGCCTTTATAAGAACAATATGTGCTCTCTGTTCCCCAAGAAAACAAAATTAAGCAGCAACATAGCCTCTGAAAGATGAAAAGAATTGCAACAACATATATCTGTAAGGGTCATAAAATGAAGAATCATCAATATTTTCAGAAATTTTACTCTTATAATTTTAATAACAGACTGGTGTTCAGAACGCAGTGATACCACAGAATACAGCCTCTCTTTACACAGGTGAACTTCATACGCATTTGAATTTTGCCACTTTCTAGACAGTTGTTTTTAGTACTTTCCTGTTCTGCATAAAAATGCCAACATAAAGGTAAATATTTTTTCTAGCAATTATCCAAATTTCAATCATGTTTAAATAAGCAACACAAAAATGAATATTAAAAAAAGAGCTTGGCCAGGCACAGTGGCTCATCTCTGTAATCCCAGCACTTTGGGAGGCCAAGGGGGTAGACTGCTTGAGCCCAGGAGCTCAAGACAAGCCTGGGCAACATGACAAAAACCTGTCTCTGTAAAAAAAAAAGTACAAAAATTAGCCAGACACAGTGGCGCACACCTGTAGTCCCAGCTACTTGGGATGCTAGGTGGGAGGACCGATTGAGCCCAGGAGGTCAAGGCTACAGTAAGCAGAGATTGTGCCACCGCACTCCAGCCTGGGTGACAGAGCGAGACCCTATCTCTATCAATAAAACAAAACAAAATAAGAGAGTCTGATCTAGTGTCACAGTTTTGAAGTAAAAAAAAAAGGTACCACAAAATGCCTGGAACGTTACATATCTCAAAATTTTCTGCCTAAAATAGCTTACATGTTTTTTTGTGTGTAACTATATCTACTTTGGTAATTACTACTGCCTAATGACTTTTTTAAAGCTAAAAAAAATGTTTCACACAGGAAAAGTAATCATTTATGGAAATAAATTTAAAAAATACTAGCACAAATGTTTATCAATGAAATGGAACTAACAGCCCAGAACTTACATTTACAATCAGTTAATTTGGACAAAGGGGTCCATGTAACTCAATGGGAAAAGAATAAATGGTATTGGGACAAGTGGATACCCACAAACAAAAGAATGAAGTTGGACTCCCACCTCACACCATACACAAAAATTAACTCAGCATAAGCCATAGATGTAAATGTAAGAGCTAAAACAATAAAACGCTTCAAAGAAAATATGGACAAATCTTCATGAAGTTGGGATAGGCAATGGTTTTTCAGATACACCAAAAGCACTATAAACCAGCCGGGTGCGGTGCCTCATGCCTGTAATCCTGGTACTTTGGGAGGCTGAGGCAGGTGGATCACTTGAGGTCAGGAGTTCAAGACCAGCTTGACCAACATGGTAAAACCCTAAAACCCTATCTCTTGTACCAAAAATACAAAAATTAGCCGGGCATGGTGGTGGGTGCCTGTAATCCCAGCTACTCAGGAGGCTGAGGCAGGAGAATTGCTTGAACCCAGGAGGCAGAGGTTGCAGTGAGCCAAGATCATGCCACTGTACCCCAGCCTGGGTAACAGAGTGAGACCATGTCTCAAAAACAAACAAACAAACAAAAAGCATTATAAACCAAAAAAAAAGACTTCACTCAAATATAAAACTTTTTTTTTTTTTCGAGATGGAGTCTCACATTATTGCCCGGGCTGGAGTGCAATGGCGCGATCTTGGCTCACTGCAACCTCCACCTCCCGGGTTCACGCGATTCTCCTGCCTCAGCCTCCCGCGTAGCTGGAATTACAGGCACACATCACCACTCCCGGCTAATTTTTTGTATTTTTTAGTAGAGATGGGGTTTCACTATGTTGGCCAGACTGGTCTCGAACTCCTGACCTCATGATCTGCCCACCTCCGCCTCCCAAAGTGCTGGGATTACAGGTATGAGCCACTGCGCCTGGCCCAAATGTAAAACCTTTATGCTGCAAATGATATGATCAAGAAAGTAAAAAGACAACCCACAGAATGGGAGAAAATATTTATAAATCTTATATCTGATAAGGGACTTATATGCAGAATAATATATAAACAACTCTTACAACTCAACAATAAAGGACACACAAATCAATTTAAAAATGGGCAAGGACCTGGATATTTCTCCAAAGAGGATATGCAAATGGCAAATAAGCACATGAAAACACGCTCAACATCATTAGTCATTAGGAAAATGCACATCGAAACCACAATAAGATACCACCACACTCACTAGGATGGCTATAATCTATAATCAAAAATACAGAAGACAAGTGTTAGTAAGGATGTGGAGAAACTACATTTCCCATATATTGCTGGTAGGAACATAAAATGGTGCAGCTACTTTGGAAAACAGTTTGACAATTCCTCAAAATGTTAAATATAGTGTTACCACATGAGCCAGCAATTCTATTCCTAGCAATCTACCAAAGAGAATTGAAAAGATATGTCTACACAAAAACTTGCACACAAATGTTCACAGCAGCATTATTCATAATAGACAGAAAAGTATAAACAACCCAAATGCCTATCAACTGACAAATGGATTAACAAAATGCAGCAAATCCATACAGTAGAATACTATCTAGCCATTAAAAAAAGACTGACAGATAACATGACATGGGTGAATATTGAATATATTATGCTAAATGAAAGCCAATCACAAAAGACCACATATTGTATGATTCCATTTGTATAAAATCTCCAGAATAGGCGAATCTACAGAGACAGAAAGTTAGTGATTGGGGTTTCTTTTCTGGCTGATGAAAATGTTCTAAAGATGGGTTGTGGTGCTAGTTGCACAACTCTGTGAGTATGCTAAAAACTACTGAATTATATATTTTAAATGGGTAAATTCTTATGGAATGTGAATTATATCTAAATAAAAATACATACATACATACACACACTTTTTTTTTTTTTTCTTGGAGACAGGGTCTCACTCTGTCACCCAGGCTAGACCACTGTGGCACAATCTCAGCTAACTGCAGCTTCGACCTCCCCAGACTCAGGTGATCCTCCCATGTCAGCCTCCCGAGTAACTGGGACCACAGGCACGTACTACCACACCTGGCTAATTTTTTGTAGAGACAAGGTTTCACCATGTTGCCCGGGTTGATCTCAAACTCCTGGGCTCAAGTGATCCACCCACCTTGGCCTCCAAAACTGGATTGAAGGTATGAGTCACCACGCCTGGCCACACACACTTTTAATAATGCTTCATAAACCAGAATTAAGTTGTCAGGGAAGATTTAAACTACGATTAGAAACAAATTTAACCAAAACAAAGAATATAAGCAAAGTCAATTATACAGTGCTCTAAATGTATCTAAATGTATCTTACTATACTGCAGACTTTAAATAATTCTCATCCATCTGAGAGGCTAATAGCAGGAAAAAAGTCATCACAACTCAGTGCCATATAAAACCACATGAACACCAGAATTTAAGATAGCTCAAGTACTAGATGCATGCACAAAATATATAATACAATAAATAAGACATAAATGTATCCAATGTAATCTTCCTTTAAACACTAGACCACAAAAGACTGTTTTAAACAGAAGTGTCAGGTATTTTAGTGATCTTAATCTCACTCACATAGTGATACCCATTTGGAATTGGTTTTACTTAAATGCTTCTTTTTTTTTTTTTTGAGACGGAGTCTCACTGTGTCACCCAACCTGGAGTGCAATGGCACAATCTCAGCTCACTGCAACCTCAGCCTCCCGGGTTCAAGTGATTCTCCTGCCTCAGCCTCCTGAGAAGTTGGGATTATAGGCTCCCGCCACCATGCCTGGCTAGTTTTTGTATTTTTAGTAGAAACAGGGTTTCACCATGTTGGCCAGGCTGGTCTTGACCTCCTGACCTCAGGTGATCCACCCACCTCAGCCTCCCCATAGTGCTGTGATTATAGGCGTAAGCCACCGTGCCCAGCCTTGAATGCTTCTAAGTCACCGATTTTCAAAGTGTGGGTTCCAGATCAGCAGCAACAGCATCTCCTGGGAACTGGGTAAAAATGCAAATTTCCAATGCCATCCCAGACCCAATGAATAGAAAATCTGAGGGTAAAGTCTAGCAATCTGTATTTATTAAAAGCTCCAGGTGATTATGACACACACCAAAGTGCTGAAGCCACTGTGTTAATGTTTAAGCATTGATTACCTATGCCCATATACTTCTAGAACAAGCCTTCACAACCCTATGACCAAAATTGTCAACCAGATTGTGAGCTATCTGAATTCAGGGACATGATACCTTCATTGTTTTATTCTCAGTCACTTCATACATCAGTCAATTTACAGCTGATGGCAAGACTTACCCCTACAGTCTATTAACTCTTGACAGTTCTTTCTGGGATTACTGAAGTTAAAGCTATTTCTCTCCTTATTCTTACTGTCCTTCTAAGAATTAAAGGCATGGGCAATATTTAAAAAGAACATTGGCCAGGCATGGTGGCTCACACCTGTAATCCCAGCACTTTGGGAGGCAGAGGTGGGAGGATTGCTTGAGCCCAGGAGTTGTAGATGAGCCTGAGCAACATGGTGAGACTGCATTTAAAAAAAAAAAAAAGCGAAGGGGTCAAGCATGGTGGCTAATGTCTGTCATCCCAATGCTTTGAGAGGCCAAGCGGGAGAACTGCTTGAGCCCAGGAGTTCAAGACCATCCTGGGCAGCATAGCAAGACTCCGTATCTATAAAAAATTAAAACATCAGCCAGGCATGGTGGTGCACCCCTATAGTCCCAGCAGGCTTAGGATCGCTTGAGTCCAGGAGTTCAAGGTGGCAATGAGCTACGATTGTGTCACTACACTCCAGCTTGAGTGACAGAGCAAGAGACCTTGTCTCTAAAAAAAAATTTTAAATAAAAAAATAAAATTTTAATTTTAAAAAAAGTACCTAAGTAAAACATAAGATTTTCATTGGAGGTAAAAATAAATAATACAGATAAAGCAAAAGTCTTCCTTGACCACGCGCCCTCCAGAGGCACAAGTGCTATTGGTTTGGTAGATTATCTTTCAGGCCATTTCCTATTTGTTTACAGTATAAAATATATACCCTTGACTTCATATATATTTTTAATACAAATTATATACTCTACATTTTGTTCTATAGCTTGCCTTTTTTCAATACATCTTGGAAAGTTTTCAGTCACTATAGATTTACTATTGTTATTTATTGCTATAACTCTGTACTTAAATTTAATAAAGTATTAATTTTAATAGTTTTTAAAATGGGTTAATGGGTTTAGTCCTTTGACTTACAAAATCGTTAATCTTTCATGAAATAGATCACCTAAATTTTACAATTAATATTTTACTGCATTTTCTGGGTAATAGTACACATGAATATATATACACATATATACACATATATACTAGTACAGCATGGGCAAATGCTGTATTAGTAATAATAAACTTTCCTGATAAAAGGATGGAGGGGAGAGTGGTTGAGAGCATCCCAAAGGCAAACATAATAACAGTAATGTCACAAGCAATGAGCCAACATCCTTTTTCAATAGGATACATCATACCACCATGCTTGGTCACCAATCAGACAATCTTTTCTTTATTTTTATGGGTTTTTTTCCACTTCAAGTGTCAAGGATAAACGTAATCTGAAGTCAAGTTCAATTATATTCTGGCATGAATTAGGACAAGGGATCTCATCTGTTCAAATCTCAAATCTAATCTGTTCTTTTGTATTCTTCAAAGAATGCAATAAATGGTAGATCTAACATGAAAGGAAAAAACGTTTTAAATAAAATGCCAGTAAGAATGCCCCTGAATCACATGATTGCTTTCCTGATACACTGTTACACATGTGACTTTAATATATTTATTTAATGTACCGATTTGTTTGATCCAAGATAATTTCAAAAGTCGTATCTCTAAAACCTTAAAAGAGAGATTAAATCCTGAAGATTAAAGGAGTAAGATTAAATGAGAACATCAACTATTTCCGTAATTCTTCTGATATTTACTGACAAACTCATGCTGCCCTATCAGCAACTTGCAGGCTTCCCTCATGGGCACTTCCCATTGGACTTCTCACCTTTTTGGGTCCTGAGTCTTACTCTGTTTCTCATGGACCATATCACTTGCATGAAGAGTTTGGCTGATAGTGGCGCTACTTCAAATCATGCCAGGGAAGATGACAAAACCCTTGCCCATGAAATCTATGCTTTGTCCTTTGGATATATCCTGAGTCACCCTTCTAAATGTCTTGCTTTTTGCTTTTTTAGAGGTGTAGTGTGTATTTTACTTTTTTTGTTTGTTTGTTTGTTTGTTTGTTTTGAGACAGAGTCTCGCTCCGTCACCCAGGCTGGAGTGAAATGGCACCATCTCAGCTCACTGCAACCTCCACCTTCCAGGTTCAAGCAATTCTCCTGCCTCAGCCTCCCAAGTAGCTTGGATTACAGGCGCCTGCCACCATGCCTGGTGAATTTTTTGTATTTTTAGTAGAGACAGGGTTTCACCATGTTAGCCAGGCTGGTCTCAAACTCCTGACCTCAGGTCATCCGCCCACCTCGGCCTCCCAAAGTGCTGGGATTACAGGCATGAGCCACTGTGCCTGCCCTGTAGTGTGTATTTTGATTTCAAATCAGGACATACATGTGTTCAAATAAACTTCTGGTTTCTTCATAACAGGAGGCTTGAACTTCAGAATGACATGTGAGGAAAAGAAGAGCATGATAACCAAATGCTATGTACAACCAAACTGTCTGCCTCACACATTTATATTGAAAAATGTCAGTGATCCTTTCTGGGAAAAGATAAAGACCATTTACATTTACCTCCAAATTCTTTAAGGCACTAGATCTGTGTCATCTTTTTTGACCTATAGGTTAAAAAAATCCAAGCCAAAAGAAAATATAGGCCTCATGCCTTCATGTTCCTTCCTCCAGGGGGGATATTTATAATAATGGTGTCTCAGTTGCTACTTCCTCTCACATTTAATACTGACTGAGTTTGGTAACAGAAATATGCAACACTTTTTCATTTAGCGTGGAAGAAATTTTGAGGTCTAATTCTCAATAAAAATATTCTTAGTATTTTTTTAGGTGTTTGACCAATTTAATTTTGTATGGCTAAGACACCACGGATATGCATGTATTTTACAAGGTTTTAAAACTGTAAAGGAGGCTGGGCGAGGTGGCTCATGCCTGTAATCCCAGCACTTTGAGAGGCCAAGGCAGGAGGATGGCTTGAGCCCAGGAATTTGAGACCAGCCTGGGCAACACAGTAAGATCCTGTCTGTACAAGAAAAATAAAAAAGAAAAAAAAAAAACTGTAAATGATATCTTCTGCGGAATATTCAAAAACTGTACTACACATTTAAACATAAGCAGAGATTGAAAGTTCACCATTCCTATGCACTGCAGGTTAAGCACATGCTTGAAAGACAAACACTGTTAGTAAAGCTATGTGCAGTTGGTTAACAGAACTTGCAAAGCCACCATTGCCAACACTTCTGCATACAGAGCATGCTTGGGCTGCAGAATGGGCCCTGATACCTTTAGTTCTTTAAGCCCCTGCATGTATCTCCCTTCTACATCCTGTATCTGGTCCTTAAGGTCATAGATATCCTGCAGGACATAGGAATGAACCATTGCATAAAACCATGCACAAACGTATCTTAAATCGCAAAGGATTCAGATGAAATGTGACTCACTTTTGTATATTCCAGACTAAAAGCAGAGAAATCAAAGTACAAAAACATAACTCCCACTCCCAACCACTGAAAAGGGCAAATAGGTCAGGGGATAGTGGGACTGGGGGAAGGTCTAGAGTAATCAATCTAATGTTAAATATTTTCTTGGCATTAAATTCTGTTAATAACAGTGTAGCAAATGGGGACAGGGCTATATATGGAGGAAAAAGCTATATAAATTATAATATTTAAAATCATACAACTTTTAATATTTTATAAATCACTTAAAATTTTTTTAGCACAATGCTTCACCTAGAACTAGTAAAATATACAGTAAATTAATAAGAGGTGGCAAATTTTAATGATTCATGCAAAAGTTTTTTAAAAATATAATAAATGAATATGAACAAAGTTTTCTTTCAATGACTTGGTTACTGGCCACAATTAACTTGAGAGAAAGGGAGTAAAGGGAGGGAAGTTAAACATTTTGAACAGAATGTCAAATGAGATATTCTATCCTGAGGATACCATTTAAATGATGAGAAAAGCACTTGCTCCAAATGTTACTATAATCCTTATAAGAAAAGTGAAACAGGTCAAATTTTAAATGGAAAATACTGTTTCCCTGTGTCTGACCTTGTTATATAAGGTCTATTCTGAATGCTCGATTTATGTCCGAAATAACTGCACAGGGCCCTAAATACAATTCTGCAATTACAAGCAGGATCAATTATTAAAGGCTGATTATACACATTTTTGGTATTATATTTTCCCTGCCTCCTTCATTGCCTCTCCAGTAGGTTTGACTGTCTTTTACTTATCGATTCATTCAATACACATTTATGAAGGACCTATTTAGGAGGCAGATGGTAGGATACAAAAATAACACTTCCTTCAAGAAGGTCATTCTCTCAAGGAAGAAAAAACAAGCAACAAGTAGTATGACAAAAGAAAGCTAAGTCTAAGGCTGGAAGGCCTTGTCCTCTCATATCCTTTTGTCCCATTAGAATGCAGTAGCTAAAGGCAAGAGTTTATCTTATTCAACTTTCCACCCTGGCATTTATGTCTGGTACATAGTAAGAGCTGGTAAGAGCTCAATTAATACTGTCACCTTCAAACCAATGGCCATGCTGGCCTAGGTGCTCTCCTTCTCTGCCGCTGTTGCAAGCCTCTCTATCCTCCCCTAACCCCCCAACCCATTTTCACAAGTAAGACTCCTTTTCCAACCCTACCGACAATTTATTTTTTTTTTTGAGATGGATTCTCGCACTGTTGCCCAGGCTGGAGTGCAGAGGCACGATCTCGGCTCACTGCAACCTCTGCCTCCCGGGTTCAAGCAATTCTCCTGCCTCAGCCTCCCAAGTAGCTGTGATTACAGGTGGCTACCACCATGCCCAGCTAATTTTTTGTATTTTTAGTAGAGACGGGGTTTCACTATGTTGGCCAGGCTGGTCTCAAACTCCTGACCTCGTGATCCACCTGCCTTGGCCTCCCAAAGTCCTGGGATTACATGGGTGACAAATTTTTTTTTAAGGCTAGTCAAGTGAAGCAATGAAGGTGGAGAAGGAACAAATAAATCTGTAACCGCTTGTGATCAATTACTTGTAAACATTACTGCACTCAGACTAGCCCCTACCTACAATCTTAGTCACCGCCTGTCCTCTACCTCCCCTCCAGTGAAGAGGGGACCTCCAGTCCAGGCAAGCTCATCCATCTGAGTCCTGGACTCTCCTCTCACCCACGCAGGTATTTTGATCTGTCAGTTACCCCTCTCTCCTTCCTCAACCTTCCTCCTCTCTCTACTGGTTCAACCCAACCAAAGAAAATAATAATCACTCTCACCTTTAAAAGAAAGCTAAAAACCTTTTCTTAAATTTCTCTCTCCCTACCAATTGCCCAACCAATTCCCAGTCTCTCGTATTCACTCCAGAGCAAGTTTCTCATATTTTCTCCCCTTGCAGTTTTGACTTGCTCACCTCATCCTCACTGTTGAACCACAGGGTTACTGAACTTCTGGCCTGCAATGCTTCCTCTGACTGTGATCAAAGTTATTTTTTAAGAATGCAAAGCAGATAGTATTGCTCTCCTATTTAATATCCCACAGTTGTCAGGGTAAAACTGAATTCCTTTCAGGCTAGCATACAAGATGCTTTGTGATTTGGCCCCTCACTACTTTTCCAGCCTTCTCTCTTACACGCTACTATTCTTCACTTCTCATGCCACCCTCTGGCAACTTTGCTATACAGGTAGCTTTCTGGGTTGTCTGAATGCATCTCTTTGAGGAAGCCTTCCCCCTTCAATTACTTTCCTTGGTTAATTTTTATTTTTCCTTCAAACTTTAGCTCAGAGTTTGTCTTTTCTGAAAAGCCTTTTGTTACCTCTTCTCCTAGTCCAATTTAAATGATGCTTTCTTGAATTACCTTAACAGCCCCATTCTTGCTACTACCATTGTATAACACCACCTGGTTTTATTGGTTTGTATCAGTTTGTCTTCCCTATGAAAAAGGGAAATCCTGAAGGCCAGAACATATTTTGCCTCTTAAATCTCCAAGGCCAAGTGCTCAATAAATCTTGAATGAACAAATGTATGCAATTTCTCTCACTATCCCCTGCCTCACAAACAGCAGGTTCAGCAAATAAAATATATATTTTTTAAAGTTCTCTTTTTCCAAGTAAAGGGGTTAATAAGGATGGAGACTTAATGAGTCAAATAAGCTTTTCATTATCTCAGGTATTTCTGTTACCCAAATATTATTACACTTCTATTACTATGAAAAACTGAGAGATAACTATATTCAAGCAGCTGAATACCATCAAGGCTCAAAAGACTAATAATTCCCACAATCTAGTTCTTTGTACACTCACATATTTTCCATTTAAAACATGGCCAGTTGTTTCTGAGAGAATTACTTTTACATACATTACAAAGTGGGTTTTTTTTGGCATTTGTAAATTAGCAGAAATTCCAACACCATTAAATTTACAGGAAAGAGGACAGAAAAAAGAACTATCTAATCTCCTTCCTTTCAAGCTCTGAAACACTTGAGTCACACTTTTGTACAGTACTTATTTTTTAAAAAGAAATCATATTCCTTCTTTCTACTAAGTCACATTAAAGGTTAAAAGTTCCAGTATATTACCAAGTCAAAAAACTGCTTTTAAAAAGAAAACCAAAAACTTCAGTTTACCCGCAATTCACTTAATGAAGTGTCTGGATCTATTAAGCTGCTGGTGTCCCCACTTCCTCGTCTGGATGAGTTTCCACTTAGAGGGGTTGTTGCTGAGGCAGAATTTCGAGATGAAGGCTAGAAAGAGAAATATGACCCTTCTAAGTCTCATTTCTTTAAAAATATGTTTGCTGTGGAAACTAAAAACAGGGCAGGGTGGTTGGGGGAAGATGTGGGTTTCAGATGAAGAAGTTACCATGTGTAATCAATGGTCAATTTAGATTGGCTTTGCAGGTATCCAGGTATACAGAGAAGGGCCCAAGCATACTAAGCAAAATTTCATGACACAAATACCTTATCAAAATCTATAATTCGTAATAACCAAAAAGAAAATCGTTTTTATGAGGGTTATTTTCTAAGTTTATCTTTGCTATCCTGTAAACAATACTTAAGTGAGCACATCAGATTAACTTAAAGCAGTTTTAGAATTTTATAACTGATATGCTAATCAGCACTTCCCCTTTTTAATTTCTGAACTGCTTATCAATCTCTTCTTTCTCTAATACTCTGTTGAGTTGATAAAGGTGAAGATACTATTTGCAGCAGAGAGTAGCAACACTGGATATCACTATGAATGTAGACTGTTCTTCCCAAAATTCATTTAAACGTGAGATTATGCTATTGATTAATAAACTGCATGAATCTGTGCTGTCCAATATACTTGCGATTAGCCACATGCAGCTACTGAGCACTTGAAATGTGGTTAGTCCAAATTGAGAGTTGCATATAGGATACATACCAGATTTTGAAGGCTTAGTGTAGAAAAAAGAATGAAATATATCTCATTAATAATTTTATATTTATTATTTTTATTATTTTTTTTGAGGTGGAGTCTCGCTGTTGCCCAGGCTGGAGTGCAGTGGCACAATCTTGGCTCACTGCAACCTCTACCTCCTGGGTTCAGGCAATTTTAATGCCTCAGCCTCCCAGACTGAGGAGTAGCTGGGACAACAGGCACGCAAAACCATGACTGGCTAATATTTTTTTTGCATTTTTAGCAGAGACAGGGTTTTACCGTGTTGGTCAGACTGGTCTCGAACTCCTGACCTCAAGTGATCCACCTGCCTTGGCCTCCCAAAGTGTTGGGATTACAGGCATGAGCTACCTAGTCTGGCCTAGTAATTTTATATTGGTTATATGTTGAAATAGTTTGGATATTTGGATTAAATAAAATATATCACCTAAATTAATTTTACCTGCTTTTTACTTTTTAAATGTGGCTACCAGAAAATTTAAACTTACATATAAGTTCGCATTTGTGGCTCGCATTACATTTCTACTGGACAGAGTTAATTTATCTTTCTTGGGTATAGCATAAAATTAATCTTGATAAATCATCTCCCTGACTTTCTAATAATACTTTCAGAAGAAAGAGACTTTAACACAAAGCAAATTCTAGAAAGGAGTTATTTTACTTCAAGAAACAATTTATATATATAAAAGGAAAAAATATCTCAGAGTTTGTCACCACCATTCCTAAAGAAACTTCATTTTCAGTGTTTACTGGCTTCTTCTCAGGATCAATTTCTAGAGGAATGAAAATCAAAAGAGCAGCCAAAAGCTAAAGAGGTGACATTCAAGGAAATAAAATGCAGTGCCTCTTCTCTTCCCAGGGCCTCACATGATTTAACTCCGAAGGAATTTTGGAGGGTCAAGGACAGGAAATAGATGAAGGGAGGAAGAGCAGCTACATCAGACCAATTGTTGTAAAATAAATAATGAACAAGTTACAGATAGCAAGTTTAATTGACCTTGAGAATTTCCCTTAGGAATTTACATACTCACTCTTGTATAATTTTCAGCATACTGTTTGTCAGATTTTTCATCCAACTAGAAAAGAACAAAGATAAAAATCAGTAAAGATGCTTAGCAAGTTGACTTTTTTTGGGAGGAAAAAAGTGATCTTGAGTTTTCCAAGTTCAATGATGTTTGAAGCCTAAAAATAAACATATTAAAAATGAAATTAAAATTCCAGTTTAACATAAGATAAAATGTCAGCAACTTTAATTTTTATCCTAAGGGAGACACTGAGTAAGCAATCTATGTTTACTCAAAAGTTTAGAACTTTTGGGTAAATTTTCTGTTTAAGGTATTTAAAACACATTAAAGAAGGCTACATATAAAGTTTTAGCACTGCAAATGTTAATACAAAAAAAGCTTGTACATATCAAAAAGAAAAGTCTGATAAAACCAAAAGCGAAAAACTTTTATTTCTAAACATTATTAGGACACAGGACACACAGATAAAGACTAGTACACTCAGCCAAAAAAGTTCAGATTAGATTAAAGCATGTTAAATATGTCACCAAAATATTTTCCCCCACATCAAGGATTTTTTGTTTTCTCAGTAATACATGCACATGACCAAAAAAAAAAAAAAAATCAAACAGCACAAAAGAGTATGAGTAGGGCTCTCTCCCTACCATGCCATACCCTGACCACCAGTCTCTAATAGCAACCAACCACAAAGTCTTTAAAAAAATTCTAGTAAGTGTCCCATATATGTTCTACATCTTCTTTTTCCCCTTACCAAGTCTCAGAGATTTGAGAAATTACTTCATCTTTCTTCATAGCATTTATCACTCCCTGACACTACGGTATTTATCCATTTATTTATTGTCTGCTCTCTTTCTATAATGTAAGCTCTATATCAGTATGTTCTTTTCTGTACTCCTAGTATCAAGAATAGTGTCTGGCATAGAGAAGGGCTCAAAATTTGTTGGATGAATGAATAAATCATACCCCATCTATACTAATAGACTTCCCTCATTTATTTTAAACAGCTTCATAGTAGCCTGTTATCTCAACTTGCCACAATTAAATTAACCTATCTTCTGTAGATAGGCCTTAAGGTTGTTTCAGACAGTATTTCAAGAAGGGAGGTACCTTAAAAGTCTAGTCCAAACCCTGAGTTTTATAGCTAAGGAAAAAGAAATTCAGAGGTGACAGATTTTGCTGAAGGTTGCAGAGCTGAATCCAACCCTTAGTTTTGTAAATTTTCAATTCAGTGTTCATATTGTTTACCTGAATATATATGTTATTCCAATTATCACCAGGAGAAAAAAGGCACATAGGGATGTAACTAAATGAAAATAACTCCAACTCCTACACAAACCTTCTAGACCCAATCTAGAGAAGAGATCTGAAAACCTTCTCAGTTAATTATTAAAACATGAAACATCATTTCTGGCTCTACTCAGAACACTTCACCCTAACTTCCACATATCTGAAAGTTTTTAGTGTTCTTTTTATTACCCACACTTATGTTTATAAATATTCTTTATTATGATGATAGTATTACATCAGTAATATAAACACTATTTTTAGACATTTAACTCTTTGTTACTTCTTGCTGTAAAAACTCTGAAAAAGAAACTAATTTTAGTTCATTTTAATTTTTAAAACAACATATAAATGTTTCAAAGCAGGTAATGACAGCGATTGAAATGTTTTTTTTTTTACTATACTTTAAGTTCTAGGGTACATGTGTACAACGTGCAGGTTTGTTACATATGTATACATGTGCCATGCTGCTTTTTTTAACTTTAATTTTTTTTCTTTTTTTTCTTTTTTTTGAGACAGGGTCTCACTCTGTCACCCAGGCTGGAGTGCAATGGTGCGATCTTGGCTCACTGCACCCTCTGCCTCCCAGGTTCAAGCTAGTCTCCTTGCCTCAGCCTCCTAAGTAACTGGGATTACAGGCACCCGCCATCACGCCCGGCTAATTTTTTTTTGTATTTTTAGAAGAGATGGGGTTTCAACATGTTGGCCAGGCTGGTCTCGAACTCCTGACCTCAAGTGATCCGCCCACCTCAGCCTCCCAAAGTGCTGGGATTACAGGCATGAGCCACCATGCCTGGCCTGAAATTTGTTTTTAAATACTATATTGCCAATTATTGCCATAAAAAGGAATAATCCTTTTACACATCTATACTGCATTGCCCAATATTTAATGTATTATTCTTCAAGATGAAAGAAATATTATATTTGAATAAACTGCCTTATCTTCCTGAGTATTTTCCAACTCTTTTCTGCTAATGTGTTAAAGAGAAAAGCACACAGCATTCAAAATTAAAAGTCTTCTAAGCTTATTTGAAATCCTTCCTCATACCCACTTCTCACAAAAATGACCTCCAAAATCATCCAGTTTTTAATAGACTGTCCATGGAATAATCTTATATTTCAGAGGTTGCATCACTGAACTAATCCATCACAATGTTGACTCTATTGCTTTCACCATCTTCTGAGAGATCCCAATTGTCGCAACCCAAACTGATCATGCACCAAACCTCGGAGATTGTCAAGCCAGCAAAAATTACCCAAAGCAACCATGCCATAGTTCTCTTATTTTGGCTACACTAACTTGGCAAGTTCTCACTTCTTAGACTTGTACTATCTTGTGTGCTATCTTCCATTTAGACAAAAACCTAGCTGAAACTTGGTATTCTAAAAGCCCAATAGGATCCAACAGCCAAGAGTTCTACATGGCTGCAATGCAATAACAAGCTAATGTTCATAATGATGATCCAGAGTCTGCCAGATCCAGAAAAAAGCTTTTTAAACAGAATAAAATTTAATCATATTTAATATATTAAGCTGTAAAACTGTAGTTTAATAAAGTATTTACAGTGTAGTTTCTTCAATGCAGTCATTGGATCTTGATCTTTTGTTAATTTCTAATTTATATATATACTAACTTGATAATGCTACTCAAAAATTGTTTGAAAAAATATCTGATTTCCACAACCACAGAAGGGAAGACATCAATCAATTTTAACAATTTCCTAAAGCAAAACTGGCTAAGGATTCCATTTAGAAATGGGTTTAATTATTAACAATCAGCAAAATTTCAGTTTTGCTTAAAAAACATTTACATTTGTTTGCTTTATTGTAGCCTGACTTACAAAACAGAAATAAAGCCAATGTAGAAGAAAATAAGAGGCTAGAACCCCCAAAAATATTATATAGGCTTGCAGAAACATGACCTGGCACCCTTTCTCAGCACCTCCTAGCTCAGAAGTTATAAACTATTAGCCTACAAACATATTTAGTACACAACGAGGTAACCAGAAAATGTCTTTTAAAATTCTGAATTCGTTGCCAGCATTTAAAAATCATAATATTTCATGTTGAAATATTTCCAGGTCACCGTTTTTTGAAAGTGGGAGGGGAGGGAGGTCTATCAACATCAAGTCCCCTTTGTATTCCTCTACAAGATGAGTTGGACTACAGCATACCCTTAAAAAGAAATACTACTAGAGAAAGTTATTTGCTCCAGAGAGAGGCCCAGAAAATACTGTAGGCTTTTCCAGGAGGCAAAATTAAGGATAAGGTACTGATATGTAACCATTTAAAAATACACAAATCACCTGTAATCCCAGCGCTTTGAGAGACTGAGGCAGGAAGATCAGTTGAGCCCAAGAGTTTGAGGCTGCAGTGAGCTATGATGGCTCCACAGCACTCCAGCCTGCGAGACAGAGCGAGACCCTGTCTCTTTAAAAAAATATATGTATGTATGCGTATATATATACACATACATACATACATGTATACATACATACATACATGTGTATGTATATATACATATACATACATATATGTATACACATGTGTGTGTCTGTGTGTGTATACACAAATACATATAAATAAACCAGTAGCTTGCAGACTATAAAATAACAGGGGTTAGCCAGATTTGTAAATCCCTGTTCTAGAGAACTTTTTCCTTATGTTAAAGAGTTACAGTTAACTAGTAGGGGCAGGGGGAGATTTTTTAAACTGTCAGCACTTTCACTTATATGTAAGTACTAAAGTAAATCATCACAAAATAAATATAAGGAAGACATAACTATTAATTCAGATATTATAAATTAAGAGGCTGACAGAATTCAGTTTTTAAGAGAACAGATGTAAACAGTAAGTTTAATTGTCCATACTTATGGGGGAAAAACGGGGATTGCTAGGCAATTTAATATAAAGGGCAATATTTCAGGGGAATGACTTGGAAACCAGTCTTCTAACTTTGTATGCAGAGAGAGTTATTGATTAGACCCACACCAAGATGATACTGTTGCATAGCCAGATTTGAGAACCAATGATCTGGAATGCTTAAGAACCACACATAAAATTATCTTCTAGAATTAAAACAGTTCAGAAATAGTTATTTAAATACGATCAGTGAAATGCTAATTATAAATAATTATTTCTTCATTTAAAACTACTGTCTAACGTTTCTATTAAGAAATGTTGGCTGGGCGCGGTGGCTCATGTATGTAATCTCAGCACTTTGGGAGGCTGAGGTGGGTGGACCATGAGGTCAGGAGTTCAAGACCAACCTGGCCAAGATGGTGAAACCCCGTCTCTACTAAAAATAAAAAAAATTAGCCAGGCGTGGTGGCAGACGCCTGTAATCCCAGCTACTCGGGAGGCTGAGGCAGGAGAATCACTTGAACTCGGAGGGTGGGGGTTGCAGTAAGCCAAGATCGTGCCACTGCATGCCAGCCTAGGTGACAGAGTGAGACTCCGTCTCAAAAAAAAAAAAAAGAAAGAAATGTTGGCCAGAAGTGATGGCTCATGCCTGTAATCCCAACACTTTGGGAGGCTGAGGCAGGTAGATTGATTGAGGTCAGGAATTCGAGACCAGCCTGGACAAGACAGCAAAACCCTAGCTCTACAAAAAATACAAAAATTAGCTGGGCGTGATGACACACGCTTGTAGTCCCAGCTACTTGGGAGGTTGAGGTGGGAGGATCACTTGAGCCCAGGAGGTTGAAGTTGCAGTGAGCTGTGATCGCACTGCTGCACTCCGACCTGGACGATAGGTCTCAACCCTGTCACCAAGAAAAAAAAAAAAAAAAGAAGAAGAAGAAGAAAGAAAGAAAAATGCCACCTCTCACCCCCTCCAAAGTGCTTGACAATCAGTACAATCAGTATAGCCTTGGTCCATGGGCAAAACAACACTAATGCCAGCAAGAGAGGAGAAGCGTCAGAGAGATAATCAGGCTGTTATTTTGAGATGAGCAGGTAGATCCTAAGTTGTTGGCTGGAGTTCATTCATTAAGACAAATGCCCCAAGGACAATCCTTTCCTAAATTCAGTTCCTGATGAATGTGGGAGCAATGGATAGGCACACTTCTTCAGAACAATGCCATAATCCAAATATTTAAAATATATTCAGATTGTTCCTGGTTAGTACAAATTAGTGACACTTTACTAAGTGCTATATTTCATTATTCAACTTTCTAAGTCTACCTATCACTTTATAGATTCACTAAAATCAAAAAGGAAAATACTTTTTTTAACCAATAAGGAATGTCTGAATAAGGGCTAGGTATTAGATGATACTAAGGAATTACTTATTTCATTAGTGATGATAATGATATAAGAGATCTGAAAAAATGTTCAGTTACAGATACATATTGAACTATTTATTGGGAAATGACATGACATGGGATTTGCTTTAGAATAACTCAGGGAAAAAAAGGAGGGAAGGGGGAAGAAATCAATGAAACAAAATTGGCAAAATATTGATAATTGTTGCAGATGCTGATGGGTTCTATGCGGAGATTTTTCCACAGAGGGGGAAAAAGTTTTTTTTTAAAAAAGAACATATTAATAAATACATTCCAAAACAGAGCAAATGTGTTTGATTTTAACATGTTCAAACAATTCTTTTTTTTTTTTTTTTTTGAGATGGAGTCTCACTCTGTTGCCCAGGATACAGTGCAGTGGTGTGGTCTCGGCTCACTGCAACCTCCACCTCCTAGGTTCAAGCGATATTCCTGCCTCAGCCTCCAGAGTAGCTGGGATTACAGGTGTGCGCCCCCACACCCAGCTAATTTTTTTTGTATTTTTAATAGAGACAGAGTTTCACCACGTTGGCCAGGCTGGTCTCGAACTCCTGACCTCAGGTGATCTGCCTGTTCTGGTCTCTCAAAGTGCTGGGATTACAAGTGTGAGCCACCATGCCCGGCCCAAACAAATATTTCTTAAGACAATAAATCAAGTTCCCACTTTTATTATAAAATAGCTAACATATTAGCTGTTAGTCACAAGCCTGGGACAACATAACCAACCACCCCATGCAATACACTCACGCTGGACAAATCTGGGATACTGATATCATCCACCTCAGAGACAACACTTCCCCTACGATTGGAGCGACTGAAATAATCAGCGGCAGATACCTTTCGGTCAGAAAAAAAACAAGATGCTTTCAAGGTTAAGAAAAAAGAAAGAAAAAAATAAGAACATTGGCCAATTAGGGAAAAGTTTTTTAAAATTTTGATGGGTGATAAAGTACCAAGAAATAAAATGAGGAAACTGCTGCAATTAACCTACTCAAAAAAATAAAAAAGAAAAGGGGTTCCTAAATGAAATCACAGCTCTACAATCAGCTTTTTTACTCATCTTAACTAGAGTCCTATGCTACAGAGAACATTTACTTCCTGAGGACCAGCAAATCTCTCATGTTTAAGATATTTATCACCCTGAACAGAGGCATTTCTAGGTCAGTATATACCTCTACTATAATTCTCAAAATTTATAATTCATTATAGCTATCAACTCTGTTAAGAATATATATGCTGAATGCAGAATTATTTGCAGGGTGTTTACTGCACCTTTTCTCAGTTTACACAGTTCCCCTTTTTTTATATTCCCAAAGACCAGGAAATGTAAGACAAAATAATGAAGGAAATAAACTATACCGGCCTCTTTTTAGTTCCCCAAACACACCAGTTCTCCCTCACCTTAGGCCTTGGCACTGGCCTAGAACGCTCCCCTCCCAGCTCTTCAAGCAACTGGCTCCTCACATTTCAGGTCTCAGCTCAAAGGTCAGTTTCTCAGAGAAGCATCTCTAATCACCCCATCCAAAGGGTAACCCACACACATAGACCCCTCCAGGTTCCCTATCACATTATCTGTTCTCTTCACAGTCCCTGACATTTCTTTCTTTTTGTTTCTTTACTAGCTTATTTTCCATCTCTTTCACGAGGATATAAATTCCATAAAGTCAGAAATCTAGTCTGACTGGCTTAAAATAGTATTCCTAGCACTTAACACAGGGCTTTGAATACAACAGGTACTCCACAAACATTTATTTAATTTTAAAATAAGTGATTTTTTTTTAACCTCATTCATCATCTATTCCTTACTTCAGCTGACTGTTTGCCTTGCTTTAAAATACTTCTCAAGGAAGGGAATTCAGAAGCCCATCCACAGAGATAAAACAGGCTTACAAGTATGAAGTTTTGCTAAGGACTGATAAAATCAAGCAATGGTATTTTTATTCACAATAATAATAATAATGATTGCATTTATAGATATTAATATTTATTGGCACCTATTTGAGAATTTTGATAGGCATTTTCTATATAGTATTCCATTTAATCCATATATTAAACCTACCTACAAAGATAGTATTAACATCCCCAATGTACAAATAAAGACACTGCCATTTACACACTAACAGGTAGTAGAAGTGGATACAAGCCCAAGCATCATTATTTAAAGTCCCTGCCCTTTCCACTCCACTGCGTTCCAAGGTGTTTTTAGGTGTTGTGGCATATTATTTCTCCTTCAGTTGTGAGCGTGAGCATTAGTTGCTTTGCTAAGGAACTAAAACGGCTTTAATTAAATAAATGAATGTATGGTAACAAATCTCTCCAACATTTAATGTTCCCCTTCTCTATGAAAACTCGGGTTTATAATCTTTCACATAACTCATGTTAAATGGCCTATTTTTCTTAAAGGAATTACAGCCTCTTATGCTCTTTATTCTAGCTCTAAGCTGACATACCATCCGGAACAATGTATTTTCCAAATCAATTTCTTAAATATAACAAAAATGTCATCAGTTTTCTGTAAAATTTAAAGCTTCATTAAAGAATAACCTGAAATTATATTATTTGTATTCTAACATAGCTATTTGTTGCCTCTACAATTATTATCCAATTGAATGTCTAAGACTAGAATTTTTAAATTTTGTCATTAGCAATTCTTAAGTTCACAAGTCTTTTTTTTTTTTTCTTTTGAGAGGCACAGTCTCACTTTGCTACCCACACTGGAGTGCAGTGATGCAATCATAGCTCACTGCAGCCTCAAACTCCTGGGCTCAAGCAATCCTCCCACCTCAGTCTCCCAAGTAGCTGGGATTATAGGCATGAGCCACCCTGACTGGATTACAGGTCTTAACAGGTGGATAAACACTGGTTAAATCTAAATACAACAATATAGAAAGCAATTAATGGTAACATGATTTGTAATCCATAGTTATGAGTTTTATACAATATGGAAACATTAATTTTGCTGAAGAAATTTGTCTTTGGTGAACTGCACACACATGTATGTGCATAAAACAGCAACAAAGAAGAAAAAGTAAAAACTTTTCAAATAATGATTCACTCCTAAGAGATGTAAAAAGGCAAATTATTAATGAAAGCTTGCACAGCCCACAGAGAATATGTGTTCTCAACATGTTTTATAAGGCAAAATATTTATATAACTAAATTTGAGGAAAATGCTCTTTTTGTCAAATGCAAACTTCACTTTCCAACAGACTTCATGTGATCATGCATTGCTGTCATTTAAAACTCATCTTATTTCTTTGCATGCAAATCATGCTCACCACACTCTCCCTTCGTCCACGACTGGCACGATCAGAAGACACAATGCTTGCAGTGTCATCGTTGGTAAACTATAGATATTAAATGCAGATAATGAAAAAGATGCAATTTTGCTATGGTGTTACCTCATTATAAGTACATTAAGGAAGGTTTTGAGATGCATATGAATAACTATATAAGCAGCATAATTGGTATAATATAGTGGGCACCTTATATATTAATAAAAAAGCTGGTACAAGGCATAATAAACTGTTATTAAAAATCAGGAGACATTTCCAAAAAGCACAAATAAAGTAAAACCTTATATTTTATTTAAGTTACATTAAAGAAAGCCAGGAGCGGTGGCTCATGCCTGTAATCCCAGCACTTTGGGAGGCCAAGGTGGGTGGATTGCTTGAGGTCAGGAGTTCAAGATGAACCTGACCAACATGGTGAAACCCCGTCTCTACTAAAAATACAAAAATTAGCCGGGTATGGTGGCGGGTGCCTGTAATACCAGCTACTCGGGAGGCCGAGGCAGGAGAATTGCTGGAACCCAGGAGGCGGAGGTTGCAGTGAGCCAAGATCGTGCCATTGCACTCCAGTCTGGGTGGCAGAGCAAGACACCACCTCAAAAAATTAAAGAAGGGGAGGTGCATAAGTAAGCCAACCAAAACCAGCTAGGGATTTCATACTTTTTAAACCTCTGGGCCCTTTGGGATCCCATCAGGGGTCAACAAATATACTTAATGTTTTTGTTTGAGAGAGAAAATAAAAGAATATTTTAAAGCAAAACAATGTAAGTCAATGACAGAAATTCCTACAACAAGGACAACGAAGTGATGGTTCTTATTTCCTTTATTCATTCCTATGCAGCTAGTGGAGATGTTGCTAACATCACCCTACATGGCTCTGTCATCTTCTTGCTTTACCAGCCAAAGACTCATCTTCGATATGTGTAGTTTATCTCCATTCTAACATCACTAAGAAACCATTCTGGCATCACTAAAATAGTTATTCTAACCCCAACCTGCAAATGAAATACGATCTAGCCAGCCTATAAGGACAAGATCCTACATTTGACTGAAAATATAAGCTGGGTACAGTAATACACACCTGCAGTCCCAGCTACTCAGGAGGCTGAGGCAGGAGGATTACTTGAGCCCAAGAGTTCAAATCTAGCAGGGGCCACATAGAAAGCTACCCTCTCTAAATAAAAATTAAAATTAGGCCAGGCACAGTGGTTCACGCCTGTAATCCCAGCACTTTGGGAGGCCGAGGTGGGTGGACCACCTGAGGTCACAAGTTTGAGGTGGGTGGACCACCTGAGGTCACAAGTTTCATGATTCACAATTTACCTTGCAGATTTACCCATGTAAGTACACAAAAATATACTTGGATAAGAATGGTCATTGTATAAGTGTCTATAGTAGCAAAAATATGACAATCTAATGTCCATCACAGGGAAATGACTATTTTTTTTTTTTTTTGAGATGGAGTTTTGCTCTTGTTGCCCAGGCTGGAGTGCAATGGCGTGATCTTGGCTCACCGCAGCCTCCACCTCCCGGGTTCAAGCAATTCTCCTGCCTCAGCCTCCCGAGTAGCTGGGATTACAGGCATGTGCCACCACGCCAGGCTAATTGTGTATTTTTAGTAGAGGTGGGGTTTCACCATGTCGGTCAGGCTAGTCTCAAACTCCCGATCTCAGGTAATGTGCCCTCGGCCTCCCAAAGTGCTGGGATTACAGGCGTGAGCCACCATGCCCGGACAGGAAATGACTTTTAAAATGTATACTTACGCACTAACAGAATATATTGCCATTAAAAAGAATGTGCTAATATGAAACTACCTCTAAGAGACATGAAGTGGAAAAACTAAGGGACACAGCTTACTTGTTTAAAATTTTTATCAAAAAAAGAAAGAATGAAATAAATTTATAGGTGCTGATACAGAAAGCTACTTTAAATAAAGAAAATATATTGAGGAGCAGTATGTAATATGACCCATTTGCACTCAAAATAAAGAGCACTCATACGTGCATAAAATATCTCTGAAAGGTTATTGAAGAACAGAGATTACATTTGGGGAAGGAAAATGGGGAATTTTACTTTGAATTTTCCTTAACTAATATTATTTTTATAAACTTTTAAAAATACTCTAGAAAGATTAGGTAATTATAATTGTCCCAGTTTTGTCTTTCGTATAACAATTTTTTTTAATCAGCTTGTTTTATTTCTTCTCCTTTCACTGCACTGATAGAAGCGCTGGCAAGCAGGTGAAATGGCTCAATGTGCAGAATGTAAAGATAGAAAGGAGAAACACAGGATAGTCAACCTATACAATGAATTATCACCACTGAAAGACAAGAAGTTCTACACAAATGAAAATTAAATATAAAAACTTTAAAAATTCTAATGGCACTGGTTAGAGACTCATTTAAGAAATTACATGCTAAGTCACATTTATAGAGAAATCACCAATTATTAGGACAAATTAGTGCTTGAGTTTATGTACTAAGGGAACACCTAATCCATGCACAACAAAGTGAATCACACCATATCCTCAATATTCTAAACAGTGAGTACAGATTAACGCAACAATCAAAAATTTCTACAAAGCATGCAGAGACTAGACAGCTCACCCCTGGACTGCTTCGGGCTGAACTTATTCTTGATGAATAATAACTGCATTCAGATGGCTATAAAGTTTCCAAGAAGAAAGGTTTTACAACAATGATCACCTCATTATTCTAATGAGAATACATTAGGGACCATTTACCTAACTTGCCCCTGGTTCTCAAGATAAAGGTAACTGTTATTCAGTGGTGTAGAACTCTACCTCATCCCCACCCTCAAGATCCACCAGCCCTTGGCTAGAGGGAGCGAAGAGGAAGGGGATGCCCTGAGAAGTGCTGCTCAGAACTTCTTCAGGAGGAACTAATGAACAAGAAAAGTGGTTTTTCTATGCATTTCCCTAATACTTGAAATCATGATTTCCAGCAGGCATTTTATCACAGCTTGGGTGAGAGTCACAACTGGCTAGCTCAATGACTTGATCACAGCTTAGAGAGTAATTCCAGGTCAGATTAAATGACTTTTTCTTTGTATATTTTTCTTTTTTATTAATTTTTGACTTTTTCTTTGAAAGTAAACTGTGCCCACCCACATTTCCCTCCTCTTCACCACCTTCCCCTATTTAGACTTACAGTTCGAGGACCATAAGGGTTATATAATCCACCATTGTACAATGATGCCTAAGGAACAAAGGAAATATCACTTAGCTATTTAGCTTCAAGGTTGTTTTGAAAATGACTTAATGTTTTCACAATACTCAGTACCAAAAAAGTTTTGGAGAATGATATAAGTGTATAGCCTCCCAGAATGAAAACCCTGAAGGCGGTAATACTCATTTATATGCAAAAATTGCTATCAACCTTGCACTTCATTTTTTAAAAAACACCCCTGGTTACAGTATTTTCTTTCACCATCATGTTATGAAACTGGGAGAATTAACGTGTACACATTTATCTTCTCAAAAGAGGAAACAGAGCAGGAAAGGAAACTGAGGTACAAAGAGCATTTTGCCTACTACTACAATAAAATTAAGTTATAAAACCTCAGGATCCCAGTCCACTAGAACAGGCCACAACACAACAAACAGCTTGAAAGCAACAAATTCACAGCTCACACATTACACAGAGCTACTGCTTTTACTTTTCTAGTCAGCTTGCTTTATTAGATCCTAGTATCAGAGGCCAAGATCATAACTGTCCCAAAGAAAAACAATATCCTTTCCATAAGCAGCCATCTCACAAAAGTATGTGAGTGTGGTAGGACTCAAGCAAATCTATCTTCTCTAGATAAAAAAAAACTGATTCTAAGCAAGGGCTACCAACAGCCCTCTGTGAAAGGAATATGTTCATTTTTAATACCCTAAAGTTGTATATTTTAAGCACAGGCAGCACATTCTGCAGTATACATGACACTAAAATCATGTGTCCTTAACTATTTTGGAGAAAAGCTGTCAAGCCATAGAGTTAGCACCATGACATTGACCCCACCAGCACTGCACACACTGGAAGAGGAAAATACAAACCAGACTGGCACTTCTCAGCAGACCAGAATTTGCAGTAGGAGAGGCCTAAGAAAAAAGTGTATTATTAAACCCCAAAAAAAGCAACTGGTAGCTCTAAAGGCAGAACATTCCTCAGAAAGTACTAACCCTGTCACTCTTATATGTTGCCAGAGGGTCACTGTACAGGGAAGAAGACTGCTAAGAGACAAAAACAAAATAAATAAGCAAAAACAAAAACAAAGATGAATTGGTCTCACCATCATGAATGCAGAGGACTTAAGTTTATGATTTTATACTCCATAATTCATTAGCAATTCCTGAGTGCTTAAGGTAGTTAAGAAACACAAGAAATAAGAAAAACTTAAGTAATTAGAAATTGTTTTGAATATTAATTGTAAGGGATAAGAAACAGCTGGAACAGTTTTCTATGAATTATAAATATGTTTATGTCCCATTGGTCTTCGAGCATTATTGTTAGGATATGGAATGGCAAGTAAGAAAACACTGAGGGAAAGAGGGTCATGGTACCGGGAGTGTGGAAAACAGTGGCCACATCCCACTCACCCAGTTCTTATGATATTTTCAGTGATTTTATGACCAACTCCTAATTGGCTTAGACTGATTTTTGGAGAACCAGATAAATAAGCTCCAAGTTATCTCTACAAACACTCTTTTCCAAATAGATTAGAAAACCTGTTCTTCAAAACAAGCCATGGACAAAGTGCCTTAGTTGAATTAGATAAATTGTACTAGTCAATGAATCCATGCACTAAAAGAACACAGCATGTTTTTAAAGGAATTAAATCTTGCTTTTCCTGATGTCATCTGAGGACATACTTTTCAAGTTTTCACCAAACCCAATCAGAGATGAAAAATAAGAGTACTTAAGTTGCGTGTGCAGGTTTTTTAAACAAAATTATTTTAAATGTACTGTGTGCCATACACTTAATGTGTCTTAAATGTATGATGTGTCAAATGCCTTTAAAAAAACAAGAGATTCTAACATTAAATAATTACATTCTTCTCATGCCACGTGTTTACATTTTTATATGTAAGCTTTTTTAAAAGGGTACCCACTCTGAAGTATATGGATGCTTACAACTTATTTTGAAATGTATCAAAAACTAAGATGAATTGATGGTTAGAGGGTCAAATAGATAATTATGTGATAAAGGAAATATAATGAATTATATAATCTAAATGATAGGTATGTGATGTTCACTGTATTATTCCTTGAACTTTTTTTGTACATTTAAACATCTTTATTTAAAAATGTCTTTAATGGTACTGATTTATAAACATGATGACTGAATAGTTCCCGTTGTTTAAAGAGACTCCCACAGACTATATAAATTCAGTTACCAAAAACTAGTATATACGTAGCCATTTACAGATTAGTTACAGCTAGTCAAAATGCAAAATGGGGAGATTAGAAATATGTTAAAAGTGAATCAAACACATAAAGCCAAAAAAGTTTAGACAAACCCGAGTGTAGTAGGCAGAGGTGGGTTTGCTATGTCTAAGACTGCTATAGTTTCTCTGGTCAAAGTAGAGGCCACTCTGCAAAAAGCAAAATTAAACACATTTTTCTTAGGCTAAATGTTAATAACCTAACAACACACAAAGGCAAAACTGAACACAAAAAGGCAAAATATGATATTGCCAAATCCCTTCTTCTCCAAAATGTTTTTAAATCATCATATCACATTAAGTCAAAGTGACAATTATTTCAAGCCCCTAAAACAAAGACATTACTAAATTTTTAAATTTAAAAACAAGACAATAAACCCTCAGAGAAAATGGAATGAAAACAATTTATTCTCATGCCATACTTAAGAAAGTCCTTGAACACTCCTGGACAACTGAATAATTACCAGTTTTACAATCCATCTGGCAAAGCCACAGAAGTTATTAAAGAGCTATGTATTTGGTTCCAAACATTTCCTAGTCCCATTACTTGTCAAAATAAACTGACAAATTAAGTTACCAAAATGAAAGAGAGAGTACGATAAATATGGTTTGATCTAAAACACTTACGGCAGGTTCATTTATACAATGTACAAAATAAACAATAGTACACATTATAGCTAATTGAGGGAGAGAAAACCATCTATAAAATTCCCTTCCCAACTTCTCTAGCCAACTTTTTTACTCAAGGTTAAGCAAATTTAGGCAATCTCTGACTTAAAGACTCCATCAGTGTTGACAGTGGAGTTGAGGACATCCCTACTCCCACCCCATCCCTACCACCCCTAGCCCTGCCTTCCCACACCGCTCCTCACTCCCCACTCACACCCTCAACTAGGCACCTAAGGCTCACCTCTCCCCAGAGATCCCAAGACCCTACCTTCCAGGGCCTCTCGTTAATTTCCTCCCCATTACATTCTCCCTTCTCTCCTCCCTTGTACCAACCAAAGCCTTCCAACCCTCTCCCCGTTCAACCCATGGGAACCCTGAATTAGCAAGGAGTTGGGACTGCACTTCCTTTGCCAGTACTGTTGCAGCCTAACAGGAAATGGGTGTTTCCAATGTACCAAGTGGGCATTCTGGAGACATTATTTTCCTCACAGAAATTTGTTTAGCAGCCGGGCACTGTGGCTCATGCCTGTAATCCCAGAACTTCGGGAGGCAGAGGCGGGCAGATCACCTGGCAAAACCCCATCTCTACAAAAATACAAAAATTAGCCAGGAAGAGTGGCACATGCCTGTAATCCCAGCTACTTGGGAGGCTGAGGCAGGAGAATCGCTTGAACCTGGGAGGTGGAGGTTGCAGTGAGCCGAGATCGCGCCATGCACTCCAGCCTGGGAGACAGAGCGAGACTCCATCTCAAAAAAAGAAAAAAAAAAAGAAAAGAAAAAAAGAAAAAGAAAAAAGAAGTGTTGTTTCACAAAGTGACTAGAATAAAGAGTATATTAATTCTGCAGTTTAATTACATTATAGGTTAAAGAGTTTTCAGCAAGCTAGTATGGAAACTTTGCCATTACATATTTATTGAAGAAACTAGAAAATGCATTCCAAGTTCCCAAAACACAAACTTTTAGAATGAAACCTATTTGTGAGTTTAGTTACGGCCCATAATACCACAACTAAATCAATTCAAATTCCTAAAATAAGGATGAGAATCTTACTAAACCTATTCTTGAGGTATATTCCAAAGGACAATTAATAAATGAAAATACTTGTTAATGAGCTTCTTGTGATATAGTACTAACTCTGGCTGCTAGGGTTTGCATATGTTAATACTAAAACTTGCAAATGAAAACAAAATTATTTTTAAATTTCTGATAAATCATGTTTCAGCAGATTATCAAGTTTCAATAATGTCCTAGTAGCACACCAAAGCAATCATAATCCTTAAGTTCCTAACAGTACTTCGTGAATTGTGATATGAGAGACAACAGAACTAACCAGTAGGTCTTTATGAGAATCAGAAGACCTCTTCTTCATTCCATGAGAGTGACTGTAAGAATGATTCTGGAAGTAAATATTCCAAGTTAACTTCAATGATTGCATAGCGAAGTTATGAAAATAATAAAATTCATCTTCAAATTATATACACAAAGGTCTATATGAGATACACAATAGTTTACATGCAATTTATTTCCCAAAGGTTAGTAAACAATTCACTGCACTTTACTAGCTAGTCTACCTGGCCTCTCTACACATCTGCATTCCTCCCTCACCTCCCTCTGTGCCAAGCATCTGTGTGTCTGGCCAGCTAAAGAAAACTTGATTAGAACTAAGAACCAGGCAGAATATTTGTGGAGACCTTCACACCACACTTGAGTCCCTCTGACTTCTTTTTTTTCTTTTTCAATAGAAACAGGGTCTCACTCTGTCACCCAGACAGGGGTATAGTGGTACAATCATGGCTCACTGCAGCCTAGAACTCCTGGACTCCTGCCACAGTCTCCTGAGTAGGTAGGACCACAGGCATGTACCACTACACCCAGCTAATTTGGGGTTGGGGGAACAGGTAGAGACAATGTCTTGCTATGTTGTCCAGGATGGTCTTGAACTCTTGGCCTCAAGTGATCCTCCTGCCTCAACCTCCTGAAATGCTGGGATTACAGGCATGAGACACCACTCCTGGCTAAGGGTATAGGTAACAAGATAATTCATTTCCTTCTATAGTCTTCCTTACCTAAAGGTCAAAAAGCAATCTTTTGGAACAATTAAAACAGGACTGAGAGAACAAAGAACATGACATTAAACTGTCCCAGACAGTACTCTTAACCCAAATTAGTGAATCCACAGTATGTAATGCTCAGGAGGAAAACAACCAACATGGTATGGATTGCCCAGCATACCATAAATGGTCACCTTATAAAAGGGTCCCTTGAAGACAGGATTGTCTCAATACCTAACTTTTCCTAGGAGTACACAGCCAAGTACATATGGGGAAATTAAGGCTAGCAATACTACTAAATAGGTAAATTGGTAGATAAGAAATCTAATCTAGGTACGTACTACTTGCCTGAAATAAGAGAGTGTGGCTAGAAGTGCCCTACCTATCAAGAGCCAAAGGCAACAGACTGCTCTAGGTAAACCATCTCACATATATATAGCTGTATTCCCAATCAATGATTAAAAACTCATTTTACTTTTTTTTTTTTGAATATGCATCTTTTTATACATTACTCTGAATATTTTAAGAGATGTCTATGTAATTTAGAAACTCAGGCAACCTATTGACAAAATATTAACCCAAGAAAAACAAGCTATAACTTAAATTCCTTGGTTAATGACATACCATAAAAAACTAACCAAATCAAACCAAAATGTTTGGACATAACTGATGTCTTAGGTGTCCTCTAACACTACTGGATGTTTTCTATCTAGCAACTTCACACCTGCCAGCTTTGTGACATATGACATAAAACACAATTTGGGCTTGTGCTCAACATGAAGACAAGTTTCTAACAGTGTTAGAATGACAATGAGTATATGTTAGGTGGGTGGCTCATCATTTTAAGAAAAGATATATTACTACCAGCTGGGCATGATGGCTCACATATGTAATCCCATCACTTTGGGAGGCCAAGGTGGGAGGATCACTTGAGACCAAAAGTTCGAGACCAGCCTGGACAGCATAGCAAAACCCCATCTCTACAAAAAAAATAAAACAATTAGCTGGGCATGGTGGCACATGTTTATAGTACTCGCTACTCAGAAGGCTGAGGTGGGAGGATCCCTTGAATCCAGGAGTTCAAGGTTGCAGTCAGTAAGCTATGATTGCACCACTGCACTCCAGCCTGGTTGACAGAGAGGGACCCCATCTTTAAAATTAAAAAAAAAAAAAAGATATTACTACCAATCCTAGTCCTCAATAGATAAGAATAACTTGTGTCTAATTCTGAAATCCTAAAGAAAAAAATTACTATTCATGCCACAACCACAAAACATTAGCTTTTTGCTTTGTTAGTCACACATTTTCCCCAAAAGTTCATAACAAAGCCATGAAAGTTAGTCATATTCTATAATTAGCATCAACAGATGTTTATAAAGTAAAATTCCACATATAACACAAAGTCATGTGCTACATACTAATGATGAAAGTCTTGATGATCTATCCTTGAACATATCATACTGGGTTTCAGCAAAACATGAAAGTTGGTTTGTTTCCAAATTCAGAAATATAAAGAAGAGAAGAAGTAATATTTGAGGTTATTTTAAAAATCCAGCACTATTTTAAAATAAAAAATTATTAAACATGAAAGCTAATCCAGTTGAATTAAAAAATATTCTTCCTCCTACTTTTTCCTAGTATAAAGTATTGCTAAACTGTATGTATATTCAAAACTGTATGTTTATTTTTCTTTTAAACAACAAAATTCATAATCAGTAATAGTGATATGATTCAATCTCAGTACACTATAGCACAAAACATCCTAAGGGAGCCTTTAAATACAAGAATTAAGCATTCTAAAGTCAAAAATGCTTTTTAAGAAAATTATTATCACTTTTAACATCATTTCCTATTGTTTGAAAAATGGCAAAAGCAAAGGATGAACAGGCAATGAGGCAAGCTGACATAACAAGCATGGTCAAGCTTACAAAAGAACAATTGCAGCACCAAGATGGGGAACATTCCCTTGGATCTGCTTGTGAACAAACACCTAAGAATGTCCTTCCTCAAGAAAATGCCGATTTCTCATTTTGAGAAATCTGGTCAATGTGTGAACTGCACAGTATACATACAGGTGTGACACTGAATATAAATCAAAGAAAAATATACAAAACTCGTAAGACCAGAACACCCACATTTCATGTAGGATCCTTTTTAAAAGTAAGATATGTAATACCACATTTCAAATCCAGGGAAGAAAAACTAAATAGTAACTACATAGATTTATGGTTTTCACACATCGTTTCTTAAGCATTCTAGTTTATATTTTTAAGCTGTCTACCCAGAAAGTCATATACAAAACAAATAAAAGCAATGAACAAGTTCCTCAGGTAGTTTAAATACTAATTGTTTGATAAAAATATCTTTCTTTTCCAACTCTTATATTCATTTAAAATTTTAAGCAATACTATTCAAAAACCCAATCTAAAGTAACGTTTTCATAAGGATAGGTTGCAATTCATCAGTAGTTCATAAAATCAACTTAGTAGGGTCAACCAGCTTTTTTTGAGACAGGGTTTCACTCTTTTGCCCAGGTTGGAGTACAATAGCTTGATCATAGTTCACCGCAACATCGAACTCCTGGGTTCAAGTGATCCTCCCACTTCAGGCTCCCAAGTACCTGGAACTACAGAACTACAGGAACATGCCACCATACTTACCTAATTTTTTTTTTTTTAATTTTAGGAGATGGGGTCTTGCTATGTTGCCCAGGTTGGTCTTGAACTCCTGGGCTCAAGCAATTCTCCTACCTCAGCCTTCCAAAGGGCTGGGATTACAGGCAGAGGCCACCGTACCCTGCCCTCAACCAGCATTTTAAAAACTAAACTAGAAGAGAAAATATTAGAGGGTGTTGTGCAAAGTAAGTGCAAATATTATTTTGTGAAACTTTTGTTTCAATAATGTATTTTCTATACTTTTACATATATACAAATCCACATGCATGAATCTTCATGTGTATACTGACTTATGGTGTAAAATGTATTTCTTGTTGTAGAGATCACAATTTTTAAAAAGCTTAAAATATATTAGAAAATCAAAGTATATAATCTAGTTCTAATAAGACATTAAAATAATAGTTCAGTCAGAATAAAGCCCTTCCATTCATGCCTAATGAAATGGTCATTTACAAAAAACATTGCAGAAACCTCAAAAAATAAATTCCATAAGTATCAGACTAAGTGGTACCATTTTACCACTGGTATAAATTCATTGAAAATGTTATTGTAATAAATACCAATTTTATTGGAGCAAAATATCTGTACCGCATGCTTTTCTTATATTATCCTGAAACTAACAGAAAACACAATAAAAAATATTATTATTGCATGTGTAACAAAATCTTGTTACAAAATTTTCTAAAATGCGTAATAGTATGCATTTAAACTGTGTAGTAGTAAAATGTCACTTACCATGGAGAGACACTTCCCCAAAAATAAAGTTGCTTCTCTATAGAAATTTCTAAATTAAAAAAAATCTAACCCTTTTGTTTAAAAAAAAAAAAAAAACCTCCATGACCAAAACATATTACTCAAGTCACACATTCTAGCAGATAAGCTATTCCATCCTCCAAATAAGGTAAGTTCATGGAAAAGAGTAGCTGTCTTTCCTCTTATCATCCTCTCTATAGCACCAGTGGCATTTTACACAGGCATAGGATTTAACAAGCCAAACTGGAAATAACCTGTTTCAATTTTCCTTTTCCAAAATATAATGTAGAATTCAGCTGGTTTAAAAAAAAATGTTGAATCTATCTGGTAGGAAAATCCATAATTTGGGCATACCAATTTCTACTAGAACAATGGGCAAACAAAAAAAGTCACCCCAATAAGTAAAAGTTGGCCTTTATATTGTTGTAAAGAAAAGAAAGATTCATCAAAGGAGGTAAAAGTGAAAATAGTAAGGGCTCATTTCCAAATTTTTGATGCTATAACCATAGAGAAAAAAGAAAATTTTTTTTAACTTTAAAAGTTAAAAAAAAATCCAAAATTTGCTATTGTAATCTTTTAAAGAAATTTTAACTGTCAAACTTGCCTGAAAGTTTTCATTAGGAAACAAACTAGAAAGAAAGTACATACAGTGAACAAAGTTCAGCAAGTGTCAATCTCTATTAGAATGTACCTATTACTCAAATATCAAGGACACTGAAAGTCAAAAGTGAATGCATAACACTAATACCACACATTTTCCTGGGCTACACACCATAGTGTCTTTCCTTTTGGGTGTACTGGCTCTACTCCAAAGTGTCCCAGTTATATCCTTTGATGGGTTCTTCAATAGAATTAAACAGTGTAATAGTAAATAATAAAACACAAAATTGTAAGTATATTTTAAAAATTAAATTCATTAAAATTATACCAAGGCTACTGGTATATAAATAGTAACTAAATACATGCAACAGTAAAAATCTCCACCAATGAGAAAAGGCAATGTATCCCTACTGCTCTGATTCAATCAAGATCACTTTTTCTTCGTTTTTATGCTGTGGCACAATCAACGCTCACTGCAGCCTCGACTTCCCGGACAGCTCCCACCTCAGCCTCCCAACTGGCTGAGACCACAGGCATGCAGCACCACACCCAGCTAATTTATTTTATTTGTATTTATTTATTTTTAGTAGATACAAGGTCTCACTACTTTGCCCAGGCTGATCTCAAACTCCTGGGTGATTCTGCTGCATCAGCCTCCCAAAGTGCTGGGATGAAAGGCGTGAGCCACCGTGCCTGGCCAAGATCACTTCATTTTCTAATTTTGGATCTTTACCTTACTGTCTTCTTGTATTTCAATGTATAAAGCAATGACCAAGCAGCTACTAATGTTCTGCACTATTAATAATCCAATCATTATACAAAACTAATAGACACAGATTGTTTCAATTCTAAATTCCTAACTTTGATTTAATCTTCCCTCCCCCAATCCTACCATTCACAGTCTTGAACTACCTTTGCTGTTTTTATTTTTATACATAATGTCTATAGCACTGACACCAACATTTCCAGCCCATATAGCTTCTGGTAAGCCACCTTTCAAAAAGATAGTATATGAAAGTTAATTGGACAAAAGGAGAAACCTAAAGTCCTAAGAATGCAGCATAAGACCATAAATATATCCACCTCACATTCAGGTACTGCTAATGTTCAAACATCAAATACTACGTTCAAAAAGTATTAGACCTCTTAGTACACGGCCTTAAGTTTTTAAAAATAACTGGCTGAGAAATGCATAACTCCAAAATTATATAGCAAACCACAAGGAAATTTAGGTCAGTGTTTAGGCCATCTACAGAGGACAAAAGTTGTCTAACAATTCAGCTTAATGGAAAAATTATTTTAAAAGCAAATAATTTGATGAAAACTTAGAACTCACAATATTATTTGGGTAAAACAGAAAAAGTTTTATCTCAATTATATTTCTTTTAAATGAAATTAGTAGTGAGCCTTCAGACTTGTTTCCAGGAAAGTCTAAACATTTAAACTGTGTTAGATGTGCACTCACAGAGAGTAATGTACTAGAATCTCCTCTAGGATGTAAAACTTTTATTAATTTTTACATTTATACATTGACGTTTTTAAATACTGGGAGTTTTATTCTATCCCATAGTAACAAATTTTCAAAATCAACATAATGAAATTAAATACTGGAGTTATATCTTAAATTTGTTTAATGATACAAATGCCATAAAAATAAAATCATCCTGATTATATACATTCTGGTATATAGTTATTATCGGTTTAACTGCAGATTCCTTTTTTGTTTGCAGATTTGTTTTAAAGGCCCCCAAATGTTCAAATTTTGCTGGTTCTACCTTTAAGTTAAACAAATATATAATCAAATTTCCTAAGGCCACATACAAATTTATAAATAACCGGCTTAATAACAACTGTGTGAAAATACACACTGCGAACATTATAATGAAAAGCAAATGAAAAAGCCATAAATACAAGAAGAGGATTATTTTCACAGCCTTTGAGACTTAACTTTAAAGCTTTTATTGACTGACTCCCTGCATGATTCTTTACAAAATATTTATTTTAATTTTTATTTTGAGACAGAGTATCACTCTGTCACCCAGGCTGGAGTGCGGTGGCACGATCTCAGCTCACTGCAACCTCCGCCCACGGATCCAACTGATTCTCATGCCTCAGCCTCCCAAGTAGCTGGGATTACAGGCGTGAGCCACTACACCTGGCTAATTTTTGTATTTTTAGTAGAGACAGGGGTTTTTGCCATGTTGGCCAGGTTGGTCTGGAACTCTGAACCTCAGGTGATCTGCTCGCCTCAGTGTCCCAAAGTGCTGGGATTACAGATGTGAGCCACCGCTCCCGGCCTTTTCAAAATATTTAAAGAGAAAAAAACAAAGTACTATATCTCCAGGGAGAAGTATGATGAATTCACTATTAAAATTTTTCTACTGTAAAATCATTTATAAGCTGCCAATTATCTTAGATTTCTGTAAAGATCTGTTAATATTCTTTTTTTTTTTTTTTTTTTGAGATGGAGTTTTGCTCTTGTTGCCTAGGCTGGAGTGCAATGGCGAATCTTGGCTCACGGCAACCTCCGCCTTCCAGGTTCAAGCAATTCTCCTGTTTCAGCCTCCCAAGTAACTGGGATTACAGGCATGCGCCACCACACCCGGCTAATTTTGTATTTTCAGTAGAGACAGGTTTCACCATGTTAGCCAGGCTGGTCTTGAACTCCCGATCTCAGGTGATCCACCCGCCTTGGCCTCCCAACGTGCTGGGATTACAGGTGTGAGCCACCGTGCCTGGCCAATATTCTTAAAAATCTAAAGTTTTATAACTAAAATATTCCTGATTTAGTAACCAGCTTAGTAACTTACTCTAAAAAGACAGTACATTACATTCACCAAGAAAAATAACCAGCCTGGAGAACATTCACCAAGAAAAACAGCCAGCCTGGAGTTTATATTTGTGAATATAAACATGTCAATAACTAGTATGCCAGAGCACACTCAGTTTATTAGAGTCTATTTTTATCATTTATACAAGGTAGAAAGAAAATTACAGTCAGGGAAAACTAACAAATAGAGACTTTAACATGAAAGATCATTTTACTGATTAAGAAAACTACATGGAAGTATACATACAGCATTGTAACCAAAATGCAATTGTACCCTAAAAGCTATTAAAATAAAAAAAATTTTAAATAAAATAAAATGGAAAAAAAGAAAGTATACATACAGCATTATCAATGTGCAAAATAAAAGTGCTGCTTTAAGGTGTAAAGCATACTTTTTTAAGACAGAAATTAGGGTCTTGGCATAATACAAGGGTTTTTAAGGAGCAACTTCTCCTTCCTCCTGACTTATAACAATCCATGCAAAAAACAACCTGGGGCATTCTATAAAATGTTAATCAAAATGTCAAAGCATGATAATTCCTATACATATTCAGAGAACTTTTCAAATCAGTTGTTCAAATTTTCCACATAATAAAATTACAATTAATCATCCAAGCCCCAAAGCTATTTTGCATTTAATTGTCATTTTTTAAGATATGAAAGTAGGGAAAGTCTGAAAGTTAGAACCAAACAAATGTTATTCTACAAGATCAATCTTAATTATTTTGTGATACTTTTCCAAAATCAAAGGTCCTTCTATAGAAAAAGAGATTGGACCCATGTTAATAGATTAAAGTATTCATGATTTTAGAGTTGATTTACTTATGACAATAATTTGAAAGAAAGCATCATTTTCCAATGAAAGGTCTTTGCCAATATTTTATACTTCTTTTAAAAACGCAAAGAAATACAGGAACATTGTCAGATTGTTTAGGCAACATTATTGAAGAAAGCTCACACGTAAGCTTTGTATTGTGTAGACAAGTTAAAATACCAACCCTGTGACTGCCAACACTTCGAATGGACAATGCATCCTCAACTCCCTGATAAAAATGAAAATAAACACAGTAAAAGTTTGTGAGTGATTACATTAAGCTAATGAGGAAAAGTATTAGAGGCAAGTGTATAGGTTATTACAAACCAGATAAGGACGATGGTGACTGGACCGGTGGGAATACCTGGCCCTTTCCGAATCTTCCTGGGAAAGGAGAAAGTACATGGAGAGTTAATCACTGAATAGACAGTTGTTTATCAGAACAACTGAGCAAAGAGCAGTCAGTTAACAGCACAGCAACAACTCCTGAGAGCAGGCAGGTTTGGATAACTTATCTTAGGGGCAGCCACATTCGTGTGTGTGTGTGTGTGTGTGTGTGTGTGTGTGTGTGTGTGTGTGTAAGTTTCAATATAGCAGTACTAGTTTTCTTTCTTTTTTTTTTTAATTATACTTTAAGTTCTATGGTACATGTGCACAACGTGCAGGTTTGTAACATATGTATACATGTGCCATGTTGGTGTGCTGCACCCATTAACTCATTATTTACATTAGGTATATCTCCTAATGCTATCCCTCCCCCCTCCCCCCACCCCACAACAAGCCCTATGTGTGATGTTCCCCTTCCTGTGTCCAAGTGTTCTCATTGTTCAATTCCCACCTATGAGTGAGAACACGCGGCGTTTGGTTTTTTGTCCTTGCGACAGTTTGCTGAGAATGATGGTTTCCAGCTTCATCCATGTCCCTACAAAGGACATGAACTCATCCTTTTTTATGCCTGCATAGTATTCCATGGTGTGTATGTGTGGGGCGGTCACATTCTTTGGTTGGAAAGAAAGTAGAAATAATCTTGGCAATGTTCCTATTTTATCAGGCGTATGTATGTCAGACCACTTGGAATGGTCTGTATAAGACCAAGAGAGTTCAATATACCAAGATAAAAATGTGCAAGTATACTTAACAAAGAGAACTTGAGTTCAGCATTAAAAAAAGACATTAATCTATTTTTTCATTGTGATCATCAGTTTATGCAGGTAGGAAGAAGTGTTAACATTATCACTGATGTATTTTAAGACAGTATATGATTCTAAAAATACTTGGATTATAATTTTGCACTTACTGTAAAGATTTTTTTTCACCACTCTAAGAACTAACTGAAACAGAGCCTGATTGTGTTGTTAATATGAAAAACTACTTACATCTAGAAGTAATTACATATATATTTTAGAGTTGGTCAAGTTATCTCGAATAATGCCATAAGCAGATTTTTAAAAAAAAATGATTGCAGCCTAACAGTTGACTAAATTAAATGTAATTCTAAACTTTTCCACATTTAGCTATTAGCAATGGAGCATTAAGGCCTGAGTCATGTGAGATAAAATGGCTAGTCCCTAAAACCTAATCATCTCAAACAGTAAGGAATTTCTGATCTTTCAGAATTTCAAGTCCAAAGTGTTAAAGTAATGTGTGCTGACTGAAAATCTATACATTACTGACCAACTGGGTTCATAGCTTATCAATGCTGTATTTTTGCAAAATGAATCAATGCCTCAAAACTCCCTGGTTGACATCTGCTGTGACTGATGCCCTTGACCAAATGTATGCTGAAGTCTGTTTATAAGCACTACTATGATTCAATTTCTAATCAGGTATTCTGATCTTTAGGAATTCGTCACTGATTTACATTTGTTGTTGTTGTTGTTGTTGTTGTTGTTGTTTTTTGAGACGGAGTCTCGCTCTGTCGCCTAGGCTGGAATGCAGTGGCGCGACCTCAGTTCATGGCAACCTCAGCCTCCTGGATTCGAGCAATTCTCGTGCTTTGGCCCCCTACTAAGTAGCTGGGACCACAGGCACCCACCACCACACCCGGCTACTTTTTGTTTTAGCAGAGATGGGGTTTCGCCATGTTGGCCAGGCTGGTCTCGAATTCCTGACCTCAAGGGATCTGCCCGCCTCGGCCTTCCAAAGTGCTGGTATTACAGGCATGAGCCACCATGCCTGGCCACTGATTTACATTTTTTATTATGCAATAGACACATGTAGTCTGCAAGAAGCCAAGAAAATTTCTTCCCTTTCTTTATCAACCACGAAAGTTTTGGGGGCATGTGTGTTAGCCTAGAAGGGCAGGTACAGCTTAGTAAGTGGTAATCAGTTCTAGGCTACTTAGTTTGGTTAGTTCAAAAAGCCTTTACTATAAGGTGAGTTAACTCAACATGCCTCTTCCAATATTATTTGAGGTACTAGGGTAAATACGGTTTAATGTCTAATCTTCCCTTTATTCTAGCCTTTTTTCCATTCCATCTATCACACAGAGCATTTTCAAAAATCTCACCTAAAGAGCATATCCCATTAAAGATGCAGCAAAGACAGATGAAGTCATACTTTCAATTATGCCCCTTATATTAATAAAAACAATTATAAATTAAAATACCTTATTAAGTATTGATACATAGTACCTCTATATTTAAACAGCTTTTCTTGCTCCATTTGAAAAATTGGCCTAAAAAGACTTCTGAAAACTACAGAATAAAATATAAACCCCCATACAGGTCAGTTAATTTGGACAAAGAGTATAGTTTATTCCACAGTCACAAACTATACCTTAAATAAGCACTGTCCAATACAACTTTCTCTGACCATGGAAATATTCTATATTTGTGCTAATGTAGTACCCACTAGCCACACGTGGCTACTGAGCACTTGAAATGCAACTGAGAAACCAAATTTTAAATTTTATTTAATTTTAGTCAATTTAAATTTAAATTTAATTACCTACATGGGGCTACCATACTTGACAGCACTTCTCTAAACCTATTTGACAAATGTGTTTACGTAAAACTGTAAGGCAAGCTCAAGGCAAATTTTAATTATACCAAAAACGTTCAAAACACATATTCTACTAAGAGCCTGCTAAGTAGGACCACTCTCATATAGAAAGGCAAAACATTTGGGTCATTTTTAATTACTTCTACCTTGAATACTTTTGCACAGTGGCAAACATGAGGGAAACAGACCCTGGTAGCAACGATATAAAGTGACCCTGGTAGCAATTCTATTTTTAAGAGCTAGAAGAGTCCTTAGAGATCATCTAGTCTGACCCCTTCATTTTGCAGTAAGAAAGTTGCAGCACAGAAGGATTAAGTAAGAATCTATGAGATCATAAAGCTGAGACCAGCATTTAGACGTTTTTATTCACCAGACAACTGAACTGTAAAGATAACATCCTATACTGGCTAAATTTCCACCAATTACATAAGAAAAAAAGAAAGAAAGAAAATGGCAAGGTATTCTGGTTTTTACTCAGAGATTCTTCCTTCTCTGGAAGAACAAAAAGCTTCATTTGCCAGGTATTTCTAGAGCACTATTTATATTGCCAATAGGTTTCTCTTGAAGAAATTATACCAGTGGACAAAGATAACAGATTACAGCAAACTGTGTTCTTAGGTGCCAGTTACAAGGTGTATCCCTCTATTCCACAGTGAGGAAAATAATACATCGTCATTATCCCAAAAGTCCTTATTAGCACTAAAGCACTAAAGACTGGACAAACAGTACAACGCCTTAAAAAAAAAAAGACATGTATTTGTTCAAAATGCTGTTTTGATACATTTAATGAAAATGAAATATACTCTTTGTTTTTAAACGTTCACCTGAAGGGAGGATGAATGGTTCTATTAAAAGAAAACCACAGTCCCATGAATATACCTGGCCATCTTTTCTGTCAACAAATAGTATTTGTTACTAAGTTGACACCAAAGTCATTCCTTCAGTTTCAAATTAGAAGGAACTTCAAAAACCGTATTTACTCTTCAAGACATGCATTTACTCTTTCAGAATCACCACTGATTAAGAAAGACACCCAGTTTAAAAATAGAATCATTGGGTTCATGGAAAGTTGACTAAACTAACACTAATGGGAGGCCCAGGAAGGTGTGGGTCCTTTTCTTCCTGGTCCTTTCACCTTCCAGCACATTACCAGGTGTGGCACTCTCTCATACCTTCAAATACTGGTTCTGCCAATGACTATGCAAGTTATTTACTTCACCAATTCTTTATAAACATGTCTATAAAATTGAGACAGTAATACTGTCTTATAATGTGAAATAAAAACCTATGTAAAAAGCCCTAGCACAGTGCTGATATACAGTATGCACTCAAAGTTGGACTCATTTCTGAGCTTCCTTCCTTTTCATTCCCTATTCATGTCCCAACATCACACTCCCACCCAAAAAAAGGTATTATAATTAGGGGAAATTACAAATATAGGAAAATTTCCTTCCTTCTAGTAACTGACAATCCTATTGTGGATTGTGTGTGTATGCATCATTTATTTTACTATAAACATTAGCCATTTATATTTTGTATTGTAACTATTACATGCCAACTTCTCCTTATGGGCTCACAGATAAAGCAGCCAGAGAGACAAAGATAAATGAGCAGAAGAATCAGTTTAATTTTTTTCTTTTTTTCTTTTTCTTTTTATTTATTTTGTTTACCTTCAACCAACTCACACCAAAGAATCAGTTTTTTTGTTGTTGTTGTTGTTGTTTGTTTGTTTGTTTGAGACACAGTCTCACTCTGTTGCCCAGGCTAGAGTGCAGTGGCACAATCTTGGCTTACTGCAACCTCCACCTCCCAGGTTCAAGCGATTCTCCTGCCTCAGCCTCCCTGAGTAGCTGGGATTACAGGCGCCCGCCAGCGTGCCTGGCTAATTTTTGTATTTTTGGTAGAGACGGGGTTTCACCATGTTGGCCAGGCTGGTCTCAAACTCCTGACCTCAGGTAATCCACCTGCCTCGGCCTCCCAAAGTGCTGGGATTACAGGCATGGGCCACTATGCCCAGACCCAAAGAATCAGTTTTAACAGGGTAAAAGCAAGTGTCAGAACGGGTTAGAAGTGATAATTATTCCCATCTGAAAAGAAATGCCACTTTCTCTGCAGGTCCAAGTCCTGCCCATAAATCAAGACTTGGATTAGTCACTACCTGAATTTTAAAACTCTAGCCCAAAGGTCACCCCTTTCAATGAAAATCTAGCGTACTCACTGCCTAAACTATACAAATTTCACAGAGGTTTAAAAAAAAAAAAGATTTGGCTGGGCGCGGTGGCTCACACCTGTAATCCCAGCACTTTGAGAGGCCGAGGCGGGCGGATCACCTGAGGTCAGTAGTTCGAGACCAGCCTGGCCAACACGATGAAACCCTGTCTCCACTAAAAATACAAAAATCAGCTGGGCATGGTGGCGGGCGCCTGTAATCCCAGCTACTTGAGATGCTGAGGCAGGAGAATCGCTTGAACCCAGGAGACGGAGGTTGCAGTGAGCTGAGATTGTGCCACTGAACTCCAGCCTGGGCAACAAGCGCGAAACTCCATCTCAAAAAAAAAAAAGAAAGAAAGAAAGAAAGAAAGTTGCTTGTTTAGCAGCAATCAGACAGTGGTTCTTAACCCTTTAGGAATTACAGACTACTTTGAGAATCTGACAATAAAAATACCTGTGGGCATTTCCCATAAAAATAATTACATTTGAAAGTCTGCAGTAGAATTTAAGGCTTCATATCCCTCTCCCAAGCCTAGTCATATACCAAGTTAAGAAGCCCTGTAATAGGAGACAGTGGGGAACTTACCAAGCCTAAAAAAAAGTTCAAATTTAGGAATGATTCACATTATCTAACATTTTACTGATTCACAATTTGTTTTTATAGCTAACAAATTTGAGAGTAGTGGTAGAGAATTTAAAAAGGACCTGAAGGAGTTGATATAATAAGAGTAATTTTCAGAGGAAATGAAAAGAATTACTTGGGTCATCTTTCAATGAAGACCATGTGGACTTATTTTTTTAAAAAAAAAGGGGAGAGAGAAGGGGGGAAGAAAAGAACAAACCCATAAAAAGAAAACACACATTCATTTTCTCACTCTTTCTTGATCAGGAGCATTCATGAGATGAAGGTGAGGATACTGACTACAACATAAAATGGCAGGACTCCAAGTATACCTCTGGTCCACTATAGACAGAATAGACACTCTGACCTTTAGGTTCACACAGGCCAAACACTCCTACTTTGCAAACTATTAGTTAATGTTTTACTTCAAGACTGCATTATTTCAGCAATTGATCACAACATGCAGGACAGGCAATACTGGCCTACCAGCCACTTCTGAATCTGTCCCCACTTCCGATCAAAGGAATGAAGAGAGTACTAGAAATGCAAAAATTTCATAAACCAAATAGTTTCTAACATATTGCATTCTCCAAAAACCTTAAATTAATCATACACATTTTCCCTAAAAAACAATGATAGCTGACTCAAAGTTACACATTCAAAATACAGAAAATTAGTAAGCTAAATATGTTCAATAGTAAGAGATGCATGTTTCCCTGTAGTTCAGAGAACTGTAAATAGAACTTACATTTAATAACTGTCTCATTCACTTATTTATTTATTTATTTATTTTTTTGAGACAGGATCTCACTTAGTTGCCCAGGCTGGAATGCAGTGGTGCCATCATAGCTCACTACAACTTCAAACTCCCAGGCTCAAGTGATCCTCCACTTCAGCTTATCCACTTATTATTATATTTAGTATAATTTTAGGAGTAAAAAGACAACGGATTGCAACACTTCCTCTTCAAGAACTGCATTCCATATTTGAAACTATACATGAGGTTAAAAGAAAATTAGCAACATGTCAATTGTTAGTGTTTTTCTTGAGCTGTGACAATATAAAATATTTACATTGCTTTTTAACCTGCTCACAGAAAATTCACCACCAAAATCAAAAGAAAGTGTTTAATACTGTCCCATAGGCTTTTGCCCCTTCATACTACTACAACATCAAAAATATTTATTATGGGAATTTTCAGGACCAAGTCAATGTCAGAAAAGTAAAAGCATATTTATTTCATTTTAATCAGCCCAATTTCCATATGCCTATTCTTAAAAATTTTTTTCTTGTTTTCCTTTCTGATAAAAGTATACTGAAAGTTTGTAAATTATAGAAAAGTATAGAAAGAAAGAAAAACCAACAATAATTCCACCATAGACAAACTGCAGTATTAATAATCACTTCCTTCTAGTAGTTTTTTGATGCTATATATGGATACTGGTTTTTGTAATATAAAATTGGGGTCCTACAAATTTTATTGTTTTGGTTTGCTTTTATCTCATATTCTTACATATTTTCCTCTATTATTAAATATGTTTTAAAATTGTAAGTCTGAATGACTTTACAGTGTTTTACTATATAGATATCATAATATAATTAATCCAAATTTTAGGACAATTAAAGCTATACTACACTTTGTCATTGCTAAAGCTACCTTAGCTAATGTAAGTGAAGCACTCATAATACTAGTAACTTATAACAATGGACACGATAATAGCTATAAATGTGTTTGTTGTTACTACTTAAAACAAATATCACATTTAATTTGCTGGCACAGAATGGCTTGATAAAATACATACATCAGTTTATACTATTTTCAATGTTTCAAAGGAAACCAGATTCACATCAGAATAAACTAGCCAAGTACTGATTTTGGGGGAGACAAATATGAAATTAGGGTTATTCCCTCAAATTACCTCTTTTTGTTGTCGTTCCAGTTCTCTCATGCGTATATCTCTTGCTTCTGCCCGGGCAGCCCGTTTTGCTGCCAGCCTTGCCTCTGCCTGAAAAGTAATATAAAACTCAGCTTTATACAACAAAAACAAAAACAACCTGTACACCAGATTTGAAAATAAAGAATGGGACATTACCACGCAAAAGGGGTGGGCAGGAGAAGATATTATCTATCAGCAAGCAAGTTTGATTGATTGTTTTAATCAACTCTTATAAACTCATTTCTTTCTCTAGTTCCTAAGTCTTTCCTCAAATCCGGGCCTTTACCTTTAACTTCTTGTTTGATTACACACTCAACACATTTCATACAGTTTGTTATATGCCTCTCCAAACTTACTCTTTTTCCAGAATTTTTTCCCCATTGATTCAATCATATAAACTAGAAACTTCAGAGCCAACCTCTCTTTCATTTTGGACACTGCCAATAATCAGTCTCCAAGTACTGACAATTCTCTACCACTGAGTCTCTATCAAACCCATCTCAGCTTTCTTTATTCTCACTGTTCCTGCTCATTTCAGGAACTCTTCATCTCCCCACTCCCCACCTCTGTTTTAAAATTGAGACAGAATTCACATATCATCAAATTCACTATTTAAATGTATACAATTCCGACTGGATGCAGTGGCTCAGGCCTGTAATCCCAGCACTTTGGGAGGCCAAGGCAGGAGGATCATATGAGGCCAAGAGTTTGAGACCAGCTTAGGCAACATGATGAAACCCTGTCTCTACTAAAAATAAAAAAAATAGCCAGGTGTGGTGGTGCACACTTGTAATCCCAGCTACTTGGGTGGCTGAGACAGGAAAATTACTCGAACCTGGAAGGTGGAGGCTGCAGTGAGCTGAGATCATGCCACTGCACTGCAGCCTAGATGACAGAGTGAGACGCTGTCTCAAAAATAAATAAATAAATGTATACAATTCTGTGGTTTTTAGTATACTCACAGGATGTGCAATCATCATGACTAATTCCAGAACATTCTCACACCCCAAAATGAAACCTGGTACCCATTAGTAGTCATTCCCCATTAACCCTTTCTCCCAGCTCCTGGCAACCACTAATCTACTTTCTGTGTCCATGCATTCGCCTATTCTGGACATTTCATATACATGGAATCATACCATAGGAATTCTTCATCTCTTGCTTACAGTTACCTCCAAATCCATCTGCCTACTTCCAGAATCTGCCTTATAATTTATCTTCTACATGGTTATATGATGGACAAATCAGCCTTTCAAAATGTATTATTTCTGATCACATCATTCCACTGCATAAAATCCTCCACCAACTCCTTATTACTTATGGTTAAAGCAAAAATTCCACAGAACAGCACAAAGGGAGGAACAGAAAGAAGAAAGGTAAAACTGAAATAAGGCTCCTCACAGTCAGGTCCCCACCTTACTTCCAAGTCCAGTAGTTCCCCCCTTATCTGTTGTTTCAGTTACCCATGGTTAACCAAGGTACAAAAATATTAAGTGGAAAATTCCAGAAATAAACAATTCATAAGTTTTAAATTGTACGCCATTCTGAGTAGTATGATAAAATCTCTCAGGACGTCAATCATCCCTTTGTCGAGTATATCCATCCTGTCTATGCTACCCATTTGTTAGCTGTCTCAGTTATCAAATCACAGTGATTGTGTTGGAGTAATCCTCATTTTATTTAATAATGGCCCCAAAGAGCAAGAGTAATTCTGACAATTCAGGTATGCCAAAGAGAAGCCACACAGTGCTTCCTTTAAGTGAAAAGGTGAACGTTCTACCTTAATAGAAAAAAGAATCATGCACTGAGGTTGCTAAGATCTATGGTAAGAACAAATCTTCTATCCATGAAATTGTGAAGAAGGAAAAAGAAATTTGTGCTAGTTTTGCTGCCGCACCTCAAACGGCAAAAGTTACAGCCACAGTGCATGATAGTTAAGATGGAAAAGGCATTACATTTGTAGGTGGAAAACATGAATAGAAATGTGTTCTGATTGATGGCAATCAGGTTTGCTACTATCCACAGTTTCAGGCATCTGCTGGGGGGCTTGGAATGTATCTCCCATGGATTGGAGGGGTGGGGACTACTCTACTTGCTCCACGTGTACTGGGTGCATCCCATCTCTCTCCATTCCTGGACTCTATTGTGTTCTGTTACGCCTCTCTTCACAAACTGTTTGGCAGGAGCTGTTCTCCTTTCTCTTATTCAGTAAAATATTACCTTCTATGAAGATTCTCCCCAGTCCCTCTTTCATAAAGTAAGGCTCTATACCCATGTCTCTATTGCGGCTTTATTATGTTGTATTAAAATTCCATGCTTCTCTCACCCCACAACTTTTATGCCTCAAGGTCTGCTAAAAAAAAACAAATGAATTGCAGGGCATAGGTCACAGTATCAAGGAAATGAGATAAGGAAATAGCTTAATGTGCCACATGAAACTTAGAAATCTTCTGTCTGCTTTCTATATGGTAGTGGAATGGTTTCCTCTGTCCTTGGTCACATCCTAACTCTGATTCAGACTATCCCCTCTGATAACTATAGTTGTTGTCTTCCCATGTTGTTATATTCGTGCCCAAGTCTCATAGTAAGAATAAACTCAACCAATGTTTAAAAGGATCTACTACATTAAGCAATTATGCTAGGTGCTGAAAATACAGAGTAAAGTATGACATCTCTGCCCTAAAGCAGCTCACAAAGTTGAAGAATACAGAGACACAATGCTTATGGGAAGGAAGCATGTAGGAGGGAGAAATTAGTTTTGCCTGGCAAAGTCACAGCAGGCTTCTAAGAAGCAGAGAGAGTTAAATAGTTAACTGCTACTCAACTATTCCAATTGTGGCAATTTCCCAGTCTGTGTAACTGGTCTTTTAATAGAAAAACCCCTGCAAAGTAAATTGTAATCTACCAACCGTAAGCTGTAACCACTAACAATCTAGAGAAATTAGTTTTCTCCCATGAATTTTACACTGGCCTCCGTCTTTTCAAAACCTATGCTCTGCTTCAAGTTATCTGCCTTCTTCACCCCTCTATGAGTAGACACTAGTTTCTTATTAGAGTTTTTTTTTTTTAATAGGAAACACTTCAAGGCTTTTAAGCTTAAGTAGATAGCAAATGTATTTTAAAATCACAAAGCATCAAAACTTTCAAACCTTTTTAAGAAAGCCCTATCAATGTGTAGGAATTTTCATTTACATGTATATTAAATTGTACCTGAAGCCTCCTTTAGAAATTTAATTCAAGAATGCTAATTTTATCCTTCTAAGATTTGTCTGTGGCCAATTCTGTACAATCTATATATACTAAAATGAGACTTCCTTCATAAAACCCAACTTAGAGATAATTAAAATCTATTCTTTAATAAGACATTTTTAACTACAAAAAGGAAAGGAACAGAAAGAACATGGGCTTCAGAGACACACAAACACCCTTCCCTTTGTTACTTAGCCAACTCAGATGTTACCTCCCTTGGAGACTGTGTTGAAGAGAGGCCATTAAAACCACATGCTTTAAAAGAAATAAACAGGATTTAAAACTACTTTATCTGGTTCTTTCTATACATTATTACTAGATGCTTGAAGCAACATGGATAAGCAGGAGTAGCAAGGAGCCAACACTGATTCCAACCTAGTAGACGAAATATATGCTCTATAACTTATTGTGATATATTTTAAAATTATTTTTGAATAGACAATTATGGGTACATAAAACATACTTCTAGGTAGTTAACACTAGCATTTTTACCTCAGAATACAATCAGATAAAGAGCTGCTACAGATTCATTTTAATATACACCTCATACATACAAAATAAATGGGATATAACAATAAAGGACAACCAAGATTTAACTAAATTCACAGTAAAGGCTGGGCGTGGTGGCTCACGCCTGTAATCTCAGCACTTTAGGAGGACAAGGCGGGCAGATCACTTGAGACCAGGAGTTCAAGACCAGCCTGGTCAACATGGCGAAATCCCGTCTCTACTAAAAATGGAAAAAATTAGCTGGGCGTGGTGGTGCATGCCTGTAATCCCAGCTACTCCAGAGGCTGAGGCATGAGAATCACTTGAACCCTGGAGGCAGAGGTTACAGTGAGCCAAGATTGCACCACTGCACTCCAGCCTGGGCAACAGAGTGAAACTCTGTCTCAGAAAACAAACAAACAAAACAAAATAAAGTTGGCTAAAACACACAATTACCATTTGATCCAATAATTCCACCTATGGGTACATATACAAAAGAACTGGAAAGCAGAGACAACATATATTTATATACCAATGTTCATAGCAGCATTATTCACAACAGTCAAAATGCAGAAACAACCCAAATATCTATCAATGGACGAATGGATAGACAAATTATGGTATACACATACTTTGGATCATTCAGCCTTAAAAAGAAAATTTTGATACATGCTGCAACATGGATGAATCTTGAAGACATTATACTAAATGAAATAAGCCAGACAGAAAGGAGTAATATTGTATACTTCCACTTAATGAGAAACCTAAAATAGTCAAATTCATACAGACAGAAAGCACAATAGTGGTTGCCAGGGACTGAGGGTAGGGGGAAATGGGACTCACTATTTAATGAGTACAGAGTTCCAGTACTGGATGATGACAGAGTTCTTAAGGATAGTGGTGATGGCTGCATGACAATGCAAATGGATGTAATGCCACTAAACTATATACTTAAATATAGTTACCATGATAAATTTCATGTTACATATATTTTACCAAAAGAAGTTGGCTAATTTAAAAGTCAGAATAAGATATAAATTAGAAGTATTCAGAAGCCTAAATTATTTAAATACTTTTAGAGTCTTTCGGCTGATATGACCCCAACTGTTATAATAAAGTTAATATAAAAATTCAGAAAAATTCAGAAAAATTCAGGAGTTCAACACCAGCCTGGCCAATATGGTGAAACCCCATCTCTACTAAAAATACAAAAATTAGCCAGGCATGGTAGCGCTTGCCTGTAGTCCCAGCTACTTGGGAGGCTGAGGCAGAAGAATCGCTTGAACCTGGGAGACGAAGGTTGCAGTGAGCCGAGATGGCACCACTGCACTCTAGCCTGGGCAGCAGAGCAAGACTCTGTCTCAAAAAAAAAAAAAAAAAGACAGTGAAAATCATGGGCTTTGATCACTCCCAGAACAAATGCATTAGGTTGTATTTAAACTCACAGAACTTTTAAATTTGTAGAATATTCACTGTATCACTCAATGAATAATTAGGAATCACATAATGGACACTAAGAAAGAACTTCTCGGCCTGGCGGTGGCCTGCTCCAGTTCGAGCCGGTACCTCACTGCATCTCGCAAGAATTTGTGGATTTGGGGGTGGAACCCCATTCGGAAGAGCACAAAAAACTGCTCTTAAGTCATTGCAAAGCTACAGCTCTGGTTAGCCAGCCACAAAGTTGTCATGAGAGTCGTCTCCACAATACCAAGAGCTTGTGTCTGGCAGAGCCGGTATGAGATGAGACAATGCTGTCCCACCTCCGGGATAACCAGGAGTTTTGGCCAGACTTTTGAGCACATACCGAGAGAGTGAGGAGCCAGATGACAAGCACATACTATGGCACTAAGACAGATTAATAAGGAACTTAGTGATTTGGCCCATGACCCTCCAGCACAATGTTCTGCAGGTCCAGTTGAGGATGGTATGTTTCATTGGCAAGCCACAATTATGGGACCTAATGACAGCCCATATCAAAGCGGTGTATTCTTTTTGGCAATTCATTTTCCTACAGACTGCTCCTTCAAACCACCTAAGGTTGCATGTACAACAAGGATTTGTCATCCAAATATTAACAGTAATGGCAGCATTTGTCTCGATATTCTAAGATCACAGTGGTTGCCTGCTTTAAAACTATTTCTAAAGTTCTTTTATCCATTTGTTCACTGCTATGTGATCCAAACCCAGATGACCCCCTAGTGCCAGAGAGCACACGGATCCATAAAATAGACAGACGTAAAAGTACAACAGAATATCTCGGGAATGGACTCAGAAGAATGCCATATGATGCTACCTTAAAGTCAGAATAACCTGCATTATAGCTGGAATAAACTTTAAATTACTGTTTAAAAAAAAAAAAAGGCTGGGCACGTTGGCTCACACCTGTAATCCTAGCACTTTGGGAGTCCAAGGCGGGCTGATCACTAGGTCAGGAGTTCAAGACCAGCCTGGCCAATATGGTGAAATCCTGTCTCTACTAAAAATACACAAATTAGCTGGGCATGGTGGCGTGAACCTGTAATCCCAGCTACTCGCGAGCCTGAGGCAGGGGAATCGCTTCACCCAGGAGGCGGAGGCTGCAGTGAGCCGAGATTATGCCACTGCACTCCAGCCTGGGCAACAGAGCAAGACTCAGTCTCAAAAAAAAAAAAAAAGAACTTCCAGGAAAAGAGAACTAAACATGTACTATGGTTTATGTATTTCTACATTAGATACTTCCTTTACCATCATAATTTTGTATTATGTTCTTTTGGAATTTGAGAAAAGTAGATGAGATACAATAAAAATATAAATAATTTTAAAATGAGCAAAGGATTTAAATAGACATTTCTCCAAAGAAGATATAAAAATGACCAATAAGTACATAAAAAGATGCTCAACATCATTAGTCATTAAAGAAATGTAAATTAAAACCATATTGAGATACTTGATATCCACTAGGATTGCTATGATAAAAAATGTTTTTCAACTGAAAATAACTAAAATTGGCAAGGATGTGGAGAAATTAGAACCCTCATATATTACAGGGGTAAATGTAAAATGGCACAATTGCTGTGTGAACTGCTGAGGCAGTTCCTCAAAAGTTAAACACAGTGATACCATCCATCCACCTCTAAATATGTACCTAAGAGAAACGAGAACATATATCCACACAAAAACCTGTAAATGAATGTTCATAGCAGCATTATTGACAATAGCCAAAAAGTAGAAATAACCCAAATATCCATCAACTGATGAACGAATAAACCAGCGAGATTATCCATACAATGGAATATTATTCAGCCTTAAAAAGAAATCGAACACTGATACAGGATGCAACATGAATGAACCTTGAAAACATTTTGCTAAGTCAAAGAAGCCAGACACAAAAGGTCACATATTGCATGATTCAATTTATATGAAATGTCCAGAATAGGCAAAAACATAAAGACAGAAAGTAGATTACTGGTTGCCAGGGGCTGGGGAAGGGGAAGATGAGGAGTGACTGCTAAGTGGTATGAGGTTTCTTTTTGGGCTGATGAAATGTTATGCAATTAGGTAGGTGACAGTTGCACATCTTTGTGAATATATTAAAAACTACTGAATATTTTTAAATGGTGAATAGTTTTGATGGTATGTGAATTATATCTCAATTTAAATTTTTTAAATAGATGAGACTGAATGCATCAAAAATGCCTAAGCTAAATAAATACTAAAATATATAAAATTCTAATACATAAAACTTAATATATAAAATGGGATAAAGGGGAGCTTATAACCTATTAATAACAAGTTTGGAAAATGCTAAGTTAAACATTTTTTAAAATCAGAGTCCTTAATAATATGCATTATGAATCTCAAAGAAGAGGATAGAATATATAGTATTTCTCAGACTTGACCACATTACTAAATAAACCCTAAATGATACTTCAAGGGTCATGCTCCAAGAAACACAGTTTGGGAAATAATGATTAAGTAATATATCAGGATCCAATTACAACTGTACTAAATCTTACCTTTGCTCTTGATACTTATAAAATTAAACTAAATTATCTGAATAATCACCTCACAATAGAAAACCCAAACTATTCAGATAATATATCTACCATGGTTTGACCACTTACTTAGCAAGGATAGATCCTTATTTTCTTTCTTTTTTGGGGGGGGTGGGGGGGTGGGGGGGGGGCGGGGACAGGCTCTCACTCTGGCACCCAAGCTAGAGTGCAGTGGCATGATCTCAGCTCACTGCAGCCTTGACCTCCCAGGCTCAAGTGATCTTTCCCATCTCAGCCTCCTGATTAGCTGAGACTATAGGCATACACCACCACATCCAAACAATTTTTGTTTTTGTTTTTGTTTTTGTAGAGACAAGGTTTCACCATGTTGCCCAGGCTGGTCTCGAACTCCTGGACTCAAGCAATCTGCATGCCTCGGCCTCCCAAAGTGATGGGACTACAGGTGTGAGCCACCACACCTGGCCTTATTTTCTTTTCTTCCACAAAATAACCCATTGAAGTACAGAAGGGTTAAGTAACTTGCCTTCCCCAGACAAGCAAATACTGGAGCTGAGATCTACATCCTAAGAATCTTACTTCAGTTCACACTCTTAACCACATTGCCACCAACTTACATCTTTATAGTCCAAGTATAATTGCATATCCTTAGACAAATCATAAAAACTTACTTTGGATAATTATCCTAGGATTTTCAACTTAGCACAGATTCTCTCTTTTCTATGAAATAATACTATTCTAGTTCTCTGAATAGAGAACTAGATAGGTAAATAATCTTCTCCTTTTACCATACACAGTATCTAATAACCAAATGTAGATAATCTCCTTTTACTGTACACAGCCTTTACTCTCATTTTTTATTCCCAGTTTCAACTACCAGCCAATGAGAATGACTCAAATCTAGCATCTCAAGCTCTGACTTCTCTACCAAAATAAACACTTACATTTCTAACATCTATCTTGTCAGCACCAAAACCAGAGTGAATAAAATCAGTCTCATTTTCCCCCAGTCAACAGGCTTTGCTTCCTTATTTTCCAGTTTCCATTAATGGAATCTTGTCACTCTTGTTCAAACCCAAGGTCTGACGACCTCCTACTTCCTTAACAAATCTTCCTTTACAATATCCCTTGAATCCATCCTCTCCATCTACTCCAACAGACTCCCTCTACTTCCAAATAGGCTCTTTGTACTTTCACTTATAATACATCAAGTTTTCTAATCCTAACTTCAGTTTCTCCATCTCAACTCTATCCCCATCCGTACTATTCCATCGTGGAATTAATTTACCTGAAGCAATTTACCTGAAACAAGGAACAAGTGAGGTAAAAATGTCTCAAAGTAAAACGTGATTAGCTATATTCTGTGATGCCCAATACCCAAAGCATTCTTAAACTTTCTGATATTTAAATTTGGATTTTGTTACTGCTTCAGTTAAATAAACAGAGGGGAACAGGCTAAAATAAACTTGTTGTGGCTCATGGTGGCATTCCAAATCAGAGACTCATGTGAGGCCAATCAATCGTATTCTAAATTTTCCATCCATCCAATGGGTCTACAAGTAGGAGGAACCTATTCAATGGGCTAGGCAGTGCTGTTTCCCTAAAATAAAATCCATAAATTGAATTTCACTTGAGACTGCTATCTGAGAGGAGGAAAAGGGTATGTATATTTAAGTACTGTATCTAATGAACCACAAATAAGTGTATTTCTTCAGGATGTAGGTACTTTAAGTATATAGTAGTTCCCCCTTATCCAAGTAAGTTCCAAGTCCCCCCGGAGATGCCTGAAACTGCAGATAGTACCAAACCCTATCCCACTGTCATCAATCAGAACATGTTTCTGTTCATGTCTTCCACTCAGAAATCTAGTCTTTTCCATCATAATATACTTATCACACACACTGGCTATAACTTCTGTGGTTTGAGATGCAGTAGGAAAACTAACACAGATTTTTCTTTTCTTTCTTCACAATTTCATGAATAGAAGATGTGTTCATACCACAGATCTTAGCAACCTCAGCACACAATTTTTTTCCTTACTAAGTTGAGAACTTTCACCTTTTCACTTAAAGAAAGAATTTTATGGCTTCTCTTTGGCATATCCAAACTGCCAGAGTCACTCTTGCTCTTTGGGGTCATTATTAAATAAACTAAAGGTTACTCAAACACAAACAATGTGATACCATGACAGTCAACCTGATAACAGAGCCGGCTCCTGTGAGACTATCTAGCAGGTAGCATACACTGTGTGGATACACTAGACAAAGGGATGATTTATGTCCTGTGCAGGATGATGTGAGATTTAATCATGCTACTCAGAACACTGCACGATTTAAACAAAAATAAACAAACTGTTTATTTCTGAAATTTTCCATTTAATATTTTCAAACTGTGGTCAAACATAAGTAACTGAAACCTCAGAAAGCAAAATCACATGAAGGAGAGGCTCTGCACAATGAACCATACAAGGTTTTTAAAAACAAAATGGGTACCAATCAATGTGTAGCCTATTTAAAAAACAACAACAAAACAGGAAGGTATTTCCAAGATATATAATGTAAATGATCTGAATTATCAATGGAAAAAGTTTCTCTGCAAGACCTTATCAGTTCAGCACTTCTTTCATTATTCCAGTTCTGACACTTTTAGTATTTCCCCTCCTGTGCCAATGTTTTCATGACAGAAGGCATTTTAAGGTCTGAAGAAGGCATTCGCTTCACACCCTCCAAAGCCACTAACAGACTTCCCAGTCTTCCCTTCTTTCTTACTTTCCCTGTGGTTCTACTGAAGAGCTGCCTCTTCTGTTGTTGAAAGTCAAACCCTCCCAAGCCCCGTCACACACACTCACACACATACACACCCTCCATTTTATGATGTCCTCCCCAGGACTTTGTCCCAACTATCTGATCTCTCTTCTGGGTCTTTGCTCTCTACTTCTATTGGTTCACTCTCTTCATCATAACTAGGTTCAAAGTCTCTCTGATCTTTAAAAGGCAAGCAAAAAATCTCACCCTGGTCCAATTCTACCCTATCTTCTCTTTACAGCTAAGCTTTCTCACACCTCCCTCTTCACTTCTCACTCTCTTCAAATGACTGCAATCTGGCTTCTGCTCATATCACCTTATTGAAATTGTTCATCACAAAAGTCACTAATGACCTCTAACTACCAAACCCAATAGAATTTTTCTATTCTTATCTCATCTGTCTTTTCTGGACTTTCAATATCACTAAACACATATTCTTTCTTAAAACTCTCATCTCTTAGCTTTCTCCAATACTAGTGTCTCCTGGTTTTCCTCTTTATTCTCTCATCTCTCTCCTTCAGCATCCTTCATAAGCACATTTTTCCCTGCTAGCATCTTAAATGTTAATATAACCAAAGTTTTCAAGCTTCACCTCTTGCTCTTTTCATTCTATATTCTCTCCTGGGCCATACTGTTAGTCTGTAAATCTCTATGCCCAAGCTAGAATTTTCTCCCACAATCCTGATCCAACTTGCTATTAAAAATTGAAGCTGTGCTCGCTATGGCAGCACATATACTAAAATTGGAAAGATACAGAGATTAGCATGGCCTCTGTGCAAGGATGATATACAAATTTGTGAAGCATCTTTATTTATTTATTCATTCATGTATTTATTTATTGAGGCCGGACACAGTGGCTCATGCCTGTAGTCCTAGCACTTTGAGAGGCAGGCAGATGACTTGAGCTCAGGAGTTCAAGGCCAGCCTGGGCAACATGGGAAAACCCCGTCTCTACTAAAAACAAAAATTAGCCGGGCGTGGTAGCGCAAGATCATGCCACAGTGCTCTAATCTGGGAGACAGAATGAGATTCTGTCTCCAAAAAAAAAAAAAAACTGAGGCTCTCCCACTAGAACTCAGACTTAATACAACCTTAATTTAATTTATAATCATTCCCTTAATCTTCCTCTTCTTTTTTATATTCCCCATCAACTACCCCATTACCCAAAATATGAAACAAAGACTCATCATAAGGGTCCTTCCTCTTTTCTATCCTCCCTCCATATTCAGTTGCTAAGTCTCAACTACTTTGCTCCCATCAAGATTCTCTTTACTATTTCTTCTATCCAGACCTTCCTCTTTATTCCTATTGTCATTGTCTTATTTTAGGTTCTCATCATCTTTCACTAAGATAACTACAACAGCTTCGTGACCAGCCTAGGCAACAAAGCAAACCCCCATCTCTACAAAAAATACAAAAATTAGCTGGGTGTCGTGGTACATGCCTGTAGTCCCAAAACCCAAGAAGCAGAGGTTGCAGTGAGCTAAGATTGCACCACTGCACTATAGCCTGGGCAACAGAGCAAGACCCTGTTTCAAAAAATAAATGGAAAACTATAACAGCTTCCTGTTTTCTGCCTTCTACCTTCTACCACTCACTCTCCACTGGGTGGCTAAAGCAATTATACTGTAATTCAAATCTGAAAAAGGATTTACCCTTTAATGGCTCCCCACAGCTTTGAAAATCAAATGTAAATTCCTCAGCACACAAATCCTTTCATGATTGGTCCCTATTTCCTCCCTAACATCACCTCCTCCCATTCCCTAGCCCCTCTCCAGCTATACTGAACTACTTACTATTCTGGCAGTTTCCCACCATAGTGCTAGCTGTTTTACACCCCGGTGTCTATAGAGCTCTTAGAAGGCAATATACAAAAACCCATTAAACAAGGCTGTTTATGGTGATACATATTAAACCTTTTTTTTGAAACCAAACATTTATTTCGCATTTGATTTCATTGGTTCAAATGTTTAAAAGCTGGAGTAAATCCACCTGTCTTTCTTCTGGGCTCTTCCTCCAATGTGTGTTAATCTGGCCAAGTATGGCATATGCTGTTGCTGAATCCTGGTCCTCTAAGGCCTAAGAGGCTCATCCCCAGGCAGGGCCCGGAGTCAAAGCAAATGCAGAAGGCGGCCACAGGTACAGTCTCAGTAGCATCAGACATTGTTTGGGCTGATTCCTGAGTATCTATCCTGTCCCTCAGGACAGCCAGGGTTTGGCACTCTAAGTAGCTACTGGCTCACGATCATAAGATCACTGCAAGAACACCAACCCCAGCAGGTCCCAGCTCCAGCCAGTTTCCTCTGGGCAGCATGTGAGAATGGGCTTCCTGCCTTTTTGTTTGTTTGTTTTTATTTTTATCATCCAGATCTAGTTTCAAAGAGCTCCAAAATGTCCTTGCCACATGTGGACCTGAGAGCAAGAGATGACTTTTCAGAGCCATATTCTTGTTGCATTTGGACAAAATGAATAATGCCTTTCATAGTTTCTTTGTATTTCTCTTCAATAGGTGGTTGACCCAACATTTTTCCTACTTTTTTTTTTTTTTTTTTTTGAGACAGGGTCTCACTCTGTTGCCCAGGGCATGATCCCAGCTCATCACAGCCTCAACCTCCCTGGGCTCAGGCAATCCTCCCACCTCAGCCTCCTGAGTAGCTGGAACTACAAGCACGTGTCACCATGCCTGGCTAATTTTTGTATTTTTTGTAGAGACAGGGTTTCACCATGTTGCCCCAGCCAGCTGGTCTCAACTCCGGGGCTCACACAATCCGCCCACCTCGGCCTCTGGTCCCAAAGTGCTAGAATTACAAGCGTGAGCTACCATGCTCGGCCAACCCAACGTCTTTGCCCTATACAATGAAAATACAAAATACAAAATGAGAACACAAAAAATAAAGCATTACATTGTAAAAATTTAATTTAATTGGTCCAAAATATACTTAAATAAAATATGCATTTCAATAAAAATGTCTACAGTGAAAGACTTTATGCATTCTGGGAAACTTCATAACATGTAGATAGGGCCAACATTCACAGAGGATAAGGGCATTTGTATCCAATCACAATTTGTAGCAGGTTTCTTATTCCAATCTGCAAGTTACACTGAACACATCATGAGCATCACTTCGGGAGAAAACCAATTTTGTTGGGGAAAAGAATAAGAAAGCTCCAGCCTCAATTTTGAGTTCATTACAACTTCTCAAGAGTATCACCAACAGCCTAAACAGTACGAGTTCAAAAAAGTAAACATGTTAAGGTGATATAGTTTAGATGTCTCTTCCAAATATCATGTTGAGATGTAATCCCCAGTGTTGGAGGTGAGGCCTGGTGGGAGGTATTTGGGTCATCGGGGTGGATCCCTCACGACGTGGTGCTTTCAACACAACAGTAAGTTCTCGTGAGATCTGGCTGTCCCCCTTGCGCTCTCGTTTCCACTCTCGCCATATGATGTGCCTGCTCCTGCTTCACCTTCCACCATGAGTAAAAGCTCCCTGAGGCCTCCCCAGAAGCCAAGTAGATGCCAGTGCCATGCTTCTACAGCCTGCCAAACCATAAGCCAATTAAACCTCTTTTCTTTATAAATCACCCAGTCTTGGGCATTTATAGCAATGCAAGAACAGCCTAAAACATAAGACAAGCAGATAACTCTTTAGAAACCTAAATACGTTTTCTTGCTGTCTTTATGTTGAATTCTCCATCTACAACGGGCAGTCATGAAGATGGTCTTCGTCAGGACAACATGGTCACAGGACTGGGACAATCCAGGGGAATGAGAGGGAGAGTCAGGGGACAGGGGAGAGAAGGCAATGCCTCTTGCTGCTTTTTCACATTAGAGACAAACTGTAACACACAGTCCATGGGCCTGCAATCTTCTCCTTTTATCATCTGGCATTAACACTTGATGTAGTCATCGACTTTATTCAAGAAGTCCTCCTTGTCCTACAAATGATGTTCTGCAGCTTCAACATTCAGTGGATCGTCAAAATTCAGAAGATTAGTAAACAAATAATTTAATCTCCAAATAACATCCTTTAATGATCTCGTGGGAGCCCAGCCAGTGCTGTCAATCGAATGTCCTCAGTAAACTTTAGACATATTTCCCCTATCTCTGATGTTAGGGTACCAGATCCTGGTCAGGCATTTCACTTTGGAAGGCACCACATTGTATGCATCAGGAAGTCCAGTTTCGAGCTGAAATTTTCCACCCTAGTAGTAACCCTCGTCTGGGGTTACAGTCAGCAGAAAGCAATGAAGCTTTTTAGATCAGGAAATACTCTTGACATGTACAAGGTAAATAAGCTCAAGCTCTGCAACCTCTTTAACAATCAACTTGTCTCTCACAGAACCCTCTGACTGGGGCCGGATGCTATGGCTGACGTCCCAGACCCTTCGAGACTGTCATCGCACTTCAGTTTGCTTACAGGTGTCAGCGCTACTCCTGCCTTTACCCTGGGCACCCCAAGACAGGTGAGGCAGGCCTGGCGCCCAACACCATGCCTGGCCTGGGCAGTGGTGGTGAGACACGGCCCCTCATAGCTACATCGACTCCAGGTGGCAGGTTCAGAAGTTATTAGAACTTTTAATACATGAACAAGAAGGACACATTTTTATTTTATCACACTGATTCCTTAATAGGAGGAAGGAGAGGGATAGGCCTGGGGAATGAAACAAAGGACCTTAAACTTGGTTTATATCTCTTTCTCCCTTCCTTTCTTCCTAACATTTTAAAGAAAAGATCTGAAACAACTGTGACAACATGTTAACATTTGTTAATGCTGGGTGTTGGACTCATGGATACTTATATTATTGCCAAAATCTTTCTGTATTTAATGTTTTTCAAAAACAAGCCAGGCATGGTAGTGGTGCCTGTAATCCCAGCTACTCGGGAGGCAAGGTGGGAGAATCACTTGAGCCTTGGAGTTCGAGTCCAGCTTGGGCAACCTAGCAAGACCTCATCTCAAAAACAAAACAAAACAAAATACTACAGTAGTACACGAAAACACACTCAAATGACTTTAAAAGAAGAAAATCCTCTAGCTTTAAAACTTTAGTATCACAGTGTTGATGGTGCTAAAACTGCTATTTTAAAGGAGGCAAATTTACAATTCATAATTTGACAGAAATGCACTGAACTGAGCCAATGAGGTCTGGAATTGCCAGCCACACATATGTTCCATAACATAAAACCTATGCAACTGGCATGGACAAAAGAGAGATAATGTACAATTTGGGCCTTTACAGACTATGCTTTAATTTCAAGAAATTTGAAATACAAAATTTGAGAAAGTAAAACATTCAAAGAAAATGACTAACTCAGGTAGCAAAGACTCAGAGTTCACTGTGTTTAATTTTGTTTACTCTTCCATGACACTCATGCCAAAAAAACACTGAAAGACAAATTAAGAGACATAATATTTACTGTGTTGCCATGGTTTCCAAATTAACAAAAATTACTGCTCTATTTCCTAGCAACTTCCCTTTAGTACAAAAATTTTTAATTAAATCTTACAATATGATTATGTTTAACCACTTTAAGTTTTTGGTAGTTGAGGACAAATATTTAAATTTTTCTGAGCATAAACACCAACATGTAGTAGATAAACTCTAGGAATTTTAACTCATCTTTTTCTGATGTCAAACAACTATATCTTCCATTTACTCGGAGACCTTTTGACAGCAAAAATATTCTTTTGGAATGAGAGAGGACTTTATACAACCCAATAAACAGTATACAAAAAGTAAAACTTTGGATCTGCAATGATACATTTAACCAAAAATACTAATTTGGGGACTAATATAAATACTTGTGAGAGGGGGAAAAAAAGGTGTTGCTAGTACTGTCTTCAAATTTAGGTTAATGATATTGTGCCATCTGAATTTTTTTCTCCAAATCCCTGTAAGTCTCCAAAGCCCACCTCTCCTGGAACATGAACAATGACTTCAAATGGGTGAATGTTAGCCTTGCTTCTGATACATTTTAGAGAGCTATCTGAACATCATCTGTTTCCTCAGCTGTAAACATGGCTAGTAATAATATCTATCCTACTTAGCTCAAGACTTTTGTGAGAATCAAGATGTGAAACTGCTTTCAAAGTCATGAAAAGTTACTGAAAAACAAAAAATAAGCTATTAATGGTGGAATTAGAGAAGACTGATTGAGAAACAATCTGGCATAGTAAGAGGTTAAATGCACAGACTCTGGAGCCAAGCTTCAGAGTCTGAATCCTGGCTCTACTATTTCCTAGCTACGTAACCTTGGGGAAGTTACTTAACTTTTCTGTGCAATGGTTTCCGCATCTGCAAAATGCAGATAAAAAAACTGACTGCAGATTTTATAAGGATTAAATGAATTAATGCATGTAAAATGCTTAGAATAGTGTTTGCTACACAGCACTCAGCAAGTGCTGGATGTTAGAATCCTATACAATTTTTTAAAGAAAGCATCACATTAAAAAAAAAAGTTCAAATACTTAGTGACAACACAAAAGGAGACTAGAAGGTGGTGGCATTTTCCTCCCTTACAGAAATCTGGGTAAATCCCTCCAATTTTGAAAGGAAACATTCTGGGTAGTTTCAAATTTCAACTACAATTATGTTGTTTCCAAAATGCTTCATTTGTGCAAATAGTTAAGATCACTCACTGTAGAGTCGTATCTACGTTTTCATTTTTAAATCTTTTAACTGAAAAATATCTCACTGATTTTTAAGTTCTGGGATACATGTGCAGGACCTGCAGGTTTGTTACATAGGTAAACACGTGTCATGATGGTTTGCTGTACCTATCAACCTATCACCTAGGTATTTAGCCCCACATGCATTAGCTATTTATCCTGATGCTCTCCCTCACCCCACTGTGCTCCCTCTCCACAGGCCCCAGTGTGTGTTGTTCCTCTTCCTGTGTCCATGTGTTCTCATTGTTCAGCTCCCACTTATAAGTGAGAACATGCAGTGTTTGGTTTTCTGTTCCTGTGTTAGTCTGTTGAGGATAATGGCTTCCAGCTCCATCCATGTCCCTGCAAAGGATATGATATAGTTCCTTTTTATGGCTGCACAATATTCCGTGGTGTATATGTACCACATTTTCTTTATCCAGTCTATCACTGATGGGCATTTGAGTTGATGTAACTCAAATGTAACCCAAAACTATAAAAACCCTAGAAGAAAATCTAGGCAATGTCATTAAGGACATAAGCACAGGCAAAAAATTTCATGTTCAAAAGCAATCGCAACAAAAGTAAGAATTGACAAATGGGATCTAATTAAACTAAAGAGCTTCTGTAAGGCAAAAGAAACTATCATCAGAGTGAACAGACAAGCTACAAAATGGGAGAAAATTTTTGCAATCTATCCATTTGACAAAGGTCTAATATCCAGAATCTACAAGGAACTTAAAGAAATTTACAAGAAAAAAAAAACTCCATTAAAAAGTGGGCAAAGGACATGAACAGACACTTCTCAAAAGAAGCAATGTATGCAGCCAACAAACATGAAAAAAAGCTCAACATCACTGATTAGAGAAATGCAAATCAAAACCACAATGAGAAACCATCTCACGCCAGTCAGAATGGTGATTATTAAAAAGTCAAGAAACAACAGATGCTGACGAGGCTGTGGAGAAACAGGAGCACTTCTACACTGTTGGTGAGAATGTTAGTTAGTTCAACCATTGTAGAAGACAGTGTGGTGATTCCTCAAAGACCTAGAACCAGAAATACCATTTGACCCAGCAATCCCATTACTTGAAGGAATATAAATCATTCTATTATAAAAATACCTGCACATGTACGTTCACTGGAGCACTATTCACAACAGCAAAGACATGGAATCAACCCAAACGCTCTCATTGATTTTTAATGTATTTTTGTTATAGTAATATCACAATTTCTTATCAGGTTTTAGGTAATAACTTTCCTTTGCTACAAATAGCCTCCTACAGCATTTGACTTCTAATTCAAAAGCTAACTGAGCAGCTTCCAAAAGGAAAATCATAACAATGAGCTGGATCAAAAAAGTGTGTAATGTGTCAAAAGGAAATACACTATTCCTAAATAAGTTATTTACTAATAACAAAGAGGAAGTGATATGGTAATAATTCTCACCAAAAGAATATAATTTAATGATGCTCTAAGCAATTCTTATACCATATTAGTTTGTGGTCAGTCTGCAGTTGCAGATAGAGTCTGAAACAAAGTTGGCAATTAAGTAAGAAATCCCAGCTGGCAGTCATCTTAAATTTCCAATATACGGCAGGAAATGTTGCCAGCGATTCAATAGGTGACGCCCCTTCCCTTTTTCTTTTTTCTGAGTTACAACAAACTGAAACAAAATTGCCCCAGAAGTTCTGTTACCAGCTAACAGAATTAAACATAAAAATTCCACTGCAATGTTTCAAAAAATAAAACACTGAATCTGAACCGACATGAAATATTGTTTCCATCAACATTTACATACCACGTCTGAAGCATATTAACTGCATAGCCCAATGAGTATTTCTATAATATAGTCATCATATCTTCAACATTCTAATTATCCTAAGTTTACATTCGAAAGATTAATTATAAACTTCAATACATTATAACAAGTACATGGAACTCAAGTAACCCATAAAAATATAAAGAAAAATTAATTTTGGATGCATTGGATATTGTGAAAATTGATTATATAAATTGGAATTATCTTGTCATACCCAATTAAATTACAGTCATGAGATGAGGGAGGAAGAAAAGGAAAAGAAAAGCACTTAGGGCACAAGCACCTGCCCAGGGATTATCTGGCAAGCCAGCTGCTGAAATGACCTGCTATAACCTTAAGATCAGTTTTACCTAGTAGCTGCGGAAACGAACTGCTATAACTCTAAGACTAGTTTTACCTACCACAGTCACTCACAAATCAGAGCATGCCAGCTCCCAAAAACTTCGCTAGTGCCAATGCATTTTCTTTCAAAACAATGCATAACATTTCTCTAATAAAAACCTCAATCTTTTCTTTGTTCTTTGGACATACCAAAGACCAATGCAGTCTGTGTGTATGCCCAAATTACAATTCTACTGTCTCAAATAAAATGTGTTGTTCAGAGATTCATCTCTATATTTGATTTCTGTTGATAATATCCAACTATATTTTATTCTAACACACTATTTTAGAGACTAGCTATAACATCTTGCTCATAATAAACATCTGAAACTAGTTCAATGAGTAAACGTCTATATCTCTGTCAAATCGGCATTTTTACAATACATCTGTGCAACTCAGTGTTGAGAGGGGATTTACCAAACATACCTCTCTGGCAATGTTACTCAAAGCTTCATCTTCTGCAGAAAATCGGTCTTTCACAGGTGTTCTTTTCCTTCCAGAAGCAGGAGTCCCCATCTTGTGTTCTTAATAGTCTTTTAACTTTGAAAGTGATTTAACTGTGTTTTCAGCCCTGAAGTAAACAAAAACATAATAACTTAAGGTATTTCTTTGTGCAATTTTCATGCTCATTTATATATTCACTTTTAACAGAGAAATTAGTCACCAAATACCTCTTCCCACTACCAAATTATTCCAATAAATTTTAGAATATTTAATTTTATACTAATTACTAAAACTCCTACTTCTTTTCACTATGCTACCCACAGCAATCTGTGTGTATTATAATATTAGCCTCAGAAAGCTGCCATCAGCAGAAATTCTACTTAACCATTTAAAATTACTATAGCTGGGCAGCCTGGCCAACATGGTGAAACCCTGTCTCTATCAAAAATACAAAAATTAGCCGAGCAGGGTGGTGCATGTCTGTAATCCCAGCTACTCTAGAGGCTGAGGCAGGAAAATCACTTGAACCTAGGAGGCGGAGGTTGTAGTGAGCCAAGATTGCGCCACAGCACTCCAGCTTGGGAGACGGAGCAAGACTCTGTCTCAAAATAAATAAATAAATAAATAAATAACTATAGTTATTTCTAAAACCAATTTCCATCCCAGAATGAAAAACATTTCAGAAGTTATTCAGCCTAAACTTTTAGAAGAAAATGTTCAAGAGGTTTTACTACTAAGCCTTATAGTTACAAAAGTAACTTTGCTTTTTAGTGTAATTTAAGAAAAATTCCAATTAAACCATGACAACGTCAGGCACGGTGGCTCTCACCTGTAATCCCAGCACTTGGGGAGGCTGAGGTGGGCAGATCACTTGAAGCCAGGAGTTCGAGACCAGCCTGGCCAACATGGTAAAACCCCATCTCCACTAAAAATTCAAAAATTAGCCAGGCATGGTGGCGCATGCCTATAATCCCAGCTACTATGGTGGCTGAGGCACAAGAGTCACCTAAACCCAGGAGATGGAGGTTGCAGTCAGCCAAGATCACGCCACTGGACTCCAGCCTGGGTGACAGAGAGAGACTCCACCTCAAAAAAAAACAAAAACAAACAGACAAAAAAAACCCACAACCATATAAAAGAAAAAATGAAGGTTTATTACTCTGCAATTAACAATAACCAACACTGTCCATGTTGTTACCAGGTACTATAGGAGGTGCTAAAGGTACGGTGATGAAGAAAACTGATATAGTCAAATGATTAAGAATATATCGCCAGGCGCGGTGGCTCACGCCTGTAATCCCAGCACTTTGGAAGGCCAAAGCAGGTGGATCACCTGGGATCAGGAGTTCAAGACCAGCCTGACCAACATGGTGAAACCCCATCTCTACTAAAAATACAAAATTAGCAGGACATGGTGGTGCATGCCTGTAATCCCAGCTACTTGGGAGGCTGGGGCAGGAGAATCGCTTGAACCTGGGAGACAGAGGTTTCAGTGAGCCGAGGTTGCACCACTGCACTCCAGCCTGGGCAACAAGAGAGAAACTCCTTCTCGAAATATAAAAAAAAGAATATATCTATGAACCTGTTACTATTACTTATTAGACCTATTTTAACAAAAGGAAGAAGAAAAACCCATCCACCAGGATTAAATAATAAGGATGAAAAAGACCATCTAACCTTTGGTTAGATGGTATTTGAGATTAAAGATTACCATGAAAGAATGCAACCCAAATTTCATGCCCTCTTTTCTTCTATACACATTGCTAAGAAGTATAGCTCATTTAGCTAAATATTCCATAACTTAAAAAATTTTTGACTTGCTTTAACAAAATAAACCAGCAAAATTTCATTACAGTATGAATCACAAAGAAATTCTCAAGTAAGTCTGTCCTAACACAATTGGCTATACTGAAATTCTAAGTGACTTTAATGTACTGGAATTTAGTTGATTCCGGCTAAATAAAGCAGAACTATTCCACCAAAAAGTTTTCTCCAATAAAGATTCAGGACATTCCCAACTTATCTGACACCATTTCTCATTCATCAGAGCTAGCTTGTTATTCTGTCCACCAGAATAAAGACTGATGATGGTTTATTACTTTTACTTCACTAGAGAAGATATATCTGGATATGATTATTAAGAACTCATTTAAAAATGGAAACACCAGCTGGGCATGGTGGCTCATGCCTGTAATACAACACTTTGGGAGGCCAAGGCGGGCAAATCACAGGAGATCAGGAGTTCAAGACCAGTCTGGCCAACATGGCGAAACCCCATCTCTACTAAAAATACAAAAATTAGCTGGGCGAGGTGGCACATGTCTGTAATCCCAGGTACTCGGGAGGCTGAGGGAGGAGAATCGCTTGAATCCAGGAGGTGGAGATTGCAGTGAACCGAGATCGTGCCACTGCACTCCAACCTGGGCAACAGAGCAAGACTCCATCTCAAAAAAAAAAAAGGGAACATGACAAAAGGTACTTCTTAATGTAGCAGCTGATATATCCCAGATACAAATCAGAACAACTCCTGATAAGGACAGAAAACTTTTCTCAGAGTTCTCTAATCATCTTCAGCATAATTTTAAAGATTATTCACTTACCTAATAGTAACAGTGTATACATTGCTGGTGGAAATGTAAACTAGTACAACCACTATGGAAAACAATATGAAGATTTCTTTTTTTTTTCTTTTTTTTTTTTTGTTGAGATGGAGTCTCGCTCTGTCACTCAGGCTAGAGTGCAGTGGTACAATCTCAGCTCACTGCAACCTCCGCCTCCCGGGTTCAAGCAATTCTCCTGCCTCAGCTTTCCAAGTAGCTGGAACTACAGGCGTATGCCACCATGCCCAGCGAATTTATGTATTTTTAGTAGAAACGGGGTTTCGCCATGTTGGCCAGGCTGGTCTTGAACTCCTGACCTCAGGAGGCGGGTGATCTGCCTGCCTCGGCCTCCCAAAGTGCTGGGATTACAGGCATGAGCCACCAGGCCTGGCCGGAAGATTTCTTAAAGAACTAAAAGTAGAACTACCATTTGATTCAGCAATCCCACTACTAGGTCTCTACCAAGGAAAAGAAGTTATTATATGAAAAAGACACATACACACACACGTTTATAGCAAAACAATTCACAATTGCAAAGATACGGAAAAAACACAAGTGCTCATCAACCAACAAGAAGATAAAGAAAATGTGATATATATACACCATGTAATACTACTCAGCCATAAAAATGAATGAAATAATGTCTCTTGCAGTGACTTGGATGGAGCTGGAGGCCATTACTGTAAGTGAAGTAACATATGATCTCACTTATAATTGGGAGCTAAAATATACAGACACAAAGGCATAAGAATGATATAATAGACTTTGGGGACTTGGTGGTGGGGGCAAGGACGGCTGGGTAAGGAGTAAAATACTACACAGTGGGTACACCATAAACTGCTTGGGTGACAGGTGCACTAAAATCTCAGAAATCACCACTAAAGAACTTACCCACATAACCAAAAACCATCTGTACTCCAAAAACTATTGAAATAATTTTTTTTTTTTGAGACGGAGTCTCGCTCTTTCTTGCCCAGGCTGGACTGCAGTGACATGATCTTGGCTCACTGCAGTCTTTGCCTCCCGGGTTCAAGTGATTCTCCTGTCTCAGCCTCCCGAGTAGCTGGGACTACATGTGTGTGCCACCATACCTGGCTAATTTTGTAATTTTAGTAGAGACGGGGTTTCACCATGTTGGCCAGACTGGTCTCAAACTCCTGACCTCAGGTGATCCGCCCGCCTCAGCCTTCCAAAGTGCTAGGATTACAGGCATGAGCCACATGACCGAAATGAAATTTTTAAAAAAATGGTAGTGGTGCATGCAAATATTAGCCATCTACTAAAAATAAGCAACATGCAATGCAATGTTCCTTTTCAGACTAGATTGACAATTTAGTGAATGCACTATGGTATCATCCAATATTTGTCCATCAGTCAGCTTTCCAAGGACACAATGAAAGATATTTCACAGAAGCAGGAAACAAAAATGTAAGCATTTTCTAATTCCAGACACATAAAAATCATTAGAGAATAAAAATAGATTTGGCTGGAAGTATATCAATAGTTTAACAGTGGTTTTTTTAGGAAGATAGGATTATGGATGCATTTTTTCTTAATTCTCTAAAATTTCAATAGCATTAAGGAAAAAGAGATGCATTTTAAAACCAGGCGTGGTGGCTCACATCTAATAATCCCAGCACTTTGGGAGGCTGAATCAGGAGAACTGCTTGAGCATAGGAGTTTGAGACCAGCCTGGGCAAAACCCTGTCTCTAGAAAAATTTTAAAAAAATTAGCCAGGCATGGTGGCACACGCCTGTAGTTCCAGCTACTTGGGAGGCTGAGGTGCAAGAACTGACTGACCCTGGGAGGTCAACGCTGCAGTGAGCCATGATCACTGCACTCCAGCCTGGGTGACAGAGTGAGACCCTATCTCAAAAAATAAATAAATAAAAATAAAAACATTCCAATCTAAGGCTCAAAAAATAAACTAGTCCCCAACTGGATCACATCAAAATTAAACATAATATGCCATACTACTGAGACACTAATCTGAAACCACTTCTGGTAGCATTCTTTTGAATGTACTTCTTTCTTTTCTTTCTCCTCTACCCCCATGATCCATTTTCTTTCCTTCTCAACTAACAATGCCTATGCCTTAGACCTGCCAGAGTATTCCTGGACCACAGATTTATGTAAAAAATTATTCTTTCTTAAAATTGCTTCCAAACAAAATGGTTTCAACAAGCTCCAGAATAGACAGCCCTGAGAAAGAGATGACAGGAAAAAGCAGCACAGGATAAGCAGGAAATAGGAAGAACTTCCTGTCTATCTTCCTTATTCTTCTTGTCATATCTACAGAGAACACCTAGGTTTTTATATGACTGATTGGCCAGGTCCAGTTACCTTTTTCAGTTCACATGATGCAGATCAAGGACTACCTAGTTCAAAGGATAACCTAGTACTTTTAAAAGAACTGTATTATTTGGACCCTGTAGGCAGATTTCCTTACCAATATTAGAAAAATGACCAGACTAGGCAACATGGTGAAATTCTGTCTTTACAAAAAAAAAAAATTATCCAGACATGTTGACGAACACCTGTAGTCCCAGCTACTTGGGAGGCTGAGGTGGGAGGACTATGTGAGCCAAGGGAGGTCAAGGTTACGGTGAGCCGTGATAATACCACTGCACTCCAGCCTGGGTGACAGAGGGAGACCCTGTCTCAAAAAAGAAAAAAAAGAAGGAAAGATGAAAGGTTTTTCCGTTCTCATGCAATCTATTTTCTAGTAACTCCAGGTCATTCTGTATCAGTGATGGAGGAAACCTTGAAAGGAATACGATTCTTAACATAGCCAGTGGGAAACTTTTCAACAAAATGACAAAACTGAGAATGTAGACTCAAAGGAAACCTTAAATAATTTTGTTTCTGATCCTAAAGGACTTGCAGTAAATTTCTACCCTAAGGTTTCCTCAAGAACCCTTTTCTTCAGGAGCACATTAACTCCTTCCAGTGTTTCCTTGGTGGTATCAAACAACTTAAAGAACTAAACCTTTTCCTCAATTGGTAAGAACAAAACTGCCTGTATTTTTGTCAAGTCCTTTACCCACATAGTGTCAAGTTGATTTTCCCCAGATGGTTTTGTCATGACATATTTTACTTACAGAAAAGAAGGAAAGTATCTTCAGGATCTTGCAGAATATAAACCTTCCAAAACAGACAGATATTTCAATAAGGCTTTGTCTTCTCCAATGAGCTTCTCATATAATATACGTCTGAAACAATAGGCATTTTGCCACAGTAAAAGTGGCACTTCAATCATGATATTGTCCACTTTTGTAAGAACAGAATGTGCATGTAGCATCAGTATGTCACATTCTAAATACAGGACACTTAGAAAGTTCTGTGCCTAATCTGGATCCTGATAGATAGTTCTTTTATATCTAAGTATTGCATCATGGAGAATTCAAAATATTGTCCTAGTATGTCTTTGCATCACAGCTGCCATTACAGTGAACGCTAGTCTGCACAAGAAAACATTTCATAGTTATTCATAAACAAATCCCAGTATATGGAATTGTCCCTGAACTAAAGACTTAGTGTGACTGCAGTTGTTGCCACTTGACAAAACTTAAAATGAGAAGATCCAAGTTCAACTGATTGCACTACCACTTCCTGTGTTACCCTCCCCACTTTCTAAGCCTCCATCTCTTTATCAGTTTCACTGATATAACATGGTTAATGTGAAGCTCAAATGAATTAAGAAAAATCCAAGCACTTAATAAACTATAAAGCACTCCATAAATATTTAAAGCATTTTGAATTAACTACCTATTTTGCATATTTAGCTTGTGAAATTGACAAAAAAAAAGCAATCCTTTTCATACTTTTAACTAAACAAAAATATCCTCGATTTCCTCCAGCATGCACTGTCTAATAGCATTAAACCATGCTAAGAGTTTCTGCTATAGTATAGAACAATTTGGAAAAAATAAATGCCTTGACTATAATCATTTTGCTGTCTAGCACATGTATACAATAAAAACAAAAAAGGAGAAATTTTTAAGGTACTTTGTATTCAAAGTTTACTTCTAAAACTGCCAAGTTTTGGGAGTGCAGCCTTACAATGGTTATGCTAGTCCTCTTAGTAGAACACAAGTGACTTGAAACAGAAGATAGAGATCATTAAATGTTCTATTTAAAATATTTGCATATTGTTCTATGTAAATTTTACCTCAAAAGAAAAAAGTCCTCTACACAAATATTAAACTCTAGCCAATCATGTGCATGCTAAAATATTTAGGGTTGAAGTGTACTGAGATCTGCTACTTTAAACTGCAACAACAAAAGATAAAATGATGAAATCCAGATGGTAGGTACATGAGTGTTCACAGCACAACTCTTTCAATTTTTCTGTATGTTTAAAAAAAGTTTTTTTTTGGAGACAGGGTCTCCCACTCTGTCTCCCAGGCTGGAGTGCAATAGTGCGACCTTGGCTCACTGCAACCTCGGCCTCCCAGGCTCAGGCGATTCTCCTGCCTCAGCCTCCCAAGTACCTGGTACAACAGGCGTACACCACTGCATTTGGCGAATTTTTGTATTTTTGGTAGACACAGGGCTACACCATGTTAGCCAGGCTCATCTTGAACCCCTGGGCTCGAGCAATCCACCTGCCTCAGCTTCCCAAAGTGCTAGGATTACAGACGAAAGCCACCATGCTCGGGCTATGCTTAAAATTTTTTATCATCAGCCAAGCATGGTGGCTCACACCTGTAATCCCAGCACTCTGCGAGGCCGAGGCAGGCAAGTTGCTTGAGCCCAGGAGTTTGAGACCAGCCTAGAAAGCAAAGTGAAACTCTATCTTTAAAAAAAATTTTTTTTTTAATTTTTTATAATAAAATGTTGGGGAAAGAGTAACTGCTTAAGAAATGTGGATGACTAGGGCCAGGCACGGTGGCTCATGCCTGTAATCCCAGCACTTTGGGAGGCTGAGGCTGGCAGATCATGAGGTCAGGAGATCGAGACCATCCTGGCTAACACAGTGAAACCCCCGTCTCTACTAAAAATACAAAAAATTAGCCGGGCGTGGTGGCAGGCGCCTGTAGTCCCAGCTACTCGGGAGGCTGAGGCAGGAGAATGGCGTGAACCTGGGAGGCGGAGCTTGCAGTGAACCTAGATTGCGCCACTGCACTCCAGCCTGGGCGACAGAGCGAGACTCAGTATCAAAAAAAAAAAAAAAAAAAAAAAAAAAAAAGAAGTGTGGATGACTAGGTGAAAAAAAGGCATGGGAATTAGGAATTGCAATTAAAAATCTAGAGTGGAAAAGAAAAGGAAGGCAGAGGTAATCATAGCACTGAAGAATACCTAGTAGTTACATACACATTAAAAATAAAGATTATGCGGGGTGTGGTGGCTCATGTCTGTAATCCCAGCACTCTGGGAGGCCAAGGCAGGCGCATCACCTGAGGTTGGGAGTTCAAGACCAGCCTGACCAACATGGAGAAACCCTATCTCTACTAAAAATACAAAATTAGCTGGGCGTGGTGGCACATGCCTGTAATCCCAGCTACTTGGGAGGCTGAGGCAGGAGAATTCCTGGAACCTGGAAGGCAGAGGTTGCAGTGAGCCAAGATTGCACCATTGGACTCCAGCCTGGGCAACAAGAGTGCAACCCCGTCTCAAAACAAACAAACAAACAAAATAAAGATTATGGCAGGTCACTGTGGCTCATGCCTGTAATCCCAGTACTTTGGGAGGCTGAGGCAGGCGGATCACTTGAGCCCAAGGGTTCAAGACCAGCCTGGGCAACATGGAGAAACCCTGTCTCTACAAAAAACACAAAAATTAACCAGGCATGGTGGCACACACCTATAGTCCCAACTACTTGGAAGGCTGAGGTGGAAGGATTGCTTGAACCCAGGAGGTAGAGGATGCAGTATGCCTTGATCACACCACTGCACTCCAGCCTGGATGACAGAGTGAGACCTTGTCTCAAAAAAGTAAGATAAAATAAAGATTATGGGCAGGCAGAAAATGGCTCCAACCAGAAGAGGAAAACAAGGAAAGTAAAGGGAGAGGAAGACAATTAAGAAGGAGAGGGAGGAGAGAGAGGGGAAAAGAGGAAGGAGGGAGGGATTACAGTTAAAGACATCAATCCTGCAAATATCTAAATGAGATCGTTACATAAAATGAATAAATCATTAGCAAAACCTACAGAAAGAATATAGAAGGTACATTCAGAAATTGAGGCAAAGTACAAAATGAAAAAAATATATACAGGCAAAACTGGAGAACTTGGCAAAACAAGGAAAGGCAAATGCTAAACACAAACTAAATGTCAGAAGAACATTAGAAACTATAATGGTTAACTTACAACTCATACTTTATAAAGAGAAATGCTTACAAAGGAAGAGAACCTATATAATTATTTCTCCTACTTTTATAGTCATTTGTCCTAAGAATTATCAAAAATATTTTTAAAGTATCATATTTTGACTACCCACTATCCTCATGTCTCCAACACAACTGATAATCTTTCCATTTCCTCCCTTCATATAACATGCCAGTGGTTGCATTTCTTTACTTGGTAGTTATGTTATTCTATAAATGAACATTAATGGGCTATATGTTGGACATAAATCTTTATACTATTTCATCAACTGTGCAGAACCCAAATTAGGAAGATAGACTAAACAATTCACTTATCCGTATTTTCTGAGAAGCAAACCACTTTCTAGTACCATTCAAATAGCCTCCTTTCTTGATACCTTTTAAAGTATCTCAGAGATGTATGGACATACAATCAGAGTATAAAAGAAAGGGAGACCAACAATTACATATTGCTGAGAGTAGGAAAGACTTAAAAGTGTGAAACAGGCCAGGCACGGTGGCTCATGCCTGTAATCCCAGCACTTTGGGAGGTCAAGGCAGGTGGATCGCTTGAGGTCAGGAGTTTGAGACCAGCTTGGCCAACATGGTGGAACCCCATCTCTACTAAAAATACAAAAAATAGCCAGGCATGGTGGCACATGCCTGTAATCCCAGTTACTTGGGAGGCTGAGGCAGGAGAATTGCTTGATCCTGGGAGGCAGAGGTTGCAGTGAGCCAAGGTCGCATCACTGCACTCCAGCCTGGGTAACAGAGCAAGACTCCTCTCAAAAAAAAAAAAAAGTATGAAATAAAGCAGAAAACAGGAAAAGACTAGAAGTATTAGAAAGAACAATATAAGCCTAGGTAGCAAAGAACCAAAGAATCAAGATGAAACAAAAAGTAAGGGAAATGGGAACACATGTAACAAGGATATAATTTTTCAATATTAAAAAAATGCAATTAATATGAAGGAGGCTCTAAAGCTAGAAATTTTCATAAAGTAAAACCTATCACATACCTTTAATTTTTCCCTTTTCAACAAATATTTACTGAGAATTTGCAAGGCACTATTTATATAGCACTGTCACTGCCTTCTCAGTAGGCAAAAGAGAATACTGGGAAAATAAAAGTAAAGAGACCAGAGAGAAGGTACTCTGAAGCACAAAAGTTTTTATTTTGAAGAAGTCCAATTTATCCATTTTTTTCTTTTGTTGCTTCTTTTGATGTCATATCCAAGAAACCTACCTCAAGGCCATGAAGATTTATTTTTACATTTTCTTCTAAGAGTTTCAGTTTTACCTCTTATATTTAGGTCCATGATCCATTTTCAGTTCATTTTCATATATGGTATAAGACAGGGATCCAACTTCACACTTTTGCACATGGATATCTATTTGTCCCAGCATCATTTGTTGAAAAGACCATTGTTTCTCCCACTGAATTACCTTGCCACCCTTGTCAAAAATCAACTGACCATAAAAGTAAGGGTTTACTTTCTGGATACTTAATTCTATTTCATTGAGCTAAATGTCTATCCTATGCCAGTATCACACCATCTTGATTCACATAGCTTTGCAGTAAATTTTTTAATTGGAAAAAGTGAGTCCTCCAAATTTTTTGTTCTTTAACACTGTTTGGCTATTCTGGGCCCTTTACATTCCCATATAAATTTTAGAATGAGTTTGTTACTTTCTCTTTTTTGTTTTTTTTGACAGAGTCTCGCTGCTGGCCAGGTTGGAGTGCAGTGGTGCGATCTCAGCTCAGTGTAACCTCCTTCTCCCTGACTCAAGCAATTCTCCTACCTCAGCCTCCTGAATACCTGGGATTACAGGCATGTGCCACCACGCCTGGCTAATTTTTGTATTTTTAATAGAGATGGGGTTTCACCACGTTGGCCAGGCTGTTCTCAAACTCCTGACATCAGGTGATCCACCTGCCTCCACCTCCCAAAGTGCTGGGATTACAGGCGTGAGCCACTGCACCCAGCCTGAGTTTCTCAATTTCTGGAAGAAAAAAAAAAAAAAGGAAAGAAAAAGAAGGGGAGGAAAAAAAGGCAGCTGGGGTTTTGACACAAAAATTAGCCAGGTATAGTGGCTCACACCTGTAGTCCCAGCTACTTGCAGGGCTGAGGCAGGAGGATTGCTTGAGCCCAATGAGTAAGCCCTATGCGCAAAAAAAAAAAAAAAAAAAAAAAAAAAAAAATTCACTTAAAAGTCTTTAATTAAGTAGTTAGACCTCCAGGTCCCCTTTCCATTGCTAGGCTATTACCTCAGCTTCAACTTCATCTCCTATTCTCCAGGATACCAGAAGTTCTAGAAGACAAAGGGGCTCTGGGGAAGGGAAGGGTAAGCAATGGGAACAGGGAGGGAGTAGGAAGTGTGGGCTTAGGTGAAAGTATGCATTTTGAAATGTGGGACTGCTTCAGCCCCCTTTAAATCACCCATCCTGCTACCAAAATATATACCCCTTTTCGAGGGAGGTCAAAATTGACCAACCCCACCTACTTTCAAACCAAGAAGTCTGTGAAAACCCACTAACTCAGAAGAATAACTTAGTGAAAATAAACTACGCAGGGAGAAGAAAACTTCAAAAATAACCATCATTAATATCTTCAGAAAATTAAGGCAAATTATAGCCATGAAACAAGAACAAGGGGCTATTAAAATATTCAGAGAACAGGGTCGGGCGCAGTGTCTCACACCTGTAATCCCAACACTTTGGGAGGCTGACGCAGGCGGATCACCTGAGGTCAGGAGTTCAAGACCAGCCTGACCAACATGGTGAAACCCTATCTCTACTAAAAATACAAAATTAGCTGGGCGTGGTGGTACATGCCTGTAATCCCAGCTACTCAGGAGGCTGAGGCAGTAGAATCACTTTAACCCAGGAGGCAGAGGTTACAGTGAGCCGAGATCACGCCATTGCACTCAAGCCTGGGCAACAGGAGTGAAACTCTGTCTCAAAAAAAAAAAGAAAAAAAAATTCAGAGAATACAAGATCTTGGAAATTAAAACATGACAGTAGAAATTAAAAACACAACAGAAATAATCAATTCCACTCTATACTCAAGAGAATTGAAAACTTATGCCCACACAAAAACTTGTAACGGAATATTCACAGTAGCACTACTCCTAACAGCCAAAAGTGAAAACAATTCCAATGTCCATCAGCTGATGAATGGATAAGCAAATGCGGCATATCCATAAAATGGAATATTACCTAGCCATAAAAACAAATATATTGGGCCTGACATGATGGCTCACGCCTGTAATCCCAGCACTTTGGAAGGCCAAAGCAGGTGGATCACTTGAGGTCAAGAATTGGAGACCAGCCTGGTCAACATGGTGAAACCCCATCTACTAAAAAAAAAAAAAAAAAAAAGCAAAGATTAGCCAGGCACGGTGGGACACATCTGTAATCCCAGTTACTTGGAGGCTGAGGCATGAGAATCACTTGAACCCAGGAGGCAGAGGTTACAGTGAGCCAAGATCGCATCACTGCACTCCGTCCAGCCTGGGCAAAAAGCAAGACTGTTTCAAGAAAGAAAGAAAAAAAAAGGAATAAAGTATTGACTCGTGCTACATACAACAAGGTTGAATCATGAAAACATGAGAAGTGATAAAAGCCAGACACAAAGATTACATATTGAATAACTTCATTTATGTAAAATGTCCAGAATAGGTAAATCCATAGGGACAGAAAGTATAACAGACTAGTGCTTTCCACAAAGTCTCGGGTAAAGAGGAAATGGAGAGTGACTGCTATGGTATGAAGTTTCCTTGTAGGGGTAATGAAAACCTTCTGGAATTAGGGCTGATGGCTGCACAACTTTGTGACTACACTAAAAAACCACTGAAAAGGTCACTACTTTAAAGGGGTAAATTTTATGACACACGAGTAGTACCTCAATAAAAAAATTAGTTTTACAAAACTCAGGTTGGGAAATAAAGTTCAAGAAGTCTTACAGAAAACAGAAAAAAAAAAAAAAGAGAGAGAGGTAGAAAATAAGAAAGAAAAATATATAAGGTTAAAGTATCAGTCCATAGGGACTAACGTTCAAATAACTGGAGAAAGAGAAAACAGGCTGGGTGCGGTGGTTCATGTCTGTAATCCCAACATTTTGGGAGACCAAGGCAGGTGGATCCCTTGAGCTCAGGAGTTCGAGCCTGGACAACATGGCAAAACCTCCTCTCATCTCTATCAAAAACTACAAATATTAGCTAGGCGTGGTGGGGACTGAGGCAGGAGCATCGCTTGAGCCCAGGAGGTCGAGGTTGTAGTGAGTCATGTTGATGCTACTGTACTCCAGCCTGGGTGACAAAGTGAGACCCTGTCTCAAAAAAAAAAAAAAAAAAAAAAGAAGAGAGAGAGAGAGAAAACAAAAATAAATTATTAATAAAATAACTTCCCAGAAGTTAAGAACATGAGGTGCCAGACTAAAAGGGCCCAGAGTGTTCAACACAAGTCCTGAGTTCACACCAAGGTATATCTTAGTGAATTTTAAACAATGAGAACAAAGATGACTTTACAAGCTTCCACAGGGTAGGAAAGTCAGGCCACACATAAAAGATTAAGAATGGCTTCAAGACTTTCAAAAGTAATTCTGGAAACAAGAAGATGATAAGAGTGATGCCTTCAAACTCTTGAAGGAAAATTATAGACAATCTATAAGTAGCCTATACCAGTCAAATCCCTCTTTTTCATACTTGATTATTAAAGGCATTTTCAGACATGAAAGGTCTCAAAAATTTACCTCTTTTACACTCTTTGTCAATAAGCTACTAGAAGATAGGCTTCAGCAAGTAAAACTGAAAAACCAACAGAGAGGGAAACTTAGCATACAGGAAATAAATCAAACACAGAAGAGGGGCAAAAGGGAACCTCCAGAAGAATGATAGGTGTATCTCAGAAAGAAAGCTACAGATTGGAGCAATATGACTCAAGAGACATAATGAAGGACTGTCATTACCAAAATCCCCACAGCCTTTGGGGCACATCCATTTAACATGAGATGTGCCTGGTCCAGGTTTTCATTGGAATTTAGTTTGTCTTGACCCCGTGTTGATAAAGTTCCTGGAGCCTAGATGGGCTGAAGACTTATTTCACAGCACAGACATGTTTTGCTTTTCCTTATTCTTGAGAGCTAAAGCGTGATAAGCTTAGCTTAGAAGCAAAACCACATAGAGCAATCTACTCTCCCAATCACATTTCTTCTAGATATTTACCGTAGTATCTTGTAAACACTTTAGTTTTGCCAGATTCCCTGACTGTGGGGAGCCTGTGTTTCTCCAGACTCAATAACAAACTTTCCCAATGACTTATCCAAAAAAGATCAAGGAAGACTCTTTTCAGCTTATCTTCTGAGAGCTTTCATCTAATAGCAGCAGTATGTACCTTTCCTTTCACAGCCTCAGTTGATGCTTGCTATTCAGTTTTCCAAAACAAAATGATATATTTCTTAGGGATACATACCATGGCAGAGATTGGCTCATTGTTGACCAAGGCGTTTTCCCTTTCCTTCCTTGCAGTTAAGTGTAGCCATTTGACTCAGTTCTAGCCAGTGGAATGCGGACAAAACTGATGTATACCACATCCTGGCCTGGCCCATCAAACTTTCCATGCAATCTACCACAGTCCCTCTCTTTGTCCTCGCATCTGCCAGCCAGATGCAGGAAATTCAAAGTCTCTGAGGCCCCAGTGGGTGGCAGAATCACTAGCTGAAAGCAGCCTGAGTCCCTCAATGACTCTGTGGAACAGACCACCACTCTGTCACTGCTTTTCAACTCACAGCAAAGATGTGAGTGAGAAATAAATTTTGTGTTAAAAACCACTGATTTGGTAATTATTCATTAAAGTAGTTCAGCCTATCCTGACTAACAGACTTAGAGAGGTAGTAGAGCTTTTTGGTTTTTCAAAATTAAAAATTTTGGCCAAAAATACATGTATGGACATGGAGGATATTGCAGGCTTGAGCAGAGAATGGTCCCAAGAGAATGACTAATATGTTAAAATAGGCTTGTGATTTCCTGGAAGGGAGGGGGTGCCATTAAAGGATATCTTGAGGAAACTTCTAGGATAAATGTAACATGTAATTTCTTGACCTAGGTAGTGAGACCACAGGTGTTCATGTATTCTTCTTCCTAAAACTGTATTTTTGTTTTATATTTCTCTATAGTTCACAACTAATTTTATGCAAAATAAATTCGTTTTATAGCTTATAAATTGATGTTATAAGCTAGAATGGATGGATGGATAGATACATAGATAGATGAAGACTCTTGAAAAATCTGTTGGCGCATTTAGGGGGAAAGCAACAGGTAAACAGAAAATTATGTAAATGTAAAAGGCAAATTTTAACTCCCTGAAAAAACAAAGTTAAACAAGAAAGGAAACAAGTATGATATACCACATGGCTGATCAGTAAACAATATTTATTTCATTATAATGAAAACACCAACTATTGATTTAAAATTTCAAAATTGGAATGTTGCAGGGAGGGAAAGTGGGATGAAATAGTGAAGAAATACAAAATAACAATAAAACCACCAGTAAGTCCCACCATCCGAAGATACTCCTATTTTAATAACATTATTTTTTAAACAAAAATTGGTTAATATGGCAGGGCATGGCGGCTCATGCCTGTAATTCCAGCACTTTGGAAGGCTGAAGTGGGCAGATCACCTGAGGTCAGGAGTTCGAGATCAGCCTGACCAACATGGTGAAACCCATCTCTACTAAAAATACAAAAATTAGCCAGGCATGCATGGTGGCAGGCGCCTGTAATCTCAGCCACATGGGAGGCAGAGGCGGGAAAATTGCTTGAATGTGGGAGGCAGAGGTTGCAGTGAGCCAAGATCATGCCACTGCACTCCAGCCTGGATGACAGAAAAAGACTCCGTCTCAAAAAAAAAAAAAAAAGTTCCTAAAACATGCTATTTTGTAATCAGTTATGGTAGACAAATTCTAAGGTGGTTCCCCACCCTAATCGCCCTTCCTACTGTTCACACCTTTGTGTAATTACTTCCCCCATGAATGTAGGTGGGTCCTGTGACTTACTTCTAACCAACAGAATATGGCAAAGGTTATACAGGATGCTACTCCCATAACTATGTTACATTATATAAGACTGTCTTCCAGCCTGGTGCGGTGGCTGACGCCTGTAATCCCAGCACTTTGGGAGGCCGAGGCTGGCAGATCACGAGGTCGGGAGATCGAGACCATCCTGGCTAACATGGTGAAACCCCATCTCTACTAAAAATACAAAAAATTAGCCAGGCGTGGTGGTGAGCGCCTATAGTTCCAGCTACTTGGGAGGCTGAGGCAGGAGAATGGCGTGAACCTGGGAGGCGGAGCTTCCAGTGAGCCGAGACTGCACCACTGCACTCCAGCCTGGGTGACAGAGCGAGACTCTGTCTCAAAAAAAAAAACAAAAAAACAAAAAAAAATGAACTGTGCATGTGAGGGATCTAGGTTGTGCGTTCCTTATGAGAATCTAATGCCTGATGATCATCTGAGATGAAATGGTTTCATCCCGAAACCAACCCCCCCACCCACCCCACCCCCGTCCATGGAAAAATTGCTTTCCACAAAACTGAATCCTGGTGCCAAAAAGGTTGGGGACCACTGCCTTATACCATATAGAAAAGTTAACTCAGGGGTCAGGCATGGTGGCTAACGCCTATAATCCCAGCACTTTGGGAGGCCAAGGCAGGCGGATCACCTGAGGTCAAGAGTTCAAGACCAGCCTGACCAGTGAAACCCTGTCTCTACTAAAAATACAAAAATTAGCTGGGCGTGGTGGCAGGTGCCTGTAATCCCATCTACTCGGGAGGCTGAGGCCAGAGAATTGCTCGAACCCAGGAGGTGGTGGAGGTTGCAGTGAGCCCGAGATTACACCATTGCACTCTAGCCCGGGCAACAAGAGAGAAACTCTGTCACAAAAAAAAGAAAAGAAAAGAAAAGAAAAGAGAAAGAAAGAGAAAGAAAGAAAGAAAGAAAGAAAGAAAGAAAGAAAGAAAGAAAGAAAGAAAGAAAGAAAGAGAAAGAAAGAAAGAAGAAAAAACTCAAAATGGATCAAAGACCTAAACAAATGAGCTAAAACCATAAAACTCGTAGGAGAAAATATATGGGAAAAACTTCATGATATTGAATTTGGCAATGATTTCTTGGACATAATACCAAAAGCAGAAGCAACAAAAGAAAAGGTAAGTTGGATTTCATCAAAATTAAAAACTCTGGGCAGGGCGCGGTGGCTCACATCTGGAATCCCAGCACTTTGGAAGGCAGGCAGATCACGAGGTCAGGAGTTCAAGGCCAGCCTGGCCAACATGGTGAAAACCCGTCTCTACTAAAAATACAAAAATTAGCCAGGCATGGTGGCGCATGCCTGTAATCCCAGCTATTCAGGAGACTGAGGCAGGAGAATAGCTTGAACCCAGGAGGCGGAGGTTGCAGTGAGCCGAGATTGGGCCACTGCACTCCAGCCTGGGCAGAGCAAGACTCCATCTTAAAATAACATAACATAAAATAAAATAAAATAAAATAAAAACAAAACTGTGTACATCAAAGCACACTATCAAAAAGTAAAAAGGCAAACCACGGAATAAAAAAAAATTTGCAAATCACATAGCTGATAAAGGATTGATATAAAGAACTCCTACAACTAAGCAACAACAAAAACCCAATTAAAAAGATAAAAGACATAAGTAGACATTTCTTCAAAGAAGATACAAAAATGGTCACATGAAAAGATGCTCAGCCGGGCATGATGGCTCAACATACGTAATCCCAGCACTTTGGGAGGCTGAGGCAGGAGTATTGCTCGAGCCCAGGAGTTGGAGACCAGCCTGGACGTTGCTTGAACCCAGAGTTGGAGACCAGCCTGGGCAACATGTCTCTACAAAATATAAAAAAAAAGAGGCAAGGCACAGTGGCTCATGCCTGTAATCCCAGCACTTTGGGAGGCTGAGGTGGGCGGATCACCTGAGGTTGGGAGTTCGAGACCAGCCTGGTCAACATGGAGAAACCCCATCTCTACTGTAAATACAAAATTAGCTGGACATGGTGGCGCATGCCTGTAATCCCAGCTACTTGGGAGGCTGAGGCAGAATCGCTTCAACCTGGGAGGCAGAGGTTGCAGTGAGCAGAGATAGCGCCATTGCACTCCAGCCTGGGCAACAAGGGCGAAACTCTGTCTCAAAAAAAAAAGAAACAGAAGGAGAAAAGAAAATCAGCTGAACATGGTGGTACATGCCTGTGGTCCCAGCTACTGGAGAGGCTGAGGTGGGAGGATCATTTTAGCCCAGGAGGTCGAGGCTGCAGTGAGGCATGATTGTGACACTACACTCCAGCCTGGGTGCCAAAGCAAAATCTTGTCTCCAAAAAAAAAAAAAAAAGAAAGAAAGAAAGAAAAGAAGAGAAAAAGAAAAGATGCACAATGTCACCCATCACCAGGGAAATACAAATCAAAACCACAGTGAAATACCACCCTATTAGAGATTTTATTTTAAAAATAATCGATTTTTTTGTGTTAGAAAACAGGGCCAGGCACAAGCAGGCCGGGTGCAGTGGCTCACGCCTGTAATCCCAGCACTTTGGGAGGCCGAGGCGGGCAGATCACAAAGTCAGGAGTTCGAGACCAGCCTGGCCAATAGGGCGAAACCCCGTCTCTACTGAAAATACGAAAATTAGCCGGGCGTGGTGGCGGGTGCCCATAGTCCCAGCTACTTGGGAGGCTAAGGCAGGAGAATCGCTTAAACCCAGGAGGGAGAGGTTGCAGTGAGCCGAGATCGCGCCACTGCACTCTAGCCTAGGCAACAGAGCAACACTCTGTCTCAAAAAAAAAAAAAAGAAAGAAAGAAAAAAGAAAAAAAAAAGAAAACGGGACCAGGAACAATGGCTCACACCTGTAATCCCAGCACTTTGGGAGGCCAAGGCTGGCGGAGCTCAGGAGTTTGAGACCCTCCTGGGCTAATGGAGAGACCTCATCTCTACAAAATATACAAAAATTAGCCAGGCATGGCAGTGCACACCTGTACTCCCAGCTACTCGAGAGACTGAGGTGGGAAGGAACACTTAAGCCCGGGAGGTCAAGGCTACAGTGAGCTGTGGTCGGGCCATTGCATTCCAGTCTTGGTGACAGAGTGAGACCCTGGCTCAACATAAATAAAAATCAATCAATAAGAAAACAGAAAATAGTAAATGTTGGCAAGGATGTGGAGAAACTGGAACCCTTGTGCATTGCTGGTGGTAATGTAAAATGGTATAGCCACTGTGGAAAATAGTATGGTGGTTTCTCAAAATATTAAGCATAGAATTACCAAATGAAATTTGGTAATTATCAAATTACTAGCAATTCCACTTCTGGGTACATACACAAAAGAATTGAATGTGGCACTCAAACAGACATTTGCATACTCATATTCATGGTGGCACTATTCCCAAAAGCAGAAAGATGGAAACAACCCATCTATCAAAAGATGATTAAACAATATGGTATAAACATACGAAGGAATATTTTTCAGCCTTAAAACAAATGAAATTCTGATACATGCTATGACATGGATGAATCTTGAAGACATCATGCTAAGAGAAATGAGCCAGACACAAAGACAAATATTACATAATTCCATTTATACGAGGTACCTGGAGTACACAAATTCATAGAGTCAAAAAGTAGAACAATGGTTACCAAGGGCTATGGGCATGAGGTGATATTGTTTAATGGGCAGAGCTTGTTTAGGATGATGAAAAAGTTAGGGAGATGGATAGAGGTGATAGTTACACAATAATGTAAATGTACTTTATACCACCGAATTGTACACTTAAAAATGGTTTAAATGATAAATTTTAAGTTATGTACACAGTCATGTGCTGCATAAGGATGTTCCAGTCAACAATGGATTACACATATTACAGTGGTCCCATAAGATTATAATGGAGCTGTCCTATACACGTGTGCCCTTTTAAGAGATGGGGCCTCACTATGTTGCCCAGGCTGGAACGCAGTGCCTATTCATAGATGTGCTCATAGCACACTACAGCCTAGAACTCCTGATCTCAAGTGATCCTCCTACCTCAGCCTGAGTACCTGGAATTACAGGTGCACACCACCATGCCTGGCCTATTTTCTAATCTTTTATATCATATTTTAACTGTATCTTTTCTATGTTTAGATACACGAAAATTTACCACTGTGTTATAATTGTCTACAGTTATAGTATTCAGTACAGTGACATGCTGCACAAGTTTATGGCCCAGGAACCACAGACTATACCATATAGTCTAGGTGTGTAGTAGGCTATACTGTCCAGGTTAGTGTAAGTATACTCTATGATGTTTGCTTGACAAAATTACCTAATGATGCATTTCCCAGAACATATTCCTGTCATTAAGCAACAAATGACTGTATTTTACCATAATAAAAATATTTTTAAAAAAGGTCAACAGAGTAAATTTTATGTTATCTATATTGTACCACAATTTTAAAAACAAAACAAACTTTATTTGATTGCAAAGGATGAATCTGGCAAGACAAGAACAATGCCCTCTCATTTCCTTGACTGTTCACCTAGATACAGCATTATCTGTGACAAGGGAAAAAACATCTAATCTAAAGCTGAATTTTTTTCTACATTTAGTCCTATAATCCTTAGGTCACTTAACTGGGATACTCACTTTTTAAAAAAAGCAATGCTATATATTCAGTTTGTTCATGATTTAAGCCATTTAACAGGGAAATAAATATTTTAACATCCTAATCCTCTGCATACAGTACGGTATACTCTAACTTACAAAACAGAAAGCCAAAAGATTTCTTCTAGCTGTTAATATATTTCTACTTAGGAAAGTGGGCATGTAAGGAACAACATGCTCAGAACAGTAACATAAAAATTAAATTTGCTTCCCTAAAGCAGTAAAGATATCTGTTATATCAAAAGTAGTTAAAATGTGGTAATGAAGGAACACTAAGATATACAGGGTTCAAAATGAAAACAATGGAAAAAGATAATCCATGATTCTTTAATGAAGGTGTTTATATTCCACCTCTGAGAAAGCACCCTGGTATGTATTCCAAGGCTTTTCCCAGCTCTTTACCACTTTCTTTCACTGCTGCTTTTTATTTCTTTTCTTTTTCTTTTTTTTCCCGAGGAGGAAAGGAAGGCAGAGACAGAGAAGGGAAAATAAGATAATGGGAATAAACTGATAAGGAAGAAAGAAAAACTAGTTTATTTTTTCTCCTCACACTGAATCCTAAATACATTATCATCATCATCATTCTCATCATCATAAATGTGAACAGCTGCAAATAACTGAAGGCAAAGGAAAACTAAATTTCCTCCAGTCACAACCTAATCTAAAGCAAAAAAGTGGGGGTGGGGAGGTCCATCTGCAGGCTTGCATCTGTAAATTAAGTTTGTATGCTGAATTCTTCAAACAATCTTGACCGTAATACAAAGCTGCTGTTAAATATGGTGACATGAACCTTGGTCTAAGGGTGGAACACTAAGTTCTTTCAACAGCTTTCTAGCCTAAGAAGTGACATCAGTTAAAGAACTTTAAACCCAAGTGTTTCATTCACTAAGTATAAACAAATCAAGGTTTTCATAAGACACCACATAGTACAAACTAAGAGTTTAAAGATATAACTTCATGATACTATATAGTACCACAGGAAAAGCAGAATGAGAATTTGGGAAGAAGCTAATTTATCTATCTGAACTTAAAATAATCCTGTAGCATAGTCCATTATTCCAAGAGTCCTTTTGATCTTAACGACAAATACGAAGGTCTCTGAATTGGACTGCTATTTTAACTGGGGCCCTCCCTATGCCAGTAACAATAATGCTTTTTCCCTAATGTAAAACATTTGACCGATTCTTGGCAAACACTCTCATATAACCAGAAGATAACATCAATGCTGGCACAATCCTATGCTCTTTCTTGTGCACCTTTTTCTAAAAACTTTCCTCCTGGACGGGCGCAGTGGCTCATGCTTGTAATCCCAGCAATTTGGGAGGCCAAGGTGGGTGAACGATGTGAGCCCAGGAGTTAGAGACCAGCGTGGGCAACATGCGGACACCCCGTTTCTACAAAAAATACAAAAATTGGCCCTGTGTGATGATGTATGCATGTAGTCTCAGCTACTTGGGAGGCTGAGGTGGGAGAATCACCCGAGCCCAGGAAGTCGAGGCTGCAGTGATCTGTGTTCATACCACTGGACTCCAGCGTGGGCATCAGAGTGAGACCCTGTCTCAAAACAAACACACAAACAAACAAAACCTTTATTCCTTAGCTTTCCTTAATAAGAGGAAGAAGCAGGGGAGGAGGAGGTAGCACTAAAAACTTGGATCCTCGGATATACGGGCTAAGTAGTTGTTCACCCCAAAACCTAGCCTTAATCTTCTGAAGGCAAAATGTCCTTTATAACTCCCCCTTCTGTGCTTGCCACTGATCCTAAACCGCAGGCCTTCCTGACTTGCAAGAGGACCAGGCCAGATTATGGTTATGTGGTAGGTTCTGTCAGGCAAGCTTTGACAAGGTCTCAAAATAGACCCTGGGCACAAGCCAGGGAAGCTGCCACTCATGAGTTCCGACTTCATCAAACTATAGCCCTTCAGTATGTAATTTTTTTTTTTTCTCTCTAGTGTCTCTCTCATTTCAAAAAGGCAAAGAATCCTGAACCTCCTCCTGGCCACAAGTAACCTATATAACATCAAACCTAAGCCTCCTTTATTCTGTTTACAAAAACTTTGCAGAATAAAGATTGAATCTGTACCTCCTTCCTGCCTTGAGAAAGTAATCCATCAAATAGCACTCTAGTTTGCAAAAGGATTTTTGGATCTCAAACTCCATAGAGGTTTATTTTATTATGTATAGATTAGGATGTGGAAGGTAAAGGAAAAAAGGAGGTAGATTATTTACTTCTTTCCTGACTAATAATATAGTAGCCGACTTATGCAGGGCAAGAATTTAAACTATACACAATGCTTTTAATTGATACTGGTCATAAAATTCTGAAACAATCAACCTACTTAAGATGTAGCCATTTAACTATTATCAAATATAAATGCTTCTATATGACAGTACCAGTCTTCAAACCACAATATTTCTACTTTTACCAATACAAATAAAATTAATCACCTGACACTCAAATGTTTTTAAGTACCTTATAAAATAATTTGCAATATTTTTTAAATGGAGAGATGGATAAAGAATACAAAGTAATTAAGAGCTCCTTTCCCCTTCCACAAGCCCAAGAAATAAGTTAAATTCTATTATAAATAAAGCCAACATGGGATTGAAATAGTTTTAACTTTTCATAACTTCAGTCTCAATCTTACAGTCACACTTTGAAAATACATTCTGTATAGATACTAACTAATGCAAAGACTTATATATGTATTGTTCATTACAGCAGTGTTTGTAGAAGGCTAAAAACAACCTAAATATCTGTCAATAGAAAATGGTAAAATAAATTACGGAAAATGAATAAATTATGGTTCATCTACACTAGCAAGGCATGCGGTCTTTTTTAAAAAAGTAAGAAATATGTGCTAAATACAAAAAGATCTTCATATGCCAAAGATAAGAATGAAAGATACAATATATTTCTCCTAGACATATGTGATTGAATATGGTTGCTTGGATTGGGGGGTTGGGGTAAGGAAAGGCTGGGAGTTTGTGGTGGAAAGCAGACTTTCTTTTCATCATATACCACCTTTTAAAATGTTTTATCAATTTTTAAAAGTCCCATAAACATCTACTGAACCCATGAAATAAGCATTCTCCTTCTATAATGCCATTTCTTCCCCTTCCCTAATTATCTCTACTTTTATCTACTGCTCTCCCTACCACTAGGCTAAAACAAATGCATACATATGTTCCCTATGAAGTGGAATTATCTCTTGACCTCCCCATCAAAATAAATGAATAATGAACTAATGAAGAAGTATAACACATGATCAACCCAGTTTTTAGCCTAGTTGTTTGACTCCTTTGAAGTCCAGCATAATTTATTATAAGCCAAAAAGTTCACAAGGCAAGTTTTGTTCAATTCCTTCCTTCTGAAGTTTTAAAAGTTGAGTTTTATTGGCCGGGCGTGGTGGCTCATCCCTGTAATCCCAGCACTTTGGGAGGCCAAGGCGGGCAGATCACGAGGTCAGGAGATCGAAGCCATCCTGGCTAACAGGGTGAAACCCCGTCTCTACTAAAAAATAAAAAATAAAAAATTAGCTGGGCATGGTGGCGGGCGCCTGTAGTCAAAGCTACTGGGTAGGCTGAGGCAGGAGAATGGCATGAACCCAGAAGGCGGAGCTTGCAGTGAGCCGAGATTGCGCCACTGCACTCCAGCCTGGGCGACAGAGCGAGACTCCACCTAAAAAAAAAAAAAGTTGAGTTTCATTTATTTATTCTTGAGACAGGGTCTCACCCTGTCTCCCTGGCTGGAGTGCAGTGGTGTTTTCAGGGCTCACTGCAGAACTCATGTGGTCTTCCCATCTCAGCCTCACAAGCAGCTGGGACTGCAGGGACACACCACCAGCTAATTTTTTTGTAGAGACAGGGTCTCACTATGTTGCCCAGACTGGTCTTAAACTCCTGGGCTCAAGCAATCCTTCTGCCTTGGCTTCCAAAAGTTGAGTTTTAAATGATGATCACAGATTATATTCTTTATTTGCAGACTGAACAAAGTAGTACATTTTCCCTATTAAAGGACCATCTCTCAATTTAGATGTTCCACATAGAAAGCAACTACCTAAAAGGAAAAAGCTACGAAACAGCCTGTATTTTGCAGGTGCAATGGATGATGATCCTAAGATAAAGACAGAAGAATTTTATTTCCTTCTGAATGATCCTCATCAACATTCCCAGCACACTGCAAGAATTATTTTTTTCTATATATCATCAACTCTGTTGCTTCTCACACTAGGAACAGGGTAAACAATCCACAAAGAGTTCTTCAAGAAATTGCTCCCTCCCTCTTGCTAAATTCATTTCTAATAAAGATTTGTTTTTGTTTTGAGAGACAGAGATACTTTGCCAAATATATTCTCCATATTACCTTTTCCTTTCGTTAACGGAGATACTTAAATCCTGACCTAGGAAGGTTTCCCTTGCATATTTACCTATCAAGACTGTCAGTTACGGTGATTTCCAAAAGGGATTTTCCAAAAGGGAATCTGTGTTCACAGGGAACTGAAACTCTTAAGTCACTATTTAAATTAGCTGGACAAAAATCAAAAGCAACATTAGGGAACACTCTGAATATAATGGATATCCAAAGTAAAAAAAAGATGCCAAAATTTAGTGAAAGAAGTAAAGGAATTTAGTAAGCTAGACCAACAGGATAGACTTGCCATTATTTTTTAACTAAAGTTCTTTATAAATGAAAATCAAGGTAAAAATCAGCTGAACTCTAACAGAAGGAAAAGAAAAACAAGGGTAAGGGTATTAAGAACTCTGTGATTTCAACCTTATTTTACTTAACATTTTTAAAGTCAAAAATGAGCAAATTACATTTCAGCAATAAAAAGCTATTTCTAGTTTAAAGTGAATCCATTCCAATCACAACTTCAATACACACTTTCTTCTAGAACAGAACTTAATAACTCATGTAGTTTCATTCTACATTTTTAAAGACAGAATCACAAAAATGGGTGATGCTTTCCACTCAAAAGACTATTTTGTATAGTGCAAATTCTTTCAGTGAACATTTTCATACCTTAGTGATGGTAGCTCTCCTTTCCACTGACATTTACATCTAGACCCCTTCATTTATCTTCCCACATCTGGCAAAAAAAAAAGGGGGGGAAGGAGTAAAATCAAAGCAATCACTTATAAACCAACAAACTATTCTAAATTCCAGCATTCTGCAAATACTTCAACTTTTATTTCATTACCATTCTTCACGATGATAAATATCCAGCAACAGACCTAACAAAACATAATACAACACTTCCTATAAAATGAGTAAAGAATGCCATCTCATTAGGCAGATACGAACTTAGGTTTCCTCTATTTCAATTTTCAGATTCATAGCAATGATTCACAAAGTGAGTGATCTACCTTCGAAATGAATCACACTTTCTGAAATTCTTATTCTACATATTATAATACTAGGTCATTATCTCTGCATCTGTTAAACAGAGCATGACGTTGGTTAAACAGGGTTAGTGCTGCAAGATATTCAAACCACAACAACCGTGGAGTCCCTGCCAACTAATTCTATTTGCAACACTGCATTCTCCAATAACTGCACTTTTTCATATAGATTTATCCTCAAAATAAAATGTTATCTTGAAAAAATATTATTTTAAACACTGATTAAGAACTTATACATCCATACCCCGCTCTCCTTCTCTCTTGTTTCATTACTACATCCACATTCTCTTCCCATTATGACAACATAAAAAAATTAAGTCACCTTTATCCTTACATATCATTTTTAGTCAATCAATCCACTCTACAATTTTTCTGTTTATAGTAGAAACGCTGAGTCACTAAATGGAAACTCAAAGAAAACCAGCTACTAACAGTTAAGGTTTAGGATACAATATTTATCTAGCCATGTCTCAGCAGCCTGTATTTGTATCTCCCACGGTGAAAAAAGTAAAGCAAACACTTGAACTTTTTTCCCTCTAAGAAAGAAAAAGAAGTGGGTTTCCTTAGGTCCTCCTGCATGCTGCTGGTTACTCACAGGCAGGGCTGACTGGAGTTCTGTAACTTAACAATCTGGGTGTCAATAACGCCTCGTATTAGTCAAGTATTAACCCAGCTAGCGCCTGTTAAACCCGCGCGATCCAGCTCAGGTCAAGGAGGAAGAAGTAAAATTCCCAAAAAATGCTACGCCCTACACCGTCCTGACACCGTTCCCTGGGGGTGCTCGTCCTGGGACAGAACCGTAGTGTGGCGTCTAAGGAGGAAGAGAAGGCGCCTAGGGCACCCGAAACGGAGGGACAGCTGCCCAATTTAATTTCTCCCACAGTGGGAATAACACGTACCTTTTCCCCAGCGCGGTGGAAGGGTGAGCGTTAGAAATCAGACGGGATGTCTGAGAACGCCGCAGGCAGGGGGCGACCCCAGCCCGGGAGCCCGCCGCGGGCCGGCCAGTCCCCAGGGAAGCCCGGCCCCCTAGCCGAGGTCGGAGGCGGCGCGGATCCCACGGGACTGCGGAGGCCGGGAAAAAGGTTCCCAACTCCCCGCTCCCTGCTCCCACCGGGCTGGCGGGAGGAGCGGCCCTTACCTGTGTTAGGGCGCGCGCTGCGACTGCGTCGCTGTCCGGGAAGGGCCGAAGAGCTGCTCGCCCGCCCGGCGCCCGCTGGGGCTATGGGCGAGGGGCGCAGCTGGACGACTCAGTCCTGGGTCCCCGGCCAGGCGGGCGGGGATGGACGCGGCGGCTCCCGGCACTGGCAGCCGGCTAGTCGGTCAGGCCGATGTGCCCTCTGCGCCGCGGCTGAGACAGCGGGAACCGGCCCCGGGAGGAGCCGCAGCCTGAGCGGCCGACTGAGGAGGCGAAGGATGGGCGGGGCCACAGGGTCGACGACCCACTCACCCGGAAGCAGTTGTGGCCGCGACTGCCCGGGAGTGGCGCTTGCCGCGGTCCGGGCTTGCACCCCGCTGGGCAAAGTACCCGGGGCTGTCACACGGCGAGCTGAGCCCTGGGCCGGCGGGTGAGGTTCCCCAAGCGGCGATGCCCCTGGCTCCCTGTTCCGCCATTGCGAGCCGTTAGGGCCAAGCTGGAGGGAGGGCGGCGAGGCGCGGCTGCCGGTAGGGCGGGGCCCTGGGCTGCTGGCGGGGCGGAGGCCGGAGGCGGCCTTGGGCGGGTGGCTTCTCTGGGTCCCACGGTTCCTGCCCAGGCTCTTCGAACCAGGACCAGTGCGGGTAATGTGAATTGACACTTGTTCCGGTTCAGGGCTGCCCCACCCCTGGTTGCCCCAAACCCTGCGGCCTGGTGGGCTTGGGCAAGTGGGCTGGAGTAGCGCTCTGTTAGGAAACGAGTATGCGAGGGAGGGAGGGTGGGTGTGGTCGAAATGCCCAAGCCTCGTTTCAAAAATGAAGACGCATGACCTTAAAATTATTTCTGGAGAAGAATGCTTGCGCGAGAGGTGTGGGGGGGGGGGCGGGGAGCGGGATGGAGGGAGGAGTATAGAGTCTGTTAAAAATCTGATAGACACGGACTTGTTATTTATTCCGGAAATATCTAACGAGGCCCACCAGGTTCAAGGCACTGGGGAAGGACCAGGGTCGTGCATTTGAAAAGCTTACCTTAGTGGAATAGACTGGCTGAAGCAAACAAACAAGGTAATGACAGGTGTAGTATGGCTTTGCAGGAAACACACAGAGTGATGAAAAAGATTTTGTAGACGAAGCCTCTGGCTGGATAGGATGGCTAAAAAAGACCTCTAGGAGGAAGTGATAGTTGAGGAGCCTCCTGACAAAAAAGGCACGAAATACACCTAACCACGACTTTACATACAGGGACTGCAGATTCCAGAACCCCCTGAATAAGCCCACTAATTCCATGTTGAGCACCTGTCTCTAAAGCCTTCTAAGGGCTGTTTCTGTGCTGCCCACTTCCCCTGCAATTTCAGAAGGCTTGATCACCCTTACAGTTTATGGGGGCTGGCACTGTGGCACTAATGGGGGAGGTTCGAGAGACAGGGAGAATTATACCCATCAGCTTTGAGAGACAAATTCTTTACCTTTTCACTGTTTCTATGTCACTATATTTCTCAGAGTCATGAGTAAACATTAAAACTATGATTTTTACGTTGGCATGTTGTGATCTGAATAAAATGATTAATGACATCTTTTGCCAAATTTGTTGAAGACAAAGTGAGAGGATCTATTCAGATGCAGTACCTGAATAATACCAAAAACCCAACACGTATTAAATATTAACGACATAATTAATAGATTGTCTGGATAATACATTAGATTCTCTTGCCCTTTTAATTTTTCTCCTTAGCCACTTGTTTTGATTCATGCAAACCAGCAGAAATATTTTGCATTGTGTTTCTGGGAAAAGGGACTGGGAGGTAGCTAACACTTAATCACCTTCTATTTACACAGCATTGTGCTTCCAGTATTAGGACTAACCTTGAGATATGGGTATCATTATACCCACTTTAGTAACAAAGACATTGAGATTCAGAGAGATTGTGACATACCTAAGGTAGCAAAACTAGTAGCTGGAAGAGCCAAAATTTGAACTCAGATCTCTCTGGCCCTACTAAATGCATCACCATAAATTATTTCATGGGCAATCTTTCCCTGCACCTTAATTGATTTATTTCTGCCAAATGTATGTGTTCCTAGATCTTTATGGAATATTCTGACATGGGAATGCCCCCAGGTCTGTGAGGACTGGCTTCTCTGGGGTTGTATCAATAGATGAAGGAAAATTTTGCAGTTGTTTATACAGTTTGGGGGGTTGAGGTGGTACAATTTGTACATTTTTGTTCCTTTCATAGCAAATTCTTCAGTTTTCTTTGATGAGGCCAAGCAATAAATTTTTTCCTTTCTTAAGAGCAAATACTTATTTTTGTGGTTTTCACAAAAGTTGTCTTTCACAAACACGGTAATACTGTGTTTCACACTGCACATCTCTAAGATGTGAAAGATCATTAGTTCAAACATTAAAAGTAGGATACCACTTTTGAAAGCCTAATATTTGTATTGGTAAAGTGTGTCTGGTCCAGGCACAATGGCTCACACCTGTAATCCCACTACTTTGGGATGCCAAGACAGGTGAATTGCATAAGCTTAGGAGTTCATGACCAGCCTGGGGAACATGGTGAAACCTTGTCTCTACAGAAAATTAGCTGGGCATGGTGGCATGTGCCTGTTAGTCTCAGCTACTTGGGAGACCCAGGTGGGAGGATTGCTTGGGCCCAGGAGGTCAAGGCTGCAGTAAGATGTGATCGTACCACTGTCCTCCAGCCTGCATGACAGAGCAGGACCCTGTCTCCAAAAAAAAAAGTGTGTCTGTGTGTGTGTTAGAAACATTTTTCTAATTTTATTTAACTCCTTACAAGCCTATGGAAACCTGGCAATGTAATTGTCTTTTACTGTGTATATTTGTTTTAAGTTCTCCTTCTAAGAATTCCTATCTAGATTTATTTTTTCATGTTGTTATTTTTTTCTTTTTTACTTTTTATTTGGATATAATTATTAAAAAGTTGCAAAAATAGTATAGCGGGCATGTGTAGTATTTGCCCAGTTTACCCTATTGATATCTTACATATCTATAATACCTTATTAAAACCAGGAAATTGACATACTACAGTCTTTAGGTTTTTAATTTATTTTTATGTTTCATATCAAAAAGTTTCCATTTTGCAGTAATTCATTTTTATTATATTTGACTTGGCCCTTCCTCTCCTAAATTAGCAAATGTTAATAAGCTTGTCCTAGTGCTCATCTTGAATTACAAGTTTATTTTTAAAATTATCTGGGTCAACACAATTGAAAGTGATTTATTTGTAAGGTGGTTGCTTTCTCTGGTCATACTGTTCCATGTCATCCTGCCCTAATAAACCTGCAACATTATACAACTTGTGTGTGTATATTTTAACACATCTTCTGACCACTGCAGTTTTTTCACAGATTGTTATCAAAGGAAAACAGAGGAATACAAGACTCGTCATTTGACTGGATTTTTTAAAAAAGTTTCTAAACATCTAACTGTCAAAACAAGAATACTGGGTGGGCATGGTGGCTAACGCCTTGTAATCCAGCACTTTGAGGGGCCAAGGTGGGCAGATACCTTGAGCAAGAGTTCTAGACCAACCTGGGCAACATGGTGAAATCCTGTCTCTACAAAAAAAAAAAAATATAGCTGGTTGTGGTGGTCCACACCTGTAGTCCCAGCTACTCCAGAGGCTGAGGTGGGTGGAGCACTTGAGTCCTGGAGGTCAAAGCTGCAGTGAGCCATGACTACACCACTGCAAGCCAGCCTGGGTGACAGAGCAAGATCCTACCTCAAAAAAAAAAAAAAAAAAAAAAAAAAAGAATGCTGTGGTTTGTTGGTTAGTGTGCAAAATCTCACTTATGGCTAATTCTGGTTCTACATGGATTCTCCTACCCAGGGCACTCACCCTTTACTCCACCAGAGAATAAACAGGGAAAAAATGAAGGCTAAATTACTTTGTTCAATCTTAGTCTTGAGGAAAGGTTGATGAAAGGGGAAAATTTGGGACTTTGTGTAGGTATCAATTATGTTATGAGCACCTAATCACTGATTATCAAGTGACGGTTTTTCTGCATTATGTACTTACTATAAATGAGTAAAAAACATCCTTCATATTATAGCTTATTTAACAAACTATTATTTATCTGCTGTGTATCAGCAGATAAATCAAGCACCCAATTAGGTACTTGACACAGGGACAAAACAATCTCTGCTCTTAAGGAGCTAGAATTCCAGAGTTTCTGTTGATATATATTTTTTTAATGTTAAGCTCTCACTATGTGCTAGATAATTTGCAAATGCTAGACATCCGACGGGAAGCAAAAACAAAAATGTTTCTTTTTCTTATGAAACTGGTAAGTTAGACAATCTCACAAAAGTACCTTTAAAATCTAACAGGTATTACAAAGGGTAGGTATGTGCTGCCATGAGGGCATAAAAGCATTGGGACTTGACCTAACCTGAGGTATCAGAAATGCCTTCTCCTGGGAATAGATGTTTCAAGCCGAGATTTAAAAGTGCCTCAGAGTATAAACTACATGCAGAGGTGGGGGAAAGCAAGAAAGCACAAATAGACCTCATGATAGAAGCAACAGAGTCCCAGGGACTGAAATGAGAGAATGTGAGATGAGTCTGGAGAGTTAAGGGTCCACCATTCAGGGTCTTAGAGGCTGTGGTAAAGATTCTAATCTTTGTTCCGAAATCTGCAAACCAATCGAGTTTTTAGTGAGAGCAACATGATCAGATTTGTATTTTCAAAAGACCACTCTGACTTCAATGTTAAGAATTCATTCATGCATAGTGTCATGCACCTGTGGTCCCAGCTACTCGGGAGGCTGAGGCACAAGAATCGCTTGAACCGGGGAGGCGTAGGCTGCAGTGAGTCGAGATCATGGCACTGCACTCCAGCCTGGGCCACAGAGTAAGACTTTGCTTCAAAAAAGAAAAATTTTTTAAAAAGAATTCATTTTTGGCCAGGTGTGGTAGCTCACAACTGTAAGCCCAGCACTTTGGGAGGCCAAGGTGAGAGGATTGCTTGCGCCCAGGAGTTTGAGACCAGCCTAAGCAATATAGTGGGACCCCATCTCTACAAAATATAAAAAAATGAAAACATTAGCCAAGTGTGGTGGTGCGCACCTGTAGTCTCAGCTACTCATTCTTTAAATAAATGCATCCTGAAGGCCTGCTATAGACCAAATCCTACTCTGCACACAGAGCACACGGCAGTGGACAACAGACAAATTCCCTATCTGTGAGGATCTTACATACAATATACAAATCATAAATAAGATAATAGTGCTGTAAGAATATTGGAACAGGGTGAGAATGAAAGGGTAGGGTGGAGTTGCTATTTTATAAGCTTGAATCCTATGAAATTACTGATTTTTAAAAATAATTTTTGACCTGAGAATGACATTACACCTTAGGTTTGAATGGTTCAATCCAGTTGTGTGACATTAGGGTCATATGGTTCAACTTAATACTTGGAAGAGTCAGAACTAATGAGGTGATCGAAAGAAAGAGAAGCAAGCCATGTAAATACCTGGGAGAAGAGCATTTGAAGCAAAGGAACAGCAAGTGCAAAGGCCCTAAAACAAAAATGTGCCTGCCATGTTTAAGGAGCAGTAACAAGGCTGAAGAGTAAAGGACAAGTGGGAAGAATGGTAACAGAGGCCAGATCATACTGGTGACCATGGTAACAAATTGGCTTTTCTCCTTTTTTTTTTCCCCCTTAAGACAGGGTCTCACTTTGTCACTCAGGCTGGAGTGCAATGGCGTGCTCATAGCTCACTGCAGTCCTGAACTTCTGGGCTCAAGTGATCTTCCTGCCTTAGCTTCCTTAGTAACTGGGACTACAGGCATCCAGCACCACGCCCAGCTAAGTTTTTTTTTTTAAGAGATGGTATTTCATTATGTTGCCCAGGCTGGTCTTAAACTCCCGCCCGCAAGTGATCCTCCCACCTCAGCCTCCTAAAGTCTTCCAAAATGCTGGGATTACAGACGTGAGCTATCACGCCCAGCCTGGTTTTTCCTCTTTGAGTAAGCTAAGCCGTGGGAGGGTTTTGAGCAGAGGAACTACACATCTGCCATTATTTAAAGGAGTATTCTGTTAATGGTAGAATATAAGTGGTGGATGCAGAAGTGATTGCTGTAAAATTCTTTCAACTTTGCTGTGTGTTTGAAATTTTTCCTAATAAAATAATAGTTTAAACTGGTTATTGTGAATAGACTTTAGGGGAGCAAAGGTGAGAGCAGGAAGACCAGTTAGGCTATAACAATAATTCAGGTAGCAGTGGAAGTGGTAGGAAGTGGTTGGGAGCAGATGTGGTGTTTGAATTACAAGTCAGTAATTCAGAGGAAATACCAGGTAGGAAATACAAATGTATGAATCCACCTAAAGATTAGGAAAACAAGGACAAATGTCTTGAGAATTAAAAGAAAATGCTCAGAAGTGTACCCTAAAGCCTCTTACTCATGCTTTTGTTCTAGGCTGGTTTTGGTTGTAGATAGTTATCAGTTATTATATACTGCCATTCAGATTATTTATATGTATTACTGTCCACAACTCACTTGTGTTCTAAAGGGTTTTTTTTAATAATGTTCTTGTCTTCCCAAGCAGATTACATGCTTTTTGAGAAAAGATCTATTTTTTTGTATACACCCCGCAATGCCATATTCCTAGAAGGCATTTTCAATGTTCACAGAATAAAAATATTTGAATACAGAGCTTTTCATGTCTTTTGTTTTTATAAAACATCAATTTTCTTATAAATGTTTAATTTAGACACTTCTGAAAATGAAGGTAGAGTTAGAATTTTCAATCTGTTGCAACTTATGCCCATTTCAGGTCAGACAAATAAAGAGAGAGCCTTCTGGGGGGTAAAAAAAAAAAAAAAAAAAGGCCCAGGTTTGTGCCTGTAGTAGTAATGTCAGCTACCTCAGGAAGCTTGAGCCCAGGAGTCCAAGGCTTATATGGCACCACAATTGTGCCTGTGAATAGCCACTGCACTCCAGCCTGGGCAACACAGCAAGATCCTGTTTCTTTTAAAAACAAAACAAAACAAAAAAAACCCCAATCAGCTTTTCTCCATATTGGCTTATACTCAGACTTCATCATGTGGCAACAAGACAGTTCTCAAAAACTTTAGTTCTATATTCACTCCAGTCCAAGTCCAGCAAGAGATCCCTTCCAGTAGCTCCTAGATTCACTGAACCAATTACCTTGCTACAGTAATTTGTTAAAGGATAGAGAGTTACCTTCCCATCCTTTAACAAATTACTGTAGCAAGGAAAACTCTTGTGCTATGATTAGCCAAATTTGAGTCATATGCTTTACCTCTGGTCCACCCAAAGATCATGGACTATAGGAGAGGAGTGGTTCCCGGAAGAACAAAATGGAGTACTGTCACCAAAATATAGAAATGGATACTGATGGTGAAAACACAATGCTTACTACACCAACTAACTCAAAGGCCTATGCATTGTTTCTTCCTTAAGCTTTTGAAAGAAGTTAGTCACTGCCATGGCACTCACTTTGAATCTCTTCCAATTCCACACACAATACTGCATTTTTTCCCCTGAATCATCAGGCAGTCATATATTCAGTTGCCATTGAAAAGTAAATGCATGATTATGAAAGTTAACCAGCTGGAAGGGTCAGTATTTCAGTACATCACTTTTCAGGACACTCCCAACTGGTATTGCAGGTAGTTTCTTGTCCTTAAAATTCTTTCCTGTTGTCAAGCTACCTGAAACGTATTTGTCCTCGATACCCTAGGGGCAGGGTGGCTGATAACTAAGGTGCCTGGGAAACACTTCAGAAGCAAGTGACAATGAATTGGCTTAAGAAGCCAATTCATCTTTTAGATGGATATTTATACTGTAGAATCTTGAAAGGAAAATTTATCTACAGATATGTCTGTTTTCAGTTTCTTTTCCTTTTTGCACTAACAAGTTATTTTCCCCACATGACGTTTAATCTACCTTACAAAACATTTTTAACATTTTAGTTCAAAATTTGCTTCAGAAAATGGATGACTTTGGTGTGAAACGATTGTTGACTCTATTATTCTAGAATTTGGGATGGCGCCTCTAGTTTGCTGCTTCCTTGGACACCAAACATAACATTCTCTGTTCTAGGACGTGCTTCAAGTCGGTCATGAGACTGGCAGAAAATCAAACCAAACTAAATGAATGGTTGTTGAAGTTAATCTCCCATCCTGGAGCTGTGCATGCCATGGAGTAGCCAGCTTTTAACAGGCACAATCCTGATCAAAATCACTGCTCTGTGGTCCTGCTCATCAGAATATTATGGAAACTAGATTTAGGCCTGGTTTCCTTAAAAATAGATGTGATAATGAAATAATCATGTATTATAGCCATTACAATTTCTATTGTAGGAGAAAGTGGATAATGTTTTAACGTAAAACAGTAGGTTACTAAACAATATGTTCTAGATGAACATTTAACATTTTTGTTTTAATTAGCCAGGCATGTGTGATGACCTACGCCTGTAGTCCTAGCTACTCAGGAGGCTGAGACGGCAGGATTTGCTTGAGCCCAGGATTTCAAGGTTACAGTGAGCTTTGATCACATCACTGCACTCCAGCCTGGGTGACAGAGCAAGACCCCGTCTCACAAATAATAATACAAATACAGAAAAAATACTAGAAAACACACCCAAATGTTAAGTTTAAGGAATGGAACTATCAGTTATTTTATTTTATTTTTATTTTCAAAAATACTCAAACGTGAAATATACCACATCTGCGGCCGGGCACGGTGGCTCACGCCTGTAATCCCAGCACTTTCGGAGACTGAGCCGGGCAGATCACCCAAGTTAAGGAGTTTGAGACTAGCCTGGCCAACATGGTGAAACGCCGTTTCTACTAAAAATACAAAATTAGCCAGGCGTAGTGGTGCACGCCGGTAATCCCAGCTACTTGGGAGGCTGAGACAGGAGAATCATTTGAACCAAGGAGGCAGAGGTTGCAGTGAGCCGAGATCGAGCCATTGTACTCCAGCCTGGGCGACAAGAACGAAAGTCTGTCTCCAAAAAAAAAAAAAATTGTCTGTTACTGCTATGGTCTGAATGTTGTGTCCTGCCAAAACTCATATGTTGAACTCCTAACCCCCAAGGTGATGGTATTAGAAGGTGGGGCCTTCCTGAGGTGATTAGGCCATGACAGCAGAGCACTCATGAACAGGATTAGTGCCCTTATAAAACAGGCCTAAGAGACACCCCTCCCTGGTCCATAATGTGATAGTAGAATGAGAAAACAGCTGTCTATGAGGAAGCAGATCCTCACCAGACACTGAATCTGCTGGCACCTTGATCTTGGCCTTCTCAGCCTTCAGAATTTTGAGAAATAAATTTCAGTTGTTTATAAGCCACAAAAGCTATATTTTGTTATAGCAGTCCAAATGGACTAAGACAAATACCAATATGACAGAATCAAAATAAAAAACTAAAAATTAAATCTAGGCTGGGCTGTAATCCTGTAATTCCAATGATTTGGGAGGCCAAAGTGGGAGGATCACTTGAACCCAGGAATTTGAGATCAGCCTGGGCAACATAAGGAGACCTCGTTTTTACAAAAAAATGTTTAAAAATTATGCGCGTATGGTGGCACGTGCCTGTAGTTCTAGCTACCTGGGAGGCTGAGGCAGGAGGATCACTAGAGCTAAGGAATTTGAGATTACAGTAAGCTATGATCGTGTCACTCCAGCCTGAGTGACTAAGCAAGACCCTGTCTCAAAAAAAAAAGTCTAATTATGCTTCTTACTGCTCAAAACCATGGTAGATTTCTCTCTTGTCTTGCATACATTTTATTTTATTTTATTTTATTTTTTTTGAGACGGAGTCGCTCTGTCGCCCAGGCTGGAGTGCAGTGGCGCGATCTCGGCTCGCTGCAACCTCTGCCTCCCGGGTTCACGCCATTCTCCTGCCTCAGCTTCCCGAGTAGCTGGGACTACAGGTGCTTGTCACCACACCTGGCTAATTTTATTTTGTATTTTTAGTAGAGACGGGGTTTCACCATGTTACGCAGGATGGTCTCTATCTCCTGACCTCATGATCCTCCCCCCTCGACCTTCCAAAGTGCTGGGATTACAGGCGTGAGCCACGGCGCCCAGCCTTTGCATACATCATTTATTCTTCCATTTAAAAAAAAAAAAGCATGTACAGGGCTGGGTGTGGTGGCTCACCCCTGTAATCCCAGCACTTTGGGAAGCTGAGGCGGGCAGATCACCTGAGGCCAGGAGTTTGAGACCAGCCTGATCAACAGGCTGTAGTAGAAACCCCGTCTCTACTACAAATACAAAATTAGCCAGGTGTGGTGCATGCCCATAATTCCAGCTACTCGGGAGGCTGAGGCAGGAGAATCGCTTGAACCCAGGAGGCAGAGGTTGCATTGAGCCGAGATTGCGCCATTGCACTCCAGCCTGGGCAACAAGAGCAAAACTCCATCTTAAAAAAAAAACAACAGCATGTACAGATTGTACAGATGCTAGGAGTAAAATAAGTATACAGATACAGATGTGGTTACTGTTCCCCCAGAACTAACTGTCTAGAGGAGATATAACAAGTAAGCTAACAGAAACAATCCAGTATGTCACAGTCAATAACAGGGTTTCATGCATCCTCCATCAAAATACCTAAACCTTCTTTTACACATCAAATGCTGGCTTTGATAGCTAAGCTACCAAGCAAGTGAAACTCACACGCAGTGGTAGTGACTGTCAGTCATTGCTTCAGTTTAAGCAGCATCCCTGTGGTTGTCCACATGGTATGGGAGTGTTCAGTTATTTGAGTAGTGTTCAATTATTGGAATATTTATTTGCTCTTATTTTATGAAAATGCAGATGCAAATACTAGTTATAGGAAAAGTAGGTCTTATAAATGTAATCTGAATGACATAAAAATGGAAATCACTAGTAGGGGTGCCAGAGCAGTCAATCTTTAGCCTCAATCAGACACCAAAAATTCATTAAATAAAAGCCAGTAAACTGAGTAAAGGAAAAGGAGAAAATCAGAGAACAGGTAGAAAATCCTGGAAATATTGTTAAGTATGTTTAGAGATTTTGGTCTTACATTTTGGTTCTTCAGGAAAATATTTCTCTTTAAAGCAAAGGAAGTTTATTGTTCAATTTTTTTTTTTTTTTTTTTTTTTTTTGAGGCAGAGCCTTGCTCTGTCACCCAGGATGGAGTGCAAAGGCGCGATCTTACTGCAACTTCAGCCTCCTGGGTTCAATAGATTCTCCTTTCTCCTGCCTCAGCCTCCCAAGTAGCTGGGATTGCAGGTGTGCACCATCACACCCAGCTAATTTTTTTTTTTTTTTTTTAAGACGGAGTCTTGCTCTGTTGACCAGGCTGGAACACAGTGGCGCGATCTTGGCTCACTGCAAGCTCCACCTCCTGGGTTCCCGCCATTCTCCTGCCTCAGCCTCCTGAGTAGCTGGGACTAGGGGCGCCCACCACCACGCCCGGCTAATTTTTTTTTATTTTCAGTAGAGGCTGGGTTTCACCGTGTTAGCCAGGATGGTGTCTATCTCCTGACCTCGTGATCCACCCACCTCGGCCTCCCAAAGTGTTGGGATTACAGGCGTGAGCCACTGTGCCCAGCCAATACCCAGCTAATTTTTGTATTTTTAGTAGAGATGGGGTTTCATTATGTTGGCCAGGCTGGTCTTGAACTCCTGACCTCAGGTGATTCACGTGCCTCGGCCTCCCAAAATGCTGAGATTACAGATGTGAGCCACCATGCCTGGCCTATTGATAGATTTTTATTTTATTATTAATTTTTTAATAGAGACTGGGTCTTGCCATGTTACCCAGGCTGGTCTTGTACTCCTGAGCTCAAGCAATCTTTCCACGTTGGCCTCCCAAAGCACAGAATGTATTTTAAATCACTTATCACACCAATGATGTTAAAATTGACAAGTTCATAATGATACTAAGAAAATAAATTCAGGCCAGGTGCGGTAGCTCACCTGTAATCTGAGCACTTTGGGAGGCCAAAGTGGGGGGATTGCTTGAGCCCAAGAGTTCAAGACCAACCTGGGCAACATAATGAGACTCTGTCTCTACAAAAATTTTTTAAAAAGGAAAGAAATTCACTACTTGCCTATAGAAGTTGCCATGGCAAGTTGCTAATTATATGGTAATGGTAATTGGTAAATAAAGGGAAATAGGCCAGGCGCGGTGGCTCACGCCTGTAATCCCAGCACTTTGGGAGGCCAAGGCGGGCGGATCGCCTGAGGTCAAGAGTTCAAGACCAGCCTGGCCAACATGGTGAAACCCCGTCTCTACTAAAAATACAAAAATTAGCTGGGCATGGTGGCAGGTGCCTGTAATCCCAGCTACTCGGGAGGCTGAGGCAGGAGAATCGCTTGAACCCAGGAGGCAGAGGTTGCAGTGAGCCGAGATCGCGCCATTTGCACTCCAGCCTGGGGGACAAGAGTGAGACTTAGTCTGAAAAAAATAAAATAAAATAAAATAAAATAAAAAAGGGAAATAACCAAACATTTGTTCTGCCTTTGTTGTACAAATTGTATTTCAGGGTAGCCAATGAGTTTTAAAGGAAAAGTCCTTTTGTATAAAATATTTTCAACTAATAAATGTAAAAGAAATGATAGGCCGGGCGCGGTGGCTCACGCCTGTAATCCCAGCACTTTGGGAGGCTGAGGTGGGCAGATCACGAGGTCAAGAGATTGAGACCATCCTGGCCAACATGGTGAAACCCCGTCTCTACTAAAAGTACAAAAATTAGCTGGGCATGGTGGTGCACGCCTGTAGTCCCAGCTACTTGGGAGGCTGAGGCAAGAGACTTGCTTGAACCCGGGAGGCGGAGATTGCAGTGAGCCGAGATCGTGCCACTACACTCCAGCCTGGGTGACAGAGCAAGACTCTGTCTCAAAAAAAAAAAAAAAAGAAAGAAACATAACAATTGAATATAGTATGTGGATCTTTATTTCATAATCCAATTATTTAAAAATAAATTTCTGAGACAATGGGCAAATTTGACTATAGGCTGGATATTAAATTATATTAAGGAATTAATATTAATTACAGATTAATATTTCTGTCAGTGTCTTAATGATACTGTGGTTGTGTTTTTGAAAACAGTTGGCCTGGTGTGGTGGCTCATGCCTATATCCCAGCAATTTGGGAGGCTAAAGCAGGCTGATTGCTTGAGCCCAGGAGGAATTCAAGACTAGCCTAGGTGTCATAGCGAAACCCCATCTCTACAAAAAAATACAAAAATTAGCTGGTCGTGGTGGTGCACATCTGTAGTCTTAGCTACACGGAAGCCTGAGATGGGAGGATCTCTTGAGGCTGGGAGGTGGAGGTTGCAGTAGCCCAGATGGAGTCACAGAGCAATAGAGTGAGTCCCTGTCTCAAACAAGAAAATGGAAAAAAAAAAAAAAAGTCTTTTTCTGTTAGAGACATATACTGAATTATTTAAGGATGAAATTATACGGTCTCCAGTATTTCCTTCAAAATACTTCAGAGGAGAGGAAGTGGCAGCACAGAAGATTAGGAGAGAGTCAATAAATTTTTTTTATTATTTTTTTTTGAGACTGAGTCTCGCTCTGTCGCCCAGGCTGGAGTGCAGTGGTGCGATCTTGGCTCACTGCAAGTTCCGCCTCCCGGGCTCACGCCATTCTCCTGCCTCAGCCTCCCAAGTAGCTGGGACTACAGACGCACGCCACTACGTGCAGCTAATTTTTTTGTATTTTTAGTAGAGACAGGGTTTCACTGTGTTAGCCAGGATGGTCTTGGTCTCCTGACCTCGTGATCCGCCCGCCTCGGCCTCCCAAAGTGCTGGGATTACAGGCGTGAGCCACCGCGCCCGGCCAGTCAATAAATATTAAGGCTTAGTGATGGGTACGCGGGAGCAGGGGAGGAGCATAATACCATTTTTTTTTTTTTTTTTTTTTTTTTTTGAGACAGAGTTTCACTCTGTCGCCCAGGCTGGAGTGCAGTGGCGCAATCTCGGTTCACTGCAACCTCTGCCTCCCAGGTTCAAGCTATTCTCCTGCCTCAGCCTCCCCAGTAGCTGAGATTACAGGTGCGCACCACCACACCCGGCTAATTTTTTTGTATTTTTTAGTAGAGACGGGTTTCACCACGCTGGCCAGGCTGGTCTCAAACTCCTGAGTGATCCGCCCACTTCAGCCTCCCAAAGTGCTGGGATTACATGGGATTACAGGCATAAGTCACTGTGTCTGGCCTTTTTTTTTTTTTTTTTTTTTGTATGTTTGGACATTTTCGTAACAAGAAGTTAAATTTTAAATAAGTAAATAAATAAAGGCTTTAATGCAATTTATGTCTGCACTTGGCTTATGCCCTGGGGAAGAGACTGAATGAATGAATCCAAAGAACTGTAATATCGGGATCCCTGTACCACTTGGTTTTGAGTGCTCTTGTCTAAATGTGTAATCCTGAGGAAAAAGGCATCTCCCTTCCTTTTTTAGTGGAAGGCTTGAAGGAAGGTGTACCAGTATCAGCCCCAGCGAGGACACAAATCTCAATCCAAGTCATTTCTTTCAGATGGCCTATGTGTTAGCAAGAGATCACAGTATTGGTAGCTGGAACTTGGGTTTGAGATGGGCTGCAATTATTTCTGACTGGGGCTTTAGTAGACATAAGGATACTGTGCTGAAATCCTGTGGTCAGCAGTGGAAGTTGACAAAAGGCATGGCTTTTCAAGGGTATAACTTTGACAAAGATATTGCTTTAAAACATTTCAGAATCAGCAGTGACACCGGGCTCTCAGCTTCTGCAGCAGCTAGGGTGATACCTTCCAGAGCAATCAGCTGTGGTTGTGACCACTGTGACTCCTAAGCTTATCAGGGGAAGGAGGTTGAGCTAAGAGGGGAGAAGGAAAGGTCTAGATTTTCCACTAATCTAGGCACATGCAGCTTGAGTTGACAAATGAAAGGCATCCTTATGGTGAGATGTCTTATGTTCCTCAGCTGATGAAGCAGGATTTACTCATTACCTGTTCTTGAATTGTATGATTTTAGTATTATATTTTATGGAAACAACTTTTGACTATGATTCAGAGATGTGACTAGAGTATCTCTGCCACTCCCTTGTCACTTGTGTCATCTTGGGCAGGTTGATCTTCTTTAAATTAAGATAATAAGACCTTGCCTGTCTACCTCCATGGTTGTTGTGAGGATCATAAGAGATAATATATAAAACTATAATTTTTGTAAACTAGCTGTATAAATCTAGGCATCATTATTATTGTAAGTGACTAAGTGATTTACATCTTAAAGCCCCTTATTTTCCTTGATTCTATGTTAACAATAAATGTTTAATTGGTGTGCTATAAAATTAGATAGTTCCAAAACAACTACAAAGAAATTTAGTGTATAGTATGATCTTTCTACGTTCTGCAGTGTTACATAGGAATTCCTGGGAATAAGAAAAATTTTATCCAGTTGCTATTTTATAGTTATATCCTTGACTGTATTCTCATCAATTTAGGAGACAAATAAGTTACTTATTTATTCCATAAATAGTGCCAATTATTTTATAATCTCAATTTAAGAAGTCAATATTTATTATGTTCAATAATGTATAATCAGGCCAGGCACAGTGGCTCATGCCTATAATCCTAGCACTTTGGGAGGCTGAGGCGGGTGGATCATTTGAGGTGAGGAGTTTGAGACCGGCCTGACCAACATGGTGAAACCCCGTCTCTACTAAAAATACAAAAATTAGCTGGCATGGTGGCACTTGCCTGTAGTCCCAGCTACTCAGGAGGCTGAGCCGAGATCGTGCCACTACACTCAAGTCTGGGCAACAGAGCAAGATTCCATCTCAAAAATAAATAAATAAATAAATAAATAAATAAAATACAAAAGTAAACATACAAAAATTAGCTGGGAGTGGTGGTGTGTGCCTGTAATCCCAGCCACTTGGGAGGCTGAGGCAGGAGAATCACTTAAACCCAGGAGGTGGAGGCAAGATCGAACACTGCACTCCAGCCTGGGCAACAGAGCAAGACTCCGTCTCAAATAATAACAATAATAATAATGTATAATCAATCAGAAGATTAGAGCGGAAGTTGGTAAAGTGTGCCCCATAGAATGAATCTGGCCACTGTGGCCTGAAAACTAAGAATCATTTCGACATTTTTTAAATGGTCTTTTTAAAAAAATCAAAGAAGACTATATTATGACATGACACCTGAAAATTATGTAAAATTCAAATTGCAGTATCAGCCAGGTGCAGTGGCTCACACCTGTAATCCCAGCACTTTAGGAGGCCGAGGCAGGTGGATCACCTGAGGTCAGGAGTTCGAGACTAGCCTGACCAACCCCGTCTCTACTAAAAATACAAAAATTAGCCAGGCGTAGTGGCATGTGCCTGTAATCCCAGCTACTCAGGAGGCTGAGGCAGGAGAATCGCTTGAACCTGGGAGGCAGAGGTTGCAGTGAGCTGAGATCCCGCCATTGCACTCCAGCCTGGGCAACAAGAGTGAAACTCTATCTCAGAAAAAAAAAAAAAAAAAAAAAAAAGGGCCGGGTCGGGTGGCTCACACCTGTAATCCCAGCACTTTGGGAGGCCGAGGCCGGTGGATCACCTGAGGTCGGGAGTTCGAGACCAGCCTGACCAACATGGAGAAACCCCATATCTACTAAAAGTACAAAATTAGCCAGATGTGGTGGCACATGCCTGTAATCCCAGCTACTCTGGAGGCTGAGGCAGGAGAATCGCTTCAACCCACAAGGTGGAAGTTGCAATAAGCCGAGATCGCACCATTGCACCGCAGCCTGGACAACAAGAGCAAAACTCCATCTCAAAAACAAAAACAAAAATTGCAGTGTCTATTTATTAAGACATGGCCACACCCATTCATTTATGTACCATCTGTGGCTACAACAGCAGTTGAGTAGTTATGAAAGAAACCATGTGGTCCACAAAGACGAAAATATTTACTACCTGGCTCTTTATAGAAAAGTTTGCCTCCCCTTAGACTAGACGATTCAAAGGGATAGAAATAAAAATGTTTTTCTAAGTTGCTAGCTCCCTGTTAGTATAAATAAACCTGGGATACAGGTACTCAAATGACGCATATTTCAAAAACTCAGTTATGGTTTTTTAAATGAAATTACATTTAATTTTTTTTTTTTTTTTTTTTTTTTTGAGATAGAGTCTCACTCTGTCTCCCAGGCCAAGCTGGAGTGCAGTGGCATAATCTCAGCTCACAGCAACCTCCGCCTCCTGAGTTCAAGGGATTTTCCTGCCTCAGCCTCCCAAGTAGCTGGGGTTACAGGCATGCACCACTACACCTGGCTAATTTTTGTATTTTTAGTAAAGATGGGGTTTCACCATGTTGGCCAGGCTGGTCTCAAACACCCCACCTCAGGTGATCCACCCGCCTCAGCCTCCCAAAGCGCTGGGATTACAGGCATGAGCTACCGTGCCCGGCCAATTTTTTTTTTTTTTTTTTTTTTGAGACAGGACCTCACTCTTGTTAACCAGAGTGCAGTGCTGCGATCTTGGCTCACTGCAACCACTCCTTCCTGGGCTCAAGGGATACTCCAGCCTCAGCCTCCTGAGTAGCTGCAGATATGGTTTTAACATGCAATGACCAACTAAGCCAATTTTAAGAAATTAAAAGCCAATTTTGTTTTTGAGACAGTCTCACTTTATTGCCCAGGCTGGAGTGCAGTGGCACAATCTCAGTTCACTGCAACCTCCATCTCCTGGTTCAAGCGATTCTCCTGCCTCAGCCCCCCAGGTTTCTAGGACTACAGGTGCACACCACCATGCCCAGCTAATTTTTATATTTTTTTAGAGACAGGGTTTCACCATGTTGGCCAGGCTGATCTCGAACTCCTGACCTCAGATGATCCGCCCACCTCAGCCTCCCAAAGTGCTGGGATTACAGGCATGAGCCATGGCACCCGGCCACGAAAATCTTATTTACAAAATGTAATAAATAAAATATGAATAAGTATAATGCAATTAAATAATTTAAAAATTTCCCATTTTGCTCATTGATGGTGGCAGAAAAAAAGAGAATTGGGATTATATTAGTTCTCTGACTAACACACAATAGAAACTGACTCTGACTAAGGGAAGAAGGGGTTTATTGGAAAAAGGATTCTTGAGTAGTTCCAGAACTGAGGGAAGAGATAGAGATCATGACCTTTGGAAGGACAGGAAACTGGGAAGCTCCAGGTCCTTACCAGCAGGTGACCCTGGGCCTGCTCTCAGGGCACATCTATGAGACTTCAAGAGGCTTTCATTGGAGTTTCAAGTTTTATGGAGAAATAAATTGATGGGCCCAGTTTATGGCCACGTAGCCAAAGGGAGGGAATAATGTGATTGGTAACCTCCCTGGAGTCCCATGGTTGAAATGGAGAAGGAAGAAAGGAGAGGTAAGTAGGATTAAGGGATGCCAGGCCGAGGAGAACCAACAGATGTGTGCACAGCTTGTCAGGAAACATGGGCTATAATCTCAACTTCACCAAACGGGTGAATATACTGGGCTTCAGTATTATGTTCAATATGTAATAATTATATATTAGTATAAAACGAGGGGCAAAAGACCCATCTGCCATAAAATTATTCATTGGCCACAGTGCAGAGGATTTGGTTTTTTTGAGTTAAAGAATTTTTTTTTTTTCTTAAGAGACAAGGTCTCGCTCTGTCACACCGGCTGGAGTGCAGTAGCACTATCATAGCTTACTGTAACCTCGAATTCCTGGCCTCAAGCCATTGTCCCGAATCAGCCTCCCAAAGTGTTGGGATTATAGGCATGAGCCACCATACCAGGCCAAGAGCTTTGTATATTCATATACAGAATTCATAAACAGTTCACCTGATATACAGAATTCATAAACAGTTTACCTGAACCAACAAGAAAAGACATCAAATAGTGCTTGACTTCATTACTTATTAGGCAGATGCCAAATACTTTTCTTTCTTTTTTTTTTTTTTTTTTTTTGAGACAGGGTCTCACTCTGTCACCCAAGTTGGAGTGCAGTGGCAAGATCATGGCTCATTGCAGCCTCCACCTCCCATGCTCAAGTGATTCTCCCACCTCAGCCTCCCAGGTAGCTAGAACTACAGGCATGTGCCACTGTAGCCAGCTAATTTCCTTTTATTTTTAGGAGAGATAGGTTTTCGCCATGTTGCCCAGGCTGGTCTCAAACTCCTAGTGATCCATCTGCCTCAGCCTCCCAGAGTGCTGAGATTACAGGTGTGAACCACCATGCCCGGCCTAGAGATACAAATTAAAACCACCATGAGATAATACTGCGTATCTACTAGAATAGGTAAAATGAAAAAGACAGACAATACCAAGTTCTGGTAAGGATGTGGGGCAAGTGGAAATTTCATACATTGTTTGTTTGTTTGTTTTGGGACAGTCTCTTGCTCTGTTGCCCAGGCTGGAATGCAGTGGCATGATCTTGGCTAACTGCAACCTCTGTCTCCCAGGATCTAGCAATTCTCCTGCCTCAGCCTCCCAAATAGCTGGGATTACAGGCATGCACCACCACGCCTGGCTAATTTTTGTATTTTTTTAGTAGAGATGGGGTTTCATCACGTTGACCAGGCTGGTCTTGAACTCCTGACTTCAGGTGATCTGCCCGCCTCAGCCTCCTACAGTGCTGGGATTACAGGCATGAGCCACTGTGCCCAGCCTACTTTCATACATTGTTAAAAGCAGTATCAAATGATACAACCATGTTGGAGAACTCTTCAGCAATATACACTAAAGCTGAACACATTCATGCCCCAGAATCCATAAATTCCACTTCTACTTATGTACCCAGGCACCTAAAATACTCTTCCTTAATGGGTTTAGGCCTGGGGCCACAAACTCAAATGCACACAGAAAGATTCTATCATATGATCAATTGTGGTAGACAGTAGGGAGTGTCAAGGACTGTGGTTAAACTGGAGAGCTCCCTATTAAGATTATGTTAAAAAAAAAAAAAAAAAAAAGACAGCCTGGCCAACATGGTGAAACCCCATCTCTACCAAAAATACAAAAATTAGCTGGGCTTCCTGGCAGGCACCTGTAATCCCAGCTACTCGGGGGCCAAGGTAGGAGAATTCGTTGAACACAGGAGGCAGAGGTTGTAGTGAGCTGAGATTGCCCCACTGCATTCCAGCCTGGGCAACAAAGCAAGACCCTGTCTCAAAAAGAAAAAAAAGAGAGGAGTTCTTATCTATACCTGTAGCCATTCTTTCCAAGGGCTCATTGCACTTTGTGCAGGTCTTCAGATGCAAGAAGACAGCCACAGCTGTGGCACACTGCAAACGCAGCAATCAAGGTGAACAGGCGGCCCCTGGAGATGATCGAGCTATACATACCAATATATGAGCTGCTGGAACCAGTTCTGCTTCCAGACAAGGAGTGATTTGCTGGCATGGACGTGTCCATGTGAAGGGTGGTGATCACATGGCCTAGATATATGCTATCCATCAGTCCAGCCTCAAAGCCCTGGTGTCCTATTACCAGAAGTATATGGATGAGTTTTCCAAGGAGGAGATCAAAGACAAAGATCAAAGACATCCTCATACAGTACGACCAGATCCTGCTGGTGGCTGACCTCCACCACCACTAATCCAAAAAATTAAGAGACGCTGGTACCCATGCTTGCTACCAGAAATCCTACCAATAAGCCCATCATGAGAATTGGGGTTTACTTGTATAATAAACAATGTTTGAGAGATTTTTAAAAAAACAGAGATGATCCTTTTGTAGTTCATGAGCATGATGATTGGGTGTTCCTGCCCACGTGTGAGATGAGCCACCCTCGAACCTTGTTACCATGTTGACATATTACCTGACTGACGTGAGAAAAACAAAAAAAAAGGAGATTATGTTAAGTGCCTGGGAAATACTCTTCTTACTGAGGAAGAAACACCTGGCCAGTTGTACATACTGGCCAGGAGAGCATTTTCAGTAGAAGTTATTCAAGTGGGTACTATGGACACCATTTGGTATAACTTCCCATCACTCTTGTACACTTTCCTCTGGAAATAGCCCTGCTGCCATGTCTAGACTTCAAGGTTTTGCCTCTCTCTCAATGGCTAATTGCTCTTGAGTGGACACCTTACCCAAGCCAGGAGCAGTGGATTCTGTTGGTGCTCTACCCAGATCTCCTTGACTAGGCAGTGCACCATCCCCCAGCTGCTGTGAATGTTGGCTATGAACACCTCACAGGTGGCTTTGCTATTGAATCATCTTCCCAAAAATGCTTGAGAAAGTATGTTCTCCCCCTCGAGGGAGAGGAACACCATTGCTTCAAAGTGGGATAACTCAGTCATGTCATTCACTCTCCAGGTCCCACCACCGGATCAGGCTGAGGCTAGGCTTGCTTAGCTCTGTCTCCTGTACCACCCTGCTTCCCTCACTCCCTTAATGGATTTCTCCTGAGAGCACTCTCCCCGTACATCACAACAGAATCCCTCTGCCTTTGGGGAACCCAAGCTAAGTCATAGGGCCCATGAGATCCTTTTATCCCAAAGAACCAGAGAGCCTGGGCACACTGAAACAGAATCATATCAATGGCAACACAACCATGAACTCCTGGTGCTCAGTTTCTTCCCTTGCTGAGCTGTGGTTATCCAGCTTTCTTTTTGATTTCATCAAAGCCCACAGGAGCTTCCCAATAATCCTCCTTTTTGTTTAAGTCAGCCAAAGTTTCCTTTTCTTCCCTGAAACCAATATAACCTTAACTAATGTGATGGGTAACCAAGGCCTGACCTAACGTGGCTTTGGAAATATGACCCAATACTTTATGGGACAACCTCAGTTGGAATCCTGAGGGAAAAATTAATTGATTGCCCTTCCTATCCCTAGGCATTAGTAACTAGAAATGTTGCTGGGATCACTCCCTGTCTTTAATCCTCCAGGAATTTGCCTTGCTGGGGAGCTAATTTGTTACTCATGGCTGTTTTCCTGAGACCTTGTGATTCCCTGGAGGCACAGGAGTTAAATTACTTCCACTGGCCGTCACACCCTTGCATCTTTTGTTGTTTCCAGTACTGTCAGGAAGGCTCTAACATCTCTCTGAGCCTTCTTGTTTCTGAAAAATGCTTTTCTTCATCTTTGTATTTCTCTGTGTGTGTATACATGTGGTACATTTGCACACATGTTAGGAAAGTAGAAGGAGGTCGGGGGAAGTCAGAGGAGGAGTGGTCAGATTTCAGATCACTGAACCATGGGTTATAAATAAAGGGTGACACAACACAAGCCTGATTAGTTCCACTCAGAATTGCTCACTGATTCATCAGAAAATTGATCCTTCTGACCTAGACACTCCTCTCTCAATAGTCAAAGGCAGCTTTTGTTTGAGTCAGTAATTGTGCCTCTATAGGAATTTTATGGAGTTTAGCCCAAGAAAACGTTCTATCCAAGCCAAATGTGGGTATGGTAGAATACTATTGAAGATATTAACCTACATTCTCCGATTGGCATGTCCTCCTCTTCTTTCCCTCCATTCAAGCAGCCATGTGGTCTCAGGGAGACATGCCGCAGAGAGAAGAATGAAAAGTTGACAAGTTTTTCTGGCTTGTTTCTAATAATAGATGCCATAAACTGATAGTTCACTGATCTTCGAACACCCACACATGAGTGCCACTGTTTTGGCCCACACAGTACTTTTTTAAAGTATGATGCTGTTCACATGAGGCTCAGCTCTCCAGGTCACCACAGTCCCCAGCATTCCTTATTGTCTGTCACAATTGACATTACCTGCCTGGCCTCTTTCTGTGTGCACTTGATTCTGTGACCCCAGGCTTAAACCCATTAAGGGAGTTTATATTAGGTGCCTAGGAAGCAAACATTCTTTCCTCTTAGGAAGACCCGGAAGATTAAGAGAGGGAAGGTTTCCCTCTTAAGAGGAAAAACCCTAGGGTTATAGTCAATAATGAGCCAGGGCCTCTTCTTTGTATCACAGAGAGTGGAAATTCTGGACTCTCAGGCCCGGAACGCTGGGGTCCAAATGCCTGAGGAGATGGGGGAGTTACGGAAGGAGCAGTACTCCCAAGACAGGATAGAGGCAAAGAGGCACATGTGAGGGTCTCGAGTCACAGTGAGGAAATTCTCCCTGCAGCCACCCATTAAGTCCCCTTCTTTTTCCCACATGATTCATCCACCAAACAGATACTTAGTAAGAGTTCACTGTGTTCACTGTGTGCCAGCAATGAACCAACATTTGTGGGCTTTTCATTATGTAATCTCTCTCTCTCCATCCATCCAGATTCTGAACTATTTCCAAGAAAATGTCACCACTTGCTTTACCTCCTGAGGCACCTTGAATACCCCTTTGCCTTGAATGAGAGAGAGAAAATTGTTTTTCCTTCATTCATATAATTCTGGAATGATAGCTCTGAAAAAGCCATGAGAGCTGATAAAGGCCTCCTATCTCCGAGAAAGAAAAGAAATTAAGAAGATTTGGTATCTTTGGTTCACCACTGTATCCCTAGCAGTGTCTTGAACAATGCCTGACACATAGTAGGTTCTCAGTGTTTATTTGTTGACTGAATGAGCAGCTAAGCAGTTAAGGGCAGAGTGGGTCCCAGTTGCCACATGTCCTCAATCTTTATCCAGGCTCTTTCCCAAACTGCAGGTTAGCAGAGGGAAAGCCAATGTTTTTTTATAAGAGCCTTCTTTTTTTTCTGTTTGTTTTTGTTGTTTGTTTTTAGAGACAGGGTCTCACTCTTTTGCCCAGGCTGGAGTGCAGTGGCATGATCATAGCTTACTGCAGCCTCAAACTCCCGGGCTCAAGCAATCCTTGTGCTGCTAAATTAAAAAAAAATTTATATATATATATACATATATATGTGTATATATGTATATATATATATAATATATATAAATGGAGTCTCACTATGTTGCCCAGGCTGGTCTCAAACTCCTAGCCTCAAGTATTCCTCCCACCTTGGCCTCCCAAAGCACTGGGATTACAGGTGTGAGCCACGGCACACAGCCCCCATAAAGGCTCTTAATAAGAAACTAAGAGGGAAAAAAGAATCGTAACGGGAGATTTAATGGCAGTGACAGTTTTCAGAAGTGTATATGACCATGGTGGAAGTCTAGAAGAACCTGGCCTAATGGAGCCAGTCTTGAGCTGCAATTCTTTTAACTAATTCTCCCAGAACCTCTTGACTTAGTTGCTTTCACTGGAAAATAGGTGTATTCTGGGGGTTAAAAAGTTCTCCAGGGAAAGCTTCCCACTTACCTCACTGTCTTGGTATCCCGCTCTTCCACCCAACATACAAACATGCAGCTGGTCACTCAGCCAGTCCCTAAAACCTGTTAATTGGCCCATAGTTTGGCTCCGAGCAAACCTGTGGACTTAGGAGCCTCAGCTCTTGCCTCCCAGGAGTTTCTCAACTTTGGGGGAAGGTAACATATGTGCTCTGAAGCAAGCACAATGATGGCTATGACAGGCATTTCGCAGCACACGTTTAAATAACAACCCTAGGTGAGGCAGGTCAGTGAGAGGCCATCAATAGGGAAAATAGCAGTGTGAATCTAAGGCTTGAGAGAAGGGAGAGAAGGCTGTGGCCTTAGTGTCCAGCCTGCTCAGCATCCCTTCTCCCCTCTTCTGGTAGCAGCACTTTTTTTTTTTTTTTTTTTTTTGAGGGAAGGTCTCACTCTGTTACCCAGGCTGGAGTGTGGTGGCACGATCTTGGCTGACTGCAACCTCCACCTCCTGGGTTCAAGCGATTCTCGTGTCCCAGCCTCCCAAGTAGCTGGGATTACAGGTGTGCACCACCATTCCTGGCTAATTTTTGTATTTTTAGTAGAGACGGGGTTTTACCATATTGGCCAGGCTGGTCTCAAACTCCTGACATCAAGTAATCTGCCCTCCTTGGCCTCCCAAAGTGCTGGGATTACAGGTTTGAACCACTGCGCCCAGCCTTGTTGCAGCACTGTAATTATCCTTTAAGAAACTGTCCCCAACTAGTTGCATGTGGGTGGACTTGGCGGAACTATGCATTTTTTTTTTTTTTTTTTTTTTTTTTGAGACCGAGTCTCGCTGTCTTCCAGGCTGGAGTGCAGTGCGCGATCTCGGCTCACTGCAAGCTCCGCCTCCCGGGTTCACGCCATTCTCCTGCCTCAGCCTCCAGAGTACCTGGGACTACAGGCGCCGGCCACCACGCCCGGCTAATTTTTTGTATTTTTAGTGCAGACGGGGTTTCACCGTGTTAGCCAGGATGGTCTCGATCTCCTGACCTTGTGATCCACCCGTCTCGGCCTCCCAAAGTGCTGGGATTACAGGCGTGAGCCACCGTGCCTGGCCGGGACTATGAATTAAAGTGCTGTGGTCGATGGGTATGTGTGGCCCAGAGACCCAAACTAGGCCATTCACACTCTCTCTTCCAAGGATTTGAATCTTTTTTTTTTTTTTTTTTTTTGAGACGGTGTCTCGCTCTGTCATCGTCCGGGCTGGAGTGCAGCGGCATGATCTTGGCTCACTGCAACCTCCGCCTCCCGGGTTCGTGATTCTCCTGCCTCAGCCTCCGGAGTAGCTGGGACTACAGGCGCGCGCCCCGACCCTGGCTAATTTTTGTATTTTTAGTAGAGACTGAGTTTTACCATGTTGGCCAGGCTGGTTTCAAACTCCTGACCTCACGTGATCCTCCTGCCTCGGCCTCCCAAAGTGCTGGGATTACAAGCGTGAGCCACCCCACCCGGCCGGGATTTGAATCTTGAGTACAGGAACATAAGGGTGGAAAATCTATCCCGGATGGAAGCTCTCTGAAGGGACCTCCCATTAACTCCTGCTACTTGGACACCTCAGGTCCCCTAACTGCTCTTCCTGGGGCCTGCCGGCTCAGATTCTGTAAATTCTGTGAGCTTTCCCATATCATTCCAATAAGGTCTTTTAAGGGTCTGCTTCTGTGATTGGCAACCTGAGAACCCTGCTTGGTACAACAAGGGTTCCTGGAAAATGTAGGAACGTGAACTGGCATGAGTAGCTGAAAAGGATGCAGAACTTATCCCAGTCCAGGAGAACATCATCTGTAAGGCCTCTCCAGAACTCTGCTTGGCCTAACTCAAGGGGAGATTCCAAAGGGGGAGGTATGAGAAGTTAGGAGGGGGATGTGGAGTGGAGCCAGAGTGGACTGGAGGGTATGGCCTTTCTCCTAGAGCAGAGGTTCACACAATGTTGTTGGATACACTGCTGGGCCGTAGTCGTGAGAGCTGCAGATGGAGGTAGAGCCAGCCAACAGACAAGTTGGCAGGATGCACTAAAAATTGGAGCTGGGCCTCAGAAGTGGGTTATGCTGGCCAAATATCATCTGTCTAGTGTGTCCAGGCAGCAAAGAGTTGGGAACCATTACTGAAGAAAAACAAGAGCCGTGGAGGAGGGGATTGTTTGAGGATGCAGTAATTGCAAAGAATAGAGTGAACTCTTTGGTCAGCCTGGGTTTGAATCCTAGCTCCATCACTGATGTTGTGTGGTTGATTTTCTTACCCTTAAATGGTCCCTACCTCAAATTAATATGGTGGCTGGCACATAATAAGCACTCAATAAATGATGGCTGCTGCTATTATTTTCATCAATAACATTTTATATAAATCCACATTGTTAATTAGTAATTATTATTATTTCCAGTTAAACTTCAGATTTAAAGCCATAGATTATCCCTGCATGCATACCCACCCACACACAAAACACACAGTTATATTCAGAAATACCCCTGGGGCCCAATCTGAAATTACAGACTAATAAATCCTAGACAAAGCTAACAAGATATAAAAGCAATGATCCAACAGGCATAAACTTCTACCACTAGGTTAAAAGAGAAATGGTGATCTATGACTCAGAGCTGTGGAATAGTCAGGGACCCAAGTGACTGGCAAAATTGGGACAATAACCTGGGTTTACCTCCTGTTCTGACAAGACCCTTGGAAACTGGATGCAGATGCAGCCCAGATGCTCAAACAGGAGTGTGATGGTCCATGAAGTACCCAGTGAGTCTGAGGAAATGGACCTGAAAATGTCACTGTATTATGAAAACAACTTCATTTATCACTCTTCGAGAAGACAGTGATGGGGAAAGTGCTGGCCTGGGACTTGAAAATCCTAGAGTCCACCAAGGGTCTATTAGGACTTCTGGAAAGTGGTTAATCCTCTCAATGCCTGGGTTTCCCCTATCAGTAGCCCCTGACCATGGCATGAACGTTCCTCCTCCACCTTGTGAATATTGCCCATTCTGTCTGTAATACCATAATCTCACGCTTTCTCCACCTCATCCTGATGCTCTCAGGATCTCTGAATTTTAAACACAAATATATCCTCCCCCACAGCTGACATTTTATCTTCAAGGCCAATTGGCACAAATATAGACATAGCCATTGTGTTATCATAAACTGCAGGTGGGTCTTTTCCTTAGGATATTGAAGCATAGGGATTTATTTATTTATTTATTTATTTATTTATTTATTTATTTATTGGGGATGGAGTCTTGCTCTGTTACCCAGACTGGAGTGCAGTGGCTGGATCTTGGCTCACTGCAACCTCTGCCTCCTGGGTTCAAGCGATTCTCCTGACTCAGCCTCCCGAGTAGCTGGGATTACAGGCACCCACCACAACACCTGGCTAATTTTTGTAATTTTAGTAGAAAAAGGGTTTCACCATGTTGACCAGGCTGGTCTCAAACTCCTGACCTCAGGTGATCCACCCACCTGGGCCTCTGAAAGCGCTGGGATTACAGGTGTGAGCCATCGAGCCCTGCTAAAGCATAGGGATTTAAACTAAAAGGCCACACTTCCACCACACACTGCAAGGTAGGAGGGACAAATATTAACCTCATTTCACAGGCAAAGAAATTGAATCTCAGTGAGGTGGGGTGACTTGCCCAAGATCACAAAGCTGGGAAATGTTCAGTCAACTCCACATCCACCTTATCTGCTTAAATTCCAGGGTTCTCTCCTTCATAATCAGCTATGTCTTAGGCAACTTTATGATCTCCAGGTTATATGGTCTCTGAGGGATCTTCTGGGCTCAGGGACTTGGGAACAGTCCCCTCCAGGTAGAGGGGAATCCTTGGGGAAAGCCTCAGGATGTAGCTGGAAACATCCTAAGAGATATTTGGATCGTATCAGTGAACAAGACACCAAGAGCTCCATCTCTGTGGAATTTACAACCTAGTGGGAGTAAGAGTCAATAAGCTATAAAAATAACAAATACAGAGATTATATAAGATGTTAAAAGGTTATAAGGGCTACAAAGAAAGAAAGAAAAGGGAATGGGAAATGGGTATCAGAAGTGTCAGGCTAGAAGGAAATGTTGCAATTTTAAATGGGGCAGTCAGGAAAAGTCTCATTGAGAAGGCGACATTTGAACAGAGACTTGAAGATCAGGGATGGAACCACAGGATATCTGGGCAAAGAGGATTCTGGGCAGACAGATGAGCCAGCACAAAGGCCCTGAGGTGGAAGCATTCCTGGTGTGTACAGAAGACAGTAAGCAGGACAGGGTGGCTGCAGCAGAGTGAGCTGGTGGTGGAGAGAAAAGTGAGACCAATCATGTAGGGACTCGGGGACCACTGTAAGAACTTTGACTTTTACTCTGAGTAGAACAGCAAGCCATTGGAGAGTCCTGAGCAGAGAAAGGACTGACCTGCCTCATGTTTTAAATCTGGCTGCCGTATTGGAAGTAGATTGGAGGAAAAAAAAGTGGAAGCCCTGGGACCCACCATCATGAACAATCGGGGAGAAGACAAGAGGCCAGCAAAGGAATGAACACAGGTAGTAGGACAAAAACTGTAGTGTATGTTTTCCTGGAAGCCAAAATGACGAAAGTCTCTCAAAGGAGGGAGTGGGTCTATTTAGCCCCCTTCCAAGACTACAACTGCAGTGAGTGTTCCACAAAGCATATCAAGTCCTTTAAAATCCTTGAAAAACTTCCTACTACCCTCAGGAATAGCCCGAAGCAATTATCAGGACTTGTCAAGCCTTTCTGAGCTGACCTTGCTTGTCTCATACCAAGCGCATCTCTACCTGAAGCATTTGCAGCTCCCCAAACATGGGGTGCTTGTTCTTAACACTGAGCCTTTCTGTAGTTCTTCCTTTGCCTGGAAACTTCCTGTCAATCCTTCAGGTCTTGGCTGAGATGAGACACCCCCTTTCAAGTCTTCCCCTGCTCTGTGCTCCATGAACATCTAGTGCTTACTCCAGCTGGAGCATCTAGTGCATCTACAGCTGGAACATCTAGTGCTTACTCCAGCTGGAGCTAACTGAAAAGATATATTCTCCCCCACCTTTAAGAAGGTACTTTGTAATATTCTCCCACACCCTTAAGAAGGTACTTTGTAATATTTTCCCCCTGCCCTTAAGAAGGTACTTTGTATGCCTATCCCAAACCTATAAGAACTAATGATAATCCCGGCCGGGTGCGGTGGTTCACACCTCTAATCTCAGCACTTTGGGAGGCCCCGAGGCGGGTGGATCGTGAGGTCAGGAGATCGAGACCATCCTGGCTAACAGGGTAAAAACCCATCTCCACTAAAAAAATACAAAAAATTAGCCAGGTGTGGTGGCAGGCGCCTGTAGTCCCAGCTACTCTGGAGGCTGAGGCAGGAGAATGGCAGGAGAACCTGGGAGGCAGAGCTTGCAGTGAGCCGAGATTGTGCCACTGCACTCCAGCCTGGGTGACAGAGCAAGACTCTGTCCCAAAAAAAAAAAAAAAAAAAAGCACTAATGCTAATCCCACCACCCTTTGCTGACTCCTTTTTTGGACTCAGCCCGCCTACACCCAGGTAAAATAAACAGCCTTGTTGCTCACACAAAGCCTGTTTGGTGGTCTCTTCATAGGGACGCATGAGACATTTGGTGCCGAAGACCTGGGTCAGCGGGACTCCTTTGGGAGACCAGTCCCCCATCCTCACCCTCACTCTGTGAAGAGATCCACCTACGACCTTGGGTCCTCAGACCAACCAGCCTAAGGAACATCTCACCTATTTTAAATCGGGTAAGCGGCCTCTTTCTACTCTCTTCTCCAACCTCTCTCACTATCCCTCAACCTCTTTTCCTTTCAATCTTGGCACCACCCTTCAGTCTCTCCCTTCTCTTAATTTCAATTCCTTTCATTTTCTGGTAGAGACAAAGGAGACACATTTTATCTGTGGACCCAAAACTCCGGCACAGGTCACAGACTCAGGAACACAGCCTTCCCTTGGTGTTTAATCATTGTGGGGATGCCTGCCTGATTATTCACCCACATTCCGTTGGTGTCTGATCTCCGTGGGGATGCCTAACTTGGTCATTCACCCACATTCCCTTGGTGGCAAGTTAATTGTAGGGACAATTGCTTTGGCTGCTCACCCACATTGCAGCCCAGGGCTGCTCATGTCACCCCTTCTCTCCGTGTCTCTACCCTCTCTTTTCTCTCCACTTTCCTGGGGGGCAAGCACCCCCCACCCCTTCTCTCTGTGTCTCTGCCCCTTTTCCACTTTCCTGGGGGGCAAGAACCTCCCACCCCTTCTCTCCGTGTCTCTGCCCCTTTTCCATTTTCCTAGGGGGGCAAGTACCCCCCACCCCTTCTCTCCATGTCTCTGCCCCTTTTCCACTTTCCTGGGGGGCAAGCACCTCCCACCCCTTTTCCACTTTCCTGGGGGGCAAGCACCTCCCACCCCATTTCCACTTTCCTGCGGGGGCAAGCACCTTCTTTTCAAGGGCCTGTTTCCCTTGCCTCCATAACTGTTGTGAGTATTGACAGCCAGGCTTCTAAACCTCTTAAAACTCCCCAACTCTGGTGCCAACTTGGACAACATTCTTTAATGAACTCCTTTTTAGTTATCCCACCTGCCCAGCTCGCTTATTAGTTCAAAACATTGTAACTAAATTATCTGCTTCCCTGACTATTCCTGGGTTAAAGCCACACCTCACTACTGCCTTTTGCCCCAGTTCAATGCCTCCTGCACATCCTCTCCTTGTATCTCCCCACCTTAATCCACAAGTGTAGGACACCTCTACTCCCTCCTTGGCGATGGATGATGCACCCCTTACCATCCTATTAAAATCTAATCACCCTTACCCTGCTCAGTGCCAATATCCCATCCCACAGCACGCTTTAAAAGGATTAAAGCCTGTTATCACTTGCCTGTTACAGCATGGCCTTTTAAAGCCTATAAACTCTCCTTACAATTCCCCCATTTTACCTGTCCAAAAACTGGACAAGTCTCACAGGTTAGTTCAGGATCTGCGTTTATCAACCAAATTGTCTTGCCTATCCACCCCATGGTGCCAAAGCCATATACTCTCCTATCCTCAGTACCTCCCTCCACAACCCCTCCATAACCCATTATTCTGTTCTGGATCTCAAACATGCTTTCTTTACTATTCCTTGCACCCTTCATCCCAGCCTCTCTTTGCTTTCACTTGGACTGACCCTGACACCCATCAGGCTCAGCAAATTACCTGGGCTGTACTGCCACAAGGCTTCACGGACAGCCCCCATTACTTCAGTCAAGCCCAAATTTCTTCCTCATCCATTACCTATCTCGACATAGTTCTTCATGAAAACACACGTGCTCTCCCTGCTGATTGTGTCTGGCTAATCTCCCAAACCCCAACCCCTTCTACAAAACAACAACTCCTTTCCTTCCTAGGCATGGTTGGATACTTTCACCTTTAGATACCTGGTTTTGCCATCCTAATAAAACCATTATATAAACTCACAAAACCAAACCTAGCTGACCCCATAGATCCTAAATCCTTTCACCACTCCTCTTTCTGTTCCTTAAAAACAGCCCTAGAAGCTGCCCCCACACTAGCTCTCCCTAACTCATCCCAACCCTTTTCATTACACACAGCCAAAGTACAGGGCTGTGCAGTCAAAATTCTTACACAAGAGCTGGGACTGCACCCTGTAGCCTTTCTGTCCAAACAACTTGACCTTACTCTTTTTGGCTGGCCCCCACCCCCATGACTGTATCTCTCTGATCCACCTGACATTCACTCCATTTCCCCGTATTTCCTTCTTTCATGTTCCTCACCCTGATCACACTTGGTTTATTGATGGCAGTTCCACCAGGCCTAACCGCCACTCACCAGCAAAGGCAGGCTATGCTATAGTATCTTCCATATCTATCACTGAGGCTACCACTCTGCCCTCCTCCACTACCTCTCAGCAAGCCAAATTCATTGCCTTAACTCGAACACTCACTCTTGCAAAGGAATTATGCATCAATATTTATACAGACTGTAAATATGCCTTCCATATCCTGCACCACCATGCTGTTATATGGGCTGAAAGAGGTTTCCTCACTATGCAAGGGTCCTCCATCATTAATGCCTCTTTAATAAAAACTCTTCTCAAGGCCGCTTTACTTCCCAAGAAAGCTGGAGTCATACACTGCAAGGGCCACTAAAAGACATCAGATCCCATTGCTCAGGGCAACGCTTATGCTGATAAGGTAGCTAAAGAAGCACCTAGTGTTCCAACTTCTGTCCCTCATGGCCAGTTTTTCTCCTTCTAATTGGTCACTCCTATTTACTCTCCTACTGAAGTTTCCACCTATCAATCTCTTCCCGCACAAGGCAAATTGTTCTTGGACCAAGGAAAATATCTCCTTCCAGCCTCACATGCCCATTCTATTCTGTTGTCATTTCATAACCTCTTCCACGGTAGGTTACAAGCCGTTAGTCTGCCTCTTCAAACCTCTCATTTCCTTTCCATCGTGAATATCTATCCCCAGTCCTCCACTCTTGACTCCCTCTTGGAGTGGATAGATGATCTTTGCTGACAGGACACATTCCAACACTTTCACCCTGATGAAGTCCTATTCTTTACTTTTATACTCACTCTTATTCTTGTTCCCATTCTTATTGCCACCCTCTACCTCTCCCCAGCTATCTCCACCACACTATCAATTTCACTCACTCTCTCCTAGCTATTTCTAATCCTTCTTTAACAAACAATTGCTGGCTTTGCATTTCTCTTTCCTCCAAAATCACCAAGGCCTCAATTTACTCACTGCTGAAAAGGGAGGACTCTGTATATTTTTAAATGAAGAGTGTTGTTTTTACCTTAATCAATCTGGCCTGGTATATGACAACATAAAAAAACTCAAGGATAGAGCCCCAAAACTCGTCAACTAAGAATATAATTATGCTGAACCCCCTTGGGCACTCTCTAATTGGATGTCCTGGGTTCTCCCAATTCTTAGTCCTTTAATACTTGTTTTTCTCCTTCTCTTATTCAGAAGTTGTGTCTGTCATTTAGTTTCTCAATTCATACAAAACCACATTCAGGCCATCACCAATAATTCTATATGACAAATGCTCCTTCTAACAACTCCACAATATCACCCCTTACCCCAAAATATTTCTTCAGTTTAATCTCTCCCACTCTAGGTTCTCACACCACCCCAATCCCACTTGGAGCAGCCCTGAGAAACATTGCCCATTATCTCTCCATACCACCCCAAAAATTTTTGCCACACCAACACTTCACCACTATTTTGTTTTGTTTTTCTTATTAATACATGAAGACAGGAATGTCAGGCCTCTGAACCCAAGCTAAGCCATCATATCCCCTGTGACCTGCATTTATACATCCAGATGGCCTGAAGCAAATGAAGATCCACAAAAGAAGTAAAAATAGCCTTAACTGATGACATTCCACCATTGTCATCTGCCCTACCCTAACTGAGAAGATATATTCTCCCCCGCCCTTAAGAAGGTACTTTGTATGCCTATCCCAAACCTATAAGAACTAATGATAATCCCAGCGCCCTTTGATGACTCTTTTTTCTGACTCAGCCCACCTGTACCCAGGTGAAATAAACAGCCTTGTTGCTCACACAAAGCCTGTTTGGTGGTCTCTTCGCAAGGACGCATGAGACAGCATTTACTATGCTATTGAGATTGCCTGTTGAACCTTTCTGCCTCCTCCAACAGAGAATAAGTTTATTGAAGGCAGAGAATATTTATCCTTCACGCAGAACTTGAAAAAACAGTTATAATTTTTTATTTTTTGAGACAGAGTCTTGCTCTGTTGCCCAGGCTGGAGTGCAATGGCACCACCTCAGCTCACTGCAACCTCTGCCTCCCGGATTCAAGCAATTTTCCTGCCTCAGCCTCCCAAATATCTTGGATTACAGGCACCTGCCTTCATGCCCGGCTGATTTTTGTATTTTTGTAGAGACAAGATTTCACCGTGTTGGCCAGGCTGGTCTTGAAGTCCTGACCTCAGGTGATTCACCTGCCTCAGCCTCCTAAAGTGTTGGGATTACAGGCGTGAGCCAACACGCTCAGCCAGTATTTTTGAATGAATGAGAAAATACATTTTGGGACATGCTTGGGACATGTTGAATTGAGGTATTTATGGGACACAGAAGGCAGAAGCATCTGGTAAGAGCAGTGGTGTGCTGGTAAATGTTTATCAACTGGCTCTCAGTGGAAAAAGTTCCGATTTGCAGCATTTGTTGAATTCCACAACATCAACACTCCCACCGTTGGTATTCAAGCTGCCAATGTGGCATTGCTAAATATAGAGTTGAGAAGAGATGTGCACTGTTGGCTCTCACAAGTTGGTGTGAGCAGGCTCCAGCACACCACTGCCTGTGGGTAGGTGGATTTAAGGGTATGAGGTTCAGGAGTGCAATGTGGGCTGGAGAGATGGATTTGGTGGTCATCTTCGAAGTGATGGTCATTGGAGCTAGGGGAACAGCAAGATAACCCAAGGAGTTGGTTCAGGGTCAAAAGGAGAGAACAGGAATCGAATTTGATGCAAGGCCAACATTTTAGGTAGCATGTGGAAGAGGAGCATCTTTGAAGGAGAAAGACGTGAATGAAAAAATCATTCAGGAGAACAATTCAGGAGAAAACCTGAATGATTTTCTCATTCAGACAGGAAGACCTGAATGAGAAAATCAGGAGAGCCAGGTCAGAACAGTGTCAAGGAAGTCAGAGAATAGGAATTTTCAAGAAGATTCTTCCCATCGTAAAAATTATGCAGAGAGATGCAGTAATGCAAGGTCTGGAAAATATCTATTAAGTTTCAAAGTTAGCAGGTTATTATTACTTAACCAGAATAGTAAGGAGAGTGGCCAGAGTATAGAGAGGAAAGTGAGAAGAGAGTGTATATGGTCAGGGATGGTGGCATTTTGGGTGTTGTATTAGTTACCTATTGCTGCATATCAAATTACTTTAAAACTTAGTAGCTTAAGCCGGGCCCAGTGGCTCACACCTGTAAATCCCAGTACTTTGGGAGGCCGAGGCAGATAGATGACTTGAGGGCAGGAGTTCAAGACCAGCCTGGCCAACATAGCAAAACCACATCTCTATTAAAAATACAAAAAATTTAGCTGTGTGTGGTGACAAGTGCCTGTAATCCCAGCTCACTGGGAGGCTGAGGCATGAGAATCACTTGAACCCAGGAGGTGGAGGTTGCAGTGAGCCGAGACTGTGCCACTGCACTCTAGCCTGGAGCAAGACCCTGTCTCAAAAACAAACAAAACAAAACAACATAGTAGCTTAAAACAAAAATAAACATTAACTCAGATTCAGTGCGTCAGGAATTCAGGAGAAGCAGATCTGGGCAGTTTAGACCTGGGGTCTCTTATGATGTTACTTGGGGCTGTGGCCATCTGAAGGCTTGAATGGGGCTAGAGGACCTCATGTGGTTGGCAAACTGCTGGCCATTGGCAGGAAGCCTCAGTTCTTCCCCATGAGGACCTCTCCATAGGGCTGCTTGAGTGTCCTCACAATATGGCAGCTGGTTTCCTCCACAGTGAATGATCCAAGAGAGAATGGCAGAAGAAGCTGCAAGTGTCTTTAATGGCCTAGTCTTAGAAGAAATGCACCATTACTTCTACATATCTTGTCATTCACACAGACTAGCCATGATTCAGTGTGATGGGGATGATACAAGGGCATAGATATCAGGAGGAAAAGATCATAGGGGGCCATCTTGGAGGCTGGCTACCACAGATGGAGGCAAGGGCTGGTAGGATTGACTGGCCTCAGGGTTGCAAACAGAACTCTGATATTAATCTGCTTCATTGAATCACTGGTATATTTCGGTTCCCCAGTAGAGGTGTTATTCAAGCTCCCAGTGCTGGGACATCTTTCTGTAGACTTTGAGGTTGGTGCAGGAAGAAGACTAGCAGTGTGGATAATTTTTTCTGTGAGAACCATAAGCCAACATAGGCTGAGCCTAATGTGTGGCCTCATTATTGAGGCTATTTCAAATACAGACTCCCTCTCTTGGAAGGTACACAATGATTGGGCCTGGAAATTGTGCAGTCAGATGGAAGTAGCATCATGATCAGAATGTAAGAAGCACATTTTCTCTGAATCAGGATAAACCTCACTGATCAGGGCTTACCTCTTTCTACCTCTGAGATTCTTTTTTTTTTTTTTTTTTTTTTTGAGACAGAGTCTTGCTCTGTTGCCCAAGTGCAGTGGTATAATATTGGCTCACTGCAACCTCCGCCTCCTGGGTTCAAGCGATTTTCCTGCCTCAGCCCCCTGAGTAGCTGGGATTACAGGTGTGCACCACCATGCCTGGCTAATTTTTGTATTTTTAGTAGAGAGACGGTTTTGCCATGTTGCCCAGGCTGGTCTGGAACTCCTGACCTCAGGTGATCCACCTGCCTCAGCCTCCCAAAGTGATGGGATTACAGGCATGATCCACCTCACCCGGCCTTCAGTTTCCTTTTTTTCTAATAGTAAGATACAAATTTGGGGGAAATGTTTTTACTTTCTCAGTTTTGTGTATCATAAATCTATAAGGGCTTATAATAATGGACATAACACCTATCATCATGGTTAGAGTTTGGAATCAAATTTGTGGAAACGGCTGGGCGTAGTGGCTCATGCCTGTAATCCCAGCACTTTGGGAAGCTGAGGCGGGTGGATCACCTGAGGCCAGGAGTTCGAGGCCAGCCTGGCCAACATAGTGAAACCCCATCTCTACTAAAAATACAAAAATTAGCGGGGCATGGTCGTGGGCGCCTGTAATCCCAGCCACTCGGGAGGCTGAGGCAGGAGAATCGCTTGAACCCAGGAGGTGGAGGTTGCAGTGAGCCGAGGCTGTGCCACTGCACTCCAGCCTGGGCAACAGAGTGAGACTCTGTCTCAAAAAAAAAAAAAAAAAAAAAATTCTGGAAACTAGAATTTTCTACTTAATCACCTGTGGGACGTTCTCTGCTGCTGCCATCTTGTGGCCACTTGGAGTAATAACATTCACAGTGTGCCTTTGGTCAGTCCAGTGACTCACCAGATGATGTAGGAAGGTCCTCTGGATTCTGTGTAAATATTTCCGATGACAGGTTTCCAATTATTCTACAAGACAGGCTATACCTATGGTGTAAAGCTTTGCTTATTAGAAAGTTCTTTCTGAAACTGAGTCAAATTCTGCTTTTATTCCATTTCTATACAATTCTTTTTCTACTTTCTAATTTTTTTTGGGGGGGGGTGGGGACAGGATCTTGGTCTGTTGCCTAGGCTGGAGTGCAATGGCGTGATCATAGTTCACTGCAGCTTCAAACTCCTGGGCTAGCTCCTAGCTAGCCTCTCAAGTAGTTAGGACCATGGGTGTGTGCCACCACGCCTGGCTAATTTATTATTATTATTATTATTTTTGAGACAGAGTCTCACTCTGTCACCCAGGCTAGAGTACAGTGGCACAATATTGGCTCACTGCAACCTCCAGCTCCCAGGTTCAAGTGATTCTCCTGTCTCAGCTTCCCAAGCAGCTGCGATTACAAGCGTGCACCAACACGCTGGCTAATTTTCGTATTTTTAGTAGAGATGAGGTTTCGCCATGTTGCCCAGGCTATTCTTGAACTCCTGACCTTAAGTAATCCATCTGCCTCAGTCTTCCAAAGTGCTGGGATTGCAGATGTAAGCCACCATACCTGTCCTGCCTGGCTGATTTTTAAAATTATTTTTTGTAGAGAGAGGGTCTAGCTATGTTGCCCAAACTGGTCTTAAACTCCTGGGCTCAAGCAATCCTCCTGCCTTGGTCTCCCAAAGTGTTGGGATTACTGGTGTGAGCCACTGCACCCAGCCCTCTAATTCTAAAAAAAAAAAAAAAATTGAAGGCAGCTGCTTATCATATTTCCCTAAATCTTTTTTCCTAAATATTTTAGCTTCTTTATCTCTCCCTGAATGATTCCCAGAGCCTTCATTCATCATCCAGGATCTGAGACAGGGATGCTGGTGCAAGTGATTTACTGGGGAGTGGCCACAGGGGAAACCTGTAGGGAAGCCAGGGAAACAGGATGGGCAAGAGGGCGGAGCTAAGCAAGGATGCAGTTTAGCCAGAGACCAGCCCAGCCTGATGCCACGGGGAGCTCTGGATCCTGAGTGGTGCTACAGAGTGAGTCTCACCTTGAGGCAAGGGGTTCAGTCTTGTATACTGTGACACTCAGTCATTGGCTCTGGGGGTGAGGGGTGTTCGAGGAAACCTTCCTGAGTGAAGTGGTTCCCATTTGGGCAAGGGCAGTTCTCAGGAGGGTTAGCAGCTGACGCTCAACAGCATGTGGGAAATGGGTGACCAGGAAAGAGGATCTGTATACCTTCTGCTCATATCTCATCTCAGTCATTATAGTCAGACCAGGACCCAAATATCCCAGGTGTAGTCTGAAGTGTAGTATTCAAGGAATCCAGGCCGAGCACAGTGGCTCATGCTTATAATCCCAGCACTTTGGGAGGCCGAGGCAGGCAGATCCCTTGAGCCTGGGAAGTCAAGGCTGCAGTGAGCCAAGATCGGGCCACTGCACTCCAGCCTGGGTAACAGAGTGAGACCCTGTCTGGAAAAAAAAACAAAAAAGAGTTCAAGAGATTCATTATATCCCATTCTCCTTAGTCCTGTATTAACAGTCCAGGCTTACATTTGGGTTGTCTGATCGAAACCCCAAGATATTTTTCACATAAAATTGCTCCCAGGCCAAGTGTCTTCCATCAATGCCTATGGCATGGTGATACCAAAAGCAAAAGCAGGTAAAATTGTATTCCTTTAAATTTTCCTCTTGTCAGTTTGGACTCACATTCTAGCTAACTGAGCCCTCATTGAATCTGGATTCTATCATCTAATCCAGGACTCTACGCTCTGTCTTCTGCAGACTTGATCCGTGTGTCTCTTTGGTAACTTTCAACTCCCTTGTCTGTTCATTACCTTTGGGCTGGTCATCTCTGTTTGTTTGTTTGTTTGTTTGTTTGTTTTTTAAGATGGAGCCTCGTTCTCTTGCCTAGGCTGGAGTGCAGTGACACAATCTCAGCTCACTGCAACCTCCGCCTTCCAGGTTCAAGCAATTCTCCTGCCTCAGCCTTCTGAGCAGCTGGGACTACAGGTGCATGCCACCACATCTGGCTAATTTTTGTATTTTTAGTAGGGATGGTGTTTCACCATGTTGGCCAGGCTGGTCTCGAACTCCTGACCTCAGGTGATCCACCTGCCTTGGCCTCCCAAAATGTTAGGATTCCAGGTGTGAGCCACAGCGCCCAGCCAGGGCTGGTCATCTCTTAATATCTGGCTGTCACTGCCCCTGCCTGATGATATCTGTTCTGTTGCTGTCCGCAGAACAGCACTACAGAGGGAACTTTGGTTGAAAATGGCCAGCAGCAAGCCTGAGGCCAGGGCCATAGAAAGAGAGCCATGTTTATTTCAGAAACATGAGTCTGAAATAAGTAGACAGCCCGGAACCTAGGTGGTTAAGTAGTTAATGTTATGTGACCAATATAGAAAACTTGAGACTATCAGCTCAGTAGCCCTGAGCCTTCTCATAACTTGACAGGTTCTGGGAAGGTATCTGAAAATAATTTAAGAAATGTATTCTGGCCAGACGCGGTGGCTCACGCCTGTAATCGCAGCACTTTGGGAGACTGAGGCGGATGGATCACCTGAAGTCAGGAGTTTGAGACCAGCCTGGCCAACATAATGAAACCCTGTCTCTACTAAAAATACAAAAATTAGCCAGGAGTGGTGGCACATGCCTGTAGTCCCAGCTACTTGGGAGGCTGAGGCAGGAGAATCGCTTGAACCCAGGAGGCGGAGGTTACAGTGAGCTGAGATCGTGCCACTGCACTCCAGCCTGGGTGACAGAGCAAAACTCTGTCTCAAAAAAAAAAAGAGAAAAAGAAATGTATTCAACCAATATTCAACTCATTTAAATGAGTTGTAGAGTGGTATATGATTACCTTAAGCTTTATAATTTGCAGAGAATTATACATCATCTAGGATAACATTTTCCACATATCCAACTGCACCATCACTTGCAGCATCAGACCCAGAGGAGGCAGGTAGCATGATGCCTTCTCCCTCCCTCCATCAGCTCCAAGGCTCACACATCGAACTGGCCCTGGGGCAGGGAAGGTCACTCCTCCGCTGACCCTGACTGAGGTGTTGAGACAGTCTTTTCTCACCAGGCCTCCATTAGCAGAAGAAGCCACCATTCTGAGTAGTCCTGCAAGCATGTTTCTCTCTGCTGGCCTTGTCCAGAACTGGCAAGCCCTTTCCCCTAAAGGGCAGTAGAGGAAAAGGGTCACCATGAAAGGCAGATCATACTTAGGAAATGCCAAGGAGCACCTAAAATCCCCTTATGTAACCCCAGAGATATGTATGTCCCACTGACATTTGGGACACACCAACTTGCAGCATCTATTCTGGAGTGGAGAATCATCTAATTATTCCGTCCTCCCATCCCTATCCTCCCAGACCAAAGACCTAAAAATCATGAGAGCAGTAAGACTGCATAGTGGAAACCACATTAGAAACTTATTGCATTTGTCACCTCTGAACCACAAAGTAGATTTTTTTCTTTCCTAGTTAGAGGCATGGAGCTTTACATATGACAAGTGTTCTCTCATTTGTTACCCTGCCCACTAAGTTCAATAAGTCTCTACATGATTGGATTCTCTTTACAAAGCAACTTAAACGAATTGCAGTTATGATATCAAGGAAAGATTCCAGTGCTGAAGAACAGCCTGTTTTGGAATTTACTCCCCCAAATGCAGGCACAAGGCGAATTTCATACTGGGATGGCTTAACTAACCTGTCTTGATTTTAGAGTCACTATATCTGTCTACATTTAAAATAGATAATTATCTTTTAACTAGGCCAAAGCATTCAGGTTACAAAAAGTCACAGTGAAAAGTTAAGTTCTTGTCTCTGCAGGAAGCAGGCAAGAGCCCCACCCTCCTGGGCGCAGCCGCAGCTGCCCAAACTGCAGCTGCAGACCCAGGCATCTCTGCACTCTCTGGGGCCAGGAAGGGCCCCCCTGCCCCTGCAGACTCAGAGGTGTCTGTTCCCACTTCCTGGACTCTCTCTGCTCCTGGCACCCACTCCGATCTTGGAGCAAGGTTGGGGTCAAGCCTGGGTGCTGTCACAGCCCAGCCAGGTTGTGACACAGCAGCCCCCTGCTGCCTTGGCCCCCTCTGGACTTTGGGCACTGATCAGTACGAGAGGGAGGCTGAGGTGGGGGCTGAGGGCAGCTCATTGCTGGTCTGCAGGCGCCCTTCCGCACAAACAGCCTGGCATGCCATGAGCTGCAGCAAGAGGCAGAGAGGCTCCTGGGCGGAAGAGGGCAGGTCTCCAGTGAAGCTCCACCTTCAAGCTGGGGAGAGCCTGAAGCCTGATGGCCAGGCTGTTGGTCCCATGGACCAGAGTGGAAACTTGTGGTGCTTTTCCTGGGCCTGCCCATGGCTGCCCATGGACCAATCAGCATGCACGTCCTCTGCTCTGAAGCCCATAAAAACCCCAGACTCAGGCAGACTTGGGGAGATGACAGGACTACCAGTGGTGGAGAGGAGCTACCGACCCCAGGGACTCCTGTTGGCTGAGAGCTGAAGATACAATGGGACGACTAGCTGCAGAGAGGAGCTACCCACTCCAGGTTCTCCTCTCTGCTGTGAGCTGAATGCTCATCAGGACATCTTGCCTGTGGAGAGGAGCTACCCAATGCCGGTCTCCTCTGAGCTATACTGTCACTCAATAAAGCTCCTTTTTGCCTTGCTCACCCTCCATTTGTCTGCATACCTCATTCTTTCTGGACACAGGACAAGAACTTGGGACCCACCAAATGGCAGGGCTAAAAGAGCTGTAACACAAACAGGGCTGAAACATGCCTCTTGCTTGCCACATTGCAGGTGACAAGAAGGAGAGAAGAGAGAGGGAGAGAAGAGCTGTGGCCCATTGGGGAGCCCAGACCTAGGAGCTCCCTGAGCCAGGGCTGTGACACCCTCTTTGGAACTCTGGGGTTCCTGGCATCTCCAAGCTTCAGGGCACCACTGTGTTCCCTGGTGCCAGCCATGGAAGCTGCTTGCAGTATGCCTGGCCCAGCTGCAGCCTCCCAGGGAGCTGGGACCCATGCCAGCACCTGGAGCTGCCCACTCTGCCATAGCTGGTGTGCCTGATTGTGCGCAATGGCCAGACCCTACAGTTGCTCACACACCCCTTGCTGCTCCATGCCTGGCTTGCCATTGGCAGGCAGTGGGCTCCAGGCCAATAGTGCAATATGAGTACAGCCTGCCAGGCTGAGCAGCCAGAATAAGCCCAGTGGGCCTGAGCAAAACTCAGGCAAAAAAAGCCACTGGCCTCAGAAGTTTCCAGCTGGTGAAGTGACACCCCAAGAATCCCATGATACAGGCCGGGTGTGGTGACTCACGCCTGTAATCCCAGCACATTGGGAGGCCGAGGCAAGTGGATCACGAAGACAGGAGGTCGAGACCAGCCTGACCAATATGGTGAAACCCCATCTCTACTGCAGATACAAAAATTAGCCAGGTGTGGTGGCATGCGCCTGTAATCCCAGCTACTGAGGCAGGAGAATCTCTTGAACCCAGGAGGTTGCAGTGAGCCAAGATCGTGCCATTGCACTCCAGCCTGGGGGACAGAGTGAGACTCCGTCTCAAAAAAAAAAAAAAAAAAGAAAAAAAGAAAAAAAAAGAATCCCATGATACTATAAATACAAAAAATTAGCTGGACATGTTAGCACATGGCTGTAATCCCAGCTACTTGGGAGGCTGAGGCATGAGAATCACTTGAACCCAGGAGGCAGAAGTTGCGGTGAGACGAGATGGCACCCCTGTACTCCAACCTCGGTGACAGAGTGAGACTCTGCCTCAAAACAAAACAAAACAAAACAAAAAAAGCTAGTTCCTCCCTTCTCAAGCTCCCTTTCCCCTGGCAATTAATGTTAGTTAACTGGAGAGTGAGCATTCTATCAGACTCCATTTAGAGTCCAGAAGATAAACAGCTAGGCTTTCCTGTTGGTGACAGCTGCTTTTTATATGCCAAAATCACCTCCAAGATCTTTTATTGCATTAAAAAAAAATGATCCCAGATGCTGCTTTTCACAAACTTCTTAGATGGTTTTTCAATATATTACTCCACAAAGTGGAAGCCATTATCACATTCATTTATTTTTCATGAGGTGCTGTAACAGGAATCCTGGATTCAGCAAGTAAAGCTGAAAGCCATATAAATAATGTATGTTAAGTACAACTGATAAGCACCCTTGTCATCTTGACATCACTGAGAGTTTTAGAGCAAAGCAGCATACGTGTGGCAACATGATCACATTCTTCATCCCTTCTGCCAAGAGACTGGTAATGAAGGGACTGAAGGTGAATTTTTAGTTTTCAGCTTAAGTGAGTGGTTCTCCAGCATTACTGAGTAGAAAAACCATCTGCAGGTGATTCTTTTTTTTTTTTTTTTTTTTTTTTGAGACAGAGTCTCAGGCTAGAGTGCAGGAGCGTGATCTTGGCTCACTGCAACCTCTGCCTCCTGGGTTCAAGCAATTCTCTTTCATCAGCCTCCTGAGTAGCTGGATTACAGGCGTGCACCCACACCCAGCTAATTTTTTTATACTTTTAGTAGAGATAGGGTTTCGCCATATTGGCCAGGCTGGTCTCGAACCCCTGACCTCAAGGGATCTGCTCACCTTGGCCTCCCAAGTGCTAGGATTACAGGCATGAGCCAATGTGCCTGGCCAGGTGATTCTAACTCAAAAGGTCTCTCTCTTTCCTTCCCTTCCTTCCTTCCGAAAAATCTCTTTTATTTTTATTTTTATTTTTATTTTTGGCTTCCCAGAAAGTATTTCACCAACAAGTATCTTTTAAGCTCCTGACATGTATCAGACAATGCTTTGGGCCTCAGAATCTGCATGTTAACAAGCCCCCTAAATGATCTTCGGGTAGGTGGTTCAAAGAACACATTGTACAAGCTGGCCTAAAGAAACGTGTAATTGATACTGTGGTTATCTTTTAATTTTTTTTTAATTTTCTTTTTTTATAAAATAGAGGTGAGGTTTTACCATACTGCCCAGGATGGTCTTGAACTCCTGGGTTCAAGCAATCCGCCCGCCTTAGCCTCCCAAAGTGCTGGGATTACAGGCATGAGAAACTGTGACCAGCCGATACTGTGGTTACCAAACACTCATTTTATCCAGCTTCCCAACCCCTACAACAGATGGTATGTTGTGTTTAGGTACCCACCCTTCTCTGCTCAACCATGTGCTTCAGGAGAGGCTGGCCACAGACCCAGGGAGTAGATCCTGATTGTTCAAAGGCAATCATGGTCTTCCCATTTCCCTTTGCAGGGACTGGTTTAGACAAGGCCATGCGATGCAGCTCTGACCAGTAAATGGAGGATAAATCTGCAGGGGGTTTCTGGGAAAGATTTTCTTGCTCCTAATAAAAGACATACAAGAAAAGATGGTCTTTTCTTATTCTGAGTATGGTTGTATCCAGATATGAAGGCTGGCACTAGGGCAGTCACCTTGCAACAAGAAGGGGAAAGCTAGCCCCCAAATGAAGCCTGCCCAGCAGAATGACAGAGCAGCAAGATGGAAAGAACTTGGTTCTTGAAAGTGTCATTGAGCCATGGAATTACCCAACCCTGGAGCTGTCCTATTCTTGGACTCGTAGGTGCAGAATAACACATTTCTTTGTTTAAGACAGTTGGGCTTGGGACTCTTTTATACCTTCTGCTAAAAACATTCTGACTGGCATTGAATTTTTATGTGCACTTTTGATTCAAGGTTTAAGCTTTCTGTAATTCACTGTTAAATAATTGTAACACAGTGTCTCAGGTGGGTTCCCTAGAAGTTGAGTCTGAGACAGGGATTTGAGTGCACATGATTTATTGAGGTCATGCTCTCAGGAGATTAGTAAAGCAGGAGGTGAAATAGAGAAGGAAAAAGGAAAGAGATGAGCAAGGATGTGGTTGCATGCAAAGTCTAGCTTTGGACTGATCCATGGGCGGTTCTGGAGCTGTATTGTTCAGTATGGCAGCCATTAGCCACATGTAGCTATTTAAATTTAAATTAATTAAAAGGAGTTAAAATTTAAAGCTCAGTTCTTTAGTCACATGCCAAGTGCTCAGTGACTACAGAAGCTCATAGGTAAAGTCGTTAGCCACATCAGTCATAGCAGCCCCAAACTCACCATCAGGTAAAGGTATCTGGAGAGAGTACCAATTGTGACTACTACCCATGGTATGTAAGTAGACATGAGCTGCATGCAATGCTATTGGCAGAGAGGTTAGATAACACTCCTTTTTTGCTAATCCACGTTGGGAATTTAGAATCTCCTGAGATTGCTCCTAAGGAGCACCTTTATTTCTTAACAATCCCTAGAGTTCAGACACATACCAACTATATAAACATATCTGATAGGTGAGTCACTCCAGTGATGCTCAGATTGCAGACAATGGAGGCTCAGAGAGCAGGCTCAAAGGGAGAAAGGGACTTGGTGCAATGAGTAAGAACTAGAAAAAAGTGCCTGAATGTCAAAGAGAACTGGTGGGGACAGAGGTCTGACTCTGGACAGAACTTGAAGCTGCCACTGGAACTGTCTCATCCAGCCACTGTGTCATACAAAAAAGAAAGAAGAGGGTTTATATTTTCACTTTTTCACTACGTTCATCTCACTTTTTTTTTTTTTTTTTTTTGAGTCAAGGTCTTACTCTGTCACCCAGGCTGGAGTGCAGTGGTGCAGTCTCAGAATCCAGATCGCTGCAACCTCCCTATCCCAGGCTCAAGCGATTCTCCTGCCTCAGCCTCCCGAGTAGCTAGAACCACAGACACGTACCACCACACCAGGCTAATTTTTTGTATTTTTTGTAGAGGGGGGGCGTCTCACCATGTTGCCCAGGGTGGTCTCAAACTCCTGGACTCAAGTGGTCTACTTGCCTTGGCCTCCCAAAGTGCTGGGATTACAGGCGTGAACCACTGTGCCCGGGGTGGCCTGTAATCTGGCACGGTTTGAAATCCAACCACCTTGCCCATCTCACTTCTATAATATGTTTTCCTATGTTTTATGTCTGTCTACTCTTTGGTTATCTCTTCATATGACACCAACTTTGTAACGCCATCTTCTAGAAAGAGAATAGAAGGTAATTCAGTCTTTCCTCTTACATGGTTGACCACAATTTGTTTTTGGTTATTGCTACTTTATTTTAATTTTATTTATTTTTTTATGACTTCAAAAAATTTTTGTGGGTACATCGTAGCTGTATATATTTATGGGGTACATGAGATGTTTTGATACAGGCGTGCGATGTGAAATAAGCACATCATGGGGAATGGGGTATCCATTCCCTCAAGCATTTATCCTTTGAGTTACAAACAATCCAATTATAGTCTTAAAATATACAATTAAGTTATTATTGACTATAGTCACCTTATTGTGCTATCAATAGTATTTATTTTTATTTTTTTGAGACAGGGTCTTGCTCTGTTGCCCAGGCTAGAGTGCAGTGATGCAATCATAGGTGCAACCTTGACCTCCTGGGCTCAAGTGATCCTCTTGCCTCAGCCTTCCAAGTAGCTGGGACTACAAGTGTGCACCATCACGGCCATCTAATTTTTTTATTTTTTGTAGAGATGGGGTCTCGCTTTGTTGCCCAGGCTGGTCTCAAACTCCTGGGTTCAACTGATCCTCCCACTTTGCCTTCCAAAGTGCTGGGATTACAGGCTTGAGCCACTGCGCCCTGTCTATTATTGCTACTTTAGAAATATTTCCTTTTGCTTCACAACTTACTATGGGAAATGCCTAATCTTTACCTTCCTTCTCAGTCCTTTGATCAGGACTTCCCTCAGTCCCTTCTTGTCTGGAGGGAAGTCCTCAGATTTCATAGCCATGGCCTCCCAGTAGCTGCTACCAGAGCAACAGCTGCTGGTTCAGCTCAGGTCAGGTCCTCACTGCCCTGTTCCATCACTGGTTTGGTCCTGGGGGGTAAGCAGGAGGGGGTTGGGGGTGCAGGAGAAGTAACTATGAGCCTGAGTCATAGTCACCCTTGAGCAGGAAGCAGAGGAGCTTCTCATTCAGATTCTTCTCCTTGAGGTCAAAGATAGAATCCAGAGGCTAAACCACATAACCCCTCAGGGCACACCAGCCCAACTTCCAACTGCTGACACCTGCAACTTTGGCTAAGGGCTGTTCTCTGGTCACTGAAGCCCACTTTGCTCACCTGTGTGGCAAGCTGCAGATGTCCAGGAATTACTGTTCCTCCCCACAGCTCCCAGTAGACTTCAGCTAATGATTAATGGAAGTTAGTGTATAAATACCAAAGCTCCTCATTCCTTGGGTGGGATACCTGAGCACGAGTCTACACTGGCTCCCAGAGTTTCCTATCATGATTGAGCTCCATTTGTCCTCATGGTGATTGGCTGGGTAATGCCCATGCCTCCTTTATTTGGCTGCCTTTCCTATACTTTCTCAATTCCCCTCCTTCTTTGTCTCTCAAATGAACTCCTTGCACTCTCAGCATCTGCTTCTGGGGTTACCCAACTAAGGCATTAGATGACCACAAGGGCAGTTGTCACTGGGGGCTGGGTGATTTGGACATAGTGCTGGCAGCCTGCTGCTTAGCCTAAGCCCGAGGACCATCATCAGGACACAGATACTGGGACAGCACACTCTGCCTCCACATCTTCTGCATGGTTAGTTTAAGTCTGGAATGAAGATTACTAGCAAATATATGGACCATACAACAAGCTGCTTACTCCCACATCATTCTTACTTATTTATTTATTTTTTAATTTTTATTTTTTTGAGACAGGGTCTCACTTTGTTACCCAGGCTGGCGTGCAGTGGTATGATCTCGGCTCACTGCAGCCTTGATCTCCCAGGTTCAAGTGATCCTCCTGCCTCAGCCCCCAAGTAGCTGGGATTACAGGTGCATGCCACCATGCCCGGCTGATTTTTGTATTTTTTGTAGAGATGGGGTTTTGTCATGTTGCCCAGGCTGGTCTTGAATTACTGAGCCCAAGTGATTCTCCCACCTCAGCCTCCCAAAGTGCTGGGATTACAGGTGTGAACCACTGCGCCTGGCCTTCCATATAATTCTTGTCAGTTCTAAAACTGTTACTTTGTTCGCCATCTGTTTGACTTCTGTGTTTCTCTCTCAATTGGTTCAGAACTTGAAAGTAGAAGGTCATTAATTGAGCCTCCTGAAACTGTTAAAAATAAGCATGGTTAGGCTGGGTATGGTGGCTCACGACCGTAATCCCAGCACTTTGGGAGGCTGAAGTGGGCGAATCATGAGGTCAGGAGTTCGGGACCAGCTTGACCAATATGGTGAAACCCTGTCTCTACTAAAAATACAAAATTTATCTGGGTGTGGTGACGCATGCCTATAATCCCAGCTACTAGGGAGGCTGAGGCAGGAGAATTGCTTGAACCCAGGAGGCGGAGGTTGCAGTGAGCCGAGAACATGCCATTGCACTCTAGCCTGGGCGACAGAGCAAGACTCCGTATCAAAAAAAAAATAATAAATAAATAAGCATGGTAGAAAGATAGGACTTCAGGATGAGCACAATCCAGGGAGATTGGAAAGAGGGTGGCTAGATGCTGGCCCCTGGCCTGAGGGAAGGAGCAAATCTATAGTCCATAAAGGAGGAGGCAGAATGAGGTACTAGGCAGAGTATGAGAATAAGAATTTAGAAATAAAGAGAAGGCAGAAGCCAAGTAATTGGAACACATGGGGATGCTGGATGTGATCCTGTTGAGACTAGAGCTCAATTATCAGAACTGGGTCACTGCAACTAGAATAGAGTAATCCATGCTGATGCATAGCTTGTGAGGTAAGAGCTAGTCAAATGCTTTCTTAACAGGCTATGATTGGGCCTGGGGGTGGGAGGCTGGGGCGCAGCTGAGAACATGGTAAACCCAGGTGTGGACAGACACTGAGGAAACAGGCTGGCAGGCTGGTACTAACTGGTTCTGCAATCAAACGTTTAAAAGACTGGCACAATTCTATCCTTCTTATTTGTTTTATTTTTGAAACGGAGTCTCGCTCTGTCGCCCAGTCTGGAGTGCAGTGGCACGATCTTGGCTCACTGCAACCTCTGCCTCCTGGGTTCAAGCAATTCTCCCTGCCTCAGCCTCCCAAGTAGCTGGGATTATAGGCACCCGCCACCATGCCCAGCTAATTTTTGTATTTTTTAGTAGAGATGGGGTTTCACCATGTTGACCAGGCTGGTCTTGAACTCCTGACCTCAGGTGATCCCCCTGCCTCAGTCTCCCAAAGTGCTGGGTTTACAGGCATGAGCCAACGTGCCCAGCCTTATTCTTCTATTTGTAAAGGGGCAACACTGTGCTTTATAAAGCCACAAAGGAAAATGCCATTCTTTAGTCCTTTTTCTCAGATTTTGCAGACGTTAGACTTAAAAGCCTCCCTGCCTAACCTGTCTCTTTCATCTTCTTTGTTGAGGTTCACGCATCATGAGGAAATACCAGCTGCTCTAAATGACTTCAAATTTGCTTGATCCAAACAAGTTGCATGTCAGGTATAGAAGTTGGGACTTTGTCAGTTACAAACGACAGAAACCTGAGTAAAACCAGCTTACGCAGAAAGAGATTTTTTTGATTCAGATAACTGGGAAGGATCCTGGGCTAGTTTAGAGGGTGGAAGGAAGAGCCCAAGAATCTAGGGTCTCAGAGACTTGAACTCTGGACTCATGGTCAACCAGACTCTCTCTCCATTCAGTTCCCAAACCAGTTTGTCACAACTTTTTTTTGGTATATTCACCTTTTCTTCTCTTACTGCAGACAGAACTTTACACCACCTTTAATTTCCCTAGCAGCCTGAGTCACATGCTATCATGCAGCTCGGGCAGCTCAGGTCAGGTCCTCACTGCCCCGTTCCATCACTGGTTTGGTCCTGGGGGGTGATGGGAGGGGAATGCCAGCAGGAAGAGATTTGTGTATCGCATCCCTGGAGGACACTGATTAGTGCTGCCTGCATCTTATACCCATTTCATGGCCCAGCATGTAATTGACAATCAATAAATACTCCTGAATGCATGAGTAAGGCTACCATAAATAATGTGACAGAGGTAGCTCTCATTGTTGTAAATTAATAAATTTTAGTTTATGTCTCTATCTGGAGATGCTGGTCCATGTGCACTTACTTCTGAGAGATGTCTGCTGTCAGTGTTTTGAGGAAACAGCTTCTGAGTCTGCAAGCTTTGGTAAATTCAGAAGGTGATTAAATGCCACCCTTGGAGGTTTCCCAGATAACAGTCTGTTCTAGATGACCACCTAGACTATAAATGTTGATGGAAATTGCTTTTCCTTACTTGAATCTCTACACTGAGAACTTATTAATGAAATGTATATGTTTTTCAAACTTATGTTTACAACATCACAATGAAGTAATTATAGTCAGATAAGATCTTATTGTCTCCATTTAATAGCTAGGAAAGTCCAGGCATATATTGGGTAAGTCAGTGTTTTTCAAGGAATGTCTTCCAGAAAACAAGACCCCTAGGTGATTCATGAAAAGGGGTTCTGTGGTCAGTTATGATTGGGAAGACTCTGAATGATTTCCAATATATGTTAGTATACTAAAGATTCTGAAGGAAGCAGTTAAGAACTCTATAAGGGGCAGGTGCAGTGGCTCATGCCTATAATCCCAGCACTTTTGGAGGCCCAGGTGGGAGGATCACCTGAGCCCAGAAGTTCAAGGCCAGCCTGGGCTTGTAGAGACCTGGTCTCTACAAAAATTAAAATGTTGGTTGGGCATGGTGGTGCGCACCTATAGTCCCAGCTACTCAGGAGGCTGAAGTGGGAGGATCACCTGAGCCCAAAATTCAAGGCTGCAGTGAGCCAAGATCACGTTACTGCACTCCAGCCTGGGCAACAGAGCGAGATGCTGTCTTTTTTTTTTTTTTTTTTTTTTTTTTTTTGAGATGGAGTCTCGCTCTGTCACCCAGGCTGGAGTGCAGTGCCGCAATCTTGGCTCACTGCAAGCTCCACTTCCCGGGTTCATGCCATTCTCCTCCCTCAGCCTCCCGAGTAGCTGGGACTACAGGTGCCCACCACCACGCCCGGCTAATTTTTTGTATTTTTAGTAGAGATGGGGTTTCACCAATGTTAGCCAGGATGGTCTCGATCTCCTGACCTCGTGATCCACCCACCTTGGCCTCCCAAAGTGCTGGGATTACAGGCGTGAGCCACTGCGCCCAGCCAAGATGCTGTCTTTTAAAAAAAAAGCATCAGCAGAAGAAAGCTATATGAAGTAAAATCTGTTTAACGTTGATCAAAAGGATTTAGCAAAATTATTGGACCTTAAACTTCCTGTTTCTGCATATATCTTCTCTTATTCCCTCCTGTTTTCATAGAGGATCTGTCTCTTTCCACCTAAGGCCAATCTCTCCATCTATACCTAGGACTCTATTTTCCTTTCCCTCCATTCCTAGGAATCTTCTATTTCTCAAGTATTCTTTCTCCCTCCTCATCCTAGGGGTGGTAGCAGCTCCCTGCTCTTGCTAATCATCCGTTTGATTTTCCAATACCAATTTAATTAGTTCCCCTTACCTGGTATGAGTTATGTTTTCCTGATTTGACCCTAACTGATGATGATACATGGAAATATCAGAAAATAGGGAACAGGGGGAAGGAGAGCATTTGAGAAACAGGCAAATTCTACTTGACTTGGTGGATTACCTTGAAGTCAAGGTAGCTCGGGGAAAGTAGAGGAGACCGGGAGGCAATGGCAGTAGATTGATGTCTATGAGCTCTTACCTAGGCATCATTCAGTTTCCTGTGAAAGCAGATGTCCTCCACACTAGGGGTTGTGGGGAAATTGTATGAGTAGAGAAAAGGGCAGGTTACAGAGGACAGCCCATCTCCCTGTATATGAGCGATTATCTCTGGTTGTCAGTAAGTCACAAATAAGTCAGTGCTGTCCTCTAGTTGCCTGGGGTGGGGGTCAGAGGACTTGCCCCACAGCAGAAACCTCTTCATCTGGGAACTAGTTGGGCACAGCTTCTTTTGGCTGCATCTGTAACCTGTCCTGGGTTGGCCCAGCTGCTGAGTTGTCACAGTTTGTGGTTGGCACCTATTGTTAAATGTCAATATTTTCACAGTCATCCCACACTGCTATGCTATGGCATTTGTCCCTTGGCCTTGGGAGGACAGGCAATTCTTTCATACATAATAGGAAAAGATAGAAGAGAGACTGTCTTTTTCTCTCAAAGACTGTTCAAGCCAGTAGCAGGTCATTGTACTCTGAATAATGCCCTTTCAAATGGAGAAAGAATATAATTCTGAAATCACACACTTCTGGGACCATTAGAGACACCAGTTTACTGAGCGTGACTTTTGCAAGATGATTCTGTAATGAAATGTAATCCTCAAAGTCTGAAATAAGTAAAATGTATTTATTCAGAAAATGCATGAGTGTTTGTGTATATGTATTAAAATCTATTACCCTTAAAGTGCCCCATGATCAAGACAGGAGATGAGAATTATATTGTGCTTGAAGTATAGACAATACTGAGTCTGAGAGTGTTGGGCAGACGTGAAGTTCCACATGTAACAATGTCTATCAATCGAGGTGTCTCTGGAGTTTTCTGGAGGTTGAATCTGGAATGAACAGTTCTTGGGTGTGCCCTGTTGAGGAGCTAACTGGTGCAGGAGCTATCTGGGGTGAAATCACTACCCATGAGAAGAAAAGCCTCTCCTCCACCTTTCCCAGGCTGAAAAGACAGTTTGGCTTGGGGATGGCATGGGTGGAGCTTTCAGCTGAGACTAAAGGCCCAACTCTCCTCCCAGTGTGAGGAGAGGTTGACCCTACACTCTTCCTGCTGCCACAGGAACTGTGGAGGCAGCTGTTGAGGAATTACCCCTGATTGAAGGAGGGCATAAATGCTGATTCTCCTCTGAAGGTCTGTAAAGTGCAGCCATAAACATCCCAGTCTCTCAAATGTGAAACACTTGTCCTTTCGCACCTGGGTTGAAAAGTCAAGCCTAATTCTTTTAATAATGCCCCAATGCCTTGAACTTCATCCATTCCTATAAGAGCTTAGCACCCCAGCAGAAGGAAACCTAGCACCCCAGAAACTCTGCTTAAGACAAATAATCCTCAGCTGGATTTTGCGGCTAATGCCTGTAATCCCAGCACTTTGGGAGGCAGAGGTGGGAGGATCACTTGAGGCCAGGGATTCAAGACCAGCCTGGGCAATATAATGAGATCCCATCTCAAGAAAGAAAGAAAAGAAGAAAGAAAGAAAGTAAGAGAGAGAGATAAAGAGGGAAGAGAAAGAAAGAAGGAAAGAAAGAAAGAAAAAAAAGAAAGAGTATTGTAAAAATCCTTAGTGTTGAAAATAAAGTTCCATGGTTAGGAAAATGTCAGTAAAAGGACTTTATTTTTTAAGATTTAATTTTCTTAAATTTTAAGTGCTACCCTTTAAAAATTATTGATGACAGAAAAAAAAAATTCCTTCCTTCTTCCTCAGGAGGCAATTCCTAGTTAGTAATAAGAGGATTTTTTTTTCCTTTTTTTCTAAGTGCAAAATCTTCCTTGTAACTTCCTCATAACAATTGCCTTTCCTGAACATGAGGACAGGGTTCAGTGATAAGTGCAGGAACGCAGGAGAGGTAGGGCGGAGAAAACTCTGCTTCAGGAAGGGAGAGATAAAGATGGCCAAAGTCCCTGTACTGGGTAGAGAAAGCTGAGCCAAACAAGGCCAAAGTCTGCATGGGGAAGATTAAGACAGCAACCCAGAGGGCAGCAGGGAGAGTTGTTCGGGGAGAAAAGATACTTTTAATAAGATTATTTGCAGTAAATACTGTGCACTATACAATGTAGACTATGCCCTTTGTTCCTTATAGAAAACCTAGACTGTAGAAATTCTACATTCAAGAGTAAAATATCTATTTTTTAATAGTGTGTGGAAGAGTCTGTTTTCTTTTGGAGATTTCATTCGAAGATTGCGACAAGAAGGGTATAGCTCCTGCCCTTGGGGCTCAGCTACATGTTGGCTACACAAAAGTATTAAATTCTCATGGTAAATTTTCTTCTTTTTTTTTTTTTTTTTTTTTTTTTGAGACAGAGTCTTGCTCTGTCGCCTAGGCTAGAGTGCAGTGGTGCGATCTCAGCTCACTGCCAGCTCCATCTCCCAGGTTCACACCATTCTCCTGCCTCAGCCTCCCGAGTAGCTGGGACTACAGGTGCCCACCACCACGCCCGGCTAATTTTTTGTATTTTTAGTAGAGACGGGGGTTTCACCGTTAGCCAGGATGGTCTCGATCTCCTGACCTCGTGATCCACCCGCCTCAGCCTCCCAAAGTGCTGGGATTACAGGCGTGAGCCACCGTGCCCAGCCAAGGTAAATTTTCAAAACATACAAAAACACACAAAGTGAAAAGTGAAATTTTCACTCCCCCCTGCCCCCCGATTCTGATTAATTACATTGTTCAGAGTTAACCTATCCACAACTAATCATTTGGTGCTTTAATGTTTTTCCTAAGCATTTATGGACATGTATGATTGAATATTTGGCTCAAAAAGTATTCAAGGTTGAAAATAATTTTCCTTTAAAGTTTTGATGGTATCGGTCCATTGCCTAGTTCTTCTTTAGCATGTTAAAATTAATTTTTGAATTACATGCTTGGGCTATGAATTCAAAAGGTAAAAAGTATATAAAATAAGTCTCTTCACCACTGATCCTGCCATCTGCTTAGTTCCATCACTGGTTGTAACTACTGTTACTGGTTTCTTTTTCTTTTCTTTTCTTTTCTTTTTCTTTCTTTTTTTTTTTTTTAATGAGACTGCGTCTTGCTCTGTCGCCCAGGCTGGAGTGCAGTGGTATGATCTTCGCTCACTGAAACCTCCACCTCCGAGGTTCAAGCAATTCTCCTGCCTCAGCCTCCCGAGGGGTTGGGGCTACAGGCATGCGCCACCACACCCAGCTAATTTTTGTATTTTTAGTAGAGACGGGGTTTCACCATGTTGGCCAGGCTGGTCTCGAGCTCCTGACCTCGTGATCCGCCCACCTCGGCCTCCCAAAGTGCTGGGATTACAGGCGTGCGCCACTATGCCCAGACTTTTTTTTTTTTTTTTTTTTTGAGACAGGGTCTCACTCTGTCACCCAGGATAGGGTGCAGTGGCGTGATCTCAGCTCACTGCAGCCTCTACCTCTCTGGAGCAACGATCCTCCTATCTCGGCCTCCAGAATAGCTGTGACTACAGGTGCACACCACAAACCCAGCTAAATTAAATATTTTTTTGCAGAGACAAGGTTCTGCTACATTGGCCAGGCTCAAACTCTTGGGCTCCAGTGATCCACCCATTTTGGCTGCCCAAAGTGCTGGAATTACAGGTGTGAGCTACCGCGTCTGACCAAAATTGCCATTTTTGAAGTTAAAAAAAATCAGCAATTCCATGAGATTCAATCTAACATATGTGTATAGCATATGCTTATGCACATAATTTTTAATCACACTGATGATAGCATGCTATATACACAATAGATTTCTCACTTAACAATTAATCCTGAGATCTCCCCATATCAATATATATAGAGCTGCCTCATTCTTTTTTTTATTTTGTGCCTATTTATTAGTTTTCTTGGCTAAATATTGTTATTCTAAAATTTACATGCAGAAAAATTGAGCTCCATTTTTGATTTACAGCTCTATGAGTTGTAATGCATGCATAAATTTGTGTACCCATTACAATCGGGAAACAGAAATAAGTCAAATATATCAGTGTAACCTCCAACAATGACCAAAACAAAATATTATCAGTGCTCGAAAATCTCCTCTGAAACCCTCATCTCCATTGCTATGCCTTTCCTATACCCCAAGACAATATTTTCCTTTACTTCTAACACAATAAATTAATTCTGGCTTATATGGAATTGTATAGGGAATCATGTACACTAAAACATCCTTTCGTTTGTCTTTTTTCTGTTCACCATGATGTAAGATTTATCTATATTGTCTTATGATTACTATAGAGCAATGAATTGCACCATATTTCATTATATTATAGTATTTTTGATAAGCAGAATTCAAAATAAACTTTTGCATAGATTGACAAACTATTTTTATTTATGGTTTCTGGATCTTGTGTTACACTTAGGCCTTTAGCACTCCAAGATTATAAAATTCTCTTACATTTTCTCCTAGTACTTTAATAATTTCTTTCTTTCTTTCTTTCTTTCTTTTTTGAGACAGTCTCACTCTGTCGCCCAGGCTGGAGTGCAGTGGCGCGATCTCGGCTCACTGCAAGCTCCGCCTCCCGGGTTCACGCCATTCTCTCGCCTCAGCTTCCCGAGTAGCTGGGACTACAGGCTCCCGCCATCATGCCCGGCTCATTTTTTGTATATTTAGTAGAGACGGGATTTCACCGTGTTAGCCAGGATGGTCTCGATCTAGTGACCTTGTGATCCGCCCTCCTTGGCCTCTCAATGTGCTGGGATTACAGGCGTGAGCCACTGCGCCCAGCCAATAATTTCATTTTTTTCAAACTTAATTCCCACCCCTACCCCGCCACCAAAAGATATCAACCTATTACCCAAATACTCATTTAATCCTTACAGGAATTATAGTGGATACAATTGAGAGGTGACAGCGTGCTGGCAGTCCTCACAGCCCTCGCTCGCTCTTGGCACCTCCTCTGCCTGGGCTCCCACTTTGGTGGCACTTGAGGAGCCCTTCAGCCCACTGCTGCACTGTGGGAGCCCCTTTCTGGTCTGGCCAAGGCCGGAGCCGGCTCCCTCAGCTTGCAGGGAGGTGTGGAGGGAGAGGCGCGAGCGGGAACCGGGGCTCCGCGCCGTGCTTGCGGGTCAGCCGGAGTTCCGGGTGGGCGTGGGCTTGGCGGCCCCGCACTCGGAGCAGCCTGCCGGCCCTGCCGGCCCCGGGCAATAAGGGGCTTAGCACCCGGGCCAGCAGCTGCGGAGGGTATACTGGGTCCCCCAGCAGTGCCAGCTCAAGAGCGCTGCGCTCGATTTCTCACCGGGCCTTAGCTGCCTTCTCGCGGGGCAGGGCTTGGGACCTGCAGCCTGCCCTGCCTGAGCCTCCCACCCTCTCCATGGGCTCCTGTGCGGCCCGAGCCTCCCCGATGAGCGCCTCCCCGATGAGCGCCGCCCCCTGCTCCACGGCGCCCAGTCCCATCGACCACCCAAGGGCTGAGGAGTGCGGGCGCAAGGCGAGGGACTGGCAGGCAGCTCCACCTGCAGCCCCAGTGCGGGACCCACTGGGTGAAGTCAGCTGGGCTCCTGAGTCTGGTGGGGACGTGGAGAATCTTTATGTCTAGCTCAGGGATTGTAAATACACCAATCGGCACTTTGTATCTAGCTCAAGGTTTGTAAACACACCAATCAACACCCTGTGTCTAGCTCAGGGTTTGTGAATGCACCAATCGACACTCTGTATCTAGCTACTCTGGTGGGGCCTTGGAGAACCTTTGTGTTGACAGTCTGTATCTAGCTAATTTAGTGGGGACGTGGAGAACCTTTGTGTCTAGCTCAGGAATTGTAAACGCACCAATCAGTGCCCTGTCAAAACAGACCACTCCACTCTACCAATCAGCAGGATGTGGGTGGGGCCAGATAAGAGAATAAAAGCAGGCTGCCTGAGCCAGCAGTGGCAACCTGCGGGGGTCCCCTTCCATACTGTGGAAGTGTTGTTCTTTTGCTCTTTGCAATAAATCTTGCTACTGCTCACTCTTTGGGTCCACACTGCTTTTATGAGCTGTAACACTCACAGCGAAGGTCTGCAGCTTCACTCCTGAAGCCAGCGAGCCCACGAGCCCACCGGGAGGAACGAACAACTCCAGATGCACCGCCTTAAGAGCTGTAACACTCACCGCGAAGGTCTGCAGCTTCACTCCTGAGCCAGCGAGACCAGGAACCCCCCAGAAAGAAGAAACTCCGAACACATCTAAACATCAGAAGGAACGAACAACTCCAGATGCCCCACCTTAAGAGCTGTAACACTCACCATGAGGGTCTGCGGCTTCATTCTTGAAGTCAGTGAGACCAAGAACCCACCAATTCCGGACCCACAATTACATGTCTTAATTTTAGAGATGAAGACACTGAAACATACAGAAGTTATTTTCCCCAATCACAAATAATAAATGGCAAAGCTGGCATCTGAACACAATCAGTTGACTTTAATGTTAATCTGCTTATTCATTACTCTATCCAGCCTTTCCATGGGAACTCATCACCATTATCAACATTACTGGCAAGCACCTCTTTTTTTTTAAACTACAACGGAAACACAGTATTTAAATGTTTGCAAGAGTGAATTAGGTTACTTAGGAGTCTAATTAGCAAGTAGTTACTTAGTAAGGAGTAGGGAATTTGACACCTTCTCATTTCTATCTCATGAACAGTTCTGTCTCTTACCAAGGGACCTCATTCTTGAAATAAGATTTACTTCTGAGCCCAGTGTTGTTTTCTCTTCAAATGATTGCTCTGATTCCATTTTTGAGTCATCAGCCATGTAAATATCTCTGGAACGTGTCATGTAAACAAATGCAGAACTGTTAAAAATTAAGTTGGGCCGGGCGCAGTGGCTCACGCCTGTAATCTCAGCACTTTGGGAGGCCGAGGCGGGCGGATCACGAGGTTAGGAGATCGAGACCATCCTGGCTAACACAATGAAACCCTGTCTCTATTAAAAATACAAAAAATTAGCCGGGCGCAGTGGCCAGTGCCTGTAGTCCCAGCTACTTGGGAGGCTGAGGCAGGAGAATGGCGAGAACCCAGGAGGCGGAGCTTGCAGTGATCCGAGATCGCGCCACTGCACTCCGGCCTGGGTGAAAGAGCAAGACTCCGTCTCAAAAAAAAAAAAAAAAAATTAAGTTGAACAGCTTAAAAATATTAGCAAACTGTGACTCAGAGAAGTGAAGGAAGTGTTAAACACAGCTGGAGACCAGGAAAGAGGGCAAGAAGTCCTGGAGTCACTTTCTAGTTCTATCACTGAGATCATATTACTATGGACAAGTCATTTTTTGGTTCTTTGTGTCTATTTGTCAAACAGAGCCAATAAGAGTAAGAAGTAGCTCTTCACTTTTCCATAGTTTATTTACTTTATGCCAGTAATGGGCATTAAATTAACAACAAACATTTGTTTAAATTTTTAAATTTTAAATTAAAAAAAAATTTTTTTTTGAGACGGAGTCTTGCTCTGTCACCCAGGCTGGAGAGCAGTGGTGCGATCTCAACTCACTGCAACCTCTGTGTCCCAGGTTCAAGCAATTCCCCTGCCCCAGCCTCCCAAGTAGCTGGGATTACAGGCATGTGACACCACGCCCGGCTAAGTTTTATATTTTCAGTAGAGATGGGGTTTCACCATGTTGGTCAGGATGGTCTTGAACTTCTGACCTCATGATCTGCCCACCTCAGCCTCCCAAAGTGCTAGGATTACAGGCGTGAGCCTGTAACAACAAACATTTTTAAAAACCCTCTAAAGATAAGTTATACCAGGCTGAAAAGTTGGCTAAATTCCAGAGAGTCTAAGTTTAGACTCTGATGTGTAGAACTTTCTTCCATGAGAGGTTTTCCAACTGTTTTATAATTAAAATTTACATAGCCTTACAATATTCTCCTGTAAAAGTAAATATTAACAACATAACATTTCGAAGCTTTCTAATGAAGTATATTAAAACAATATAGTAATACAAATATTTCAATTTCTACATCTTTGTTACTTGTTACAACAAAAGTCTCTCTTCTCCCACCTCCATATCTTGAGTAGAACTGTAATGAAAGGAAGTAAGAGCTGGGGTCATAAAATATGTGACACCTACCCTAAATTCAACTCATTCCCCCCTCTCCCCCAACTCCCATCCCGTAAAACCCCTTGGAAGCATAAGCATCAAGATCCCCAGGGAACTGCAGTCATGCTGTCCAGGCTGAGACCAGTAACAAATGGAGAAGTGTCCCATAGCAGAGAGGTGATTTAGCAAAAGTAAAGAGACAGTGAGAAGAACACATAACTTGGAAGATGAAGGACTATTTTACTTCCCTAAATATACTTAGAGGGAATTGTCCCTTAGGGGAAAAGGAAGAGCAAATATCTGGGTTACATGAATTGTGTAATACAATGTGAAAGAACTATGATAACATACACACTTAAGATGACGTTTTAACATTGCTTATAATTAAATAAATGGAAACTACAACAAAAGTAAAATACGATTCACCATCTTTTTGACTGACAAAAAATTAAAAACATATTCATAAGGGCATTTCCCACACTATCAGTAGAAATATAAATTGCTATACATTTTGGAGATCAAGTTGGCATTAATCATGCTCATTGGATGGAACTCTCAATTATACTTCTAGAAATCCATTATTTTCTTTTTTCTTTTTTCTTTTTTTTTTTTTTTTGAGACGGAGTCTCGCTCTGTCGCCAGGCTGGAGTGCAGTGGCACCATCTCGGCTCACTGAAACCTTGGACTCCCTGGTTCAGGTGATTCTCCAGCCTCAGCCTCCCGAGTAGCTGGGACTACAGGGGCGCACCACCATGCCAGGTTAATTTTTGTATTTTTAGTACAGACGGGGTTTCACCACGTTGGCCAGGAGGGTCTCAATCTCCTGACCTCGTGATCCACCTGCCTTGGCCTCCCAAAGTGCTAGGATTACAGACGTGAGCCACCACTCCCGGCCAGAAATCCATTATTTTCTACAGAAACATACACACTAGTATACAAACATTTATTTATAAAGTTGCTCACTTTAATAGTTTTTTATTAGCAAAAAACAGGAGAGAAGCTAAATGCCTACCAATTAGAAATCTTAAATTATAATTCATACATAGTATAAAATACTATGCAGCCATTAAAGGGATTGAAATACATATACTGATTAGAAATGATATTCATGGCATATTAATTGAAGAAAGCAAGATATGGATTTTGTATAATCAATTTTTCATAAAACAAAACTAAATATATTTATGTATAATTAAATGTATATATTTCATATATTTTATGTATAGATAATTAAATGTATATATTTTATAAATACAGAAAAATTAAAAAAACGAAAAATGAATTACTAATAGAGGTTATTTGCAGGAACCAGATTACATTTGTTACAGTGAGCATATTACTTTTGTAACAAAAGAAGATAAAAATTCAGTGTGATACATACATTAACAGCATGTAAGACTGAGGCTGTATAGAGGAGAGCATGATTAACTCCACTGATATGTGTGTGTCGGGGGTGGTTTGGGGAGTGGTATTAGAGAATGCTTGAAAGAGATTATGAAATATGAGCACAGCATTGTCCAGGGTAGAGAGGCAAAGTGGAAAAGGAAGAAAGGTACAGTCAAGGAGGACAATGAGTACACTGCCGTACTCATGATTTTCACAACTGCTCTATATAATTTGTAGACCAAAAAAAAGAAAGGCAAGCACGTATATAAAAGCAGGTTGTGGGCCAGGTGTGGTGGCTCACGCCTGTAATCCCAGCACTTTGGGAGGCTGAGGCAGGCGGATCACCTGAGGTCAGGAGTTCGAGACCAGCCTGGCCAACATGGCAAAACCGTCTCTACTGAAAATACAAAAATTAGCGGGGCGTAGTGGCATATGCCTATAATCCCAGCTACTAGGGAGGCTGAGGCAGGAGAATCGCCTGAATCCAGGAAGTAGAGGTTGCAGTGAGCCGAGATCATGTCACTGCACTCTGGCCTGAGTGACAGACTGAGACACCATCTCAAAAAAAAATAAAATAAAATAAAAGCAGGATGTGGCTAGGTGTGGCGGCTCACACCTGTAATCTCAGAACATCAGGGAGGCTGAGGCATGTGGAACACCTGAGCCCAGGTGTTGGAGACTAGCCTGGGCAACACAGTGAGACCCTGTCTCTCTCTCTCTCTCTTAAAAAAAGAAAAAGCAGAATGTGCCAAGGGAACCCTGAGTTAATTTGACATTTCTGGAACTTTGAAGTGTGAAGAGTGGCCAGGGTTTAGTAAGAGGGAAAGCAGGAGCCAGGCTGCTGAGGGCTTCTTGTACTGCCTGGTAGCACGAACACTGTTATGTAGGACAAGGTGACCACTGATGGGGTTGCAGCAGGAGAGTAACATCAGCTATGTGGAAGATGGATTGGAAAGAAGCAAAACTGGAAACTGGGGGGCCATTTAAATGATAAGCTATAATGAAGACTGAAACTAGTGGCGGGGTAAATTAGGAAAGCAGATGGATTTCAGAAGTATTTCAGAGGAAAATACACAAGACTTAGTGATTCTCTGGATATGGGTGATGTATAGAGAGAGATGTCTTGATTGACTTCCAAACTTTTGGCTTTGGTAACTGGGAAGATGGAGATTACACCAGCCAAGGTAGAAAATATAGATGAAAAAACAAGCTTATGAAAAGGAGAAGCAGCAAGAGGGTAAGAGGAAACACAGAAGGGACAAGCCTGATGGTGATGGTAGAGGGGTAGTAGCAGATGATTTTGTTTTTGGAGATGTTGAAGGTGAGATGCCTGTGGGCCATTAAGGAGGGCCATTAAGGGAAGTTGCCCAGTTGGCCATTAAGGCAAGTGGATGTATTAAGATTAATTGTTTTTTTTTCCCCCATTGGTAGTGTATTTAAAAAAACAAAACCCTGGCATAGTGGCTCACTCCTGTAATCCCAGCAATTTGGGAGGCGGAGGTGGACGAATCACTTGAGGTCAGAAGTTTGAGACCAGTCTGGCCAACGTGGTGAAATCCCGTCTTTACTAAAAATACAAAAATTAGTTGGCTTGGTGGCACAGGCCTGTAGTCCCAGCTACTCATGAGGCTGAGGCAGGAGAATTGCTTGAACCCAGGTGGCGGAGGTTGCAGTGAGCCGAGATCGCGTCACTGCACTCCAGCCTGGGCAACAGAGTAAGACTCTGTTTAAAAAAAAAAACAAAAAATACTAACTCTGTAGAAATGTAGTGTCAGGCCCTGTACTAGCACTGACTGGGATGCATGACAGACATAGTTCTTGGCCCTGCTCAACCTGAGAGCCCAGTGGAGATGCTATAGTCTAGAGCAGGGGTGTCTAATCTTTTTGCTTCCCTGGACCACACTGGAAGAATTGGCTTGGGCCACACATAAAATACACTAACAATAGCTGATAGCCCCCCCCAAAAAAATCACAAAAAAATCTCATAATGTTTTCAGAAAGTTTATGAATTTGTATTGGGCCACATTCAAAGCCATCCTGTGCCACATGCAGCCTATGGGGCCGTGGGTTGGACAAGCTTGATCTAGAGCTCAGGGGAAAGGTGTAGGCTGGAGTTCTCAACATACAGAGGGAGAGCGTTATGAGTGAGAATTAAACTCTTAGAATTGATAAGTTTCATTTACTGTGAATTGTACGCTTTACGCATATCATCTCATTTGAACTTCACAACAATCCTATGAAATAGTATTAAATTATTAAAGATGAGGAAAATGAAATGCAGAGAGCTAAGACTCAGAGGTCACAATCTGGCCTTTGGGCTGAATTTTATTCTAAGAGTTGTTTTGTTGCGTTGATTTAAAAATGCCTCTAGATGTGTTCACACTGTCATTTGTTACCTTCCTACATTTTCCATTGTCTTAAATCCTATGTATATGTGCTTTACTCATAACCTCTTGTTCCCTTTAGGCATTTGATTTTGTATACTGTGGTTTGCTTAAGTGCCAAAGGTTAAAGAACTAGAAAATGGATGACTTTTTTTATTTTTTATTTTTTGAGACAGAGTTTCGCTCTTGTTGCCCAGGCTGGAGTGCAGTGGCACGATCTCAGCTCACTGCCACCTCTGCCTCCCAGGTCCAAGCGATTCTCCTGCCTCAGCCTCCTGAGTAGCTGGGATTACAGGCATCTGCCACCATGCCTTGTTAATTTTTTTTGTATTTTTAGTAGAGACGGGGTTTTGCCATGTTGGCCAGGCTGGTCTTGAACTCCTGACCTCAGGTGATCCACCCGCCTCGGCCTCCCAAAGGGTTGGGATTACAGGCATGAACCACCGCACCCTGCCTAAAAATTGATGACTTTTGTGTAAACCAAAGACTGTGCTCTTAACCATTATACTATACTGTTGTGGTTGGCAGGTACAAGGATTCTTGATAAGGGTTAAGAAAATGCATTGTGTGGTGACGCAAAAGGACTGATGATACGTTTCTGGTCAGAAAGTAGGAAATCAGTTGAAGGTTTCAGATGTGTATTGGTTCTTGACTAGAAGCATTTTCTGACATGCTATTTTGTTAAATCTAAGGCTTGGAAAGCAATCTGAACCCCTAGCAATTATGTTATTCTGAAAATTTTCTGAAACATGGAGATAGTATTTGCATTTTGTGCAATTGGAAGGGGTGGAAGAATGACAGTTGGTCTATAACTACTAGAATTGCTTCTTTGTGTTGAAAAAGGTGGGTACTAGTTCCACTGGGAAAATAAATTCATGAGGCCTTTGATCATTATGACTGAAATGCAAGCCTGTTTTAAATATCCTGCTCTGCGGTGAGGTGTGCTAATCCTTGAGCAGCTAGATAGGAAATGAGTTCAAATTACTAACAGAAAACGGGGGCAGGCCGTGTGCTTCAGCTGGATTGGTGCAGAATTCTGAGAAGTGGGCCAAAGCCTGAGACTACAAAAGGTGATTTGCATCCAAATTTGTGCCACCCAGAGGAGCTGAAGAATTGAGTAATTTCTAGGTTTAAGAGCAGTCAGAAAGACTGCTCTTTCCGACTGAAAGAATGTTAATTTGCAGAGACCTGAAGCAGAATGTGGCTGTGAGGAGGTTTAATGTTTTAACAACATTGTGTTACATGTGATGAAGGGTTTCAACCCTGTCTCCTTTTTTGTGTCCTGGCAAAGCTATCCCTTTTCACATAATTAGCACTCTTCTGATGTCTTTCTCTAAGTGATATCTTGGATCCTTTTTATTTATTATTTAGAATAGTTGGCTTTGATAGGGCCCACATATATGTACAAACACAGATATATGCATATATATGTATACATATAAAATTGACAAACTTTGATGCAAAATTGTGAAAATTGGGGGGAAGATGTATATTGGGCATCTGGAGCTGAAAGCAGTTGAAGGCCTATTGAACTTCCGTCAGTTGAGAGTTAAGTACTCTTTTTATTTTTATTTTGAGATGGAGTCTCACTCTGTCTCCCAGGTTGGAGGGTAGTGGCACGACCTCAGCTCACTGCAGCCTCCGCCTCCTGGGTTCAAGCAATTCTCCTGCCTCAATCTCCCGATTAGCTTGGATTACAGGCATGTACCACCAGACCCAGCTAATTTTTGTATTTTTAGTGGAGACCGGGTTTCACCACGATGGCCAGGCTGGTCTCGAACTCCTGACCTCAAATGATCTGTCCGCCTCGGCCTCCTAAAGTGCTGGGATTACAGATATGAGCCACTGTACCCGGCTGAGAGTTAAGTACTCCTGAAAAACAAAACAAAACAAAACAAAAAAGCCCAGAAAAAACTCTCAGTAACTATATAAGGCAGTGGTCCCCAATCTTTTGGGTGCCAGGGACCTGTTTCATGGAAGACAATTTTTTCCTGGGGGTGGGGGCTAGGTGGATGGGGAAGGATGGTTTTGGACGATTCAAGTGCATTATATTTATTGTGCCCTTTATTTCTATTATTATTGCATTGTAATATATAATGAAACAATTACACAACTCACCATAATGTAGAATCGGTGGGAGCCCTGAGCTTATTTTCCTGCAACTAGATGGTCCCATCTGGGGGTGATGGGAGACAGTGACAGATCATCAGGCATTAGATTCTCATAAGGAGCATAACCTAGATCCCTCTCATGCCTAGTTCACAGTAGTTCCAGCTCCTATGAGAATCTCATGCCACAGCTGATCTGACAGGAGGTGGAGCTCAGACGATAATGTGAACCATGGGGAGCAGCTGTAAATACAGATTAAGCTTCCCTGGCTTGCCAGAGATTCACTTCTTGCTGTGTAGCCCGGTTCCTAACAGGCCATGGGCTGGTACCCGTTTGTGGCCCGGGGGCTGGGGACACCTTACATACATAAGGTGTTCACTACGAGATATAAGAGGACTTAGCCCAGGTGTTAAGGCAGTGTTCCAGGCCCCACTGTGGCTCTAATACATTTAGGGATCAGAATATGGACTCTCGAGAGCAGGTTGCTCCTATTATTGCTGGTAAACAAAATTTGCTAGAACGTGGAGATCAGCATATACTGTTAGATTCTGATACCGGAGACAATGTAAGCAGTTTCAGATGATATCAAAGGTACAGCATGCAAAAGTGGGTTGCTGAAATGGACCTGAGGATTCACAGGCAGCCAAAGTTCAGGGTTTTAGATAAATGAGGCACATAAACATTAAGATCTTGTAGGATGATTGCAGGTGTTAGGAGTAAATTTGGACTAATTAGGAATCTGTGTCTTCCACTAGGCTGTAAATTCTTTTAACATCTCCAAGGCCTGATAAAGGTTTTTGAATGAATTCGTGAAATACACGATTTCGGTGAAGAAAAGAATAAAGCAGGTGTCCAAACACTTGAGGTTTTACAGTATTGGCATAAAACATTTGGACCCCTGGCGCCTGGTATCAGGGACTTCCCGACGCTGGAAGAGTTCAGGGAAGGGAAGCGGGCCCCTCTGGCACCGAAGACACAGAATCCTAGCTACAGCTACTAAAGAAAAGAACACTATCAATTAGGGCCCGCGTCAGGTTCTCTGGATCTCCCCTTCTCCCATCCTTGACGCTCATCCCTGTGTTCTTTGCGGTGGGCCCGTCGGCCCTGCTGCCATCGATAGAAGCAGCACTCTCCCCGTCTGATTTCGCAGGGCCAAAGCCCAGGTGAGAGTCAGGGTAGTGTTCAGACTAGCCCACGCTCCGGTTCTGAGCCGCGACGGCGGTCTCCGCACGCAACGAAATCAGGCAGGACCGAACCTTGCGTCCTCCAGTGCAGCGAGTTCGGAAGCGACCGGCCGAGCGCGCATGTGCGGGACCCGACATTGTGCTTGTCCCATCCGGTGCTCCGTAGTTAGCCTCTGTGAGCTCCACGTAGGCCGCGCAAGCGCCCTTGGCGCACAGTTCACCTGCTGCCGTTGTCGTCGCCGCCGCGGCTCCCGGGGCTGGATGGGGGGCCGAGGCCAGCCAGTGGCACCCGGAAGAAAGAGACGCGGCGGCGGCGACGCCGACACCCTCAGGACGAGTGTCCGGACTTGCCCACAGCCTCAAGGAGGAGACGGCGAGGCCCGGCCCCCGCTGTCCCTGGTGTAAAGAAGTCGCCGTAGCCGTCGCGGCCGGGACTCCCCGGGCTCTCGCCCTTCAGGTTTCGTTGACACTCAGGACCGTACGTACGCTGCGCCATGTTCAAGAAACTGAAGCAAAAGATCAGCGAGGAGCAGCAGCAGCTCCAGCAGGCGCTGGCTCCTGCTCAGGTACGATGGCCGCCGCTCTCCTCCCCTGGTTCCGAATACCTCTTGAACCGGCCCGCGGACGAAAGAGGCGGGGGGAGTGGGGAAGTTCTTCCGTGACCTTTAACCCCTAACCCGCACTTTTCCCAAACTCCGGACCCAGAAGGAGCTCCGGGCGGTGCAGGTCGTCCGTAACTCCTGACCTGGATTTTCCCATCGCAAAACTTCATCCAGTCAATGAGTGGATGGGGGTGGCTGGATCCCTCGTGACATTCCATCTCCGTTAAGAGTTTTCTCCTAAGGCCAGAGTCCGAACTTGCATGATTTCTGATCCATATTTGAGGTTTTCCCACTCATCTGAGACCCCACGCTGGGAATGAGGGCGGGGTGGAAAAACCCGGGTCCCTTGTGATATCTGACCTCTGCTCGAGGGGTCCCCCTCTCTTTTGCCAGTCGTGAGATTTTGTATGGAATGGCCAGGATCCCGCACAATTGACCCTCGACGGAAGTCTCCTAATTCCAAACCCAGGTCCAGGGATTGAAGGCTGGGGAGTAGAGCCATCCTGGGTCAGGCTGCTGGTAGGAGCGGTGGGACCTGAAAGACGTGGCGGCGTGGCCGGCGTCCAGCGCCCGAGGCTGTCACGAGTTAGTCACTTCGCATAACTTGGTTAATCCGGGACTGGCGGGCGGAGGGGCAGACACTCTGCCTGTCCGGAGCTCTGCTCTGCTTTTTAAGTCTTGCTGCTCTGCGGACAGGGTTATGCTTGTTTTTCAGGAATGCTGTTGCTTTAGGAAATGCGTTTCCAGGGAAAAGGAGGCGTGTTAAGTAGTATTAATTTAAAGAAACAATTTCCTAAGCGTTCACTGGAGATGTTTCGATGCTGGCAGCACAGGGTCTTAACAGCGAAGACGTCGGTTTCTGCTTAATTTCTTCCCAGCCTTTTTGAATTTCAACAGACTGAGCAGATCTGTCCCTTAATTTTAGGGTTTTTGGTCTTTGCTTGCGGTTGCAAGAAAAGCTGAGTTTTGACTAACTTGGAGGCATTTCTAAATTCTTAACATACAACGATTGCATTAGGTTTATTCTGAAACTATAAATTGAAGTTGTTCTTTTTAAATGTAAAGCTCATGTGTAGTAAAACAGTGCTTGAGAAAAACATCAGAACACAACACTGAAGGGTTGCTTCTTTTCTCAAGTGCAAATGGTAATTAAAATTTAAATGGTAAAGATTGTCCTTTTCATACCATCTATTGCAGTCATTTACAATTTTACAAAACACTGTTAATTAAGAAACAAAGATAAACTTTAAAAGTGAGGTAGAGATGAGGAATGTGAGGAAATGGGCATGTTAGTGAATGTAAGGCACTTCCACTTGGGAATGTATAAAATGTAATTGAGCCAGGATTCCATTTCTAGAAATTTATTCTAAGAAAATTTAGGTTGTATTAAAGATTTAGCTCTATGGATTTTCACGTCAATGTTGTTTTAATAGGTTAAAAACTAGCCAAAAATGTCCAACAATAGAGAATTGGTTAAATTTTATCAGGCAATTAGTTATGCTTCATAGGTTATTATGCAGCCATAAAAAGTCAACATTTACTGTGTCATTAGTATGTACCAGACATTTTGCTTAGTATTTACACAGATTATTTAATCTCACATAAACCTGTGAGGTAGATAATACTATAATTCCTCTTTTATAGATGAAGGAGTGAGGCTCGAAGAGGTGAAGTAACTTGCCTAATGTTACGCAGCTAGTGTTAGAGTCTTCAGAAAAGTATTAACACAGAAGGATATTTGTGTTAAAAGACAGAAGCAGCAGGTAAAATGTGATCCCAGTTTTGGGAAAAAGAATCTGTATGTAAGTGTATTTATATACACACATAGTAAAACTAGTTTAAGAAGAATATACTTTAAGGTGCTGGTGAATTATTGAGTGTGCTTTTTCTTATTTGTAGTGTTTAGCTTTTCTTCGTGAAAATGAATTGTTTTTGTTCATTAACAAAGAGGTTTTTAGTAATAATAAGCTAGTCACAAACTAAGATATAAGAGCTCTGTTTCTATAGCTTAATGCTTCTGGTGAGACAGGGCATCTGGATCAAATAAAATCACTTTGTGTACGAAAGGTTTAAAATAATCCTTTTGGATTATATGTATATTCACTATGTTGGCCAGGCTGGTCTCCAACTCCGGACCTCTGGTGATCCGCCAGCCCCGGCCTCCCAAAATGCTGGGATTACAGGTGTGAGCCACTGCGCCTGGCCATTCGTGGTCTACTTTTGATAATTATTTTGTAACCTTTCTTTCTGCCTGCCATATATTTTTCTCCTTGCTTGTGAATTGTTGTGATCTTAGAAACAAAAAATGTGGCCTGGTATGGTGGCCTTACGCCTGTAATCCCAGCACTTTGAATCGCTTGAACTCAGTAGTTCAAGACCAGCCTGGCCAAGATGGCAAAATCCCATTTCTGGCCTGGCACCGTGGCTCATGCCTGTAATCCCAGCACTTTGGGAGGCCAAGGCGGGCGGATCACCTGAGGTCTACTAAAAATACAAAAATTAGTGGGGCGTGGTGGCGCACACCTGTAATCCTGGCTACTCCAGAGGCTGAGGCAGGAGAATTGCTTGACCCTGGGAGGCAGAGGTTGCAATGAACTGAGATCGTGCCACTGCACTCCAGCCTGGGAGACAGAGCGAGACTCCGTCTCAAAAAAAAAAAAAAAAATATGTTTTAACAACAAATACCTATTTTGGATTTTTAAACTCCTTAAAGAACTAAGTCAATAAAAGAAACATCAAGAAGTAATACAGACATTGTAATTTCTTGGGATATATGTAGTACATGAATACAAATATTTTAAAACATTTTTAGCCTTTTCAAGTACTTCTAAAACTTAAAAATTATAGAAGTATAGATACAAAAGGATGAATACATGACTCCACTTAATTGAGGTACCTAGAGTAGTCAAATTCTTAGAGACAAAATAGAATGGTTGTTGCCAAAGGCTGGAGAGAGGAGAGAATGGGGAGTTACTGTGTAGTGGGTACAGAGTTTTAGTTTGGAAAGATGAAAACGTACTGGTGATGGATGGTGGTGATTCCACAACAGTGTGAATGTAGTTCATGCCACTGAATTGTACAGCTACAAATGTTTAAAATGGTAAATTTTATGTTATGTATATTTTTAAAAAATCAACATATACGCCCCTCCTTATGCCTGCAGAATCATCCCTTATTTTTTTCCCTCAGCTCAGAGATGGCAGCTGACCTCACTCTTTTAGAGTGAGACCCCAAAATAATAGTTTATGTGATATAAATTTAAAAAATAAAAACAAAAAAACCAGCAAACAGTTCCACAGATAACAGGGAAAAGAGTCCTTTCTGAAGGGACATAGCCTTATTGTAAATCCAAGTTTACTAAATAGTTTCAGTCTTGAAATTGGGGAAAGCATGAGTCCCAGAGAAAACATTTAGATCAGAAGGTAGTTTATTAAGAACATGATGAAAGGCTTTAATAAGTTTGGTACCTAAAATATAAAGGTTTATTTGAAGAATTAACCCCAAGTTACTTTGACTGCTCTTTTAGAACTGGGATGTCAAATTGATTTGGCAGTGACTTACAACAGTGCTGTGATGAGGATTCAATGGCTGTGTCTCTGCTGTGACTAATCCATAGGTGTTGTAGGGAGAGTGAAATGAACCAGATGTTAGTTATGAACAGTGAATGCCTAGGTCCTCTGCTGGATGTTGCATTTGCTTTGAAGGGTCTATGTAGTCCCTACACAATGGAGTTGAGAGACAAGTACTTTCAGTGTAATAGTGATATATACAGGGTGTTGTAGTTGTGCAAAATAAGGCATTTCTGGAGAAGATCAGGGTGACATCTGAGTAGAGCCTTGATGGATAATGAAAAGTCATGGTATAGGGACAAGGGATTCAAGGCTTATTCCTAAGGATGACTGGATTAGTTTTCTAATATTGCATAACAAGTTACCACAACCTTAGTGCCTAATAACCCAGTTATTATTTTATAGTTCTGTAGGTCAGAAGTCTGGCATGGCATGACTGGGTTCTCTGCTCAGGGTCTTGCAAGGCTAAAATCAATATGTTGTCCAAGCTGCTTTCTCATCTGGAGCTCAGGATCTTTTTGTATGCCCATGTGGTTGTGGTAGAATTCAGTCCTTTCTGGTTATAGGACTGGGGCCTTCATTTCTTGCTGACCACTTTCGGCTTAGAGGCTACCAGCAGCTCCTTGCCACGTGCCCCTGTAGGCATTTTGCTTTCTTTCAGGACAGCAGAAGTACGTCCCTCTGCCCTCTAGACCCATATTTGAAGGGCTTATGTAATTAGTTTAGACCCATCCAGGTAATCTTTTGATGAACTCATGGTCAACTGATTAGTAACCTAGTAACCTTAAATATGCCTTTAAAATCCCTTTGCCCTGTAATATAACAATTATGAGAGTGATAGCTCATTATATTCACAGGGCAGGGGTCATTTGGGGTCATCTTACAGTTTTGCTTATCACAATGACTAAAATGGTTTTTCTTAAGTTTTTGTAGAGTCAGGGTCTTACTGTGTTACTCAGGCAGTCTTGAACTCCTGGCCTCAAGTGATCGTCTTGCCTTGGCCTCTCAAAGTGTTGGGATTACAGGCATGAGCCACTGTGCACAGCTAAAATGGTTTTTCTTACACTGAAATTGAGTATAACTGTGGTCAGTTAATAATTAGGCAGTGGGCAATAAAATATTAATTGTGGGTCTGGATGTAGCTGTCAGGTTTTTTGGTTAACAGCTTAGAAAGCTGACTCAGATTTCTTATGGCTATTGCAATTAATCAGCTCAAGTTTGGTTTGAAGGAACCTAAATCCCTTTATATCTTGAAGTGAGGATAGCCCATTAAGGAACCAGGCACCTGGGACAAATGCTGAAGTACAGTTAGTTCTTTATGCACTGTTATATACTTTATACTCACATCCATTTTCTCATATAATTCTTACTCTTGTAACTCCAGAGGAAGATCCAGAGGAAGATCAACAAGTCATCAGGCCACGTTTTGCCAGATAGTACTACTTTTCTAGGGAGAGTATGTTTTAGAATCTGTTAAACTTTGTAAACCCCGTTATTTGATTTTTTTGTCAGTTTCTCCAGAGCTGATGAGGCTCTCAGTTACTGATTAGACCATATGAGGCCAAGGTGTAAGACGTAATGCCAATTTTTCAGATTTGCAGTGAGGTATACTTTTTAAGCAGTTGGAAGGTCACTGTCTAAGGTAGCCCTTTCCTGGCATCTGGATATTTGGAAAGCTGAATTAATAACCCAGAGATTTCTTAGACATGATAGAATCACAACAGAGAGAGTTGATTAGTCAAGAGGTATTTCCTGTGGTCTAGTAGTACTTTTCTAACTTTTTACCACCCAGTGACCATTTTATTAAAGGAGTTCTTAGATATAATCATTTATAAATACATAGATACAAAAGGCTGCCCCCATAGTGGCAGCCTTTGAGGCACCTACAGCCTTTGAAGCTGGCACTGGCATGGTTTGCAAATTATGGCTCTAGGTGTGGGAAGGGTTTATTGAATTTATCTCAACTTTAATGAAAGCTATTTCTGATGTTCTTTGAACATTTGTAATTTGAACGTGGTGTTCAAGGTAGGCTCAAACTTATTCCAAGACTGAGACTAATACTACACAGTGACTGTGCTTTCCCTTGCCATTTTCTAAGTACAATGTTGACTTTTAGTCACATATTTTCTAGACATTTAAACCATTGCTAAGGCTTCAACTTTATTTCACATTGATTGATTTTCTTGTTTATATGCTTTTTTTTTTGAGACGGAGTCTTGCTCTGTCACCCAGGCTGGAGTGTAGTGGTGCAATCTTGGCTCACTGCAACCTCTGCAGTTGAAGCAATTCTCCTGCCTCAGCCTCCTGAGTACCTGGGATTACAGGCGCACAACACTACTCTTGTTCATGTTTTTAAGTCCTTATTCTTCCTGTTTTGTCTTTGGTGGGAGAGGATATGTCATCCCTTAAGGTGACTTCTGCACATAGCTAATTTCATCTGTTGTATTGATTTTTCTGGTTCATCTTTTAGAAGGTGTTGGAGTTCTTGGTTGTAAGCAACAAAAAGTCAATCTAGGTAAGCAGAAAAATAATTTATTGAAGACTCTTTACCCTACAGAATTTCCCTGAGGTCCCAAAAGTCTGAGCTGATTGCTACGTCCAGTTATACTGGGGAGACTACTCTGTGTTGCAGCTGCTTCAGCTTGGCACCAGCATTGCATCTGTCACTTCACAGCTTATATTTGTGTGGATGCATGAAGTTCTGTCTCCATTGTCATCAGATGATGAACTTTATTTGTATGTCTGTTTTTTCACATCACTCACTTATGACTCGAAGTCTCATGTGTTTCATTGATGGAGCTCAGGTTACCCTGTCTCAGATAAAAAGAAGATTGGGTTAGTAAGTTTTCTGAGTTCTAACTTACGGACTTATAAGAGCTGTTTATAGAAAAAAGGTTATTAAACTTTTGTCATATTTGTAGATGCTTTTCCTCACCTCCCAATTAAACTGCTGCTTTGATTTGTTTTTCACATAAAAATCTCTTTCCCATTCAGAGATTGTAGAAATAGACTCTTGAATTTTTTGTATTTCAATAAAAAAAATTAAATCTTTAATATAGCTTAAGTATGAAGGATCTGATTTGTGTGTCTTGCCCCATATGGATGGCCAGTTGTCCCAACATTTATTGAATGTCTATCCTGATGCAAAATGTTACTTTTATCATAAGCTAAATATGTATATGTCTGTCTGGATGTATATATGTGTATATAGAGTATGTGTATATTTGTATACTATTCCTCACGACCTCTCAGTTCCACCCTAACCACAGCAGTTTGTGCACGGATACCACAGACCAGAGTTCCATTTGTTTATTCATTCATTCATTTATTTGACAAATATTTATTAACTGCCTTTTGTAAAGTGCAGACTACAAAAAGAGGTAAGATATCATGACTCATTCATTTCTCAAAATAGATCTGAGTTCAGATCTATTTTGCTGTGGGTGTAGGGGGATTTCAAAATTTTGGTTTTATACTTTTAGGGTTGTTTTTAGCTCACCTTAGAGTAGACCCCAGACCTCTAGTTTAAATTTTGAGCCCTTTCTCCTGAGTTTTTTTGCGCTGAGGGTTATAGGAGTCAGGCTGTCAATTACAGAGCTAAATGGAATAGCATCTCAGTATTTAGCAGTGGTATTCAAGGTAGGCTCAAAGCAAGGCCATTAATTAGGTGGGCAAGTGCTGTTTATCTGTGCATTTCATACTATTGAATGTTAGAGCTAGAAGGTAGAAGGGATCTTAAAGATTGAATTGCCAGCCTTTTTTTTTTAAATGAACTTCTAATTTTGGAATAATTTTGGTTTATAGAAAAGTTCTAAAGATAGTGCAGAGAGTTTTTATATACCCCTCACCTGGCTTCAGTTTTCTCTAATATTATCATCTTACACTAGTATCGCAACTTTATTTTATATATGGAGACACATAGTCCTCAAAAAGTTCATGTAGCTAAGATCATAGTTCTAGTTGGTGGCAGAGTTAGGCCAGGGACCTAGTAGGTAGCCTGGGTTTTCTAGTTGATTATATTTGTTATCCTTTTCTGCTTTTCGTGTTTTTGCTCTTTTCCTTTCTTTCACTGAATTCTTTGGGCATGGACTGAGAGAAGGACTACCTAGTTCATAGTTCACTAGTCAATATAGTCTTGCTAATTTGTGCAATAATTTTTAAATCTAGGCGTCCTCCAATTCTTCAACACCAACAAGAATGAGGAGCAGGACATCTTCATTTACAGAGCAACTTGATGAAGGTACACCCAATAGAGAGGTAAGTTTGGAATTCCTTTTCTAGTATACCTCTCAAAAGAAACTAATCTAAAATGTATGCTGTTGATAACAAAATGGGAAACTTTTGACAGGTCAGCTATTTAATTCCTAGGTAGAGTTTTTATTAGTAACACAATTGGTCTTTTTTTTTTTTTTTTCACAAATAGCAGTTATGATTTATGTCTGTCTGTCTGTCTGTATGTATGTATGTATGTTTTTGAGACAGGGTCTGGTTCTGTCACCCAGGCTAGAGTGTGGTGGCACGATCACTGCACATTGCAGCCTTGACCTTCTGGATTCAAGTGATCCTCTAACTTCAGCCTCCTGAGTAGCTGGGACTATAGGCGCACGCCACCTGCCTGGCTAACGTTTAAATTTTTCGTAGACGGGGTCCCACTATGTTGCTCAGGCTGGTCTTGAACTCCTGGGCTCAAGTGATTCTCCCAATTATGCTTTATAAAGTATGGTTGTTGAGAACCTTAATTTGAGAGGATAATATGTTCTGGATTTAATAGTTGAAGTTTTCAGAATAATTTGATAAATTTGTTCAACATAGCATCATTTTTTCAAGCTGGTGAGTGGAAACTGAGAAGTAACTTATTTAACTTATTCCATGTAACCAGCAGCTGGCATTAAAACTCATTATTTCCCACTTTTTTTCTGTGAAGTGTAACACACATACAAAAAGAAGGTAAAACATAAATGCACGGGTCAGCAAATTATCATGAAGTGAATCCTCCCAGGTCAAGCAAAGGAACACTGTTAGCACTGTCGTGCTCCCTTTCCCCCTGAAGGATTACCACCATCCTGAATTTTTGGTATTTGCTTGCTTCCTTTTTTTTTTTTTTTTTAATAGTTTTACCTCTTAAATATGCTTTCTAAATGTAAACATTGTAGTTAAACATTTGGGTTGTCTACAGGTTTTGGCTACTATGAATTATGTTGCCATCAACATTATTGTACTTTTTTTTGGTGTACATGTACCTGCATTTCTGTTGGTATGTACTTTGGAGTAGAATCACTGCTCCATTTTAACACATAAGAAGATAATGCTGATGGTTTTCCAGAGTGGTTGTAGAAATTTAAATTCTCACCAGGAGCTTATGAAAGTTGCTTTTGCCCTATATTTTTGAGAGTCTTTATTTTTCTACTCTGTGTAAATATGCTGGAAAACAGTCTTTTTCATTTCAGCTGTTCTGGTGGTGGTCTTTCATTTTGGTTTTAATTTACATTCTCTGATAACTAACGAGATTGAGCATTTACATCTGTTTATTGCCCATTTGATGTCTTTTGTGAGTGCTTAAGTCCCTTGCCCATTTTCTATTGGATTATCTTTTTTTAAAACTGATTTGTAGGAGTTTTTTAAAAAATATAGAATACTAAGGAGTTTTTTGTTGAATATATATCTTGCAGCTATCTTCCACTCAGTGGCTTGCCATTCATTTTAATGATGTCCTTTGATGAACAGAAGTTCTTAGTTTTAGGCCAAGTATGGTGGCTCATGCCTGTAATCCCAGCGCTTTGGAAGGCCAAGGCAGGAGGATTGCTTGAGTCCAGGAGTTTGAGACCAGCCTGGGCAACAGAGTGAGACCCTGTTTCTGCAAAAATAAAATAAAATAAAATTAGCTAGGTATGGTGGCATGCACCTGTGTGGTCCCAGCTACTCAGGAGGCTAAGGCAGGGGCATTACTTGAGCCTCGGAGGTCGAAGCTGCAGTGAACCATGATTGCACCAGCCTAGGTGACACAGTAAGACCCTGTCTTTCAAAAAAAAAAAAAAGCCTGGTTCCCATCCATTTCCCATCCCTGACAGTACCTTCTATCTTAGAAGTTTAACAAAATGAGAAACCGCATAGGGTACAGGGAAATGATGAAAAAATTAATTTAATGTCCTTTTAACCAAAAACTTAATTATATAATTGAAAAATCCTTTATTTATTATAAAATAAGTTGAAGTAAGGTTTAGATTGCACTCTGTGGTCAAAGTACCTGTTAAAGTTGTCAAAAAAGCTTAAAAAGCAAGGAGATGAAGTGATGACAATGCTTTGTCATTCTATCCGAAACCATCTCTTAGCTAGGATTGTTAATATTAAAATTTAGAAAGAAATAAATAAACTTTAGCTGACTTGGTCGATTGTAAAAGAGTGCTAAAACCAAATCTTTCAGAAATAATTATTTTGTAAAGGTATATTCAATTAAATTATTTTAAAGCATCCTAGATTTTTAAAAAGTATTTTAAAAAAGCAATGGTAGCAGTCAGCCGGGCATGGTGGCTCACGCCTGTAATCCCAGCACTTTGGGAGGCCGAGGTGGGCAGATCACTTGAGGCCAGGAGTTCGAGACCAGCCTGATCAATATGGTGAAACCCTAAAAAAATACAAAAATTAGCCAGACGTGGTGACACGTCCCTGTAATCCCAGCTATTTGGGAGGCTGAGGCAGGAGAATCAATTGAACTCAGGAGGTGGAGGTTGTAGTGAGCTGAGATCGTGCCACTGCACTCTAGCCTGGGCGACAGAGCGAGACACAGTCTCAAAAAAAAAAAAAAAATGGTAGCAATCAACATAATTCTGCACTATTTTCAGTGTTTCACTTTATTGTATGCAAACTAATATACTATAATGTCAATCAATATACTGAGTATAGAAATGATGCCATTAATACTGATTGCAAAAACATTACAACTCAGTACTGCAGCTTTCATTCAAATAGGTTATATGTATAAACTGAGTTCAACAATATTGTATTTGAGATGGTAAAGTTAAAGAAATGCAATAATGTAAATAATACTTAAGAAAATAAGATCTCAGGAAACTGTATATACTCTGTACTTTTATGCAACTTTATCAGATCATTTCAGTATATGCATCAAGGATATAGTGTATATGACATGAACTTTGAGTGCAAAAACTGTACTATGTACCTTTTGTTTATTTTGCTGTCAACATCTAAATAAAGGTTTTTTTGTTTGTTTTTTGTTTTTTTAATTGTTTTGTTTTAAAGATTGTTTTAATTAATTAAAAAATTAATTGTTTTAATTAAACAATTGTTTAATTGTTTTAAAGTCGCCAGGCTGGAGTTCAGGGGTGCAGTCTTGGCTCACTGCAACCTCCGCCTCCTGGGTTCAAGTGGCTCTCCTGCCTCAGCCTCCCTAGTAGTTGAGACTATTCGCCACCATGCCCAGCTAATTTTTTGTGTTTTTACTTGAGACGGAGTTTCACCATGTTGCTGAGAATGGTCTCAATCTCTTGACTTCGCGATCTGCCTGCCTCGGCCTCCCAAAGTGCTGGGATTACGGGCGCGAGCCACTGTGCCGGGCCGTATTTTTACAATTTTTAAATTAGCTTATATATTATATATATTAGCTTATTATATTATTATTAGCTATTATATATAATATACATTATATAAATTAGCTTATATATTATATATATAGCTTATATATATTTTAAATTAACTTATACCCTATTATCTAGAAATCCCATTTCTAGAAATCTGTCCTATAGAACAATAGCATTTTAAATGTATATCCACAAGGCTTACTGTAGAAAGCTATTTATAATACTAAAAAAATGATAAAGTTTGATTTGCAATATTAAGGCTTTTTCCAAACTTATCTTTAGACTCAGTGCAATCCCAGTCAAAATCCTTATAGGTTTGTTTTGTTGTCATCATTATTATTATTATTATTATTTTTGAGGCAAAGTCTCACTCTGTCACCCAGGCTGGAGTGCAGTGGTGCGATCTCAGCTCACTGCAACCTCCACCTCCCGGGTTCAAGCAATTCTCCCTGCCTCAACCTCCCGAGTAACTGGGATTACAGGCACCCACCACCATGCCTGGCTAACTTTTTATATTTTTAGTAGAGACAGAGTTTCACCATGTTGGCCAGGCTGGTCTTGAACTCCCGACCTCAGGTGATCCATCCGCCTCGGCCTCCCAAAGTGCTGGGATTACAGGCATGAGTCACCACGCCTGACCTTTATATGTCCCTTTTATAAAGAAGCCTGAGGCACTCCAAACAAAGACAGATTTATTTGGGTTTATATACAGTATTTACCAACACAGGAAAGTAGACATATTAGTATTTTCAGCAATAGATAAAAAGGCAAAACCTTTTTTTAACTTAATGAAATCAGGAAATTAACTTAATGAAACCATTCTACCACCTAAGCATTCCAGATACGTAGACTTTACTGTGTCTACTGTTGCGGTGGACAAATATTTATGTTTTGAGCTAAATTTCCACATTTTCTTTTAAAAAAAAGCATTTTTTTTTTTTGTTTTTTGAGACAGGGTCTCACTCTGTTGCCCAGGTTGAAGCATAGTGGCACAATCTCAGCACTACGCAGCTTCAACCTCCTGAGCTCAAGTGATCCATCCACCTTGGCCTCGTAAAGTGCTGGGATTACAGGCATGAGTCACCGCACAGGGCCAAACAAACAAACAAACAAACAAAAAAACACTTAACACTTAAAATAAATCCAAGCCAGTCACAGTGGTGTGCACCTGTAGTCCCAGCTACTCAGGAGGCTGAGGCAAGAGGATCCCTTGAGCCCAGGAAATGGTTTTTCAATATGGTGTGAAGTAGGGATCAAGTTTCATCCCCTCCAGTATGTGTATCCGGTTGTCTCATCTTTTTCACACTGCTCTACTGTTCTACATTTTTTCATTAATTGGGTCCATATGTCCATATTTGAGTGGCTGAGTTCTCTATTCTGTTCCATTGTTCTCTTTGATACCACACTGTCTTAATGAGTATCGTTTTACATTCATGCTTTATATTCATGTCCATATTTGAGTGGCTTTGTTTCTGAGCTTTATATATTCCGTTCCACTGTTCTCTTTGTCTTTGATTCAATACCATACTCCCAGCTATTCAGGAGGCTAAGGCAGGAGAATCGCTTGAACCCAGGAGGCGGAGGTTGCAGTGAGCCGAGGTCGTGCCATTGCACTCCAGCCTGGGCAATAAAAGCAAAACTCCATCTCAAAAAAAAAAAGGGACATAAAAAAAATCTATATTATTATAAACATTGAAGGCAGAGGAGAGTAGACTGAATTTGCATTGACTCTGAAGTCTACATTAAGTCTACTCTGGGTACTCTCCTATCCTGCGCAAATGGCAGATCTGTCTATTTGATCATAGCACTCTCTCCTGGTGATCCTAGGCATAGCCCCACTATCCTCAGAGTAGGGCTTCCTGTCCTTGTTGTTGCTTGAGGTTAATCTTTTTTGCTTCCCTAGTTCTGGGTTGCTTTAGAGCAACATGTGATGTAGGATCCTGTAAGGGATTAACTAGGGCAAATGAAGCTAACATCCTCCTATCCTCTGCCCCACTCCAGATTGGACCTGGACTTTTTCAGCGATAGGGTATCACTATGTTGCTCTGGCTGGCCTCCAACTCCTGGGCTCAAGGGACCCTGATTTTTTTTTTTTAATTGAGTTTAAATTCATATAACATAAATTAACCATTTAAAGCAAACAATTAAGTAGCGTTCAGTACATTCCCAGTGTTGTACATTCATCACATCTATCTAGTTCCATAACATTTCCATCACCCCAAAATGAAACCCCATGCTGATTAAGCAGTCATTCCCACTCCTTCCTCCAACCCCTAGCAACCATTAATTTGCTTTCTGTCTTAATGGATTTACCTTTTCTGGATATTTCATATAAATGGAATCATTCGATATGTTACCTTTTGTGTCTGACCACTTTTACTTAGCTTAATGTTTTCAAGATTCATTTGTGTTGTAGCATGTATCTACTTTCTTTTTATAACTGAGTCTAATGATTTTTTTTAAGGGAGTAAAAATCTATGTACTGTATTAGTACCTGGAATAAGACCTGGAATAGACTGGTGAGGAAAGGATGGTTTTTGGTGTTACCTGGATCAGCCCAAGTTTACATCCTGTCTTTGCTGTTTGCTGACTGAAAGATCTATTAAAGTTAACTTTTCAGTCTCAGGTTTTCTCATTTGTAAAATGAGAAATTTTTGAAGTTTTGGGGATTACCAGTAAGAAGGCATGTACATCTCTAGTGTGGTACCTTGCACGTAGTAGGTGCTAACTAAGTTATTAGGGACAGGCTTGGAAGAGGGGAGGGGCTGCTCCCCTTCCTCTTTTTAGGTCTTTGTGTGAGGGGAGGGGAACAGATGTACTATTATGTGGATTAGGGTCCTAGGGATGTTATCTCTGTGTCACTTTGCCTATTGAATTTATGAAGGAAGGATTGATAGCTTCATTTTGCCTCCTATCCTGCTCTCTCTGGTTTGCTGTCTTCCTGAGACACTTCCTTATTTATTAGAGGCCATAGTAACCATGTCCATTGTTATCCTGGGGCCTTATCCACAAACAACTTTCATATTGTTTTTAAATTAAATTCCAGAATTAGGTGTGTTTTCATATATATACATATATATATATATATATATGTATGTATATATGTATATATACATACATATATATGTATGTATATATGTATATATACATACATATATATATGTATGTATATATGTATATATACATACATATATATATGTATGTATATATGTATATATACATACATATATATATGTATGTATATATGTATATATATATGTGTGTATATATATATGCTCTGTATATATATATGTGTGTATATATATATGCTCTGTATATATATATGTTCTGTATATGTATGCTATATATATAGCATATATATGCTCTGTATATGTATGATATATATAGCATATATATATGCTCTGTATATGTATGAGATATATAGCATATATAGAGAGCATATATATAGAGCATATATATGATATATATAGAGCATATATATATATAGAGAGCATATATATATGCTGTCTGTATATATATATGCTCTGTATATATATGCTCTGTTGCTCAGGCTGGAGTGCAGTGGCATGATCTCAGCTCACTGCAACCTCTACCTCCCAGGTTCAAGTGATTCTCCTGCCTCAGCCTCCTGAATAGCTGGGATTACAGGCATGTGCCACCACACCCAGCTAATACTTGTGTTTTTAGTAGAGATGAGGTTTCACCATGTTGGCCACGCTGGCCTGGAATGCCTGACCTCAAGTGATCTGCCCACCTTGGACTCCTAAAGTGCTGGGATTACAGGCATGAACCACCACACCTGGCCCCAGTTGTTGAGAATTCTTAAGCACATTTTAGAGATTTATTTTATGTTTCAAGGCTTATATGGCTTAAAGGCATCGTTTTAGGGATTACTGGGAAGTATCTTCAAAGTAATACATGAGAAACATTCCTTCCTAAATCCTTTATTATATTGAATATCGTATTAATTGGTTTTCAGAGGTTAAATTAACCATGTATTCCTGCAATAAATGTCACTTGTTTCTTGTATATAATCTTTTTTATATATTACCGGATTGATTCATTAGTATTTTGTTGAGGATTTTTGTGTCTATATTCATAAGAGATGCTGGTCTGCAGTTTTCTTTTTTTGTGATAATCTGGTTTTTGTATCAGTAATACAGCCCCCATGAAACGAGTTGGGAAGTGTTCACCTCTCTTGTATTTTTTCAAGAGTTTGTGAAGAATTGCTATTAATTCTTTAAATGTTTGGTAGAATCTACCATTGAAATCATGTGTCCTGGGCTTTTTTTTGAGGGAAGTGTTCTGATAACTAATTCAGTATCTACTTTTTATAGCTCTGTTCAGATTTTGCTTCTTCCTGAGTTAGTTTTGGTAATTTGTGTATCTCTAGGAGTTTGTCCATTTCATTTATCTCATTTGTTGGCATAAATTAAACTAAATTTGGCCTGAGCCTACCTGTATATCTTGAGTCCCTCTGTAAGGAACTGTAGCCTAACTTGTACATAAACAAACTGAAATCCTAAATTAGGAATGTAGTTTTTGTAACAGCTCCTGAGTCTCAGGCAGTCACAGCAGTCAAGTCTGTCAATTGCAGGCTGCTAACTAAGCAGCCCATGCTCAAATGAGGCAAAAACCTTTGCTTTTAACACATAGTATAGCTTTGTAATCCTTTTCTGCACACTCGGGTAATTTCTTCTTTTTCATTCCTGATTTTCATGATATGAGTCTTCTTTTTTCCCCTCTGTCAGTCTAGCTAATGGTTTGTCAATTTTGTTGATCTTTTGAAGAACAAACCTTTGGTTCCACTTTCTTGTTGCATATGCTGAGTATTCTCATAATTGGAGTGGAAAGCTGATCTTTGATTACTTATTTTACTTAGGGCTGAGGAGTTCATGGACTTCGCAAAACCTCCTTGAATCTAAATTGCATCTTCTTTCCTGGTTTCTGGGCTGATACATGTTTTTTCCCATCTTATATACCCTTGGTCTTTTCATTGGCGATTAAGACTAGAGAAAGTTAGATACCTTGTCCTTTTATGCTGTCATTTTGTTTAAAGGCTTTCTATGTAGTAAAACTATCTATATAGACAAAATAGAGCCTTGAGTTGTGGTCTTGAATTTGATCAACATGATTTACCACATTCTGTACTGGATATTTCTTCACCTGCTGCTACTGTAAACCATTTTATTCTTGGATCTTCTGTAGAGTATATTATCACAGGTACTTTTTACAGGGGTGTCTAATCTTTTGGCTTCCCTGGGCACATTGAAAGAAGAAGAATTGTCTTGGGCCACACATCAAATACGCTAACACTAATAATAGTTGATGAGCTAAAAAAAAAAAAAAAAAGCAAAAAAGTCTCATAATGTTTTAAGAAAGTTTATGAACTTGTGTTGGGCCTCATTCGAAGCCATCCTGGGCCACAGGTTGGATGAATTTAATTGACCCAAAATCATAAGGGTTCTACTAACAGTTGTACTTAACAGTATCTGGGAAGATAGAAACAGGGCCATCTGCCAGGTGTGGTGGCTCATGCCTGTAATCCCAGCACCTAGGAAGGCCGAGTAGGGTGGATTACTTGAGGTCAGGAGTTCGAGACCAGCCTGGCCAACATGGTGAAACCCACCCCACCCCCGCTGTCTCTACTAAAAATATAAAAACTTAGCTAGGTATGTTGGCGGGCACCTGTAATCCCAGCTACTCAGGAGGCTGAGGCGGGAGAATCGCTTGAACCTGGGAGGTAGAGAGGTTCCAGTGAGCCAAGATTATGCCACTGCACTCCAGCCTGGGCAACAAGAGTGAAACTCCGTCTCAAAAAAAAAAAAAGAAACAGGGCCATCTGTCTTTGAGGCAGAGGGATTTACACCCTTGCTAAGACACTAAAGTTTTTTGCTAAGGCACTAAACTTTTTAGGCCCTTCCCCCAGTATTACACATGAGAGATGATAATCAAGCCTTTGTTGCCTATGAGTGAAAAGGAATCTAAAAATCACTGAAATAAATAATAATAGTTTTTCAAGGAATTTCAAAGAAGTTTTTTCACATGGGAAAGGACTGCTAGGCTGGATGTGGTGGCTCACACCTGTAATCCCGGCAATTTGGGAGGCTGCAGCAGGAGGAATGCTTGAACCCAGGAGTTGGAGACCAGTGTGGGCAACATAGTGAGACCCTGTCTCTACCAAAAAAAAAAAAAAAATTAGCCAGGTGTGGTGGTGTGCACCTGTGGTCCCAAGCTACTTAAGAGGCTTAAGTAGGAAGATTTTTTGATCCCAGGAGGTCGAGGTTGCAGTGAGCCATGACTGCGCCACCGCACTCCACCCTTGGTGACAGAGCAAGACCCTATCTCAAAAAAAAAAGAAAAAAGTCTGCTGGTTGTTGTTGGAAATAATCAGTCACAGTGGCATGCTGCCTAACATGCTAAATCCTCACCTGGAAGACTTTAGGACTTTCGGTCAAATCATGCTGTGATTTGACCCTTGAGGCACCCTTGCTGTTTCAGTCATGGAAGTAGTAGATAAAACTTAAAAAACATTGAGACATGTATCTGAGTTCACAAACAAGGTAAACATCTCCTTGGGCTGAGAGGGAATGAATCCTTGGTCCTAGAGGGTTTGGGGTTGGGACAAAGGCAGCCATTTTCAACTAGGGTTTTGTGAGAGAATTAAGCCCTATGGAAAATGATTTGAGTAACTGCAGTTTTTAATTCTTCCAAGTATGGTATGAAACTAGTACCATGCTATATATACACAGTAGATACATTAATTCATTGTATACAGGCATTTGGATTTAATTTTCTCTTTGAACTCTGGTTGAGAAGGACTGGAAATGTTCTATACAGAGGAGATTTTGTGTTACAAGCTGAGAGCTAATGTGGGGCTCCTAGCACTGGTGAAAGGAAGTTGAAAAAAGCTGTCACTAACTGCTGCCTAGAGCTCTCAGTGGTCCATTATGGGAAACTGCTGTCCTTAGGGAGGCCTCATGACCAAGAATCGAATCCAGCCTCACATTATCTTAGTGATTGAGTTTGTGATAACCCCTATATTGCCATAAGGTAAGAAACCTGAACCAAGGCCTTGGGTATCAGATTGGCTGGATAAGGAGGGATGAGCACAGAAGGAAGGACAAAGATAATACCTTTTTCAAGATGAGCCTGTAAATGAAAATTCTAAAATAAATGCTAAGAAGGCCACCAGTAAAAACAGAGATTAAGACATATTTACTCCAGATGAAATTAAAGTAATACAACAGTCTGGAAATTACTTTAAAACAACTTTCTTCCATAAGAAAAAGGAAGTAATAATTTTCTTAAAAAGAACAGAAAATTGTAGAAGAAAAAGAGGCCAAAACAAAACTAGACTAGATGGATACGAAAAATAACTAATTAGAAATCCTGGAAATTGGCCGGGCGTGGTGGCTCACGCCTGTAATCTCAGCACTTTGGGAGGCCAAGGCGGGCAGATCACTTGAGGCCAGGAGTTCAAGACCAGCCTGGCCAACATGGCAAAACCCCATCTCTACTAATAATACAAAAATTAGCTGGGTGTGGTGGCACATACCTGTTATCCCAGCTACTCGGGAGGCTGAATGAGGCAGGAGAATTAGTTGAACGCGGGAGGTGGAGGTTGCAGTGAGCTGAGATGGCACCACTTCCTGGGTGACAGAGTGAGACTCCCATCTCAAAAAAAAGAAAAAAATCCTGGAAATGAAAAAAAAATTGATGTAAACATGTAAATCACAATAAAACTCAGACTGATGCCAGTTAAAGAGAAAATTATAGAATTCAGAAAGAACACTGTGGCTAGGCCTGATGGCTCATGCCTGTAATCCCAGCAGTTTGGGAGGCGGAGGCAGGTGGATTGCTAGAGCCCAGGAGTTCAAGATTATTCTGGGCAACATGGCAAAACCCTGTCCCTATTTATTTTTATTTAAAAAACAAAAACAAACAGACAAAAAATACTGAGTAATCCTACCAAAACCACCGAGATTAAGGAAAAATATATGATGTGCCTCATAATGATGTTTTGTTCAGTGATGGACTGCATATATGACAGTAGTCCCATAAGATTATAATGGAGTTGAAAAAATCCTATTGCCTGGTGACATGTAGTTGTTGTAATGTGTTTGTGGTGATGCCAGTGGTATAAAAGCTCACAGTAATGTCCTAGGACTTCACCTTCACTCACCACTCACTCACTGACTCACCCAGAACAATTTCTAGTCCTGCCAATCTTCATTCATGATAAATGAGTGCCCTATAGAGTTGTGTCATTTTTTCTTTTATTCTGTAGTTTTACTATGCTTATTCTATGTTTACATAGATAAATACTTACCATTGTATTACAGCCACCTACGATGTTCAGTACAGTAACAGGATGGACTAGTTTGTAGCGTAGGAGCAATAGGCTCTACCATGTATCCTAGGTATGTAGTATGCTATGCCATCTAGGTTTGTGTAAGTATGCTTGTCCAACCCAGCTTATTTTGCTGTTGTTCTTGTTCTGTGTTTTGTTTTAGTCTTTTAGCAGCCTAAAGGCATGGTTTTTAGTTTCTGTCTCTAGTGATAAGCGGGAAAGAGGGATGAGGAAGGGTCCTTACTGATCCAACCAGGAACAGAAACTAAGAACCGATGGCTGTATTCTCTCCCTTGGACACCCCTCCATGATGTTCACATGACAAAATGGCCTAACAACACATTTCTCAGCATGTATCCCCTCCCTATTGTTAAGCAGTGCAAGACTGTATATCCTCCACGTCTCACACTCTCATATATGTATGTGTGTTTATTTAGGAAGGAAATAACAAGGTCAACAAAGACTCCTTAGGCTTTAAGGTGGCTGCCAATGGACACTAATTTTGATATACTTTGATATACACACGCATATATATATGAGAGTATGAGACATAGATTGAAAGCCTTCGACGCATATCTGCTGAGAGTTTCAAATAGTCTTCATGAATGTTCAGACACATATAACTTCAGTGTTGATTCAACTGATGGCTTCACTGGGGAACCACACAGAAGAGGTGAATTAAATCCTTAGCAGAATTGCAGCAGAATTGGTTTTCAATTTGAACAGAGTTTGAGTGATGGAGTTGAGACAGAATCTTAGTGAGAATATTAGAGAACTGTTGCTTGCGAGACTTTCTCAGGCATAAGAAGGAAATAACAAGGTCAACAAAGATTTCTTAGGCTTTGAGATGACTGTCAGTGGACACTAATTTTGATATACTTTGCTTTTGCTAGGGTTAGAGGTCATAGTGTACATTTTTGTTTGGCAGCACATCTTGAAATGGTGGACATTTTTCTGTGCTGGGCATTAGCCTTTGTGTTTTTCTTTTAAAATTTCAAATATACTCCTCTGAAGTTTTGAATTATTTTCTAATGTGGGCAAGAGCGACTTCATTACAAAAATTAACTTTGGAAGTCTAAGAAAAGTGAATTTTTTATAGCCTTTAACTTAAATTTAACATCCATTCAAAGGATGATCTGAGTTCCTGGGAGAGTAAGATTTTCAGCAGGAGTAGAAACTTGGATATGATGATACCCTAGAGCCAAAGAGGCATTTAGCATATTTTAGTATACTACTAATACTAAAATTGAGAATTTAGTGTAAAGTTAATTGCTGAATCCTGTCTAAGAAGTACTAGTTATTACATAATATAAAAGACTTTGAAATGTTTTTCCTATTTATAATTATGATGGTCTCTAATGTAGGACCAAATGAACAGTTAGTTAAGGCTCTAGTTAGTATTCATAACTCTGCAGTACTGAGTGAAAAGTTTATATTCTTAAGCTTTTGCAGACTTTTTTTTTCAGATGTTATTATATATGGTATATGTAATTTATCACCATGTTAGATAATATATTAACTGCTAAATTCATGTTTCAAAAATTTTTTTTGGAGGCAGGATCTCACTCTTTTGCTCAGGCTGGAGTGCTGTGGTGTGATCACAGCTCACTGCTGGGCTTAGGCGAGCCTCCTACCTCAGCCTCCCAGGTAGCTGGGACTACAGGTCTGTGTCACCATGCCTGGCAAATTTTTTGTATTTTTTGTAGAGTGGGTTTTGTTATGTTGTCCAGGCTGGTTTTAGTTTTTATTTAGAAATAATTATAGATTCATAGGAGGTTCTAACATCTTTTGTGGGGGAGGCCCTATATACCCATCACCCATTTCTCCCCAGTAGTAACACCTTATATAACCATAGTACACTGTCCAAACAAGGAAACTGACATTGGTAATCTGTGACATCCACAGAACTTATTCAGATTTTACCAGTTTTACATGCTCATATTGTGTGTGTGTGTGTGTGTGTGTGTGTGTGTATAATTCTATACAATTTTATTATGTGTAGATTTGTGTAACCTCCCTCATCAAAAAATTCATTCTGATTATAATTTATTGTACATCTAATTAATGTTTGTCAGTATTTTGGTGTGTAGTATACAGTTTCTGAAAGAAAACTAAAGCACAGAAGATAATATATACCAGAAGCACTAGTGTAACAGAAAATGTCTTTAAACTTATAGAGTTTCAAATGTTTCTTCTGTACATACTTTAGAGAAAAATAATGTGGTATGTAAGTACAAATAAATGATTAAAGTTTTTTATGTTTTATCTTCTCCATGTGTTCTCATGCTATTTTTTGAATATGTAAAAATGGGTCAGTATTTATAAATGTTATTCTTAAGACTTTGTGTTCTTTACTATGCATTTTTAAGCCCACTTTACTGAGGTATGATTGACATGTAAAAAGCTGTACATACTTAATGTATACAATTTGATGAATTTGGTGTTAAGTATACACCTGTGAAACCATCACCACCATCAAGGCCATAGACATATCTATTACCTCCCAAAGTTTCCTCCTACCCCCACTGTTACTATTTGTGGTAAGAAGTAACATAAGATCTACTTTTCTAGAAAATTTTAGGCCGGTTGTGCTGGCTTATGCCTGTAATCCTAGTACTTGGGAGGCTGAGGCAGGTGGATCGCTTGAGCTCAGGAGTTCGAGACCAGCCTGGGTAATGTGGTGAAACCCCGTCTCTACAAAAATTAGCAGGCATAGTGATGTGCGCCTGTAGTCCCAGCTACTCAGGAGGCTGAGGTGGAAGATGGCTTGAGTCCAGGAGGTGGAGGGTACAGTGATCCGAGATTGCATTACTGTGCTCCAGCCTGGGTGATGGAGCTAGACCTTGTCTCAAAAAAAAAAAAAAAAAAAAAAATTTTAACGTTATAATACGGTATTGTTAACTGTAGGCACTATGCTATAGAGAAGATCTCGATAACTTACGTAGCTTGCGTGTCTGAAACTATGTCCTGTCATGTATTTTTTTATTGTTTGTTTTGTTTTGTTTTTTTGAGATAGAGTCTCACTCTGTCACCCAGGCTGGAGTGCAATGGTCTCACTCTGTCACCCAGGCTGGAGTGCAATGGCACGATCTCGGCTCACTGCAACCTCCGCCTCCCAGGTTCAAGCGATTCTCCTGCCTCAGCCTCCTGAGTGGCTGGGACTACAGGTGCGCACCACTATGCCTGGCTAATTTTTGTATTTTTAGTGGATAAAGGGTTTCACCATATTGGTCAGGCTGATCTTGAATTCCTGACCTCGTGATCTGCCCACCTCACTCTCCCAAAGTGCTGGGATTACAGGCCTGAGCCACTGCGCCCGGCCCATGTATTGTTGTTAATTGGTATTGATTTTTATAACAGAGTGCCAGGCACTCTGTGTGCGGTGGTTCCTATTGCCTATATCATTTGTATGCCAATAAGCAAGTTGTTCATAGATTGGATTTTGAGATCCTAAACTGATCACGCATCTCCATTCCTGATATTTTCCAGCAGCTTATTATTTCTGTGGGTGAGATGGTGGTGGTGGTGGTGGTGATGGTGGTACTGAAGGCCATTATAGTGTTATGCATGCTGCGTGGTGAGAACACTTTGCAACATGCCATTATGATTTGTTTTTCATCATTTGTTTTATTTTTGTACTTTTGCTTATTACACTGAATGAGACAGCTACTAGCCGGGATGATAGCAGAGCCTGCTTTTCTCTCTGAGTATACTATCTTTGCTTTGGATTCCTCCAAACATCCTAAAACACAGAGTGACAGTGTGGTGAGTCCTTCCACCGCTTTCTGCATTCCCTTTGTGGGGAAGCAAAGTAATTTGGCAATTGTAGAAGCAAATCTCATGTTACTTGCCACTTACCATCTCTCAAAGTATCTTCAGTGTCCTGTTGCTAACCCTGCTCTAAAAAAATCAGAGAGTAAATTGCTGAATTCTGATGGCTGGTGTGCTTCCTGGTAGCTTTGTAACTGCAACAAAAATAACACTGTTTTCGCTAATGTAGCTACTTCAGTAATGAAGCTACCTTCGCTTACTCTAACCTCTTTTTTTCCTAGGGAATGTTTGTTCATTAACTAAAAAAAGGTATGCAGTGCTACAAATCTCTGTTCTACTATTGATGGGCGGTTAAGAATATTTTGAGATATGACTTACATTTTTAGGGGAAAAATTCGTTGTTATGTAAATCCATAATTAAACAGCATTGAATAGGTAGGTAGATTCTACTGTATTAGATAATTGCATCTTATTTTGCAGTTACCTGTTTTTTATATATTAAACATCTGAAAGAGAATTGTCTCATTTGTTTTTAAGTGACTGGCGTCATACGGTTTTGAATCTTGTATGTAATTTCATTTTGGGAAAGTGGACATTTTCCTATTGAAAGTATCTGGTAAGCTCATAATTTAGCAAATTAAAGTTTAGAGATGTTTGTCCAGTAAGGATAGCCTTTGGTGTTAAACACTGACTCTACTGGGATTGAGGTTTTTCTTTCTTTTTTTAAAAAATTGTTCCACAAATCTATTTATTAATTACAAAAACAAAAGAAAAGTTTACAATGGAGAAATGTGGCAAACACCATTGGATTGAGGTTTTTCTAAACAATAAGAATTGATTTAACTTATTAGGTAGCTGGTGATGGAAGTAGAACATTTCGGTACTTGAACCATGTAGCCAGTGAAGACTTGGTATGCATATGGCCAGTAGCAGTCTTAAATTACATTGTAAACTCAGTTTTAGAAAAGAAAGCAGCTAGGGAGATAATGGGATTTCTAGTGATGGCTTAGCTTGGGTCTCAGGGAAAAGTGGTCTCTCCTTGGCTCTGGCTACAAGTAATATCTCATTGTTTTAAAAACTGATTTGGGAGGGAATCAGAAGTCCCAATTAGAGAGACTTGTTTACTGTTTTTATTTATTTATTTATATTTGTTTGAGTGGGGTCTCATTCTGTTGTTCAGGCTGGAATGCAGTGGTACAATCACGGCTCACTACACCCTCAAATCCCTGGGCTCAAGCAGTCCTTCTTCCTCAGCCTCCCAAGTATGTGGGACCACAGACATATGCCACCATGCCCAGCTCATCTTATTTTAGTCTTTTTAGAGAGAGAGTCTCAGAATATTGCTCAGACTCATCTTGAATTCCTGGCCTCAGGTGATCCTCTTGCCTCAGCCTCACAAAGTGCTTGGATTACAGACATGAGCCACTATGTCTGGCCCAATTTACTTTGAAAAGCATAAAATAATATTGCTTTATATTTTCATGTAGTAGTAATAGAAGCTATTAAAAAAAAAACCGTAAAGGTTCTCCTAGGGCCACTTCCATAAGTACATTAAAGTCATTTGTATTGAGTACTTATTCTGTTGTTGAAAATGCTAATAATGTTAAAGTGGGGCTTTAAAACCTTTTTTTTCTTTTGAGAGAGAACTTTTTTTTTCTTTTGATACCCAGGCTGGAGTGCAGTGGCACGATCTCGGCTCACTGCGACCTCTACCTCCTAAGCTCAGGTGATCCGCCCACTTCAGCCTCCCAAGTAGCTGGGACCACAGATGCGCACCACCATACCTGGCTAACTTTTCTATTTTTAGTAGAGATGGGGTTTCGCCATTTTGGCCAGGCTGGTCTGGAACTCAGGCTCAAGTGATCCACCTGCCTCGGCCTCCTGAAGTGCTGGAATTACAGGCCTGAGCCACTACGCCCAGCCTAGTCAGAAACTTATTTCTCCCAATGGAACAAGGGAAACCATAGCATATCCCATATTAGAATAAAAATTTAGTGAGGGTCTAATCCATTACAAGTTCAGTAGGTACTGACTTTTGCTTAGTTAAGTTTTTTGAAAAATGCAGCTGTTTACCCCAAATTCTAAAATTACCGTAACCTTGGTGCTCAGCAGTCAATGCAATGGTTGTTGAAAGATTGAAACAATATGTAATTGAAGACAAGTCTGTCAGGGAACCTGTGTGTGCTTTTAAGTTGAATATACTTTAAAAGAGTTTTTATCTAATTTTCCCCTGTAGAAAGTATTGGTGAGTTTTGAGTATTGACATGTATTGAGCTAGTTCTACAGGCACCTCGCTAGGGGAAAGCCTTCAGAGGAAGCAACTGCATAAGGATTTAATAAGCATTTATTGAGCCCTTACTACTAGTCAGGCAAAATATTAGGTCATGGGGACTAAGATGAAAATGGTAGCATTCTCACCATGGGACACGTTTACCTATGTAACAGACTTGCACATCCTGAACATGTACCCCTGAACTTAAAAGTTGAAGGGAGAAAAAAAGAGAAGAAAATGTAGGGCTCTGTCCTCTTGAGAGTTTATAGTTTACTTTGGAGACAAACATGTCAACATACACTTAAAGTACAAAGGAATTAAGGCTTCACAGAAAAAAAAAATAGGCATAAGGAATGTGTTAGCCTTCCAGGAACCGTATAAAACTTCACATACAGAGCTTCACAAAATTTGAAAGCTGAAAGATGTACAAAAGTTTGGCACAAATGGAGAAGGCATTACAAATAGTGACAGATCTCTAATTTTACTTCTAAATATTCGTAATGTAAATTCACAGGGCAACTTAGGCCAGTACTTTTCATAAGCTATCCTGCATTTATTTAGATATGTGGTTTAGTACATAAATTGAAATATATATATGAGGAGAAGTTTTTAAATGTTGTTCTCTGTGTGCTTAATGGGGTGATATTTCAAACAATTGTAGGGTAGCTTTTTTTTTTTTTTTTTTTTTTTTTTGAGGCAGAGTCTCGCTCTGTCACCCAGGCTGAAGTGCAGTGTTGTGATCTCAGCTCACTGCAATCTCTGCCTCCCAGGTACCAGTGATTCTCCTGCCTCAGGCTCCCAAGCAGCTGGTATTACAGGTGCTCGCCACCATGCCTGGCTAACTTTTTTATTTTTAGTAGAGATGGGGTTTCACCATGTTGGCCAGGCTGGTCTTGAACTCCTGACCTCAGGTGATCTGCCTGCCTCGGTCTCCCAAAGTGTTGGGTTTATAGGCATGAGCCACTGAGCCCGGCCAGTTGTAGCTTTTTTTTTTTTTTTTTTTTTGAGGTGGAGTCTCACTTTGTTGCCCGGGCTGGAGTGCAGTGACACCATCTTGGCGCACTGCAGCCTCTGCCTCCAGGATTAAAGCGATTCTCCTGCCTCAGCCTCCCGAGTAGCTGGGACTACAGGTGCCTGCCACCACGACGTTTTTATAGAAAATATAATTTTTATATTTTTAGTAGAGATGGGGTTTCACCATATTGGCCAGGCTGGTCTCGAACTCCTTACCTCAGGTGATCCACCTGCTTCGGCCTCCCAAAGTGCTGGGATTACAGGCATGAGCCACAACACCAGCCCAGTGTAGCTTTTTTGTATGGACCACAATCATGTGTCAAGTCATTTACTTAAAACAGAATATGGACTCTTGCTGTTCTTCCTCTTAAGCTAAATATTTTATGGAGCCCCTTCATTTCCTTTCTCCATAATTTGTTTATTAATTTTCAGTATATTAACTGGCCAAGAGAATTGTTGATCTCTGTAAAGTATATTTTGTATTTTATGCAATTGTCCCCAACCTTTTTGGGACCAGGGACTGGTTTCATGGAAGACAGTTTTTCCATGAACTGGGGGCACAGGGATGGTTTTGGGATGATTCGAGCGCATTACATTTACTGTGTACTTTATTTCTGTTATTATTACATTGTAATACGTAATGAAGTAATTATATAACTCGTGACAATGTAGAATCAGTGGGAGCCCTGAGCTTGTTTTCCTGCAACTAGATGGTCCCTTCTGAGGGTGATGGGAGACAGTGACAGATCATCAGGCATTACATTCTCATTAAGACCACGCAACCTAGATCCTTCATATGCACAGTTCACAGCAGAGTTCGCACTTCTATGAATATCTAATGTCACCACTGATCTGACAGTAGACAGAGCTCAGGTGGTAATGCGAGTGACGGGGAGCAGGTGTAAATGCACATGAAGTTTCGCTTGCTCACCCACCGCTCTCCTGCTGTGTGGCCCCGTTCCTAACAGGCTATGAGTTGATACTGGACTGTGGCCCAGAGATTTGTGACCCTTGCTTTATAGTATGTAGTATATTATATTTTTAGACCTAGAAGGCATTCATTGTAATGTCACACAGGTAGATGCCATGTAGGCAACTGGAAGATAAAAGTTAATTCCTATGTTCTCCCAACCTTTCTTCCCCATCTAACTTTAAGGAAATGTCTTAGACTGATGAAATTTGATAGCTTTTTATTAGAGGGAAGAGGAGGTACTTAAAGTTTGTCTTTATTAGGGAAAAGTTGAAACATATTACAAAAGTGGAAATAGTAGTAGTATTGGTACAAGAACCCCTCCCCATATCTATTACCCAATGCCAATAATTAATAACTCATGGCCATCTTGTTTTATCTATTAGCCTACCCCTACACTTCCCTGACCGTACCACTACCATTTTGCCTACTTGTGCAGCTCCCCCTGGCTTCCCCACTCCCACCCCATTGGATATTTGAAGCAAATTTCAGAAGTTCTGTTCCATCAGTAAATATTTTGGTATATATCTCTAAAACAGTGCTTCCCAACCTCCAGGCACAGGTCCGTGGCCCTTTAGGAACTGGGCTGCACAGCAGGAGGTAAGAGGCAGGCAAGCAAGTGAAACTTCATCTGCATTTACAGCTGGTCTCCATCACCCGCATTACCACTTGAGCTCTGCCTCCTGTTAGATCAGTGGTGACATTAGATTGTCATAGGAGCGTGAACCCTGTGGAGAACTGTGCATACGGGGGATCTAGGTTGCATGCTCCTTATGAGAATATAATGCCTGATGATCTGTCACTGTCTCCCATCACCCCCAGATGGGACTGTCTAGTTGTAGGAAAACAAGCTCAGGGCTCCCACTGATTCTATATTATGGTGAGTTGAATAATTATTTATTATATATTACAGTGTAATAATAGAAATTAAGTGCACAATAAATGTAATGCATTTGAATCATCCCAAAACCATCCCTGCACCCCCGGTCTGTAGAAAAATTGTCTTTCATGAAACCCGTCCCTGGTGCCAAAAAGGTTGGAGACCACTACTCTAAAAGATAAAGATGGTTGGGCATGGTGGCTCACACTTGTAATCCCAGCATTTTGGGAAGCTGAGGAGGGCAGATCACCTGAGACCAGCCTGGGCAACATGGGGAAACCCTGTTTCTACAAAAAGTACAAAAATTAGCTGGACCTGGTAATGCACACCTGTAGTCCCAGCTACTGAGGAGGCTGAGGTGAGAGGATCCCTTGAGACTGGGAGCTTGAGGCTGTAGTCAGCTGTGAGCATGTCATTGCACTCCATCTTGGGCAATGGAGCAAGACCCTGTCTCAGAAAAAAAGGATTAAAAAATTTTAGCCACAATATTATTTATCACACCTAAAAATTAATAATTTCCTACCATCAAACTACTTAATCAATGTTCAAAAAGTAGAAAACACGTTTGCAAAACTGAGCACCTTTTTCACTTAAGAATAAGTTAGGTCAGATATTTGCCTTTCCTTGGTCAGCTCTAGACCAAGGGGAAATGCAAGATGTAACTACTGAAACATAGTGGTTGGCATTTGGTGGAATATTTTTGTTTAAAACATGGAAGTTATTTTATCATGAGTTACTTCTATAGTTCTAACTAATTTTAGTTAGACAATGTATTATAAATGCAGTGTAGAATTTTGAACCTCAAAGAATCTCATCTAGTATCATGAAATCTATGCCAGTATGATGTAATCAGTAGAATGTTGCTTAACTGGGAGCCTTTGGCATACCAACAGAACAGAACAAAACAAAAATCTTTCGCGTGTGGAAGAAGAGGTTTTTAAGTTCTTCTGAAAATTATCATTTCATTTAGATTGCTAACTTCAAATGAATGAGACATTACCGTTTCTTGCTATCAAGATATTTTTCAGAGCTTAGCCCAAATAATTTTGAGTATTATTTTATTGTAGGAAAAAATTGAAATTACTTCCTTTTCTGGATAGTTTTCTGTTTGAGTGAGATTTGTGCATTGATTCCCTGATGTTGATTTTTGTTATGGGGGAAAAACTGGGGACATAATGGGAAGAGGTATGTGACTAGCTTGAAATAGGTTTTTCTACATACTAATCTTTGCTATTGAGTTCTGTGTATTACAGCAAAATGAATTTTCTAAAATACTTACCATACTACAATAGTTTTGCCTTGCATGAAAACATTCTAATAAATGAACAATTACTAATTTTGTTTAATAGATAAATGTATCTGATAGGTCTTGGCACATGGGCTTTATTCTTAACAGTTTTAAACCTTTAGTTTTTTGTTCTTTTGCTTTACAATGTTTCTTTCTTTTTCTTAGAATGCATCTACTCATGCCTCGAAATCTCCTGACAGTGTTAATGGAAGTGAACCAAGCATTCCTCAGGTCTGTTACTAATTGTTATTTTAGAAAATAACAAGTCATTTCAGAGTGTTGGTCAGTCTGTGTTAATTATTAGCATCTGACTTTACATTGAAATGGTGATGTCCAAATATTCAGTACAGTATATATGGTAAACACAGGTTTGCTCATGGTTTCTTGGAAAAAGTTTTAAATGAAAGCAAGACTGTATTATTTCTCATTTTAAAAATTAATGCAAGGCCAGGCACTGTGGCTCCCGCCTGTCTGTAATCCCAGCACTTTGGGAGGCTGAGGTGGGCGGATCGCTTGAGGCCAAGAGTTCGAGACTAGCTTGGCCAACATGGCAAAACTCTGTCTCTACTAAAAATAGAAAAAGTCAGCCAGGAGTGGCGCATGCCTGAAATCCCAGCTACTTAGTTGGCTGAAGCGTGAGAATCGCTTGAACCCAGGAGGCATACGTTGTCATGAGCTGAGTTTGTGCCACTGCACTCCAGCCTGAGCAACAGAGTGAGGCTCTGTCTCAAAAAAAAAAAAAAAAAGATAATAATAATAATTATGAGAAAGTGAAAACTTTTTGAAAAACTGTGATCTGAGTTTATAGTTATAAAAGATCATGGAGGTAGCCATATTGAGAGACATACTGAGTTATATAAGGTGGAAGGGGAATATGAAGGAATGAGATCTTTTAAAGTATTCTCTACTTTAAAGTGTATTTTACTACTAGAGTTTAGGTTGTCCTTGATTTTAAAAAGTTATTTATAAAGAGGGGCTCAAGTCATTTTTTGTTTGAACCCCTCCAAAAAAGGAAGAAAAAAAAATCATTATGATAGCAGGCTGGGCGCAGTGGCTCATGCCTGTTATCCCAGCACTTTAGGAGGCTGAGGTAGGTGGATCGCTTGAGACCAGGAGTTCGAGACCAGCCCAGCCAACATAGTGAAACCCTGTCTCTACTAAAAAAATACAAAAATTAGCTGGGTGTGGTGGTGTGTGCCTGTAATCCCAGCTATTCAGGGGACTGAGGCATGTGAATTGCTTGAGCCTGGGAGTGGAGGCTGCAGTGAGCTGAGATTGTACCACTGCACTCCAGCTTGGATGACAGAGTGAGACCCTGTCTCAAGGAAAAAAAAAAAATTGTGATAGCAGTGTTGGAGATGAACATTTGCTGACTTTGGTTTTAGTGATGACTATTATCATCATCCTGGTTGTTCTTAGTAGTCCCTAATGTAAAATAGTATTATTTCTAATTCTGTGAACCCAGGGCATGAGTCTAGACAAGTTGATTTATGAGCTGAATGATTTGTGAACTAAATTACATAGACAAAACATTCGGAAGTATTGTCTAACAAATGTTTAGGGCCGGGTGCGGTGGCTCATGCCTGTAATCCCAGCACTTTGGGAGGCCGAGGTGGGTGGATCACAAGGTGAGGGGTTCGAGACCAGCCTAACCAACATGGTGAAACCCCGTCTCTACTAAAAATACAAAAAAAAATTAGCTGGGCGTGGTGGCGGGTACCTGTAATTCCAGCTACTCAGGAGGTTGAGGCAGGAGAATTGCTTGAACCCGGGAGGCGGAGGTTGCAGTGGGCCGAGATCACGCCACTGCACTCCAGCCTGGGCGACAGAGCGAGACTCCGTCTCAAAAAAAAAAAAAAAAAAAAAAAAAAGAAAAAAAAAACCCCAAAAAAACAAATGTTTAAATGAGCTTCCCAAACTCTGTGGACAGGTGTCTTGTGAGCTTAGATCCTCATAACTGTCAGTGAGGCTGGTCAGGTTGTGGGAACAGCCCAAGTCCCTGGGTCTGTTGACTCTAGTCTTGAGCAGCCACTCCAGTTAATCCCAAATTCTCTAGAAATACATAATTTTCTATAAGTGCCATGAAGTAGGGGTAAAATATTGGGAGGCATCAGTCTAAACAGCACTGTACAGAACATATCCAGTGATCTTTAAAGAATATCATTGGCCGCGGGCTTCGTTTGTGAGGAAGGGGGCCTAGGCCCGGGCCTGCGGTGGTGGGGGTTGCTGCGCGCCGGGGGTCGCTCCTGCTGTGTCTTCCGCTCCAGCTTCGCCCACTTCCCCTTGCCAGCGGGGTGGGCGCGGAGAAGACCTGCCGGAGCCATGGAGGACGAAGTGGTCCGCTTTGCCAAGAAGATGGACAAGATGGTGCAGAAGAAGAACGCGGCTGGAGCATTGGATTTGCTAAAGGAGCTTAAGAATATTCCTATGACCCTGGAATTACTGCAGTCCACAAGAATCGGAATGTCAGTTAATGCTATTCGCAAGCAGAGTACAGATGAGGAAGTTACATCTTTGGCAAAGTCTCTCATCAAATCCTGGAAAAAATTATTAGATGGGCCATCAACTGAGAAAGACCTTGACGAAAAGAAGAAAGAACCTGCAATTACATCGCAGAACAGCCCTGAGGCAAGAGAAGAAAGTACTTCCAGCGGCAATGTAAGCAACAGAAAGGATGAGACAAATGCTCGAGATACTTATGTTTCATCCTTTCCTCGGGCACCAAGCACTTCTGATTCTGTGCAGTTGAAGTGTAGGGAGATGCTTGCTGCAGCTCTTCGAACAGGGGATGACTACATTGCAATTGGAGCTGATGAGGAAGAATTAGGATCTCAAATTGAAGAAGCTATATATCAAGAAATAAGGAATACAGACATGAAATACAAAAATAGAGTACGAAGTAGGATATCAAATCTTAAAGATGCAAAAAATCCAAATTTAAGGAAAAATGTCCTCTGTGGGAATATTCCTCCTGACTTATTTGCTAGAATGACAGCAGAGGAAATGGCTAGTGATGAGCTGAAAGAGATGTGGAAAAACTTGACCAAAGAAGCCATCAGAGAGCATCAGATGGCCAAGACTGGTGGGACCCAGACTGACTTGTTCACATGTGGCAAATGTAAAAAGAAGAATTGCACTTACACACAGGTACAAACCCGTAGTGCTGATGAACCAGTGACAACATTTGTTGTCTGTAATGAATGTGGAAATCGATGGAAGTTCTGTTGAGTTGGAAGAATTGGCAAAATATCTGGACCATTAAGAAAACGGATTTTGTAACTAGCTTTAAACTAGGCCAAGCAACTAGTTTTCCTGCAAATCAAATTTTTAAAGCAACTTGAGTTAGACTTTGTTTTTGACCTAACATCCCTTCCTTAAATGCCTTCTGTAGTTTCAGATCAGTAGGGAGACCATATAATAATTGTATGGTACCTGTTTCAAAACATATTTTTTCTGTTTTTATAAGTAAGTTGATATTAATTAAACTCTTGGCAATATTTCTTCTTTCTTAAAGGAAAATACACCTTAACTTTTTTTCTTTTACACTGTGAAACATACACAGTAGAAATTCTGTTACTCTCTGTTATTAATACATAAATGAAAATACTTTTTTTTCCATATTGGCATGTAGCTACAAATATTAAAGGAGGAGAAAAGGTAATATAATTTTAGGTTTACCAAATATGGTGTGTATTCAAATAATACTTGACCAGCTTATCTAAAATGTACATAATTTTGAGGTAGCTTATGAATTTGATTTTAATTATTATGTTCACAAGCTTGGAATATTAGATATTATTTTGCATCTGTAACTAACCGTGATCATCATCTCTTGTAATTTCTTGTACATGTATATTACTTGTTCTTAATAGATTTTTGGAAACAAGACTTTATTGAGATCAGTTTGGTTTTCCTGTTAATTTACCTGTTTGACTTTATAATGTGTTTTAGTTTTGCAGAAGAACACTGTTGTAGTTTAGAAGGCTTTTCATAAATCCCCTCATAGGCAAAGATGAGAACTTCCCACTATTTTTTTCCCCTCTTAGGAAGACATACTGGAAAGAAAATGTTTAGCATCTTAGTGTAGTATAGCTATTGTAAACAGTTCATGACTAGATTTTGATTCGGAAATCTATACTGACCAAGGATTAATCTTAAGGACTGTATAATTCATTAAAGCGGTGGTCTTTCCATGTGGAGACTGATAGAAAATAATTTTGTCCCAAGTCTTATTTGCTGACTTTTTCTGTCAATGAGTGAGATTGTTGAACAAACTGAATATATGGGCTATAGCAAGTAGCTTTACAGTACAGATCTTACAATTAAGTTTTGCTTTTGTTAAAGTGTGTACCATTTTTTCTGTTTGGAGTAAGACAAAAATTGTTTTGACATAGGTTCCCTAGGGTACACTTGCTCTAGCATACTTTAAAGGCCACTGTTGCAAAGTCTACATTTTATGCTGAATCTGCATTCTGTCAGGCACCCGTAGAAAGACCTCAGTACATGCTTTGCACTCTCCTTTGCTCCCTTTTTCCAATTTCTTATTGCATATCATTTTGTTGTAATACAGAAAGCAGCATTTTTAAATGTCCATGTTAAGAATTGGCCCACTGGTACCGACTCACCTCTATTTTGTCAGTTCATAGTTGAAGATTTTGTTTTATTTCAAAAACAAAGTACATTTTTGAAATAATGTTTCAGAATAAAATAATCTCACTTTTAAATTAAGTGATCCATTTTAAAATTTGTAATTCAATAAAGTTTTTTTTGTTGTTAAACATAAAAAAAAAGAATATTATTAAAGAGTATGATTTAAAATGCATATTTTCTTTTCTTTTTTTTTTTTGAGACAGAGTTTTGCTCTTTTTGCCCAGGCTGGAGCGTAATGGCGTGATCTCAGCTCACTGCAACCTCTGCCTCCCAGATTCAAACGATTTTCATGCCTCAGCCTCCTGAGTAGCTGGGATTGCAGGCACCTGACACCACGCCTGGCTAATTTTTTGTATTTTTATAGTAGAGACAGAGTTTCACCATGTTGGCCAGTCTGGTCTTGAACTCCTGACCTCAGGTGATCCACCCGCCTTGGCCTCCCAGAGTGCTGGGATTACAGGGATGAGCCACCACACCTGGCCTAAAATCCATATTTTCTTCTGTCACAGAATAGTCCAAAAAGACTAAATATAGTTATGGATACAAAAACTTGAATGAGTCAACTTTATAACAAATTCAGAATTTTAATTAAGGTAAAGAATGAATGTAGGTGATATTCAGGAAATAAGCTCACTGAGGGCTTTGCACTTTCTTAAATATTACAGATATTTTCTTAAAAAGTGATAAAAATGGTATTTATTGTGTACTGTGTATTAGACATATATGAAACATTTTACATATATGATCTCATTAATTCTCATAACAAAAAGATGCCTTCACTCAGTTTGTTTACTTTTTTTTTTTTTTTTTGAGACAGAGTCTCTCTGTGTCACCCAGGCTGTAGTGCAGTGGTGCAGTCATAGCTTACTGCAGCCTCAAACTCCTGGGCTCAAGCAGTCCTCCCACCTCAGCCTTCCAAGTGACTGGGATTACAGATGTCAGCCATCACGTCTGGCTTGTTTACCTTTATTTTAAACAAATTTCTGAAAAGTTGATTGTTGAGTTTAGCAAATTAAAAACAATGTATATACACAAAGACGGGGGGATGCTTACTATGTTTGAGCATATTGACAGCAGCAGGAAACCATAGTTGACAGCAAGGTTGAAGACATGGTAAAAAGCACATCCTAGAGTTCTTAAAACATAGCAGCCTGTGGACCCTCTTATTACTGGGGCAAAGTATCCTATAAAGATTGAACATCCCTAATCCAGAAATCTGAAATCCATGTGCTCCAAAGTCTGAAACTTTTTGAGTACCCATATGATGCCACAAGTGGAAAACTTCACACCTCACCTCGTGATGAGTTGGAGTCAAAACACTGGTGTACAACATAGTTTATTCAGTGTTCCTAAGAGAAGAAAGCTTCCCCCCGCCCTCTAGCTGTAAGATGATCTTTTCCAGGCATACCCAGATTCTCTCATGCGAGCATGCCCACAAAGCGTAATACAGTGGCACATGTGCAGGCCAGATGGCGCCAAGGGCAGGTTCCCCATGATGCTCCACGTGGGGCCAAGACTCATGTGCTTTACTTGCTGTGTTTTTTTTCCTTCTTTTCTGCTCTGTTATATGAAGATTTGTTGAAAATGTTAAAAAGTCCTGCAGAGGCCCAGCGTGTTGGCTCACACCTGTAATACTGGCACTTTCGGAGGCTGAGGTCGGCAGATCACCTGAGGTCAGGAGTTCGAGACCAGCCGGGCCAACGTGGTGAAATCTCCTCTCTACCGAAAATATAAAAATTAGTCTGGTGTGGTGGCACATGCCTGTATTCCCAGCTACTTGGAAGGCTGAGGCACGGGAATCACTTGAACCCGGGAGTTGGAGGTTGCAGTGAGCTGAGATCACGCCACTGCACTGCAGCCTGGGCAACAGAGAAAGACTATTGTCTCAAAAAAAAAAAAAAATTAAAAAGCCATCCTGCAGAATGCCTCCTCCTTCCTAGTGGATCCATTTCCTGGTCCCTCAATTGCTTCCGGTGTTTCTTCTTACCTAAAAAAAGAAAATACAGTGTAGAGTAACCGTTCAATCAAAACACAGCATCGTAGATAGAGACTGAAAGCTTACCATTGTTTGTTGTTGCTGTTGCTTAACAGCTATTACAGATATTCTGGTGATACTACTGTGCTGCTTAGTTACCCTGAACACATTTTGTTTTACTGTATTAATGGTATGTCATATATATATATTTCTTTCACTGTGAAGTACTTATGGGTGAATAAGCATAAGAAAATTATTGCTTATCAGTAGCATGTAAGTTCAGAGTCAGGAATGATGGTGGTGCCAGACAACCATAGATTGTATTGGTGGCTGAAATTGTGACACCTTTGCTTTCTGACGGTTCAGTGTACACACTTTGTTTCATGTACAGAAATGGTGAAAAATATGATATAAAATTACCTTCAGGCTATCTGTATAAGGTGTATATGAAACATAAATGAATTTCGTGTTTAGACTTGGGTCTCATCCCCATGATGTCTCACTATCTATATGCAGATACTCCAAAATCTGAAAAAAATCTGAAATCCAAAATACCTGGTTCCAAGCTTTTTGAATAAGGAGTACTTAGTCAAAATGAGTTCACAATATACATATTGTTTTATAATTTGACCTTTCCCATTTAATAGTATATCTTGAACTTCTTTCCATATGTTATTGTTTATTTTTAAATTTTTTTTGAAAATACTTTATAGACCAGGACATACTTTTCAAGTTGCCTTGGGGAGTGCTCTCCATATACTATAATTTATAAACTGTATCCTCTAGTGATAAACATTTGGGTTGTTTCCAGTTTTTACTCTTTTAAACCACCTGTGATAAATTTGTGTGTATGAAGGTATGGGACATATTATCTCCTCTTACTCCTACCTTGCCCAATATTATTAAATCTCTAGAATCCGTGAGCAAAACATTTCTGTTTTGATTTTTCAAACTCTAGACTGAAGAGAATCTTTTTATTTTCCTGTATTTTTTGCCTACACATGACCTCAGTTTCCCTGGAGTATTTCACTCCTGGCACCTTTGAGATCTTAGTGACCCGGTTGTTAACTAATGAGAATGAGCTTCTAGGAGACATCAGTAAATATTGACTGCTGTGACCTGAACAAAATAATACTGCTTAGAACAGTTAGTTGAATTAGGTCATATTATTTTTCATTGTGACTAAATTAATTTGTTATTCCAATTAATTAGGAGAACAGGTCTTCCTTATCACTGTCTAACATTGGAGTTACTGATTTGTGCAGAGGGACTCTAACTCAGACCTTTCAACTGTCCTCCATGATTTGTTAATGCTTATTTTTATTCCTAGTAGACAAATGGTAAGTAGAGCAGAGTTGGCTGTTACTAGTCAACTCTGCCTCACATTCCCTTATTAAACAAAGTGGGTTCATTACACATTACCCTCCCCCCATCCCAATTCCCCTCTTTTCTTGGGAATGATCAAGAATTACCATGTCCATAAAGACCCTCCAGATAAAGCCCACTTGAGTTCAGTTACACACTTCACATTTCATGGTATATACCTACATTTTAGACACTGGGTATGCACTGTTACAGATGGTGTATGGAGATGGTCACTACCTTCAAGGATCTCACAGTTTAGTGGATGAATCCTCACAATACACCTGTGAGGTCGGCTGGGAAAGTACTGTGTTTTTCTTTCTTCCAGATGTGCAAACTGAAGGAAAGTGACTTACTGAAGGGCATTCTACCTCTAGGTGACAGACCTGGGACCTGCACCCCAGTCCTCTGACTCCAGGTCCAACACTGTTTCAGCAATAACCAAGTGTTTTGTTTTTCAGAAAACAATGTATTATGTAAAATGTCAGGAATATAAATTCAACTTGTTAGAACTTTTATTAGATTATTGCTGGTGATGGGGTAATGGAAGTCTAAATGTATGTATTTTAATCCACACATTCTGTTGGGTTTTGGTTGCAGTCAGGTGACACACAGTCTTTTGCACAGAAGCTCCAGCTCCGGGTGCCCTCCGTGGAGTCTTTGTTTCGAAGTCCGATAAAGGAATCTCTATTCCGGTCTTCTTCTAAAGAGTCTTTGGTACGAACATCTTCCAGAGAATCCCTGAATCGACTTGACCTGGACAGTTCTACTGCCAGTTTTGATCCACCCTCTGATATGGATAGCGAGGCTGAAGACTTGGTAGGGAATTCAGACAGTCTCAACAAAGAACAGTTGATTCAGCGGTTGCGAAGAATGGAACGAAGCTTAAGTAGCTACAGGGGAAAATATTCTGAGGTAGGAGCATGACCTTTTTGCCTGTACAAAAATTTCTTCCCCTTGTTCTCTCATTCATATTACTGTATTGCTTTACTCCTGTGATTGGCTAAACTGTTAATTCTCTGGATATATCCTGGTTACTAATGGTATGTAGTCTGTGGCATTATCTAGTTAAAGACTCTCAATATCTAGTTAAGTAAAGACAGAGGCCCTTTGGCAAGACTCAGTAAAATTTTGGAGAAGATTGTTGTCTGTAGCCTTCTGGTTCTTATATTCTGTTCCCCTCTCCTTTCGTAGTCCCTCTGTTCAAGGTCACTTGGACACCCAGTGTGGAGTTCATCTTCTGGCTCATATCCTCTCCTTTATTCCTCTCTAACTGATGCGGCTCCAAAATGACCTCATCTGCCAGTGAGAGTCCCATTATTACTGATTCTAAAATTGTTTTAGGTAGCCTGATTATTTGACAGATTTGGTTCATTCTCATTGTACCTACATTTAAACCTTTGCCTTGGATGAATCTTTTCATTGCTAAACCCTTGAGAATGACACTCCCTGTTTGGTCTAAGGGAGGAAGGAAGTCAATGCTAGTCCATTTCACTTTTCAATCCTTTAGGAATGTAGCACCTTCCTTTCAGGCTAAATTTTATTTGTTGCCCTCCCTCAATTCCCTCTGCATCCTATGCAGTTAAAACAGTTCTTTCTCAGGAAAGCTTTTTTGGAGTAAGTTGTCCATATTTTTTTGTTTGTTTATCTTAAAATGTGTAATGTTTTATTGTCTTATGGTTTGCAAATCACCATTGTAGTTAATTTTAATTAATGAATACTAAAGTTCAGAGTCAGTATATTAAAGATAGTTGTAACTTCTGTTTCCAATTATGACTACAATATGAGTAATTTTATCCTACAACCAAAAACAAAACAAAACAACCCAAATGAAATATACAAGATAAGATATCTTTTTAAACTGTGAAGTGCTGACAAAATAGGAAGCAATTATCAGGCTTAAATATATAGGCTGGCTGGAACCCACCCAGAGATATAAACAAGGCACTAAAGCCATGTATGTCATGAGGCACTTGTAGAATCAAGCACCTTTTTCCTTTAAATTTTTTTAACTTTTATTTTTAAATTTCTACCAAAGTTAATAATCGTTATGAATCTTTGTCTGTTACTTCACTAACTTAACCATGGCTTTTAAGTTTGAAGCTGGGGTAGTGGTATAAGTAGTATTTACGTATGCTAGATACTGTGTATTTTATATTTAATTTTTGTTGTTGTTTTTGAGACAGGGTCTCACTTTGTTGCCCAGACTGGAGTGCAGTGGCTCAAACATGGCTCATTGGAGCTTCAACTTCCTGGGCCCAAGCGATCCTTCAGCCTCAGCCCCAGCTCCCTCAAGTAGCTGGGACTACAGGCGCACACCACCACACCCATCTGATTTTTGTATTTTTTCGTAGAGTTGAGGTTTTGCTATGTTGCCCAGCCTGGTCTTGAACTCCTGAAGTCAAGTGATCCTCCCACCTCAGCCTCCCAAAGGGCTGTTCTTATAGGCATGAGCCACTACACCTGTCCTGTGTATTTTATATTTATAATGTCATGTAATATTGTACCATTCCCGTAGATGTTAATTAGCTCAGTTTTGTAGAAGAAGGATTGGAGACTCATAGTAACTTGCTTATGTTGCCTGGTAACTAACTTGCTTATGGTTGGACAGGTTGTAGTTGCAGTGTCTGGATTTGATTTTAGGTCTTTCTGGTTGTTTCTAGTATTCTGTCTCAGAGTCAGGCAGCTTATCGGGATCAAAAGAACTCATAGACTTTGTCTCTACCTCTCTCTGGCATTGTTAGTACCTAGGATGAAATAATGTTGTAAATGACCTCTGATTCTTGGGTTACTCTTCCACACACAACCCCCCTCCACCCCTTTTTTGAGCACAATTTTTCTTTTATTTTTAGTTCAGGGATACATGTTCAGGATGTGCAGGGTTGTTACACTGGTAAATGTGAACACCATTTTTCTTTTTTTTGTGAGACGGAGTCTCACTCTGTAGCCCAGGGTGGAGTTCAGTGGCGTGATCTCGGCTCACTGCAACCTCCGCCTACTGGGTCCTGGGCCAAGCAGTTCTCCTGCCTCACTCTACAGGCATGCGCCACCATGCTCAGCTAATGTTTGCGTTTTTAGTAGAGACAGGGTTTCACCATGTTGGCCAGGCTGGTCTTGAACTCTTGACCTTGTCATCTGCCCACCTTGGCCTCCCAGAGTGCTGAGATTACAGGCGTGAGCCACCACACCCGGCTGTGAACACCATTTTTCTATCTGGTGTTATGATAATAATAAGGGGAGATTCCTGGTCTTAGGCAGAATTTCGTTTTTTATATTCTTTGTTGCTAGACTCACCTTCCATTGCTGCTTTTTTTTTTTTTTTTTGAGATAAGGTCTTACTCCCTCACCCAGGCTGGAGTGCAGTGGCATCATCACGGCTCACCTTGTAGCCTTGAGTTCCCAGGCTTAGGTGATTCTCCCACCTCAATCTCCTGAGTAGCTGGGACCACAGGCACACACCACCACACCTGGCTAATTTTTTGTATTTTTGGTAGACATGGCGTTGCCATTTTGCCCAGGCTGGTCTCCAGCTCCTGGGCTCAAGCAATCCTCCTGTCCTGGCCTCCCAAAGTGCTGGGATTACAGGTGTGAGCCACCATGCCTGGCTGTATTGCTGCCTGTCTTTTGATTCAGGATATCACTAGTGGCATTTGGGACACAGCAGCCTTCTAAGGTAAATGGCAAAGCTCAAATAGGGGATGCTTCCTCTTAAACCTGCAGCTTATCTCTTTAGCACTTCCAAAGTAGGGTCCAAAGAATTCACTGGAGCCATGTACTTAGCCTTCAGATGAGTAACTTTTTTTTTTTTTTTTTTTTAAATTATAATAGAGACAAGGTCTCACTAAATTGCCCAGGCTGGTCTCGAACTCTTGGGCTCAAGTGATCCTTCTACCTCGGCCTCTCAAAATGTTGGGATTACAGGCATGAGCCACTGCACCTGGTCCTAGATGAGTAATGTTATGTAACTTCCAGGCTGAAAAGATTTGTTAATCCATAATTTCATTAGGGTGTGCTAGAATGTTTAAATATCCTGTTTAGGTTAAATGGTTAAATATCTCTTTAAGGACTTGAATTACCAGTTTTCATCTGTTGATTATGAGGTTCTTTGCTCAGATTTTTGCAGAGCTGTAGTCACAGACCCTATAACCAGAAGGAACTTTTAGAAATCAATTACATGATCTCTTATAGTCCAAAGCAGAAAAATTGCCTGGTGAGCTCATTAAAACATAGTTTCCTGTCTCTCCACACCCTTCCCAAGTCTCAAATTCAGTTAGATTGGGGTGGGGCCCAAGAATTTCTGTTTCAAGCAAACTTGCAAGTGATGCTGTTGCTGATTTAGTCTGTAACTATAGTTTGAGTAGCCTCCTGCCTTTAGGCAAGTTGGCTTGAATCCCCACCTGTGAATTAGGTACTGAAATTTAGAGGTGTATCTCTAAGATGAAGTCATATGGAGATTTAACGTCTGTCAAATTTACATTTTATTTTTTAGAAATGTATGTCCTATGTTAGTTTTGACCGTCATGCATCTAATTAGGTTATCCTATTAAGGACTCTTCTAATTTATTTTTTGACTTTCATAAAGAGAATTTTTTAGTGGACTTTAGAATAATTGCATTTATTTAGGAATGACTAATGTTGTTGATGACTATATTTTAGCTTGTTACAGCTTATCAGATGCTTCAGAGAGAGAAGAAAAAGCTACAAGTAAGTGATTTGTCAACTGCATTACTGAGTCATAATTTTTAAATCAGAAAGATCTTATATAGTAAGATATTTCTTTCTTTTTTTTTTTTTTTTTTTTTTTTTTGAGACGGAGTCTCGCTCTGTCGCCCAGGCTGGACTGCGGACTGCAGTGGCGCAATCTCGGCTCACTGCAAGCTCCGCCTCCCGGGTTCACGCCATTCTCCTGCCTCAGCCTCCCGAGTAGCTGGGACTACAGGCGCCCGCCACCGCGCCCGGCTAATTTTTTGTATTTTTAGTAGAGACGGGGTTTCACCTTGTTAGCCAGGATGGTCTCGATCTCCTGACCTCATGATCCACCCGCCTCGGCCTCCCAAAGTGCTGGGATTACAGGCGTGAGCCACCGCGCCCGGCCTATAGTAAGATATTTCTAAGCCTTCCTTTTAAATAATTCTGCATATGAACAAAATATTAAGCTTGTTTTACCATTATTGGAGGTTTTGATAAAGAGAAAGTGAATGAGATCCCAGAGATTTTACCTCTGTTAAGGATGAGCTTCCTTGAGTTACAGATCTCGGTAGTGTTTAAGAAGTTAGGATTTACAGCATGCCTCTCTCAAGCATGTTTTCTAGTGTCTCAGTCTACAGGTTGCTTCCTTGTTTTAGTGGTAAAGACATATCTAACCTTCTATGCTTTCCTTCTGCTTTTTAAATACCTGCAGACATCTGTTTCTTATCATTATATCAGGGTCCAAATGCAAGCATCCTCTCTTCTATAATAACTATTTCCTGTGGCTGCTGCTTGTGAAGCTTTTGATTAAGTATGTAGGGATAAGAAACTATTATATTCAGGGTGACCCACCTTGGCCCCACTATGTCATCCTGTTTGCTTGTGTTTCTATGCATTGGCTATGGAAATTTCCCACTAGGTATTCCAGGTGATAATTCAGAGCTAAGGAGAAATATCCATTCCCTTTCAAATGGTGCCATCAGTTTGCTGTGTTTTAAAATAAAATATAGTTGGCCAGGCGTGGTGGCTCACGCCTGTAATCCCAGCACTTTGGGAGGCCAAGGCGGGTGGATCACCTGAGGTCAGGAGTTCGAGATGAGCCTGGCCAACATGATGAAACCCTGTCTCTACTAAAAATACAAAAATCAGCCGGGTGTGGTGACGGGCACCTGTAATCCCAGCTACTCGGGAGGCTGAGGCAGGAGAATTGCTTGAACCTGGGAGGCAGAGGTTGCATTAAGCCAAGATCGTGCCATTGCACTCCAGCCTGGGTGACAGAGCAAGACTCCGTCTCAAAAAAGAAAAGATAAAATTCAATGCTTTGCTCTCTTTTCTACATGTGTACCTGCCTAGAAACCTTTTAAAATAGGCAAATATCTTTTCAATAGAGCCAATGAAATTAAAATAGTAGGTATTGCCAACACTCTTACCTATGCTGCTTATACTAGCTAACATTTATTGAGCTCCTACTGTGTGCCAGGCATTTTGGTATATTTAGTTCTAGCCTCTTTCCTGTGAAGAAACTGAGGGAGAGTGACTCGTTCATTGTTGCACAGCTTGTAAGAGGTAAGGAGGAGAGCCAGGGTCTTTTTCCTAGCAGTTAGACTGCAGAGCATGTGCTTATAACTACTGCACTACAGTTTTTCATCATTCTCAGCATGGCATGTTCCTGCATTTAAAATTTTATATTTGAAACTGAACAAACAAAACCTGTGTTCATGGCTTTTTTGGGGAAAAGAACTTTGGTTTTTGTTTTATTCACTTACAAGTCCCCACAATACAATCCAGTCATACTCCCTTGGTCATAGGTAAGCCATTTGCCTGTCTGTATCCCCTTGTTTTGCTTGTTAGTCCACACAAACCAGTGAAGCTCCAGATTACCCTATTCCTTTACCTCTGTATTTATGTTGTACAGGAATATGTGGTTACTTTGTTTCCATAGGTCATAACTTACCAAGTTTAATTTCCTTTACTAGAGAAAAGTACCTTCCTTACCCCACCCCAGGAAAGGGTGAGTCATTTCATCTCACAATATTACTCTTTTATTAGCTTCTTGATTTTTTTTTTTTTTTTTTTGAGAAGTCTTGCTTTGTTGCCTAAGCTAGACTGCAGTGGTGCGATCTTGGCTCACTGCAACCTCCACCTCCCGGGTTCAAGCGATTCTCCTGCCTCAGCCTCCTGAGTAGCTGGGACTACAGGCACGCATCACCATGCCCGGCTAATTTTTGAATTTTTTTTTTTTTAAGTAGAGATGGGGTTTCACTATGTTGAACAGGCTGGTCTCAAACTCCTGACCTGGTGATCCGCCTGCCTCGGCCTCCCAAAGTGCTGGGATTACAGGCGTGAGCCACCATGCCCGGCCAGCTTCTTGATTTTTTTTAGTGTATGGTTACTAATTTAGCCATCTGATGTTCTTTGTGAATTTTTCTGGATGGTTTTTTTTTTTTTGAGATGGAGTCTTGCTCTTTCGCCCAGGCTGGAGTGCAGTGGTGCGATCTCGGCTCACTGCAAGCTCTGCCTCCTGGGTTCACGCCATTCTCCTGCCTCAGCCTCCTGAGTAGCTGGGACTACAGGCGCCTGCCACCACGCCTGGCTGATTTTTTTTGTATTTTTAGTAGAGAAGGGGTTTCACCATATTAGCCAGGATGGTCTCGATCTCCTGACCTCGTGATCCACCTGCCTCGGCCTCCCAAAGTGCTGGGATTACAGGTGTGAGCCACTGCGCCCGGCTGGTTTTGTTTTTTTAAATATAGACAATTATTTTGTTTCTAAGCCACAAAAACCTTTAGAACAGGCTGTTAATTGATGTGTTCCACACATTATAAGTTTCAATGAAATAAACTGCAGTTGGAATTTGATTTAATTTTAAAACATTTTATTTTTTAAATTGAACAGACAGTAAAATTGACTTTTTGTTTGGTTTACATGTCCATGCATTTTAACAAATGTATAGATTTTGAACCACTGCCACTGCCAGGATGCAGAACAGTTCTATAACATCATGATCTAACTTAACAGATTTTTCAATATGGTCACATCTTTAACATTTTAGGCTTGTCCTCTATCTTCAGGTTATTTTTGGATAAACGGTTGTAATATTTTAAAAATAATTATTTTTGACTTGCTTTGTATTTACTATGTCATACAGTTAGCTGTTTAACCAGCTTTTTTTTCTCTCTCAATTAAAGGGTATATTAAGTCAGAGTCAGGATAAATCACTTCGGAGAATAGCAGAATTAAGAGAGGTAAGTTTCAGTGATGAGTACTTTGAAAATAGTAATTAAATCTCATATTTATCAGAACTGTTGTATGTGCTAGGGTAGTTTCATATGCATCTCATTAGTTATACTAATAACTAACCAGTCCAGCCTACAAGACCAGGGGTCAGTTCTTGAAGTTTTTATTTGTATGGTTTTTCTAAGATACATTGTTGGAATTAATGAAATGAGGTGTTAGCAACAGAATATCAATTGTCTGCATGAACAGTCAGCGTCAACTTCCAAGGGTTAACTGGGTTCTTCTGTTATGTATTTCAGGCTTCTTTTTGTTTTTCCTAACCCTAAGTCTTTTTTATAAAATAAATTATGTTTACTGTAATTTTGAGGGGGGTGGGTAATTTTTCATAGCACTTAGACTGTTTGAATTCCTTTATGTCTTCCTGAGGGCCATGTGTACCCACTTGCCATCGGAGTAGGCAAGACCACTCCTGGTTTGACCTGCTGTCTCAAATTATTTTGTAATGAGTACCTGTTGACTTTTGGGGTTCTCCTGCTGTCAGGTCCATCTGATACCTTGTCGCTTCCCTCTGCTTTCTCCTATACAGATCCCAACAATTGCATATTTTACTGCTATTGGTGTTTTCTCTCCACTCATTTGTATTGTTTGTTGAAGAATATCTTGTTACCTATTTTTGTTATGAGTGTTCTTCATGGGTTTTTGTTACTTTCTGTTAATTTATTAACAAAACTAGTGTTATTTTGAGAAGTTTGAAATAGGTAGCTTTAGGACAAATCAAAGTAAGTTTAATGTTTTAGGTATTCTAACTGTGTAATTTATCAGTCCAAGATACAGATTTAAAAAGTATAGATAGCCTTAAAAGGGTCAGGTAAATTAATAAATCTATAAATAGTAATTGAGAAAAACTAGTATAATTGTGGGAGGAGGCAAAGAAGAAAAACAAGGGAGTATAGATTAGGATGATATCATCAATATAGCCGTATTGTCCCATAGAATATTCTTTGTTGTTATTGTCAATGACAGACTATTGCGTGAATTAACAATCAGAATTAATCATATAGGAATTTCCTGTATTATATTACTAAAGTTTTATTCTTATTGCTATCATGTTTGATTTCTAGTCTCTCGCAATTTTTTTATATAGCCAAATTACTGAATTTTTGTGGTATGAAAGAAAGATTATATCATTTACCACAATTCCCAAATAAATTCTTTAAAACATTTCTAAACATGACTTTGAAAACCAGGCTAATTTACTTTTGTTATACTGACAAGACCAAGCATTGGCCTCAATAATACAAATAATTACAGATGTCCTTTATTAATGAAAATTTGTACAACTTCTTTTGGATTAATAACGTAGAAAAATGTATACCCACTTTGGAAGTTATAGAGAAGGAACAAAACCTTAACTCCTGGTCTGCCCAAGATTCTGCTTTCCTAGTTGGACTGGGAATGTGTTAGTACTCAGAAAAGTATGCATGGGGATTAGGCGTATGCAACAAAGGGGTTGTAGGAAGTGAGAGAATGATAGCTAGGGTATCCTCTTTTGTTTCTCCTGCCTTATATTAATAGAAAGAAAGTGCTTTTAGCAGCTAAAAGCACCTTTGCTTTTGCTAGAGGGGCAAATAATACGGCATTTCTACCCAAAAGATTTTTCTGTTAAGCTAATATCTTTTTGCTTAACATTTCTTTTTTACTTGTCTTGTGTTTTGGGAATAAATGAAGGGTGTTGATAGGTATCTTGTATTTCTGGTGAGAAATTAAATGCCCATGTTTTATACAGTTAATGATTAGATATACATAGTAATGGAGAGCAGGCATGTTTAAAATTCAGAGAGTGCACATTAGAGGTTAGGCATCAGGTTTTAATGCCTAAAACCTGATGAATCCTCTTTAAAACATTCGCATTATTTAAATATGCATTGAATAAAGACACAGGAATACCTCTTTATAATGTTATTATATCTGGAAACACAGGAATACCTGTTTTTTTTTCCTTCCTATGCTCAGCCCTTCTCCACTAAGAGCCCTTGTCTGAGGGAGTTATACTCAAGAAAATACAGCTGAATGGGAAACACATCTACTTTACTCATAGATGAGTAAGCACCCATGTGATTGCCGGCTGTTAGTAAAGATAGGCCTCCTATCTATCTATTCTCTAATTTAAATTATAGAACCAGCATTCCCTGGCAATATCAAATGGGGAAAGAAAAAGAATTGACTTAGCTAGCAGGCCCCAGCCTTACTCATCTACTCAGTTGCAGCTGTTGAGGGACTTAGAAAACTGTGAGAGAGCTCACTGGCTGAAAAGCATGCCTTGTCATGCTTGTCTGTGGTAAAATGCATTTGTGTTGACCTTTCAAAGAGGGTGGAGCTCTGTGAAAACTCTGGATGCTGCCAATTAGATTTGCAACTCTACCTAAATTTTTTAGGAGCTGGTGAAATGTTGGGGGCAAAGACCAGAGGTAAGGGAATATGGAACTAAAGGGCCTAATTTAACTTTCCTGCCTAAATCCATAATTTTATGCATTAACTTTATCTTCCTCTATTAGGAAATATTAATACTTATCAGAGTCACAGATTGATGAATTTGTTGGTTTTTTTTTTTAATCCACCTACATGTATTAGTTTTCTCTTGCTGCTGCAACAAATTACCACCAACTTAATGGCTTAACACAACACGAATAATTATCTTAGAAGTTTGACACAAGCCTCACTGGGCTAACATGCTGGCAGAATAGTGTATAGGTAGCCGGGAGAGGGAGAAGGGTACATGATTAAAAGATGCTCCCTTGTAACCAAGGACTTTTTGTCTAGATGAGGAAATGAAAACTTGCAAAATCTGAAAACTATAGTATAAATCGAGGAGTGTTTTTTGGTTTGTTTTTTTTGTTTTGGTGGGCTGTTAGGACTGCTATGTAACAGAGTCCAGCATGGAAGGTTGTAGGTTGTAGGAAATTATTTGGAAGAAATGAAGTTTACCTTCCAGTTCCTTCCAGAAGTGGGGGAGAAGGGAGTTGTCATAGGGCCACTAACTGTTGTATTTCGGAATAAAGACATCAGGAATAAGTACCCAGATTCTTTTATTGCCATTATTTCATTAAAGTAGTTGTGGCCGGGCACAGTGGCTCATGCCTACGCCTGTAATCCCAGCACTTTGGGAGGCTGAGGCAGGCAGATCACGAGGTCAAGAGATCGAGACCATCCTGGCCAACATGGTGAAACCCCGTCTCTAGTAAAAATACAAAAATTAGCTGGGTGTGGTGGCACGCACCTGTAGTCCCAGCTACTCGGTAGGCTGAGGCAGGAGAATCACTTGAACCCGGGAGGTGGAGTTTGGCAGTGAGCCTAGATCGCACCACTGCACTTCAGCCTGGTGACAGCGAGACTCCGTCTCAAAAAAAAAAAAGGTTTTAGTACCAAAACAATTAGGAAGGACATATTCCCAGGATAAAGTAACAGCTACTTATATGAAAGGAATTTAGATCTAAGAAAATCTCTCCACATTGGCTTTTGTTTCTTATTTCACGATGGATCTCTGAAAACATTATTTAGGGCATGACCAGCATTTGGAGACCACTGCTGTGGGAATGTAAAGTCAGGAGACATTTGTGAGAGGAAAAGTAAAAAATATGCTCAGAGATGTTGGGGCAATGTGGGTGTTGGGCAGAATAGAGGACACTTATGAGTGTACCAGATAGTGCCTCAGTGTTTTGCTCGGGCAATTCTTAGTGTTTTGAGAATTAATAAGTTTGAAACAATGTAAGAAGAGGGAGTTGCTTATAATTCTTTGAAAATATTGTTTGAGGAAAATTATTCTAGCAAATGTGTGAGGGATGGATAAAATTAGAGGAGGACTTGAGGTAAGAAATCTGTCTAGAAGGCTATTGAAGGAAATTAACTGTCACAAGCTTGTCTAACCTGCAGCCCGTGGCCTGCATGCAGCCCAGGACGGCTTTGAATGTGGCCCAGCACAAATTTTTAAACTTCCTTAAAACATTGTGAGATTTTTCTTGTGATTTTTTTTTTTAAATGCTCATCAGCTATTGTTAATGTATTTTATATGTGGCCCAAGACAATTCTTTTTCTTCCAGTGTGGACTAGGGAAGCTAAAAGATTGGACATCCCTGATCTAAAGTTTGAGAGACCTGGGCTGTGGTTATAGTTGTGGTAAAAGATAGGATCTAAACATTCTAGAAAAAGTAATAAAAAATATTGATTATATGCAGGGATTAACAAAGATAAGTAAAATGTGACTTTGAATATTTTGAGTTTAGGGAACTAGTGAAGTATAGGAATCCCAGAACGATAAAGAGCTGTCTAATACTTCCATGTGCTAACCTCCGGCATTCTAAGGGAGAAACACAGAAGACACAAGATTGAACCCAAGAGGGCTAGAAGGAATCAGTGAAGGACAAAGAGGAAACTGTAATTGACAGGAGTGTAGCCAGGAGCCCTAAAGCCATGGTCAGCAGGTATAGCTGAGAAAAGCTTCCATAGGTCATTTTGTCATTGTGCAAATACCAGAGTGTTCTTTCAGAAACCTAGATGCTATAACCTGCTATATACCTAGGCAATATTGTATTGTTTATTGTTCCTACACTACAAGCCTGTACAGCATGTTACTGTACTGAACTCTGTAGACAGTTGTAACACAATGGTAAGTATTTGCATATCCAAGTCTATCTAAACATAGAAAAAGCCCTGTAAAAATACGTTATTATAATCTTATGAAACCACCGTCATATGTGTGGTCCGTCATCTTCCAGAACATTGTTATGTGATATGTGACTATACCTAAAATGAACGGGTAATTACTGGTGGCTGGTTTTGCAGAGAGACAAAAATCAATGGATTTGGTTAGGAAGGCTCATTAATGACCTAAAGAAAGCAGCATTTTAACTAATTGCAGGAACTAGAAATTTCATTTTACAGATGAGAAAGCGTTTGGTTTCGACTATCAGACACTTTCATATGTTGGGAGGAGGAAGACTACTGGCTATCTGTTTGGTATATAATAATTTGGTGTTAGATCAGATGAATATAATATAACACAAGTAGTAAGAGTCTCAAAGTTTTTCTTTTATCTTAAGTAATTTTTTTTTTTTTTTTTTTGGGAGACCAAGCCTCACTCTATTACCCAGGCTGGAGTGCAGTGGCAAGCCTCAACTCACTGCAACCTCTTCCTCCCGGGTTCAAGTGATTCCCCTGCCTCAGCTTCCCAAGTAGCTGGGACCACAGATGCCTGCCACCACGCCTGGCTCATTTTTGTATATTTAGTAGAGACGGGGTTTCACCATTTGTTGGCCAGGCTGGTCTCGAACTCCTGACCTCAAGTGATCCACCCTCCTCGGCCTCCCACAGTGTGGGATTACAGGTGTGAGCCACCGCACCCGGCCTGTCTTAAGTGATTATTTATTTTCTCCACATTATTATCAGTGCAGCCATCATTACAGCTCTGGAAAGTACACTTTTTTCTTCTTGGATCTTCATATTCTTTAAGGAACAAAATCATTTGTTGATGCAAATGTTTTAAATAATGTTAATGTTTTACATACTAATTATTCTCTAATTATTGTTGCTGATACCTTAAGGGGAATGCAAATCTGTATTCAACATGTTTTTAAATTTTGAAAACTTTGTATTTTTTGTTTTATACTGAAAATTACCTGTAAATCATTTTATGTTTTAGGAGCTCCAAATGGACCAGCAGGCAAAGAAACATCTGCAAGAGGAGTTTGATGCATCTTTAGAGGAGAAAGATCAGTATATCAGTGTTCTCCAAACTCAGGTAAAAGAGTAAAAGAAAAAGTGTGGAATTTTTTGGATAAAGAAAAATAGAGGGGGTTTGATTTGGATATCTGCAAGGTTGCAAAAGTTTTTTCTTTTTTAAGACCTATTTTTAAAACTTTTTGCTTTCCTCAATTTTTTTTATTTTTAATTTTTTTTGAGACAGAGTCTTGCTCTTTCACCCTGGCTATAGTGCAGTGGCGTGATCATAGCTTAACTGCAATCTCAAATTCCTGGGCTCTAGCAATCCTCCAGCCTCTGCCTCCAGAGTGGCTGGGAATACAGGCATATGCCACCACGCCCAGCTAATTTTTAAATTTTTTGTAGAGATGGGGTCTCACTATGTCGCCCAGGCTGGTCTCAAACCCCTGGGCTCAAGCGATCCTTCCGCCTTGGCCTCCCAAAGTGTTGGGATTATAGGCATGAGCCACCACTCCTAGCTCTTCAGTTAATGTTAAGGATACTTTTTTATTTATTGTATCTTTTGACTAACTGCATAATAATAATAGCAAATATAAAAACCAGCTGTATTGGGAGTAAACTTTTTATTTTGATTATTTTCCCCCACTTTAGTAAGAAGAATATCATTTAATCCGTCCTCTCTCTGTTTTAAATAAAGTACAATAAGCCATCCACATTGATGTGTTTTTGTATGTGTGGATTCAACCAACTGGATCAGAAATATTTAGGGGGTGAAAACCATGTGTAGTGAACATGTAGACTTTTTTTCTTCTCATTATTTTCTAAAATATATGTAGTACAACAACTACTTGCATAGCATTTTCATTATTTAGGTAGTTTATGTAATCTAGGGATGATTTAAATTATACTGGAGGATGTGTGTAGGCTATATGCAAATACTACACCATTTTATATAATGGACTTGAGCTCCTGCGGATTTTGGTATTAACAGGGAATCCTGGAACCAATCCCCCACAGATACCAAGGGACAATTGTACTACTCCCATAGTTTTTTTTGACTTTTTTCTAATGAAGCACATTTATATTAGGTTTCTCTACTGAAACAACGATTACGAAATGGCCCGATGAATGTTGATGTACTGAAACCACTTCCTCAGCTGGAACCACAGGCTGAAGTCTTCACTAAAGAAGAGAATCCAGAAAGTGATGGAGAGCCAGTAGGTAAGCTTCATTTTGTCAAAAGGTTAATTTAAAAACTAGAGGAGAGCCAGGCTCCTTGGCTTACACCTTTAATCCCAACACTTTGGGAGGCCAGTGTGGGAGGATCGCTTGAGTTCAGGAGTTTGAGACCAGCCTGGGCAACATAGAGAAAACCCTTCTCCACAAGAAAAACAAAAACAAAAATGAAACCCCAAGAAAACCTAGAGGAGGATTTTGAGAGATTCCAGGATGTGAGCTGATAGATATGGGCTGAGGTAGAAGTGTCCGTGGTCCTAATAGTTTCAGAAAGATGCAAGGGTTTGTTTTGTTTTTTTGGTTCTTTGTTGTTATTTAGGAGAAAATAAGTGTTTTTTGTTTGCTTGTTAGTTTGAGATGGTGTCTCACTCTATTGCCTAGGCTGGAGTGCAGTAGCATGATCTCGGCTCACTGCAACCTCCATCTCCTGGGTTCAAGCGATTCTCCTGCCTCAGCCTCCCGAGTAGCTGGGATTACAGGCACACACCACCATGCCCGGCTAATTTTTGTATTTTCAGTAGAGACGGGCTTTCACTATGTTGGCCAGGCTGGTCTCGAACTCCTAATCTCAAGTAATCTACCTGCCTCAGCCTCCCAAAGTATTGGGATTACAGGTGTGAGTCACTGTGCCCAACCAAAAAAGTTGTTTTAATATGCAAAAATTTCATAGTCTGTAACACCACATTTTCATTGTAATTGAAATTCATTTATTATGCTACACTGTTTTATTAATAGCAGTAGCTAGATTTCATATGAACAGGTCAGTTCTGCTTACATGCTAATAAGTGGGCTATTTGTAATTGTTTGGATATTTTAGTTTTTAAATATTGCTTAAATAGTTCTATATTCATAGATATTTGTATTTGTCCTATTAATTGCTTTTTAACTGGAAAAAGAAGAAATAGCTATATTTTGTCTTAAAATTCAGTTACAGCCTTCTTTGCTTTGAGGCTTGAGGTATATACGCAATAAAATTCCCGTCTTTTATTTCCTAGCTTTTTCTTTCAAAGGGACTTATGATAAACTTGGAGTAAGTAGTTGAGCAGTTAACTATCTGAGCAACCAGACTATGGTGGGGTGGTGGGGCGGCGGGGCCAGTCCCGAAATTCCCAGACATGTGGAAACTTCAGACTCATAAATGTAAAGAGATGGAGAAAGTTGCACTTACCAGAACTCCTCTCAGAAAGAGATTAGAATGTGGTTGGAAAGAATACCGTACTTTATTAATCCTTTTGGGAGGTGAGCTAAGACACATAATTTTGAATAACAAAAGATGATTATCAAACTGTCATTTTAAGGAGGGTGGATTCAGTTAATGTTAGTTAACTACTGTGCCATTCTGAATGGGGTTGAACCTCAAAGAGGTGAATTACTACTAAGCTTCTTCAGATAAAGATTAAACAACTAATACTAAGTAGAGGTTTGGAAGGGTGCCAGTTTATTAGCTGACTAGGGTTGTCCCTTCTTCATCTAAGAGTATAGCAGAATATTGGTGTAAGAATACACTCCTGGTGGGGCGTGGTGGCTCTCACCTGTAATCCCAACACTTTGGGAGGCTGAAGCAGGCGGATTGCCTGAGGTCAGGAGTTCGAGACTAGTCTGGCCAACATGGTGAAACCCCACCTCTACTAAAAATACAAACAAGTTAGCGAGACGTGGTGGTGTGCGCCTGTAATCCCAGCTACTTGGGAGGTTGAGGCAGGGGAATTGCTTGAACCAGGGAGGTGGAGGTTGCAGTGAGCCGAGATCATGCCACTGCACTCCAGTCTGGGCGGCAAAGCGAGGCTCCGTCTCAAAAAAAAAAAGAGGGAATACACACCTGTGTAGTAACAGACTGTTCCTGGAAGTGTCCTTATATTTGTAACCGCCCAAAGGGTTCACCTTGCCCACTGCCTAGACAGAGCTGATTTATCAAGATAGGGGAATTGCAGTAGAGAAAGAGTAATTCACGCAGAGCCGAGTGTGCACGTGACCAGAGTTTTATTTTACTCAAATCAGTCTCGCCAAGCATTCACGGATCCGAGTTTTTAAGAACAATTTAGTGGGTGGGAGGAAGCCAGTGAGCCAGGAGTGCTGATTGGTCAGGTCAGAGATGATATCATAGGGAATCAAAGCTGTCTTCTTGTGCTGAGTCACTTCCTGGGTGGGAGCCACAAGATCAGATGAGCCAATTTATCGATCTGGGTGTTGCCAGCTGATCCATCAAGTGCAGGGTCTGCAAAATATCTCAAGCAGTGATATTAGGAGCAGTTTAGTGGTGGTCAGAATCTTGTAGCCTTCAGCTGCATGACTCCTAAATGATAATTTCTAATCTTTTGGCTAATTTGTTAGTCCTACAAAGGCAATCTAGTCTCCAGGCAAGAAGGGGGTTTGTTTGGGAAATGGCTTTTATTGTCTTTGTTTTAGACTATAAACTATAAACTAAGTTCTCCCAAAGTTAGTTCAGCCTACACCCAGGAACGAACAATGACAGCTTAAAGGTTAGAACCAAGATGGAGTCGGTTAGATTAGATCTCTTTGACTGTCTCAGTCATAATTTTCCAAAGGCAGTTTCATATTCCTTACTGATGGGCCCTTCTTATGTTGCTTTATTGTTAGTGGAAGATGGAACTTCTGTAAAAACACTGGAAACACTCCAGCAAAGAGTGAAGCGTCAAGAGAACCTACTTAAGCGTTGTAAGGAAACAATTCAGTCACATAAGGAACAATGTACACTATTAACTAGTGAAAAAGAAGCTCTGCAAGAACAACTGGATGAAAGACTTCAAGAACTAGAAAAGATAAAGGTAAAAGAGCAGATGAGTTTTGTTCTAATTTAATCTATAAAGTTAGATCCACAGGCTCCACAGCATGGCTTGTACCTCCGGGAGAGGAGAGTGGATGGAAAGGGCATTTTTGTTTGCCCTGGCCTACATAACACCAAACCTTGAGACTTACTGTGTACTTTTTTCCTTCTGCACTGTAACATGTATATAAATTAGATAAATGTTTAGAGTTCTCAAATGAGAAGAAGCTTTATTAGAGATGGAAATGAATTTAAAAATTTTTTTTAGGACCTTCATATGGCCGAGAAGACTAAACTTATCACTCAGTTGCGTGATGCAAAGAACTTAATTGAACAGCTTGAACAAGATAAGGTAAAACAACAAAACCTATGATACTAAAATTTGTCAAGAGGCCCCAACATTTACTTTTGGAAACAGTTGGAAACATTCATGCTTGTTTCTGTTTTCTAAAAATTATTGCAGCTTTTTCCATGAAAAATCTTTAATTTCTAGATTTTTGTAACTACTAGCATTAGTTTTGTGTCATGTAAAACTGATTCTCTGATTTCTTGATCCCAGTCAGCATTATGATTTGTAGACTAGAATAACTGTTGCAAAGGAAGTTTATATTTATAGTACATAACTACTTTACAGAGAAAAGTTATTTATAGTTAAGGCATTATAAATGTGAATGATATCAGTATGTTCTTTCAGATAATATGGAAACAGATTAATCTCTCAGATAAGTTGCCTAACAAATAAATAAGGGGCTGGGCACAGTGGCTCATGCCTTTAATCTCAGCACTTTGGGAGGCTGAGGCGGGAGGATTGCTTGAAGCCAGAAGTTCAAGATCAACCTGGGCAGTAAAGCAAGACCTCCTCTCTACAAAAAAAAAAAAAAATTAGCTGGGTATGTTGGTATATGCCTGTGGTCCCAGCTACTCGGGAGGCTGAGGCAGGAGGATTGCTTGAGCCCAGGAGTTAGAGGCTACAGTGAGCTATGGTCACACTAGTGTACTGCAGCCTGGGTGACAGGGTGAGACCCTGTCTCTTAAAAAAACAACAAACAAAAATAAGTGATAATGTATATATTAGCATAAATAAAAATGTCTACAAATGAATTTTAGAATGTGTAGATGAGATTAGAGGATTGAGGAAGGAATGAGTCTTACCTTTGGTAGTTTGGAGTTGGAGCAGCAGCTAAAGCTACGCAGCAAAGACAACCAGAAAATTCATGGGTAAACAGTTTTGACCTGTCTTTCAGCTCCAAGTTCTTGGGTCCTTTTTCTAAGCAGCTCCCAGTTTGTTCCATAGCATCCACCATTTTCTTTAATATGCCGGGTTATCACTAGAGTATTTTAAGTGGTCACGTAATTAAGAACATGTCAGAGCTGTCCTGCTGTTAAAATGTATTGGCAATCTTTTTCATCCTTTTGATAATACTGCTTTGCTAGATTATACACTTCTTGAGGGCCTACTTAAATTGTTTTTTTTTTTAAATATTATAATGAAGAACTTAAAACATTTACAAAAGAAAAGCTGCTAAAATGAATTTCTTTGAACCCACCACCCCGCTTCAACAGTTAACATCTCATGACTAATCTTGTTTCATCTGTACCTTCTCAACTGTCATTGTCCTACTCACCCAGAATTGTTTTAGAGCAAATCCAAGAAATTTTATCATTTTTTTCCAAAAGTATTTTAATATATCTTTAAAATAAAAGACATTATTTTTACAATACTATAACCACATTATCATGATCACATCTAAAAATTTAATAATTTTAAAATATGACCTGCTATCTAGTCAGTTTCAGATTTTCTCTAGTTTCTCATATATTTTTTGCTCTTTTATGAATCAGGGTCCAAATAAAGTTTTTTCATTGCAATTGGTTGATATGACTCTTAAGATTTCTTTTAATTTACTGGTTTGATTATCTTCTCTCCTTCTCTTTCCACTATATTTTGGTTTTTGAAGAAACTGAAAGCCCATGATTTTGTTTTGAGATTTCATATAGCAGTGCCTCACTTACGTGGTTGTTATCTCTCTGTCTCTCCATTAATATTAGCCATCTGGAAGAGTCATATTCTAAAGCAAGGGTTGGCAAACCCTGTGGAGAGGGTGCTAATCTTAAGACCATGAAATTGTTGTCACAAAGTCTGAACATTTTTTCAAGAGACAAGTGAACCACCTCATTTTTTGTTAGTCCTAAATGACTTTTTTACTGTATACCATTTAGTTGTCTTTTTCCCCTGCCGACCTCCATTTCTAGTGTAGATTATCCAGAAAGAGGGAACAGAAGTAACTAGCAAGTTGGAGGAATGGAGATGCCTTACAAAGTAAGGAATAGTGGTGGTACCAGAGACAGTCACAGGAAGAAAGAGAAGAACCAGGTAGATGTGTCCTGGGATTTTGCTTTATCCAGTGTGGCAGCAGGCACCTTCCATTCTCAAGTGTCTGGGGTTATCCCCATGTTATAGTACAGATCAATACTTGTAGTTTATTGTAGTGCCAAGCCAGGTTCAGAAGACTATATTTTGTTCATTATAAACTGTTTACTAAGACAGATAGCACATTTGTAGAAAGGCTATAAAATAAATCTTTTAAGTAATAATGTTTTAATGCTTTAAGGATTAAACTATTAAAATTTTTAATGTAAAAAATACTGTTATGCTAGGTAATAGGATTAGAGCAGAAAACAGACCTCAGTTTGTGAAGTATTGAAATAATTGTTATGCTGTACTTAGCAAGAAATATCATTTTTTCTGCCTTTTATTTTTTGTTTTTTAATTTTTAATTTTTTTTTGAGACGGAGTCTCACTCTGTCACCCAGGCTGGAGTGCAATGGCGTGATCTCAGCTCACTTCAACCTCTGCCCCCTGGGTTCAAGCAATTCTCCTGCCTCAGCCTCCTGAGTAGCTGGGATTACAGGCATATACCACCATGCCTGGCTAATTTTTGTATTTTTAGTAGAGACAGGGTTTCGCCATGTTGGCCAGGCTGGTCTCGAACTCCTGATCTCAGGTGATCCACCCTCCTTGGCCTCCCAAAGTGCTGGGATTATGGACATGAGTCACCATGCACCATGCCCGGCCTTTTTCTGCCTTTTAAATTAAGTTTTATCTGTGCTGTTGATGATGCAGTTTTGTTATGCAAATGTTTTAGAGTCTTCACTTCTATTCAGGGAATGGTAATCGCAGAGACAAAACGTCAGATGCATGAAACCCTGGAAATGAAAGAAGAAGAAATTGCTCAACTCCGTAGTCGCATCAAACAGATGACTACCCAGGGAGAGGAATTACGGGAACAGAAAGAAAAGTCCGAAAGAGCTGGTAAGAACTTGAGGGTTACTTGTTTTATGTTGGAACTCAAAAGTTATTTAAAGTGCTTGACCAGTATTTTTAAAAATGAGTTAAATATTGATAAAAATTCTTAACTATAGAGGCTCCTAATAAGACACCCATCTGCTCATTAGAGGAGGCAGAGGTTGGCAAACTGTGGCCTGTGGGCCAGATCCAGCCCACAGCCTATTTATGTACAGCCCTTAGGCTAAGGATGATTTTTACATTTTTAAATACTTGAACAAAAGAAAAATATATGACAGAGACCATATGTGGTCTACAAAACCTAAAATATTTATCATCTGGCCCCTTACAGAAAATGTGTGCTGACAGAGTATCAAAATTCAGATTTAAAATTGTAGAACTTCCCAGTAGGTACAGCATGGTACTTATTAAATAATTGCTACCTTATAGATGCTTTAGGGTAAACAAAAAGTCTAAGTTATAGTCTGCTTTTAAAGAGAATAATGAACACTTCAGTGTTAATAGCATGTTTTGACACAATAAATGCTGGGCTATAAAGTATAGAAACCAGCATAGTATTCAACAAGGTACAAAATCGACTAAAGCTAGGAAAGGAGGGATGTTTGAAAGAGGAGAGAGCAGGATGAACTGTGCCTTCACATCAGTGAAGATGTGAGTTTTGAATTGGACCTCAAATAATCAATAGAATGGGCCTAACAAGAGAGGTGTGGGCAGCACACATTTCAGATGCTACAATGCCGTAAACAGGCACAGTGATCATAGTGGGTGTGTGAATCAGCTGAAAACCATTCTTGCTGAAGTGGGAAATGCAGTTGGATTGTAAAGGAACTGACTATTGAAATCTTAAAAGGTAGGTAGCTGAGTTTAGACTTTGATATACAGAGTAACAGGAAACCAGTAATAGGAAGGCATAATGTGATGGGAGCTAGGGTTTTATGTAGAAAAGAAATGAAATAGGAAGTCAAACTTAGAAGCAAAGACAGAAATCCAGTTTGAGGGACTGTGAGCTTTAGCCGCCTTGCTAGGATGGTGGTTCTGGGAAGGAGAAGAAAGGTAGAATCTGTAGAATTTGGTATCTGATCAACTCAGGGAGGCAGAAGAAAAGTAAGGACTCTAAATTGACTCCAAAGTTTTAAGCTTAGGACACTTAATGAATAGTAGTGTGGAATTAGAATAGGAAATCTAAATGGGGAAGTTGAGAATTGGAGTGAAATGATGGGTTTTTTAGATACACTGAATTTGACCCAGTCATGAGCTTTTCAAATGGAATTGAGTTGCAGGAATTTGGAAATAAGAAATTGGAACATCTTTCAGGAGTCATCAGCCTAGGATCGAAGCCTGTGGTTAAATCTGTAGGAGAGGCGGATTTCTACAAAAGATTAAGTTTTACAGTAGTAGTAATAGTCATAGTGGTAACAGCAGCAGCTGCTTCTGCTGACGCTTATTTAGCACTTGTTGCTGCTACTACTACTGCTGCTACTATTGTTAATACTACTGCTAGCCATTACTTACTTTAGTAATGCTCTGCTCTAAGGGCTTTGCTTGTATTTACTTGTATTGCATCCTCACAAGTGTATGAAATAATACTATTATCTTCATTTTACAAATAAGCAAACCTAAGAACATAGAAGTTAAGTAATTTACCTACATTTATGCACAGAGAATAAGTATATACTCAAGATTTAATCCAGGCATTGTGACTCAGAGTCTGTGCTCTTAACCATATAGAGGTCTTGAGTTTGGCAATGAGACATAAATGAGAAAAAAAAAGTTACCTCATGAAGTCATAGGAATTGTGGATAGTTTTTTGGGGGAATATAAGATATGTTTCAAGAAATGGAGAAGGTAAGATGAAGACTTTGAAAAGGTCCTTGAATTTGGCAAGGATTTGATTTGGAGGATGCAGTTTTGAGAAATGATTTTATAAACCAGATTTTAAGGTGTTAAGGAGGGGACTGGGTCTCTAGACAGAGAAATAGTTGACTATTTCATAAGTATCTCCCCATCTTCTTGGACTTATTTTATGGATAAAGTGACTGGGGAATTTAGTTAATGAATTTGTTCTCATCAAACCTAAGAAAACTTCCCTTTAGAGAGAGTAGATGGCATCTTTCAGAATATAATCTTTGAAGACTGACTTGAAGCAGTTTGAGTGTTGTAAGACATTGGTTCAACAGGTTTGCTTTCAGTGAACAGAAAATCTAATGCATAGCCTCAGCTTCTCATATCAAGCCTTTCCATTTTTAGAACTGCTTTCTGTTGACTGTTGTAGCCAGTAGAGAGAAAATGTTGGTCAGGGGATTACATTTCTTTTAAAATTCAGTGTACTTAATGAGGAGATAGAAACTGATTAATAAATATCAAGTTGAAAAGGGTAAATGATGAAAAGGTAGACAAAATATATAGTTCATTTACATGCGGATAAAATTTTCTGGTATATGTTCCAGTTAAACCTTTAGTAGAACAGCTTTCCTTCCCTTGCTTGCTTCTCCAAAACACAGGTATATTTTGTCTTTCAGTGTGATTTTCATAAACCATATTTTTTTAATATTTGATAGCGTAAAGGTTTAAAATTTTTTCTATTAATACTGTCAAAAATAAAAAATAAATACTAAAAGAATTAAGATTTAAATTATTATTACTTTTTTTGGGCACAATCTCGGCTCACTGCAACCTCCGCCTCCTGGGTCCAAGTGATTCTCGTGCCTCAGGCTCCTGAGTAGCTGGGTTTACAGATGTGTGCCACCACACTTGGCTAATTTTTGTATTTTTAATAGAGACCGGGTTTCACTGTGTTGGCCAGGCTGGTCTCGAACTCCCAACCTCAGGTAATCCACCCTCCTTGGCCTTTCAAAGTGCTGGGATGACAGGTGTGAGCCACTGCGCCCTGCCAGATTTAAATTATTAATGGATACATTTATTTTGGAAAGTCTTTAGATAACAAAGTTGTAAGTGCTTTTATAGATTTCTTAAAAATTATATTTGTAGTCATAATAATTGAGGGCTATGATGCAAAGTTGTAACAAACTGTCTCTACATTGAAGATAATGCCTTTTACATCTATAATGAAAGCTAGTTTTGCACACAAACTGTATTTCATTTAATAGTCTTAGTTGAGTCTAAACAGAACTGTTCAAGTAGGAAGTGATTCTTAGTTCAAATGTAAAGGTATATGCCAATTGAAAGAAAACTTCCAATTAAGTACTAAACATAAGAAAAGGTCAATGTAAAGGAAGTAGGATTTCTATAAATAGTCTGGCTATTGGAAAATTCAATTGCTCTATTAAATATTTGTTTTATTCTTTGTTAGATTTAAAATTCAAAGGCTAAATATAAGAACTGGCCATGTGAAGGAAACATTAATATCATTACAGCTTGCTATTAGGATTTTAGAAGTAGATATGTCTACATAAAACTCTTATCTAGAAAATAAACTCTCCAAATGCATTTTCAACTGTGAAGAAATTTAATTCTGATATTGCTGGTAATTCTTGATGTGAATATTAGTAGACAAATCACTAATTCCTTTGGCTCACTTATTCTGGATGTCAAAATCAGCTCAAGAACGTTCCCCACTACTTTTCTTGGGAAACAGTCTCTTAAGCTGCTCCTCATATTTTTTTCTAGATGAATTGTGGTGCCTTTCATATGTTGGAGGACAGAGGAAATCTGAATGTCTTTGATTTTAAACAGAATGATTGTTTATTTTCTTTGTTTTATTTTTCTGTTTTTGCATGCTGGCATAAAAAGAATAATTCTGTTATAAAATACTGAGACTGTGAATACAGTGGTGTACCGATTTCAGGATGGTGTATCAACCTGCAGTTCTTAAATAGTCTCCTCTCTAGTAGAAATGTTAGGCATAGTTTTTGACGTATGAGAGCATAGCATTCTTGTTTTGTTAAAAATATGTATTTTAGTGGATAAAGAAAACAAAAAATAAGTTTATTGGTTATAAGCGCTTCTGTAATTGTTGATAGTGTTTCTTTCTAGTTGTTACTTAAGAACAGATGGTCATATCTTCTATTAACCAGATTTTAAACTTGGAAAAGTTTGGTGGTTCAGCTTAAGTACATAATGCTGTATTTTAACTCTCCAGGAAATTATATCCTCAGTGTAGCACCAGTGTAGAATGTTAATGCTACCGAAGTTCACACTAGTTCTTGGCTGTTCTCTGTGTGTGTGTGTGTGTGTGTGTGTGTGTGTGTGTGTGTGTGTATCAGGATAGGAGATAGGGGTAGCTAATTATTAATGCAGTGTATTACCAAAAAATTGGAAAATAGAGAAAATCACATCACTGTTGTTTTAGTAAATTTCCATTTAGTGTTTTCTCTAATTTTTTTTAATTATTGTAATAATACGGCACATTCAATTTTGTATGTTCTTCTCCCCCATTTAGCATTATGTTATTGACACTTTTACGTGTTGCTAAAGTTAATATATTTTAATGGCTGTGTCAAAGTGCATGTACATCATTTACTTGGTTATCATTTCCTTATTGTTTATCATCTAGATTATTATATATTTTTGTTATACTATTGTGACAATTTTGAGATATAGCTTATTAGATCTTTGAATTTTATCTTAGGATAAATTCTTAACCATAGACTTTTAGTCTTTTTTGTTAGCTACTTTTAAGTGATTTAAATATATATAGCCATTAAAAAAGTAACCCATGCCACAATGTTAATCCTCCCTCCCATTAAAATGTTTTTTCCTACAATTATGCAACATGAATAAAGTATTTTGCTTAGATTAGGGAAGTTTCTAGAGTATAGTAACTTTTGTAAACCCCGTTTCCCTTTCATGTACCTTGTCTTTGCTGAAGTTACTTGTTTTATATGATTGGTGGCATTTAAAAACTTGGACTAACTCATAACATTCTTTGCTTTTTTATTGTCATGTTGTGTTTGTGCAGGAAATATGTTTTTTATTCATTTGTATAGTATAGGTCTGATACACCAAAAGAAATTCATTAGAACATATTTATTTGATGTTTGAAGGACTCTTTAAAATAGTTTATCTGTTTAAATAATGTGTAAGATTTATGCATTTTTATATAACAAACCAAAATCACATGTGTATTTAACTGCTTTGTTAGTTGCTGATAATTTATGTAACAAAATTTTCTTGGAGTCTTAAGTCTCACAAAACATCTTATTTTTGTGCATCCACACATGCCAATAAGTGAATCATGGTGCCTTTCCCAAGCCTTGTATGAACAGGACTGGGGTAAGGGCTATTTTTTTTCTTATCATGGGTACTTAGAATAAGCTTTACAAAGAAAATTCCATGTTTCTCAGGCAAAAAAAAAAAAGTATGAATGAAAGTAGATTTTAAGTATGCCATGTTAGATAAATAATACGTACGTATTTTGGCACTAAATGAATAACTGCTGGAAAAATTTATTTTAAGTGGCTTTTAAAATGCAATTATTTATGTCTCCAACAATGTCACTATTACTTGAAACCATCAGTAATTTAAAAACACGTTTCTTTGGTGCGGGATTATATTTCTAATTTAATCAATGTACTTAGCTTTAGCTTAATATTTTTCAACATTAGCCTGATGTTTTCAAGGTATTTGATAGATAAATATGTATGTAAAGTGTACATGAAAATTTGGGGCTGGGCGCGGTGGCTCACGCCCGAAATCCCAGCACTTTGGGAGACTGAGGCGGGTGGATTACCTGAGGTCAGGAGTTCAAGACCAGCCTGGCCAACATGGTAAACCCCATCTCTACTAAAAATATAAAAATTAGCCGGGCATGGTGGCGTGTGCCTGTAATCCCAGCTACTCTGGAGGCTGAGGCAGGAGAATCACTTGAACCTGGGAGGCAGAGGTTGCAGTGAGCCGAGATCCTGCCATTGCACTCCAGCCTGGGCGACAAGAACGAAACTCTGTCTCAAAAAAAAAAAACGAACAAAAAGAAAAAGAAAATTCGGATAAATTGGTAAATTTTTTGAAAGTCAAAGCATAGTCAGTTTATAGAATGAATCTTGTTATATATTTTGTAGTATGGCTTAAAATGTAGTTTTCCATTGCAAAAGTGATATTTATTAAATCTCTGTGAAGGCCCTAATTTATAGATAAGCATTGCACTATCTAATTTATGCCACCGGGTGGTAGTATTTTATTTTCATTTATGTAAGCTCTAGACTAGTAGCTTTCAGACTTTTTGATCTCAGGGACCTCTTAACACTCTTAAAACTTATTGGTGATTCCAAAGAGCTTTATTTATGTGGGTTATATGTATTGATATTTACTGTATTAATAATTAAAAGTAAATATATATATATATTTTTTTGAGACAGAGTCTCACTCTGTCGCCCAGGCTGGAGTGCAGTGGTGTGATCTCGGCTCACTGCAACGTCCGCCTCCTGGGTTCAAGCAATTCTCCTGCCTCAGCCTGCCAAGTAGCTGGGACTACAGGCGTGTGCCACTACGCCCAGCTAATTTTTTGTATTTTTAGTAGAGACGGAGTTTCACCGTGTTAGCCAGGATGGTCTCAAACTCTGACCTCGTGATCTGCCCGCCTCGGCCTCCCAAAGGGCTGGGATTTCAGGCGTGAGCCACTGCGCCTGGCTAAAAGTAAAAATTTTAACAATATTTGTTTAATTCATTTTTAAAATAACAATTATAGGCCGGGTGTGGTGGCTCATGCCTGTAATCCCAGTACTTTGGGAGGCCGAGGTGGGTGGATCACTTGAGAGCCAGGGGTTTGAGAATAGCCTGGCCAACATGGTGAAACCCTGTCTCTACTAAAAATACAAAAATTAGCTGGATATGGTGGCGCGTGCTTGTAGTCCCAGCTACTCGGGAAGTTGAGGCAGGAGAATCGCTTGAACCTGGGAGGTGGAGGTTGCAGTGAGCCAAGATCACGCCACTGCACTCCAGCCTGGGCGACAGAGCGAGACTCTGTTTCAAAAATAAAAATAACAATTATAGGCCGGGCGTGATGGCTCATGCCTGTAATGCCAGCACTTTGGGAGGCCGAGGCGGGCGGATTACCTGAGGTCAGGAGTTTGAGACCAGCCTGGCCAACATGGTGAACCCCGTCTCTACTAAAAATACAAAAATTAGCTGGGCATGGTGGCACACGCCTGTAATCCCAGCTATTCTGGAGGCTGAGGCAGGAGAATTGCTTGAGCCTGGGAGGCGGAGGTTGCAGTGAGCCAAGATTGTGCCATTGCACTCCAGCCTGGCTGACAGAGCGAGACTCTTGTCTCAAAACAAACAAACAACAACAACAAAAAACAAACAAAAAAAACCAGTTATAAATCCATTACATGTTAGCATAAATACTTTTTCATTCTACCTATATTTTCCAAAATAAGGTTTAGTGTGAAGAATGGCCTTGTTTTACATTTTTGTTATCTCATTGCTTGGCTTAATAAAATGCAGCTGGATTTTCATGCCTGTTTCTGCATTTAATCCGTTGTGATGTATTATTTTGGTTGAAATATGGGAAGAAAATCTACTCTTACATAGACACGTATTTGGAAAAGGGAGAATCTCACAGATCCTCTGAAAGGGTCTCAAGACCCCAGGATCTTTGGACCACATATTGAGAACTGCTGCTGTAGACTTTGATTTTATTTGCCAAAGAGGCTTGATGATTCAGTGGGAATTCTGATAAAATTCTTTTTGTTGCTTTTTCTGTTAATTTGCATTTCATTCATTTTGTAGTGCATTTCATTCACTCATTTTGTTTGTTTGTTTTTGCTGGGATAAAGACAGGCATTGGCTTACTTACTCATTCTTCATGTCATTAACCAGCTTGTTAGGATCATCAGTTAATCTAGAGGTTAACAGCCTTTTCACACTTCTGCATTTTTGTTTATTTCCTACACTGGGAGTAGAAGTGGGTCTTGTTAACCATATAGTGAAGTGTTCTCTGGGGCAGTGTAACAAAATAGTAATGCTGCATGAAACCTCAGAATTCTGGCATTTCTTATTATAATTGATTAGGATACTCAGGATGAGGAGTATCCTAAGAAGTGCTGGAGTAGCAAAAACAATGCCACATTCTTCCTAGCTGTATCTAAGGATTAGTTATTTTATTCCCTTTTCTTACTACTTCAGCTATCTTTTTGTGAAATATTTTCTTTGTCACTTAATACCTAGCATATGCTTGGCAGTTGGTAAACAGCTGCTAAGTATGTATTTGATGACTGAATGGTTGGATTATTGAGCTACAGATTGTCAACCTTTCTCATTTAACCCTTATAGAGAGCATTTGTCCATTTTTATAATTCCCATGGATGTGAGTGAACCTCATCTGAACTGGAAAGTGAGGAGCTAGCAATAAAGGGTCTGCCCTGCATTTTACTTAACTGACAGAGGATCATACTTACAGTTCATTAAAGATTGACCTAAAAGTATTTTTAAAGTGTGTGTGTGTGTGTGTTTTTTTTTTTAAATAAAAATTGCCTGAGATACATTGAATTTTGCTTTGGAAGAACACAGTGTGTTCTTGCAACATTCTGCGGCAGTTCGTGCTTAGCCTTCCTATTGATGTGTGCCGTGACTGTGGTTTTCCCATGCACTCTTGCATGTTGGCAGAAGACTTGTCAGCTGTGACTGATGCACGCTTTATTTCTCCCCACTCACTTATCTTTTGTTGGGAATTTGAAAGATAAATTGTCTAGACATTTTGAACATACTTTTTTAGTACTTACATTAAAATCCTAGTTTCACTTTGGAAAGGGTAGGGAATTCACTTTTAGAATATTAGTAGGCTGTGGGCACCATTTCTAGGGGTTACAAGGTCAGGTGAGATGTTTCTGGGTAGTAAGTAAACTCTCAGTATATCCTCTTTAAACATAGTGATGAGACTCAGTGTTGGAGGCAGATTTCCTGTGAGGAAGTGGCTTCATTTGTGATACAGTGTAGAATCCATAATGGGTTTGAAATACGTTTTCTGTGTTTGGATATTATAAATATATAAAATATAAATGCCTTTCCCCACCACTGTTTTTGGCCAGTTAACATTTCCTTAAAGCACGATGGGGAGGCAGAAAGCAGTGAGTTTTGTGTCAGAAAGAAGTATAACATACTGCATTTTGTTGAGAGTTAAAAGCCATTAGTAATTGATTGGCTCAGAAATTCTGCTTTAGTAAGAAACATTATTGCCCAATGGAGCTCGATCCATTTCAGCATTCTTAGTTTTTAAAAATATGGCAAGGTATGGATCGTTGCTTAAAGCCAATTTTAAAGTTCTATCATCAGGCTTATATATTCAAGTTGATTTAACATCTGAAGGAAAATTTGGATGCTTCAGTTACCATATGTCAATGAAAGATTTCAATGGTTTCTTTCTAGGTGTGAAATTATTTGGTTCCCTGACATGGTACTGGAAAGTGGGAGAGAGGGTTAAATTTAGATGAAAAGAACTGTGAAACCAAATCCATCCTACTTTCATTGTTGTATGATGGATAATAAATTGACTTGGACAAACTTTTAGTGGATTAAACACTAAAATTCGACTGTATATAGAAGAATATCCTGAAATTTACTGACTAGATTAGAAAACTTAATTAGCAGAAAATTATATCTAAACAGGAACTTGTGGCATGGATTTTTTGTTGTTTGAAAAGGTGAGAACATTACATTTATTTTTTTATACTGTGCTGGATTCTGGAATTTAAAAAATGAAAACAGAAAATTCACTAGTATTGACTACATAGTTTTGTTTTATTTTACTTAATTGACAAAAGGTTTTCATTTAAACTCTTATTTTGCTGAAAGGGTATCAAAACTGTCTTCAGTTTCTCCAGAGCCTGATTGAAGATATTTCTGTGAATTACTCAGAAATGCTGAGATGCAATTTTATATGCTGGATAATAATGAAAAGGGGCTGATGACACCTAAGCATTAAAAGACATTGTCATAACCTTTTTTCATTCCTCCAGCGTTTAAACCTTCAACACAAACTAATTAGGCAGTAAGCACTTTGTTTCAGAATCTTTCCCATAATTAGTCACTTTACTTGACTGATTTTTTTAAGTGAGGGAACTAATTTCTTGTTAGTAGTAAGCGTTCATTATTTCCGTATTTTCTGTATGCTTAACGTTAGAATTTATAGTAAAAGAATATGTAAAACAAAGATACCATTTTTGTTTCCAACATATTTGTATCTAAGGATTATCATCTTGGGGTTTGCAGGCAAATGCCAGTAAAGTTAGAATAGGAATCTTTTTTTTTTTTTTTTGAGAGACAGGGTCTCACTTGTCACCTAGGCTGGAGTGCAGTGGCACAATCACTGCTCACTGAAGCCTTGACCTCCCAGACTTAAGTGATCCTCCCACCTCAGCTGCTCAGAGTAGCTCAGACTACAGGTACAAGCCACGGCTCCTGGCTAATTTTTAATTTTTTTGTAGAGATGGGATTTCACTGTGTTGCCTAGGCTGGTCTTGAACTCCTAGGCTCAGGCAATCCTCCCACCTTGGCCTCCCGAAGTGCTAGAATTATAGGCATGAGCCCCCCACTGCATCTGGCAATAGGAATCTTTATAAATGATTTCAGCTAATTAATATTCCTTTGAAATTTAGACCTTATTTGAGTATCAGTTTTATACTTTGGACATATAAAATAAATTGGATAGATTTGCTTTTCATATAAAAGATAATCACTTTGGGAGGCCAGCGCGACGGATCACGAGGTCAGGAGTTTGAGACCAGCTTGGCCAATATGGTGAAACCCTGTCTCTACTAAAAATACAGAAATTAGCCCGGTCTGGTGGCGGGCACCTGTAGTCCCAGCTACTCTGGAGGCCGAGGCAGGATAATCGCTTGAACCTGGGAGGCGGAGGTTGCAGGGAGGGGAGATCGCGCCACTGCACTCTAGCTTGGGTGACAGAATGAGACTCCATCTCAAAAGAAAAAAAAAGATATATGGTTGCCAGATAAATTATTTTTTAAACTATTGAGCAAACTAAGTTGCATTTCTCTGTTGTTACCAGAATTCACCCTTCTCTTGGCAATTTGCCTTTAATAAAATGCTTTAGAATAGATGTTTGTCTTCAAGTTTGCAATTCCTGTGCCCAAACCACTGTGTTAAACCAAATTGTTAATGAAAGACCTTTTTTTCTGAGCTGCCATAGGTTGAAGTTCCCACATTTCTTATACCACTGGAAGTGAAAATATTATATATGTCGGTGAACAACTGTCTCCCTGGGACATACGTTTCTTGGTAGGATTACACACCCATCTTGAAAACTGAGTTTTGTTTATAGTCTATCTCAATGGTAGAGGGAAGGCTGGAGACTTCTGTGAGGACTAAAGGAAACAATCTAGGATGACAGTAGCAGTAGGATTTTCCTAGGGTATCATTATGCAAATAATGCATGTGTGTGTGTGCATGCATACATACATATACAACCCACATATATGTACACATATACACAGGCATATACAGATCCTCCTTGACTTATGATGGGGTTAGAATTTGATAAATTCATTGTAAGTTGAAAATACCAATATCAACTTGTGAAGGGCTTATCCAGACATAACTTTATTATTAAGTGGAGGAGTGTACTGAATGAGTATTGCTTTTGCACCATTGTGAAGTTGACAAATCTAAGACCATCATAAGTCAGGGACCATCTGTATACACAAATACACGTAAACACACATGTATTTTTTTTTTTTTTTTGAGACAAAAGTCTTGCTCTGTCGGCCAGGCTGGAGTGCAGTGGCACCATCTTAAGAAGCTTGCTGCAGCCTCTGTCTCCCAGACTCAAGTGATTCTACTGCCTCAGACTTCCAAGTAGCTGGGATTACAGGCATGTGCTACCACACCAGGCTAATTTTTAGTAGAGATGGGGTTTCACCATGTTGGCCAGGCTGGTCTTGAACTCCTGACCTCAGGTAATTCACCTACCTCAGCCTCCAAAAGTGCTGGGATTACAGGTATGAGCCAATGTGCTGGGTCACATGTATGTATTTTTGGTGCCAAGTTACACACCTGTTGCACCCGTCCTATCTGATTTTGTTTGATAATGTTGAGCTGTTTGGCTTCCTTAAAGACCTGGCCAGATGCAGTGTCTCATGCCTGTAATTCCAGAACTTTGGGAGGACAAGGTGGGTGGATCACTTGAGGTCAGGAGTTTGAGACCAGCCTGAACAATATGGTGAAACCCAATCTCTACTAAAAATACAAAAATTAGCCAGGCATGGTGGTGCATGCCTGTGGTCCCAGCTACTTGGGAGGCTGAGGCAGGAGTATTGCTTGAACCCGCGAGGCAGAGGTTGCAGTGAGCTGAGATCGCACCACTGCACTCCATCCTGGGTGACGGAGCAAGACTCCGTCTCAAACACACACACACACACACACACACACACACACACACACACGAAAAAAACCTTACTACTCTAGCCAAGATGATTATTTTTGCAGAGCCTGAATTCTTCCTTATCTTACCCAAAAACTCCCTGCTGTGGTAGTGCCTTTCTGTAATACTGTTGAATCAGGTAAAGATTTCTTTCTGGTCACCTGGAAACAACTCTGGTTTGAAACTTATACAAATAGTAAGTTTCATTTCAAAATATTCAGCCAGTAAATGTTTAAAAAAGAAACAAAAATCTCTGCTCTTTTATTATATAGTTAAGAAGTTTTTAAAAATAAAATATGCCTAAGAATAGTTTTTCCATTCTTAAAAGTGTCATAGTGAGTATATAATAGTGTTACATAATTATTGATGATAAGAACTTTAGAGCAAACGAAAAACAATTGAAATTATACAGTACAGAAATAGGGACATATCTTCATTTCTTTAAATGTACTATCCATAAGGAAACTGGTAGAGAATGGAGAGCCTTCAGTAATTTATTTTTTCCAAACTTCTAAGCTTAGGCTCATATAAACAAGTCTTAATATCCTAATCCAGAACTCAGTGACAAGTTGGTTTTGGTGACCGAACGTTTCTTGTGGCTTTGTTCAACAACTCCAGTATCTCTTGGCTTAGAACAGTGATGAGTTTTTTAACCTATCCTGCTACTGCTGCTCTTAGTTCTCAAAAATTGAATGTAAAACACTTTAGCTCAATGATAATATTTCTTGAGATACTTGTTTTCTGTTGTTTTCATTATAGCTTTTGAGGAACTTGAAAAAGCTTTGAGTACAGCCCAAAAAACAGAGGAAGCACGGAGAAAACTGAAGGCAGAAATGGATGAACAAATAAAAACTATCGAAAAAACAAGTGAGGAGGAACGCATCAGTCTTCAACAGGAATTAAGTCGGGTGAAACAGGAGGTTGTTGATGTAATGAAAGTAAGAATAATTCTGTAATGAAATGGGCTACAACAAATTTGAAATTTAAGTGTATTTTTCCTTACACTCTTTGACTGTAAAGAAGAGTTTGTTTGTATTTTAGACATTGACTGTTTTCTGATATTCAGGTTGTAAAATTTTTGATAGATAAATGCATTTAATACTTAGGTAATTCTTTGGAACCTTTTAAGCTTTGCTTTCTCTCCAGTGGACTATGTTATAAACTGAGATGTGCCTTAACTGTTCTGTGGCTCCCCGACTCTTAGGCACCTTGAAGATAGGCTACTTAGCTGCTTCAGTAGTATATCCTCCAGAGAACTTGGCCAAGAAGGTACTTGCCTAATGTGTGTTGAGGGAATGAGGGAGTAAGTGACTGAGGGGCTAGATTGTTTAAATGTTTTAAAGGATCATTGTTACTTAATGTTCTGATTACTCTTAATATAGATAGACCTCACTTTAAAAGTTAGCTTTTTGGAAAGATCTCTTAGAAATTAATGAATTTTTAAAATCCCATAGATTTTCAATTTTTCAGAAATATGAACATGTCATCATCATGGCCCCTCCCTGCTCCCAGCTTCCTTCCTCACCCATTTTTTTCTGCTTTTTTTTTTTTTTGCTTGTTTTTCCTCCTGTCATGTTTGCCTTTCTTGCCACTTTGCTCATTTTATCCTATTTCTTTACTGACTCCCCATTTATATTCTTGATATTTGATTATGGCCACTAAAATGGCTTAAGATAAATTATAGATCTGAATAGATGAGGCTTGGATTTCAGAGTTTCAATATGCATTTCTATAACTCATGGTAAGGTTTCTGTGCTTTTACTTATGAGTGCATAACAGGCATTGAGGGGGGCAAATTATATTTCTTTCATTTTCTTCTTCCTGCTGAACTATAGGTAATTTGCAAAGCAGAAATTATTTGTGGCCAATTATTGGATATATAAGACCTTAACTATAACTGCCTGACTATATTTTAAGTTTTAAAATAGTCATATGATGTGATAAGTAATGTTATCATGGACTCCAACAACTTAAAAATAATGTATTATTTTGAAAGGTGATAATATAGACATATGGTATAAAAATCAGAAGATATGAAGTATGTAGTGAAAAGATTCCCATTTTCCCAAAGAAAAGTGGTATTTTCCTTTTTGAGTATATTTCCCAGAGATAGCCTGTGTATATAATTTCTCTTCTCTGATTTTTTTTTCTTTTCCTTATAGATGGATTTATTAGGCTTTCCTTTAAATGGTATCTGAATTTTTTTTTTTTAACTTAAAAACCACATGGACAATCCTGACATCGTTTTTAAAAATTCAGTTTTTTCTTTTTTTAAACACAAAAGACAGCATGTTATATAGAATGTTCTATATTTTGCTTTTCCACTTAATAATCTTTCTAGGAGATTGTTCCTTAGCCATTGGTAGTTGATAATTCATAGTGATACCCCATTTATTTTAAAGGCTGCTCAAGATTCTATTGTATGAATGTCCTGTAATTTAATCAGTTTCCTATTGATAGATATTTAGATTGTTTTCAGTTTTTGCTATTGCAAGTTATGAATTTTTTTTCTTTTTCTTTCTTTTTTTGAGACAGAGTCTTGCTCTGTCACCAGGCTGGAGTGCAATCTTGTGATCTCGGTTCACTGCATCCTCCGCCCCCCACGTTCAAGCAATTCTCCTGCCTCAGCCTCCTGAGTAGCTGGGATTACAGGCGTGTGCCATCACGCCTGGCTAGTTTTTGTATTTTTAGTAGAGATGGGGTTTCTCCATGTTGGCCAGGCTGGTCTTGAACTCCTGATCTCAGGTGATCCACCTGCCTTGGCCTCCCAAATTGTTGGGATTACAGGCGTGAGCCACTGTGCCTGGCCTGTGAATATTCTTATCCATACTTGTTCACATTTGTATTTATTTAGGGTAGATGCCTAGAAGTGGAATATTAACTCAAGCAAAGATTACATGTATTTTTAATTGTTGCCTAGTTGCTGTGAGGTCTGTGGAAGACAATTTATACCCTGACAAGCAATGTATTAGAATATATTTCCCCCCAATAAAGATGGCATTATCTAACTTTATCTTTCCAAGTTTATGTTAAAAAAATTAATATATATAACTCTTAGCAGTATGATAAATATTTTTTTCTATTTATTTGGCGAAATCCTTGACTCACTTTTCTATTGGGCTGTTGGTCTTTTATGGATTTGTAGAAGCTCTTTGTTTATAGTGAGAATTAGGCCTTTGCACATACGTCCTTTTAGCCAAATAATTTTCTCAGTTTGTTATTTGTTGACTTTATTTACAACTTGTTTTCGTAGAAAATTTTTTTTTTCCTTGTAGTTGAATTTATAAGGCTTTTCTTTAAATGCTATGTGGATTTTTTTTTTTAATTTAAAAACACATGTTCGGTCCTGAGATCAGTTTTTAAAAATTTGATTTTTTCTTCTGGCACTTTTATGGTTTCATTTTTTTTTTACTGTTAACATCTTTGATCCAACTGAAACTTATTTAGTGTAAGGAGTGAGGTAAGGATTCAACTTAAATTTTTCCCAGATGGCTACCAAATGGTCTCCAAATCATTTATTTAGTAATCCACATTTCTCCTTCTGATATGCCATATTATCTTTTTTTTGTAGAGACGGGGTCTGCCTGTTTTGTCCAGGCCAGTCTTGAACTCCTGGGCTCAAGCAATCCTCCTGCCTTGGCCTCCCAAAGTGCTGGGATTACAGGCATAAGCCACCATGCCCCACCCATATTATCTTTAATACACACTAAATTATTAAAGTATTAAATGTGAGTTTTTCTTTCTGCATTCTCTGTGCTGTTCTATTGCTTTGTCTGACCATGTGCAGCTGTTTAATTTTATAATATGCTGTTTGGTAGCTTCTTATTATTACTCTTATTTTTTGAAATAGTGTTGGTTATTCTTGCATGTTTATTTTGTCCAGTGGGCTCCCCCATTCTGTTTTTTTTTAATATATATTAACTTTTTAGATTTATATAATGAGATTTGACATTTTTATGAGATTGAGGTTTCCTATCCAAAAAAAGAACAAGGCCTGTACCTTTTAATAAATAGTACATGCCTGGAAAGCTGGCCATAATTTGATTGGTGCAGCGAGGGCGCACCTTCACCAGTGTAGTGCCCTCTCTGAGAGCATCCTTATTCCCCAGCTGTGCTCCCCTATCCTGACTTGTAGGGAACATCCCTGCAAGATGTGGAAATGGAGTCTATTGTAGCAGTAGCAGCACTTGTCTTAAAATAAGAAGAAAACTACTGGTTATTCTTTTAACTATCATGGCTTTGATGACTTTGATCTATGCAGGAAATGTGTTTTCTCTTAGGAATGTGATTTTTTCTTCTTAAAAACTTATTAGTTTGAGTAAATTATAATAGTATTATTTAGTTGTGGAGTTACATATTTTATTCTGGGTGTCCTTATATTATCTATTTGGCTCATTTTCAGAAATCCTCAGAAGAACAAATTGCTAAGCTACAGAAGCTTCATGAAAAGGAGCTGGCCAGAAAAGAGCAGGAACTGACCAAGAAGCTTCAGACCCGAGAAAGGGAATTTCAGGAACAAATGAAAGTAGCTCTTGTAAGTGACTATTTTTTTTTTTCTGCTATAGGTATACTTCTCAGAGTTACAAAGTTATCATCCTCTCACTGTTGCATTCCAGTTGGAAGTCAGACTACTGGCAGTCTTGACGTTTGGGTATAAAGAGAGGATAGAGAGTAGGCAAGCTGTCAGAGCTTATTAGCTTGGTATTGTGTGAAAATTAAATTTACTGATCTAACACACTTTCTTTTTTTTATGAGAGAGAGTCTCGCTCTGTTGCCTAGGCTAGAGTGCAGTGGTGAGATCTTGGCTCGCTGTAACCTCCATAATCTCCATCTCCGCGGTTCAAGTGATTCCCCTGCCTCAGCTTCCCAAGTAGCTGGGACTACAGGTGCACACCACCAAGCTCGGCTAATTTTTATTTTTTTATTTTTGTATTTTTAGTAGAGATGGGGTTTCACCATGTTGGCCAGGCTGGTCTTGAACTCCTGACCTCAAGTGATCCACCCACATTGGTCTCCCAAAGTGTTGGGATTACAGGCGTAAGCCACCGCGCTTGGCCACACTTTCTTTTTAAAACATTTAAAAAATTTTAACAATTTCTTTCAATATTTATATTTCTCTTTCATTGTTGATGTTCAGTATAACCAACACACTTTCATTAAGCAGTTTGTTTATCCATCCCTCCCACCTGGCAGTAGGCTATGATTAGGGACAAAAAAAGGAAAAGATAGATTAATTGAAGCAGTGACTGCATAATTCAAGAAGAGAGTGCATAATTCAAGAAGAATGTCGAAAATCTCATCAGACTGAGTGTACCCAGAGCTCAAGGCTGAGAAAATTTTGGCTGACTTGCATTTTACAGAAGAAGAAATAAAAATGGCCAAGTAATTTTTATTTTAAGTGGAATAATTTCAGTACTAATTTTCAGTCCATACGATGGCTTAAAAAAGAGTTAAATTAAAAAACTTCCTGAGCTAACAAAAACAACCAGAAAGCAGATTGAGATTTTTGTTGAAAGATTTTTTAAAATAGCATAATTTGAAAGTTTAAAACAAAAAATATTTTTCTTCACTTATGAAAGCCTTTTATATAAGTTGCCATAAAAAAGTGTTAGTGACAAAAATGTAATTTGTTTTTGTATGAAATTATTATCCGTAAGATAATATGTGTAACTCAAAAATGCTTTCCGTGTAAAAGGATAATAAATAGTATTTTAGATTTTAATCTTCTTTCTTACGTGTATTGTTGTTTTCACTCTTAGTTGCATCTGGGGCCCCGAGAATTTCTAGCAGCAGTGATTCTTGAAATGAGTTAACAAGTTCTCTACCCAGCTCTGTGGGGGCACATGGATTTACAGTATGATTGGGTGTCTGTGGTCATGAAATTTACACATATATGGGCACATATTTGTTTTCTTTGTTGATCCAGAAAAGAATTAAAGCATTTTACAAGAATTCTTAAACTGTAACAGTACAACATAAATTAAAAATGGGGGCAAGAAAGTTAAGGAACAAAGTGGGAAATAAATAGTGCTAAAAATGCCTGTCATAAGGACCTACTCTGAGTTTTCATGCTGGGGTAACTGACCTTTGGGGACACTGAGCTAGCCTTAATATACACATGCGTGGGTACCTGTGCCTGCCCTTTTCTTAATTCAGTGGACTATTAAAATTTCCTCCTTTATGGGCATATAGAGATATATTTAAAATATAGTTTACATTAAATAATATAGTATATTTAAATGGATATTTTAAAATTAATGCTATGGAAACTAGTATTTTCTTATCAACCTACTCATAACATGGTACAAAATCTTTCCTTAATTTAAGTAGTGCACTTGAGTATAGTGAACTGAAAGTATTGCAGTTGGCAATATCTGCTCTAAGCAATAGGTATGGATAAGTACACTTGTCTTAATTGGAGTTCAATTAAGAAATTAACATTTAATATGTTAATTGACTGTTAGAAGTACTGTCTAGAGCTTCTCTTCTTAAAACACTAAACACTTTAAATTGAATATTGATACATGAAAGGACAATCAGAGAAGCTTTTCAGGATTGATGGGGTGGTAGAGCCAATGTAGCTTTGTTTTATAGATATTGTCTTGATCTTCCCCATATATTAACAAGTAATCTTCTGATTTCAGTTTGATTTTCCTTGTGGGGTCTCTTTCTAAATGAGATATTCTCACAAACTGTATAAACTTAAAATCTAGTTTCTAGACTTAGAGTAGAAATATCAAACTCTGGAGTGTAGAGATGAGGTAGTAGCAATTGTATGACCTTTCACATTCAGCAGTGTTTCGTAAAACAAGTAGTGGAAAAATAGCAGACATAGTGGGGTTATTGGAACAAAATTTTTCATATCAGTAGTAATTGTGGCAATTACCCCACTGGAAAAGCCATAGTGCCTTGTTTCTGCAGACTAGAGCATGGGAGGAGAGAGATGATGACGTTACCTATCCAACAGGGCTGGGTGCAGATCAAAAGAAATGAATGATTCCTGGGGAAGTACTTTGCGAATGCTGAAGATTTATGTGCGTTTAAGGTGGTATTAATTATTTTTGGCACAGGAAAAGAGTCAATCAGAATATTTGAAGATCAGCCAAGAAAAAGAACAGCAAGAATCTTTGGCCCTAGAAGAGTTAGAGTTGCAGAAAAAAGCAATCCTCACAGAAAGTGAAAATAAACTTCGGGACCTTCAGCAAGAAGCAGAGACTTACAGAACTGTAAGTTTTAATAATATTCAGATTCTGGAGTTGTGAAATTATTTGCATATGAAAATTTGTTGTCTCTAGTCAGTATAAAGTTTCGAAGATTACTGGATTAGATTTATGTATACATGCCCTTCATTTTTAGGTAGTGTGAGCTATGCATGGGAGTGGATTTGGCTTTAGGCTCTGTGTTTATTACATGGTGCTCCTGGTTCTGCCTTTAGCTGGCTGTATTTCTGTCAGCCACTCAGTCTGCTGCTTTTCACTGACCCTGCAGCATCTCCATTGCATACTCACCCTTGATGTCTAGGAAGTGGGCTCATTTTGTAGGCAATACTTGCCCTGGCACCTTTCTGCTTGTCCAGGTTTATCTTATGCCATGTCCTGAACGTAATCCAGCCTCTGCTTATATCACAGTTTAATTACACTAGTGTGTGGCTTTTGCATTTGGTTTCCCCAGTTTTTCCATACTAAACATAGTCCCGTAATGAACATATTTGTGTGTATGTCCCAGAGTGTACGTTTTTTTAAAGGCCCTGTCTGATCCTTTCCTTAGCAGTATTTGAAATGTACAACCTATTTTGAAAACTAACTGATGTTTAGACTTGTTAGCTTTTTTGCTCTGATTTAGATAGTAAAACAGTCATACTTCTTACTCATAGTTCTAAACCATGCTTAATTTTTCCATCACTAACACTTGCAAAAGGTTCCATGGTGGGTGAAATGGACACTTAGGAGGCCTAGATCTTCCACTTGTTAGATTTTTAAATTAATTGTACTTTAATTTCGTCACCTGTCACATGAAGAGATTAGATTCAGTAATTCCTTAGGACCCTAGGACCTTTCCAGCTCTGACATTCTGTGGCTCTGCCTTATTTAACTCCTTCAGAGTCAAAATTACATTTTCATGAGATAATAATAATCTTTGTTAAAATTCATATAAGTTCCTTCTTTATGAAAAAAAAAAGAACCTTCCAAATGATAATTTTGAAGGTGGAAAAATCATACATTCTTTTTCTTCTAAAATTATGAGAATAATAAAATACTATGTAGGCCTTAAAAATTGGAAAAAACCCCAATCTTCCTACCAGAAGTTACTGTTATGAATTTTATGGTTTATTTCTTTTTACTATCCAGTTAAAGTATTATTGAAAATGTAGGTAGCTGAAAAGGTTCCCCAAGTAAATAGAAAGAATCTGAAAGTATGAGTTGGGTTAAACATGTAATCTTTTCTTTCCTTTTGTCTTTTTTTTTTTTTTTTTTTTTTTCCAAGACAGAGGAGTCTCGCTTTGTTGCCCAGGCTGGAGTGTAGTGGCATGATCTCGGCTCACTGCAGCCTCTGCCTCCTGGGTTCAAGGGATTCCCCAACCTCAGCCTCCCGAGTAGCTGGGACTACAGCCGCATGCTACCATGCCCGGCTAATTTTTGTATGTTTTGGTAGAGACAGGGCTTTGCCATGTTGGTCAGGCTGGGTCTCAAACTCCCGGCTTCAAGTGATCTGCTCACCTCGGCCTCCCAAACTGTTGGACTGTGCCTTGCCATAATCTTTTCTTTGTTATATGATTCCTTTAGTAATTGAGCATAGATTCTTTGTCTTTTCTAGTGTTTGGTATGATAATTTTGATCTTCAGGTAGGTGGTAGACATCATGTCTGTGTATCATTGTTAGTAGACAAGTACGTACTTTAATAAAAATGCATCTGTTTTTAATTAACAGAGAATTCTTGAATTGGAAAGTTCTTTGGAAAAAAGCTTACAAGAAAACAAAAATCAGTCAAAAGATTTGGCTGTTCATCTGGAAGCTGAAAAAAATAAGCACAATAAGGAGATTACAGTCATGGTTGAAAAACACAAGACAGAATTGGAAAGCCTTAAGCATCAGCAGGATGCCCTTTGGACTGAAAAACTCCAAGTCTTAAAGCAACAATATCAGACTGAAATGGAAAAACTTAGGGAAAAGTGTGAACAAGAAAAAGAAACATTGTTGAAAGACAAAGAGATTATCTTCCAGGCCCACATAGAAGAAATGAATGAAAAGACTTTAGAAAAGCTTGATGTGAAGCAAACAGAACTAGAATCATTATCTTCTGAACTGTCAGAAGTATTAAAAGCCCGTCACAAACTAGAAGAGGAACTTTCTGTTCTGAAAGATCAAACAGATAAAATGAAGCAGGAATTAGAGGCCAAGATGGATGAACAGAAAAATCATCACCAGCAGCAAGTTGACAGTATCATTAAAGAACACGAGGTATCTATCCAGAGGACTGAGAAGGCATTAAAAGATCAAATTAATCAACTTGAGCTTCTCTTGAAGGAAAGGGACAAGCATTTGAAAGAGCATCAGGCTCATGTAGAAAATTTAGAGGCAGATATTAAAAGGTCTGAAGGGGAACTCCAGCAGGCATCTGCTAAGCTGGACGTTTTTCAGTCTTACCAGAGTGCCACACATGAGCAGACAAAAGCATATGAGGAACAGTTGGCCCAATTGCAGCAGAAGTTGTTGGATTTGGAAACAGAAAGAATTCTTCTTACCAAACAGGTTGCTGAAGTTGAAGCACAAAAGAAAGATGTTTGTACTGAGTTAGATGCTCACAAAATCCAGGTGCAGGACTTAATGCAGCAACTTGAAAAACAAAATAGTGAAATGGAGCAAAAAGTAAAATCTTTAACCCAAGTCTATGAGTCCAAACTTGAAGATGGTAACAAAGAACAGGAACAGACAAAGCAAATCTTGGTGGAAAAGGAAAATATGATTTTACAAATGAGAGAAGGACAGAAGAAAGAAATTGAGATACTCACACAGAAATTGTCAGCCAAGGAGGACAGTATTCATATTTTGAATGAGGAATATGAAACCAAATTTAAAAACCAAGAAAAAAAGATGGAAAAAGTTAAGCAGAAAGCAAAGGAGATGCAAGAAACGTTAAAGAAAAAATTACTGGATCAGGAAGCCAAACTTAAGAAAGAGCTTGAAAATACTGCTCTAGAGCTTAGTCAGAAAGAAAAACAGTTTAATGCCAAAATGCTGGAAATGGCACAGGCTAACTCAGCTGGAATCAGTGATGCAGTGTCAAGACTGGAAACAAACCAAAAAGAACAAATAGAAAGTCTTACTGAGGTTCATCGACGAGAACTCAATGATGTCATATCAATCTGGGAAAAGAAACTTAATCAGCAAGCTGAAGAACTTCAGGAAATACATGAAATCCAATTACAGGAAAAAGAACAAGAGGTAGCAGAACTGAAACAAAAGATCCTCCTATTTGGGTGTGAAAAAGAAGAGATGAACAAGGAAATAACATGGCTGAAGGAAGAAGGTGTTAAGCAGGATACAACATTAAATGAATTACAGGAACAGTTAAAGCAGAAGTCTGCCCATGTGAATTCTCTTGCACAAGATGAAACTAAACTGAAAGCTCATCTTGAAAAGCTAGAGGTTGACTTGAATAAGTCTCTGAAGGAAAATACTTTTCTTCAAGAGCAGCTAGTTGAACTGAAGATGCTGGCAGAAGAAGATAAGCGGAAGGTTTCTGAGTTGACTAGCAAGTTGAAAACCACAGATGAAGAATTCCAGAGTTTGAAATCTTCACATGAAAAAAGTAACAAAAGCCTAGAGGACAAGAGCTTGGAATTTAAAAAACTGTCTGAGGAACTAGCGATTCAGCTAGATATTTGCTGTAAGAAAACCGAAGCCTTATTAGAAGCTAAAACAAATGAGCTAATCAACATTAGTAGTAGTAAAACTAATGCCATTCTTTCTAGGATTTCTCATTGTCAGCACCGTACAACTAAAGTTAAGGAGGCACTGTTAATTAAAACTTGCACAGTTTCTGAATTAGAAGCACAACTTAGACAGTTGACAGAGGAGCAAAATACACTAAATATTTCTTTTCAACAGGCTACTCATCAGTTAGAAGAAAAAGAAAATCAAATTAAGAGCATGAAGGCTGATATTGAAAGTCTTGTAACAGAAAAAGAAGCCTTACAGAAGGAAGGAGGCAATCAGCAACAGGCTGCTTCTGAAAAGGAGTCTTGTATAACACAGTTGAAGAAAGAGTTATCTGAAAACATCAATGCTGTCACATTGATGAAAGAAGAGCTTAAAGAAAAAAAAGTTGAGATTAGCAGTCTTAGTAAACAACTAACTGATTTGAATGTTCAGCTTCAAAATAGCATCAGCCTATCCGAAAAAGAAGCAGCCATTTCATCACTAAGAAAGCAGTATGATGAAGAAAAATGTGAATTGCTGGATCAGGTGCAAGATTTATCTTTTAAAGTTGACACTCTGAGTAAAGAGAAAATTTCTGCTCTTGAGCAGGTAGATGACTGGTCCAATAAATTCTCAGAATGGAAGAAGAAAGCACAGTCAAGATTTACACAGCATCAAAACACTGTTAAAGAATTGCAGATCCAGCTTGAGTTAAAATCAAAGGAAGCTTATGAAAAGGATGAGCAGATAAATTTATTGAAGGAAGAGCTTGATCAGCAAAATAAAAGATTTGATTGTTTAAAGGGTGAAATGGAAGACGACAAGAGCAAGATGGAGAAAAAGGAGTCTAATTTAGAAACAGAGTTAAAGTCTCAAACAGCAAGAATTATGGAATTAGAGGACCATATTACCCAGAAAACTATTGAAATAGAGTCCTTAAATGAAGTTCTTAAAAATTACAATCAACAAAAGGATATTGAACACAAAGAATTGGTTCAGAAACTTCAACATTTTCAAGAGTTAGGAGAAGAAAAGGACAACAGGGTTAAAGAAGCTGAAGAAAAAATCTTAACACTTGAAAACCAAGTTTATTCCATGAAAGCTGAACTTGAAACTAAGAAGAAAGAATTAGAACATGTGAATTTAAGTGTGAAAAGCAAAGAGGAGGAGTTAAAGGCATTGGAAGATAGGCTTGAGTCAGAAAGTGCTGCAAAATTAGCAGAGTTGAAGAGAAAAGCTGAACAAAAAATTGCTGCCATTAAGAAGCAGTTGTTATCTCAAATGGAAGAGAAAGAAGAACAGTATAAAAAAGGTACAGAAAGCCATTTGAGTGAGCTAAATACAAAATTGCAGGAAAGAGAAAGGGAAGTTCACATCTTGGAAGAAAAACTTAAGTCAGTGGAAAGTTCACAGTCAGAAACATTAATTGTACCCAGATCAGCAAAAAATGTGGCAGCATATACTGAACAAGAAGAAGCAGATTCCCAAGGCTGTGTGCAGAAGACATATGAAGAAAAAATCAGTGTTTTACAAAGAAACTTAACTGAAAAAGAAAAGCTATTGCAGAGGGTAGGGCAGGAAAAAGAAGAGACAGTTTCTTCTCATTTTGAAATGCGATGCCAATACCAGGAGCGCTTAATAAAGCTAGAACATGCTGAGGCAAAGCAACATGAAGATCAAAGTATGATAGGTCATCTTCAAGAGGAGCTTGAAGAAAAAAACAAGAAATATTCCTTGATAGTAGCCCAGCATGTGGAAAAAGAAGGAGGTAAAAATAACATACAGGCAAAGCAAAACTTGGAAAATGTGTTTGACGACGTCCAGAAAACCCTCCAGGAGAAGGAACTAACCTGTCAGATTTTGGAGCAAAAGATAAAAGAGCTGGATTCCTGCTTAGTAAGACAGAAAGAAGTACATAGAGTTGAAATGGAAGAGTTGACCTCAAAATATGAAAAATTACAGGCTTTACAACAGATGGATGGAAGAAATAAACCCACAGAACTTTTGGAAGAAAACACTGAAGAAAAGTCCAAATCACATTTGGTCCAACCCAAATTGCTTAGTAACATGGAAGCCCAGCACAATGATCTGGAGTTTAAATTAGCCGGGGCAGAACGGGAGAAACAGAAACTGGGCAAGGAGATTGTTAGATTGCAGAAAGACCTTCGAATGTTGAGAAAGGAGCATCAGCAAGAATTGGAAATACTAAAGAAAGAATATGATCAAGAAAGGGAAGAGAAAATCAAGTAAGTTTTATTTCAGCTTGAATATTTTTATGGCAGTCCTTCTTAATTAAGTCTCCTTTTTTTGTGCCTAATACAGTTATTTTAAATTATTTGGATAAGTTTCACCAACCCAAAATATTAAACATAAATCCAATATGTTAAATATGAGGAGAAATAAAAACAATTTAGGGCAAGTGGCAGTGTTATTCCATGTCCATTTAGGAGAGAAAAACCTTTTCTTGCATATAAGATTCTGGTTATTAGGGACATATCCAAGTAATTATTTTCTTTTTGTTTTGTTGTTTTTAGTATTAGCATTATTATTATATAACATAGATGTGTTTTGAAAAAAAAATTAAAGTGGAAAACAAAAATTCTCTGGTCCCCAGGACCACTACTTAGAGGTAATCATAGTTGATATGTACCTGGACACACACACACACACACACACACACACACACACACTCACTCTCACACTCTCTCTCTCTCTCTCTCTCAAAAATGTTTTCATACAATGAACTCATACTGTATGCACTGTTTTAAAGACCAGGTAGCTCCTTGCAGCTTGTTCTTTGTGTGGCAGCAGTTAACGGTACATTTTTATTACTCAGACAGGAGCAGGAAGATCTTGAACTGAAGCACAATTCCACATTAAAACAGCTGATGAGGGAGTTTAATACACAGCTGGCACAAAAGGAACAAGAGCTGGAAATGACCATAAAAGAAACTATCAGTAAGTAAAATTAAGTTCCATAAGGAACAATTATATCAGCAGAGGCTATAATTTAAGCTTATCATTTTTGCAGTGGTGGTAAGTGCATTAAGTCATTAAACTGGGGAAGAAATAATCCTTGCCCAATAACATTCTCTAATGGGAACCTGCCCTGCTTGGCAATGACTTACCTTAAGGAGAGAGGGAGCAGGTAAAACAATCTGAAAGTATTAGCTAATTAATTACCTTGTAAAGACACTTTTGCTCAGGGAGAGGATACATTTGATCACTGTTGAGCTAGATGTCTCATTAAACATCTTAAAATGCTTATATAAAATTAAATTTCATCAAAATTAATTGGAATGAGAGTTGTTACTGAAATTGAGATACAAATATTAACTCTTGACTAATGTGTTTTCTTGTGTGTGTTCATTTTTATTTATTAGATAAGGCCCAGGAGGTGGAGGCTGAACTTTTAGAAAGCCATCAAGAAGAGACAAATCAGTTACTTAAAAAAATTGCTGAGAAAGATGATGATCTAAAACGAACAGCCAAAAGATATGAAGAAATCCTTGATGTTTGTACCTTATTTCTTCTCTCTCACTTTTGAAATTTAGCTGTAATAGATTTCATGGTAGTGCCAAAGATTTCCTTTTCAAATGTGTTTTTTGAACGAAAAGGGTTTTTTTTTTTGACTCAATATTATTCAAATTAGTACTGTTATATGCAGATTTATAAAGTTGAGTTGATTTCTGCCAGGATTGTAGTTTCCTGATGAGATTCTGCTAACTAGGCAGCACAGTCCCCTTGCTAGTATTGAAGCAACAGTAGATACTAAAAGGAAGAATAGATTCTTTCCCATCTGCCTCACAGATTCTGACTGAACTGTGAGGGGAACCAGACTAAGAATCAAGACCCTGTGCTTCGGTGAAGTCTAAGTAATGGGATAGTGAGTGTGTATTTAAATGTGGCTGCTTAACTTAGCTGGAATCTTTCTGGGAGGGACAATCAACTTTACTCTTATCTCTACCCAGTGTGTGGAGGTTGATTGGTCTCAAGAGAAGAAAGCTGGGAAAAAATGGAATGCATAAGCCAAATCTTTTATATTTAGTGGAAGGTTATTTCAAAATACTTACTCTACTAATGCCATGTTGCAATTCACAGAATATGCCACTAATGCATTGCCATTAGCAAAATAAGATAAGCCATGAAGATACACCATGAAGATAAATCATAAATGCTAGTTAGTACTTTGGACTAACATTTGAAAATGTTTTCAAATGTAATACAATATAAATTGTTCTTGGTTGGGTTACAGATTCTGTAGTTGCTCTAAGCCTTATTTCACTATATGCTAAGAATCTTTTGGTGATTAAGAATTCATAAATCAAAGAATCATACCTCAGCTGACTATGTCAGCAGAAGTCTGAGTCGGGAACAGATTCTAATAATTATTTTAAATGTAATTGAAATGGCTAGAATTCCAAGATATAACACATGCCTATAAATGCCACCTTTTATAATTCTTGAGCTTTATATGTCATTATGAAAAGATTTAAATAATTTCACATTTTCTTATACTTCCATAGAGGATATATGTGCTAAATGAAAAAAAAAAAGTATTATTTCTTGAATGCCTAGAGAGTGTTGGAAGATACAGTAAAGCTAGTTTAGTTCTACTTTTTTTTTTTCTGTTTTTGTTTTTCAGAAGGAAAAGCCAGTTCAGTGTAGTTAAGTAATTTCCCTAAAACTACATAGTGGTAGAGCAGTGATTCTTCATTAGCTTTACACATTTTATAAAAAAAGACTTCTTCCTAAGAAAGGAACTTAGAGAAGGCAGTTATTTATCATGGATAATTAAGTCAGGGAGATTCATTTGCAGGGAGTAAATTGTGCCATAGCTCTAGAATTCCCTTTTGTGAACTATTTCTTTGTCTCGGGATGTGTGGGGTAGCAGATGGTAGACTTTTCTAGACTCATGACAGACCTTTTAGGTAGAAGGGTGAGGGAACAGAGAGACAGGTTACCGTATACCCTTTGACATGGTTCCTCCTTAAAAATCTGCTGTATTTTAGGGAAGTTAATGAAATTGTCCTTCAAGCTTCAGGCTTTGAGTAGTACAGCAAGTGGACAGGAAGTGGAGGGTGGGCAAGGGAGTGGCATGGACTCTTTTCCAAGTTCCTTCCTGTGCCTTGGACCAGCACTGCCACTGGAAATATAATGCAAGCCGGCCAGGCACGGTGGCTCATGCCTGTAATTCCAGCACTTTGGGAGGCCAAGGCGGGTGGATCACCTGAAGTCAGGAGTTCAAGACCAGCCTGGCCAACATGGTGAAACTCCATCTCTACTAAAAATAAAAAAAATTAGCCAGGTGTGGTGGCATGTGCTTGTAATCCCAGCTACTCAGAGGAGGATGAGGCAGGAGAATCGCTTGAACCTGGAAGGTGGAAGTTGCAGTGAGCCGAGATTGTGCCACTGCACTCCAGCCTGGGCGACAGAGTGAGACTCCGTCTCAAAAAAAAAAAAAAAAAAATGCAAGCCACAAATATGAGCCATATTGTAATTTAAAGTTTTCTAGTAGCCACATTTAAAAAAAAAGGAAACAGGTGAACTTAATTTTAATAATATATGCTACCAATGCGATATAACCAAAATACTATCATTTCAACATGTAGTCAATATTAAAAATATATACATACATATAAATTCTTTGAAATTCACTGTGTTTTTTACATTTCATCTCAATTTGGAATAGCAACATTTCAAGTTCTCACTAGCCACAGTTTTAGGGTAGCTAGTGCCTGCTGTATTGAATAGTGTAGCCTTAGACTTTCAACTGCTAGGACTAGGGCTGACTTTGTAATTAAATAGCCAGTCCCCATCCAGACATCCCCAGATATACTTTATCCCAAAGAAATTTTTTAAAAAATGCAAATACTACTAAAAAGGGCTATTAGCAATTCTCAGCAAACACCATATTGCTTTGATTCAAATCCATATTCTCTATGATTCTCCCATTTAAAAATTTCTGGGATTGGAGTTTCATATGGGATTTGTATGTATTATGTAGTAGTGTTTTTTACCCTTTCTTAAAAGCTATTATCAGATTTATGATTTGTCTCAGTGATGACATTGTAGAATGCTGCATTTTTGTCACCTATTAAAATAATTATGTGATTTGTTAATAGCAAGTTTGAGCACAGGGACACTTTCATTTTTCTACCTTGAATGACATTCTTACCATTCCTCCATTTGAAGAAGCTGGAAACTTTTGACATCTTTAATTCCCACTTCCTGTGTCTCTAAACACCATACACATATATATTAATGTACCTATTTTGTCATTAAATCTGCTTCTCTCCCCAGCACAATTACCTGACATATAACGGGCTCACAGGATATGGTTTGAAACATCCTGAGAATCATGTTGCTTGTTCCTCTCCTCTGAACTCCACTGCTGCCACCACAGTCTGTGCTACCATTTTTTCATCTGGCCCGATCTGTTGTATTAATGTCCTACCTAGTCCCCTTACTGCAGTCCTTTTTCCCTAACATAGTCATCTGTCTGTCAGAGTTATTTTCTGTCTGGAAACAAAGGTGTGATTTATTACTTCTCCTCCTAAATATGTGCAGTGGTTTCCCATTGTCACAGTGATACCTCGTCTAGTTTGGTCTGTGTTCCAGCCAAACTCAACCATAGCTTGTTCTTCACTGTGTGTTTCCTTTGTACATGCTTTTCTGTGTGCCTAAAGTCACATTCTCAAGCTTCATAAGTTAATGCAAGCGTTACCATCTCTCTTTTGGCTAAAAAAAGATCGGGGCAGCGGGGGTGGTGTGGTGCATGGCCACGCCCAGTGGCTTATGCCTGTCATCCCAACACTTTGGGAGGCTGAGGCAGGAGGATTGCTTGAGCTTGGGAGGTCAATGCTGCACTGAGCTATGAACGTGCCTCTGCATTCCAGCCTGGGTGGCAGAGTGAGGCCCTGTCTCAAAAGAAAAACAACAAAAAAAATTAAATAAAATTTTTAAATTTAATTTTTATTTAGAAAAATTTTGAATCAAATGTATTCACATGGCTTAAAGATTAAAATAATATTAAAAAGTATTCTTGGAGGCGGTATACATGTATAATGAAAATTGTACCCATTCCTCCTGTGTTCTGTGTCCTCTCCCTCTTCTCCCTCCACCGGCAACCATTAGTTTCTTATACTCCAGTGTTTCATTATGTAAACAAGCAAAAATGAAATATATTCTTATTTTTTATTTTTTTCCCCTTTCCTACTCAAAAGGTAGCTTTTTGAATATACTTTTCTATGTCGTTTTTTCACTTGTTCTTTTTTTTGAAACCTCTTAAATGTAATTAATTGCATCTGTGTTCCTTGTTACTCATATATATTTGTTACTTATGTGATTTTTGTCATATACACATGCGTGTAGGAGTGTATTAATGAATCTGTCCTCTCCCTTAGACTATAAGCATCACTCTGGAGATTTTGTTCTTCTCTAGTCGTGAGAATCTGGCCCAGTGCCTGGCACATACGAGCACTTGATAAATTTGAAGGAGGCAACACATGGTAGGCAGGGAAGAATTCATTTGGGAGAAGGGCATGGTGACTTGCAAGTTGGAGACTCACAAGTAGGGGTGCTTACCAAATAGCCTAATCCCAATCTCAGAGCAGTCTCACTTGCAGAGTAGCTCGTAAGGCTATATTAGATACAAAATTGGTTTCTTTTTAACATTGACTGTATTTTAGTGATTTTGTTTTGGCATAATAACTAGTCTTCAAAACATAACCTGTTATGTATATACATAAAGATTCAACTTAGTTTTTCTTAGTGTTTTTACTTCAAAGCAACAATATACTTTTTTTTTAAATCTTAAAATAAGACTAGAAGGCTTTTATAAAGGAAATTACATAACTGTTCCTTAAATTAGAAATGACACATCAAAGATTCTTTTCTAATTATTGGGGGGGCTTGCTTTAGATTAGTATCCCACAGATGTCAAAGGAAATGTCAGACATAGCTAATTGTCATATTAGAAACTGAGCCTGACTAAATAAGTAGCTATAGAGGTTATTCTTTCAAACAAGGCTAAACCACATTGACACAGCCATACAAGAAATGTCAACAAACCAAGACAGAGAACAGTGATGCATTTACAACAATTTTCGGTTGATGGTGTTTTAGAGGTGGAGGCCAAATTCACGTGTGCCTCGGTGGGAAGATATCTAAGATATCTAAGGATATCTAGTAGAGATCTCTGCTGTACTTATGTTGAGAAAAGGGATTTGTTTTTGCAATTAAGTCTAAGAAAATTTCATGACAAGTGGTATTTAAAATTAGATTTTCTAAATGTCGTATGATTCATTGCCTTATTTTGTGCCATAGGGCCTAACTATGTTTGCATTTGTTTTTGAGAATGGTGTTTCTGTTTTTGGTAAGTCAATGTCTATTAAATCAGATACCTGTTTGTGGTTATTTTTCCTGTTAAGTCTCTTGCTCAGCAAACACTTGCCCTCATTACTCAAATCAGATCAATATTCCAATTCCAAATATTATTTTAGCACAAAGGTTATTGCAGGGTTTATAAGAATAAAGAGAAGTCTGGGTTGCCCTGTACAATAAATCATGGCAATGACCAAGACAAATGAGGGAATGTAAGGATGGAAAACAGCCTTTTACCAGGGCAGTCAAGACAAGAGAGGACAATTTGTATGCCAAATTTTATAAGTAGGAATATTGGATCAGTAAGTCACATATTGCTCTTTCTAATTCAGCCTCGTCTGTTTTTTGCAGTTTGAGACAAAGGAAGTCATTACATTGATTACCAGCACGTTGGACAGTAACTCATTTTTTTTTTCAAAAATAGATTTTAGTAGAACATTTTACCTCAGAGAACAACTGGTGGGGGTAAATACATAGGAGATGTGCAGCCTTGTCAAATTAGGACAAAGGACCATCTGTTGATTTACACAGCCTAACTAAAGAGGGTGAGAAAAACTGAAAACCCCGTAACTTCTGTGATCAGTAAATTGCCATCTGGTTGGGTAGTGCTCTGTATAAAAATACCTACTACTTTATTTTAATGACTATTTTCTAGAAATCAAATTCCAATATAGAAAATGCTGAAGTCTTAAAACACAGGATACGTATTGTAGTTCTATCACAATTCTGTTATATATCTAATTGTTGCTTAAACCTGGGAACCCTAGTTTAAGGGGAAATAAACAGCTTGATGAGCTTTTTGGGATGAGGAGAGAGGGAGTGAGGGTGAGAAAAATGATATCCTAGGAATAATGAGCATTGGAAAGGGCTTGGAGTTTAAAGTGAGGCATGAAGGAAAGTGTTTAGAGCACAATAATGAATTAAAATAAAAACAGTAGTGTGTGTCTCAAAAACTTAAATGTTTATTTCCCTACAGAGGTAGTTTTCTCTATACCATGTTGCCTCTCCAGAGTGCTTTTTTGATGTGTTTGTTTACTAATGCTTCTTTTTTTTCTTTTCCTTTTTTTCTTTTTTTTTAAATCCTAAAGGCTCGTGAAGAAGAAATGACTGCAAAAGTAAGGGACCTGCAGACTCAACTTGAGGAGCTGCAGAAGAAATACCAGCAAAAGCTAGAGCAGGAGGAGAACCCTGGCAATGATAATGTGAGAGGAGTTTGAGTTTGCTGCACATGTTTCTTGAAAACATTGTCATTTCTGTGATTTGACTAGCCTACTAACATACATACATATTTATCTCATTTAATCCTAATGAAAACCCTTTGAGATTTTTACCTCCGTTTTATAGACAGATAAACTAAATGTTCAAAGAGATTAAATAAAATGTTCAAGCTCACACAATAAGTGTTGTGGTGAGGATTTAAGCCAAATCTACTAGACCTCAAAGCCTAGGCATTTTGTTATTACCAGTGCTTCTCCATCTTTTCCATGGAAACAATAGCAGAGGAAAGTGAATCTTATAACCCTGGAGCATAGCTAAAAATGGTCCATTGTAAATGTGATACTTTTAGATTTTTGGATTTTTGTGCTAAAAATTCACGTTAATTTTATATCCTACTCTATAATACATCCTTAGTTGTAGTCACATAAAAGTGGTGTTTTTAGTTGTATATCATTAAGAAAAACAATTTCTATCTTTGTTTTGGCCAGTGGACCAGATGCAAATACAATGCAATGATTTGGGAAAATTGGACTGAATTCAAAGAGAACTGGCCTGAAGATCTAAGCTTTTTTTTTTTTTTTTCTTTTTAAGTCCTAATCCTTAAGTAAAATTGACACTATGAAAGGTAGACCATGTTTACTCCATGGCTTCTTGTCCTGCTGTGCACCTCAGCAGCACACACCCACAGTTGGGGAAGGCTGGCACTGTACGTTTCTACTGCCTAAAATGTTCTCACTCATCCAGGATGGTCTTTTCATAGCCCAGTCATGGGGGTAATGGGAAAGTGGGTGGTCACTATGACTTTATCCTGGAGAGGATTCGTTACAGAATGTCAGTTACCAGGTAACAATTTTTTACACCACCAGTTACATGGATGACTTACCCGCAGTGCAGAGAAAGAGCCTCTATAAAGAGCTTTGCTACTCTGTGTCACTTGGTAGGCATATGTCAGGTGTAAGCACTGAGCAAGCTGAGAGGACCATTTTCTGTTTCTTTAATAGCTAAGTTAGTTCTGTTTAAATTTTCTTTACTTTCTTTTTTTCTTTTTTTGCCATTTAGTCATGTAGTCATGACTTGAGTATTCCAGGTGCTATTATATATTACTTCTTTTGAGAAAATACATGTATTTAACTGTCTAACATGAGCGTTTCCTTAGTATCAAAGTATTAATATTGCATATAGTAACATTTTAACTTGTGTCAGGATGCCATAGAATATTGAAACATTATGAAATAAGAAGGACTTCTGAGTCCTTTACCTTGTGTCCTAAGAAAGGTAAGAAAATAGCCTTAATTTGGCCGGGAGAGGTAGCTCATGCCTGTAATCCCAGCACTTTGGGAGGCCGAGGTGGGCAGATCACCTGAGGTCGGGAGTTCGAGACCAGCCTGACCAACATGGAGAAACCCCATCTCTGCTAAAAATACAAAAAAAAAAAAAAATTAGCTGGGCATGGTGGCGCATGCCTGTGGTCCCAGCTACTTGGGAGGCTGAGGCAGGAGAATCGCTTGAACCCGGGAAGGAGGTTGCAGTGAGCCGAGATCGTGCCATTGCACTCCACCCTGGGCAACAAGAAGAGCAAAAGAAAGAGAGAAAGAGAGAGAGAGAGAAAGAGAAAGAGAAAGAAAGAGAGAAAGAGAGAGAAAGAAAACTTAATTTTTATTTCTACTCAACATTTTTTTTTCTCCTTTATTCTTCATAAATTTGTATCCTTCTGGAGCATCTTCTGGTGCTTCTGTATATCTTAAATTGCAATATGTATTTAGAGTATAATATTTTGTAAAACAAAACAGAACATTTGTTTAGAAGCACATATTTAAAGTTGCCTTACCTCAAGTCTGACCACTCCCTTGAGACTCTTAACCCTGACTTCCTTTTTCCTTATATCTTTATATTGCTTTGTTTTACTGTTTCTTATAGCTATTATTGTATACACTCATGTTTTTTCTTTCCATTTTTTCAGGTAACAATTATGGAGCTACAGGTAAGGCTAGTTCTTCTTTTTTTTTTTTTCTTTTTTTTCTTTGAGACAGATTCTCACTCTGTTGCCCAGGCTGTTGCCCAGGCTGGAGTGCAGTGATGCAATCTTGGCTCACTGCAACCTCTGCCTCCTGAGTTCAGGTATTCTCATGCCTTAGTCTCCCAAATAGCTGGGACTACAGGTATGTGCCACCACGCCCGGCCAATTTTTTTTTTAATTTTTGTATTTTTAGTAGAGATGGGGTTTTGCCATGTTGGCCAGGCTGGTCTCAAACTCCTGAGCTCAGGCAGTTCCCCTGCCTCGGCTTTCCAAAGTGCTAGGATTACAGGCCCCAGCCAAGACTAGTTATTCTTTGAATTTGTCTGAAAGTCATGCATTTTAGGGGTATTCAGTGTTATAAGTTAAAACTTAAAAAGACTAACAAAAATTTCCAAGCAGTGCAGAAATGTGTCTGGGCAATAATGAAACCTATGTGCATTTCAGATCTGACTTTTTGTTCTTTCAGACACAGCTAGCACAGAAGACGACTTTAATCAGTGATTCGAAATTGAAAGAGCAAGAGTTCAGAGAACAGGTACAGGCCTAATTGGTACCTTTTATTTTGAACTAAAGTTTCGTTAATATGTACTTGGATCTCAGCTACTTTTTAAATAGTTGGCTTTGAAATTTTTCAGTCTTACACCCAGGAAATTTTATTTCCAAATCCAAAGGTACTAGAGGTTTTCTCTCTAAATTCATGATCATATATATTTAAGCAAGAACATTTGTATCATATTATTTTTAATGCTTAACATTTTTTATAACAATTTGTGATCGTATAATGTATAGTAATTTATGTTCTACAAAGAAGTTATTTTTTGCTTTTATCGGAGAGAAAATAGTCATCTATCTTTGGTACTTTTTCCAAGTGGTTTAATTGTCCTAATTTAATTTTCCCATATATTATTGATGGACAATATATGTAAGTCAGTTTAAATAGGACCATGTGTGTACACCTTCAAGGATGCACAGTACACCCATACCAGGATATGTGGTATATGATCTTTAGTAAAGTCTTTTTCTAAACTCTGGGAGAAATAGTGGCTCAAATCAGCAGGCTAAGTTTGAAGGCTAAATCTCCTGGGATTTTCCCAGTTCTTTTAAAATTCATACAGACAAAAATCTTGATAATTGTTAGAACTGAGTGATGGATGGGTATATGAGCATTAATTGTACTATATTTTCTTGGAATATGTTTGAAATTTTTCATAATATTTCTAAAATTTCATAAAGATAGGTCCCAATGTGACTTTATTTTTTTGTTTCACTAGTGATTTAGCTTTTCCCATCTATTCTCAAGATTACTGCTTTAAAATTCTTAAGATCAAATCTTGAAAACTGCCCTAGCATAACAGTTTTTGTATTAGTTATTTTTACTGTGGGAATATACACATTAAAAGTTAACATTTTAATCATTTTAGAGTACACAGTTCATTGACATTTAGTTCATTTACAGTGTTGTGAAACCATCACTGTTACCCAGTTCCAGAATATTTCATCACCCCAAGAGGAAACTCCATACCCATTAAGCAGTCACTCCCCATTACCTCCTCCCCGTAACACCTAGCAACCACTAATCTGCTTCCTGTCTCTATGGATTTGCCTATTCTGGGTATTTCATATAAATGGAATAATAACAATACTTGACCTTTTATGTTAGGCTTTTTTTTTTTTTTTTTTGAGTTGGAGTCTGTCTCTGTCATCCAGGCTGGAGTGTAGTGGCACGATCTAGGCTCACTGCAAGCTCCGCCTCCCGGATTCACACCATTCTCCTGCCTCAGCCTGCTGAGTAGCTGGGACTACAGGTGCCTGCCACCACGCCCGGCTAATTTTTTTGTATTTTTAGTAGAGACGGGGTTTCACCATGTTAGCCAGGATGGTTTCGATCTCCTGACCTCATGATCTGCCTGCCTCAGCCTCCCAAAGTGCTGGGATTACAGGCATGAGCCACCGTGCCCGGCCTGTGTCGGGCTTTTTTTCAGCTTAGCGTGATGTTTCAAGATTCATCCATCTTAATAGCATATATCAGTATTTAATTTCTTGTTATGGCTGAATAATATACCATCGTATGGATATACTACATTTTGTTTATCCATTCATCAGTTAATGGACATTTGGGTTGTTTCCTTTTGCCTATAGTGAACAGTGCTACTAAAAACATTGATATACAGGTTTTTGTTTAAACACCTGTTTCCAGTTCTTTTGGGTATATACACAGGAGTGGAATTACTGGATCATACAGTAATTCTATGTTTAACTTTTTGAGGAACTGCCAAACTTTTCTACAGTGGCTGTACTATTTTACATTACCATCAACAAAGTATAAGAGTTCCAGTGTCTCCATATCCTCACCAACAAGTTTTTTGATTATTGCCATCCTAGTCAATATGAAGTGATACCTCGTTGTGGTTTTAATTTGCATTTCTCCAGTGACTAGTGATGTGAAACATCTTTTCATTGGCTTGTTGGCCATTTATATGTCTTCTTTAGAGCAATGTCTACTCAAGTCCTTTGTCCATTTTTTAGTTGGATTGTCTTGTTGAGTTGTAAATGCTCTTTATATGTACTAGAGACAAGTCCCTTATCAGATATTTGATTTGCAAATATTTTCTCCCATTCTGTAGCTTGTCTTTTTACTTCATTGATAGTGTCTGTTGATGTACAAAAGTTTCTAATTTTAGCAAAGTGTAATTTATGTATTTTTTTCTTTTATTCTGTGTTCTTTTGGTATCATATCTAAGAAATCTTTAGTTTTAGTTTTTTTTTTCGCAGAAACAATTCTTGCTCTAAACCATTTGTCTTAATTTTATTTGCCTATATTCTGTCTTCAGCATTAAAAAACCTTGTGGTGACAGCAATCTTTCTTTTTCTTACATACAGTTTCCCTGTGAATCTTATATGGTCTGATTATTTGTTATTTTTAGATTCACAATTTAGAAGACCGTTTGAAGAAATATGAAAAGAATGTATATGCAACAACTGTGGGGACACCTTACAAAGGTAAGGATGATCTCGTGTCATGTTATTAACTGTTATCTTTTATTGGTGGATTTGTGCATGATTTTTATTTTTGTTTTTGCTAATTTATATTTTTTTCTCATTTTAAAATTTTTAATGATTTTATTTTTTCTTAATTGACAAATGCATATATGTATAGTGTGCAACATGCTATTTTGAGTTATAGATTCATTGTGGAATGGTTAAACTAAGTGCATTACCTGACATACTACCTTTTTTGTGTGTGTGTGATGAGAACACTTTAAAATCTACTCTTTTCACAGTTTTCAAGAATACAATAAATTGGGTGGGGAATAATACAATACATTAACTGTAGTCAACCGTATTTTACAATAGATCTCTTGAACTTATTCTTCCTTATTGAACTGAAATTTTGTATCCTTTGGACAGCATCTCCCACCCCCCACAGTCCCTTATAACCACCAGTTTACCCGGCTTGAGTTCAGCTTTTTAGATTCCACATGTAAGTGAGATTATGTGGTATTTGCCTTTCTTCACCTAGCTTATTCCACTTAATATAATGTCCTCCAGGTTCATCCATGTTGTTCCAATGGCAGAGTTTTCTTCTGTTTGGAGGCTGAATAGTATTCCATGTGGTTAATCTGTTTTTTACAATGAATATATTTTACCTTTTAACAGCTGACTTTAAGGAAAGAAAGATAGTAACCTGGCGGGCGTGGTGGCTCACGCCTGTAATCCCAGCACTTTGGGGGGCTGAGGCAGGTGGATCATGAGGTCAGGAGATCAAGACCATCCTGGCCAACATGGTGAAACCCCATCTCTACTAAAAATAAAAAACATTATCTGGGCATGGTGGCATGCGCCTGTAGTCCCAGCTACATGGGAGGCTGAGGCAGGGGAATCTCTTGAACCCAGGAGGTGGAGGTTGCAGTGAGCCAAGATCATGCCATTGCACTAAAAAAAAAAATGATCCACCTGCCTCCCAAAGTGCAGGGATTACAGGCATGAGCTACTGCACCTGGCCCAAAGGATTTTAAAGATGAGCTTGAGTCTTTATGTGGTAATTCCCTTGAGATAATCAAGATCATTGAATAATCTTATATAACACTTATCCATTCTCTAAAGTTCAATTTCATTACCTCACTGTATTAAGAATAGTTTTATTTTGCTACATGTTTTGTAAACCTTTCTGCTTTCCTATGGGAAGCATGAGGACATAAAAACCATTTGGCATTCTCTTCTTTTGTGTTTTTGAAAGCTCTCATTACTATCAAATAATGTAAAATACTACACAAATTTTAACTAAATTAAAGGACTTGCTGTGGATCCTGTCCAAACTGGAGCTCCTCAAAAAGAAGTAAAAACCAGCCTGGAAATTTCCTATGCTCACTGCGGAGATGATTCTTGCTGCAAAGATTATTTACTATAGCTAAGTCACTGAATATCTCAGCATAGAACTAGACTGAATCAGCCTACAGCCATACCACCGTGAATGCTCCCAATCTCATCTGATCTCAGAAGTTAAGCAGGGTCAGGCCTGGTTACTACTTGGATGGGAGAACTATACTAAATCAATACTCAGCAGTGCATAGAGAATAGTGTCAATTCCTTTTGTTATTTTCCATGTAAGAATTTCCTACATAATTAATTTTTTCTCATATTTATGAACACATATATACAATTTATTTAATAGCTAACTCATAATACTAAGCGCTAAACACTTACAAACACGTTTTTGTCTTTTTTAAAACATTATTTTTCTCAGATTTCTCAAGGATAATATAGCTTATCTGCTCATTTAATCCTCTTAAAAACCCAAGCATTGTGGTGCAGTATGTACATTAATCTCTTCGTCATGCTGCCTCTTTAAAGAGTAAAATGAGGCCGGGTGGGGTGGCTCATGCCTGTAATCCCAGCACTTTGGGAGGCCAAAGTGGGTGGATCACTTGAGGCCGGGAGTTTGAGACCAGCTTGGACAACATGGCAAAACCCCATCTCCACTAAAAATACAAAAAATTAGCCGCGTATGGTGGCGTACACCTGTAATCTCAGCTACTCGGGAAGCTGAGGCAGGAGAATCGCTTGAACCTGGGAGGCTGGGGTTGCAGTGAGCCAAGATCACACCACTGGACTCCAGCCTGGGCAACAGAGTGCAACTCTGTCTCAAAAATAAATAAAGAGTAAATTGAGCACCTATCTTGCAGTACAAAATAAAACATTCCTAGTTCTTTAGAAGCCCCTGTGTGTCTGCCTTTACAATATCTTTATCCCTCTCATCATTTTTACTGTTTCCCCTGACTTTTCTTAATCATTATCTTGTTCTTTATCATTTACCACCTGTATTTATATTTTCAAGCAATATTTTGTTTAGATTTTGTTTGCTTTGTGAATTTATGTAATTCAGTCATACCATAAGCATTCTTGTATGACCTGTTTCTTTTGCTTAATATAAGGTTTGAGAGTTATCCAGATTGTGTGTAGTTGTTCATTTCCATTATATTAATTTTGTACATTCTTTTTCATTTTTCCTAGGACATGTGGAAATTTTTCTCTAGAATATATAAGAATGGAATTGCTAAGTCATAGGATATGAATATTTTTGTGCATATCCCATATTAGGTTAAGCCAAAATGTTTGCTATATTTTTTGTAGTAATTTCCACTTCCATCAGCAGTGGGTGAGATTTCTCACCACTCTAGCACCTCATCAGTGCTGGATATATAATTTTTTTTCTTTTTTGAGATGAAGTCTCGCTCTGTTGCCCAGGCTGAAGTGCAGTGGCATGATCTCAGCTCTCTGCAACCTCCACTTCCTGGGTTCAAGCGATTCTTCTGCCTCAGTTTCCCAACTAGCTGGGAGTACAGGGTTCCACACCCAGCTAATTTTTGTATTTTTGGGAGAGATGGGGTTTCACCATGTTGGCCAGGCTGGGTTTTTTGTTTGTTTGTTTGTTTGTTTTCAAGACAGAGTTTTGTTCTTGTTGCCCATGCTGGAGCGCAATGGCGCGATCTCAGCTCACCGCAACCTCCACCTCCCGGGTTCAAGCAATTCTCCTGCCTCAGCCTCCCGAGTAGCTGGGATTATAGGCATGCGCCTCCACGCCTGGCTAATTTTGTATTTCTAGTAGAGATGGGGTTTCTCCATGTTGGTCAGGCTGGTCTCAAACTCCTGACCTCGGGTGATCCGCCTGCCTCGGCCTCCCAAAGTGCTGGGATTACAGACGTGAGCCACCGTGCCCAGCCTGGCCAGGCTGGTTTTGAACTCCTGAACTCAGGTATCTGCCCACCTCGGCCTCCCAAAGTGCTGGGATTACAGACGTTAGCTGCTGCGCGCGGCCTGGCCAGGCTGGTTTTGAACTCCTGAGCCAAACAGTGCCCATACATTGCATTTGATTGATAAATTACTTAAGTCTCTTTTGAACTCCAGGTCCTTCTCCACCTTTGCTTTTATCATTTATTTGATGAGAAAACCAACTTACTTGTCATATAGAGTGGACCACATTCTTAATTTTCTGGATTCTGTCTCCCTGGAGTCCTCTGTTCCCTGGTAGGTAGAACTAGAGGCTTGAGCAGAGTTAGGTTTGATTAGATTTAGCTTTGCATGGACAATAGTACTTCATAAAGGAAGTTGTGTAATTCTTGTCTTACATCAAACGTTCATGACATATTTACGATTTTAAGATCTGTCACCCAGTTCCAGGTGTGATCCATCACTTTTCGCCAGATTTTAGCATCCATTGGTAAATTCCCTGATCTGTTACTTCAGTAGTGATTGCATAATGGTGTTAGTAAAATTCCACCATTTCTTGTGCATATATTAATTGGAATTCTTCTATAAATAGGAACTTTTCCACATTATCTATATGGTTACCTTGAGGTACAACTCAAACAAGAAAAGCAGGATAAATTCTGTCTGTTTACCCATTTCAGACTAACTGAAACTGGTCAGTGTCTCACTCTGTCATTCAGGCTGGAGTGTAGTGGCGTAGCCTTGGCTCACTGGGACCTCTGCCTCCTGGGTTCAAGCGATTGTCATGTTTCAGCCTCTAAAGTAGCTGGGATTACAGGCGCACACCATCACACCTGGCTAATTTTTGTATTTTTAGTAGAGATGGGGTTTCGCCATGTTGGCCAGGCTGGTCTCGAACTCCTGACCTCATGTGATCCACCCGCCTTGGCCTCCCAAAGTGCTGGGTCTATAGGCATGAGCCACTGTGCCTGGCCAGTTAGTCTGTATTTTTGAAGATCTGTTTCTGCTACCTCTAGTGTGTTTCATTGATCCGTTTGTCTATGCCTGCTCTAATACCTCACTGTCTTTTTTTTTTTTTTTTTTTTGGTAGAGATGAGGTCTTTCTATGTTGCCCAGTCTAGTCTTGAACTCCTGGCCTCAAGTGATCCTCCTGCCTTGGCTTCCCAAAGTGCTGAGATTTCAGGAGTGAGCCACCATGCCTAACCTTCACTATCTTAATAACTGTCACTTCATAATAAGTCTTGATGTCTGGCTGGGGAAGCTGTCCCACTTTTTCTTTAAGAATTGTTTATTCTTAACTCTTTGAATGTCCATAGAAATTTTAAAGTCATCTTGTTAAGTTACTTAATGCATACATACACATTCCTGGGAGGATTTTGATTAGGCTTGCATTTAATTTATAGAAAAAGAGAATTGGCATTTATATGGTATTGATTCTCCAACCCATAATCACAATATACCTCAACATTTATGTAGGTATTTAATGTCTGTCAGTAATGTTTCTTGGCTGGGCACAGTGACTCATGCCAATAGTCTGAACACTTTGGGAGGCCAAGGTGGGAGGATCACTTGAGCCCAGGAGTTTGAGACTAACCTGGACAATGTAGTGGGACCCTGTCTCTAGACAAAAACGTTAGCTAGGCATGGTGACATGTACCTGTAGTCCCAGCTACTTGGGAGGCTGAGGTGGGAGGATCACTTGAATCCAGGAGGTTGAAGCTGCAGTGAGCTGTGATTGCACCATTGCATTCTATCCTGGGTGACAGTGAGACCCTGTCTCAAAATAATAATAATGTTGATTGTTCTCAGTAGTAATCTTGCACCCCTTTTATTACGTTTATTCTTAGATGTGATTGTAAATGTAATATTTATTTTCTAACTAAATGCATATTTTAAAGGCATTATGCATTATTTGAGGAAACTCCAAGCAAGCTTATGTTATAAAATTATCTGTAACACACAATTAAAATTGTGTTAAATGTCAAGTGGATTTTTCAGTTATACACTTTGGAATTTGGCCCAGATAAAGTGTGGGTTTTAAAATGCTGAGTGATACCTAGACGAAGTTATTTGGGAAGACCCATTAGAGGCAACGAGTAGACAATTTGGAAAGCCTCTTTATTTGAACAATAGCTAATTTCCTCGCATAATTGCTTAAAACCAGAAATAAGAGCTATAAAGTCTTCTGTACCCACTGTTTGGGAGAAGTCAAGAAGAGACACAAGTATTGAAAAATAATATTAATTCTGTCTCCTGGAAAATAGCTATCCCAGCACTTTGGGAGGCCAAGGCAGGCGAATCATGAGGTCCGGAGTTCAAGACCAGCCTGACCAACATGGTGGAACCCTGTCTCTACTAAAAATACAAAAATTAGCCAGGCATGGTGGTGCACACCTGTAATCTCAGCTGCTCGGTAGGCTGAGGCAGGACAATCACTTGAACCTGGGAGGCGGGGGTTGCAGTGAGCCACCATCGCGCCACTGCACTCCAGCCTGGGCGACAGAGCGAGACTCCATCTCAAAAAAAAAAAAAAGTAATCTGCCTATTTAATAAAATTGCTTATTTTCTGAAAAGTGAAAAAGAGGTGCGTTTTGTATAGATCTAGAGGAATAAAATACTCAAATATGATATATAGAAGGATATATTACTCAGGGGAAATAATGTGTTTTCATTATTTAGTTCTTAAGAACTCTATACTTGCAAAGTATAATTTGAGTGAGTTGAGTCTTCTAAAAGTATGCACTTAAAAAAATATTCCAAATGTGAGTGCATGTAATGTACATGTAATGTATGGAGGCTATTTAACACCTCAGAATCCACCATCCAGAACATTGCCATTTCTTTTGAGGCTTCTTGTGCTGCTCTGTAGTCCTTATATCTCTGTTGTTTCCCAGTAGTAACTGCTGTTATTATATTACAACATAACTAGTTCCTTTAAAAAAAATCGATTTTAATGTTTTATATGTTTTGGGCTGTATAGAAATGACATCATACTGTATGTGTCCTATGTAAATTACTTTTTTTATCTAATATTATTTTGAGATTCATTCTAATGTGTGAAGCTATAATTTGACCATTTTCAATGCTGAATTTAATAATAATACATTATATCTTTATGTCACAGTATATTCTCTTGTTGGTGGGCATTTTAGTTGTTGCGATTTTGCTTTTATAAACAGTGTAAGTAAACATCGACTCCTACTGTACATATGAAGTGTTTCTCTAGGTTATATTGCTAATAATTGAATTTCTGTGTCATATAATATGCTTGTTTTCTATGTTACAAAGTTTTAAAAGCAGTGCCAAATTGTCATCTGTAGTGCTTGTTTTCAGTTTCCTCTCCTAGTAGTACACGAGTCTCCATTGTTTCACATCCTCACCAGTGCTTTGTATTGTCTGACTTTTAAGATTCTGCTCATCAGACATATGTAAATGACACATAACACAGTTTGTTTTCACAGAACAAATGGTTATTTAAATTCTAAACCCAAAGTAATGTACAATTACAATAAAAGGCCAGAAGAAAGAGGAGGAAGGAAAAAGATGTGAGAAATAAAATTGTTATAGTAATTCTTGTTTTCGCTTCCAAGCATAAAATAGTAATTGGAATGTTTAGTGTGCATGTGTGTATACAATGCAATATGATACAATATAAAAGCATGCCTCTCTTTGTTCCATTGGTTGTTTTTTAAATCTATTTTTATAAGTAATAAGTAGTTTACCTGGTTTTGTCTTTACAGTTTGATCTATTTTTTTATTTGGCAGGTGGCAATTTGTACCATACGGATGTCTCACTCTTTGGAGAACCTACCGAATTTGAGTATTTGCGAAAAGTGCTTTTTGAGTATATGATGGGTCGTGAGACTAAGGTATAAATCATGTCTCGTGATTTGGTGTGTGGCTTAATTTTAAAAGAAATATGTTCCACTTTTAATACACATGTGAATGCCATATGTTTACTATTAGCAAATCAGACATGCTAATAGTAGGTAATAGATAATTATTTTATTGCTCTTAGTTTACAAAGTGAATTGGTGGATCTTGCTTATATTTATTACATTTATAAAACATTAATTTTGAAAATACTATTGGGTAACACTGAACGCTAAACATTAAAATTTCATTAACATAAGAATAATTTGTGAACCATGTGGCTTTTTTTCTTCTTCATATCTTTAAGTTAGAAGAATAGATTTCATTTTCAAGGAGACTTTAGGATATTATGGATAATATTGGAAATAGTCATAATTATTAGCTACCTAGAGAGATTTAGAAACATTATGCTTTATAGTTACTGTAAGAAAATCCTTCTGCACTTGTGGAATATCGATCATTTAAAAATTACCCCATGTAAGTAATAATGCTTGGCTAATTTGTTTTCTAGAATGTTGCATTTATTGTAAGGTTCTTAAATGTAGAGTCTTGTCTTATTCTTATTTGTATCCCTTGCAGTGTTTTAAAAAGAGCCTTATTGGACATTTGGTAAATATATATTGAATTGAGTTAAATGCTTCTAGGGAAATTCATGAGCCTTTCTTCAAACAAAATTTTTCATTTAAAGCAGTTTCTGTTTTTTTGACATTTTTTACCTTCATGGAATTTTAATTGTCTGTGTGCCGTGGCTGAGAATGGGATAATGAATTTTCTATGCTCGAAAGCAATCAGTGTTTTAATGTATGGGTGTGTGGGAGTTGCTGAGTCATAGGATACTAAGCAGGTTCAAGCACTGATTTGGCAAATATATTTAAAACCTAAAAAGCAAATATCTTAAAATAATATTATAAAAGGAAATATCTTAAAAGAATATGATAAATGTATAGATTGGAGATTCAGCTAAATACCAGGAGTGGGTTAGAAGTCATTTGAATCCTTAATATCTGTAGAAATCACATTTCATTATATCAAGTTAAAGTAATATCTAATATTGTGAACAGGTATCACAGAAGGGAGATATTAAATCACAGCAATTCAGTGTCTTTTTTTTTCCTCAATGCCATTTTTCAAAAAGTTCAAGGGTAGCTAAAACTAATTTTCTCCTTATCTTTTAAAAACAAAACTAACGAAATACAGCTTTCTCTTATTATGTCCCTATGGGACATACACTATCTCACCTCAAATACAGGGTATATTATGTCCCTGTGGGGGGATATTTGAGGTGGGATAGATAGTTTAAAGTTACCTTGTTATTGTATTGGGGGTGGGGAGGAGAGGCATATCTTTAAAAAACAAAAAGCTTCTCAGAACTTTAGCTACCTTGGCTCATTAGTGAATCTAAAGCTATGATGCAAGGTTGTTACTAAATAATTTATTTAGCTTTTTCTTGATCTGTAAAATGGAGAGACAGACTGCCTTAACCTGTTTCTTCTGAAGGTTATGAATGTATGTGAGATGAGATAGCTACGGAGCTTAACTACCCTGAAGAAAGACCTAGCATAAGCATAAGCATAAGAGGCTTATGGGGCAGTACCAGTTCATCCAAGTCTAAGCTTGTGCTTCAGGGCTCTGCAGTTAATCTTAGAGTGTGACTTGGGAAGTAGCTGAAAGGGATGTCCCATGGCACAAGCAGCCCCATCTAATAAGCTGGCTGGGAATTTGTGTTGAGGAGTAGTGCTCTCTCTCCTCTTTATCTTCAGCGTCGATTCTCCTTTTCTGGCTCTAAAAATGAAGAGTAGTCTATCATTCTGCCATCACATTTTATAGGCAAATAGAAAATTGGTACTAGGTATTTACTTTTAAGTTGCTGCACATTTATTGAGCATGGCCCTTTATCACCATGGTAGATAGCAAGATGACATTTGATACCATCTCTAACTTTAAGGCGTTCACTGTGCAGTAAGGAAGGGAACTGTTCTCATTAACCATAATGTGATGATGAATGCAGTAAGTGCTGTAAGACAGAAACAGAGTCCTCATATTTACCTGTGAGAAGATCAAGGAGAACATCATGGAGGAGGTGGTGTGTATACTGGGATTTAAGAGGAGATGTTAGATTTTGATAGATAAGCCCAGATGGTGGAGGGGTAGCCCAGACAGGTTTCAGGCAGGAAACATAGTGTGGGTTTTTGAAATCACAAGTAGCCTGGTCCAACTAAAACGCTGGATTGATGAAGGGGAAGTAATTTAACTTAAGGCTGCACAGAGAATGCAGGGCCTTGAATGTTTTCAGAGTTTTACCTGTAGGTATTGGGAGGGGGTAGCCCTGAAAATTTTCAAGTAGGGATTTACAAGATCAGAGCTGTTTTTAGACATGTCTTTTGTGGGTTTGCCCAATTTCTATACATTAACAAAGAATTTGAAATGGAGACCAGGTTGCGGTTTTAGAATAAGTCGGAGTATGTTGTGCTCTTTGTGATTTGATTACCATCTGCAGTTGTTTCTTGTCTAGCAGGATTCATATGTCTTCTCACCTGTGTTTCTTCGTCTGCTTTTGTACACAGTGTTCTTTATTTTATGAGGCAGATGACTTTTTAAAAGAAGACTATATATAGTACATACGTTCTTGTAGTATGGAGTTAAGTAAGTTCCCTTCCTTCCTTCTGTCCGTATACTTTCTTTTTCTTGGGTTTTGATCCTCCATGCTAATGCTGAACCTGAAATTCAGCCTGTTCTCCTTTTCAACATAAAGTGTTTCTCATCCTAAGCTTTATTGAAGATGCCTCTCCCTAAGGAATACCTGGCAGGAGAGATCACTTGTAAATCAGGTGGCTCATTTGAACTTTTCCTTACTTCCCAGGGCCTGAGGATATTGTATGTAGAGTAGACAGTCTGATATCTTTTCCAAGGTGTGGCAAAGAGCCTGGGCTTCTCCATTAAAGTGTTTTCTGGCAAGCCAGGGATGAGCTTTAACTCTTCACTGGGTAATGAGCTGCAGATTCACTGATGAATTTAGAGGTGGGTTTACCATTTAATGTTGTCTAGAAACACGAAGAGACAACTAGCCACAGCTATATTTTTTCCCCAAACATGCTTGTGCATGCATGTATATGTTGTTTCTTAGTAAATATAAATGGACTTTTTGGTACTTGGAGCTTTATGTGGTGTTGATATTAGAGAAATGCTTCCTATAATTCTGAATCCCTGAATTTTAGATTTTTTGGTACTTATAAAAAAACCTTTATAGATAGTATACCAGAAACTGCTTCAGGTTATTATTAAAAAGAAAAAACTGAAATGGTTACTACTTCATATTTCTCTTTCCATTTCATGCCACATGTTTACAGGCATACCTTGGAGGTATTACGGGTTCAGTTCTAGACCACTGCAATAAATGAATATCACAATAAAGCAAATCACACAAATTATTTTGGTTTCCCAGTGCATATAAAGTTACATTTATACTATACTGTAGCCTATTAAGTGTTCAATAGGCATTTTGTCTCAAAAAAGTATATACCTTAATTTAAAAATACTTTATTGCTAAAAAAAAATGCTAACATTCATCTGAGCCTTCAGCAAGTCATAATATTTTTGCTAGTGGAGGATATTACCTCTATGTTGATGGCTCTTGACTAATCAGAGTGGTGGTTGCTGAAGGTTGGGGTGTCTGTGGCATTTTCCTAAGACAGCAATGACATTTGCCATATCAGTTGACACTTCCTTTCATGAGCATGTTTGATAGTATTTTACCCACCATAGAACTTCTTTCAAAATTGCGGTCAGTTCTCTCAAAATTGCAGTCAGTTCTCTGCTGTGGCTTTATCAACTAAGTTTATTTAATATTCTAAATACTTTGATGTCATTTCAACAATGTTCACAGCATCTTCACCAGGAGTAGATTCCATCTCAAGAAACCACTTCTTTGTTCATCCATACGAAGCAACTCCTCATCCATTAAAGTTTTATCATGAGATTGCAGCAATCCAGTCATGTCTTCAGGCTCTGCTTCTAATTCTGGTTCTCTTGATAGCTGCACTATATCTACAGCTACTTCCTCCACTGAGGTCTTGAATCCCTCCAAATCATCCATGAAAGTTGGAATCTTCTTCCAAACCCCTGTTAATGTTGACATTTTGATCTCTTCCCATGAATTACCAATGTTCTTAGTGGCATCTCGAACAGGGAATCCTTTTCAGAAGTTCTTCACTTTGCCCACTGTCATGAGAGGAATCATTACCTATGGCCACTATAGCCTTATAAAATATATTCCTTAAATAAGAAAACTTGAAAGTTGGAATTACTTCTTGATCCATGGACTGCAAAATGGATGTTGTGTTAGGCATAAAACAATTTAATCTTGCTATCTCCATCAGAGTTTCTGGGTGACCAGGTGTATTATCAATGAGCAGTAATATTTGAAGGGAATCTTTTTTTCTGAGCAGTAGGTCTCAACAGTGGGCTTCAGATATTCAGAAAACCATGCTGTTAACAGGTGTGCTATCATCCAGGCCTTGTTTCATTTCTAGAGCACAGGCAGAGTAGAGTTAGCATAACTCTGAAGGGCCCTAGGATCTTTGGGATGGTAAATGAGCATTGCCTTCAACTGAGAGTCACAGGCTGCACTAGCCTCTAACAAGAGAGCCAGCCTATGTATTAAAGCTTTGAAGCTTTTGAACTTCTCCTCTCTAGCTATGTAAGTCCTAGGTGGCATTTTCTTCAAATAGAAGGCTGTTTCATCTACACAGAAAATCTGTTGTTTAGTGTAAACATCTTCATCAGTTTTCTTAGCTAGATCTTCTGGGTAATTTGCTGTACCTTCTCCATCAGCACTTACTGCTTGTATTAGTCCCTTCTCACGGCTGCTAATAAAGACATACCTGAGAATGGGTAATTTATAAAGGCAAGAGGTTTAATTGACTCACAGTTCTGCAGGGCTGAACTAATGACATGAGGAAGGCCTCAGGAAACTTATAATCATGGTGGAAGGGGATGTAAACACATCCTTCTTCACATGATGGCAGAAAGAAGTGCCCAGCAAAAGGGAGAAAAGCCCATTATAAAACCATCAGATCTCATGAGAATTCACTCACTATCACAAGAACAGCAGCATGGGGGTAACTGCGCCCATGATTCAGTTACCTCCCATTGGGTCCTTCCCACAACACATGGGGATTGTGGGAACTACAATTCAAGATGAGATTTGAGGTGGGGACAGAGCCAAATCATGTCGCTGCTTTACCTTGCAATTTTATGATATGGAGATGTCTTCTCTCCTTAAATCTCATGAACCGGTCTTTTAGCTTTAAACTTTTCTTCTACGGCTTTGTCACTTCCCTCAGCCTTCATAGAATTGAAGGGAATTAGGGCCTTGCTCTGGATTAGGGTTTGGCTAAGGGAATGTTGTTACTGGTTTGTTCTTCAGACCACTAAAACTTTCTCCAAACTTCTATCCAGACCACTAAATGAAATAAGGCTATTTCATTCTGATTCGTGTGTTCACTGAAGTAGCACTTTTAATTTCCTTTCAAGAACTTGTTTTACGTTTACAACTTGGCTAACTGGCATACAAGGCCTAGCTTTCAGTCTCTCTTGGCTGTCAAAATGCCTTTCTCACTAAACTTAATTGTTTCTATCTTTTGATTCAGAGTGAGAGGCATGCGAGTCTTCCTTTTACTTGCATACTTACAGACCATTGTAGGGTTATTAATTGGCCTAATTTCAACATTACTGTGACTCAGGGAATAGAGAATCCCAAGGAAAAGGAAAGAGATGGGGGCTCAGCAGAACACAAGCAACATTTTTGGATTAAGTCCACTATCTTATATGGGCATGGTTTGTGGTGCCCCAATACAGTGACCATCATAACATCAAAGGTCACAGAGTACAGTAACAGATATTATAATAATGAAAAGGTTTGAAATACTGCAAGTATTATCAAAATGTGACACAGAGATATAAAGTGATCACATGTTAGAAAAATGGCACCAATAGACTTGCTTGACAAAGAATTCCCACACACCTTCAATCTGCAAAATAAAAACAAAGCCAAAAACCAAGAAACAGTTTCTGTGAAGCTCAGTAAAGTGAAGCGCAATAGAATGAGGTTTGCCTGTACTTGGTTTCTAGACTTCAGTTTAACACACAGATTCTGTTCTGTCTAGGCAGTACAGTTTAAATGATGAGGGTTTTTGTAAAATGCCTTTGGAATTTTCCAAGAGCTGAGTTGTCTTATGTATGTTATTGTTGTTGTATTTTTAACAACAGGGTCTTACTCTGTCACCTGAGTGATAGCGGTGCGATCGTAGTTCACTGCAACCTCAAATTCCTGGATTCAAGCAATTCTCCCACCTCTCCCAAGTAGCTTGTAATACAGACATGAGCCATAACACCTGACTAATTTTTAAGATTTTTTGTAGAGACGGCCATAAATAAAATAGCCATAATCCTGGCTAATTTTTAAAATTTTTTGTAGAGATGGGGGTCTCACTATGTTTCCCAGGCTAGTCTCTAAACTTTAGGACTCAAGCGATCCTCCCACCTCAGTCTCCCAAAGTGTTGGGATTACAGTTGTTAGCCACCATGCCCGACTGAACTTTTTTTACTACCAAAATAGCAGAAGATGAAAGATAAACGGAAGAAGAGGTCTGAAACTAAAGTCTTGCCATGTGTGGGATTTGTGAGTGGGGAGCAGTATTAGTTTATCTGTTAGTAGAAATAAGTATTGGAAATATGTGAAGTGTCTTGCCTAGACTTAGTGTATATAATAGGAGCTTTAAAAAAGTTAGTTCCTTTCCTTCCTGGAAATAATTGTGATACTTTTTTTCCTAATGACGTGAGTCTCCAAAATTTTTGGTTAACTATATTATCTTTTCCTTAATGACCTTCCCCAGATCACTTCCACTCTTCTCCCTTCCCCCATATGCAAAGTCTATGTAACTATGATCAAGGAATGTTAGAGTCAGTTTTCTGGGCTACCCTCCCATCCACGGTAGGAATCTTTAGAATACTACCACCTGATTTTGTATGTAAGCACTGAAGTTGTTATCCTACTTATTTCATAAGTGGTATCTTCTTTCCTCTCTGTCTCCCTCAAAACATCTCATCTTGATACAAAATAGGGAGTTTCAACCTTTGAGGAGAATTTTCCAGGAGCTTATGGGTGACAGTCTGACTTACGGTATATTTATTTAGATGTGCACAATTTATGATCTTGTTTTGCAAGCCATGTGTAATGTTTCGATTCATCATGTTTTCTACCAAATAAAACATCTTGTGTTTATTTAAAATGTAATTTGTATTTCTATTAGGTTGATGTGCTGCATGTCTTGAAAAATACCTACTGAGCATGTTCATGTTCATGCAGTAGCCGTGTTTATGAGATATATGATGTGATTTAGTTAAAGCTGAACATGGGGGGTATTTAAAATCTGATTATTTAGAACATATGTTTTGGCAATACATCACTTACTAGATAGATTTCTGCAAATAAGCCTTTTAAAATGAATATGTAATAAAGTTTTATTTAAATAAAGGGGCCAAGAGCATTAGAATTTTATATAGCTTCATGCTATTGTAAATGCATCTTGTTAAAATAATATGTGTAGACATTGTAAGGAGTCCTTTTAAATTGAAATTCTAGTGTTGTTATTTCCTTGACTAATACCTTCACATCATACTTCTTTGTTCGTGGCTTTCATTGAGAGCACTAAAGAATCCCACCAGCAGAACATGTCAGAATGGGTTGAGACTTTATATGCTTCACTGTCTGTTAGTGATCATCTCTTGTTTTTCTTGTAGACCATGGCAAAAGTTATAACCACCGTACTGAAGTTCCCTGATGATCAGACTCAGAAAATTTTGGAAAGAGAAGATGCTCGGCTGATGGTAAGTTCTGGAAGTGGGCTCTAGATAGAAGATGATTTCCCATCTGTTTATATTCTGTCTCATTTATAAGGACTTTTGAGTTGGTAAAATAAATTTTAAGATTTCAAATCTTTATTATATCACAGCCTGAAAAATGAGAGTGAATTTACACTAAGAAATTTAACCAAGGGTAAATGTGAATGGATGCCCTCAAGGGAAGGAAGAGTCTAATTTAATACCATATAAGAGCTTGACACCCGTATGTATGCTATATGACATTTCCAGAACTTGGGCTGTTTATGGAAAGGATGGAAAAGACATTTGTTCTGGTATATCCAGTAATAATTTTTTAAACCAAATTATATCATCATGTTAGATGATTTATATATTACAGTTCTTTATTGCATTCCAGTTGATTTCCAAATACATTAATTCTGGGTGAAAGAATTTAAGCATTCTTGAGCTTTTGATACCTTATGGGGGCAATCAGACAAACAATGAATTATTTTTAAAAACATAGTGTGAAGTCAGCTGTAATTGAAAAATGAAAGAAACACACACTTTGTAAATTATAAAAAATTCTCCATGCCAAAGTTATTTTTGCCCTGGGCCAGTAATTTAATAAGATCCATTCTAGGCAGAGTATGAAACTTGAAAAATTTGGGTCCTGCCTTCAGCTCTCTCTTTCTGCTTCTTTTCCTTGTCTTGATAGTAGCCTGTAGAGCCCTCCGTGAATACCCTTCTCCTCCCAATCTCTTTACCTATTTCATCATACCAGCACTGGTTTTATTCTCTCTCTCCTCACTAAAGCAAGCCAACATCTTTTCCTTAATGGTGGGTTAGCGTGTGTCTGAGCATCTCCAATAAAGAGCATAAGCCAGTAAGTCCCAAAGTATCTCATCGTATCCTAACAGATTGTTTTCTTACAAAAGTTCTTGATTCTCTTGAGCCCACATCTCCTTCTCTACATGATCACCTATTTGTTCTGGTTCTAACTCATAGAATTCAACCAAAAATCTGGGGATGGCCTAGATGGAGGGGTTTTCCTCCTCCCGGCTAAATAATACCTCTTGCACTTACAGCCTTTTATGAAGTTCCTCTGACTCTCTGCACAAGGTCAGCCCTGAAGGGACCCCAATATCTCAGGCACATTCTGACCACTTCTTCTTGGTCTCCTCTAAGCTCATCCTAGCATTCCCTGACCTTTGTCCCAATGCTTCATTGTATATTGTATTGTATTATATACTTATTGCCTATTTTCTGAGGCATTTGCTATTATTTTGGTTAGCATTTAATTGTTTTTTGTAAAAATCCCTCCTCTGCCACTCCCTGGCATTTAGTAACCTGAAAAGCAGTGCTTTAGTTATTTCTGCTTATAAATATTTTTGATAAAGAAATATGTCACTATAATGTATACCATTCATCAACAGAGAGAATGTTGTTTTAAATTATAATGAACATCTAATTCTACAAGCATGAAATTTTGTATTCATGAGTAGAAATTTTTCCTTTACTGAGTAAAATATCTTTATGAAGATAAAAATTTCTAATGCAGTTTGAGCCTGTTGACATAATTTTGTCATTATGGTCCAGTTTAAGAAAATAATTTTAAATGATATAAAAGGGCTTTTATTTAGTTATCTTTATTCATTCTTTCATAGCTGCTTTATCATCTTGATAAACATCTTGATGTTGGAATATGGCAAACTTTACTTCTACTGCATTTTCTCAGGATTTGCTATATAGTGTAGGCTCATCCTAAGTCGCTGCTCTAGCAAATGTGGTAGGAAACATTCCCCTTCATTCCATATACACATGTAGTCTTTGGTTGATTTGCTTTGATGAAAAACAAATCGAATTGGTAAATGTAGGTAGTGAATCGATAAAACTCTTAAAGCAGACAAAAAAGGTTTGTTTTTGTTAAGTTTAACTTAAAAAAAAAGAGTCTTTGAAAAACAGACTGTTTTCTTCCTGAATACAGTGGTATTCATTCTAGGTAGGGATGAAATGGTAGCTGATTTATTCTTCCTGAAAGAATCTTCCTTTATCCCAGAGGTTGACCTGCCCAGAAACAATGTTCTACTTTTCTACTATTCCTTTAAGCAAAGTCTCATCCATCATTATCTCTTGCTTAATGAATAAGTTCAGTCAACAGTCATCTACTCTTCTAGTTGTTATGGGAAATATAGGAAAATAGAAGATATGGAAGACATTGGTTGTTGACCTTGTGGAACTTTTAATTTTAGGGGGAAGGGGTAATATCCATTCATACATGAATAAAAAGATATGCTTAAGTAATATGATTCAAATAATAAAAATGGTGCTTAGGAAATATGAAATTTTATGATGAACATGAAATGAGGAAGTCCCCAAAATACGATATGAGATGACATGAATTAATCAATTTGAGTCAACTTTTGTCAATTTAAGGAGATTCTTGATACTTGATAATGTGACTCATGATTGTTTCACGAGTATAAGAAAGTTGAAGCAAGAGTTACCTTTGTCAGAGATTTCCATCATTCATAAAATGAGCAATAAGAATCACTGTCTTTGAACAAGTCTCTTGAAGAAATTTCAGCTAATTTCATATCCCTGTCCATTGAGCTGTAGCTCGCTAGAACAAAACACAGGTATGAAAATGATTTTTCTTTTTCCAATAGAAAGTGCACATGATGAAATGTGTAGAAAACAAAACTTTAGGAGTTTATTAAATAATCATTTTTAAATGATTTAATCACATTAATTTTAAATGTATGCTTCAAATGGATCTTTTCTGTAAGTTTTTGTAACTGTGCAGCTATGGTTTCACTTCTATTAAAATCAGCAACCCTAAGTGTTTTGTTATTTTTGCCTAAGGACTGAAAAGCTGGTATAAGAAAACCAAAACAAACCTAAAACATTTTGCCGAGCTGCCCCCTCTTCAAATTAGTATTTGGGATGCTTGCAAGAGTGTGGATTGTACTTTGTGTTGACAGCGTGCAGCCCATGTTAGTTTTTACATTATTTATTGGGTATTATCAGAGGAATACATTCTAAAATTTTTGCTTTTTGACCATGATGATTATACATTTACTTTGTAGCACTAATCAAAAGCTTTCTATGACTGCTGGTGAGGTACTTTTCAATATATCTTATCTTTACTATACTTCTCTCTCTTCAGTGAGTTTTATACTCTTTATTTAAAAAACCTCATTACAGGATACAAGTTATTACTGTTTTCAGAGTTTAACCTAGTCTCGAGTAGATTTTATAGATGAGAAATCACTATCTGTTAAGTAAGGTTAAATTACAGAGCATAATTACAGTCTGGTTTATTTGAGGGTCTTGGTGTATAGGGAAGGAATCTTAGTCCTTTGTTGACTTGCTGTGGAAACTCAGGCAATTCTCAGAGCCTCTTTTCTTCACAAGACTAACATAATCTTGTTAGGATTGTCCAGGAACCAGAGTACAGTTGCCTGCGCTGAGTGATAATGTAGGGATGGTGGTGATAATTATTTAGCCTCCTTTTAGCAATGTGTAGAACTAGTCTTTTCTGGAAAAAGAGACTGGAAAGGTAAATCATTGATGTGTATAAGAAAAACCATTAAAGACCTCAGTAGGAGGGTCAAGTCACACGGTGATACCAGCCCACAAAATGCCCCCATCTCCAACTTCGGTACCTTAGAGTGCCAGCGACATGCGACATTGCTGGGATGAGAGCCTAGATCTCAATGGTTTGACTGCTGTATAACTTAGCGCAAACTGTTTTCATATTTTTGACCCTCATTGGTAAAATGAGATTGTTGGATTATACTATCTCTAAGGTTTCTTTCCCCACAAAGTATAAAATCTTGTTTTATATTTGTTTCAAGTAGGAAAAAGAATTGCCTTCTAAACAGCAGGCAGAAGTTAAAACAAAATGCACATACCAAATGCACATATCTCTGTTTTTCCTAGAACAGCTTTTTTTCCCTCCTCTCAATTTTTAGTTTACTATACCTTGCTACTTCATTTTATGATGGTTTAGGTAGCTTAGATGGCCAGAGTAGACTGGATATTCGAGTAGCACAATATGGGCAAGAGTGAATACATAAGTTCTTGGCTCATCTAATTGTTAGTGTTTTTATTGAATAAAACTGCCCTAGAAGTACACCCTGATTTTTTTTAAAATGAGAGTATTATTACATTATTTAAGATAATTTCATTAGGAAAGTTTATTGTAATTGGGTAACAAGCATCTCAGAATTGAGATTCCTTTGTTATATGGAAACCCCTCTTTAAAAGTTTTCTTAGACATTTTTCTCTTTAGAGTGCTAGCAAAATGTAATGACATAAATGGACATCACTGTTTTCTTGATGACTCCATTAAAGAAAATTTCTCTTTGATGGAGAAGGTTGGCTTGTTTGTGTTCTCTGTCCATTCTAGTCATCTTTTTCAATTGCTCTTCTGTTGACTCTCCTTCAACTTTGCTTTCACACTGATTCTTGGTGGTGTATATAGTTCTTCATCAGTCCTTGCCCTGGACCAGTCTTGTGTTCTCTTAACGTCTCATTTTCTTCCCCTGTTGGAATTTTCAAAATTTCCTCCGAATTAATAAAATCAGAACTTTTCAGCATTGCTAGGTACAAAAGTTTTCCATTCCCACACGAGGTTTACCCTTTCCCTCTGCATGGGCTCAGAAGATGCATGCAAGGTGGGTTCAGGAAACACATACAAATAAAACTGACACATTATAGAAAATATTGCACATGTCAAATACATATTTGTTTTCTTGAGATTGGTTTTGATTCTGGTGTTGGTAGAATAAGGTAATACGTGATCACTGGAAAAAATATTATAAGCCAGAAACATAGAAAGGGAGTCCCTCATGATCTTCAGCCTCCAGACTACTTCTGCTATGCCAGTATCATCTCTGTGAACAGTTTGGGGAATATCTCCATGTTTTCTAAGCCATGTAATTACATATTTATAGTTACTCCTTTATCATTCATTTTATTTTATAAAAATGAGAGTATGCAATGGCTTGCTTTTTTCACTTAATATATTTTTATATTATTCCACCTTATTACAAATTGGTCTCATTCTTTTCAATGGCTGATTGTATGATTATATGGATGTCCTACAGTTTAGTTCACCAGTTTCCTCCTCATTCCATTTACTTATGTTTTCAAGATTTTCAGTACTTTACAAGCATAGACATAGGGAACATCCATATACATGGATTTTGTATACTTCTGCCAGAGAGGATATTAACCTCATTGTGTTGTGTGTGTTGCACATATTATTTTCTAGCTTGTCTTTTGGTTTTGCTGCTTTTTACTAACTTTAAATATGAAAGATAAATAAAATGATGTTTCTGAGGTTGGCCACACTATCCAAGAATAGACTCAGATTTTATAAGCAATCTTTGTTTTTAATGCTGCCATTTTAAATCACCGTGAAGGTAATTAATGATTTTGGACAATGACCATCTTAAAATGGGGCATAGAATTTATTTAAGGTTTGTCACAGTAAAAACTATATTTGAGATTGAGTTTCCTTAAATTGAAATTTCAGTTTGGGTCACCATTCCTGAAACCATTTCTGATACATTGTTGAATTACAAGAGAGTTATTCAGTGATCAAATTGACACATTAGGAATGAGAATTCAACATATAGACACATGGCTCTTCAAATTCATCATCATTTTCCCGAAAACTTTTTAGGGTAAATTGAGATTATGTAAATCAAATTTTAATGTGTACTTTCATGGAATTATGAAAGAGATCCTTTTGTAAAGCAAATAATTGCCCCGTAATTCAGCTGGTAAATATGTACTTAAAATATGCAGTACACCTTTCATTACGTTGTTTAAGTCTTCAAATGAAAGTTGCAAGTAAAATCTCAGCTACATAATATTATATTTACCTAGGATATGGGGGGAGGTATTACAGATTCCTTATTCCTTGCCTGTACACCCTTGATTTGGGGAGATTTGAGAAAAATTTAAGTACAGTCTGTAATCCTATGAACTTCATATACACATACAATCTATGTGTTATATTAAGTCTTAAAACTAACCCAATAAGCTTTTTTTCTTCCTGGCTTTGTAGTTTACTTCACCTCGCAGTGGTATCTTCTGAGTAAACCATCAGTCTGTGCTTAGTTAACATGTGGTGAGTGAAGAACAATGTCTTGTGTCTTTTGTGCAAAAATCAAATGTGTTGCCTGATACTAACCATTTTGCTGGAATTCTTTTGCTCTTGTTTAATAAATATATGATTATGCTATGGGTTAATATAAGTATTTTCTGTTCATTCTGTTATATGGATCGATAATAGTTAAAAATTACTACCACCAGTAAGAGTTATATAATTTTAGGAAATTTCATTTCTTTAAAGAGTAATTGAAAGTTTGAAAATTGCTCTTTGAAATTTTGTTAAAGAATCCAAAAAAGTATTTATGTAACTTATTTTCCCTTTTGTTTTTAATTTTCCAAGAATGATCTTTGAAATTATGATTGTGAGAGAGAAATGAAAAATCATTTTCTAGATAAAAATGAAGTGGTATATTCCGTGAGAATTCAAAATCCTGTAAAGCCTGAGTCAAGGCCAGTCAGAAATAATGAAAACTAGTAAGATCAATTTTAAAATATAGCTTCATTACTTCCTGAAATCAGACAGTTTAACACAAGACAACACATTTGTCCTGAGGAGACCGTTAGGCAGCCTACTTTAATTGAATGTGATTCTTCCTGATTAACATATTACAGTGAAATGCAGGCATATGAAATGTTTCAACGCAGTTGACTGTCTTCATCATTTAAACCCTCTCCCCTCATCTCTATGTATTTTTCATGCTATTAGGTTGATTTAGCACCCTCTGAAAATGTACCATACATCTTTACCTCAGCCTTTGCTAGAATTTTCACAAAATCAAAAACAGATCACAATTAGTAGGGCTTCACTATAATTAAAATAAATACTCTCAGTGATTGTTAATATCCAGCTAATAATAGTATCAAGGTTTAAAATGGCAAGATACAACATTTCTCCGTTCTTTTAAGCTTTTATTTATTTATTTATTTATTTATTTATTTATTTATTTATTATTTTTTTTTTTTTTGAGACGGAGTCTCGCTCTGTCGCCCAGGCTGGAGTGCAGTGGCGGGATCTCGGCTCACTGCAAGCTCCGCCTCCCGGGTTCACGCCATTCTCCTGCCTCAGCCTCCCAAGTAGCTGGGACTACAGGCGCCCGCCACTACGCCCGGCTAATTTTTTGTATTTTTTTTTAGTAGAGACGGGGTTTCACCGTTTTAGCCAGGATGGTCTCGATCTCCTGACCTCGTGATCCGCCCGCCTCGGCCTCCCAAAGTGCTGGGATTACAGGCGTGAGCCGCGCCCGGCCTTATTTATTTTTTTTTAAAAAATAAGTAAAGCCTTTATCACCCTGGCTGGAGGGCAGTAGTGTGATCATAGTTCATTCCTGTGTCAGCTCCTGGGCTCAAGGGATCCTCCCACCTCAGCCTCCCAAATAACTGGGACTCTAAGGCACCTATTTTTTTATTTTATTTTATTTTGTAGTGATGGTCTTGCATAGGCTGGTCTCGAACTCCTGGGCTCAAGCGATCTTCCTACCTCAGCCTCTAAGCTTTTTTTTTTTTTTTTTTTTGAGACGGAGTCTCGCTCTGTCACCCAGGCTAGAGTGCAGTGGCGTGTTTTTGGCTCACTGCAAGCCCCGCCTCCTGGGTTCACACCATTCTCCTCCCTCAGCCTCCTGAGTAGCTGGGACTACAGGTACCCGCCACCATGCCCAGCTAATTTTTTGTATTTTTAGTAGAGACAGGGTTTCACCGTGTTATTCAGGATAGTCTCGATCTCCTGACCTCATGATCTGCCCACCTTGGCCTCCCAAAGTGCTGGGATTACAGGCGTGAGCCACTGTGCCTGGCCCTCTAAGCTTTTATCTTTAAAAATCTTCTGTGCCTTCATTTGAGCCTCCTTTTGATTTTAATATATATTATTTGATTTGCCTTAGCGATTATCCAGAACTGTCTTATTTTTGTCATCCACATTACAATGGCTGGCAGTACAATGCATGGTTTTATTAGGTTACTTTGATAATAAATGTGAACATTGAAAAACTGTAAATTCTATAGCTAACCCATTAAGTCTTAATGTTTTCCTTTTAAAATAATACTGCATTGTACTTGTTATTATTGCAGCTGAATATCAATTATCACTGGAAATGTATATTGTGCAGCATTTCTATTAATTGATTAATTGATTGTCTCCTCAACTTTTAGTTTGAAACATTTCAGACATAAGATTTGCAAAAATAGTACAATGAACACCCATATACCCTTCACCTAGTAATGTTTGGCCAGATTTTCTGACTTGCTGTCACTCTTGTTCTCTCTCCATTTATATTATTCCCCATTTGTAACATTTGGCAATTACTTGCCGACATGCTTGCAAGCATTTGACAATTGTAAACATAAACTAAGTACTTTAGCATGTATCTTTAAGAACAAGGACATTTTTCTACATACAGTACAGTTATTACACTCAGGAAGTTTAATATTAGCTAATACTAATATATAGTACATAATACTCAGTTTTTTACAGTTTTCCAAATAATGTCTCCCATAATTTTTTAGAATCCAGGATCCACTTGAGATTTCACATTGCATTTAGTGGTCATATTTTCCTAGTCTTTTTTAAACTAGAAAACGTCTAGCTTTTTTGTTTTTAATGATGCAGCATTGTTGAACTGATCTTGAATTTTGTTTCCCACAACAGATCAAGCTACGGTTTCAAAATAAAAACTGACAAGGAATTTACGTATAACAGAAGATCTTGTTGGTGTCTTCTTTAGGTTCCTAGGACCAACATGATTATTGAACTAGTTTTATAAATAATATACTATTAGTAGTACATTATGAGTAGTGAAATATTTGTTCATTTACAAATTCAGAAGACTAAAACTCCCCCTATCCACTTAATATATATGGAAAGTTTGCCTCTATTAATCTTACTTGGTAATTTATTTTTATGGGATTTTAAACTCATATCTTGATGTGACTACTGGTTTTAGCATTTTCTTTTCCTTTTCTTTTTTTTATATTTGAGACGGAGTTTCACTCTTGTTGCCCAGGCTAGAGTGCAGTGGCGCAATCTCGGCTCACTGCAACCTCCACCTCCCAGGCTCAAGTGATTCTCCTGCCTCAGCCTCCTGAGTAGCTGGGGTTACAGGTGCCCGCCACCACACCCAGCTTATTTTTTGTATTTTTAGTAGAGACCGGGTTTCACCATGTTGGCCAGGCTGGTCTCGAACTCCTGACCTCAGGTGATCCACCTGCCTTGGCCTCCCATAGTGCTGGGATTACAGGCGTGAGCCACTGCTCCTGGCCAGCATTTTCATTTGAGAAACATTATGAGGAAGACTTTGGCTATGTCATAGCTTTTTTTTTTTTTTTTGCCCCCCAGCATGGTCACACCAGCCTAGAGTGCAGTGGCGTGAACACAGTTCACTGCAGCCTTGACCTCCTGGGCTCAAGGAATCCTCCCGCCTCAGCCTTCTGAGTAGCTGGGACCACAGACACATGCCACCACACCTAGCTATTTTTTTTAAAAAAAAGTTTGTAGATACAGGGTCTTGCCATGTTGCCCAGGCTGGTCTTGAACTCCTGGGCTCAAGCAGTCCTCTGACCCTGGTCTCCCAAAAGTGCTGGGATTATAGGCATAAGCCACCATGCCCAGCCAGCATTTCTAATTAATTTATTTTTTGAGACAAGGTGTCACTGTCGCCAAGCCTGGAGTGCAGTGGTACAGTCAGCTCACTGCAGCCTTGACTTCCCAGGCTCAAGCGATCCTCCTGCCTCAACCTCCTGAGTAGCTGGGACTACAGACACACACCATCATGCCTGTCTAATTTTTTCTATTTTTTGTAGCAATGGGATCTCACTATGTTGCCCAGGCTGTTTTTAATTTTTAAATTAAATTTCTTAATTCCAGATGAGACATAAATTTCCACACCAAAATGCTGTTTGTCTTTTGCTATTATGTCATGCTGGGAGAATTGCAATTTGTAGAATAATCAGCACACTGGATAAGAGGAAAGAGCTCTTTCTCATCTTTATTTTTTATTGTTTTTTTGAGGCAGTCTCTCACTCTGTTGCCCAGGCTGGAGAGCGATGGCATGATCTCGGCTTACTGCAACCTCCGCCTCCTGAGTTCAAGTGATTTCTCCTGCCTCAGCCTCCCGAGTAGCTGGGGTTACAAGCACCACCACGGCCGGCTAATTTTTTTGTATTTTTAGTAGAGACAGGGTTTTGCCATGTTGGCCAGGCTGGTCTCAAACTCCTGGCCTCAAGTGATCTTTCCACCTTGGCCTTCCAAAGTGCTAGGATTATAGGCATGAGCCACTGGGTCCAGCCTGTCATCTTTAATTCCAGTCCAATATTTGTGAGATTCAGCCAAGTCAGCGTGTTTACTCCTGGGTTACTGTATAAACTGGTAGCATTCGATATATGGTAAATGGTTGCAGTTCCAAATTTCACTTAGAAATGCCATTTTCCAGGATTGCTGACTATAGGTTGGTTTGCATCATTGCAAGAATGTTAATTTTTAGAAGATACCTTTAAGATTTAGTGTTTAGACAATTTCTACTTTTTTTTTTTTTTTTCAGAATGGGGTCTTGCTGTGTTGACCAGGCTGGTCTCGAACTCCTGGCCTCAAGTGATTCTCCCATCTTGGCCTCTCAAAGTGCTGGGATTACAGTCATGAGCTACCACACCCAGCCTTATTTCTGCCTCTTTACTGCAGTCTCTAGACCATGGAATAGAATTTTATTTCAAACTTGAAAAAACAAATATCCCAAAAAGTCAACCTAAATGTTTTGGATTTTTTTGCCCCCTTTCTTTATTCTCTTTTCCTTTTTCTTTTCCAGTCATGGCTCCGATCTTCATCTTGAAGAAGAGTGACATTGGGTGACTGCTGCTTGGAAAACTGTCCACACTTGCTACTCTTTGAGAATGAAGTTGTCATTCAGGGCCCCTCATGTAGCCAAAAGACCAAGAAAAATCTGGCCCACAGATAAGTTGCAGACTGCCTTTAAAATAGATTTTATCAGTGGAGAAATGGTGATAGTTTTTTCTTCAGTTTTCTCTTGGGAAGAGTTTTATGTTGTTTAAAAGATATTTTGATAACTTAACCTGCTTTATGGGCTTACATAATATTCCTTTCATCCATTCTTTTTAAAGAACGGCTTACCTTTCCTATTTATTTTTAGGGTGATTTTTTAAAAAGACTTGTGCAATACATTTTGAGGTGAAACTTAGTGGATTTTTTCTGATAAATTAGAGCATTTAATTGACTATTTTATTCAGGTTGATCTGTTGAATATTTGCTAAAGACCAGTTCTTTAAGCTAAGACATGTAAAAAATCCCAAATGGCAGTACCTCATTGTTTACTTAGCTTTTGTACTTATATTTTTCAGAGGAAAAAACACTACTGTAAATTGTGAATAGCCAATACATAACTGTATTGTATGCAAATCTGTGATTGTTGGCAGTGTCATCTCTGAGAAACAGATAAATAAAGTTTATTTACTATATAACATTTGTTTATTGTACTTGTTCCTCAGTTGAAATCTATTTTAAAATGTTTAAGAATGCATATTCTATTTGGATGAATTTAGTGAGGAATTATTTGTCAATATAACTAAATGCTGAGCATTTGAAAAGAATTTTCACGTTCAAATTTGGTATGACCAAGTTAGAAGGAGCATGGAAATAAATACTCCATGATGTCTGCTTTAGGATTCTGACAACTTGGGAATGCCTCCTCTCTCTGGAATAGACCATACTTGAATTATTTTTTAACTTGGTGAAAGAGAAATTTCTGCACACTGAGAGATGGGTACTGTTCAGAGGGCTTCACACACCCTTCATATTCTAGGAAATACAATACTCAATATCTAGGTATTATCTAATCTCTGCCTCAAGGTAGAATCTCAGTTTTCCAGCCAGTCTGGACCTTAGCTCCTGATGTATCTTACATTGTGATAGAGTGGGGAGTTCTGGGGGATAGATAAACAAGGGGTCTGCCCATAACCCACAGCTGACTCATTTACTGTTCCAGTAAGAGAAGAGGGTCTTCTTAGCACACACCCACCCCACTCCCCCAGCCTCGTTTTTAAAATCATGGTTTACTTAAATTGGCAAAATTTTGTCCCACCGAAGGGTTTCTGACAACAGATATGACTTCTTATCCTTATCTTTTTCTAGGGTAGAAATGGTGGACTCTCAGTGAAATGCATATGCAACTTTCTCTCTTTAACCCTTTTATAGAGACACACATGTCTAAAAGAGGAAGGAGCAAACAGAGTAGCAAACTTTTTCTATAAAGGCCAGAAAGTACATATTATAGGCTATATAGTTTCTGTTGCAACCTTTCAACTCTCAGCTCTCATAGTGCAAAAGCAGCCATAGATAATGCATGAAAGCATAGCTTTGTTCCAACAAAACTTTATAAAAGCAAGTCTCAGGCTAGATTTGGCTTGCAGGCTGTAGTTTGCCAACCCCTTAGAAAGCAAACAAGCTGGATTTTAAATATTTATTTAGGGGGCAGGGGTGGCGATCATTTAATATATAGGAGTTGCTCATTTTTCTTTAGTACAGCTATGCAGCCCTTGTTTCAGAAAGGGGTGCAGTAAACTCACTTCACCTTGATTAAGAATAATGGTGACATTCTTTCAATGTTACTTGTTCCAGTGAGCACATAAATCCAGACCCTGAGGTTCAGAAACTAAGGCTGTCTCCAAGACCTCATGACTGCAGCACACAAAAAGATTGATGCTGTAAATATATTGCCAAAAAACAAGCATTTCACTTTGAAAGGTGTTCAGATATTACTTTAGCAAGAATTTTTGGCAGAAAATTCACTTGAAGTTGCTAGAATTCATAGCCACTTTGTTCAGGTCATGTGCATGTACGACCTTAGTCGTAGAACTACCTTAGTAGAACGACCTTAGTGTTGACTGTCATTGAAAATTGTTGAATTAGGTGTTCCTGAATTAAAGGAGTGGAACATTATTTCTGATTTTCCGACATATAAGTGTTGACTTTTTTTCTTTCAAAAATCCATTGGCTATAAAAACTCATGTCTGTAGAGTAAGTAACACACATAGGCTATTAGGGTGCTCATGCATTTTACCTGCTGCATGCCCAGAAAATGGACATGGCTCAGTTGGAGCTTCCTTATCCTCTGCAGCAAACTAGAGCCACAAAGGTATAGGCTAAAATACTGTGCCCAGACTGAATCTTTTCCTTATGTCTGAAAAAGCAAAACAGGGAAGATTTACTGCCTTTTTTTTTTTTTTTTTCTGATTATGAAAGAAATTTAGGCTAATTTTAGACTAAATTTCTATGAAACTCTGTCCCATATGGAGAGTTTCGGCCACTTTTACATCCTAGTTCTTCCCATGAAGTGACCAGCAGTCGCCAGCTTGACCACCCAGTAGATAAGGTACCAAAGCAAGTTATGTGACCCCCGAGCTGCCCACTTCCCTGCGTGCCATTCATGCCAAGCTCCCTTTCAAAAGTGCCTGCTTTCTGCTTCAAAAGTGAAGTGGTACCCTTAAGGGAGGAAGCCTATATTTTTTTCCCTAAGCTAACTTTGGAATAAAAAGTCACTTTCTTAACAGCAAGCGACTGAACCTGTATTTTGGTTCCAATTTTGGTGGCCCATGTGGGCTGCCCACCCGGGCTACTGAGGCTCTGCCTGAGGGAAGATAAACTAGAATGGTGGAGGTGGCGACTGTACCATGTGTAGTGGCTGGAAGGCTCCCGCTTTACCTTTTTTTTGTTCTCCTTCTTTCTTTCTCACACCCTACTTGTAAAACCTGGCTCCTAGGCAGAGGCCTACCAGGCTACGTCTTCCTTTCTCTTCTTTTCTGCCTGCTTTACATCTGCTGTTACTAAGTTGCTGGTGCTAAGATAGGATTCCTTATTTGTGGTCTAACTAGAATGTAGACGTTGGAAACTCATTTGAAACTGAAGAAGAAAAGAGTAGAAGAGTTTTTTTTTTTTTTTTAACCCATTCTGTGATTTAAAAAACAAAAACCATACCACCATAGAGACTGCTTTACCCAAATTTTAATTCATAGCTTTTGTTGGATTATATATTGGAGCTAAGAAAGTTTAGCCATGTAAACAGGTTCCAGTTTCACCAAAGAATAGTGTGGATCCAGCCATCTTTCATAAAGTGGTGAGTATATATATATATATATGAATGAGACTTATTAGTTCAATGAAAACAGCTAAATCTTCTGAGCTATCAACAAAATGCGCATATGTGTTCTTAAACACTTAATAAGCACAGGCTTTAATAATGGTTAGTAGGGAAATAAAGTTCTGTAATATTTCCATTTTCAGAAGTAATCTAAATAAACTGCCAAAAATGGGAAAATTGGGTACATATAAATGAGATAAATGCTTGTAAGTAAACTTTGTATGATTTAAAATCTTAAAATCATTTTGGTTCTTGTTTGATGTGTGGGTCATTTTCATGAAGAGTAGGGGTTATTATATGGGAAGCATGTTCCAGAAATTGTAGAATGGTTCTCATACATAAAATGCTAATATCTGATAGGCAGTTCAGAATTTCTTGCTTCCTAGGTTTATATAAAATGTGCCAAAGAAGATGTGTTCTTATTGAGAAAAAGAATAATTTTGTCTAATTCTAAAGTTATCTAGAAGTTAATTCAAATTATGGACTTGAAAAGGCTATTGCTTCCACATAACTTTCTATATTGCTTTTAAACTCCTTGTGCTGCTGAGTTACAAGGCTTTGGGCTGGGTGCGGTGGCTCACACCTGTAATCCCAGCACTTTGGAAGGCCAAGGTGGGCAGATCACCTGATGTCAGGTGGGCAGATCACCTGATGTCAGGAGTTCAAGACCAGCCTGGTGAAACCCTGTCTCTACTGAAAATACAAAAATTAGCCGGGCTTGGTGGCACACTCTTGTAATCCCAGCAATTTGGGAGGCTGAGGCAAGAGGATTGCATGAACTTGGGAGGCGGAGGTTACAGTGAGCCGAGATGGTGCCATTGCACTCCAGCCTAGGCGGCAGAGTGAGACTCCATCTCAAAAAAAAAAAAAAAAAAATTACACAGCTTTGACTCTTGGGTCTAAAAAGATCACATGATAATGCTGTGTCTAGCCTTAATTCTTGTGAGCAGTTAAAATTCTTTGTAAGTTCAACAGTGACTGCTCTAGGACCTTATGGGAAGAGCAGTGGCACCTGTCCCATGCTGTAGCTCAGTAGCTGAGGCTTTGCTATTTTTTTTTTTTTTCGAGACAGTCTCACTCTGTCACCCACGCTGGAGTGCAGTGGCGCGATCTCAGCTCATTGCAAGCTCAGCCTTCCGGGTTCACGCCATTCTCCTGCCTCAGCCTCTCAAGTAGCTGGGACTGCAGGCGCCTGCCGCCACGCCCGGCTAATTTTTGTATTTTTAGTAGAGACAAGGTTTCACCCTGTTAGCCAGGATGGTCTCGATCTCCTGACCTTGTGATCCACCTACCTTGGCCTCCCAAAGTGCTGGGATTACAGGCGTGAGCCACTGCGCCTGGCCAAGGCTTTGCTTTTTTACAGTGGAGGCTTGGGTTCAACTTCTGGCTTAGGGAATGAGTCCTTTCTGCTTTGTTATTTCTGTGACCATTTGCCATTTATTAATACTTTTTCTCTCCATGAACAGCTTCTGATTTCCTGTCTTAAAATTTTCCTTTCTTTGAGCTATATTTCGGGGGCAGTTCCAGGTAAAAACCATTTGCCATCCCTTTGAAAATACCTTGTGCACCTGTGGTTGTTGTACCCTCAAGGCTTATTGATTTCACATAGGAGGTTACCTTTAGTTAAGTTAAAAAAAAAAAAAAAAAGGCAAGTACATATATTTTCAAAAGCCAGAAATATCAGCTGTTTGTCCTGGCTAAAATCTGGTAATAATAGATTTCTTTTTCTTTTTTTTTTTCTTTTTTTGAGACAGGATCTCACTCTGTCACCCAGGTTGGAGTGCAGTGGCATAATCATGGCATACCACAGCCTCAACCTCCTGGGCTCACATGATCCTCCCACCTCAGCCTCCTGAGTGACTGGGACTACAGATGTCCACCACCATGCCTGGCTAATTTTTGTATTTTTTGTAGAGACGGAGATTTGCCATGTTGGCCAGGCTGGTCTCAAACTCCTGACCTCAAGTGATCTGCCCACCTCAGCCTCTCTAAGTGTTGGGATTACAGGCGTGAGCCAACACGCCCTGCCGAGGTTTTTAAAATATTTTTCTTTTGAGAGTTCCGTAGTTAGAAATAAACTTAATTTAGACTGGTGTTTGCGTTTTATGTGTACGGATAATGTCTTAAGGCCCCTGCTTTCCCTCTAAAAACTTCTTAGTCAACAGAATTCTGTCTGATTCTTTATTTACTCTTGTCTGGTCTTGTATCTAACCTTTTATCACCCTACCAGATCTGCTTCTGTATGTCTATGTGTGTCTATTCATTATGTGTCATGTGCAATGTTTCACTACCAAAACTTATGAAAGGGTTTTTTTTTTTTATACTTTAAGTTCTAGGGTACATGTGCATAACGTGCAGGTTTGTTACATACATACACATGTGCCATGTTGGTGTGCTGCACCCATTAACTTGTCATTTACATTAGGTATATCTCCTGATGCTGTCCCTCCCCCATAACTGGCCCCGGTGTGTGATGTTCCCCTTCCTGTGACCAAATGTTCTCATTATTCAATTCCCACCTATGAGTAAGAACATGCGGTGTTTGGTTTTTTGTCCTTGTGATAGTTTGCTGAGAATGATGGTTTCCAGCTTCATCCATGCCCTACAAAGGACATGAACTCATCCTTTTTTATGGCTACATAGTATTCCGTGGTGTATATATGCCACATTTTCTTAATCCAGTCTATCATTGATGGACATTTGTGTTGGTTCCAAGTCTTTGCTATTGTGAATAGTGCTGCAGTGAACATACGTGTGCATGTGTCTTTATAGCAGCATGATTTATAATCCTTTAGGTATATAACCAGTAATGGGATGGCTGGGTCAAATGGTATTTCTAGTTCTAGATCCTTGAGGAATCGCCACACTGTCTTCCACAATGGTTGAACTAGTTTACAGTCCCACCAACAGTGTAAAAGTTTTCCTATTTCTCCACATCTTCTCCAGCACCTGTTGTTTCCTGACTTTTTAATGCTCGCCATTCTAACTGGTGTGAGATGGTATCTCATTGTGGTTTTGATTTGCATTTCTCTGATGGCCAGTGATGATGAGCATTTTTTCATGTGTCTGTTGGCTGCATAAATGCCTTCTTTTGAGAAGTGTCTGTTTATATCCTTTGCCCACTTTTTGATGGGGTTGTTTTTTTCTTGTAAATTTGTTTGAGTTCATTGTAGATTCTGGATATTAGCCCTTCGTCAGATGAGTAGATTGCAAAAATTTTCTCCCATTCTGTTTTAATTAATGGGCTTAAAAATAATAAGAGCTTAACTCAAATATGTTGTCAGAAAAATAGCAAATTTAATGCTCATGTGACTTTAATCTTTGGTAAATACAGTTTGAAGATTATCAATAAAGTAAAAAAGTCTTCAAAATTTAGACATTTGGTCTAAATTAGGCAGGTCAGATACTGTTTGCTAGATGCTTTAGGGTCATAAATTGCTTACATGACTTAATTATTTGACTTGTCTCTTTTATGGCCAAGAGATTCTAAATAAAGCCTAGGGACATACAGAGTTAGCCCCTCAGCCTAGTCTGGGAAGAGTCACACACTGCCTGCAGCTCTGTCCTTGTCCTGGACTTTACAATCTGGTGCATGGTTAAATTTGCTTACTTACCAGGTTTTTCACCAAAAATAAAAGTTGCTGAGAGTTGACATTGTAACATGTAACTGAGGCTACTGGTGAGACAGTTTTACATGCAAGGTGTATAAGGAAAGTCGAATGTGTTTTTGATAAAATGTTATAAGAAGGCATGGAAGCATGGTTTTCATTAAAGGGAATGTAATTTTGTTTAGTTCAGAAGTTTTTAAGGATTGTCTTAACCTAGAAGAGTAATAGGACAAAACTGAAGGTTTAAACAAGTTTAAAAATATTTGTGAAAGATTGATCTTGTAAAAGAAGTTCTGTGAGTATGAGCCAGTTGGCTAAAATTTGAAGGGGATTATTTAGTTTTTCTGTAAATTAAACATTAAAAGCACAATGATGCAGTGCCAGAATCTTGGCCCATCTGTCTGGATAACAGATTTTCTTAGAGCATTGATCTGTTCTTTAAAAGAAAATTGCAAAAGGGTTATAAAACATTTATGGAAATTTTACCTTATGGTCAAATTAAGATTGGATAGATTTATTAATGAGGTTTTATCAAGAATTGGGTTTAACATTAGTAGGACACTAATGCAAAGGTGAAATTTTGCTTTCTTTTTTCAACAAGATTTCTGTGTAATATTGAAAGATAATGAAAGATTTTTCTTTGCTTTTTAGATAAGTGACGGGAAAGAAAAGAGATTCAGTTGGTCTCATGCTGTCTTTATTGGGTCTTGTTTAGAAGGCTGAATCTCTCTTTTATCAACAAGTAAAGATTTTTGCCTTTAAAAATTTTTCGAATTATCATTTTGGCTAAATAAATGACTTACAGTGGACCTGGGATTCTATTTTAAAATATTAAATGTTTAAAACTCTGATATTTGACAAGCATCTTAAAGTCAAATTCTAAATTAAGCCTTTTAAAAAATCTGGTTAACTCTTTTAGATATTAGGTACCCTATAGTCCAAAAGAGACATATTTGTCTTATTTGGTGTATTAAAACCATACAGGAAAAGTTGTCAAATATAAATGGTGTTTGACTTTCTTTGTGTTGTAATCATGTAAATATGTTACTAACATGTGTTCCAAAATTGTATAAGATTCCTATAATTCTGGTATGTCTCAGTATATGTTTTCAGTAATATGATTATGTTAAATTATTTACTTTTTAACACATAAAGAAAAGAGGTTTAATTGGCTGATGGTTCTGCAGGCTGTACAGGAAGCATAGCTCTGGCATGAGCTTCTGGAGAGGCCTCAAGAAGCTTACAATCATGGCAGAAAGTGAAGTGGGAGCAGGCACTTCATATGGCAAAAACAAAAGGAAGTGACAGAGAGTGGAGGGGGAGGTGTCAGACACTTTTAATCGACCAGATCTCACTATCATGACAACAGCACCAAGGGGATGGTGTTAAACCATTCATGAGAAATCTGCCCCCTTGACCCAGTCACCTCCCACCATGTCCCACCTCCAACACTGGAGATTACAATTCAACATGGGATTTGGATGGGGACAAATATCCAAACTATATCATTCCACCCCTGGTCCCTCCCAAATCTCATGTCCTTTTCACATTTCAAAATAAAATTGTTCCTTCTCAATAGTCCCCTCAAAGTCTTAATTCATTCTAGCAGTAACTCAGAAGTCCCAAGTCCAATCCAGAGTCTCATTTGAGACTCATCTCCTTCCCACTATGGGCCTGTAAAATCAAAACAAGTTATTTAGTTCCAAGATACAAGGTGGGGTAGAGGCATTGGGTAAACATTCCCATTCCCAAAGGCAGAAATCAGCCAATAGAAAGGGGCTCCAGGCCCCATGCAGGTTAAAAACCCAGCAGGGAAGTCATTGAGTCTTAAGGTGCCAAAATAATCTCCTTTGACTCCATGTCCTATATCCAGGGCACACTGGTGCAAGGGGTGGGCACCCAAGGCCTTGGGCAACTCCACCCTTGTGGCTTTGCGGGGTTCAGCCCTGTTGCTTCTCTCACAAGTTGTTGAGTGCTTGCAGCTTTTCCAAATGCAGAGTGCAAGCTACCAATGGATCTACTATTTTGGGACCTGGAGGATGGCGGCCCCCTTTCCCACAGATCCACTAGGCAGTGCCCCAGTGAGGACTCTGTATGGGGCCTCCAACCCCACATTTGCCCTCTGCACCATCCTAGTAGAGGTTCTCTGTGGGGGCTCCCTGCAGCAGGCTTCTGCCTGGGCACCCAAGCTTTCTCTTGGATTCTCTGAAATCTAGGTGGAGGGTGCCAGGCCTCATTCCCTCTTGCACTGTGCACCTGCAGGCTTAATACACATGGAAGCCACCAAGGCTTACAGTGGCTTGTGCTCTCTGAAGCAGTGGCATGAACAGTATCTGAAGCCCTTTAAGCCAAGGCTGGAGCTGGAGCTTCCAGGATGCAAGGAGTAGTGTCCCAATGCTGCACAGGGTAATGGGGCTCTGGGCCTGACCCACAAGAAGCCATTCTTCCCTCCTAGGCTTCCAGGCCTGTGATGGGAGGGGCTGCCAAAAAGGTGTCTGACATGCCTTCAAGGCCTTTTACCCTTTGCTTGGCTAGCAGCACTTGGCTCCCTTTTAGTTATGCAAATTTCTCTAGCAAGTGGTTGCTTCATGGCCTGCTTGAATTATTCTCCCCCAGAAACCTTTTTCTTTCTCTGCCAAATGGCCAGGATACAAATTTTCCAAACTTTTATACTCTGCTTTCCTTTTAAATATAAATTCCAACTTTAAATCATACCTTTGCTCCTGTATCTGAACATAGGCTGTTAGAAGCAGCCAGGCCCTATCTTAAAAGCTTTGCTGCTTAGAAATTTCTCTGCCAGATACCCTAGGTCTTCACTCTTTAGTTTAAACTTCCACAGATCCCTAGGCCATGAACAGAATGCAGCCAGTCTCTTTGCTAAGGCTACAACATGTATGACCTTTGCTCCAGTTCCCAATAAGTTCCTCATTTTCAGCTGAGACCTCAGCAGCCTGGATTTCACTGTCCATATCACTATCAGCATTTTGGTCACAGCCCTTTAACCATTCTCTAAGAAGTTCCAAACTTTCCCTCATCTTTCTGTCTTCTGAGCACTCCAAACTCTTCCAGCCTCTGCCCTTTACCCAGTTCCAAAGCTGCTTCCCCATTTTTGGTATCTTTATAACAATGCCCCACTCCTCAGTACCAATTTTCTGTATTAGGCCACCCTTACACTGCTGTAAAGATGATACCTGAAGCTGGGTAATTTATAAAGAAAAAAGATTTAATTGGCTTATAATTCTGTAGGCTTTACAGGAAGTATAGCTCCAGCATCAGCTTCTGAGGAGGAAGCTTACAATCATGGCAGAAGGTGAAGTGGAAGAAGGCACTTCACAAGGCAAAAGCAGGAGCAAGCAAGAGAGAGCTATGCTGTTAAATTATTGTGTCCCACAGAGATGACCAGACTTTAACTGTGACTGTTTTGAGACTTGTCTTCCATAACTGTTATTTTACTTTAATGTTTTTCAAAGGCAGTGTTATAATCAGCTCTAGCACTCTGACAGATGATCTTGAATGCAGGTTTCTGATAACTTTGGAGATTGTGACATTATAATAGAGGGGAAAACTTTCAAGATTCCCATAGAGAGCTAATGTGTTCATGAATATTGAGCAGAACATAAGTTAATTACATAGACTGAACTGATGGAAGACTGAAATAATCTTTTTAAGACTTGTTTAAAACATTGCTAATTCATTTGTTTTTCAGAATCTGGCAAATCTTTTTTCTTTCTGCAGTTTGGACTAGATCATGAATTCTTTCCAGGCTACAGATCCCAAAGCTAATGCTTTCAAATTTTTCTTCCATTTTTAAAATCTGGGCTCAATGAAATTACTACTATATTATTCCTTGTAATATAGGCAAGAAAAACATGTCAGACTGCTATCACCTTCCTCCTCTGTAACTAAAGGTGCTTTGAATCCAACATCTGGATAAAGTGTGCCCAACGTTAACCTTTGTTTTTCTTCTGTTTTTGTAGAAATGGCTCTTATTGAAAATCTGCCTTCATCACATACAGAGGTCTAGCCCATCTGCAATGCCACCTCCTGGATGGGACACAGCTAATTAAACTGACCTATTCTCAAGAACTAGACAGGGCTTATGACCACTGTCATGAATATTCATAGCTCTTCCTGTAACTTGTTAAATATATATTTAGCCAACCTGTCATCATATCCATTACAATTGGCTTAATTATTAAGACTAAATTCTGCATATATATCCCAGATAATTCAGGAGATGTCTTGATAACCCTGTATATTAGTTCTCACACTGCTATAAAGACATACCTGAGACTGGGTAATTTATAAAGAAAAGGGGTTTAATCATCTCATGGTTCTGTGGGCTGTACAGGCTTCTGCTTTTGGGGAAGCCTCAGGAAACTTACAGTCATAGTAGAAGGCGAGGGCAAAGTAGGCACATCTTCACATGGGCAGCAGGAGAAAGAGACAGACAGAAGGGAGAAGTTCTACACACTTTCAAAGAATCAGATCTCATGAAAACTCACTGTCGAGAACAGCAAGGGGGGAAGTCCACCTTCATGATCCAGTCACCTCCCACCAGGCCCCTCCTCCAACATTGAGGATTACAATTCAACGTGAGATTTGGGTTGGGACATAGAGCCAAACCATATCACCCTCCAAGACATGAACCAACAAATCAAAGTTATGTCTGATCCGACATTGTTGCTAGATCATCCTGATTCAGGTCAGGACTATTTTGGTGGCAGAAGCTACTTATGACTTTGGTCCTTGTGCAAGAATAAGCAGACTTCCACGTTGTGGATTTTACTGTCGTTGCACCCTCTGAAAAGGAATGCAAGGCAGGCTTTCCCAGAAACTTTCTAGACCTTGCATCATAATGCTCCAACAAATATTATCTGTAAGTCCAGGTACTCATGAATATTTCCAGCCCCAAGTAGATTAGTTCCCTTCTGATGCTCAGTGACTATGTCTCCATTAGCAGTAAGTACTTAGCTAGAATGAATACAGTGCCCAAATCCCATAGAAATGGAATGGAACTTGGCAGTGAGGAATTGTAACAGAGTACATCCATTTTTCTAAGAGATAAAATGAATAATTAAAAAAAAATTTTTCTCTTTCCCCCTTTTCCCCGATTCCTACTTAGCTCTTTGGAAATGCAATTATAACCTTTTACCTTCCCTTCACCAGACACTCCCTACAGGGCAAGCGCATCTAACTTTGTCCTAAGAAGCTCTGCTGGGAAGCTCTCTCCAACCAGGAGGTTGTCTTAAGAGAAAACAGTTAATTTACATCCCAAAGTACGTCCACTACAAAACTCTGTCCCACCTGGAGCGTTTTGGCCACCTTTACAATATAGTTCTGCCCACAAAGGCACCAGTAGTCACCAGCTCAGCTACCCACTAGATAAAGCCCCGAAGCAAGTTATGTGGACCCCTAGCTGCTCACTTCCTCTCCTGTATGCCATTCATGCAAAGCCCCCTTTTAAAAGCACTAACTTTCGGCCGGGCGTGGTGGCTCATGCCTGTAATCCCAGCACTTTGGGAGGCTGAGGTGGGAGGATCGCGAGGTCAGGAGTTCGAGACCATCCTGGCTAACATGGTGAAACCCCGTCTCTACTAAAAATAAAAAAAAAATGAGCTGGGCGTGGTGGTGGGCGCCTGTAGTCCCAGCTACTCGGGAGGCTGAGGCAGGAGAATGGTGTGAACCCAGGAGGCGGAGCTTGCAGTGAGCCAAGATCGCACCACTGCACTCCAGCCTGGTGACAGAGCAAGACTCCATCTCAAAATAAATAAATAAAAAATAAATAAAAGCACTCACTTTCTGCTCAAAAAGTGAGGTGGTGCCCCTAAGGCAGGAAGTCTGCATATGTTCTCCTAAGTTAGCTTTGGAATAAAAAGTCACTTTCTTTATACCAGGCCTCACTCTTGTTAATTGGACTCTGCAAGCAGCTGCATTTTGGTTACACTTTGGTACATTCAGTAATAGCTTTTCTTTTCTTTTCTCTTCTCTTCTTTTCTTTCTTGAAAGGGTCTCACTGTCATCCAGGCTAGAGTGCAATGATGCAATCATGGCCCACTGCAGCCTCAATCTTCTGGATTCAAGTGATCCTCCCACTTCAGCCTCCTGAGTAGCTGGAACTACAGGTATGCACCACCCACCTGGCTAATTTTTAAAATTTTTTTGAAGAGACAGAGTCTTTGTTGCCCAGGCTGGTCTTGAACTTCTAGCTCAAGCAATCCTCTTACCTCAGCCTCCCAAACTATTGGGATTACAGGCATGAGCCCAGCCCATACAGTATTTTTCTAATATGTGAGTGGATGGACGGAACAACAGGCTGTGTGTATGTACATAAATTTATATGTCTATTTATATTGAGTCATTAAAATTTCTTTGAAACCGTCTTTAATTGCATAATATTTTATCCTATGAATATACCGTTGTTTAACTCATTTTTCTGCTGTTGAACATTTTGGTTATGTGCAGTCACTTTCATTCAGTACTCCATAATGCTCTTACTTTTCTGTAGGTAGAAGCACTTGAAAAAACAATCAGGACCAACCTGTCTTTCCGTAAGTAGCCTTTGGTGCCAAACAAGTGGATACATTTCAGATTATCATGTGGCAGGTTTGTCTGGTGCCATATCCCCTAACACTCTAAGTCGCAGTGCACGGGTCAATATTCTGAGTTGGTATGCTTTTAGAACAACACCTTTCAACACTGGGCTCTGCTCAATTTGATGTGTCAAAGATGAGGGGAAATAGCAATGACTAAAGCATACTTTCTATGGCCAGAGTACGTGGGTGATAGGTGAGGGTGCAGGAAGGGCAGCGCAGCATGCCTTCCATCCTTGAGCCACTTGTTTCTATTACAACCATCAATTTTCTCTCACCTTAATTTGGGATCCTCTTTGGTTAGGTGGTGGTGGTTGTTGTTGTTATATTCTTTAGATATGTTCACACTCCAAGCATGTGAACATTGTCTTAATGACACTTTGTAAACAATGCCACCATTTAAAAATTTAAAGATTTTCCTCCAGATTAGCCTAAAATGCAGATATGGTTTTATTCCTTATAATTTTACAGTGGCTTACTCCCCTGCTTCTGGAAGACTTCTTGGTTGCCCCACACCCAGATTAGGCACTCTTTCCCATTTAAACAGGAGTATTCAGTGTGTTTCCCTATCTCTGTTCCTGTTTCTCTTCCACTACTGTATGTTGGGAGTGGGTGGGACAGATAATTTGTCTTTAAAATTCACAGGTCTCCAAGAGAAGTTGAATCAAGATCTGGCATTGATCATGAGATCCTGGACATAATGTCAATGCAATCATTGGACAAGTCTTTTGGGATATCTTGGGGAAGAGGATGAGTATATTTTTCCCAGCAGCCAGGAAGGAAATGAATATTTATGATCCAGTGTGCAGATCATGGTAGATTGGATTATTGTTTTCAATTCTTCACTCTCTCCCTGTGTTTGGATTTCACAGCTACATACTTTGTTATATGACTTTGCGGTATCTCCTGTTAGAATAGATGGAGTCCATTTCTCTCCTGGCATTGGGTTTGGGTGTGTGAGTTTTGGGTGGATAGAACATACGCCACATCTGAGTGAAAGATGACTACTATGTTGTGTAAATAAACACACAAACCAAAACAACAACAAGAACAACCAAAATAAATTTCAGGATAATGTCTTGAGTTTTTAAAAGTGTGACAATGATATGTCTTGCTATGAATTTCTTTAGGTTTATCCTGTTAAGAATTTGCTCAGCCTTTTTAACCTGTAGGTTTTAGTCTTTTGCCAGATTTGGGTTATTTTCAGCCATTATTTCTTTAGGTGTTTTTTCAGCCCTACCCTACTTCTGAGATTCTAGTGACACAATGTTGGATCTTTTTTTGTAGTCCCACAGGTCTCTGAGGCGCTGATCATTTATTTTTTCAGCCTATTTTCTCTGTGTTGTTCACGTTGTGTAATTTATTGTTCTGTCTTCCAGTTCACTGATTCTTTCCTTTGGAACCCTCCATTCTGCTATTGAACCCATCATTGAGGGTTTTTTTTTTTTTTCCTGGTATTGTATATTTTAGTTCTAAAATTCCCACTTGGCTCTCTATAGCTTCCGTTTCTTTGATGAGAATTGTTTGTTTGTTTCAAGCATGTTTGTAATTGCTCATTGAAGTGTTGGTAGGATAGCTGCTTTAAAAAATCTTTGCCAGATATTTCTAACATCTCTGTCATCTTGGTGTTGGTATCTACTGATTATCTATTTCCACTCAAGTAGAGATTTTCCTGGTTCTTGGTATGTCTAGTGACTTTCAACTGAAACCTGAACCTTTTGGATATTATGAAACTCTGGATCTTCTGTTTTAGCTGGCCCTTTTTGACACACTTTGACGGGGAAGGGCACCTAGTTGGGGGCACACCATTACTGCCAGGTGAGGGCAGAAGTCTAGGTTTTCCACTTGGCCCTCATTAACACCTGGAGTTGGGGAGGGTCTCCTTATTACTGTTGGGTGGAGGTGTAGAGTTAGGGTTCCCCAGTAGGCCTCCTCTGATACCCAGTAGGCCTCCACTAATTACATATATGTATACACATATACACACACACACACACACACACACACACACACACACACATCTTATCTTAATCCCAAATATGATAGTACAGGATAACATTAAGGTTGTTTGACCTAAGGGCAGGATTTAGTAAGTATGTGAAAGAAATCTCAGAAGAATTCCCGCAACTGGGGTTAATTAGCATCCAAGATGAAGTTGTTTTACCCTTCACAGGGGTGGAAGTCCAGACTTCCCATATGGTCTCCACTGACATGGGGACATGATATGGTGGGAAGGTCTCACTGCCTCCCACCAGGGATGCTTCCTACGTGGCCTTTTCTGACATCACCCTGGACAGAGTGTGCTTCCTTTACAGCTTGGCAGATGTTAGAGGTCTAGGCTGTCCACTCGACATTTGCTGGCATGAATGGGGGTGGGCCTGCAGTATTTTCTGTGGTGTTTGGCTGGAGTAGACAGTTGTCTGAAAGCTTTCTGTCTTGCTAGGCTGCCTCTGTCCTGGTTCCTTGGCTAGAGAGAGGAGTTCTTTTTTGGAGATTATTTTTTTTTTTTGGTCTGAATTCAGCATTTCCAGGTAGCTGGCTTCTTCAGCTCCAAGTCAGGGATCTATGAAGCAAAGAGAAAACCCAGGGAACTCACCACCATGGCATTCCTTAGGTCCCAAGGTCTCTAGCTGGTCTGGCTTCGCTTCGTCTTTTAGAGTGTTATATTTGTTTTATATATAATGTCCAGTGTTTCTAGTTGCATTCTGTGGGAGGCATAGGGAGAAGTATGTCTATCTTCCCAGAAGCAGAAGTCTCCAATACAATGTGATTTTATTTATGTAAATTTTAAAAGTTGTATGTATTGTCACAGATATACATACTTTTAATAAATGTATGCATATATAAACTGGAAGGATATATAGTTAATTCACCATGGTGTTTATAACTGATCTTCCCTGATCACTACCACCCAATCTCTGTTTCCTCACACTTCTTTAGTTTTTTCTTATGGCATCTAGTATTGTCTGCCCTCATGTTGTGTGTTTATTTGTTTATTGTCTTTTTCCTCATACTAGAATGAAAACTCCAAGAGGGCAGGAACATTATCCATCCTGCTCACTGTTGCATCCTTAACACTTAGAATATGTAGTAAGCACTCAATAAGCATGTACTGAGTGAATAAATTAATGAAAAAGTGAGTAAGAAAGGGGATAAAATGTATCAGTACTTTCTCTGTAATTAAAAACAAAACATTTTGAAAAGACTGAGAATATCACCTCTTTCTCCAATGAGAAGGCACATGGAAATGCAAGGGAGTATGAGAAACACAGTTATGGGCAGAATATGGACTCTTATTTTATAAGTCAATTAATCACAAATACTGCTATTTTAAGGAACCAATTACTTGTAACACAACTCACAACTGATCAAGACACACCAGTGGGAATGAGTACAGCTGGAAAAAGCTCTCTATTGTTTTAATTCCTACTTTATTATTATTGTTTTTTTAAATTTTTTAAACAACTTTTAGGTTCAGAGGTACATGTGCAGCTTTGTTATATAGGTAAACTCGTGTCATAGGGGTTTGTCGTAGAGATTATTTTATCACCCAGGTACTAAGCCTAGTACTCAATAGTTATTTTTTCTGATCCTCTCCAGATGCTGGCAAGGTTGCGGAGCAAAGGGAACACTTATACACTGTTGATGGGAGTGTAAATTAGTTCAACCATTGTGGAAAGCAGTGTGGTGATTCCTCAAAGAGCTAAAAACAGAACTACTATTTGACCCAGCAATCCCATTACCAGGTATATACGCAAAGGAACATAAAGACATATGCACCTGAATGTTTACTGAAGCACTATTCACAATACCAAAGACATGGAATCAACCTAAATGCTCATCAATGACAGATTGGGTAAAGAAAATGTGGTACAGATGCACCATGGAATACTATGCAGCTGTAAAAAAGAATGAGATCATGTCTTTTGCAGAAAAATGGATGGAACTGGAGGCCATTTTCCCTAGCAAACAACTACAGGAACAGAAAACCAAATATCACATGTTCTCACATACAAGTAGCAGCCACATAATGAGAACTCATGAACACAAAAAGGGGAACAACAGACCCTGGGGCATTCCTTCTTTTCTAGATAAGTTTTTCTTTTGGGATTTGAGCCTCTTTGATTTGAAATTTAGCATAGGCCCAGAAGAAGACTCTGTCCTCTGAGTTTAATTTTTCCTAATCTCCTGGAGAGGCAGCATTGGCTACTAGCTAAGAGTACAGCCCCTGGGGCCAATGCTATGGAGTGAATGTGTCTCCCAAAATTTGTGTGTTGGAAACTTAATCCCCAGCACAACAGTGTTGGGTAGTGAGGCCTTTGGGGAGGTGTTTAGATCCTAAGGGCTTCGCCCTCATAAATGGATTAATGCCACTATAAAAAGGGCTTGTGGGAGTGGATTTTCTCTCTCTTGCCCTTCTGCCTTCCACCATGTGAGGACACAAAAAGAAGTTCCACACCAGATGCTGGCATCTTGATCTTGGACTCCCCAGGCTTCAGAACTGTGAGAAATAAATTTCTGTTCTTTATTAATTACTCAGTCTCTGATATTCTGTCATAGCAGCACAGAACAGACTAAGAAAGCCAGTCTGTCAGTGTTCAAGTTCTGGCTTGACCATTTGCTCACTAGGCAAGGGAACTAATCTGTAAGCCTCATTTTTCCCATCTATAAAATGGGAATAATAATAGCATCTACCTCTAAGCGTGGCTGTAGATTGAATTACTACTTATAAAATGCTTAGAATGGTGTCTGAAACACAGTAAGAGCTCAATTAAAATTGTCTATTGCCAGCCTCTTGTTAATAGCTTATAAGATTGAAATTATTAATTATTAACTATTAACATGCAAGAGTGCCAGGTAAAATGCAGGTTGAACAAAACTAAAGCCAGGCACTTTTGTGGTTGGCCACAATAGGCAAGATGCTAATGACTATGGTCACCAACTGCCCAGAACCAACCCCTGCCAATGCCAGGAAGACCTTACAGAGAAGAGCCTAAGCCAAAAGAGGTGCCCACGTTCGCCTGGAGGTTGGCAAAGGGAAGACTCATTAAAAAAGACAAGCAAAGACTGCAGGGAGGGGCTTCACCAATCTGGCTGTCCTTTCCAGCCCTTGTTGTTTTCTCACACACTGTCCTGCCTTGAGAGCAGGATTTCCTTCCTTTCCCTCTGACCTCAGAGGCACCCCACTCTAAGTGGGTCTATTTCATCTCTCTGTGCCCTCATCCTGCAGGGATCCTTGAGATGCTGTGTCAAGCTGAACTCTAGTGTTTGCAAAGCTAATGATCACTTGGAGCAGCCAGGGCTTCTCTGGGGCAGGCCCGAAGGAAAGCTCAGGAGGGGGCCCCTGCTTTAACCTTGGCTCTAAGTCTGTTGGAGAAAACTCAGGATTTCCTGAGCCTAAAGCCAGAATTGCCATCAGGTTCTCTATTAGTCCTATTTGTGTTCTATTAGTCTGTTGGTGACCACCTTGCTGCATTACCCTGGGATAATCCAGGCTTGTTTTGCTCTACCCTAGGTCTGTGAGGTGAATGGCTGCCCAGTAATCCTACTGCCAGTATTCAATGAGAATACACATGCTCACTTTGTTCCTGCCTGTGTCAACCGTAGCAGCTTCGCAGTCTTAACCACTGGGTCTAACCTTCTTGGCCTTTTCCTTTTACCTCAACTCTGCTCAGTCTCGAACTTGCCCTTCATTCCTGACCTTTGATTATATTCTCTCAGAGTTAACCCTAATTCTGGCCTCCAGGGCTCCGTAACTATTATTCACAACCAACCCTTGGACGAAGCCTGATCCCAGCTGTCCCAAGGAATCATCCTGTTTGGTCCAGACCTGACCCCTGGATCCTGCCCCATCACAGGCTCTTGAGGCTGGTTGGGGAGGGAATGGAACTGGTTCATGGGGCCTGGTTGTATGCTTGAGGCTGACACTGTCATATATAATGAACCTAAGCCCACATGGCACTGTCCACCCCAGCCATGGCTGAATCAGAGGGGAGGCCAAGAGTTTGTGAGTGGAGCACCAGATGAGTCTGATAGAAACTTTCAGACCCCTGTAGGTGGGGAGCTAGACTTGAGCTTCTTACATAAACCCAGGAGGCACTGAAGACTGGTCCATCCATTAAACCAGAAGTAAAAAAAACAAAAACCAAAGACCAAAACCCTCTGCTATCCAGTCTGGGAAAGCAGAAGAAGCTGCACTTTGCCCCGGTCAGTGGATAGAAGAAGAGTTGCCTGTGAGCAATTCGAGGCTGAGCCTGAACTGTGTGCGTGTGTGAAGTTCAGATTCACACCACGTGAGTGATGCAGGAACATAAAGTCATGCAGGAACTCCAGGCAAGGAGTGGAACATAAACACTGCCCTGAAGCCCTCAGAATCCCAGCATAAGCTGATGAGAAGCTAAAAGATGCCTGCATATCCCAGGGTGCTGGAACTTCCATGGAGAATCACCCTGCTGAAGACGAGCTAGCGGGAAAGATTCCAAGCCATGAGAAGAAATGAATTCGTGAGAGGGAGCAGCCACAGACACACAAATAAGATTGCATCCCAAGAAGGAGAGATGATAAAACAATCTGGAAGAAACCTTAACATAGGTACACAGAAGAAAGTGCTGGTGTCATGAGAGCCAAGAGGAGGAGCACCTAACTGATCATTGAGAGAGTGACACCTGGTCTTAGGCTTAGAAGAGGAGTAGAAGAGAGCCAGTGAAGTCAGGGAAGGCTTCCAAGGCAAAAGGACCAGCAAAAGGTAAGAAATAGTCCAGTTTGTGTGAATGTGAGCCCACAGCAAGTGAGAGCTGCTGACGAAGTGTGAGGCAAGTGCGGGAGGCGAGGCTAGAGGCAGATAGGGGCCAGAAGTTGAAAGCCAGTACATTTTGCTAATTTCTTTCTTTTCTTTTTTTTTTGGTAAGACATGGAGTCTTGCTATGTTGCTGAGGCTGGCCTTGAACTCTTGAGCTCAAGTGATCCTCCTGCCTCAGCCTCGATCTTTCTGCCCCAGCCACCTTAGTGTCTGGGACCATAGGTGCACGCCACCATGTCTGGCTTAATTTCTTAGACCTCATCCTAAACTGTAACAAGAAACAACTCCAAAATAGTCTTTGATGTTTTTCAGCTGAAAGCCATTTATCTCCTTCCATGAAAGTTTAGGGCCAGTTTTGCAACCAAACTCTTGCAACAGCAGCTTTTGCCAGTGTGGACTCTGAAAAAGGAAATGCATGTGGGGTGTTCCATTGCTCAAGCTGAATGCAATGCACAAAGTAATCTGGGCCTCTCAGAGGAAGGGAAAAGAAGGAGCTGCCTGAAGTCAAGTTTGTTTTTTAGAGCTGTGTGCACCCTGTTGCTCACTCTTTGGGCCCAGGAGAATGAGGTTACAGCCAGCTGGCCTTTGCCACCAAGTGCCACAGTCTAAACAGCTTCACAGGCAAGGATTTGGACCAGCCCCCAGGCCCCTTGGCCCACTGCTCAGTTCTTACTGAGCAGATCCACACATGGATCCCAGGCACGAGTTGGGAAGTCTGTTCCACGTCCAGCTGAAGGTGTGAATGACTGCAGTCAAGCCAACTAAATGATTGGAGACTGATCTTAAGGGAGGGAGGGTATTATCTATGCCTTTCAAGGATGTGTCAGCTCCCCCTTTCTCCCTCTGCCCAGTTTTGGATTGTGGAATGATGGCTGAGTAACAGGTGCCAAATCCAGCCTCACTTCTGCCCACTGACTTCCCAAGCGTCTCTTAGGAGGTTCATGACTGGACCCATCCCCAGGCTCTACCACAGGGAAGGTGATCTTGGGCGAATCTCTGAAACGGGGCTTTTGCCTGTGGTGTGTAATGTGTGAAAAAGCCAGGGATGGTGGGACATGGAGAATGCTTTGAAGCTCAGGCAGTCCGTCAATTCTCCCAGAATGCCTGGCAGGGATGCAGCTGGCTGCCTTCCTGTGCCCATGGCAGACATAACTATCAACACGTCTCAGTGATCTATTGCCACAATCAATGCAAGCCACCCAGAATTCAGTGGCTTATAACAAATGTCTGTTTAGCCCAAGAGAGTCTTTGGGTCAGTGATTCAGGCTGGATGACTGGTCTTGGCTAGGCTTCCTCACGTGACCTGCAGGGTGGCAGGCTGTCAATTGGGGGTCACCTGTCTGGGGCTTAGCTGGGGAGCCTTGGCTGTGCAGGGAAAACTTTCTGGAAAACTCTGCCATCCTTCCAGAGGCTGTCCGGGCACGTTCTTATGGCAAACTTGGAGGTGCAAGAACAGAAGTGGCAACCTGCCGGCATTTTTGAAGCTTCTGTCATGTCACAACCTTGACCAAACTCAGAATGAAGGGGGAGATTCACACCACTCTCGATGGGAGGAGCCCAAAAGTCACATTATAAGGGTGCGAATACAGTGAGGGGTGAAGATTTGGGGCACTTAATCAGTTTACCAAAACACTTTTCAGCTCAGTCCTCCACAACTGCTACCAATCGATTGAGTTCAGACACGACATAAAAGCTGTTTGCCATTACAACTCTAAATACACAATTTTCAAGCTAGGTTTTGTGTAGCCCTGCAGTTCCAAAAGAGTGCTTCAGGGAACTCTGCAGGGACTGGGGTGATGGAAGGAGGTGGAGGATAAAAGGCAGGGTTCTGGGTTCTCCTGCTCACTTAGAGCTCATCCACTCTTACTTGTTTTATTTATTTATAAATCTAAAAGCCTCAGTCTTTTAGATCCTGCAACCAGAAACTGGCTCACTGTCACTCTGCCACATTCTATTGGTCAAAGTAATCAATTACTAACCTAAATTCAAATGGGGCCTGGCTAGTTTTTGTATTTTTTGTAGAGACAGGTTTTCACCATGTTGGCCAGGCTGGTCTCAAACTCTACTTCCTTTTCCTGGAAGGTTCACTTTGAGAGGAGCTACCCATCATATATATATAAGTAGTCTGACTACTCTCAGACTGCCATACTTGTAAGAAAACTCAAGCTAGCCATGTGGAGACAGATGCCTGGTCAGTCCTGAGAGGTTGTAGCTCTCTCAGCCTAGGAAGTATAAAGCCTTCCCAAGACCCAGCCCCAGCCACCATCTGACCAAACTGTATGAGAAATCCCAAGTGACAATCACTCAGCTGAGCCCAGTCAATCCACAGGGGCATGAGAGACATTAATAAGGTATTATAAAAATTTTTTTATTGGGATGTAATTCAATACCACACAGTTTCCCAATTTAAAGTGTACAATTCAATTGTTTTTAGTATAATATATTCACAGTTTTACAATCATCACTACAATCTAATTTTAGAACACTTTCATCACCCCCAAAGAAATCCTGCAACCTCTAGCCGTCACTTCTCATTTCCCTCCTTCCCTAACCCCTTCACCCTGGGGCAACCATTAATCTACTTTCTATCTATGTAGATTTGCCTATTCTGGACAATAGGGAGTCTTTTCCCCCATTGCTTTCATAGAAATGGAATCAATCATATATGGCCTTTTGTGACTGGCTTTTTAAACTAGCACCATGTTTTCAAGGGTCATCCATGTTGTAGCATGTATAAGAACTTCATTTCTTTTTACTGTCAGTAATATCCCTTTGTATGGATAGATCACATTTTATCCATCCATTCTTCAATTGATGGACATTCAATTGCTTCCTTTTTTTGGCTATTCGTGAATAATGTTCCTATGAGCATTGCTGTATAAGCTTTTATGTGAACATATGTTTTCAGTTCTCTTGGGCATATATCTAGGCTAGCAACTTCTTTTTTAAACTTTTATTTTAGGTTCAGGGGTACATGTGCATGTTTGTTTCATAGGTGAACTCGTGTCACAGGGATTTGTTGTACAGATGATTTCATCACCCAGGTATTAAGCCCAGTACCCAATAGTCATCCATGTCTTTGTGATTGTGAATAGCATTACAATAAACATTCGTGTGCATATGTCTTTATGGTAGAATGATTTATATTTCTCTGGGTATATACCTAATAATGGGATTGCTGGGTTGAATGGAAGTTCTGCCTTTAGCTCTTTGAGGAATTGCCACACTGCTTTCCACAATGGTTGAGCTAATTTGCACTCCCACCAACAGTGTATAAGTGTTCCCTTTTCTCTGCAACCTCACCAGCATCTGTTATTTTTTGACTTTTTAATAATAGCCATTTTGGTTAGTAAGTGATAGTACCTCATTGTGGTTTTGATTTGCATTTCTCTAATGATCACTGATAGTGAGCTTTTTTTCATATGCTTGTTGGCCACATGTATGTCTTCTTTTGAAAAGTGTCTGTTTATGTCCTTTGCCCATCCTTTAATGGGGTTGTTTGTATTTCTCTTGTAAATTTGTTTAAGTTCCTTATAGATGCTGGATATTAGACCTTTGTCTGATGCATAGTTTGCAAATATTTTCTCCCATTCTGTAGGTTGTCTGTTTATTCTGTTGATAGTTTCTTTTGCTGTGCAGAAGTTCTTTAGTTTAATTAGATCCCATTTGTCAATTTTTGTTTTTGTCGAGATTGCTTTTTGGTATCTTGTCATGAAATCTTTGCCCGTGCCTATGTCCAGGATGGTATTGGCCAGGTTGCCTTCTGGGTTTTTATAGTTTTGAGTTTTACATTTAAGTCTTTAATCCATCTTGAGTTGATTGTTGAATATGATGTAAGGAAGGAATCCAGCTTCAGTCTGCTGCATATGGCCAGCCAGTTATTCAAGTACCATTTATTGAATAGGGAGTCTTTTCCCCATTGCTTGTTTTTGTCAGCTTTGTCAAAGATCAGATGGTCATAGGTATGCAGCCTTATTTCTGGGCTATTCTGTTCCATTGGCTTATGTATCTGTTTTTGTACCAGTATTATGGTTTTTTGTTGTTGTTGTTGTTGTTACTATAGCCCTATAGCATAGTTTGAAATCGGGTAACATGATGCTTCCAGCTTTGTTCTTTTTGCTTAGGATTGCCTGGACTATTTGGGCTCTTTTTGGGTTCCATTTGAAATTTAAAATAGTTTTTTCTAGTTCTCTGAAGAATGTCGTTGGTAGTTTGATAAGAATAGCATTCAGTCTGTAAATAAATTCTTTGGGCAGTGTGGTCATTTTAATGATATTGAATCTTTCTATCCATGAACATGGGCTCTTTTTCCATTTGTTTGTGTCTTCTCTGATTTCTTTGAGCAGTGTTTTGGAATTTTCACTGTAGGGATCTTTCATCTCCCTGGTGAGCTGTATTCCTAGGTATTTTATTCTTTTTGTGGCATTGTGAATGGGATTGCCTTCCTGATTTGACTCTTGGCTTGGCTGTTGTTGATGTATAGGAAAGCTAGTGATTTTTGTACATTGATTTTGTATCCTGAAACTTTGCTGAAGTTGTTTATCAGCTGAAGGAGCTTTGGGGCTGAGACTGTAGGGTTTTCTAGACATAGAATCATGTCCTCTGCAAACAGGGAGGGTTTGACTTCCTCTTTTCCTGTTTGGATGCCCTTTATTTCTTTCTCTTGCCTGATTACTCTGACTAGGACTTCCAATACCATGTTGAATAGGAGTGGTGAGAGGGAAGATTTACTTTACCAAATATCAGCTGGAAGTTAAACTCTTGAGGTTTAACTCACCTGGAAGGTGAGGTCACGAACAAGGAGTCAAGGCAGCCCTAGGCACTCCCTACAGAGCCAGTAATGGACACACAGCCAGGGAGCAGGGACACAGGGAGGAGACATTAGATGCATTTTGAGGATGAAATAGCTATTGCCTTTTTCCCAATTCACGTTACAGGGGCAACCTGAAACATATCAAAGACACAGCTTCCTTGTGCACCTTGGGCATCTCTTTTAAGAAGAAAGGAGAAGGAGGAGAAAGGGGCATTTATGGAGCATCTGCTCCTTTTGGGTTCAGCATAAAGAACTCTTCTTACACAGGCTAATTTAAGTCCTCCCAGGATGGAGGTATTGTCATCCTCATTTTACTAATTAGGATTCCCCTTTAACCACATTCAATAGCTATTTTAAAATTTGAGGCAGGGAGTGGTGGCTCATGCCTAGAATGTCTGCACTTTGGGAGGCCAAGGTGGGAGGATGGCTTGAATCCAGGAGTTCAAGACCAGCTTGGGCAACATGATAAGACCCCATCTCCACCACCAAAAAACAAATAAACAAAAACCCCCCAAAAAAAGGAAGAAAGAAAGAAAAGAAAGAAAAATAAAAAGAAATTAACCAGGCATGGTGGCATGAGCCTGTAATTCCTGCTACTCTGGAGGCTGAGTTGGGAAGATCACTTGAGCCTGAGAGGTCAAGGTTGCAGTGAGTCATGATCCCGCCACTGCACTCCAGCCTGGGTGACAGAGCAAGACCCTGTCTCCAAAAAAAAAAAAAAAAAAAAAAGGTTGAAACTGAGTTTTGTTGAGCCATATTAAGTATAGATGCTTCAAGAAAATCCCTAAAGATCAGAAAACTTCAGGTGCATTGTGATCTTGTGATAATATACAACTGGATTCTTTCCTTGGGAGAATGGGATATGTTAGAATTGCTTAACTATGGTTGGGGTGTGGAGAGGAGGAGGAGGTAGTTGGGAGAGAGAGGGCAAAAGAGTGCAAGCATGAGCAGCCAGGAGGAAGAAAGAACTTTTGCTTTGAAGGCAACTGATAAGATGGTCGTTGAAACATGTTTGAGCATCAGAAGTGTGGCCCTGGCTGACGGCCACTTTATACTGGGCACTCTGCATGCCTTATTTTCTTTAACTTTCACAACAGCCATAGGCAAGGAACCTGGGTCATCCCAGAGGTCAATAAGTGTGCCAAAAGCTACATGGCCAATAACTGGAAAGGTAGGATTTGAGTCCTAGACTTAGTGATTCCAAAAGTTTCCACTGGGCCTTCTCAAATTCATGCCAAATCACAAGCAAAATCTCTCCAATCCTCCACCTCTAAACTTTCTTTTTTTTTCTTGATTTAATGGAAAATCTTATGCCTCTGAGACTCCAATATTCCTGCAGCTTTTTCCAGGAGGTATGTCAGGGAGAGGAAAGGGGGTTGTGCTTTTATTCCCATCCCTCTTGGATCAAAGCAACTGAAGATGGAGCCAATGTCCACCTTGCAGTTTCCAGGCTGCTGTCTCCTCCTTTCCTAAAATCTCTGAGCTCTGCAACTCTTGGCATCTGCATCCCTCCACAATGTACAGACACATCTTGGTTTATTGCATTTTGCTTTATTGAATTTTGCAGATACTGTGTTTTTTTACAAATTGAAGGTTTGTGGCAACCTTGCATTGAGCAAGTCTATTGGTGTCATATTTCCAATATCATGTGCTCTGTCACATTTTGGTATTTCTCACAATATTTCAAACTTTTCATTATTATTATTATTATTATTATTATATCTGTTATCATCATCTGTAATCAGTGATTTTTGATGTTACTACTGTAATTATTTTAGGCTGCCACGAACTGCACCCATATGAGAAAGCAAACTGAATTGATACATGTTGTGTGTGTGCTAACAGCTCCACTGACCTGTGGTTCCCCAGTCTCTCTCCCTCTCCTCAGCCCTCCCTATTCCTTGAGATGCAAGCAATGTTGAAATTAGGCCAATTAATAACCCCACAGTGGCCTGTAAGTGAAAGGAAGACTTGCATCCCTCTCACTTTGAATCAAAAGTTAGAAATGATTAAGCTTAGTGAGGAGGGCATGTAAAAAAACTGAGATAGGCTGAAAGCTAGGCCTCTTGTGCCAAACAGTTAGCCAAGGTGTAAATGCAAAGGAAAAGTTCTTGAAAGAAATTAAAAATGCTACTCCAGTGAACACATGAATGATAAGCAAGTGAAGCAGCCTTATTGCTGAAATGGAGGAAGTTTTAGTGGTCTGGATGAAAGATCAAACCAGCCATAACATTCCCTTAAACCAAAGCCTAATCCAGAGCAAGGCCCTAACTTGCTTCAATTCTATGAAGGCTAAGAGGGGTAAGGAAGCTGCAGGAGAAAAGTTGGAAGCTAGCACAGGTTGGTTCATGAGGTTTAAGGACAGAAGCCATCTCTATAACATTAAAGTACAAAGTGAAGCAGCAAGTGCTGATGTAGGAGCTGTAGCAAGTTATCCAGAAAAGTTAGCTAAGATCATTGATGAAGGTGGCTGCACTAAACAACAGATTTTTTTTTTATTATTATATGTTAAGTTCTAGGGTACATGTGCACAATGTGCAGGTTTGTTACATATGTATACATGTGCCATGTTGGTGTGCTGCACCCATTAACTCGTCATTTACATTAGGTATATCTCCTAATGCTATCCCTCCCCCCACCCCACAACAGGCCCCAGTGTGTGATGTTCACCTTCCTGTGACCAAGTGTTCTCATTGTTCAATTCCCACCTATGGGTGAGAACATGTGGTGTTTGGTTTTTTGTCCCTGTGATAGTTTGCTGAGAATGATGGTTTCCAGCTTCATCCATGTCCCTGCAAAGGACATGAACTCATCCTTTTTTATGGCTGCATAGTATTCCATGGTGTACATGTGCCACATTTTCTTAATGCAGTCTATCATTGTTGGACATTTGGGTTGGTTCCAAGTCTTTGCTATTGTGAATAGTGCTGCAATAAACATACGTGTGCATGTGTCTTTATAGCAGCATGATTTATAATCCTTTGGGTATATACCCAATAAGGGGATGGCTGGGTCAAATGGTATTTCTAGTTCTAGATTCTTGAGGAATTGCCACACTGTCTTCCACAATGGTTGAACTAGTTTACAGTCCCACCAACAGTGTAAAAGTGTTCCTATTTCTCCACATCTTCTCCAGCATCTGTTGTTTCCTGACTTTTTAATGCTCGCCATTCTAACTGGTGTGAGATGGTATCTCATTGTGGTTTTGATTTGCATTTCTCTGATGGCCAGTGATGATGAGCATTTTTTCATGTGTCTGTTGGCTGCATAAATGCCTTCTTTTGAGAAGTGTCTGTTCATATCCTTCACCCACTTTTTGAAGGGGTTGTTAAATGTAGATGAAACAGCCTTCTATTTGAAGAAGATGTCATCTAGGACTTTCATAGCTAGAGAGGAGAAGTCAACGCAGGGCTTTAAAGCTTTAAAACACAGGCTGACTCTCTCATTAGGGGCTAGTGCAGCCTGTGACTCTCAGTTGAAGCCAATGCTCATTTACCATTCCAAAAATCCTAGGGCCCTTCAGAATTATGCTAACTCTATTCCATGCTCTAGAAATGAAACAAGGCCTGGATGACAGCACATCTGTTTACAACATGGTTTACTGAATATGTGAAACCCATTGTTGAGACCTATTGCTCAGAAAAAAAAGATTCCTTTCAAATACTGACAATGTACCTGGTCACTCAAGAGCCCTGATAGAGATGTACAAAGTGATTAAGTTGTTTTATGCCTGCTAACACAACATCCATTTTGCAGCCCATGGATCAAGGAGTAATTTTGACTTTCAAGTCTCAATAGTTAAGGAATATATTTCATAAGGCTATAGTGGCCATAGATAGTAATTCCCTTGAATGATCTGGGCAAAGTAAATTGAAAACCTTTTGGAAAGTATTCACCATTCTAGATGCCATTAAGAACATTTGTGGTTCATGGGAAGAGGTCAAAAGATCAACATTAATAGGAGTTTGGAAGAAGTTGATTCTAGCCCTCACGAATGACTTGGAAGGGTTCAAGACTTCAGTGGAGGAAGTAGCTGCAGATGTAGTAGAAATAGCAAGAGAACTAGAAGTGGAGCCTGAAGATGTGACTGGATTGCTGCAATCTCATGACAAATTTTAAATGAATGAGGAGTTGCTTCTTATGGATGAACAAAGAAGTGGTTTCTTGAGCTGGAATTTCCTTCTGGTGAAGATGCTGTGAACACTGTTGAAATAACAACAGTTTAGAATGTTACACAAACTTAGTTGGGAAAGCAGCAGCAGGGTTGGAGAAGATTGACTCCAATTTTGAAAGAAGTTCTATGGTGAGTAAAAGGCTGTCAAAGAGCATTACATGCTACTGAGAAACCTTTTGTGAAAGGAAGAGTCAATCGATGTGGCAAACTTCACTGGTGTCTTATTTTAAGAAATTGCCACAGCCACCCCAGCCTTCACAACCACCACCGTGATCAGTCAGCAGCCATCAACATCAAGGCAAGACCCTTCACCAGCAAAAACACTATGACTAGCTGAAGGCACAGATGATCGTTAGTGTTTCTTAGCAATAAAGTATTTTTACATTAATGTTTGCACATTGCTGTTTTTAGATATATTGCTACTGCACACTTAATAGTCTATAGTAAAATGTGAACACAACTTTTATATGCACTGGGAAATGAAAACATTTGTGTGACTCACTTTATTGTGATATTCACCTTACTGGAGTGGTCTGGAATAGAACCAGCAATGTCTCCAAGGTATGTCTGTAATTTTTGTGCGTCCTGTTCTGCAACCAACTACTTTCCTCTTTTGGCACGACTCAACATTTTTCAACACTGAAGGACAAATTTAAGATATATTGTTCCTACTCCTGTCCTTCCACCAGCCACATCTCTATTGCTTGTTTCCTCACACTTCTCCTTGGCCATCCTAGATTCCATAGCCCAGCATTACTGTCACACATCTTTAGCTGCCATGCCTGTCTCCCACCATGGAACTCATCTGGCAAAACCCTTACCCTGGTTCCATCCAACCTCCACTCACTCCTTGCCTGGTAGCTGGAGGAGGCTGGAGAATCTGCTGGATTGTGCTCACTTGCCCACTTGAGATTCACAACCACTGACTTCAAATGGGGCCCTACATGTGTGCCTGAAACTTTCCATGTTCCCTTGTCCCTGCACTCTCACAGTGCATACATGATGCATGTCTTTCCTCACACCTCCACCACCTCCTCCTCATTTCTCACTCCTCTGAAGTCCAAGCTTCCTACTGCACTGAGAAGATAGAAGCAATTGGAGAAGAGGAGGGCTATTTCCCCACCACTTCTTCAAACTTCTTTTCTTTTTCTTTTTCTTTTTTTTTTTGAGATGGAGTCTTGCTCTGTCACCAGGCTGGAGTGCAGTGGTACCATCTCAGCTTACTGCAAGCTCTGCCTCCCAGGTTCATGCCATTCTCCTGCCTCAGCCTCCAGAGTAGCTGGGACTACAGGTATGTGCCACCACGCCCGGGTAATTTTTTATATTTTAGTAGAGACAGGGTTTCACCATGTTGGCCAGGATGGTCTTGATCGCCTGACCTTGTGATCCGCCTACCTTGGCCTCCCAAAGTGCTGGGATTACAGGCTTGAGGCACCGTGCCCGGCCTTCAAACTTATTTTATTAGTCCCATAAACTCTACCATCCCTCCTGTTTCTGTAGTTGAATCCAATGCTGTTATCTGAAGCCAGCGCCTCACTTTTCTACGGAGTCTGCGTTCTCTCACCTATAAACATGCTGTAATTGCTCCCACTCAAACACGAAACAAAATGAACAATAACACATTTCTGCCTTGTCCCCACATCCCTTTCAACATCTGCTCCATTGATTTACTCTGTATTAGACCTTTCTTGAAAGAGTTGCCTGCACTCTCTGTCTCCAGACTCTTGCCACCTTTCTTTCTGAACCACTTAAGTCAGGGGTTCACCCCACAATTACACTAAGACGACTCTTTTCCAGATCACCAGTGACCTCCATCTTGCCACATCCACTGATTGGTTCTCAGTGTTCATCTTGCTCAAACTCTCATCAGCATGTGACAGTTTGCCACTCCCTCCTCTTGCCTTCTGGGTGTTCTTTCTCACCTCTCCCCACTGGCCGCTCCTTTCGCAGTCTCCTTTGCTGCCAACACTCATTCCCCAACCTCTGTAAAGTGCCCTGAGGATCACTGCTGAAGCCTCTCCCCATACTCCCTAGACGAACTCATTCAGTCTCACGGCTTCAGAGACCACTGAAGGGCTGACAACTCCCAGCTATACATCTCCAGCTCAGAGTTCGCCACCAAACTCCAGCCGTGTCTATGTAACTGCTGAGTTCACATCTCCACTTGAATGTTTTTATCAGTCAGCTCAAGTTGCCATAACAAAAAAACCACGACTGGATGAACAACAGAAACTTATTTTCTCACAGTTCTGGAGGCTGGAAGTCTGTGATCAGGTTTTAGGCAGTCTTGCTTTCTCCTGAGGCCTCTTTTTCTGACTTGCTCATGGCCACTTCCATGTGTCTGCGTGGCCTTTTCTTTCATATTGGATTAGGACCCCACCCTCATGACCAATTTTTTTTTTTTTTTGAGACAGACTTTAGCTCTGTCGCCCTGGCTGGACTGCAGTGGCATGATATAATCACAACTTAATGCATCCTTGAACTCCTGGGCTCAAGCGATCCTCCTGCCTTAGTCTCCTGAGTAGTGAGGACTACAGGTGCATGCCACCACACCCAGTTACATTTTAAATTTTTTTTGTAGAAATAGAGTCTCTTTATGTTGCCCAGGCTGGTCTTAAACTCCTGGTATAAAGCAATCCTCCTGCCTTGGTCTCCCAAAGTGCTGGGATTATAGGCATGAGCCACTGTACTTGGCCTTAATTTAATCTTAATTACCTTGATAAGGCCCTATCTCCAAATACAGTCACATTGGGAGCTAGGACCTCAACATAAAAATTTGGTGAGGGCACAATTCCATCTGAAACGGATGTCCAGTGGGCACCTTGTCTTCTTGGTGAATGGCAGTTCCCTCCTTCTAGGTGCTCAGGCTGAAATCCTAGACGCCCCTCTTTCTCGCTTGCTGCACATTTCAATCCACCAGCAAATCCTGTTGTCTCTGCTTTAAAAATGTACGTGGATTCTAACTGCTGCTTTCTGCTTTCACTGCCATCACCCTGATCCAAACCATCATCATTTTAAAACTGTATTAAGAAAATGGCCTCTTGCACTGTCTCCTGTTTCTGCCTTTGGCCTTTAAAATCTTTTATCAATGTGCCAGTAAGAGTAATCCTTCTAAAACAGAAGTCAGGCCATGCCACTTTCTGTTCAACCCCCTGCCACAGGAGATCCCATCTCATTCTTTTAGTGACCAGAAAAGCCCTGTAGGACACTTCTCTGATTGCCTAGCATTTTGCGGCTTGCTCCCACTACTCAGCCACACTACTCTCCTTGCAGTACCTTGAGGCACGTTCTTACCTCAGGGCCTTTGCATTTGCTGTTCCCTCCAGCTGAAATGCTCTTGCACTGGATATTATGTGTTGTGTTTCCATCATCTTTGTCAGATATCTGCTCAAATATGACATTTTCAGCCAGGCGTGGTGGGTCATGCCTGTAATCCGAGCACTTTGGGAGGCCGAGGCGGGTGGATCACCTGAGGTCAGGAGTTTGAGACCAGCCTGGACGTGGCAAAACCCCGTCTCTACTAAAAATACAAAAATTAGCCAGGCATGGTGGCAGGCACCTGCGATCCCAGCTACTCGGGAGGCTAAGGCAGAAGAATCGTTTGAATCCGGGAGGCAGAAGTTGCAGTGAGCTGAGATCATGCCACTGTACACCAGCCTGGGCAACAGAGCGAGACTCCATCTCAAAAAAAAAAAAAAAATGACATTTTCAGAGAGGTGCTCTTTGACTATCTTACAAAAAATAGTGCTCCCACTCTTGCTGTGCAAACTCAATTTCCTGTATCCTACTCTACGTATTTTCGAAGCAGTCATCGCCATATGGTATACTCTCTCTAGATTATTTTCTTGGGCATTTGCCTATTGTCACCTTTTCTTCTCACTAGCATGTGGCTCCATGAGGGCAAATACTTAATCTGTTATGTTCACTGGGGCATCTCCAGAACTTGCCTGAAACCCAGTAGGTGTTCAATAAGTTCTGGAGGGATGAATGAATGACTCCTCTCACTGTAAGGAAGTTTGGGATATGTAGTCTATCTGGGCACATTTCTATCTGTTCTCTTTGCAGGGGAGAAAGGGATGAGGATGTTGGATAAGCAGCTCAGCATGTTCCCCAACATGTAAGGGAATCAGGTCGAGTTCTACACTCTCCTTCTTGGTACACATCCTCAGAATGCAGGAAGTGCCTGTGCTTGCTGTGAGTCTTTGTGGACAGAGGCAGGATCATGCTGGCTAGAATCTAGTGGACAAGGTAAGGAAACATAAGCATTGAAGAGGGGTAAACATTTGTTGTATGAGGTTATGGGAGGTCCTGTCTCAAGAAAGAGGGTCGCACAGACCCCTGGGAAGACTGGGCTTTGTGCACTGGAGCTGGTGGGTAGAGATATGGGGATCATAGGCCTGATTTCCGGAGTGTGGCATGGAATTGTGCTGGGTGTGTATCTTAGTCTATTTTGTGCTGCTATAACAGAATAGCTGAGATTAGGTAATTTATAATGAACAGAAATTTATTTTTTATGGTCCTGGAGTCTAAGTCCAGAATCAAGGTTTGGCATCTTGTGAGGCCTTCTTGCTGCATCATTACATGGCAGAAGGTGAGAGGGAAAGAGGTAAAGTGCACACAAGAGAGAGAAGAACAAATGTGTTCCTCTATAGTGAACCCATTCCCATGATAATTAACATACTTCCACAATCATGGCATTAATTCATTCATGAAGTCAGAGTCATCATGGCCTAATTACCTCTCCAGAGACCCATCTCTTAGTACTGTTACAATGGCAATTAAATTTCAACATGAGTTTTGGAGGGAACATTCAAACCATAGCAGCGTGCCGTTCTTCATGTTCACCTCTGAGCATACTCCCGCCCTTGCTGTTTCTGTCCTTGAGGCTTTGCCTTTCATCCCCAAGCCTGGCCTCAGCCCATACTCTATTGTACCAATGCCAAAAATTGAGGTTTAAAGTCTCACTGAGTAATTCTTAACCAAAGATATATTGTAAACCAATAGTCACTGAATTCTACTTGCTCACCTGTGGATATTAGTTGGGTATGTAAGTTAGTGTTTGCTGCTTAAAATAGCAACTGTTTATGGGCTCACAATTCTGTGGGTTTGCAATTTGGACTGGGATCAGTGGGGTGGTTCTTCTGCTCTCAGTTGGGCTCACACATTCAACTGCAGCCAACTTCTGTTTTGGCTGAGGCTGGCTGGTCTAGGGCTAGGATGGCTTATCTCTACTTTGTGTGGTCCCTCATAGTTGGCAGGCTAGCACAGGCTTGCTTACATGGCAGCCCCACAGGGCTCTGAGGGAGCAAATAAGAGCATGCATGGCTTATTGAGGCCTAAGCTCAGATCCCAAACTCCATCACATCTATTACATTCTGTTGGTCAAAGCAAGTCGTCACAAGGGCTAGTGTATGAACCTCACAACTATGAATGAGAAAGGAGAGAGATATTTCTTCATCCAGGGGCCTGTTTTTTATAGGCCCTCAGTCTGCTCCTCTCATTCCCAGCAGTAGTGGGTTCTATGGAGACCTCTGTCTTCTGCCCTTGGACTAGACAGCTGTGTCTGTGAGCTCTGTGACCATTTTTTTCAGACAGGCTTTATAGAAGCTCTCAGAGACATGTTTTTGCTTAAGAGCCTTTTGATTTTCTTGGTCAGTTGTCATAGCTGGAGCTTTTTGGCAAGGCTTCAGCCATTCATATGTAATCCTGTGCACTGATTAATGGAGGTGGTTTCACTTTTATTGTCCCTCTATGGCAGCCTGTCTCCCCAGTGGCTGGGACAGAAGCTGCTCACAGGTCTGTGGCTATTGATGGTCAGAGCCAGAGACCTGCTGTGCTCATTCTGGGACGTGGTGGGGATGGAGGTATGGGTCACATCCTGCTCTATGACCTTGGCCAACAGTTTTAACTTTTTCTAACTGCCTCCCAAAGTGTCATTTCCCTCATATTTATAAATTATATGATAAGACTCCCTTTTGCTATCGTCAGTTTGTCCCGCTACTGGACCATCAGCATACAAACATGCTATCATTGTTCCTATCATAAAATGTTGATCTTCTCTTGACTCCATGTCTCTTTTCCCACTACTCTTCAGTGATGAACTCTTTAAAAATATAACTATACTCACTATCCCAATATGTAGGCTTCCATTTCCCCTTAAAGCCTCTCTGATCAGGACTCTTCCTCACCTCCTCTGAAACTTCTCTTGGCAAGGTCAGTTGCTAAGGCCAGTGGTGATTCTCTGTCCCTATCTGATTCTGCACAGGTGGTCATTTTCTCCTTGAGAAACTTTCCGCTCACTTGGCCCTCTCCTCCCTTCTTGCTGGCTGGTTCATCCTCATTTCCCTGACCACTGAATATTGGAGGGCCCCAAGGTTCAGGCTCCAGGCCTTTCCTCTTATGTATGTCTCCTTGGTGATCTCATCCTGCTTCATGGGTTTAAACACCAGCTGTATGCCAATGACTCTCATAATTATGTCTCCAATTTAGACCCTTTCTGGTCGTCAGACTCACAAAACCAAGGGATTGTTCAACATCTCCGATTGGATGGATGCGTAACTGGCATCTTGAGTTTAGCATGTTCAAGTCTGAATCCCGGTGTGCCCCCAACCTGCTCCTCTCACTGTTGCCCCCATGTTGGTTAAAGGCAAGGTCATCTTGCAAGTTCTTGCCTGCAATCCTCTCTCTCTCTCTCTCTCTCTGTGTATACACACACACACACACACACACACACACACACACATATAACTTTTTTCTTACACAAAAGTTGGCATACTATTTGCATTGTTCTGTATCTTGCTTTTCTCACTTAACAATATATTCAGGAGGTCACTTCAGTTCAGAGAGATCTTCCTCATTCTTTTTACAGCTGCATCAGTATTTCATTATATAAATGTACTATAATGTATTCAACCAACCAGAGTAATACTTTCATACTTGATGAACATTTGAGTTGTTTCCAGTCTTTTGATATTACAAATAAGGCTGCAATTAATGTCCTTGTATATATGTTGTTTTGTACTTTGGAAGGATGTCTTCAGGGCAGGTTCCCGGAATTGTGATTGGAGGAAGCTGTCAAAGGAATCTGAGCAGTTGCACAAGGTTTGTGTCCCAATGCAGCTGCAAGGGAGGGCATATTCTCCAATGCTCAATTTAGATATGGTGAGAAAGCATAAGGAGAAGGAAGAATCTCCCAGAGCACAGGGCCAAGAGCCTAAAAACAATACTCAGGAAGCACCCCCACCCCACAGGCCACCACCCAGGGAGCAGATCTGGACCTAATCATGAAACAGTTCCCATCTCTAGGGTGGGAAAGCCTTGCAATAGCTGCTTATCAGGATTTCCAAATTGCTAGAGTAGTGCCTGTTCTGTTTTTATTTTTCCCTTTTGGAATTGGCCTCTTGGCTCTTTTGAGTTCAACTATATCTTTATTGATTTTTCTATCTGCTGTATCTGTCAATGTGTAATAGAGGGGTATTGAAGTCTCCAACTATAATAGTGGATTCATCTATTTTTCCTTGCAGTTCTATCAGTTTCTGCCATGTGTATTTTGATGCTCTGTTGTTAGTTGTATACACGTTAAGAAATGTTATGGCTGCTTATAGGATTGACCCCTTTATTATTATGTAACCGTCCTCTTTATTCTTGATAATTTTCATTGCTTTGAAGTCTGCTATGTCTGAAATTAATATAACTACTCCAGCTTTTTTAAAAATTTTCAATTTTGTGGGTACATAGTAGGTATATATATTTATAGGGTACATGAGATATTTTGATACAGGCATACCATGTGTAATAATCACATAAGGGTAAATGTATCCATCACCTCAAGCATTTATTCTGTCTTTGTGTTACAAACAATCCAATTACATTCTTTTAGTTATTTAAAAATGTACAATACATTATTGTTGACTGTAGTCACCCTGTTGTGCTATCAGATAGTAGCTTATTCTTTCTATTTAATTATATTTTGTACCCATTACCCATCCCCTCTCCTATTTCTCCCACTATCCTTCCCAGCCTCTGGTAACCGTCATTCTACTTTCTATCTCTATGAATTGGATTGTTTTAATTTTTAGCTCCCACAAATAAGTGAGACCATGTGAAGTTTGTCTTTCTGTGCCTGGCCTACTTAACATAATGACCTCCAGTTCTATCCATGTTGTTACAAATGACAGGGTCTCCTTCTTTTGTTATGGCCGAATAGTACTCCATTATGTATAAGTACCACATCTTCCTTATCCATTTGTCTGTTGATGGACACTTAGGTTGCTTCCAAATCTCAGCTATTGTGAATAGTGCTGCAATAAATGGGAATGCAAATATCTCTTTGATACACTGATTTCTTCGTATTTTGGGTATATACCCAGCAGGGGGATTGCTGGATTACATGATAGTTCTATTTTTAGTTTTTTGGGGAACCTCCAAACAGTTCTCCATAGTGGTTGTACTAATTTACATTCCCATCATCAGTGTGTGATGGTTCCCTTTTCTTCACATGCTCACCAGCATTCATGATTGCCTATCTTTTGCATAAAAGCCATTTTAGCTGTGATGAGATGATATCTTATTATAATTTTGATTTGCATTTCTCTAATGATCAGTGATACTGAGCACCTTTTCATATACCTATTTGCTATTTGTATGTCTTCCTTTGAGAAATGTCTGTTCAGATGTTTTGGCCATTTTTAATTGGATTATTAGATTTTTTCCTATAAAGTTGTTTGAGCTCCTCATATATTCTGGTTATTAATCCCTTGTCAAATGGATAGTTTGTATATATTTTCTCCTATTCTGTGGGTTGTCTTTTCACTTTGTTGACTGTTTGCTTCATTCTGCAGATGCTTTTTAACTTGATGTGATCCCATTTGTCCATTTTTTACTTTGCTTGCCTGTGCTTGTGGAGTATGACTTAAGAAATCTTTGTCCGGCCTAATGTCGTGGAGAGTTTCCCCAATGTTTCCTTTCTACACTTCCATAGTTTGAGGATATACACACATACACACACACACACACACACATATGTATATATATATATATATATATATATATATATATTATTTTATTTTATTTTTGAGATGGTCTCTCATTCTGTCACCCAGGATGGAGTGCAGTGGCACGATCTTGGCTCATTGCAACCTCTGCCTCCCAGGTTCAAGCGATTCTGCTGCCTCAGCTTTCCAAGTAGCTGGGATTACGGATGCTTGCCACCACGCCCAGCTAGTTTTTGTATTTTTAGTAGAGACAGGGTTTCACCATGTTTCCCAAGCTGGTCTCAAACTCCTGACCTCAAATGATCTGCCTGCCTTGGCCTCCCAAAGTACTGGAATTACAGGCATGAGACATCATGCCCAGCCTGACGTCTTAGATTTAAGTCTTCAATCTATTTTAATTTTATTTTTGTATATGGTGAGAGATAGGGGTCTAGTTTTATTCTTCAGCATACGGATATCCAGTTTTCCCAGCACTATTTATTGAAGAGACTTTTTTCCCCCAATGTATGTTCTTGGCACTTTTGTAAAAAATGAGTTTACTGCAGATGTAGATTTGTTGCTGGCTGGTTCATCCTCATTTCCCTGACCACTGAATATTGGAGGGCCCTAAGATTCAGGCTCCAGGCCTTTCCTCTTTCTCATGTATGTCTCCTTGGTGATCTCATCCTGCCTGTTGGTTCCATTGGTCTATGTGTCTGTTTTTATGCCAGTACCATGCTGTACTATATACTGTGTAGTATAATTTGAAGTCAAGTAATGTGATTCTTCAGTTTTGTCCTTTTTGCTCAATATAGCTTGGCTATTCTGGATCTTTTGTGGTTACATATAATTTTAGCATTTTTTTTCTAATTTTAATTAAAAAAATTTTTTTTGTATAGATGTGGTCTCACCATCTTGCCCTGGCTGGTTTGAAACTCTTGGGCTCAGACAGTCCACCTACCTTGGCTTCTTAAAGTACTGGGATTATAGGCATGAGCCACCTTGCCCAGCCTGTTTTTTCTATCTCTGTGAAAAATGTCATTGGTATTTTGATAGGGATTACGTTGAATCTACAGACTGCTTTGGGCAATATGAACATTTTCACAATATTGATTCTTTTAGTTCATGAACGTGAAATATCTTTCCATTTTTTGGTGTCTTCCTCAATTTCTTTCATGAGTGTTTTATAGTTTTCATTGTAGAGGTCATTCACTTCTTTGGTTAAGTTAATTCCTAGGTATTTAATTTTATTTGTAGCTATTATAAGTGGGATTACTTTCTTGATTTCTTTTTCAGATTATCTGCTGTTGGCATATAGAAATGCTACTGATTTTTGTATGTTGATTTTGTATCCTGCAACTTTACTGAATTTATCAGTTCTAATAGTTTTTTGGTGGATTCTTTATGTTTTTCCAAATATAAGATCATACCATCTATGAACAATGATAATTTGACTTCTTCCTTTCCTTTTTTTTTTTTGAGACAGAGTCTTGCTCTGTCACCCAGGCTGGAGTGCAGTGGCATGATCTTGGCTCACTGCATTCAAGCGATTCTCCAGCCTCAGCCATCTGAGTAGCTGGTATTTCAGGCTTCCACCACCATGCCCAGCTAATTTTTGTATTTTTAGTAGAGATGGGTTTTCACCATGTTGGCCAGGCTGGTCTCAAACTCCTGACCTCAAGTGATCTGCCTGCCTCAGCCTCCCAAAGTGCCGGGATTACAGGTGTGAGCCACCATGCCCGGCCTTCTTTTCCAATTTGGATGCCCATTCTTTCTCTTGTCTGATTGCTCTAGCTAGGATTTCCAGAACTATGTTGAATAACAGTGGTGAAAGTGGACATTCTTGTTGTGTTCCAGATCTTAGAGGAAAGGCTTTCCATTTTTCCCCATTTGGTATGATACTAGCTGTGGATCTGTCATATATAGCTTTTATTTGTTGAGGTATGTTCCTTCTATGCCCAGTTTTTTTGAGAGATTTTATCATGAAGGAATATTGAATTTCATAAAGTGCTTTTTCAGCATCAATTGAAACAATCATATGGGGTTTCCTTTATTCTGTTGATATAATGTATTGCATTAATTTATTTGCATATCTTGTACCATCCTTGCCTATTTGGTCATGATGAATGATCAGTGATGAATTTAATGTGTTGTTGAATTCAGTTTGCTAGTATTTTGTTGAAGATTTTTGCATCCTTGTTCATTGGGGATATTAGCTTGTAGTTTTCTTTTTTTGATGTGTCTTTTTCTGGTTTGGTATCAGGTTAATACTGGCTTCATAGAATGAGTTTGTAAGTATTCCCTCCTTCTCTATTTTTCAGAATGGTTTGAGTAGAATTGGTATTAGTTTTCTTTAAATATTTGATAAACTTCAGTAGGGAAGCCATTGGGTCCCTGGCTTTCCCTGGCTGGGAGACTTTTTAAATTTTCTTCTTAATTTCTTCATTGATCCACTGGTCATTCAAGAGAATATTGTTTAATTTTCATGTGTTTGTATAGTTTCCAAAATAACTCTTGTTATTATTTCTAGTTTTATTCCATTGTGGTCTGGGAAGATTCTTTTTTTTTTTTAATTTTAAAGGCTTGTTTTGTGGTCTAGTATATGGTCTATCCTTGAGAATAATTTATGTACTGAGGAGAAGAATGAGCATTCTGCACCCATTGGAGGAAATGTTCTGTAAATATGCATTAGGTCCATTTGGTCTATAGTGCAGATGAAGTCCAGTGTTTCCTTGGTGATTTTCTGTCTGATGATCTGTACAGTGCTGAAAGTGGGGTGTTGAAGTCTCCAGCTATTTTTGTATTGAGGTGTATCTCTCTCTTTAGCTTTAATATTTGCTGTATATATCTGGGCGCTCCAGTGTTGGGTGCATATATGTTTACAATTGTTATATCCTCTTGCTGAATTGACCCCTTTATTATTATATAATAACCTTCCTTGTCTCTTTTTATAGCTTTTGTCTTGAAATCTTTTTTTTTTTTTTTTTTAGATGAGGTCTTGCTCTGTCACCCAGACTGGAGTGCAGTGGTGCCCTCTTGGCTCACTGCAACCTCTGCCTCCTGGGTTCAAGTGATTCTCCTGCCTCAGCCTCCCAAGTAGCTGTGACTACAGGAATGTGCCATCATGCCTGGCTAATTTTTGTATTTTTAGTAGAGATGGGGTTTTGCCATGCTGGTGAGGCTGGTCTCAAACTCCTGACCTCAGGTGATCCACCCACCTTGGCCACCCAAAATGCTTGGGATCACAGTCATGATCCACTGTGCCTGGCCAGTTTTTCTCTTGAAATCTATGTTGTCTGATATAAGTGTAGCTACTCCTGCTGTCTTTTCATTTCCATTGGTGTGGAGTATCTTTTTCCATCCCTTTATTTTCAGTGTATGTGAGTCTTTATAGGTGAAATGTGTTTCTTGTAAGCAATAGATCTTGTTTTTTTCTTTTTTTTAAATTCATTCAGCCACTCTCTCTTTTGATTGGAGAGTTTAGCCCATTTACATTCAGTGTGATTATTGGTAGGTAAGGACTTACTCCTGCCATTTTGTTACTTGTTTTCTGGTTGTTTTGTGGTCTTCTTTTCCTTCTTTCCTTGATTCTGTCTTCCTTTAAGTGAAGGTGACTTTCTCTGGTGATATGTTTAATTTCTTGCTTTTGTATATGTGGTATGTTTTTTGATTTGATACCATGAGGCTTGCAAATAATATCTTATAACCTATTATTTTAACCTGATGACAACTTAACACTGATTTCATAAACAAGGAAACAAACTAACAAACAAGCAAAGAGAAAACTAATAAAAACTCAGCAGTTTTATCTTCATCCCCCTACTTTTTAAATTTTTGTTGTTTCTATTTATATCTTATTGTGCTGTCTAGGTCTTGAAAAGTCATTGTAGTTATTATTTTTGATTGGCTCATTGTTTAGTCTTTCTACTCAAGATGTAAGTAGTTTACCCATCACAATTACAGTGTTATAATATTCTTTTCTTTTCTGTTTTTTGAGATGGAGTCTTGCTCTGTTGCCCAGGCTGGAGTGTAGTGGCATGATCTTGGCTCACTGCAACTTCCATCTCCCAGATTCAAGCAATTCTCCTGCCTCAGCCTCCCAAGTAGCTGGGACTACAGGCACATGCCACCACATCTGGCTAATTTTATATTTTTAGTAGAGTTGGGGTTTTGCCATGTTGGCCAGGTTGGTCTCAAACTCCTGACCTCAAGTGATTCACCTGCCTTGGCCTCCCAAAGTGCTAGGATTACAGGTGTGAGCCACCGCACCTGGCCTATTCTGTGCTTTTCTATGTAGTTACTACTCTCAGTGAGTTTTGTACCTTCAGCTGATTTCTTATTGCTTATTAACATTCTTTTCTTTCAGATTGAAGAACTCCCTTTAGCATTTCTTGTAGAACAGGTCTGGTGTTGATGAAATCCCTCAGTTTTTGTTTGTCTGGGAAATTATTTCTCCTTTATGTTTGAAGGATACTTTCACTGGATACACTATTTTGAGAGAAAAGTTTTTTCCATCCACACTTTAAATATGTCACGTCACTCTCTTCTGGCCTGTAAGATTTCCACTGAGAAGTCTGCTGCCAGACATATTGGAGCTCCATTGTATGGTTTTTTTTGTTTTGTTTTGTTTTTTTTTTTTTTGGAGATGGAGTCTTGCTCTGTCGCCCAGGCTGGAGTGCAGTGGTGCAATCTTGGCTCACTGCAAGCTTCACCTCCTGGGTTCACGCCATTCTCCTGCCTCAGCCTCCTGAGTAGCTGGGACTACAGTCGCCTGCCACCATGCCTGGCTAATTTTTTGTATTTTTAGTAGAGATGGTTAGTGTTAGCCAGGATGGTCTCGATCTCCTGACTTTGTGATCCACCCGCCTCAGCCTCCCAAAGTGCTGGGATTACAGGTGTGAGCCACTGCGCCTAGCCTTGTTTTTTTTTGAGATGGAGTTTCACTCTGTCGCCCAGGCTGGAGTGAGGTGGCATGATCTCGGCTCACAGCAACCTCCGCCCCTAGGGTTCAAGCGATTCTCCTGTCTCAGCCTCCCGAGTAGCTGGGATTACGGGTGCCCGCCACCACTGCCAGCTAATTTTTGTGTTTTTAGTGGAGATGGGGTTTCACCATGTTGGCCAGGCTGGTCTAGAACTCCTGACCTCAAGTGATCCACCTGCCTCAGCCTCCCAGTGTGCTGGGATTACAGGCGTGAGCCGCAGTGCCCAGCCTCCATTGTATGTTATTTCTTTTTTATTTATTGCTGCTTTTAGAATCCTTTCTTTCTCCTTGACCTTTTGGAGTTTGATTATTAAATGTCTTGAGGTAGTCTTATTTGGATTAAATCTGCTTGGTGTTCTGTAACATTCTTGTACTTGAATATTGGTATCTTTCTCTAGGTTTGGGAAGTTCTCTGTTATTATCCCCTTGAATAAACTTTCTATCCCTATCTCTCCCTCTCTACTGCCTCTTTAAGGCCAATAAATCTTAGATTTGCCTTTTGGAGGCTATTTTCTAGATCTTCTAAGCATGCTTCATTCTTTTTTATTATTTTTTACTTTGTCTCCTGTAACTGTGCATTTTTAAATAGCCTGTCTTCAAGCTCATTAATTCTTTCTTCTGCTTGATCAATTCTGCTGTTAAGAGACTCTGATAGGCTGGGTACTGTGGCTCATATCTGTAATCCCAGCACTTTGGGAAGCCAAGGCAGGTAGATCACTTGAATTTATGAGTTCAAGACCAGCCTGGGCAACATGGTGAAATCCTGTCTCTACCAAAAATACAAAAAATTAACCAAGCATAGTGGTGTGTGCCTGTGGTCCCAACTATTCAGGAGGCTGAAGTGGGAGGGTCACTTGATCCCAGGAGGTAAAGGTTGCAGTGAGCCAAGATTGCACCACTGCATTCCAACCTGGGTGACAGAATGAGACCCCATCTCAAAAAAAAAAAAAAAAAAGAGAGACTCTGATATATTATTCTTCAGTATGTTCCTTGCCCTTTTTAACTCTAGAATTTCTGCTTGATTCTTTTTAATTATTTCAATTTCTTTGTTAACTTTATCTGATAGGATTTTGAATTCCTTTCCTGTGTTATTTTGAATTTCATTGAGTTTACTCAAAAATTCTAAATTCTCTTGTCTGAAAGGTCACATATTTCTGTCTCTTCTTGATTGGTCACTGGTGCCTTATTTAGCTCAATTGGTGAAGTAATGTTTTCTTGGATGGTCTTGATGCTTGTGGAGTTTGTTGGTATCTGGGCATTGAAGAGTTGGGTATTTATTGTAGTCTTCGAAATCTAGGCTTGTTTGTACTCATCCTTCTTCAGAAGACTTTCCAGGTATTCAGAGGGACTTGGGCATTGTGATCTAAATTTTTGGTCATAGCAGCCATATCTGTATGAGGGGGCACCCCAAGCCCAGTAATGCTGTGGCTTTTGCAGACTTGTAGAGGTACTGCCTTGGTGTTCTTAGATAAGATCTGGAAAGATTCACTGGATTACCAGGCAGAGACTCTTGTTCTCTTCCATTACTTTCTCCCAAACAAATGGAGTCTCTCTCTGCTGAGCTGCCTGGAGCTGGGGGTGGGGTGACATATGCACCCCTATGATTACAACTACTGGGACTATGCTGGTCAGGCCTGAAGCCAGCTCAGCAATGGGTCTCAATCAAGGCCCTCAGTAACCTCTGCCTGGCTGCCACCTATGTTTGTGCAAGGCCCTAAGGGCTCTACCATTAGCAGGTGGCAAAGCCAGCCAGGCTTGCGTTCTTCTCTGCAGGGCAGCACATTCCCCCTGTTCCCAGGTGGGTCCAGAGATGTCGCCTGGGAGCCAGGGCCTGGAGTTCTGTTACTGTGGCTGAGCTTGCACCCAAGCTACAAGATGACATCCTACTCTTCCCTCACCTTTCTACAAGTAGAGGAGTCTCTTCTCATGGCCACCATTGTCCCAGGTGAGTACTGCCTGGCTACCCCTGATATTCACTCAAGACCCAAGGGCTCTTCAGTCAGCTTGTAGTGAATGCTTCTAGACCTAGGACTCTCCCTTCAGGGCAGTGGTCTCCCCTCTGGCCCAGAGCAGGTCCAGAAATATCATCCAAAAGCCAAGGCCTGGAATCAGGAACCCCATGAGCCTACCTGGTGCTCTACCAAACTGTGGCCAAAGTGGTATGTAAGCTGCAAACAAAGTCCCCTTTATTCTTACCTCTCCTTTTCTCAAGCAGAAGGAATCTCTCCCCATAGCCGCTATAGTTTCAAATGTGCTGGGTTATACCTGAAGCCAGCACATCTCTGAGTCTCACCTTAAGGCCCATGGTGAGTACTGCCTGGCTGCCACTGGTGATTTTTCAGACCCCAAGGGCTTTTTATTCAGCAGGTGATGAGAGATGCCAGGACTGGGTCCTTCCCTTCAAGGCAGTGGGTTTCCTTCTGGTCCAGGGAGTATCTAGGAATATTATCCAGGAGCTAGGGCCTGGAATGGGAGCCTCAGGGAATGGGAACTCTGCCTGTGCCCTATCCTGCTGTGGCTACGCTGGCATCCACACTGCAAGGCAAAGTCCTCTTTATTCTTCTCTCTCTGCTCCTAAAGCAGAAGGAAGGAGTCTTTCCCAGAGCTGCCAGCTATACTACCTGTGGTTGAGGGAGGGTTGGCGTAAGCACTCCCTTGGACACCCTTAGCTAGTGTTTCACTGCGTCATGTGGCCCCCAACTGCTCTGCCTCCAAGTCCAAGACAGCACCAGGACGTGCCTAGAAATTGCAGGCCTTGTGGTGTAGACTGCCTCTCAAGTTTATTTAGAATCACAGAGCACTTTAGCCCATGGTGGCAAGACTTGCCAGAACCCAAGTTCTGACTGCTGGGATGGGTGATTCCCCTCTGGCTGGGGCTGGTCTAAATGCTCCCTCTGTGGTCGCTGCCTGAGTTCTGCCTGGTGTTGTTTTCTGCTGTGACAGGCAAGCACTGATTTCCAATGCAAAGTCCCACAATCACTGTGCTGTTCCTTCCTCAAGTGCAGATTATCTCTCCATACCTCGTGGCTGGAGCTGAGAATGGGGGATGAATGGCATAGCCAACTCAAGACTGTCTTTTCTACTGTCTTCAGTGTCTCTTTCAGTGATATGAAGTTAAAACCAGGTACTATAATCACTCACCTGGTTTTTGGTTCTTATGGAGGTGCATTTTTTTTGTATGTGGATAGTTGTTCAATTTTATATTCTTGCGTTGAGGACAATTGGTGGAGGCTTCTATTTGGCCATCTTGCTCCACCTCCTTGCTATTATTATTTTGAACAAACTGTTATCTGTCAGATCAATTCAGAATAAGAAAAATAGGCCAGGCGCGGTGGCTCACACCTGTAATCCCAGCACTTTGGGAGGCTGAGGCGGGTGGATCACAAGGTCAGGAGTTCGAGACCAGCCTGGCCAATATGGTGAAACCCTGTCTCTACTAAAAATAAAAAAATTAGCCAGGCGTGGTGGCGTGCACCTGTAGTCCCAGCTACTTGGGAGGCTGAGGCAGAAGAATCACTTGAACCTGGGAGGCGGAGGTTGCAGTGAGCCAAGATTGCACCACTGCACTGCAGCCTGGGCAACAGAGCGAGACTCTGTCTAAAAAAAAGAAAAAGAAAAAGAAAACTTTGTATTTTACCTTCACTTATTCCTTCTCTAATGCCCTTCCTTTCTTTATGAAGATCTGAATTTCTGACCTATATTATTTTCTTCTGTCAGAAGAGCTTCTTTTAAAATTTCTTGCAAGGTAGGTCTACTGGTAACAAACTCTCTCAATTTTTGTTTTAGAAAGTCTTTGAGTCTTTATTTGTCTTTCTTTTTTCTTTTTTTGGACTTAAAATCCAAGTACAAATGTTCTTCAGTCATTTATTAAATTTCAAAGCCAAGTCACTAAAGACAGAGGCTAGCAATTTTCTTTCATCATTCACCAATAACAGACTATGTCTGGGGTCAGTGGCCTTCATCAGCAGGTGCCCTCCTTTGGTGAATGAATCTGATCATTCAGATGTGGAGAGAATGAAGTGTCTTCTTCAGTTTCAGACCCCGAAGGCTCTTGATCTCCCTCTTGGGGTTCTGTTTCTCCCATCAGTTCTTGCAGAAACTTGAATTTAGATTTTAAAAAGATGCCATACAAAATACGATGGATGCCCCACTCATCACATACCATCAGCAGCAGGATGATCAACAGTGTAGCCATGAACACAAGCAGGTTAGCCCAATATTGTGCTACATCTTGAGGGGAGGAGGGTAGTTGGCTCAGGGCACCTGGCATGTACTGTGGAGGGAATGGGTGAGTAGGCAGATGGTGTATCCCAGGCTTCAGTGGTGGGTGCCCTGCTGGCATGCAGGGCACCCCTTGTCCTTCACTTTTTAGAAAAAGATTAAAAAAAATATACATAAATGTACATATTTTGGGGATATATGTGATAATTTAATACATTCATATAATTTGTAATGATCAAATCAGTCTAATTAAGACATTTGTCATCTTAAATATTTGTTTTGTCTGTATGCTAGAAGCACTTATTCTCTCTAGCAATTTTTTTAAAAAATTAAACATTTTTTTATAGATGGTGTCTCACTCTGTCACCCAGGTTAGAGTGCAATGGTGGAACATATCTCACTACAGTCTCAAACTCCCAGGTTCAAGTGATCCTCCCACCTAGCCTCCTGAGTAGCTGAGACTACAGGTGCATACCACCATGCCTGGCTACTTTTTACAATTTTTTTTTTTTTTTTTTGTAGAGACAGAGTTTCACTATGTTTCCCAGGCTGGTCTCAAACTCCCAGGCTCAAGCAATCCTTCTGCCTTATCCTCCCAAAATGTTGGGATTACAGGCATGAGCCACCACACCTGGCCTTTTCTAGCTATTTTGAAATATACAATAGATTATTGTAAACTATAGTCACCGTAATTATCTATTAAACATTGGGTCTTATTTCTTTTATCAAAGTGTATATTTGTACCTATTAATCAACCTCTCCCTATTCCCCCTCTCTCCTTCCCAGCCTCTGATAACTACCAATCTACTCTCTATCTTCATGAAATACACTTTTTAAGCTCCCACATATGAGTGAGAGTATGCGATGTTTGTCTGGTTCTAATGCTTATTCTATTTCCTCAAACTGCGTTTTTGCATTTTAGTATGGCTTGTCATGTTTGTTTGTTTGTTTGTTTGTTTGTTTTTTGAAACCCAGATATCATGTCTTGCATGTTGGGTTCAGACAACTTGTCTTTTTAGTTTATAGGTCTCTGGATCAAGATAAATCATAATCGAACCTGATGTGGAGACAAAGTATCCTTCATGGACTTTGAATTTGATATGATTGTTTTTCTCCACTTAGGGAAATGGTGTGTATATTTTGTCAGAATATTTGGTGATCCAGAAGGGTGGACTGTGGTGTTAGTAGGTCTGTCCACAGATTATTTTCAGCTCTCTGCCAACCAGACACTTGGTAAATTGTACCTCCTTCACTTGTGATTGGTGGGTTTTATTTTATTTTTTACTTTTTTTTTTTGAGACAGCGTCTCACTTTGTCGCCTAGGCTAGAGTACAGTGGCACGATCTCAGCTCACTGCAACCTCTGCCTCCTGGGTTCAAGCAATTCTTGTGCCTCAGCCTCCCAAGTAGCTGGTATTATAGACGTGTACCAGCACACCTGGCTAATTTTTGCATTTTTAGTAGAGATGGGGTTTCACCATGTTGGCCAGGCTTGTCTCGAACTCCTTACCGCAGGTGATCCGCCCACCTCAGCCTCCCAAAGTGCTGAGATTATAGGCATGAGCCACTGTGCGTGGCCACATGACCAGTTTTAGACAATGAGTTTTGAGAACTTATAATATGTATAACTTTAGGGCTGAACTTTTACTTGATAAAGTGAGACCTTCTAGAATTCTTTTTTTCTGTCTGCCATGATAACTAGCTATGTTTCTTCAGGTGGTTACTAAATGAATGCATGTGGAGCAATGTTCCAGCTGACCTGCAATGAACATGTGGTTTCAGTGAGAAATATACCTCTGTCATTTAAGCCGTTATTGTCTGGGAGTTGCTTGTTATCTTAGCATAATACAGCCTAACCTGACTGTTAACACAGCTTAATCTTACATCTTCTTTAGGTCTTGACTTACCTCTAATGTTTTCCTCAAGGCCTTAAGATTGCACCCATACCCACCCCATCACTCTATCCCCTTCTCTACTTTATATTCCTCTACAATACCTATCTTAATATAACATCACATAGTTTGCTTGTTTATTTTATTATTCATCTCCTCCTGCCACCAGAATGTAAGCCCATGAAGGCAGCGATGGTCTGAGTTTGAGACCATCTGAAAGCTGACCACTGAAACCTGACCCTTGAGACAGGGGATATGGTGTTGGCTGTTCATTTGGGACATGATCCTGAAGGGTATAAGAAAGGGAACTGGGGGAAAAACCACAGAAGAAAGTAAAATCAATAAAGGAGGCATTAGTAAACTTATTAGTGCTGTGAACAATTTTTGGAGATCCTCTGAGAAGCCCTGTTGAACTGAAATTCTCATACATTTCCTACCTAGAGATAGAAAAACTGGAGTATTGTCCCCAACTCCTGCCCATTGTTGAATGTAGGGAGGCTTAAACCTCTGGTACATCCAGACTGACTTGTGCATGGGCTGAGCAAGCTTGCCCACTGCAGAGAAAGCCTTCTGGCGAAGAAGCAGAGAGCTAGACACGGTTCCTGTGCATAGGAACTGTCCAACACAGTTGCAGGTGTGTCAAGGGGACATGCAGTGGGGGCATCAACAGAATCTACCGTAGAGATTTTTGCTTTTTATTTCCTGATGTGTCCTCAGCTCCTAAATAGTGTTTGACAATTTCTAAATAATGAATGAATGAATGAGTACACTAAAGTGGGCATTTACTGGATGTGTCCCCAGCATCCAGTTCCCTTTTGTAATTAGCCCTTTCCCTTTTTTCCCTTGGGATGCTACCTCTCCCCATTTCTTAGCCTGCGGCTTTGCTTGGGATTGGACCGACGTCTAGTTACTGGGTATGGACTACCTCCCCAGCCCCTACCCCAAAGACTTAATATAATCAACCTTTCTTACTCACCTCCCCTTCCCCACCACGGTGATCTGTTTAGGAATGGACACATGACCCATCTGTGACCAATGAGAGTGAATTTCAGGATTTATTCTCTCTTTCTCTATAAGGATGTGAGGTCTGGAACAGCTGCAGCCATTTTGCCACCATGGGAAACCTGGGACATCTGAACTGACTCCATGAAGCCTGAAGAGAAAGCTAATAAGAAGGCAGAGAGAAGAGGAAGAGTCTTGGTCTTTGGAAATATCTTTTGGAGCTGCTGGATCAAGTATCACTTGAAGGTAGAACTAAATCTGCACTTTAAATTTACATATCCAATAAAAAGTTCTTTATGTTGTAAGCCAGTTTGAGGTGGATTTCCTGTCACTTATGGCTAAGAGAACCCTTGCTTATTCTATACCTAACTCACAGGCTTGTTGTGAGGTTTAAGTAAAATAGCACTTAGTGAAGCAAGGTACACAAATAATACTCAATGAATGGTAAGCAATATTGTTATGATGCATTTATTTTTACAGCGTTATGTGACCTTTTTATTCTCTACTCCAACATTGGCATGTTTCTGTTATTCTTTTCAGTATTATTGAATTTATTCCCCGAAGGAGAGCGGCTAAGAGTATTGCCCAGCCACAGGCTCTCAACCACCAACCCGAGCCTCAGATTCTCCTCACACAGCCACAGCTGTACCACATGGCCCACGTGGTATGGTGCTAATTCCTCTGACATCTAATTTTCACTTTTTGGCAATATTTGGTCTCATCAAGCTTTACACATAAATATTTTCAGCAAAGTGCTCCAAATGCCTTTTTCAGAAATCTGAATCCACATGAAAACAATGGCAACAAGAAAAAGGTGTAAACTTTCCAGAACAGGCCCAGAATTTGAAAATGTGATAAAGAGGTTATTGTGCGCCCGAACTTTTCACACAAGAATTGGAGGAGATTTAACACATGGAATAATAAACAGAGGAAGGCGGGCTAATGCAGAGCAGATGGGCCTGCAGGGCAGTGCTCAGCATTTCAACATCTTTCCCCTGGACCTTTGGACCCAAGGTGATTGCATGCTGGTGTCTTTAGCTAAAAATAAAGTTAATGTCTTTGGGGCAATCATAAATATGGCTGCTTCAGTTTCTGGGGTGATTGGTGGTCTAAAGTTTTCAAGAACCTACTATGTGAAAGGCATTTGACATTCACTAATTTAATCCCAACTACTACTCCATTTTGAAGGAAAAAAATGAAGGCTCTGAAAGTGTAAATCGCTTACTGAAGGGCACACGGCCAGGATGACAGCGGAGCCAGGATCACCCCAGGTCTGTCTCATTGCATATGTCATGGCTCTGCAAACTGGGGCAATAGGTGAGCAGGGAGAAGAGTCATGGCCAAATAAAATTGAGACATACCGATACACACACACACACACACACACACACACACACATTTACACGGTAACAGCCTTATTAAGGTACAACTAATGTACAATAAGGTGTACATATTTAAAGGATACTATTTGATAAGTTTTGACATATGTCTGTACCTGGGAAACCATCACTACAATCATGATGGTGAGCATATCTAATACTCTCAAAAGTTTCCTCTTGCCTTTTGTAATTCCATTCTGCCATCCCACCTGTCCCTCCCACTCCTGATCCCAGGCAACCACTGATCTGCTTTCTGTCACTATAGATTAGTTACATTTTCTAGAATTTTATATAAATGAAATAATACAATATGTACTATTTTTCTGTGTTTCTTTCACTCAGCAAAATTATTTTGAGATTCATTCATGTTATTGCTTGTTTATTCCTTTATATTGTTGAGTAGTTATTCCATTGTATGAATATGCCACAATTTGTTTATCTGTTCATCTACATATGGACATCTATAGATGTTTGCACTTTTGGGCTATTAAAAATCAAGTTGATGTGAATGTTTGTAGACAAGTCTCTGTATGACATGTATTTTCTTTTCTTTTGGATAAAAACCTAAGAATGAAATGACTAAATTATATTGTAGGTACATGTCTAACTTTTAAAGAAACCATTAAGCTGTTTTCCAAAGTGGTTGCACCATTTTACCTTCCTACCAGTAGTGTATGAGAGTTCCAGTTCCCCAACATCTTCACCAGTACTTGGTATGGTCAGTCTTTTTAATTTTTGTCATACTAATAGGCCTGTAGTGGTATTAAGTCTCTTATGGTTTTAATTTGTATTTCCCTAATAACTAATAATATTGAGTATATTTTCATGTTTTTGTTTGCCATCTATATGTCTTTATTAGTTAAGTGTTTATTCATATCTTTTGCATATTTTTATTGAGTTGCCTCTTTTTCTTTTCTTATCATTGAGTTTTGAGAGTTCTTTACATATTCTGAGTACAAGTCTTTTAATAGATACATGTTTTGCAAACATTTTCTCCAAGTCTAGGCTAGTATTTTTATTTTCTTAACAGTGTCTTTTGAAGAGCAGAAGATTTAAATTCTGGCTAAGTCCAATTTATATTATACATCACTTTAACTTCTGTTTTACATTTTAAAAATCTGACCAGGTGTGGTGGGTCGTGCCTGTAATCCCAGCACTTTGGGAGGCTGAGGCAAGTGGATGACTTGAGGTTAGGAGTTCGAGACCAGCCTGGCCAACATGGTGAAACCCCATCTCTACTAAAAATATAAAAATTAGTTGGGCATGGTGGCAGGCGCCTGTAATCCCAGGTACCCGGGAGGCTGAGGCATGAGACTCTCTTGAACCCAGGAGGTGGAGGTTGCAGTGAGTCAAGTTCATGTCACTGTACTCCAGCCTGGGCGACAGCGTGAGGCTTCATCTCTAAATAAATAAATAAATAAATAAAAATCTGAAAAAATAAAAATCTTAGTTATATTCTGAAAGTTTCCTTGGCTTGATTTTACAACTCACACATTTTCTCTTTGGCAGTCCATTCTATTACTACTCAGCTTATATGTTGAATGTTTTAAATTATCAAATTTTAAATTAACTTCCCAAATAGAAATCATTCATGGCTAGCTGCAGCAGCTCACGCTTGTAGTCCCAGCACTTTGGGAGGCTGAAGCAGGCAGATTGCTTGAGCCCAGGAGTTCATGATCAGCCTGGGCAACATGGCAAAGCCCCATGTCTGCAAAAAATACAAAAATTATCTGGGTGTGGTAGTGCATACCTGTAGTCCCAGCTACTTGGGAGGCTGAAGCAGGAGAGTTGCTTGAGCCATGGAGGTTGAGGCTTCAGTGAGCTGTGATCACATCAATGTACTCTAGCCTAGGTGACAGAGTGAGACCCTGTTTTAATAAATAAATAAATAATCATTCACAATGTTTGCATATGGTAATCTTACCTCTCCCTGATAATTTAATTATTCAGCCCAGCTCAGCTATCAGCTCTATTTCCTCAGGTGCAAGTTCTGTATTTGGTAAGAGGATGATGTCTGTTACACAGAGATAGATTTCCACAATTGCTTAGTGAGTCTTAACTGAAGAATGATCTTTGTTTTGGGGGATCCCCGTTAGCCTGTCTTTGATTGTTTATTGCAGTCTACCTCCAGGAGACAGGGTGAGAGTCAGACATAGAGCAGCCAGGGAGGCATTTCATGGGGAGGGAGCTCCTCATTCTTTCTTGATGTTACCAGTCCCCTGGAACACTATTTTAGCTCTGGGTCCTAAAGGCTCATACTCCTGGCTTCTACATGGGGGCAGACACCTCTATTGCTCTGTTGCTGCTTAGTCCAAAGGGCAATGTTGACCTCACAGTTGCTACGTTGGTGCCCCAGCTCATCTCCCTTCAGGTATGCAGAGCTACTACTGCTCCCAGGCTCTTCTACCTCAAGGCTTTTTGATTTTTGTTTTTTGGAGATGGAGTCTCACTCTGTTGCTGCTGGAGTGCAGTGGCGTGATTTCAGCTCACTGCAACCTCTGCCTCCCAGGTTCAAGTGATTCTCCTGCCTCAGCCTCCCGAGTAGCTGTGATTACAGGCACCCATCACCACATCCGGATAATTTTTATATTGTTAGTAGAGACAGGGTTTCACCATTTTGGCCAGGCTGGTCTTGAACTCCTGGCCTCAGGTGATCTGCCCACCTTAGCCTCCCAAAGTGCTGGGGTTACAGGCATGAGCCACTGTGCCTGGTTACATGACCAGTTTTAGACAATGAGTTTTGAGAACTTATGATGTGTATAGTTTTAGGACTGAACTTTTACTTAATGGTGTGAGACCTTCAGTGTGAGACCTTCAATGGGTCAATGAAATAATTCAAAGGGAAATTTAAAAATTTCTTAAGGCAAATGAAAATGGAAACACAGCATACCAAAACTTAAAATGGTAGGGTTTTGAGTAAGTAGAAGAGCATAAAGAAGAAAAGAATGTTGATCCTAGAAATATTCTATCTGAAGTAGAAGTTGCATATTCCTGGACTTTAACTTTGCAACTATAGAGGAGGATATATAATCATGACACATGTTTTGGCCCAACTGTGAGCAATAATCATGAAGCCATAATAAAATTAGCACTATTTATTGATTTTCAGTATTTACGACTGAGCCAAAATCAGAACTATGGTGATAGCATAAAATGCAAATGTCATTAAATTTGATTACATAAAAGTAAAAGTAGAATAAGAGGAGTTTTCTTAGTATCTTAATCTTTTAAATTGGTGGGTCAAGAGATTGCAAAACTTGATGAAACGAGAAATAGCTGTTTATTACTTAAAATTGCAAATGTCATCAGTAGAGCAGTGCTTCTTCAAGTGTGATCCCTGAGCCAGCAGCATCAACCTCTCTTGGGATCTTGTGAGAAATGAAAACCCAGACCAAATGAATCAGAAGCTCATGGGGTGGGCCCCAGCAATCCATGGGTTTTTTTGTTTTTTGTTTTTTGTTTTTGAGAAGGAGTCTCAGTCTGTTGCCCAGGTTGGAGTGCAGTGGTGTGATCTTGGCTCACTGCAGCCTCCACCCCCCTGGGTTCAAGTGATTCTCCTGCCTCAGCCTCTTGAGTAGCTGGGATTACAGGCGTGTCGTACCATGCCCAGCTAATTTTTGTATTTTCAGTAGAGATGGGGTTTCACCATGTTGGCTAGGCTAGTCTTGAACTTCTGACCTCAAGTGATCCACCCACATCGGCTTCCCAGAGTGCTGGGATTACAGGTGTGAGCCACCATGTCTGGCCTACTTCAAGGCTTTGACTATTCTTGGAGCCACCTCCCATCTCCCATTTTTATGCAAGAGTGTTTGCCCACGTGAGCTTCAGTATAGGGATCCTTTTAAACTCTGATTTGACTGCCTGGCATATTTCAGGGAATTTTCAAGATTTCTTATTCATAAGGAAACTCCTTTCAGTTTCCTAACATTGTCATGGATCAAAACCACATTTGTCTCATTTCTAGACACCTGTGTTGGGAGGGGCCTTGGGCTCAGGTCCTCCAACCTGAACAGGATCTGTAGGCAATATTTGCATCAGTAGAAGAATCTCTTGGTATTTGAAGGCCCCATGTGTGCAGACCATATATGCTATATGTTGCCATAAAAGTTTGGTTTGCTACTTTGATGCTTGCATTTTCTTTGGAAAAGCAGCAGGGGGTCCACCTGCGGAGGGGACAGTATAACCATTTTTAGAAATGAAAATCTGAGCATTCTCTCCCCTATTAAAAACTTTTCAGTGGCTCCTGTTGCCCTTCAGATGAAGCTTCAACTTGCTTTATAGGCCCCCCAAGCTCCATTTCCCACCATTTGTTCACCTCCTCTCTTGCTGTCTCTATTCCAGCCTCAGGTAATTTTTTCCCCTAGTTCTACAAAAGGGCCCTGCTCTCCTACCCTTGAACATCCTATTTTTTCTGAACAGAACATTCGCCTTTCTCTCCCTGCTTCCTTTCCTCTGATTCTGATTCATCCTTCTGATCTCGGATTAAAGGTTCCTTTCTCAGTGGGCTCAGACACCTCTGGGGTCCTGACTCACATCCACAGAGCCTCACCTCTGATTCCAGTTGTGGCCGTGGCTGCTGTACTTTAGTGGACCACTCTGAGTCATGCTATCCACTTTGCAGAAGGTTCTGATGGGATCTGCCCCGACACCCACACTTGTGACCTTGTTGATGGGTCCTTATTTGCCTATTCCTCCTTCTCTCGCACTCCTGAGTGTCTTGCTTCCTGGGATCAGATCCCAGATGAACCATCTATACCTGATTCCTTGTCTTAGGCTCTACTTTCAGGGGGTGGGAGGAACTCAAGCTAAGCCATTTATAGTCTGGATTAGAGCCCTGTGGTTTTCCAGGGGGCAAAAATGCTAATTTTAGATCTGGAAAGAAGATCTCAGTGAACCCTACACCAGGTAGCAACTATCTGGTAGGAGGTGCATATTTGGATCCTAGGAAAAATCCAAGCTTTCATCCTCATTTCTGGACATCCTAGTGCCTCTTCTAATCTCTGTTATGTTGAGGCAGCCCAGAGTAGTGGGAAGAACATGGAATTTGGAATGGGTCTTCAGATTCTGGCTCAGTTGTACTCTCGCTGTGTAGTCTAGCAGAAATCATTTAAAATTTCTGAGGCCATTTCTTCATTTGCCAAAATGAGATAAACCAACAGATGCTCTCGTTACTCAAAGGATCTCCACCAGGACAGGATGCTGCACAAAAGAGTGGTTACTTAGACAGCCAGGGCATGCATTTCTTCATCTTGTAAATGAAGGCCTTGCCTTAGGAGACTGCTAAGGTACCTCCTGCTGTAACATTCTAAAGAGACAGTTCTTTTCAAACTTGATGGTAGGATACAGGCAGTTTCTATCTTGCTTGCCATAGAATACTGATACATAACATACCCAGGAGTCAGGCTGCTTGGGTTGAATCCAGTTCTCATAGCTGCATGAGCTTAGCCAGGTTTCCAAACCTCATTGTATCTTAATTCCCTCATCTCTTAAATGGGGGTGATAAAAGCACTTATCATAGTCCTGTTGAGAGGACTATGCAAGGTCACACATGCACAGCACTTATTTGATGTGGTGGATTAAAGATGATGCAAATTCTTTGCTACTCTTCTGCTTGAGAGTTAGAGTCTAGCTCCCCTCTCCTTGGGCCTGGACCAGCCTGGGTGGCTTGACTGGTGAGTAGAGTAAAGCAGAAATGACATTCTGGGACTTCTGAAGCTGGGTCCTAAGAAACCTCACAGCTTTCACCGAGGTGTCTTGGCACATGGTCTCTGGGAGCCCTACCCCACCACGTAAGAAGTCTGACTCACCTGAGAGCACCATGTGGGAAAGGCCCCGTGTAGGTGCCATGATCAACAGTCCCAGCTGAATGCAGCCATTCAACCATTCCCTCCAAGGTACCAGACATGTGAATGAGGCTGGCTTAGGCCCTCCAAAAAAGCCCAGCCACCAGCTGGCTACCACTGAGTAACCTCAGCTGATGCCACATGAAACAGAACTGAATTGCCCAGCCAAGCCCTGCCCACATTACTGCCCACAGAAGTGTAAGATATAATAAAGTAGGACTGAGGTGGGAGGATTGCTTGAGCCCAGAAGTTCTAGTCCAGCCTGAGCAGTGCAGCAAGAATTTCTCTCTAAAAATAAATAAATAAATAAATAAATAAATAAATAAATAAATAAATAAATAATATTAAAGTAGTTGTTTTAAGCCACTAAGTTCTGGGGCAGTTTGTTATGCGGCAATAGATAACTGAAACACTTGGCATATAATAAATGCTTAATAGATACAGGTCAGAGCATTTTGATGTCAAATTTCATTACCCATGATCAGTATGTAAGAGTATCCAAGTTTGAGAGATTACTGCCCTGATCCCACCTTCTATGACCTCCTCTGTCTCTACCCCTGGGATTCTAGCAATGCTGGGACTTATTTTTCCATCTGGTGCACAGTGTGCCTTCATCTGCTAAAAACCTCATAAGTCCTTGTTAACCATCTGCCTTCTGCATAAAGGACACCACACCAAACAGCCCCCGGACTACTTTTTTTTTGAGACAGAGTCTTGCTCTGTCACCCAGGCTGGAGTGCAGTGGTGTGATCATAGCTCACTGCAGCCTTGACCTCCTGGGCTCAAGTAATCCTCTCACTTCCACCTCCTGTGCAGCTGGAACCATAGGCATGTGCCACCATGCCTAGCTAATTGTTTAATTTTTTGTAGACATGCGGTCTCACTGTGTTGTCCAAGCTGGTCTTGAATTCCTGGGCTCAAGCAATCCTCTTGCCTTTGCCTCCCAAAATGCTGGAATTATAGGTGTGAGCCGCCACATCTGGCCCAAACCATTTCTAATTCTACCTCTGCCATCATCTCCATGGATAACCTTGGATCTACCTTCTGGCCCCATTTCTCCATTTTTATTTTTATTTTTATTTTATTTTATTTATTGAGTTTTTCAAAACGGGGTCTCACTCTGTCACCCAGGCTGGAGGGCAGTGGCATGATCTCAGCTCACTGCAACTTCCGCCTCCCAGGTTCAAGTGATCCTCCTGCCTCAGCCTCCTGAATAGCTGGGATTACAGGCACGCACCACCATGCCTGGCTAATTTTTGTATTTTTGGTAGAGTGGAGTTTCGCTGTGTTGGCCAGGCTGGTCTTGAACTCCTGGCCTCAAGTGATCTGCCCGCCTTGGCCTCCCAAAGTGCTGGGATCACAGATGTGAGCCACCGTGTCCAGCCTCCATTTTAAAATGTGCCAGGGGCACATCCTGTTTCTGATGTAGGTACATAGCATGTTTCCCCTACTTCACCCTCTGCTCCTTTGCAACCTTCAACTTTTTGGTATTTCTTTTCTTTCTTCATCCATTGTTTAAGCTTTTCCCCCATTGGTAAGCCCAATGTCACTTGCATAAAGAAAAACTCTTCCTTGACCTCATATAAACCTCCAATCACCATCTGATTTATCCTCATTTCTTACTTCCACCATGCTGCTCTTTAACTGGCAAACTCTTTTTTTTTTAAAATTATACTTTAAGTTCTAGGGTACATGTGCACAATGTACAGGTTTGTTACATAGGTATACATGTGCCATGTTGGTTTGCTGCACCCATCAACTTGTCATTTACATTAGGTATTTCTCCTAATGCTATCCCTCCCCCAGCCTCCCACCCCCCGACAGGCCCCAGTGTGTGATGTTCCCCACCCTGTGTCCATGTGTTGTCATTGTTCAACTCCCATGTATGAGTGAGAACATGTGGTGTTTGGTTTTCTGTCCTTGTGATAGTTTGCTGGGAATGATAGTTTCCAGCTTCATCCACGTCTCTGCAAAGGACATGAACTCATCCTTTTTTTATGGCTGCATAGTATTCCATGGTGTATATGTGCCATATTTTCTTAATCCAGTCTAACATTGATGGACATTTGGGTTGGTTCCAAGTCTTTGCTATTGTGAGTAGTGCCACAATAAACATACCTATCCATGTGTCTTTATAGTAGCATGATTTATAATCCTTTGAGTATATACCCAGTAATGGAATCGCTGAGTCAAATGGTAATTCTGGTTCTAGATCCTTGAGGAATCACCACACGGTCTTCCACAATGGTTGAACTAATTTACACTCCCACCAACAGTGTAAAAGTGTTCCCATTTCTGCAGATCCTCTCCAGCATCTGTTGTTTCCTGACTTCTTAATGATCACCATTCTAACTGACATGAGATGGTATCTCATTGTGGTTTTGATTTGCATTTCTCTGATGACCAGTGATGAGAAGCATTTTTTCATGTCTGTTGGCTGCATCAATGTCTTGTTTGAGAAGTGTCTGTTCATATCCTTTGCCCACTTTTGGATGGGGTTGTTTGTTTTTTTCTTGTACATTTGTCTAAGTTCTTTGTAGATTCTGGATATTAGCCCTTTGTCAGACAGGTAGATTGCAAAAATTTTCTCCCATTCTGTAGGTTGCCTGTTCATTCTGATTATAGTTTCTTTTGCTGTGCAGAAGCTCTTTAGTTTAATTAGGTCCCATTTGTCAATTTTGGCTTTTGTTGCCATTGCTTTTGGTGTTTTAGTCATGAAGTCTTTGCCCATGCCTATGTCCTGAATGGTATTTCCTACGTTTTCTTCTAGGGTTTTTATGGTTTTAGGTCTTACATTTAAGTCTTTAATCCATCTTGAGTTAATTTTTGTATAAGATGTAAGGAAGGGATCCAGTTTCAGCTTTCTACATATGGCTAGCCACGTTTCCCAACACCATTTATTAAATAGGGAATCCTTTCCCCATTGCTTGTTTTTGTCAGATTTGTCAAAGATAGGTGGTTGTAGATGTGTAGTGTTATTTTTGAGGCCTCTGTTCTCTTCCATTGGTCTATATCTCTGTTTTGGTACCAGTACCATGCTGTTTTGGTTACTGTAGCCTTGTAGTATAGTTTGAAGTCAGGTAGCGTGATGCTTCCAGCTTTGTTCTTTTTGCCTAGGATTGTCTTGGCTATGTGGGCTCTTTTTTGGTTCCATATGAACTTTAAAGTAGTTTTTTCCAATTCTGTGAAGAAAGTCATTGGTAGCTTGATGGGGATGGCATTGAATCTGTAAATTACCTTGGGCAGTATGGCCATTTTCACAATATTGAGTCTTCCTATTCATGAGCATGGAATGTTCTTCCATTTGTTTGTGTCCTCTTTTATTGCATTGAGCAGTGGTTTGTAGTTCTCCTTGAAGAGGACCTTCACTTCCCTTGTAAGCTGGATTCCTAGGTATTTTATTCTCTTTACAGCAATTGTGAATGGGAGTTCACTCATGATTTGGCTCTCTGTTTGTGTGTTGTTGGTGTATAGGAATGCTTGTGATTTTCGCACATTGATTTTGTATCCTGAGACTTTGCTGAAGTTGCTTACCAGCTTAAGGAGATTTGGGGCTGAGACGTTGGGGTTTTCTAAATATACAATCATGTCATTTGCAAACAGAGACAATTTGACTTCCTCTTTTCCCGATTGAATACGCTTTATTTCCTTCTCTTGCCTGATTGCCCTGGCCAGAACTTCCAAAACTACATTGAATAGGAATGGTGAGCGAGGGCATCCTTGTCTTGTGCCAGTTTTCAAAGGGAATGCTTCCAGTTTTTGCCCACTCAGTATGATATTGGCTGTGGGTTTGTCATAAATAGCTGTTATTATTTTGAGGTATGTTCCATCAATACCTAGTTTATTGAGAGTTTTTAGCATGAAGGGCTGTTGAATTTGGTCAAAGGCCTTTTCTGCATCTGTTGAGATAATCATGTGGTTTTTGTCCTTGGTTCTGTTTACGTGATGGATTACGTTTATTGATTTGCATATATTGAGCCAGCCTTGCATCCTAGGGATGAAGCTGACTTGATCGTGGTGGATAAGCTTTTTGATGTGTGTCTGGATTCAGTTTGCCAGTATTTTATTGAGGATTTTTGCATCGATGTTCATCAGGGATATTAGCCTAAAATTCTCTTTTTTTGTTGTGTCTCTGTCAGGCTTTGGTATCAGGATGATGCTGGCCTTACATAATGAGTTAGGGAGGATTCCCTCTTCTTCTATTGATTGAAATAGCTTCAGAAGGACTGGTAGCAGCTCCTCCTTGTACCTCTGATAGAATTTGGCTGTGAATCTGTCTGGTCCTAGATGTTTTTTGGTTGGTAGGCTATTAATTATTGCCTCAATTTCAGAACCTGTTATTGGTCTATTCAGAGATTCAACTTCTTCCTGGTTTATTCTTGGGAGGGTGTATGTGTCCAGGAATTTATCCATTTCTTCTAGATTTTCTAGTTTATTTGCAAAGAGGTGTTTATAGTATTCTCTGATGGTAGTTTGTATTTCTGTGGGATCAGTGGTTATATCCCCTTTATCATTTTTTATTGTGTCTATTTGATTCTTCTCTCTTTTCTTTTTTATTAGTCTTGCTAGCGGTCTATTTTGTTTATCTTTTCAAACAATCAGCTCCTGGATTCATTGATTTTTTGAAAGGTTTTTTTTGTGTCTCTATCTCCTTCAATTCTGCTCTGATCTTAGTTATTTCTTGCTTTCTGCTAGCTTTTGAATTTGTTTGCTCTTGCTTCTCTAGTTCTTTTAATTGTGTTGTTAGGGTGTCAATTTTAGATCTTTCCTGCTTTCTCTTGTGGGTATTTAGTGCTATACATTTCCCTCTACACACTGCTTTAAATGTGTCCCAGAGATTCTGGTACATTGTGTCTTTGTTCTCATTCGTTTCAAAGAACATCTTTATTTCTGCCTTCACTTCATTATGTACCCAGTAGTCATTCAGGAGCAGGTTGTCCAGTTTCCATGTAGTTGTGTGGTTTTGAGTGAGTTTCTTAATCCTGAGTTCTAGTTTGATTGCACTGTGGTCCGAGAGACAGTTTGTTGTGATTTCTCTTGTTTTGCACTTGCTGAGAAGTGTTTTACTTCCAATTATGTGGTCAATTTTGGAATAAGTGTGATGTGGTGCTCAGAAGAATGTATATTCTGTTGATTTGGGTTGGAGAGTTCTGTAGATGTCTATTAGGTCTACTTGGTGCAGAGTTGAGTTCAAGTCCTGGATATCCTTGTTAACCTTCTGTCTCGTTGATCTGTCTAATATTTACAGTGGGGTGTTAAAAATCTCCCATTATTATTGTGCAGGAGTCTAAGTCTCTTTGTAGGTCTCTAAAGACTTGCTTTATGAATCCAGGTGCTCCTGTATTGGGTGCATTTTTATTTAAGATAGTTAGCTCTTCTTGTTGAATTGATCATTTTACCATTATGTAATGTAAAGGCCTTCTTTGTCTCTTTTGATCTTTGTGAGTTTAAAGTCTGTTTTATCAGAGACCAGGATTGCAACCCCTGCTGTTTTTTTGCTTTCCACTTGCGTGGTAGATCTTCCTCCGTCCCTTTATTTTGAGCCTATGTGTGTCTTTGCACGTGAGATGGGTCTCCTGAATACAGCACACCAATTGGTCTTGACTCTTTATCCAATTTGCCAGTCTGTGTTTCTTAATCGGGGCATTTAGCCCACTTACATTTAAGGTTAATATTGTTATGTGTGAATTTGATCCTGTCATTATGATGTTAGCTGGTTATTTTGCCCATTAATTGATGCATTTTCTTCATAGCATCAATGGTCTTTACAATTTGTCATGTTTTTGCAGTGTCTGGTACCAGTTGCTCCTTTCCATGTTTAGTTCTTCCTTCCGTAACTCTTGTAAGGCAGGCCTGGTGGTGACTAAATCTCTCAGTTTGTCTGTAAAGGATTTTATTTCTCCTTCACTTATGAAGCTTAGTTTGGCTGGATGTGAAATTCTGGGTTGAAAAATCTTTTCTTTAAGAATGTTGAATGTTGGCCCCCACTCTCTTCTGGCTTGTAGGGTTTCTGCCGAGAGTTCCGCTGTTAGTCTGATGGGCTTCCCTTTGTGGGTAACCTGACCTTTCTCTCTGGCTGCCCTTAACATTTTTTCCTTCATTTCAACCTTGGTGAATCTGACAATTATGTATCTTGGGGTTGCTCTTCTCGAGGAGTATCTATGGGTGTTCTCTGTATTTCCTGAATTTGAATGTTGGCTTGCCTTGCCAGGTTGGGGAAGTTCTCCTGGATAATATCCTGAAGAGTGTTTTCCAACTTGGTTTTATTCTCCCTGTCACTTTCAGGAACACCAATTAAATGTAGATTTGTTTTTTTCACATAGTCCTATATTTCTTGGAGGCTTTGTTCATTTCTTTTCACTTTTTTTTCTCTAATATTGTCTTCTCGCTTTATTTAATTAATTTGATCTTCAATCACTGATATCCTTTCTTTCACTTGATTGAATCGGCTGTTGAAGCTTGCTCATGTGTCACGAAGTTCTCATGCTGTGGTTTTCAGCTCCATCGGGTCATTTAAGGTCTTCTCTACACTGTTTATTCTAGTTAGCCATTTGTCTAACCTTTTTTCAAGGTTTTTAGCTTCCTTGCAATGGGTTAGAACATGCTCCTTTAGCTCGAAGAAGTTTGTTATTACTGACTTTCTGAAGCCTACTTCTGTCAACTTGTCAAACTCATTCTCTGACCAGTTTTGTTTCATTGCTGCTGAGGAGCTGTGATCCTTTGGAGGAGAAGTGCTTTGGTTTTTGGAATTTTCAGCTTTTCTGCTCTGGTTTTTCTCCATCTTTGTGGTTTTATCTACCTTTGGTCTTCATTGTTGGTGACCTACAGATGGGGTTTTGGTGTGGATGTGCTTTTTGTTGATGTTGATGCTATTTCTTTCTGTTTGTTAGTTTTCCTTCTAACAGTCGGGCCCCTCAGCTGCAGGTCTGTTGGAGTTTGCTGGAGGTCTACTCCAGACCCTGTCTGCCTGGGTATCACCAGCGGAGGCTACAGAACAGCAAATATTGCTGCCTGATCCTTCTTTTGGAAGCTTCATCCCAGAGGGGCCTCCTGCCTGTATGAGGTGTCTGTCGGCCCCTACTGGGAGGTGTCTCCCAGTCAGGCTACACGGGGGTCAGGGACCCACTTGAGGAAGCAGTCTGTCCATTCTCAGAGCTCAAATGCCATGCTGGAAGAACTACTGCTCTCTTCAGAGCTGTCAGACAGGGATGTCTAGGTCTGCCGAAGCTGTCTGCTGCCTTTTGTTCTGATATGCCCTGCCCACAGAGGTGGAATCTAGAGAGGCAGTAGGCCTTGCTGAGCTGCAGTGGGCTCCGCCCAGTTCGAGCTTCCTGGCCTCTTTGGTTACACTGTGAGCACAAAGCCACCTACTTAAGCCTTAGCAATGGTGACACCCCACCCCCCGCCAAGCTGCAGCATCTCAAGTCGATCTCAGACTGCTGTGCTAGCAATGAGCAAGGCTCTGTGGGCATGGGACCCACCAAGCCAGGCACAGGAGGGAATTTCCTGGTTCTGCCAGTTGTGAAGACCATGGGAAAAGCACAGTATTTGAGCAGGAGTGTACTGTTCCTCCAGGTACAGACTGTCACGGCTTCCCTTGGCTAGGAAAGGGAAATCCCCTGACCCTTTGCGCTTCCTGGGTGAGGCAATGCCCTGCCCTGCTTCGGCTCGCCCTCTGTGGGCTGCACCCACTGTCCAACCAGTCCCAATGAGATGAACCAGATACCTCAGTTGGAAATGCAGAAATCACCCATCTTCTGCGTCGATCTTGCTGGGAGCTGCAGACCAGAGCTGTTCCTATTTGGCCATCTTAGAAGCCTCCCTAACTGGCAAACTCTTAACCCTTCAGGGCTCAGCTGAGATGTTGCCACTTCAAGGAAGTCTTTTTTTTTTTTTTTTTGGAGACAGCATCTCACTCTCTCGCTCAGACTGGAGTGCAGTGGCCCGATCTCAGCTCATCGCAACCTCCACCTCCCAGGCTCAAGCAATTCTCCTGCCTCAGCCTCCTGAGTAGCTGGGATTACAGGCGTGTGCCACCATGCCCTGCTAATTTTTATATTTTTAGTAAAGACAGGGTTTCACCATGTTGGCCAGGCTGGTCTTGAACTTCTGACCTCAAATGATCCACCTGCCTCGGCCTCCCAAAGTGCTGGGATTACAGGTGTGAGCCATCGCGCCCAGCCCAAGGAAGTCTTTAGAGACCTCCTACCACCCTACACAGTACCCTTCCTCTATAGTCTTACAGCACTCTTACTGACCCTCTTCCCCATTTCAACCCCTTTCATACTGTGATTAACTGGTTAATCATCAGCTTCCATTGCTAGACTGCCCTCTGCAAGGGCATGCCATATTCGTTACAATAGATCAAGCAGTTAGCCCTCTTGGGTACTGGCACACAGATCTTTGCAACTCTCCTTCCTCATTGGCTGACAACAACAAAAACAACAACAACATTTTCTGATACTACCACCACCACCATTGGTTAAAGCTTTCTATATGCCACAAATTGTTCTAGTCACGTTACTTGAATCTTGCCAATAACTCTATGAATAGGTATTCTTTTTTTTTATTATTATACTTTAAGTTTTAGGGTACATGTGCACAACGTGCAGGTTTGTTACATATGTATACATGTGCCATGTTGGTGTGCTGCACCCATTAACTCATCATATGAGTAGGTATTCTTATCCCCATCCTACGGTTGAGGAAACAATCTTGGAGAGGTTAAGTAAGTTGTTTTGTTTTGTTTTACTACTGGTCAATATTGGAGCTGAGGTTCAAACCCAGGAAGCTGACTCCTGGGTCAATGAAGCCCTTTTGGGAAACATTTCACCTCTGGTATTGGCTTTGGGCTTTGAAACACATTGTCCTTTATTGCTTTTTAACAATGAATGAGCTTTGTATATGCAATTTGCCCTGCTTCCCTATGCTCTCTTTCCTAAATGTGACTGTTGGTGTCTTGTGGCCTAGAAGTGCCTCCAGCTCCCCGCATGGATGTCCTGGGTTCAAAATGCATCTTCTTTATTATACCAAACACACTATCCCTCCTTATCACCTTTGCTCATGAAAGACACCCACAGCATCCTACAGTGAAAAATCAGCACTGGGCGGGGAGAGGTGTATTCCAAGCAGTCGTACGGCATCATAGCAGATCATGCGTTCCTGAAGTTTCGGTTCTCGTGGCTTCATGGATGGAGAGCTGAGGCTCCTGATGGGATTGACCCCGTCTGAATCAGAGAGCTGTAATGGAATAGGGCAAAAGGAGACATTCCATTACAAAGTCAAACCATGGTAAACAACCACAGCCAAAGGAAATAGAAGAAAGAAAGAAAGGAAAGAAAATACAAAAAACAATTATATACAGAAGAAGGATGGCAAGTTGCTGGAAGACAAACAGTTTGCCTACATCTTAGAATTCTGGAACAAAGATGTGGCCACGTTTCTTGAGTCTTTTATAGGAACTTTAGACTAGTATTTCTTGAGTTCAGCATCCACAGGCAACTGAATGGATGTTAGGTGGGCAAGAAGATAGCCAATTTTAGGTACATGTTTCAAAAGACTTATCAAATTTTTAGAAATAAAAATAAAGCATAATATCTTAAACTTATTAATCATTTTAATATCAGTAATGAGAAAATATTATTTGAAGTTAATCATTTACAACTTCTATATCTGGGTCTATTGGATACATCTGTTTCACAACAAGTCATTTTTAAGTGGTTTTCACACTTTTTATTTTTGTAGATCCTAATTCATAATTACAGGTGGTTGCAAATGACAACAAGTGTTTGGTGGCTATCTAAAATTATTCTGAGTATTTAGATAGAAGAGGACCCTAAAATTATGTTGTGATTTCATACAAAACATTAAGTGTTTGCCAGATGCTAAGTTGACAAACATACTTTATTCAGAGTATTGGATGGTTCAACTCTGGCGATAGCAGCAAATGGATTCTGTTGTGGTTTGAACTACATCAACTTGCTTAGGCTGGAGTTATGTTTCCCAGAATCCCCTTCTCTGAGTGGTCTCAAGTTAGAATTGGTCCAGAGAATAATTTGCACAACGTTTGGAAGGTAGAAGTGAAGCAGCCACCATTATTCTCTGAAGATTCTCAGGGTTGGATGTGACAGACAGATGCAGAGGTGCTGGCGGGTTCCATTTATCCTTGCTGTCCTCCTCTCTGTGGCCTGGTATTCCTCCTGGCTGATGACCTTGTTGACCTGCAGTGGTCCTGGCCCATCACAAGATGCATGGGGACTGTAATTAATTTATCATTGCATCTCCAGTGTATGGTGCAGATCCTGTCTTATCAGTATCTTAATTGGTCATTGAATAAACACATGTGCATGGTTTTATATGCATTGATTTTTGGCTACTCAGCATTGGGAAATAATAATACAATTTTCTGGAGAATCATCCCTGTCCCACATTTAGTCAATGTATGTTGGGTAAGGTTTATTTCACACCTAGCTCCACTGACCGCATGAGTTCAGCCAGGCCAATCAAGTTATTACATTCACTTGGCTACAGTGGTTGGCCTGGGGATGGAACATGACTCAGCCCAAGCCAATAAGATGTGGTGAGTCTTTTGCTGTGACTGTCACAACAGAGGCACATGGCGTTTTCTGCTGGACCTGAACCTGGGAGGATATAGGCCTGACTCTGTTGGCAGCCATTTTGGCGCCACACTGAGCCTGAGAATGAAGCCAACATTGTGAATAGCAACGTAATGAGAAGAAACAAGAGTGGGTTCTGATAATATTTGAGCCCCCTGGATTGAGCTGTGCCTGAAGTCAGTATCCCCTGGATTTCAATTATGTGAACCAATAACCATCCTCCCCCTTATTTTTTCCCCTCAAACCACTATGGAGTGGGATTTCTGTGATGTGGAGCATAAACTGTCCACTCACACTGAATAGTTTTCAATTTCCCTTTAGGAGCAAAACGCCTTTTTCAAATGAATGTTCACACAGAATCCCATTACACAGCAATGTTAATAGCAGAGCTCACGAGGACCAGGACCTGCTCTCTTGCCCTCCATCCCCCAAGTTCTGAAGCAGTTCCTGATGCCTCTGTGGAATGCTGGTCTTGGCAGAACACAGTTAGAAAACCATTAATTTAGCCCATGTCTGTTATTTTAAAGGTAAGAAAACTGAAGTTCAGAAAAGGGAGGGGACTGACTCAATCCCAGCTGCTGGCAGATCTGGGACTGCAAACCAGCCTTCCATTGCTCCACACAGGTGTCTCTTCTCACGTGGAATCACAGCATTGGATGGACTGAAAAGAGGAAGAGGCTGCAATGGAGCAGCACACCTGGTGCGTGGGGATGCCTGGAAAACAAAATTAGGAGAGCCCTGGGTCAGCATTGCTCTGGCACTGGCTGGGCCGGGGGCCATCCTGATTCTAGAATTATCTTGGTTCCTGGGATAGAAATGTCCCCAGAGTGGAGAAGTTCAGTTCAATCCAACATCCTTATATTGCAATGAGGATAAAGACCACAGACCCTATGGCCTGTATGACCCAGCTGCCCATTTCTAGGAACCCATTCCTACAGAAATGACAACATGCGTGTGCAAACAGCAACAATGACAAACATACCCTGGGATGCTTTCCCTCTGTGGTTTGTTATAGTAAGATAGCGGCTACAGCTTATATATCATCAACAGAGGACTGGCTAAATGATGGCACTTCATTCTGCAGAATCTTTTTTTGTAGTCAAAAAGAACAAGTTAGATCTATATGTGTGAACATGGAAAGGTGTACATGACTTAAGTAGAAAAATTAAGTTGCAGAACGATATTTATAGTATAATTTCATTCTTACAAAAACCGTTTTCTAAAACTGTGTGTGTAAAAGGGCTGGAAGGATACATCCACAGTCTTAATACTGGTTACATCCGGGGAGGAGAGTTGGGGCTTGAGGCAGACTTTGGCCATTCAATTTGGATGGGGGCCAGAGACCCCCGCCTCTCAGATCTGAGACTGCTGTACTTACTTTCCTGCCTCCTTTGCAGCACAGGCCATGACAAAGACTGTTAAATCACCTTGGGTGGGAGGGGACAGGGCGTTTCCTCTATCTGGCAGAGGGGGCTGCAAGGTCAAGTTCCTGACAGAAGTGGTGCTGTTTCCTACTGTAGCATGCAGTGGTTATGTACTGTAGTGCTTAACGGTGGCAGAGGCAGCTTCAAACACACCAGCACACTGGTCAACTTTGGGGTCTTACTCTTGGAAGCCTGGCCTGGAGCTTCCCTCTCACATTCTGTGAACCACCCAGTATCCTTCTAGTAAACTCTTCTGCTTCATTGTTCAGAGTCAGCTGAGTTAGAGGGACTTCTGATTATTTTATACATGTCATCTGATACCTAAATATATGTATACATTTTTTAACCAAACATATTTAAGAGGATACAGATGATCTCGCCTAAAGGAGCATGCAGTGCATAGAGGTGTGTGCCCCTGCCCTGTTTTGTATTTTATTTTATTTTTTGAGATGGGGTCTTGCTTTGTTGCCCAGGCTGGAGTGCAGTGGTGGGCTCTCGGCTCACTGCAACTGCCTCCTGGGTTCAAGCGATTCTCCTGTCTCAGCCTCTCGAGTAGCTGGGATTACAGGTGCATGCCACCACGCCTGGCTAATTTTTGTATTTTTAGTAGAGGCGGGGTTTCACCATGTTGGCCAGGCTGGTGTCGAACTCCTGACCTCAGGTGATCCACCTGCCTTGGCCTCCCAAAGTGCTGGGATTACAAGTGTGAGCTACCACGCCTGGCTCGCCGCCCTGTTTTGAACCAGGGTTTTCATGAAAGAGGTGAATGTGCTGACCATTAAACAGCAACTACAGCAAACTTGGTTTGCAGTGAGATGTTTGCTCGGAAATGTTCTTTTCTTTTTAAATAAGCAACTTCCTGAGCTGCAAGTTAGTCTTAGGCATGGCTCCCTCACCGGGAAAGTTGTGTCCTGTGCAGGCTGCACTTCCCACTGTCCCTGTGCATCTGCCTGGGCCTTCTTCCTCTTGGTTCTTGGGTAGACTGACTCTGTCCCCTGAAAGCCTGGTCCTCTGAGGAGACTGAAGTTTGCATGTCACACAGAGCCGGGAGATCTGGCCCTGGATGAAACTAGGGGACAGCTCCCAACGGCTGCTCAATTAGTGAGTTTCCTTTGTACTTCAACTTGGGTAAGCTGGGCTAATTAATAAGTGGACTTGAGAATGACAAACCTTCATGGCCAAGGTCCAAAATGTCATGTTGGTGGAAGATGGCAAAAGTCTGGTGAGAGGGATGTCAGAAGTAAAAGGACTAGGTACCAGGAAATGAGGAATCAGGATAGCATTGTCCACAACTACTAAAGGTCCATGTTGATTTATTTCTTTGCTTTTTCAATGACCTTTTGATATTTGAATTTCACACATCGCTGTCTTAGTTTGCATCCTCCAGAAGCAGTACCTGAGACAAGGATTCAAGTGCAAGTGGCTTAATTGAGAAACAGTCATTCAGGGATCACCATTCAGGGACTGGAGAAGTAAGACAGGGAAGGAAGGAAGCCAATGGAGAGTGCGTTATTGAGCAAGTTACCACTGTGGGCAACTGGAGCTCAATGCCTCTGGGGAACTCTGGGAGCCAGTGTAGAATATACAGCTCAGAGTTTTTTCATTGGAGCAAAGGGAGTCATTGGTTGAGTGTTGCTCCAGGGAAGTGTTCATTCTCTAGCATTTCTGGCCTGCCATGTGTGTGGGCAGAGAGGGCTCCAGTAATCAGGAAGCCTTCGACAAAGAGTCTTAGATGCTGGCTGTTGGAAGTCAGGCCACATGCACAGAAATATCACATGCTGGTGGCATCTGCGTGGAGCATCCACAGCATCTGCTACAAGTTTCTTTCCTTCTTTGCACAGCTCATGAAATTTGCCTGCCTTCTAATCAGTGCGTGGAGACTGCAAGGTAAGCAAAGAGTTTCACTTGATCTTAGGTGATCATAGACGACTGATCTCATTTATATTCTGTTTAGGTATCCATGTTTATAGTCAAAATATATCAAATTGCTTAATATCCATACCACACACAGAATAAGATAACATACCTGGTTTTTAAAAAATAACTTCAGCGGCAAAATACATACTATTTTAACAGCATCCAAATTTGAGAGAGAGGTAAAAATATATTCCCTCTTATATAGTGAGATGGATGGAAACCAGAACAGAAAGCCCTGAACCCTTGGGGTTGCCCATGTAAATACTGTGACGGCCTACAATGCACTGAGGGAGTGGCTACTTGGTGTTGCCTATGGTCATTTGCCACCTTTTGTGATGAGCCTCCAACTGGGACACCTGGCCATTAGGTCCTAGTTACTCAGGAAGCTAACCTGTTAGTCACTAAATTCACTGTACTGTTGTTTTCCTAGGGAAAAATAAGTGCTGATGCATGATGTATTGCAGTTGTTTGAAAACATGCCTCAAGTTTTACATCATCTGTATCTTAATCCCTTTGGGCTGCCACAGCAAATTGCCACAGACCAGGTAGCTTAGAAACAGCGGAAATTTATCTCTCAGTTCTGGAGGCTGGGAAGTCCAAGATCAAGGTGCTGACAGATTCAGTGTCTGGTGAGGGCTCACTTTCTGGTTCGTAAATGGTGCCTTCTTGCTGTGTCTTCACGTGTTGGAAGGGGCAAACAAGCTCCCTTGGGCTTCTTTCATAAGGGCACTAATCCCATTTACGAGTGGGTGGACTTAAGTGAGGAGTGGTTCGGACAGCCAACAAGACTATCAAACACCCACCACAATAGGTTGTTTTAAAGATGAGGAAACAGAGCCTCAAGGAGGTAGAGAAATGCCGCATGTTCCACAACTGGTCAAGAGCAGAACTAGGATTTGAACCCAAGTGGTCTGATGGCCCAGCTCCTGCTGTGTTCTTTCCTTCTGCTCTGTCACCTCTGGTATGGGTAATGTCTGCTCTTGCTCACGTACTTTGTAGGGGACAGAGCTTTTAGAGAATAGGAGGTTTGGGGGAAGAGGGGAAGGAAAGGAGGGCAGGTGGGGACTGTTGGAACAGGGACCCAACCCAGGGAGTCAGACTTGTTGGAGGCTGCCTCAGGACAGTCAAGGACACTGAATCCACTGACTCTCCACTCTCCCTCCTCTCTGTTAATTGGTTTGAGGAGAGGTCTATGTTAAAGAGCTGGAGCCTGATGAATTGTTATGATTGTGGGAAGGAATGGATGCTCACAGGCTCAGACAGAAAAACAAAATGAATTGGCCTATCTAGATACTTCCCACAAAATGCTTTCAGTTCCACGTTAATTCCAAGTTTGTCTCTTAAGCACATTTGGAATATGTAAATAATCTTAGAATGTCACAATCTAGAATGTAATTTAGATAAGCTGAGAACCAAAAGAGAAGACCGCATTGCCTTGTCTGTCAGGCCTGTGTGGGTCCGATTTAATGACTCCTGATGGTATGAGGTTGAATTGGGCAGCAGATTGGACACATAGCTATAGTGCCAGCTATTCATGTTTAAAATGTCATTTTAGACTGGGTGCAGTGGCTAACGCCTGTAGTCCCAGCACTTTGAGATGCTGAAGCAGGTGGATTGGTTGATCCTAGGACTTTGAGACCAGCCTGGGCAACATGGCGAAACCCTGTCTCTGCAAAAAAACAAAAACAAAAACGAAAAAACCCAAAAACCAAAAAAATGAGCTGGAAGTGGTGGCACACACCTGTAGTCCCAATTACTCTGGAGACTGAGGTTGGAGGTTCTCTTGAGCCCTGGAAATGGAGGTTGCAGTGAGCCGAGATCATGTCACTGCACTCCAGCCTGAGCAACAGAGTGATACCCTGTCTCAAAAAATAAAAGTAAAAATAAAATGTCTTTTAAAATGCAGTCATGCACCACATAATAACATTTTTGTCAATGATGGATGATAAGATGCTGGTCCCATAGATCATAACGGAGCTGAAAAATTCCCATTGCCTAGTGACGTAGCTGTCATAATGTTGTAGCATAACATGTTACTCACATGTTTGTGGTGATGCTCATGTGTGAGGCTGGGAAAGGTGGCTCTTGTCTGTAATCCCAGCACTTTGGGAGGCTGAGGTGGTAGGTTGCTTGAGGCCAGGAGTTGGAGACCAGCCTGGGCAACACAATGAGACCCGGTCTCTACAAAATAACAAAAAAATCCAACTTACTATGCTGCCACATAAAAAAGCATAGTATATACAATTATGTGCTGAACATAATACTTGATAATGATAATAAATGACTATGTTATTGGTTTATGTGTTTACTATACTATATTTTTATTCATATTTTAGAGTGTACTTCTACTTATTAAAAAAAGTTGACTGTAGAACAGCCTCAGGCAGGTCCTCTAGGAGGTGTTCCAGAAGAAGACATTGTTATCATCAGAGATGACAGCTCCATATGCGTTACTGCTCTGAAGACTATCAGTGGGACAAGATGTGGAGGTGGAAGACTGATATTGATGGCCCTGAGCCTGTGTCGGCCTATGCTAATGTGTGTGTTTATGTCTTCACTTTTAACAAAATGTTTAAAAAGTAAAAATAAATTTTAATAGAAAAAAACGTGCAGAATAAGGCTATAAAGAAAGAAAATATTTCTACAGCTATATAACATGTTTGTGTTTTAAGCTGTTATTATAGAAGAGCCAAAAAGTTAGAAAAATTTAAACATTTGCAAAATAAAAAAGTTATAGTAAGCTTAGTTTATTGCTGAAGAAAGAAAATTAAAGAAAAAAAATTTAGTGTAGCCTAAGTTTTCCGTGTTTATAAAGTCTACATTAGTGTACACGAATGTCCTAGGCCTTCACATTCACTTACTCACTGACTCACCCAGAGCAATCTTCCAGGCCTACAAGCTCCATTCATGGTAAGTGCCCCACACTGGTGTACCATTTTTAATCTTTTATAGTATATATTTTACTGTACGTTTTCTTTGTTTAGATACAAAAGTATCTTTGTGTATCTAAATCTTTGTGTTACAATTGCTTACCTTACCTTTGTGTTACAATTGCCTACAGTATTCAGTACAGTAATGTGCTATGCAGGTTTGTAGCTTAGGAGCAATAGGCTACACCGTGTAGCCTGGGCATATAGTAGTCTATACCATCTAGGTTTGTGTAAGTATGTTCCAAGAGGTTTGCACAACAATATTGCCTAACAACACATTGACGGAGTCTCACTTGTCGCCCAGGCTGAAGTGCAGTGGCATGATCTCAGCTCACGGCAACCTCTGCCTCCCAGGTTCAGGTGATTCTCCTGCCTCAGCCTCCTGAGCAGCTGGTATTACAGGTGCATGCCACCATGCCCGGTGAATTTTTGTATTTTTAGTGGAGACAGGGTTTTGCCATATTGGCCAGGCTGGTCTCGAACTCCTGACCTCAGGGTGCCTCAGCCTCTCAAAGTGCTGAGATTACAGGCCTGAGCCACCGCGCCCGGCCCTAACAATACATTCTCAGAATGTATTCCCATCACTATGTGACGCATGACTGAATAACTTCCACTGGGTTCAACTGACCCCCCATCTGGTTGTTACTTTGGTGCACTTATTTCCATTTAATCTGTCCTCCTTACTAGGTGGATACTATTATCAGATGAGATATGGAGTCCCTATAAGGTGTAGCAACTAACCCTGTGTCTGGCAGCTGGTAAGTGGCAGATCAAGATTTGGACTCAGGTCTTAAGTCTCGGACCATAGCTAGGTCAATTGTTCCACCACAGAGCCATCCCACACTAGGCAGGATTTCCTTGTGTCCTGACTCAGAAAGGCAGCTGTGGCAATGCGGATCTGTTATGTGGCTCTAACTACCATCCCCATCAGCTCACCACTGAGGCGAAGAGGTATGTGTTTGTTATCTATTACTGGGTCATAAATTACCCCCAAATTTGTACTGGTTTTCTATTGCTATGTAACAAATTACCTCAAAGCATAACGGCTTAAAACAATATCAATTATACTACAGTTTTTGTTAGTCAGGAATCCCGAAGTGGCTTATCTGGGTGCTTCTGGCTCAGGGTCTCTCATAAATGGCAGTTAAGCTATTGGCTGAGGCTGAAGGTTTGACTGGACCTGTAGGGTCCGCCTCTGAGGCGGCTCCTGACATGGCTGGCAAATTGGTGCTTGAGGTTAGCAGGAGGCTTTACTTCCTCTCCACATGGGCCTCTCCACAGGCTGCTTGAGTGTCCTCACGACATGGCGGCTGGTGTGGCTTTCCCGGGATTGAGCAACCCGAGACAGTAAGGTGGAAGGGACAATGCTTTTCGTGGCCTATCACAGCAGTCCCACAATATCCTATTTGTTAGAAGGAAGGCACTAAGATCAGCTCCTGTTTGAGGGAAGGGGAATTAGTCTTCACCTTTTGGAGGAAGGAGTGTCAAGAGAATGTGTGGATATATTTTAAAACCACCACAGGGTGACATTTCCTGCCATTTGCGTACACATCCCAGCATAGCATTGGGGCTCCCCTCACCCCTTCTTGCCCCGCCAGGGCTGTGAGTATTCTGTGTCGTTTCCCATGTGTGAGACCCTGTGTGTGGATCCCACAGGCAGATTAGGTCAGAAGAGGATTCTGGGAAAAGAAAAGTCAACCTGTCATTAGAGATCATGGACAGTGGGCTGAGTCCAGCACAGGACTCTGAGAGGGAGGCGGGGCAGGAAGGCAGTCCATTCTTAACATACTTATGTAGTCACTTTTCTGTCTTGAGGCACACAAAAAAAACAAGGTCATATCTTTTAATGTCTCAGTAAAACAGCTTGAGCCCTCCCCTTATCACCTTGAGAAACGCCTCAGGCCTTCCTCCAAGGAAAGACCCCCAGGATGCTTAGTCATATCCAAAATGTCAATCCCTGTCCTTTCCACCTTGCCTTTGCAGTCAGAACCTCCACCCAAGGCCAGAGGATGCCCCAATGTCATGTGCACTCTATCTACCCCACTGGCATCCCAGGCAGTGTGATCAGGGCTTAGTGTCCTGCTTCTGCCACCTCCGCAACTGCTGGCACAGACCTTTTCATAGTTGCAGCAGACCCTGGGGCATGTGGAGGGAGGACCCATCTTCGACTCCCCATTGCACTCAGCAGATGTGGCCACCTTCCAGTATCACTGACTCAGACACACGCACCCAGCCCTTGCCCAGGGTGCAAGCCTGCCTTCAGGAAGGATGACTGCACCCAGGCTGGCTGTCTCAGCTCCTGGACTCAGAATCACTATTACCTCCTCAACCCCAACTTCCTGCAGGAGCTAGTTCACCTGTTTTTTATGTCAGGGACCTTGGGGCCTTCCCTGTCACTGGATTTGATTCGGAGTCATCCCAATCTCACAACATATTATTTATTCCCCCCTTCATGTCTTTGAATAAAATTGATGCACCCAGAAGGTATAACATGTATATCTTGCAGCTTCAAGTACAAGAGGTCCTAGGCTTCAACTTAAAAACTTTCTGGGGGAAGGCATAAGAAGGCTTTTCTTGTGGGAGCGTGTTAAGCAGCAGAAGGGGTCCCAAAACGTGTTTAGTGTTTACCCTTCCCTAAAGACATTTGCTTAGAGTTTGGAGTACACTGAGGCTGCCTGAAAGAAGACAGGGAAGAAGCTAGAACTGCCCTTCCATTTCCTGCAAAATTTCATCTCCTGCCCCACTCCCCTACTCGTAACTCTCCTTTAGACACACTCCTCTATGGCAGACAACTTCTGATACATTCAATTCCAGGTACTCATTTTTTGGTGAATGTTCCATTGCATCTGAATGATATTGAAGTGAACTTCTCTTACCTGCATGTGTGTGCACACACACACGCACACACACGCACGCACACACACACACGTGCGCTCACATGCACATGCGCACACACACGCACATGCACACACGCACGCATGTGCATACACATGCACACACGCACATGTACACATACACACACACACATGCACCCAAGGTCAACACCTTAAAATCCCACTGCATTTAAACCATGAGTGGGTGGGACCTTGAGGAAATCACCAAAGATGTTTCAGGAGTCTCCCTCTGATGGCCCACATCTGGGAAGCCCTGGAGAGATGTGGATTTGACAATTTACGAAAGCTAAGGTAGAGAGGGCCCTGAAAAAGGAGCTGGCTAGCCGGCCGCTGATGTGAGAGTGAGGTCATGGGTGCTTGGGTTGTGACTCACCTCTCCAGCCCTTCACAGGGCACCTGAAGCACCTGGGGGTTTGAGGGCTTGAACACTTAGACAAAGGAAGGCTCTAAAATGGCCCACTGAAACATGCAGACACCTTGAGAAAAGTGTTTTGAGTTTTTCTTTTACTCCAAATAAAAATAGCTATTTTAAAAGAGTGGAATAAATGACATAATAATAATGGCACTAAATTGCTAACATGTACCAGTTGCTTCCCTCATGCTGCGATGTGCAGAGTGGCTCATTACATTTAATCCTCACAACAAACCTTTGGGTATGATTCCCTGTAACAAATGGGGAGAGCTCAAATAACTTCTCAGGGCCACATACCTGATGCTGTGGACTGAATGCATGTATCCTCCAAAATTCTTATGTTGAAGCCCTAACCCCCAATTCGCCTGTATTTGGAATATGAAAGTAATTGAGGTCATAAGGGTGGGGTTCTGATCTGATAGAATTAGTGTCCTCTCTCTTGCTCTCGCTCTCCCCTCCCTCCGCCTCTCTGCAAGCACGAAGAGGTCATGTGAGTCCATAGCAAGAAGGGGACCATCTGCAACCCAAAGGAAGAGCCCTCACCAGACACCAACTCTGCTGCCCTTGATCTTGGACTTTCAGTCTCCAGAACTGTGAGAAAATAAATTTATGTTATTTAAGCCACCCAGTCTGTGGTATTTTTTTATGGCAGCCCTAGAAGACTAATATATCTGACAAGCCACTACATTGGGATTACGAGCACCACAGCCCTCACTGTTACTCATCACCCTAAACTGCCTCCAACAAATATCATCATTTTAATATTTTATGTTTTGCTAAGCCATAGGCTAGCTTTAATATTTCAATTGAAGTGAGAAGTGTTTTTAAAACTTGGCATTATGTTGTACAGCTGTATTCTAACACTGATGGTTGTTGCTTAAAGCCGTTTCACTAAATTTAGATCTCTGGAAAAAAATTTGTTTGAGCATGGAAACAGGTTGGAAATATTGCACCCAATAATAACAGTTTAACTTTTGGCTTATGAAATACTTCAGTGGGAAAGTATTTGCTCAAATCTCTGCCTGCTATTATAGTTGAAGGCTTGGCGATAGTATTTGCCCTTCCTCTGAACTTTCTGGATATCAAAGCCACGTGGAAGTATAGCTTGTCTTATGTATGAAAAACAGGGCAAGGCAACTTTTGAAGAATTGCCGTTAAGAGGTGCATTTAGCTGTGTCAATCATTTAGACAACGATTATCTGGTATGTGAATGATCCAAACCCTTTTTATTTTTTTCTGCCTCTTTTGAAAATACTGTGAGGAGCCATCTGGCTATTGACCACTTCTTCCTTCCACATGATGGCTGGTCTACCTACCTCAGTTGGCAAAGTCCCCTCAACAGAGGCCAGGGCCAGAGGGCAGGGCTTGTTAATAGATGGGAATGAGAGCTGCCCTTGGCTCCTCTTTCTTTCTCTGTTGTGTGAAGGTCAAGTTGTCTCCTCATTTGGAGATCAGATAGCTGTGTGTGCACAGCTCTTGATCCACTTCCCTATTTCTAACTTTGATTAGTGACTTTGGCTTTACGGAGGTAGCATCTTCTACATCCACTGCTGGATGTAGACATCCACTGTGTCTCTGTAGACAATTCAAGCAGTACTAAAGGAGTGATAGATAGACGATAGATAGATAGATAGATAGATAGATAGATAGATAGATAGATAGATAGGCAAGAATAGCCCATAATCTCAACCATAATCATTATTAACATTTAGGGTAAACTTCCAAATCTCTTTCTTTGTGCATATATACATACAGATGCATAGAAATTTACATATACCAGATTATAGTAGGCATGTCCTTAAGGAACTTGAGTTATTACCCTTGTTATGCTGCAGGGATTGTTCCTTGTCAGTGTGTAAAGTTGCATGCCAACCTTTTGTAACAGGCTGTGTAAGGTGCTGATTCAACCAAATAGTGGATAGTATAGGCTGGATTGTGCATTGTTAAGAACCAAGTGGCTAAGTTCTTTAGGGCTAACTCCAAAGAAAACCCGACAGTTGGCATTAGATGCCATGTGCCCCAAGAATGAGAGAGGATGAACTGACTTTATGGGCCTTGCTCTTTTGGAGGGATTAGAACTACAGAGATCACTTTTGGGGGGAGTGCAGTGTTCATGGGCTGGTTATGTAATAAACGGTATATTATCTTGTAATATATGGGGTGTGATGCTGTCTTCTCTTCTAAACTGAAAAAACTTGATTGCAGAAACACATTTGGCCCTAAGAGTTTTGGACAAGGATTGTGAACCCATCATATGGTCAGTCCTCATTTCACATGGTTCTATGGTAACTGAGATAAAATCTCAGACTGCATCTTCCCAACTGGATCACTGTGAGGTTTACATAAGATAAAGTGATCTATAACATGCTTAGTGCAGTGTGAGACACATAGTGAGTGAGCCTTCCTTGCTGCTAGCAGTCCTATCACCTTACAGCAGCATCTGCTCTGCTCGAGTGTCTGTACCCGTCAGGTCTCTGCAAACCGGGCTCTCATAATCAGTGGGGAGTGTCTAAACCTCCATTTAGGGTCCTCCTACGGTACACTCACACAGACCCCAGAAATGCAAGCAGTCCCTTGGGGGAGACAAGGAGGATGTTAGAGAGTTATGGTTGGGAAGCTTTGTCAGGGAGAAATTAGCATTTCCCATCGGAGACCATGGGAAGGGCACTCTAGAAAAAAGAGCACAGGAAAAAGTATGGCTCAATACAGGGTCCAGAAATACTCACCTGGAGGAACTATGTGTATTTCCTGCTATAGTAATATAGCATAGTATTTGTAATGAAAAATTGTATTCTAAACCTAAAGATTACTAAGCCAATTGGCTTGTATTAAGAGCCTTAGATATCTACCTAGCTTTGACCTAGTAGTTAAGCATTTAGGAAATAATGAGAGGCAGATAAAAATCTACAAATGTATAAGCAAAAAGAAAAAAAAAGATATTAGAGAAAGGAAGGATTAAAAAGACTAATTAATCTTAAGAGTTTTTCCTTTTTCTTTTCTTTCTAGAGACAAGGTCTCACTGTGTCATCCAGGCTAGAGCATAGTGGTGGAATCATAGCTCACTGTAGCCTCCATCTCCTGGGCTCAAGTGATCCTCCCATCTCAGCCTCCCAAGAAGTTAGGACTACAGGTGCATACCACCATGTCCGGTCACTTTTTTCGCCCTAGAGATGAGGTCTCACTATGTTGTCTCAAACTCTGGCCTCAAGCAATCTTCCCATCTTGGCTTTCCAGAAGTTGGGATTACAGGCATGAGCAACTGTGTCTGGCCTCCAAGACTTTTTTGAGGCTTCTGAAAAGCCAATGTTGTTTTCACCCCAACATTTAATCATTCCAATATTCCTCTCTGCAGTGAGGCAGGAGGGAGCAGAGCAGTATAACCATCACTTCTTTTGCATTGTTACAGTAGCAGTAACAATTCAACAAAGTATGTATGTAACTGTTTAATTGTTTAACAATGTAACTGTTTAACAAAGTAACTGTGGAGAGCAATTTTGCACAGCTTATAGAAAACGCCAATGCTAGGTGAGCTGATAGAGCATGCTGTTCAGTTTGCAGCCACTAAGGCTAATGGAAAACCTTCAGATTCCTTCTTGAAGTGAGAGCATAAAGGAATGGAGGGCATTTGGTTGCCATTTCCGTTGGGAAATTGGACAAGAGGTTCAGTTTTTCAAAAGTCTCCATTCCATAAAGCAAATCTACATTTTGCATGGCCAGGTTTGAAATAGTATGCCTCTCCCCTCCAGCTGGTGACCCTGGAGACACGCCCTTCAGGTCAAGTCTCTGTAAAACAGCTTATTCTGGCAACTAGGAAATTGAGCTCACTCTTGAGCTCAGATTATACGAATAACTAATACATGTTTAGCGTTTTATGGTTAGGAAATGCTGTCCTGAGAAGCTCATCAATAGGTTTATTAGTTATTGGTATCCTTGTTTTATTGATTTACTAAAATTACACAGTTGTTCGGGCCTGGGAGTTAAATTCTCTTCACCAGATGCCAAATCCTACGTTTTTCTTACCACATCATGGTGCCACAGGTTAAGGAATACAGTGCAGGGTTCTGAATCTCTCTCCTGTAGGACAGTGCTTCCCAAGCCTGGCTACTTGACAAATCTCCCAAGAGGTGTTGGAAATGCAGATTCCTGGGCCTTGCCCCTAGATTCTGACCTAGAGTGTTATTAGTAAATCTGTATTTTTAAATAGTTGCCTGGTGGTCTAATATACAGTCAGGATTGACAGCTACTGTTTAGTTAAATCAAACACCAATGCTATAATTTTTAACCGATATCATTTTTAGGGTTTGGTTTCCAAAGTTGGAAATCAGTGTGTTTTAGATCAGTGGTTTCCTGTCTTCTAAAACCTACCTTACCTTTAAAGAATCTGTTGAAATCTGTGGATCTTTCCCTAAGAAACACACAAACACACACATACACACTTTTATATATAATTCTAGAGGGCTATATTAGTTTCCTGCTTCTGCTATAACAAATGGTCACAAGCATAGCGGCTTAAAACAACAACATTTATTATCTTACAGTTCTGGATGTCAGAAGTGGGACAGGAGTCTCACTGGATTAAACTCAAGGTGTTGCCTTTCTGGAGGCTCTAGGAGATAATCCATTTTATTGTCTCTTCCATCTTCTAGAAGCTGCCTGTATTACTTGGCTCATGGGTCCCTTCTTTTATCTCCAAAGCCAACAATGTGGCATCTCTCTGACCCCACTTCCACTTCACATCTCTTTCTCGTGCTACAGCCAAGGAAAGGTTCTCTGCTTTTAAGGATTCACATAATTAGACTGTGCCCAGCCAGATAATCCTGGAAAATCTTTCCATCTCAAGACCCTTAACCTTAATCACATTTTCAGTCCTTTTTTGCCATATAAGGTGACATATTCACAGGTTCCAGGGATTAGGAGGGGGACTATTAGTCTACCAACCACAGGGGATCTTAGGACCTCTGAAGCAACATGGAAAATGAGTGAACTCTAGGTTAGGAGCATCTGTTCTAGATTCCATTCATTCTAGATGTTAAATCAACAAGAAATTCTGCTTGCCTACAAATAACAGAATCCCTAAAAGCAGTGGCTCTTATAAATTAGGTGTTTACTTTTTTTCAGGTAGTAAGAAGTCCCCAGGAAGGCATCCCATGTCAGGTGCAGCAGTTCTAGCATGTGACAGCTGAAGTCTCTGCAATTCTCCTGGCCTTTCCTTTGAGGTGGCCCTCAAAACAGCTGCTGCATCTCCAGCCATGACCTCTGTGCTTCATGCAAGAGGGGCAAGGGCACAGGACAAAAGCCATAAGTCAGCTGAGTTGCCTCTCCTTTAAGAAACCTCCTGAGAAGCCTACCACCCAAATAACATGCTCATATCTCATTGGCCAGACACTGCACATGGCCACTCTGTCTGCAAAAGAGACTGGGAAACATAGTTTTATTTATTTTTAAAGCTAGGCATATTAACACTCCACTAACTCTGGGCTTTGTTAGTAAGGAAAATGGGAAGTATAAATATTGGGAAGATACTAGTGCTCTCTACCACAGATGAAAACTTCAGCCAGGCACAGTGGCTCATGGCTGTAATCCCAGCACTTTGGGAGGCCAAGGCAGGTGGATCACTTGAGCTCAGGAGTTTGACACCAGCCTAGACAACATGGCAAAACCTCGTTTCTACCAAAAGTATAAAAATTAGCCGGGCATGGTGGTACATGTCTGTGGTCCCAGCTACTTGGGAGGCTGAGGTGGGAGGATTGCTGGAGCCTGGGAGGTCGAGGCTGCAGTGAACAGTGATTGCACCACTGCACTCCAACCTGGGGGACAGGAGCGAGACACTGTCTCAAAAACAACAACAAAACCAAAAAAAGAAAAACAAAAGAAAACCTTGTGTTTTGTGTTCTACAACGAGAATTGATCATTTTTCACTCTCACACAACCAAAACATGAAGAAAGTTAAAAGTCTCCTTCAAAATCTCCCCCATAGTGCCTCATCCTCTTACTAAGCTTGCTTTTCTTTAAGCAGGTCATTCTTTTTTTTTTTCATTTTTCTTGAGATGGATTCTTACTCTGTCACCCAGGCTGGAGTGCAGTGGCACGATCTCGGCTCACTGTAACCTCCGCCTCACAGGTAAAAGCAGTTCTCCTGCCTCAACCTCCCAAGTAGCTGAGATAACAGGCGTGCGGCATCTCGTCTGGCTAATCTTCTTATTTTTAATAGAGATGGGGTTTCACCATGTTGACCATGGTTGGCCAGGCTGGTCTCGAACTCCTGACCTCAGGTGATCTGCCCGCTTTGGCCTCCCAAAGTGCTGGGATTAAAGGCATGAGCCACCGTGCCCAGCTATTCTTTTTCTTTCTTTTCTTTTTTTTTTTTTTTTCAGATGGAGTCTTGCTCAGTCACCCAGGTTGGAATGCAGTGGCGCACTGTCGGCTCACTGCAAGCTCGACCCCTCAGCTTCAAGCGATTCTCCTGCCTCAGCCTCCCAAGTAGCTGGAATTACAGGCATGTGCCACCATGCTTGGCTAATTTTTTGTATTTTTAGTAGAAACAAGGTTTCACTGTGTTGGCCAGGCTGGTCTTGAACTCCTGACCTCAATCCACCCACCTCAGCCTCCCCAAAGTGCTGTGATTACAGGAGTGAGCCACTGCGCCCAGCCAGTTCATTCTTTCAACAATGTTTAAGCATCTACCTAAGCCTGGCACTGAGCTGGGCCTTGGGGGCTACAAAGATATCTAAGACTTTTTTCTCCTTAGAGAGCTATACCGTCTATGGAGAGGGACAGAGAGCCCCCAAAATGATGAACATGTTCTAAGTGTTGAGATAGAGGCATGTGAACACTCTTTGGCAGCCCAGAAAAGAAAGGGGAAGAGGAAATGGCACAGAAAGGGTGAGGCAAGAACTGGCCTGGAAGTCTAGGATGGATAGGATTTTGCCAGTTGAAGAGGGGTAGGCACATTTCAGGAAGAAAGAACAGCGTTGGAGAAGGCACAGATGTGTGTGAAAACCCCTGTTGGACACGTTCAGGGGACAGCTAGAAGTTGTGTGTGGATACATTGTAGGGTTTGTGGGAAGTGAGTCAGGAAAGGGGCATAAAATGGGGCTGGAAAGAGAGATGGAGCCTCCATGTGAAGTTATGCTAAGGAGATCGGGCTCCATCCTATAGGCAGGAGTAGGTGGTGGGGGGCAACGGGAAGTTTTCAACCATTATCCAAACTCTGTTGTAGAATTAAAAAGTGGAAAGAAGAGAACACAGGCAGGGAAACCATAATAGTGTGGTCAGACTTCAACATGATAGCAGTCAATTCAGTAGGAATCTTGAATTTGAGTAGTCAAGTTCATAGAGACAGAAGGTAGGAAGGTGGTTGCCAGAGGCTGGGGGTGGGGATGGGGGTAGGGTTAGGGGGAAAGAGGAGTTATTGTTTAGGGTATAAAGTTTGTTTTCCAAGATGAAGAGTTGTGGAGATGGATGGTGGTGAAGGTTGCATAACATGCATATACTTAATCCCCCGAACTGCACAGTTACAAATGGTTAAGATGGTAAACTTTCTGTTATGCATATTTACAATTACACACACACACACACACACACCCTTCAGTGCACGCAAACCCTGCTGGACTCCAACCTTCAGAGCTTCCGATTTAGCAGGGCTGAGTGGGACCTGAGGATTTGCATTTTCTGACAAGTTCCCAGATGACGTTGATGCTGCTGGTCCGGAGACCACACTTCGGGAATCACTGGTGTACGAGACCAAGTGACTAGAATATGGAGGGGTGCTCTGCTCGCTTCCACGTGGCTACTATTGTTATGAACAACAACAGCCGGCGTTTACTGAGCACTGCTCCTACAGCTTATCTCACAACTGGGTGAAGGAGCAGAGGATGCGCAGGGCTAGAACCTGGAGTCTAAACTCGTCCTTCACCCGGGTTGCTCTGGATCTTACTGGTTGTGAGACAGGGAGGGAAAGAGAGACAAAGGCAGGGAGACAGGCCCAGCAGGGCCGGCAGAGCCTGTAGTGACGGAGGGGAGCAGCCTTATCTCCGGGAACCCGAGCGCCCCGTGCGCGGCGGGGAGGGGGCAGTTCGGGGCGCCCCGGCGGGTCCCAGGGGCTGACTCCCGCCCGGGAAGTGCGCGCAGGGCTCACGGCCCGCAGGGGGCGCTGCCGCGCCGTCCAGCCGCCGCCGCCCGGGCCGCCCACCTCGCGGGCGCGCCCCTCCGCAGACCAGCGCCGCCCGGCCCGGGACCCGCTCGCGCAGACTTCTCGGGCGGACTGAGGACGCCGCCGCTCGGGGCCGCCCCTGTGCTCGCCTTCAGCGCCCGCTCAGCCCGCCGTCCGCGCCCCGGTGGCGGGCCCGACGCCCGCATTCCGCCCGTGTCCAGGCGCAGAGCTCCCGCCCCGGGGAGCTTCCTGGCCGTCGGCGGGCCCCGCGGCCCGCGCGCTCGGCGCCCTGCTCGCCGGGCAGAGGGGAAGGCGGCGGCCGGCTGGGGATGGGCGGCCCGGCTGCGCCGAGGGGCGCCGGGAGGCTCCGCGCGCTGCTGCTGGCGCTGGTGGTCGCGGGGATCCCCGCGGGCGCCTACAACCTCGACCCGCAGCGCCCCGTGCACTTCCAGGGCCCCGCTGACTCGTTCTTCGGCTACGCAGTTCTGGAGCATTTCCACGACAACACGCGCTGGTGAGTGCCCGCCCGACTCCGCGACCCTGGCCCGCGCGGCCACCGCCCCGGCCCCCAGGCCAGCGCCGCCGCCGCCTTTCCGGTCTCTTCCACGCCGCCGTCCCGAGGGGGCGATTTAAATGTCTCCGTTGCGCGCGGCTCGGCCGCCGGGGGACGGCGGGAGAAGGGAGGACGCCGTCCGGGGCCCGCTAAGGTCGGGGTCGGCGCCTGGAGGCGGGCGGGGGCGTCCGGGTGCCTCCCTGGGGTCCCAGCCCAGAGCGTGGGGGGAGAGCCGCTAGAGTTGTCTCCTCCGCCGCCCAGCTAGACTCGGCTTCACTCTCTGAATCGAAAAGTAACTTGGCTCCTCTGCCTCCGGGCGGCCGCCGCTGGCCCAGCGAGCCTCCTGAACCTCGCAGGGCCTGGAGGAGTCGGGGCACTGGAGCTGCACCCCTCCCCGGTTTTGGGGAACCCCTGAGGAAGGAGTATAGCCTCTCCAGCGCCGCTGCGCGGGGTGGGGCTCCCCAGGGGCAGGGTGTCTGGGATCCACTGGGGCGCACTGGAGCCCAGAGCCCCGGCGCCCCCCCCCCCCCCCAGCTCCTACAAGACCCTGGGTGGAAGTGGAGCGGAGAAGCTCCTAGGATATAGGGAAGAGGAAGGTGAGGGAGCACTTCCCAGTGACACCGCCGGTGGGGCAGGTAGTTATCTCTTGGGAGAGCCTGAGTCTCATCTCATATGGGCCATTCGACCCGGAGACCTTCACCAGAAGCCTTAAGAGAGAGACGTGTTTCTATAGTGGCCAAGGGGTCCAGTTGTCCCCTGAGTCCGGAGGGGTGGGCCTAAGAAGGGGGCAGCTCTCCCCCATTAAGCACCATAAGCCGAGTGGTACAGAGCTTGTGCCCAACCCCAGCAGAGAAGCACTAAGGGGGGGTTGGTGCCCTCCTTGGCCACATCCTCTGGACCAGAGGGTATAAACAGCCACACAGTGGTCACTTCTTGATAGGAGAGAGAGTTAGGCTGCGGGAAGTTCCCCCGTTCAAGGTCGTGCCTCATGGGGGCCCAGGTGACAGCCAGGCCGGGGTTGATTTTATTGTGTATTCACCAGCCTGAGCGTCCTTAGGGGTGGCAGGCAGGGAGGTCGAGGTCACTGATGCTGGTGCTCTCAGCATGTAGTTATGCAGGAGAGTCACTGCTCTGTATTGGACAGAGGCTGATGGAAAAGGGTGGTTTGTGGATCGCAGTACTCAAGCATTCCTGGAAAAGGGGACTCTGAGACCAGCCCACTAAGAATCATGCTGTTCAGGAGATCAGCCTTCAAGAGAACCAGTTTTCAAAGCCCTCACATAGCTCTCGCCCAGCTCCACATCTCCCTCTCTCACTTACTCCAGTTGCTGGGTATAAGACCGAGTGTGTCTGTTCTTAACACTTGTCAAATTCCCCTTTTAAAGCGGAGCAGGCTGAACATTTTTCTGTGTCCTGCAGACTCAGGGTCTGAGGTTGAAGAACACATCCCAGATCCCCACACTAGGCACCAGGCACGCGGGAAGCACTGTCAAAAATGGGAGGGCTGCTGTGGACAGCGGGCTGCTGAGAAAGGGCGGGCAGCTGAGCAGGCAGCCAAGCCAGCCGGAGCATTGTGTGTGATCTGCAGGCTGAGGCTGGCTCAACTGCCTTGGAGCTCTTTGACAGCTAGAGGGAGAGAGGCCAGGCCACTGTCACTGTGGATTTGCATGGGCCACAGGTCAAAGCCACACTGCCTGGGAAAGGAATGGGTAGAGACGAGAGCAGATCTGACAGAGAAAAGGTGTTCAGCCTACTTGGATTTAAAACGGGGATGAAGAAAAGCTGTGTGACATGAGCAGATTTGGCCAGTGTGGGAAAAGACAGTCTGGCCTTCAGCTTGGTACCCAGGGTAAATGGTAGGGAGTGGGTGTGGAGCAGTAATGCTGTGCATATTCTTGTTGCCAGTTGAGATGTGGGACTGGTATTTCAGGGGTCCATGGGAACCCATGTGTCTGGGCTGCTGAGCTCAAAAGTGCCCTCTCTTGTTCTGATACAAGCTGGCTACTCTTTGTATTGGAGTGCTTGTCCCCATAGCTGTTCAGGCACCAACTTAACTCTACTGAAATCTTTTTAAAATAATGCTTCTTTTTCCTCCCTCACCCACCATATTGACTTAATTTTTTCTTAGATTGTGTTCTCCCCTTGATTTCTGTTCTCATGCTGTTGTTTTCAAGTATTTTCCTCCCCATCCTTTTTTCTCTTTCCCTTTTTCCCAGTATTCTTTGTCTTAGACCTTGAATGTATTTTTTGCTGTATGTATGCTTGAATGTGTTTTTTACCCAGGCTTGGTAAACTATGGCCTTTGGAGCAAGTGACTTCCAACATCTTCTTTCTCCTTTTTCTTTCCTCTAGAGGCTAGACTTATTGTGCAAGGCTGCTGAAACTTAAGCCAAAGGATTCTTGCTTGCATAGGCCCCTATTAATGCCTTGTCCCCAATTTTATAATTTTATGTTAATTTTCTTAAAGTTAGTCACCCTAAATTTGTAAGATCAGGTCCTGTGAATTCTGGATCTGTCCTAAGTCTGTACCTTAACTTCAACTGTGGGGTTGGTTGATTGACTTGGTAACTGATTGTTGGTCGCTTACTCCTAAGCAGTACCTGAGCCCTGGATCTTCTAGTCCTGCTTGAGGGACATGTCAGTCATTTTCAATTATTCGTGATTGCAAACAGCAGCAGGGGTAAACAACCTTTAACGAAACCCTTGAGGACAATCTTAATTATTTCCTTTGAATAAATTCCTGGGCTTAGAATTGCTGGGTCAGAGAGGATGGAAGCTTCAAGGCATTCTTTATGTATTACCAAAGTGCCAGTGAAGTGTGTGTACTTTAGAAAAATACATTAATTTATTCAGACACTGGAGGCTTGGGAGTAGTTTTGCAAAGGGCTGCTCTAGTGCACTGAAAGAGTATAGAACCTACATGGGGGTGACTTAAAAGGATCACAAATACTCGTCAAAATGAGTGAGGAAGGTAAAATATAGACATGAAAGGGAAAAGCAGTATAGCAAAACTTTGAAAGGAAAAGAAGACATGTTAATTAAGCCTTGTATCTTACGTCTCTCTTCTCGAAGAAATTATTCTTTGTTACTTAATTCAATATTTTGCAGTCTAAGATATTTGCTTCATGCTAATTAACTACCTGTTTTACAGGTGAAAAGATGTGTTGTCTCTAGGGAAAGGGAGGGAGAAGAATGTGCTGGAAGTGGTAGGGGGAGAGCACAGACCCCAAAGTCAGCACGGACTCTGCAGGCGGCAGAGTAGAGCGTTCCCATGTTGAGGGACCTGCGGGTGTACATCTCAAAGCATGTGAATGTGCTCTGTTGGTGGAACTAGCACTTCTCTAATCCCATAACTGAGCATTTCTCTCAATTATTTTGTAGACCAAAATTGTCACTAATCGGAGGATCCTAGATCCCTGTGTAAGTGTGGGGGTGATCTTGCTTTTCCCAGCCCTGGTGACTGAACCCAGCTCTGTAGCCATATCACACTGAGCACAGAGCCCCAGACCCAGCTTCTCTCAGAGTACTTGCTTGAGTGGTCCCGCTGTCACTGTGCTCTGGGCAGTGAGAACTGTCCCCATGGCTAGATGGACCAGAATATCCTGGACAATGTTCCAGATGACGTTTGTATCAGCTAGGATACAAACATGCAAGGGACTCAATTTTCTTTTTTTCTAATAACACCCAGAGTGTCTGCCTGCCCAGAGCCAGCTTCCTCTCCTATAGCTCCCACTCCCTGAGTCTTCTGGCGTCCTTTGAACAACAACAGTAAGTGCCAGGGAACATGGACAAAGCCGATTTCTGTCCCCTTCCTTTAGACATGGACCGGTTACTCAGCTGCAGGGCTGACAACTGTAACACCCTGTGATATAAATAAATGCTGCCTGGCTGGCGTGCAGCCTCCAGAGCGGACGTCTTTCACACCCCACCCCGTCCCCTCCTCCTTCTCTGCCCCAGACGCCCTGGAGTCCAAAGTGGTTGGGTGCACTGGCTTCCTTTCTGGAGACGTGCTTCCTGCTCCCTCTCCTGGGACACATCAAGACGGCTGTGCTTAGGCACAGAGCGAGTGCTCGGAAATGGAAGATGTGCTGGGCTTTTTGCTTTGTTAAAGTTGTCAGAGTGTTGTTCAGTGAGGAATAGGAGGCAATTCCAAGCCAAGGAGAACATATCCTTGATTTGCATGAAGGTTGAGAATTAAAAGAACAAGCTAGATAGTTCTGGTGAGCTGTCTGATGTAGTCACCACTAGCCAGATATATTGGTATGTAAATTAACTAAAAATAAAATTTAAAATGCAGCTTCTCAGTTGCACTTGCCACATTTCAAGTACTCAGTAGCCACATGGGGCTAGTAGCTACTGCATTGGACACAACACAGAGAGAACATTTTCATCATCACGGAAAGTTCTACTGGGCAGTGTGGGTTTAGAGCAATGATGTAAGTCTTAAAGGGCTAGACAAGGATCAAAAGGAGAGGTAAGAAAAAGAAAAAGAAAAAAAATCAACCCATAGCATATGTGAGTACTAAAACCGAAACGGGTGCTTACATCTAACTAAAAATTATTGCCTGCTGAAGAGGTTGAATTGTCTTTCTACTCATAAAACACCGCAGGGCCTGATCTATATTTAGGGCTGGGGGTTCAACAATGAAAACTTTTTGCTCACAATCTGACAGGTGAGAAAATTGTGGGGTTCTAGTTGTGTGTCTCAAATGAAATTTAAGATCTAGGCTCTGATGGGGGAGAGGCTTGTCCTCAGGCAGGCATGAGTTGTTCAGAGGGGCAGAAGAGAAACTCCTGTGAAGGGAAAACATTTAGAAGGGGAGCCCTGGGATCATAGGACCTGCTGCCCCTGGCCCTGCCCGTCTTGCTGAGGAAACACCCAGAAATGGTGGTGGGAGCCCTGCCTTCTCATAACCTCAGTGGTGAGCATCTTTGCAGAGTTCCTCTGTCCTGTGCCAGACTCTAGGGGAAGGTGTAGGTCCGCTTCCTCATTTGAATTTTTCTAGGGAAATGGCATTTTCAGACATTGTTCCTGGTCCTCACTCACCCTACAGAGCCTGCTTTCTCAAGCTCTCAAGAAGGAACAACACATATATGAGGCCTGAGTTCCAAGGGGATCCAAAAAGCATCTTCTCGGGGTTTCTGGGAAATTTCTCTGAAGATCTGGAGAAGCTGGCAAGGGTGCTGTTTTCTGAGCTAGTGCTGAATGCTGGCTGGGGGCAGAGACAGCTGTCTTGCCCAGTGGAGAACCTTCCAGGGCAAGAAGACAGTCTTGTCTCAACCAGTCATTAACGGCCCTGAGTGTGAGAGTGTGAAGGGCCGGGCCCCAGCCAGCTCTGATTCCCTGGTGACATGCTGCTGTTCAGGAAATGGTCTCCTGATAACTTCTATTGTGATTTGTTCAGGGAAAATGTTGTTTTTACATTTGTTAAAAGCAGCCATGGTGTTCTCTGAAATTCCTTGCTTTCAAGGGGTTGCATGGAATTTTAACAACCAAAATGAATTTCGTCAGATAGTATCTACAAGAAGTCAGATGCTTTCACAGGCATAATATTCTTTAGTTGAGTCTTTGTAACATCCTGGTGAGTGGTTTCCAGTTTGCTATTTGGGGAACTGAGGCTTACAGAGTTACACGCCTTGTTCAAGGCCCACCCCAGCCTGAGAGATCAATGCACATTCACTGGGGGCTTGTGTCAGTTTGCATCCTTTAGGAAGCAGATGCTAGGACAGAGATAGGAGTGTGAGAGAATTGTTGGGGGCGGGTATTGCCTGTGAAAGACAAATGGGGAAGTTGGATGGGACAGAGAGAGCCTCTGACTCTATGCAGATCTGATTAAAGTCTCAGTCAACTCAACAGAGATCACTGGGCAGAAATAGCTGTCCTCTGCCAGGGTCAGGTATTGGCTGGAGCTGTCTGGGAAGAGCACAGCCTCAGCTGGAATCCTGCAGCAGATCCCAAGAAAGCTGCAGCTGGAGGCTGTCAGCTGACATTCCGCCTTGCAGCTGAACAGCATGAAGTGACCCACACCTCTGTGGCTGCCCTGGAGCCTGCCACGCGTGAATCACTGTGTTGGGAGGGTGTGAGATGTGCTCCTTGGCCTGCAGTGTGGCTGGGGATCATCTTTGCTCATACCTCTGTAATCAGTGTGTGGAGCGTCAGGACTGACAGTAGGGCCATTGGGACTGGCCCAGAAACAGAATCCTGAGCAATCTTGCCACCAGCTGACTCACAAGGTGCCTCTTTCTGATGTCAGAGAAGTCACAGGTGATGGATTTCAGAAGAAAGGAGCTCTGCTTTACGCTGAGCCACCGAGTTCTCTGAACTGCAAATCCTTTTAGCCAAGTGGATTTGGCGATCAACCAAAGCAGAATAAAATGTTTTATCCCAACCTTCCTTTTTGCCAGAAGGAGTCCTAGGAAGCCGATGTAAGTCCAAGATTGGGAAAAATCTACAGTCTTTGAAACCACGGGCTCACTTGGTCCACCAATGTCTGTTCTGACCAAAAAGGACTTCTGTGTTGAGTTTAAATTAGCAACAGTAGCAACAATAACACCAAAAGCAGCAACAGTGTATCTGAATATTCAGTAGATGTCAAGTGCTATCTACATTGGTACTCATACCAGCTCATTTAATGTTCCCAACAGTCCTTTCAGCTGGTAGCCATTTGGGCTGCCATAACAAACTGTTATAGGTTGGGTTGCTTATAAATGACAGAATTTATTTCTCACAGATCTAGAGCCTTGGAAGTCCAAGATCAGGGCCCCAGCAGATTTGCTGTCTGGTAAGCACCTGTTTCTTGGTTCATAGATAGTGGTGTTCTCACTCTAAGCTCACACAGTGAAAGGGATGAGGGAGCTCTCTGGGGCCACATTTATAAGGGCACTAACTCATTCATAGGTTATATCCTCATGACCTAATCACCTCCCAAAGTCCCCACCTCCAAATAACATTACCTTGGGGTGAAGATTTCAACATATACATTTTGAGGGAACACAAGCATTCAGTCTGTAGCAGCTGGCTATCATTTTATCCCCATTCATGGAGGGGAAGCTGAGGTACAGAGGCATTATTGCCCAAGTTACATGGCTAATGAGTTGTCGAGCACAGGCCTGTGCCTTTGCCCACCCAGGCTGACTGCCTGTCAGGAAGTCAAGAATCCGAGTTTGGGGGCTTCAGGGCGCTCAAACATCTGTCTTGTGAAGTTCTGTTCTGCCTGCTTTCCTGGAAAAGTTATTGAATTGCAATAGCAGTAGCTTCTCTGCGGCACCCTTTGGGGATGCTTATTCATGACCCACTGGCTACTCTTGGGGGGATGCTAGGGTTCTGTTTTCTGGAGATGTTTGATCACTGAGTGAACAGGGACCCAATGATTCTGCCAGGGACATTTGAAGGGCCTCTTCTCACACCAAGGCTGTCTAGCATTAAGACAGAAGTGTCCCAGGAAAGATGGAGTACTCTGCAATATTCCATGTATCCCTCTAACCTCCTGGGGCTGCTTTGTTACTATCCCCCCATCCACTCTGAGTTCTACTGGCTCCCACCACTTATTTAGGAATCTCTGAATTGGGGAAGGTAGCCATGGTGGCCAGTGTTTCAGAATCACTCCTGGGTTTGTAACTTTATTAAAGAAACCCACACAGAGTCAAACTTCTGCACCAGTGACCAACAATATGTGAGAGGATGATTTGTATCCTCAAATATTTGAACACTTAATAAAAGGCATGAATGGGTACAAAAAATTAGAAAGAATGAGTAAGAATGAGTAAGAACTAGTATTTGATAGCACAACAAAATGACAATAGTCAACAATAATTTGATTGTAGTTTAAAAATAACTAAAAGAGTATAATTGAATCACTTGTAACATAAAGGATAAACGCTTCAGGTGATGGATACCCCATTTACCCTGCTGTGGTTATTACATATTACATGCCTGTAACAAAATATCTCATGTACCTCATAAATATGTACCTACTGTGTGCCCAAATCTTTTTTTTTTTTTTTTTTTTGAGATGGAGTCTTGCTCTGTCACCCAGGCTGGAGTGCAGTGGTGCGATCTCGGCTCACTGCGAGCTCCACCTTCTGGGTTCACGCCATTCTCCTGCCTCAGCCTCCCGAGTAGCTGGGACTACAGGTGCCCCCCACCACACCCGGCTAATTTTTTGTATTTTTAGTAGAGAGTGGGTTTCACTGTGTTGGGCAGAATAGTCTCGATCTCCTGACCTCGTGATCTGCCCACTTTGGCCTCCCGAAGTGCTGGGATTACAGGCGTGAGCCACCGCACCCGGACTATGTGCCCAAATTTTTAAGAAAAATAAAAAATCACGGAACAAATTTCCTCCATCTTAGCTGATCTGTTGGTGTGTTAAGGCCACCTGGGAGATGGCCTTTCCTACCCCTTCCTATCTAGTGTCCAAGTGCTGTGATGTATGTGGATCCCAGAGTAAACTTGGTGTTGTGCAGTACACACCAGTAGGCAGCATTGCAGAGGGTCTTGGCACCTCTTTTGCACCAGGATGGGTCCTAGAGGGTGGATGTTCCAGATTCAGCTGAGTAGTGTTCCTGTCTCTACCTTCATTGAATCCCTGGTTCCACAGCAACAACCAGATCCACGATTTTTGTGCCATAAAAGGGGGCACTGCTGAGATGCACAAGTGCCTGGTGGCCAAGAGAGTGGGCTCCAGCATTAGCCCTGCCCTCAGCCTGCCTTACTCAGCTCTCTGCTTAGGAGCTGTGTGATCTTGACCAATTACTTCAGCTGTTTGAACCTCAGTTTCCTTTTCTGTAAAGAGTAATAAGGGTACATCCCTCATTAGGTTGGTGGGGGCATTAAATGAGATGATATCTGCAAAGCCCAGAGCACAACACGGCACACAGTAAGCCCTTGATAGATGCTCGTAGTTATTTCTCTTGTTACTTGATCTGATTTATGAAACCAATGGTCTTTTTCATCCTGACTTGAGATGCTGAGTTTTCTTTCAGTATTTTTGTTGATTCATTCATTTATTCATCAGACTTTGAGTGTTGACACTCAACACTGAAATGAATGAGATATTCTAACATAGACACACTCTTCATTATGTGTGGCCTCTAACATTTTTGTTATGCTCTACATAAATCTGCATTTTTGTGCATTCATTTACACCCTGTCTGCTTCCAAAAAGGATCTGAGATGGCTACTTTAAATGGAGATCTTTGGGATTGTAAATCCTAGAATTTTGCCTGCCTGTTTCTTCTCTGTGCTCTTGGAAAGCCAAGGAGCAGATGGGAGGCCACCCTTGTTATGGGGAGCTCCAGCTCCCACCCCAGGCTCCAGATAAGTCTGGGAGGTAGATCTACAGTTCCAGGATGGGATACTTTTTTAAAAAGTAAATGTAAATGTATTGCCATATTTCTCTTGAAAAAAAATTATCACAAGAAACCAACAAGAAGATATCAAGGCTTTTTCTTAGATCTGCCAGAAGTCTGTAATTTGCTCTATCCCTTGGATTTTAGTGTTCACTTGCTGCTTTCAGATGTGGAAGGAAAACCTCAGTCCTTTTGCCTTGCCTCCTTCTCCAGTTGCCTCCCCTCAGTGTGTCTGCCAAGACCTGAGCCCCAGGCCAGGGCAGCAGCCTCTGACCTTTCACTCCCTAACACACAAGCTGGGGACCAATGTCACTCCAAGGTTGGACCCTGCCCCCGTGCCTCTGCTTTTCCCAGTTGGGCATGGACTCCACCAATTTCATTCTCTGACTTAGCGTTATGTGGTGTGGATTGTACTGCTCTCCCTCCATTTACTGTAACCTAGGCTCTCCAGGATAAAAATTATTATTGCCAACCTTTTATGAATACTTTCTATATGCCAGAACCACTGTGTTCATAGTTCCCTTTATGCAGAGCAGGCTACCACTCCCGAAGCACAGAGAAGCCAAGTCACTTGTCCAAGGTTACCCAGCAAGTAAGTAAATTACAGAGTTGTGCTTTGAACCAAGGTGGGACTGATTTAATGCTAAACTGACTGTTCTCAGGGTTAGCCATGCTACCCTCCCTACCTCCACCTCCATCAAGGCCCTGTCCAAGGTATCAGGTTTCTAAGGAAAAAGGAGAAGGGCCCTGAAAGGAAAAGGGCTTCTTCGGAGGGCATTTGTGTCTGCTCTTGGCCTTGCAGATAAAATACCATAATCTACTCTTGCAAATCAGGCCATCCTGGGGTGCATGGTCCCCCAAACACTTTCATCTGCCTTTTCCTTTTGTGCCTCATCACTGCCTTGGGAGGGGGATCATGCATTTGTTATTATCCTTGTTTTACAGAAAAGGAAAGGAAGGGTCAGAGTGGCCAGGGGACTTGTCTAAAGTCACATAGCTGTAGCTGGCACACTCCTGGGTGTGACTTCGGATACACTCTTTAGGGCCTATTCTACTACTCCACCATGCCTGTCCCATCTCAGGGCCTTCAGTAAAAGTCTGTGGTCCTGGTTGGTGATGAGATTCCTTTGAGGGAGGGAAAGGAGACCAGGTAGCTAGAGGAGCCATAGCAATAGTTGTCAGCTGCATAGTTGGATAATTGGTTTGGACTTAGCGGGAATTAGTGGGCGATGGAATTACCACGGTCCAGATTCCGTCAGAAGTGGCATGCCTTAGCTTGATGACGTATCTGTTTTCTATCACCACAATATTGCTGCATCCCTAACAAACCACCCCAAAACTTAGTGGCTTAAATCAACCACCACCTGTAGCTTATTCTCTGGTTGGCAGCTTAGGTTGGGTTCAGCTGGGTGGTTCTTCTGTTCTCTCCAGGACTCACTCATGCATCTGTGGTCAACTTCTGGGTTAGCTGGTTGGCTGGCTGGCAAAGGATGGCTTCAGCTGGGAGGGCTTATTTTTGCTCCATATGTATTTCATCCTCTTGCAGGCTAGCCTGGGCTTGTACACATGGTGGTTGGGTAGGGTACCAACAGAACAATCAGAGGCTTGCATGATTTCTTGAAGCCTAAGCTCAGAAGTCAAACCATGCCCCTCTGCCACATTCTTTTGGCCAATGTAAGTCACAGGTCCAGACTACATCAAGAGGAGGCAGAAACACATTTCATCTCTTGACAAGAGAAGCTGCAAAGTCACACTGAAAAGAGCAGGGATACAGGAAGGATGGGGAATTGTGGCCACTTTGTAATATATTACTGGTGGTGAAAGCATCCTGGCTGTCCCTGAATTACTGTGACAGTCTGAATAAATTCCTGCCCAGCGCACCAGAAAAGGGAACAAGGTTCTATTAACCTAAATAGCAAACACAGAGAGAGGCTCTCTAAAAGAAAATGTTTACTCAGGAATAGGGCATTGCAGTGGGAATACATGTGTCACAGTAATCTGCATGAATATTCAGGGAGGTAAAGGAAAACAAAGGCTTTTAAAGGAAAAATGAGGATTACTTAATTGTTTTGAGATAATTATCTTTGGATACAAGGATCAGTGACAAGGGTGGCACCAGTTTGAGGTTGGATAGAGAGTTGCTAGGTAGATTTCCTCACAGAAGGTGTGAGTGTGTGTGTGTGTGTGTGTGTGTGTGTGTGTGTGTAAGGTTGTGATGGCCTTTGTGCAAGATTGTGTTTTTGCAGATTTTTTTGTGCTAGTTCTTGTTATCAGTTGTTTATGCATGAAAACCTTTCCTTCATGGCGTCCCACAGCTCTATTTGTCAGGGTTTTTTTTTTTTTTTTAAACATAAGTGACTCCATTTTGATTCTGACAACTTTTGCAATTCTAAGGATCTATGAGCTCTTGGGTGCTGCCAGGAGTTAGAACTGGGATGAGTTGAGTGTCAAGGTGTTTGACCTACTACTGCCCAGCAGTCTAACATTTCTTTGAACACCTACTTTGTAGCAGGCACTATGATGGGTGTTTTATAAACATTCTTTTGCTTAAACCTTACAAGAAACCTTCTTAGGTACACTTTTATTCCTCCTGTTTTACAGAAGAGGAAAACTGAGGCTTGGAGTGTTTAAGACACTTGTCTAAGAGACACAGCTTGTCAGCAGTAGAGGCAGGACTTAAACCCTATGTTACTGCCTGTGCTTCTTACACTTTATCACCATGCATAACTTTCCCATAAAGCTTAGAAGCCAGGTAGAACTACTGGCTTAAAACCCTAGAAAGCAGTCAGTATCCACTGCTTAAATACCAGGAGCCTCAGTTTCCCCAAATATAAGAAGAGCTTATGAGGCCTTTCAGGTCCCATGGCTCCATTGGGCAAGCATTGGTCCCTAGTGAGTCCCCTCCCTCTGGAAATGAAGGGTTTGGTGTGGTCAGAGGTGGCTATCCTGGCACCAGCTCTTCCTTTACTCAAGCCTGGGCTGCTTTCTGCCCAGTAAGGGATGCGGACAATTCCTGGGGTTTCCCCGTGGTGGACACACAGTGAAGAATTTGACTCATGTAACCAAAACGTGGGTCCCTGGGGAAGCTTTGGCTTTGGGATCAAATGCTGAAAGCAAACCTAATGGGTTTAAAGTTTTTAATCCCCAGTTGCTGTCCTTGATCTGGCTATAATTTTGCCTGTGGAATCGCTGCTGTGGTGTTTGTGGGGAGGGAGGGAATCTTTGAGACACTGTCAGTTCTCAGTCCTGCCCAGGGAGGCAGCTGCGGCTCAGTCCTTCTCTGTCACCCGCTCTCCAGAGAATTTACCTGCAGATTACCCTCAAAACATGAGACAGGTTCAGAGCGAGGTGGGCGGCTGGAATGGAGCCTTCACAGACAGCTTGACCACACACAGGGAGCTCAGGAAGCAGCTTTGTTGGAAAAATGCAGGGCACTTAAACTGCCACACCAGGAGGGGGTTTGGAGAGGCTGGAAAGAGCATGCCATTGGACACAGACACTCTGGGTTCAAATCCCAGCTCTGCCACTTACTGGTGGTGTGACCCAACATCTCTGAATGGAAAACACATGAGAGGCTGCCTGACAGGATGGCCATGAGCAAGAAAGCACCCTTGTGAGCATAACCAGTGTTGGTGCATGAACCGATGCACCCACACTGCTTATTAAGAGAGGCAAACCTCTGGTTAACACCATGACAGCAGTGTCAATGCTTTGGAAAAGCAAGGTGATTGAAGTTCACCTTTTGAGTCACCTGAGCCTGATGGGGAGGGGAAGGTCTTTTCTCTTCCAAACCCCAGCATGCCCTTTGACATGACGGAGCTTTCACATCAGAGTTCTCACTTCAGAGCTGCCCTCAAAGGCTCACTGGGGCTTGCTCAGGTGGGGATTACATATGTGAGTAGCTGGCACCAGAGGGGGCACTGGGTACCTGTTGGTTCCCTTTTCCTCCTTTCAGGCTGATGTGGGGTGGGTAGAATAGGGCACGGGTGATGTATTTGACTACTGGGGTGCGTGCTACAGCTTGGCATCTTAACATGAATAACCATCTTAACCTCCTCTGGCCACCTGCTTCCCTATCTGTAAAATGGGGATAATATTAGTACCTCCCGTAGGGTTGCTGTGAAGAGTAAATTTGATCCTGCCCGCAATGAGCCTAACCCAGCACCTGCACACTCTATGTGCCTGCTACATGCTGGTTGCCCTAATTAGAAGTTTAGAGTCCTGCATTGATGAGAGGACCTAAAAGGCTTATGAGGCCAGGCATAGTGGCTCAGGCTTGTAATCCCAACACTTTGGGAGGCTGAGGCAGGTGGATCACCTGAGGTCAGAAGTTCAAGACCGGCCTTACCAATATGGTGAAACCCCATCTCTACTAAAAATATAAAAATTAGCGGGGCGTGGTGGCGTGTGCCTGTGGTACCCAGCTACTAGGGAGGCTGAGACAAGAGAATTGCTTGAACCCGGGAGGTGGAGGTTGCAGTGAGCGGAGATCGCCGCACTGCACTCCAGCCTGGGTAACAGAGCAAGACACCATCTCAAAAAAAAAAAAAAAAAAAAAAAAAAAAAAGGGCCTTTGAGTTTGTGGCATCTTTAACTGGGGATGGGATAGGAGGAGAGAGCCTTGCTTCTCAAGGGCAATCTCTTCTACTGGCTCCAAATGAACATAATTATTTGTAATCAGTTTAGATAGTTACATAGTACTTCTTAAACTATCAATCACCTGGAGAGCTTGTTAAAATGCATTCTGATTTAATGGGCTGGGGCCTAAGATTCTGCATTTCCGACAAGTGCCAGGTGTTCCCCATGCTGCTGGTCTGAGGACCACACTTGAAGTAGCAAGCAAAGCAGAGAAGTAGCTTGATGCTTTGTTGATGGCAGCCTGTTGGTGGGGACACTCAGGCCCTTTTATGTGGTAACCATAGCAGAAAGGAACATAGTCTTGTTGAGAGTACCAGGAGAGTTGGGGCGATGTTTGAAGTGGCTAGGATGTCTTTTTATAACTTAGCAGATGGCATCTTTTCAGTGGCTTGTTCTGAACTCTGGGCCATGGTAATCTCTGTATCCCTTGGGATCAGCCTGGTAAACAGCCAGCTGAATTAACTTCAGAAAAGACTCACTCATGGGCTGGCCTGCGGTAGTCTTGCTGGATGGTGGCCTAGGTACAGAGCAGTGCTGGGCTGCGGAGGAAGCCACGATGTTCTGTAAACACATAGATACAAGCACATTCCCGCGTGCCACCTCGTGAGTGTCATGCATGTGTGTGCATGCCCCCTTATCTCTAGCCTGATTTTCCATTGCACAGGATTTGGGAAAAACCTTTCATCTGACCAGCTGATCAGAAGTTTTGAACTGAAAGGTTGTTATCAGGGTTTGAATCAGCTATTGTTGTTAGAACCATTGAGTACCTTGGGCTTGGAAGGAAATAATAATTCAGCAGGTTCCTTTCCACTTTAGATTTTGGTGTAAACTTTGTCCCTGTCAGTCTTGGCTCTAGGCTGGAGGAAGCAGTGCCTGGGAATAAGCTCTCCAGGGTCCCCTCCTGCTTAGATAACCTATGAATCTGTGTCTGTGAATTTGGAGCCATGGCATTATCTGAAATTTCCAGGGTTCCAATGCCAGTTTGGGAGACACAGTGGAGGAAGAACCTGTTGTTTCTTGCAGCCTTTTCCCTTCCCTCGGACGTGATGAATTCTCACTCTTGTGAATTTTTTTGTGATTTTTGTAAAATAAATTACAAGTGGCAATTAGTCACTGTGCTGATGTAAATTTGGAGTTGGTGGGAATTTTTGGACTCTGCTGTGTGGCCCTGGGGTTTTTGAGTGGAAGAGGTATTTTATGCTCCCCAGGTCTTAGAACCTGACCTGTGGAAAGGCTGAGGATGTTTCAGCAGTTTAGACAGGGCAAACTGCTAATTCTTCTCACCTGTGAAAACAGCTGGTCTTATGAAGCGCAATATGTGACTTACCCCAGTGGCTCTAAAGCTCAGCCGCTACAGCAAGGGGGAAAATTGATCCCTTAATGTGGCTTTCTTCTCACTGGAGTTTTGTTTTGTACGTCATTGTGCATTTGAGTTACAGCAGACAAGGGCCAGCCAAACTGCTCTTGTGTGGGTGAGGGAGGCAATGTGATCTGTTTGGGAAAGTGCTTGCTTTGATTTCCAAAGGGCTGTGGGTTCCAGCCCTGCTTCTGCTTGGGAATTCTGCAGTTGTGCCCAGCAAACACCTGGGGAGGTGCATCCCAGGGCATTATTGAGGAGCCGCAGGGCAGCCTGGGTACCTGCACCATTGGGAGTCTTGCTTCTCTCACTCCCCAGCAGGGCATCTTCCTCATGGAATCAGATACAGACCCTCCAAGACTGACCTGGAAGGAGACACTCCAGTGAGGGGTGGGTCTCCCTGGCTCTTTGTACCCTCCAATTCTTCAGGTTCTAGGTGTTGAGCTCAGGGCAGTGGGAATTAAGATGGGACCCACACACATTCCCATGAACCTTAACACCATGTCTCTGAGCCAGGTTAGTGACGATGTCCTTTGTGATATCTGCCAGCCTTTGCTGGAGTCCCCTTTGAGGGCCTCAGACTTCTGTTGTATGATGTAGAGGCCTTGTTTGTCTGCCCCTTTGCCTAGCTGGAGTGTTGCAGGAGGAGCAGCAGCATTCCAAGACCAGGGTGCAGTGAATGACTGAGATCCCAAGATGAAGGTGGCTTTCAGGGCAGAGGGAAGGGAGCCTGGGTCAGCTTTCTACATCCCCAGGAAAGCTGTCCAGGGTCATCCTAACCTCTGCTAAACACCTTTTCCACAAATACATAATATGTAATGCACTCTATTCCAAGGCATGTGGGAGATGATCTATTTCATGATACAGAAGAAACCCTTGTGAGGTGAATTCCCTCTCTTTTCTAGGCTGCTGGAGATAAGGAACAACGCCTGTTCTCACTAAGAAGTGGCTTGGCATTTTCTACTCTTTGAACATCAGTGTGGATTTTGTTTGAAGTCTCATTGTCCAAGACCTTTTCCAAATGGCTCGTAGCTCAGCACAAACCGTGCCTGATTAGTGTTGTTTGGTATTCTTTGCTATAGATCTTCTGTTGACTGCTTTCCGGAAACAATGCATAAAACTGTAGGTCAGAATTATTTTTGTAACATCTGGAGGGGAGCTTACTGCCATTTCCCCCGTGTTCTGCACTCACACAGGCCCAAACCTGCCTCTTCTGTCTTCTGGGTGGGTCTTGCCCCTTTCCTGTAGCCGGGGGATGCTCCTGCTGGGGATGGCCCACCCTAGGCAGCTTTTCAGTTCAAGATGGAGGATACAGAGGTTCATTCTTGCTCCTGTTTGCATGCAAACTGTTCTATTTCTGTTTTGCAGTGGGAGAGAGGATACGGTTTATAATTCCGCACTGCTGCTATTTTTTTTCCTATTTGCCCCTAAATGTCCATGCTGTGTGTGTGGTGGGTGGTAGGAGGAGGAGAGGGAGACAGAAGAGAAATAGCGTTTCTAAATTTTCTATTTGTTACTGAAATGTAACACATCCAGGAAAGTGTCCATATCATATACAGTTATCACAAATTTGTATAATGTCACTGAGGTTGAATGACAACATTATCCGCACCCCCAGCAATTCCCCTCCCTAATTGCAACCCTGCTTTCTCCTCTCCAGAGGTAACCATTATCCTGCCTTCTAACACTATAGTTAAATTTCACCTGCTTTTGAACTTTAGATAAATGGAATCAGACTGTGAGTATGCTATTGTATCTGGCATCTTTTGTTCAGTATTGTATTTGTGCAGTTCATCTCTGTGGTTGCAGTTGAATGCTGTTCATTTGTTTTCATTGCTGCATAGAACTCTTTTTTTGTTTTGTTTTGTTTTTGAGACAGAGTCTCACTCTGTTGCCCAGACTGGAGTGCAGTGGCATGATCTCAGCTCACTGTAACCTCTGCCTCTTGGGTTCAAGCGATTCTCCTGCCTCAGCCTCTCAAGCAGCTGGGATTACAGGCACCTGCCACCATGCCCAGCTAATTTTTTGTATTTTTAGTAGAGACAGGGTTTCACCATGTTGCCCAGACTGGTCTTGAACTCCTAAGCTCAGGCAGTCTGCCCACCTCGGCCTCCCAGTGCTGCATAGAATTCTGTTGTATTGCTGTACCATGATTTACCTGTCCACTCTAGCACTGATGGGCCTTTAGGTTTCTTCTTGTTTTTTTTTTTTTTTTTGATATTACATATGCAGCTTTGAACATTTTGCATGTCTCCTGGTAGAAATGTATGCATCTCTATTAGGTATAGTCCTAGAAATGGAATTACTGGGTCAAAGGGTAGGTGCATGTTCAGCTTTATTAGGAACTGTTGAATAGTTTTCCCAGTGGTTTTAATGGTTTATACTGCCACTAGCAGTGTATGAAGGTTCTAGTTACTCTATATCCTTGCCAGCACTTGGGATTTTCAGTCTTTTTGGTTTGAGCCTTCTGGTTGGTATGAAGTTGAGTTTCTCTGATAACTAACATAGTTGAGCACCTTTTCATGCATTTATTGGCCATTTGGCTATCTTCTTTTGTGAAGTATCTATGCTTGTCTTTGGCCTATTCTGTTGACTTGTCTTTTCTTATTAATCAATGAGGAGTTTTTAAAATAGATTTTGGATAGGAACCTTTTGTTGGTTGTACGTGTTCCCACCCATCCATCGCAGTCTCCTGGGTAGGTGGGACTAAAAGCGTGCGCTGCCTTGCCTGGCCATTTTTTTTTGTGAAGATGGGATTTGCCATGTCACCCAGGCTGGCCTGGAATTCCTGGGCTCAAGCGATCCACCCGCCTCGGCCTCTCAAAATGCTAGGATTACAGGCATGAGCCACCACATTCAGCCTCCTTAAGCTTTAATATGCCTGGGAAAGATCTAACAGGTTTCACTTTAGGACCTCTCCCCCAAGCCCACACAGAAAAGTATAATAATATGATTTTCAAAGTGAGCACTCAGAGAGCCCACCCGTGGTTGGGTGAATACTTAGCCATCTGCCTCCTATTTTCTTATCGTAGGTTGTGACAGAATGCCTTTTTCTCTTGCTGCAGGGTCCTTGTGGGCGCACCAAAGGCAGATTCCAAATACAGCCCTTCAGTGAAGTCTCCTGGGGCTGTGTTTAAGTGCCGTGTTCACACCAACCCTGACCGGAGATGCACCGAACTGGACATGGCTCGAGGTGGGTGACCATTACTGCTGTGGTGGAAATGGGTTCTGTACCCTTATACCTTGCTCTTCTTCTTCCCAGGATGGCCTGATCATTCACTCACCCATCCATCCTTCCCTCCTTCCCTCCCTCCTTCTCTCCAACAAGCATGTATTGAGTACGTAATAGTTATTAAGCACTGGGATACACCAGTGAACAAAAAAAACAAGGATGCTGCCATCCCTAGTCCCATAAATTAGTGGGCAAAAGAGATATTAAGACAAGTAATTGAGAGAGAAAAGACCAGAGGGAAGGTGAGTATTTGATTTAATCTAGATAGGAGGGTCAAGAAAGGTCTGGGACCTTTCGACATGATTAGAAGGATGCGTAGTCGTTAGCTGGGCAGGTGCAGGAAGCACAGCCTTCAAGCAGAGGTGCCATTTGGAAGCACAGAGCGAGGTTGTGCAGCTGGAGAGGGAGCCAGGAGAGTGGAGCACAGGAGGGCAGCAAGGCAGGCTGGGGCCAGGCCACGTGGGGCCTAGCAGGCCAGGGCAATGTGCTGGAATTTTATTCTGTGTGTGAGTGGGGAGGCCACTGAAATCAATTTTGGGTATTACATTTTAACTAGGGAAAGATATGATCAGATGGATGTTTTTAAAAGCTCACTTTGCGCTGGGCATGGTGGCTCATGACTGTAATCCCATCACTTTGGGAGGCTGAGGTGGGCACATTGCTTGAGCCCAGAAGTTCAAGACCAGCCTGTGCAACATGGTGAAAGCCTATCTCTACTAAAAATACAAATATTAGCTGAACGTGGTGATGCATGCCTGTAGTCCCAGCTACTCAGGAGGCCGAGGCAGGAGGATCACTTGAACCCAGGAGGTCAAGGGTGCAGTGAGCTGAGATTGTGCCACTGCACTCCAGCCTGGGTGACAGAACTGAGACTCTTGTCTCCAAAAAGATAAAAAAATAAAATAAAAGCTCACTTTGATCTAGCAGAAAATATAAGATCTTTGGAATCAGATGGTTCTGACTGCATTCAAAGCCCAGCTGGGACTGATTGGGAATGTCCTATAGCTTCTTGGGCCTCAGTTCCCTCACCTTCAAGATCAAGACTAATATACCTACCTCGCAAGGATGGTCTTGAGAAGATTAAGTGAGATAATACAGGTGAGTACACAGAACTGTGCTTGGCACATCAGTACAAAGGAGGTATTTTGTTATAATCATGACTGCAAGCATTTCTTTCTCCAAAGTCTTTTTGCATAAAGATTTTCTAATTTTTTTGTTGTTTTTTGTTTGTTTGTTTGTTTTTGAGACAGAGTCTTGCTGTGTCACCCAGGCTAGAGTGCAATGGTACAATCTCTGCTCACTGCAACCTCTGCCTCCCAGGTTCAAGCGATTCTCCTGCCTCAGCCTCCCGAGTAGCTGGGATTACAGTGTATGACCATCTTCGGCTAATTTTTGTGTTTTTAGTGGAGACGGGGTTTCGCCATGTTGGCCAGGCTGGTCTCGAACTTCTGGCCTCAAGTGAACCGCCCACCTCAGCCTCCCAAAGTGCTGGGATTACAGGTGTGAGCCACCATGCCTGGCCAAGATCTTCTAATTATTTTTTAAATAAAGAGTTATTGTGATTTTCTTTAGCAGAAAAAGAGGTTTGTGAACTGTTTGTTACTGGTGCATAACAAATTAAGGAGCTTACTTCAGAACATAAATCAAGGCCCTGCCTCTTTCCATGAGAAAGTCTTGCCATGTGGTTGGGTGCAGTGGCTTATGCCTATAACCCCAGCACTTCGGGAGGTTGGGGTGGGCGGATCACTTGAGGTTAGGAGTTTGAGACCAGCCTGGACAACATGGTGAAAACCCATCTCTGCTAAAAATATGAACATTAGTGGGATGTGGTGGCGCACACCTGTAATCCCAGCTACTTGGGAGGCTGAGGCAGGGCAATCGCTTGAACCTGGGAGGCAGAGGTTGCAATGAGCTGAGATCGTGCCACTGCACTCCAGCCTGGACGACAGAGAGAGACTGTCTCAAAAAAAAAAAAAAAAAAAAAAAAAGAAAGAAAAAGAAAGCCTTGCTATGTAAAAAAACAGTTGTCTGGATTAAACAGTATAGTACATAGTGATGGAGTTGATTTACATTTTGTGGAAAGTTCCTTATTTCCTCATAGGGCTGTGGACCACCCTTTGAAAGCAGCCAGCAGAACATCACTCCTCAACCCAAGTCTGGCTCTTCTCCTCTTTCTCCAGGGAAGAATCGGGGCACGTCCTGCGGAAAGACCTGCCGGGAAGACCGCGATGATGAGTGGATGGGGGTGAGCCTGGCCCGACAGCCCAAGGCTGATGGCCGTGTGTTGGTAAGTCCCTCCTGGGGGTGCTGTGGGAAGGGGGTGGCACTCTGAGAATGAATGATCTGTTAGGAAGGCTGGATGGCATGGTGACAAGTGCATGGCTTTGAGGTTGCTTATTCTGGACTACTGCTTAGACAAATGACTTATCTTCTTATTTTCTTTATCTGTCAAATGTGAATAATGTCTGTCCCAAGGTGCTGAGATGTGACTATTGAAAAATAAAACATATGTGAAAAGTGCTTTGTACATCTCATTCATTACATAGGTATTTGTGTGTGTGTGTCTTAAATTGAGGTATAATTTACAGTACACAAATCTTAAGATTACAGTCTTGATTTTCACAATTGTACACACCTGTGTAACCATATGCCCACTGAGATATAGAATATTTCCATCGTCCCAAAAGTCTCCGATGTCCCTTTCCAGCCAACTCCTCTCACCTGAGACAAACCACAGCTGTGATTTGTATAATACATTACTTTTGCTTTTTCTAGAATTTCATATAAATGGAATCCTACAGTATGTGCTCTTTTATATAAGACTTCTTTCACTCAAAATAATATTTTCTGAAATTAATCCCCATTGTACGTATCAGTAGTTCATTCCTGTTTATCTCTACATAATATTACATTTTATGAAATAAATGTTATTTTTAACTAGTTATTTATCGGACCTCCAAAGCACCTATGCTGTATTTTGATCCGTAGGTGCTTTGAGGGAGATAGAAAGAAAAGTCTTTGCATTTGAGACTCCTGAGATCCTGGAGTTGTGCTGTGCAGTAAGGTGGCCACCAGCCCTGTGTCCTTATTTAAACTTAAATTTATCCAAATTAAACTAGAAATTCAGGTTTTTAGTCATATTAGCCACATTTAAGTGGCTCAATAATCACAAATGGTTACTGGCTACTCTATTGGAAAGCAGAGAGAGAGAATATTTTCATCATCACAGAAAGTTTTATTAGACTCAACACGAAAGGAATTTCTAACACTGCAGAGGTTTTGTTTTTGTCAATTTTTCCTTTAAGCTTTTCTATGAGGTATAATACTAAAGCACTTAACACACCCAGCTGTGAGTGCACAGCCCGATGGGTTTTCACGCATGTACACTTATGCATCCCCATTGCCAGTACTCCGGAAGAACCCCTGCACCCTTTCCCAGTCAGTTCCTCTGCCCTTGGTGAGTGAACAACTATTCTGACATAGGCTTTCTCTTGCCCTTGACTTTTATCAGAAGCTGTACGAAGATTTTTGTTATAAAAGCGTAAGCTCAAGAGGGGAAAGTAATACTAGCTGCCGCTTATGGAGGGCTTCATTTGGGTCACATGCTGCAAAGCTGAGGGTTTCGTGTGTATTTTATCCCAGGGAAACAGGTTTTCCTTAAGGCACTAGGCAAAGTGTTTTTGTCCCCTCTCTAAGGAGCCCACTTTTGTGTTAAACTTCTTCATGGCATAAGCTGTTAATCTGAATTCCGTCCTCAGCACAATTAAGCATCTCCCCCTTGTCGGGCCCCTTGGGAGAGGAGGAAGCAGCTGGATGCTGTCGCCAGCATGGTGGGGGCCTCCCTCCTGGAAGCCGTTGTAGGTCCTGCACAGGCTCCCTGAGCCCGCTGTTTGCCTTGGTTTCCAGTCCTTTCATCACTGTCATGGCTGGCCCTGGACCCTCTCCAAACTTCCACATTCCTCCAGGCATGGTGGCCTGACCCTGACTGGACAAATGGGCCCCAGAGGGGCTGAACCCTTGTCTGCCATTCTGGGGAAAGAAAGGGAAGAAGCTGACTCATCTGTAAATCAAAGGGTAGCCCAAGGTCCTGATTCAGAACAAAAAGGAGGTGGTGGCCCCGTGGCAGCATAACACAAGATGCTCTTAAGGGCATCGAGCCTAGAGTCAGAGTTTGCTCCTGTGAAAATATTTCCTCTCTGCAAGGAAGGATAACCTCTCTGTGGCTGAGGGCTTGTTTCCAGAGGGGCAAGACAGAATTCTGTGTTACCACAGATCAGTATCACAAAGGAGTCATTTCTGGGGACAGTGAACAGCAATGAGGACCACAGGGAAGATTTAGCAAAGGGAGCCAAGAAGGCAGCACTAGAGCATTTGTGGATAATGGTGCCATGGATAGTCCTGTCTAATTAATTGCATGCAGGACTATTTTTTTAATGTTTTATGAAGTTATTGCATCATCCACTCAGTAAGCCACTGTATATGGGTGCTGGGCAAAGAGGAGCATCTGACACCATCTGCTTTCCTTGTGCCTTTTGTTTGTTTTTCTAATTGTGGCCAAACACATGACATAAAACTTACCACCTTAACCATTTTGAGTGTACAGTAGTGGTAAATGTATGGCACATTGTTGTACAACAAACCTTTAAACTTTATCTTGCAAAACTTACATCCATTGAACAACACTCTCCTTTTTCTCCTTCCCGTGGTTCCTGGCAACATTGTATTTCTATTAAGAGTTTGACTACTTTAGATCTTATGTGAGTGGAGTGTGGTGTTCGTCCTTTTGTGACGAACTTACTTCATTTAGCATAATGTCCTCAAGGTTCATCATGTTGTAGCATGTGACCGGATCTCCTTCCTTTTTAAAGGCAGAATAATATTTCATTGTATGAATTCACCATGTTTTCTTTATTCATCTATTGACGGACATTTAGGTTGGTTCTATCTCCTGGCTGCCGTGATGAATGCTGCTATAAATGTGTACCAATATCTCTTTGAGATCTTGTTTTCAGTTCTTTGGGGTATACACCCGGAAGTGGGATTACTGGATCAAATGGTACTTCTATTTTTAATTTTTAAGAAACCTCCATACTATTTTCCCAAATGGCTGCAGCATTTTAAGTTCTCACCAACAGTGCACAAGGGTTTCAATGGCTCCACGTCCTTGCCAACATTTATTGTTTTCCTTTTTTTTTTTAAATAGTGGCCCTCCTAATGGGTGTGAGATAATATTTTATTGTGATTTTGGTTTGCATCTCCCTGATGATTAGTAACATTGAGCATTGTTTCATCATCTGCTTGTTGGTCATTTTATATCTTTTTTGGAGAAATGTTTAGGTCCTTTGCCCAATTTTAAATTGGATTGTTTGGTTTTTATTGTTGTTGAGTTATCCTCATGGCATTTTGCACATGGGCAGTCTTGCTAGGAAAGGCTTGTCCTAAGTCCCCTCTGCCCCTGCCCCACTCTGTCCTCGGCACTTCTCTTTCTTCCCCTGTATGGGCTCTGCCTCCTTCGTGAAGCCTGTTAAGGGTTTTCTGGAACAAGCTGAGCATCTTTTGTGTCATTAGGAACTCAACATCATCTTATTACTTATATTGTGTGTATAATTTATTTTGTGGCCATATGTCCCCTTTTATGGAAGCCACTTGGGGATAGAGACCAAATCTACCCACTTTCATTCTCAGCATCTGGAGGACATCTCTCTAAGGAATGGCATCTGAAAGTGTGTTTGAATAATACAGGGACTGAGGGTCAATGTTAAAACAATTAGAAACCAAATTAGTTGCCATCTTTTCTTGGTGGCTGATTCTAAGTGGCTGAAGGAAACACCAGGAAACATTCTGTAAAATGTTCCTTGGAAATGGCAGGCAAAAACAAGATACAGTGAGTGTCCCTATTTACATTTGGAGGTCTCATAGCCATTTGCTTTTTTCTTTAATGTTTCAACCCTACCTGTCAGAGCTTTCTGGGAGGCAAGTATTTACTTTTAAATTAAAAATGGGAAGGATATGTGTTGTTCAGGTGCATTTTGAGAACTTGAGAAGTGCCTGGGGGTGTAGGCAAGAGACCAGTATCCCCAAGGAGCACAATATTGGATTCCAAGGTTGGGTTTGAAGAGGGAGAGGTGGGCTAGCTCTTTTGAAAGTGGTGTCTGGTGCTGATAGAAAACCTAAGAACAAATGGAGAATTTGAAAGCTGCAATGGGGCGTGAAATGTCTCAGTGACCAAAGGCATTATGTGGACCATGGACCCAGCAACCAGCTCTGGCAAGGACCAGATTGTCAGGCTGGTCTGGCAGGTTGACCTTGGCTTAGTGCCTGCCCATCTCAGCTCCATGGACACTGTTGCACCTCCCAGGTTTTCCCCAGAAACAAATGATACTGGATGTAAAGATAGCATCAGGATTAGAGGCAAGCCCCTTCCCTTCTCACTCTCTCATCCTGAGCTTCCTGTGTGCAGACGACATTTTAAGAAATGAGCGGGGAGGGGAATCACTTCTTGAAATAACCACTGAACAAACTCTGTATAGGCACTGACTGCTGCTCAGACTTTGGAGGACAACTCAAAATGTTCAAGTCTAATGTCGCCCCTTTTCATCAGACTTGCCAAGGCTCAGACAACAAATAATTTAAGCTTCTAGATTATTTTTGTGCAGAAGCAGTATTCTCTGGTTCTCTTTGTCATTTCCTTTCTAATTATCAGGGCTGTCCTTATCTGTTCAGTGCTTCCCATCTGTCCATTTTTTTTTTTCAAAGCCACAGGGTACATTTTTGCATTTACTTCTGTTGCTCTGTTTCCTGATTTTTTTTAAAGTGAACTTTTTATTGAGCTGTAACACACATGCAGAAAAAGGTATAAATCATCAATGTATACCTCAATAAATTTTCATTAGGTGAACGTCCTCAGAATAACATTTTCACACCCCAGCAGCCCCTTCCCAATGCCCCTCCTGGCCACTTCCTCCTCGGTTGGGGAGCTTCTTAGGGGAGTCTCATGGCATCTCAGCCTCTCTGTGATCCTGCTCCCCACCACACACCATTCTTAGCAGCCAGGCCCAGTTGTGGCCGTGCACTGTGGACCTGGATGCATGACAAAGGCTTTGGCCATCTCTATGGCAGGTGCGAATGTAGGAGGGTTGGCAGGGACTGATGTGCCTTTGTGGCCGAAGCACCCGGAAAGTGCCATTACCCACCTCTAGGAGGGATGTGTTGTTTCCATACAACAAAAAAGGCCTTTGAAATAAAGTGTTTATTTTCTTTCTCTTTTTCCTCTTTTGGGAGGAAGAGCAATCCTTATACCTTGAAATGTGTCAGATTCTAATATTTGGAGTGGGACAAGGCCCTCCTTCCCCTTTCTTATGATTAGTTGAAATCTGAGTTTGAGCAAGTCTTGCTGTTTTCAGAGAATGCTCTCCTTCTCCTGTTCTTCCCTCACAGCCGAACTCATTTGGAGAGATTGATGGAGTTACTAATGCTTTGGAGACAGTCCCTAGGAATTTTTTTAAAATGTAGTGGTCAGATTGACATGTGTGTATATATAATGATAATCAAGGCTAAACACAGTCTTCTCTTTCTGTAATTTATATTCAGAGACACTTTGCATTGTTTTCCTACATGAATCCTTCCTTTGACACTTTGATCTCTGACCTCCCAGAATGCTTTTAGTTTAGTATGAAATGCAATATTTGGATCTTCTAGGAATTTTCCAAGATCACCCCTTAAATAGTTTATGGCACTTAAAAAATGAGACAATACACCAGACATTAAGTACAGCAAAGCCTTCCTATAAGTGTCAGTGTGCAGCTGGCTATCAGACAGCACCATGATAAACATCCGCCTCTTTTCACAGCCCCTCCAACTCAGAAATACAATAAAACATGGTCAACCCTTGAAGCCAAGGGCTTTGCTAAGTCCAAAAACTTAGCAAAACCAAAACATAACTGATTTACCCACAAATTAGATAACAATAAGTGATTCAAGTTTGCGAGCCATAAGAATTGAGTCAGAACTTTAAAAATCAATTATTTAGCAGTATGGAGTGATTATTTACTTAGTGATATATTTTTTATAGTTCTCTGCCTCATATCATTTCAGTCTATTTAGAAACCTGCTATTTTAGCACAAAACAATATCAAGGAGAGGAGTGAATGTGGTTTGCAGCAGAAAAAATAACAATAGATTGTTTTCTGTAGTTTAATGTCATACGACAAGAGGCAGAATGTGGGCAAGCTCAGGTTTTGAGAGTCATTCTGAGTGTGTCCTCTTTTGCCATTGGGCAGAGAGTGGCCTTGTCCAGGGCCTTGGTGGCAGTGGCTTGAAGGATGAAGAGCAGAGAGCTTAGAAGGCTGTGATCTTATCATAGAATGATGTCAGGGAGAACCAGGCCCCAAGAGCCCCCTCACTCACTCGGTGACGTGGGGCATTCCATTCGACCCCAGAGTGGTTATTTCACATGTCCTGGGACATGTGGCAGGGGGGCTGTAAAGAGGATAAAGTCACCAGGCCTGCCCCAGGGGGTGGGTTTTGATGGCCTCTCAGGTAGGAATGAGAAGTTTTAAGATGGAAAATGCTTCATAGTGAAACAAGGAAGACTCAGAATTCCTGGATTCCAGTGCTGTTTGCAGCACTTACTAGCTCTGCCACTTAGGCAAAGCACTCTTTGATACATGGTGCTCTTGTACAGAAAATGGGAATTCTAAAGACACCTCTGCTCACCTTCCAGGATTGCAGAAGAGGTCAGAGGTAGGCCATAAGAACGCTAAATGTTATCACTTACGAAAACAATGCGTTTGAGGGAGGCAAACCAAGATGTTAAAAACTGATTATTTTCAAAAGCAATATTTTAAGAAAATGCATTCACTGGCTGGGGTGAAGTGAACTGATATCAGAAGTGAGTAGTGAATGCCCAGGAGAAGTGGAACGGGCTGGGCAGGGTAGAGTGTGTGCCTCTGAGTAAGCAGCTCGGCTCTTCATCAGCACAGCAGTGACATCTGGATGTGCAGAGACATGCACGGGAACTGGGGCCACTGTCATGTCCAAGCAGAAGGCAGGGGCATGTTTAGTGTGGCAGAAGGACGATCCAGGCCTGCATCCTGGCTGCTGGCACTGCTCCAGTGTCTGTTAGCAGAGCTGCCCTGCCTCATGGTGTCTTGCGTGGCTTCGACCCTAGTGCTGAGAGGCTCCTCTGGAGAGCTGGCCAATGCATCTGTCCATCTTCTTCGCCAGTATGCGGAGCTCTCATGCACCCCAAGACCCTTGGCCATGAACCTTCCTTCAGCTTTCTCCTCAGAGAGGCCTTCCTTGACCTGCCTGGCAAAACCAGCCACTCCCTGGCATGAGGGAACTTTCTGGTGAGATGGAGATGTTCTGTGTCTTGCTAGGGCCTTGGTGACATGAGTGTGTACATTTGTCAAAGCTCATTTGTGCATTTTGCTGTATGTAAGTTTCCATAAAAAAACAACTCTCCACACACATTTACTTCTAGTTAATGAGATGCATGCTGAAGTGTTTCTGTGGGTAGAAACATGGTTGAATATCAGCCATTCCTCCCTTCCCTGCTGTCTCCACATCGGTTCAGTCCCTTGGGCCTGTCAGCTCTGAAGCCACCCCCGTCGCCCATCTCCACTGCCCCTCCTGGTCCAGACCTGCATCATCTCTCACCTGGTGTTCATTTGCACTTTTGCCCTCCTGCAGTCTCCACCAAGCAGCCAAATGGTCTTTCCAAACTGTCACTTGGATCATGCTTCTCAACTGTGTAAGACTCTCCACCACTTCCCATTGCAGATCTGCTGAAGTCACAGCCATTCCTACGTCCCCCTGTGGTCCAACCTTGGCCGCCTCTTTGATCTTATCTCCTTCCCACCATGGTCACTCCAGACCGGCCTTTCTTTCTCTTGAGCCTCTGAGCCTTTCTCACGATGTATCCTTTACATTCTGCTATCCTTTGAATCCTCCCAGAACCCTCTTCCCCTCATGCTTCAGGCCTTCCCGACCTCTGGTGGAAACTATCCTTCCCACTCCCAGATTCTCTATTCTATAACCTTGTTTCTTTCCTTCCCAATGCTCAGGACTAGCTACAATTCTCATTTGTTGATATATTTATTTCCTGTCTCCTAGTAGGCTCCCAGTGGCTTGTTCCTGTTCATGCAGTTTTCTGATGCCCAGAAAAGTGCCTGTTATGAAGGTGTGGCTTTCTGGTCCCTCTGCTCCTCTCTTCTCCCACAGAAAGAAACATCTGGCACTGACAGGAGTCTGCTTTGTGATCTTTTGGGGCCAACTTTCCTGCTCTCAACTGCTCTCTATCCCTTTAGGCCTGTGCTCATCGCTGGAAGAACATCTACTATGAAGCCGACCACATCCTACCCCATGGCTTCTGCTACATCATCCCCTCCAACCTCCAGGCCAAAGGCAGGACGCTGATCCCTTGCTATGAAGGTGAGCATGGATTGATTTTTCCTCATCCCCCTACCCACCTCATGCCCTAAGCCCGCCTTCCCACCTCTATGCACCACCAGCTGAACATTTCCCCAGCTTTCCACATGCTCATGATAGGGCAGCACTGTTTGCTCCCAGATGGTCTCTTGGTCCCCAAGGCCCTGCCCAGAGAAGAGGCAGGTACAGAGGGGGCAGCAGTCCCAGGCCTTTCCAACCCTCACCTGACTTGGCTGCAGAGCCCACGGTGCTTACCAAGCATTATGAAGTCTCAGGGACCGAAATTCACCAAGCCTCAGCCAAGTGACCTAACAGCTGCCTTGGTTTTCTGGTAATGCCAGGTGCTGTGTTGCCTTGGGAAACTTACCTTCTCTCTCTGGACCTCAGTTTCCTTGTCCGAATATTCAGTGGTTGGCCCAGATGATCTCTACAGCCCCAGGCAGCTCCAAGTCAGTCATTAGGCTCCCACACAGCTTCTGGCTGCACTGTGGACAGATGTCCTGAGGCTGGGGGGAGAGGAGACCCAGGATTCATAAAGCAACAGCTGGACAGAAACCTGACACTCTGAACTTTCAGCATTTCATGACATTTGAGGTCTGACTTTCCTTCCCATGTGGTCCTGCAGCCCAGGCAGATGCTGGAGAATTGGGCGCATCCTGAATGTGGTTTTAAGAGCTCCTCGCCAAGGGGCACTTGGAAGGAAAATGTATCCTCTCAGACTTAGAACCTTCAAATGCCTGGGCATCGAGGACAGTCACTAATAGTGATTGAGTCAGTCACTATTTAGCCCAGTCGAATCTGAGCTTTAAGCGTTCAGAAAACACGGTTATTTTCTTCAGTTTGATAGCTCGTAGTTTCAAGTTTTCTCAGCCTAATTTTGGGTAAGCTGGAACCTGCTCCTTCTGTAAGTGCTGGACTATTTATTTCTTAATTCCCCTCCTACTTTATTTGGACAGAAGTCTCACTGGCTTATGTCCACATTGCCTTTGGGCCTCCCTGGGTTTTCCTAGGTTTCAAATTTTGTGGACACTAAAAAGGATTCATGAGAAACACTATATGGACACTGGGACCCTTCTGGGTACTGAGGTGACACAGGTAGGGTGCTCTGGGAAACGTCCCCCACAGAAGAGCCAGCAAGATCTCTGCAGGAGGCACAAACCCTCTCCCCTATAGAGTGAGCCTTCCTTTGGTTTTTCTTTCTCCTCTGTATCAGCATTTGATCAGCTCTGGCTGGGCCATGTAGGGAAATGAAACTCTGGCCCTGTTTATATCTGTATTGTCCCAAACAGAAGAAGAACAAACTTCATCTTAAAAATAGAGGATGATATAATCAATCAAGAGTGGAGGGATCGTTGGTTTCAGAAACGCAAAGCATGTGTCAAGCCTGGGTTTCCACTGCCCCAGTTTACTCCTCCTTTTTCCTAAGGAAGAAAAAGGAAAAGCCTCTGGAACAACCGGTGGGGCAGCTCTTCAGGCTGAGAAGGAGCGATGGGCTCAGCAGGGTGATGGAGGCAGTGATTGTTGAACCATACTAGTTATGCATAGGACCAGTACTTTGGTTTTCCCAGAAGATGACATGTTGTGACAGGGACACATGATGGTCCCTGATGATTCCTCTATATATACCACAAGCACAAGGACAGCCCTCTGAAGAGGGAGGTGGAGTTCAATGTCCATGTGTACGCAGGTCCACGAGGCTCATAATTCTGCATTACTTTCTATTAAGTAGCTGTGGATCATCAGTAGGCCAGTGTTGATCTGAGGTCTTTACACATTCTCTCATCTAATCTTCCCAGAAGCTGTGAAAAATGTTTGTTTCTTTTTTTTCTTGGGTCTGATTACAGGTATTTTATTTTGGAAATTGTTCTAGAAGACACCAGTGAGGCAGGGGGAAGTAAGAATGGGAAGGGAAGGCAGCCCATGGAAGATGTACTCCTCAGCACGTTACCTGGGCGAGTGGGTGCAGTCTCTGGGGTGGGTGCTGGGGCCAGTGTGGAGCACACATCTAGAGTCCTCCTGCCTGAGGGCTGAGGGGAAGGGGCTTCCTCCACCTGGCATCCTGTCCTGCCATGTGTGTGGGCTGGGAAAGCCTCCAGGACAGAGGTGCTGGCAGGTGGCAGTCAGGCCACATCATAGGAACGGTGGTAGGAGCTGGGGGGAGACAGGTGGGATGCCCAAAGGCCAGCTTCTGTGTTGTCATTCTCCTGTGACAGGAGTAAGTGGAGACTCAGAGTGTATGTGAATTGCCCCAGGTCACTCAAACAATAAATGGTGGAGCAGGATTTTGAAGCTGGCCTCTGTCTGACTCAGCAAACCATTTTGTGTCCTGGTAATTAATGGTAATTTCTGTTAGTTTGTTTTTTAGGGTTTCTAATTTAAATGAGAAGTAAAAGCCAGTCAACAACCCTCACAAAGCAAGAAAGGGTGACTGAACTATCCCAAAAATACAATGGACTTAATGATGGTTAAATGGAACTGGTGAAGAAATTAGCAAAATGATTATGCCCCTGCCCAATCTTCCTTCCCATGGGCGCACACACACTTTTATATGCTAACCCATTCATTGGCCCAGGGTGGGAAATAAGGGATGGATGGGGCTGGCATGTGGAGTATTGGGGTGTAAGAGCAGCCCCTTAGAAAAATGGGGGACTAAATTGAAAGTTTCTGTAGTTCTTGGCCCTGTAAGAGGAGAGGGGTAGAAGATGCTGAGTATTTTTCTAGAAGACTGGACTGGACGGGTGGGGCTGGGAGGATGCCGGCCGTAGTGAGAGGGCTCTTGTCTGTGCTCTGTTGGCTTTAGGCATCTCCACCTCCCTGTTTTGTGGTTTAAACTAGACCTACTATGGCTTTTAAGGCCACCATTATTTCCTCAATGTGGAGAAACTCAGTAATGCAAGTTCTCTGTTCCACGTTAGGGGTCACATTATGGTTAAAGACAATGGGAAGATTTTAGAGTTTGACAGGACCTTTCAGATACCACCTAGAACAGCCTCCTGTCTTTCATGAGGTCCAGAGAGGTGATGGCCTGAGTTTTTCTTTCTAATCTGTTATTCACATGCCACACAATGGAGAGGCAGAGTAGCTTGGTGGCCAATGCACAGATTCTGGACACAGACTGCCGGAGTTCAAGTCCCGGCTCTGCTACTTCCTCTTATTAACAGTGTAATCTCAGATGGGTTATTTAAGTTCTCTGTGCCTAACCAACCTCAAGGGTCTATGAAGAGGACTGAGTTAATGCTTCTAAGTCCTTAGAACAGTGTCTGGCATATACTTGCTAATATATGCTAAGCATATATATACTAATATGCCATGTACAACATACTGTATTCTGAGCAAGTGTTTGTTAATCATCATAGGGTGACTGACTTGTGTACCGGGAATAGAATCCACTTAATCTTAAGTACTTGTTAGTTGCCAGATAGACAAAACCCAAGTGACACAGTTCCAGCTACCAAGAAGCTCCCCATCTACAGGGGAAAACAGAGAGGGGACAGGGTGTTTTAAAAGTGGGAGGGCCGTGTGGAGAGAGAATTTCCTGCCAGTGTGTACTGCTGGAGCCCGTCCCCAAGGGCTTGAGCTGCATCCAAGTGCAAGGTGGCATTATTTCATTTTACAATTGGAAAAACTGAAACCCACTTAAAGTCTGCAGGCTGTTGAGACTATGGAAGAGAGGGATGGTGGAAATTCGAGACTGGTCATGGTGGTGGGAACAGGGCAAGGGAGGAGGGGGACGGCTGCCTCTAAACCCACTTCTTGTGGGATGGTGGAAAGACCGTGGGAGGGGCTGTGGGTTGAGGACGGCTCTGCTGCACTTCTGCCCCTTTAGCCTCAGGCCTGTCACTTGGCCTCTCAGTGGGAGTCGATGCTGTGATGCCTCCACTGCATTTACCGCTTTGGGTTATGGTGAGGAGCTCCCGAGAAAACTCAGGTGAAAGTGCTCAGCAAGGCCACCCATTGTTCTATAACTGTGGCCTCATGGTAAGTCTCCATATGGGCCAGCTGTGCTCCTTTACAACATTGGAAGGTCGGTTTGGTTGCAGAGACTCTAAATATGTGGGGATCTCTCCAAAATGTCTCAAGCTTTTGAATTCTTAAAAAATTGGTCTCTGGTTTGGCACTAGGACATGGCTTCTCAGGTGCTTCCTGTTTCTGGTTGGATGGGAAAAGCTACCAGAATATCCTGTTGGAACCAGGAAAAACAGAGGAAATGGGAAATAAAAATGAATTTAGGACATAAACTCATGGAGCATATCCTTCAGTCAGTTTAGTTTGTGTTTGTCTGATGTGAGAACATCATTACCTACCATATGTTCTTTGGTTTTATCAGAATGTGTGAGAAAACGAGAGCTTTGGTGGGACGATGTATAGGGAAAACTACTTGTAAATTAAAGGGCAAGCACTATAAAACATTAATTACTATTAACCAAGCTATGATATTTTAGGACTCCGAAATGTTAAGTCAATGCATGTGATAAAATCAAGTACAGAGATTTCTTTCATCCTTTGCCCTTGAGACCACTGAGGCAAGAAGCCGGAACTTAGCAGGAGTGAGACTGCAAACAAGTTGTCTTTTTATTGTGACCGAAAAACCTGATGAGTGTGGAATAGTTTGGGAGCAGCATGGCAAATTAACAAAGCCTGTTCAAGATTAAACTCTGAGAAAGAAATGCAAGAGGTAATTATGATGCCATGGTATGTTAGACCTAAATTGTGGAATCTGGCTTTACTACTCACTTATTGCTATGATTAAACCTATATGCTCCTACTTTCTGACTTAGTGACCTTAGGCAAGCTCCATGAGCCTGGTGCCCTCATCTATAAAATGGGGAGATTAAGATCTACTTAAGAGGTATGTGAGGTATAAAGTGCCTACCACAGTGCTCAGTCGAGAGTGAATGCTGCTCATTGCCTTCAATTAGAAAATGTAAATTTTCTAATTAATTTTCAAGCAACATAATAGTATTCTTAAATATTCTCAGAAGGTGTCTAACATATCCTGTTTTAGTGACTAGATAATGAAGGGTAGAAAGCTGGATATTCCTAAAATGATTTTAAGAGCCCTTGGCAAGTTATAATTTCTCAAATACTGTTGAAGATCATATTGGCACAATTTGGTTGGTAAGTGTTCCTTCCCTCTTTTTGTAGATGACCTAAAACTTTAACTCATGCCATGTTTAAATGTTCTTAAATTTGGGATTGTTGAAGTCTGAATTTTACTGTGCTTTAAAATTGTGATGGAAAAACTTCCTATGGATTCCAAAGATTTCTGTACCACTCTATTATCAGGGAATGACTGGCTTTTATTTCTAGTGTGTGTTTGCATTTCCTAGGACAGTGATCATTTCCAGGGAAGGAAATAGATTACCCATTCAAAGGTGAAGATTTTTTTCCCCTTTAATGTTAAAAGTGGTCTCCACAAGGGATAAAAATCAACGAAGGTCCATTTACAAATGAAAAGGAATTGGGGTTTTGTTGTATTTTTGTTTTGTTTTTGTTTTGGAGAGAACCATAAAAGGCTAAGTTGATCCATTTAAAAATTCAAGAACAAGCCTCATAAATTTTTATTAAATAAAGACCTCTACATTTACATAGGATTTTATGGTTTCCAAGGAGCTTTAATAAACATATCTTATTTAAATAAATAGAGCAAATTAAAGAGAAGAGGATGCAGTTGTACATTATGGCCAGTTAAACAGAGAGGGATTCTGAGGGGGAGGAAGGGAGGGAGGCCCCAGAGGACAGCCATGGCTGTAAGGAGGAGGCCAGAGGTCTCCAGCAGGGCCTCTCTGGGGCTTTCCAGGTTTCCTTGGAGCCAAGAATTTTAATCTTGGGCAAACCTGTCTCCTATACTTCAAACGTGTTTCCATGTATTACGTGGAATTATAGACTACCTAAACTGCATCTTTTGTTTCTCTCAGAAAAATTCACAGATTCAGATTCACCTAATATTTATTGAGCACCTACCTGGTGCCAGGGGTTGTGCTAGGTACTTAACATTTTTGATCTTACTGAGTAATCACATCATTCTCAGATAAGTATTCTTATCCTTGTTATACAGATGAGAAAACTGAGGCCCAGGGAGCTTGATGAAGGTCACAGGCTTATTAGTCAGAGGAGGGGTTGACGGCTTTTAAGTGTGTAGTAGGTTTCTTTGTAGCTACCTGTTCTGTTGGGATCCTGGTTTTCTTGGTGATTACTGAGTGCTGTGGCCTATCACAGAAAAAAAAGTCATATTTTTTTTCAATGGCATAATTTTATGAATTTTTGGGACACTACACTATAGACTTGTTAAGCTATGTTTCAGTTTTGCAATTATAGATACACTCTGTAGACAAGTCCCAGTAGGTACAGAGGGCAGACGTGGGTCCTCAGACTGATAAAATGTAGCCAGGAGACCAATCTGCTCTAGTCTGGAGTGGCTGCTTACTGGGAACATTTGGTTTCAGTATCTGCACAGCAGTTTGTCTGTCCATGCTTTGGTGCCAGTTATTTCATGAGTCTTTTTATTTTTATTTTTTGGTTATATAGATCAGAGGTTTCCGTGTTGCCCAGGCTGGCCTCGAACGTCTAGCCTCGCCTTCTTATGCGCCAGGACAACAGGCCTGAGCCACTGCAGCTCCCTATTTCATGAGTCTTTTAGCTTTGGTCCCAAAATTGAATTCTGCTCAGTTCTGAGCTGGGGTTCTCACTGAAATGTGACTGTCCCATGTTCAGGGTCACTTTTTTTTTTCTGAGAGTAGAGCATGACATAATGCATAGTAAGTTGCATGTCTATATATACATTATTATGTGCCTGTATTATTACTTGCTGCTGAAGTAGGGAGTTGGCAAAATGGGTTGCTAAGTTCTAGGTAAAGGGAACGCTTTAAAGATTACAAAACTCCTTTTTTGGTAATATTAAAAAATTATTGGCCAGGCGTGGTGGCTCATACCTGTAATCCCAGCACTTTGGGAGGCTGAGACTGGCAGATCACCTGAAGTCAGGAGTTCGAGACCAGCCTGACCAACATGGTGAAACCCTGCCTCTACTAAAAAATACAAAAATTACCTGGGCATGGTGGGGTGCATCTGTAATCCCAGCTACTTGGGAGGGTGAGGCACGAGAATCACTGGAACCTGGGAGGCGGCGGTTGTGGTGAGCCAGGATTGCATCACTGCACTCCAGTCTGGGTGACAGAATGAGACTCTGTCTCAAAAAAAAAAAAAATATTGTAAAAAATAAATAACATAAAAATTACCATTTTAACCATTTTTAAGTGTACAGTTCTGTAGCATTATGTACATTCACACTGCCATGCCATTATCACCACCATCCATCCCCAGAACTTTTGCATCATCCCAAACTAAAGCTCTGTACCCATTAAACATGAACTCCTCATTCCCTGCTTCCCCTAGTCCCTGGCAACTGCCATTCTACTTTGTCTCTGAATTTGGATACTCTAGACACCTCATGTAAGTTGAATCATACAGTATGTGCCCTTTTGTGACTGGCTTGTTTCACTTAGCATAATGTCCTCAAGGTGTATCCATATTGTAGCATCTGTCAGAATTTTCTTCCTTTTTAAAGGAAGGAATATTTAATAATATTCCATTGTATGTGTGTGCCCCACATTTATCTATTCATCTGTTTATAAAACATTTTCTTTGGATGATAAGAATGTTTTCACTGGAAATGTGCTTTGTGAAGCATAAGGGAGTGGCAGAAGCAGATCAGAAGTTGGGAGCCTTGCTCTTGGGTCCTGATGCTGAGGCTAATCAGCAGTGTAGCTTTAAACAAACCACTTGCTCTTTCTGAGCAAAAATATTCCATTTGTAAATAAATGGACAGAGTTAGAGTTATTAGGCATTCCCTAAAGATCTTTTCCCCTTTTAAAATCTTTCTTTCATTTAATTCTAAGTTTCTGGCTTTATGCACTTTGTGTTTCATGCACACCATAGCTTAGTCATCAGTTATTTTCATAAAATGTTCTCGCTTCCTCTTTAACCTAGCTGTTTAATTTATTTACATTTTTTCCCCCATTTATATGGTGGTCCCTTGTAAACTGAGGGTAGTTTTATTCTCTCTTCATTTTTCTGTATAATTGCCCTTTTTTTTTTTTTTTTTTACTAGAGCTGTGTCTGCCCAAATGCATTGTTTCCTGTATTGTACAATTATCAGTTATTTAGATTTGCCACTCTGTTAGAAACAAAATGCTTGTTCCTCAGTGCCACAATGAAATAGCACTTGAACATAAATTTAATTTTCTCAGCAAGGCAATTTTTACTTCTACTGAAGCGTGCGACTTGTGGATGGAGTAATGGTGAGAGCACACCTGGACAGGGGAGGGGCAGGGGTTCTTATTCCTGTTGCAGGTAGCCCCTACTGCTGTGTCGTTCCCCTATTTCCTGGGGTTCAACTGCATAGTCTGAGCTAATTCCAACTGGCTGTTTTAAAGAGAGCAGACTACGATCCTGAGTGGCGGGGTGAGTAGTTTGGTGGGAAGGGTGGTTACAGAACAGGTGACTCAGGATGATTTGGGTCAGAGCAAGTGACCAGGGGTGACTCAAGATGGAGCAGGTAACCAGGGTGACTTAGGTTAAAGCAGGTGACCAGGGGAACAGATCTGAACTACTGATTAGAACTGGCGGGAAAGTTGTTTACTGAAACTAGAGGCAAGGGGGCCAAAGAGAACCAGGAAGTTAAACTTTAAAATGGAAAATCAAAGAATAAGAGAGCTGAACATATTGACATACTGATTCTTTGAAGAGAAACTTGGAATTCGCTATAACAACTCCTTGGTGAAATTCAGAATAAAGACTGGCAAGCTATTTTTCCCCCAGTATTTTATTTCAGAGCTAAGCTAAGGAACTACAGAAAAATAATTGTAAAATTGATGTGTTAAAAAGCTTTGAAAGACAGAACTTTCTCAAATGGGTAATATGAAGGGAGATTATTAGGAAGAATATATGTTATGCTGTATGTGAATCTTGATCTTTCTGTGGAATGGTTTTATCCTGGTCTTTTGGAAAGGGTACAGGAAGTGACCCCACCCGATTGGTGGTCTGCTTGAATTACATTCATTAATGTAGGCTCCATGCATTGAGTTGCGGATTGTGAACATTTGGAAACCAGTATTTTTTTTCCTCTCTGAATTGCCTTCTGTTTAGACAGGGCTTAATAAAACCAGCAGCTAAACCAAGGAAAATACTCCCATTTTTAGAATGGAGGAGCCATACGACTTAATGAATTAAAGCATGTAATGCAGGCCAAGTAATTCAAACCCACCCATGGCAGGAAGAGTTCCACAACCTGGTTCCAGCTCCTCTAAGTGACTTCTAAGTCCCCTTGTTCAACCCTATCTTTTGGGTCTCAGATTTGGCTTCCCCCCCGCTTTTTTTTTTTTTTTTTTTGAGACCGAATCTGGCTCTGTTGCCCAGGCTGGAGTGCAGCGGCATGATCGTGGCTCACTGCAACCTCTGCCTCCCAGACTCAAGCCATCCTCCCACCTCAGCCTCCTGAGTAGCTGGGACTACAGGTGTGCACCACCGCATCCAGCTAATTTTTGTATTTTTGTAGAGATGGGGGTCTCACTTTGTTCCCCAGGCTGATTTTCAACTCCTGGACTCAAGTGATCTGCCTGCCTCGGCCTCCCAAAGTGCTGGGATTACAGGTGTCAGCCACCGTGCTGGCCAGCTTCCCCAAATGTAAGGGTTAGGTTTGTTACAGTGCCTGTGAGCTGCTGTCAGGCAAAGCCTGCTTTTCCCCTGCTTCTTTGAGGTGGATAAATGTTTTGTTCAGTAGTGGAGAGGGCACTAGCTATTGTAGTCCTCTCTGCAGGGCCATGTCCCTGGGGGCATTTGGAGACCAAGTAGACATGCCCAGGAGCAGCCAACTGCTGGGCCCCACGGCCTTTGTGTTTGTGCAGGAAAAGTTCTTCCTGGGAACACAGGAGACTGGAGGTCACCCCCACCCCTTCCCAGGTCCCTCCACCCTGCACTTCCTGGACTTGTCAATGGAGGGAGGGTGTGTGACCCAGGCTTGTTGGGGATGTTGTTTGTGGGGCAGCCCCTTGCCTCTCTCTGCGCCTACCTCACTTCCCATAGCTTTGTGATATAGGCTGTCCTGCCATCTCAGGTCTAGACAAGCAAAATCAAGTTGTATTTTTAAGTTTTTTAGATACGAGTATGGTAGAATAACCCTATGTACATACTCTTTGGGGAAGAAAGGCTCGTACATGAACATTTAGAAGATGGATTAGGGAGAAACCTAAACCTGCCCTCTTGACATATATATGAAGGAATCAGGTTAAAATAATAGTAGTGCCCTTAACTCACAGAAATAGCATTCAAAGGAGTGAAAACAATGGAAAGCATGCTTGTGGCCTAGGCTGTGGAAGGTGTGGAATGTGAAACTGTCTAATCCAATAACACCCACTAACTTTCCTAGACTAGAGTTGCCAGGCCCCACAACTGCCCCCAAAGTGTGTGTGGCAGGGATCGGATAGGTGGTAGAAGGATTAGAACTGGATTCTACTCTACCTTGAAGGGATTAATGACAGTCACAGAAGTTTCTGGGAGGCTGGGACATGGCCTGCTCTCTGATCTAGATTTGATTATAGGAGCCAGTCAGGGGCCCCCATTGTTTGATTCCTTGCCCTAGAGCATCCTGAGAAGGCAGCTTAGACTTTGGGTTTCAGAAACATGAAAGTCAGTGATGGTACCGACTTCCATGTGTGTCCCAGGCCCTCAGACCTCTGGTGGGGCAGTCCCAGCTTGGGAAGGCGGAGGCTGGCCTGAAAACAGTGCTTCATGCTGCCTGAAACAGGGGTGCCTTTAAGGGCTTCCCCTTGCTGGCCTTCAGCCTGGGCCAGAAGTGGGGTATTCTTAGCTCCCAGTGAGGCTGTCACCACCTCGGAAACCCGAGGTCCTGCTCCCAACATAGACCACACCAAGTACAGTTTGGGGAGGAGGCACTGAAGTTCTCAAATCTCCCATTTTTTGGAGACCTTGTCATAAAGAGACCTTGAGACTGCTTTAAAAGATGAAAGAGTCCCACACAATTCCTATTCATGTCAGAAATTTATGAGGCTGAACTGGTGGTGTGTCTTGCACTATAGTTTCATTCAGCTCATGGGGTCTGAATTTCCTTTTTATGTTTCATTTTTTCAAGAGTTACAATTGGGTGTTTAGTCTCTAGAGTCAGTGGGATGGATATGCTTTTTGCCAGACTTTTCACATTTAATATGTAACTGTTTGTTTAGGTTGAGACATTTTGATCCTTTTTGCCGTTGTGCTATTTGATGCAGGATTTATTATTAATTTGTATTATTTCTTGCTATTATGAAATTTGATGCAGGATTTGTTCATTGCTTTGCACTAGTCTCACTCGCAGCCCTGGTGCAAGATTCTGCAGGGAACAAACAAGTTCCTTTTGTCACTGGACTGCTTTCTGGCAGGTCTAGCAGTTGTCCTTATAATAACCGGACAAGGCGGGAGAACTGATTTTATCCTGCATGGAAGAGGAGTAACTCAATTGACATTCTTTGTCATTTAGCAGTCAGTTAATGGCCACTTACTGGAAAATGTTACTAGGCTCTGTGGTGAGTGTTGTTAGAAACTGAATTACTCTGTATATTTCCCCAGGGCCCTTTTTCCCCTTGCCTGGAGTAGACACTCAGAACGGCAGGAAGTGGCACTGTGTTGCAATCATAGTTTCATTGTTCCTTTGTATTTTGCATTTCAAAAATAATGATATTGCTTTTAATGGTACCAGAGACTTGCCAGGAGCCCAGGGGGTGGTACAGGGTCACTGGGGTAGCCCCAGCCTGAGGGTGCCCAGGAGTGGTCTGTGGAAGGTCTCCAGCAATGTCAGCCTCACATGTGATTAATTTGAGTCACTGTGAACATCTCTCCACCTCCTTGACTTTACCCATGAAATGATTTCCAACATCCAGTCACTTTCCTGGGTATTTTTAGTCACTCACTTTGCAGAACCTTTGATGGTCTACAGAAGTGAAGGAATGGGTTTCTAAGTCCAAGCTGAGGTAGAATCCTGGCATTGCCATTTACTAGAGCTGTGTGACCTTAGACAATTCACTTAACCTCTCTGAGCCTCAATATTCTTACCTGTTAACAAGTGGGGATATGGGTTCCCAGGGATGAGGGACCGGTGAAATGATATGCCTGGAGACAGCTAACACAATGCCTGGAAAATGCTAAGCACTTGTCAAAAGTTTCCTACCCCTCTTCCTTGCCAGCTTAAAATTATAACTGCAGCAGCAGAACGCCCCCATTTGTTGGGTAGCAGTGTTGTGAGCTGAGGGGGTGGAGGAGAAAAGCTTATCTGTTAGTTTTCTTTCCACCTGGAGAGATCTTCCCCCTTTCCTTCCACACAGCAATAGTGTAACCGAATGCCAGAGCAGTCCCTTCTTCTTGCGGTCCTCTGTGGACGGCTTGTTTCTTTTTGGATGGTAGGAGGCATCCAAAGCCTCTTTTAGGGAAGATTGGTCTTCTTCCAGGAGACTCCACACTGGGATGGCCACATCATTCCATTTCTGGGTCACGTTTTCAGCTCCTTGGGCCTGCAAGGGATCTCTGTCCCTTCTGGAGTAAATGAAATAATTGTCACTAGCCTCCCACTTAATGACTGTGGCTATTGCTCCTCTTTCTCGCACACGAGGGGAGGAAGTCTGCTGGGGCACTGGGCAGCCTCCCTTCCCGATGGCACCAGAGCCTGGATTTTTGAGGTCTGGTGGATTCCTGAGACTTTCCTTCCTCACCCCAGTCTGGATGGCATCCCTGGGCCCAGCCTGCCGCGGCACTCGTGGGAAGTGGCTGGCTGGCTCTGCTGGCTCCACGCACAGCTGGCATACACTGACATGGCTGTGGTTTGCTTCTCTCTCCTTCCTTCCCCCTAGAGTATAAGAAGAAGTACGGAGAGGAACACGGCTCCTGCCAGGCTGGGATAGCGGGCTTCTTCACCGAGGTGGGTGTCTGCTGTCTGGGCATTTCTGTTCTCTTGTGGGTGTTCATTTCCTTGCTTATATGATTTTGGCAACCCTTAGAGGTGGGACTTCTGGAGTCCCAGATACTTGAGCCTCGAGGGAGCAGATTCTGGTCCTCACACCAGAGGAGGCTATTTCTACCTGCCCGGAGGGCACCAGCTGGCCAGAGACCACTGGGCAGAGGAGGTGGGGTGGCTCATCTCGAGGCTACCCCTATTTGATGATTTCTGTAGGAGTCTGCTTGACTCTGAGACCTGGGGAAGGAGTCGATTTGGGGATGTGTGAGTGAGATGACATTCAGTCAGGTTGTGCCCCATCATTGGCGGCTGTGCAGATACATGAAGCGTGTGAGCATCCCCTCCTAGCAGCCTTCTCTCCTTAGTGGAGAGACTTGTTTGTTTTTCGAGACAGAGTCTTGCTATGTCACTCAAGCTGGAGTGCAGTGGCATGATCTCGGCTCACTGCAATCTCCGCCTCCTGGGTTCAAGCAATTCTCTTGCCTTAGCCTCCCGGTTATAGGCGCCCACCGCCACACCTGTATTTTTAGTAGAGACGGGGTTTCGCCATGTTGGCCAGGCTGGTCTTGAACACCTGACCTCAGGTGATCTGCCAGTCTCGGCTTCCCAAAGTGCTAGGATTACAGGCTGAGCCACCACACCCGGCCTGAGAGACTTGGTTTTACACACAACTCTAACCATTCCTTTTCCCAGATTCAGAAGGACAGGACACCTGCATGCTTATGTGCCCGTGTGGTAGTAGCATGACTTTTGGCTGGTAGTACATTTTTAGGGACTGTTTTCTTGTGTCATTCTTACTTACTGTAAGTTTGCCCTTCGTATCAGTTCCTCCTCTCTCAAACACTTTCATGACTGCCTGCTGGCACTGTCTATCCATGTGGTTGCTCAGGCCAAAAAAAGAGTACTTTTTACTTCTAATTCATCTGCAGTCCTGTTGTTTTAGCCTCCAAAACACATCCCAAATATGACAGCTTTTATTACTATTACAATCGCCTCCATTATCACCATCATGCTTCTAGAAAGGCCACCACCATCACCTGGAGGTACACTGGCCCTGATTGGTCTTCTTATGTCTATTATGCTTTTTTAAAAATTGTGGTAAAAGATGCATAATATAAAAGTCACCACTTTAAAGTGTGATTCAGTGGCATTAGTGCATTCACAGTGTTGTGCACCCATCACCATGGGCTAGGTTAGAACACTTTATCACCCAGCCTGCATCCATTCTGACCTGTGAAGTGTGCTTTCTGCATACTAGCCCCAGGGTCCTTCAAATGAAACCCATCCTTCTGACTCCGAGGCTTCCCAGTCCATGGAGGATTACAATGTAAAGCTCCTCATCCTGGCCCCTGGACTTGGCTCCCTGAGGCCACCTCTCTCTTTTCCTCACTCCAGGAGAGCAGAGAGCTGGGGAAGGGCATGGGACATGGGGGGTGGAGGGAGGATGAAGGGTGCTCTCTGGCTTCCAAAGTGAGGGCCCCTCCTGAGTCAGGAGCAAGACTGCCTACCTTCCTTTCAGAAACTGCTGTTTAAATCCAAAGAGAACATAGACAGTTGGCAATATAGTGTCTGATCCAGAAAGCAAGAAAGAAAAGGCAGAAAGTCTGAAGTTTTATTTTCACTCTCAAACCAATAAATAGGAGATGCTACCCTCCAACCCCCATTCCGCACCCTCAGTGATTCTTACCTCGCTGGAGAATCATTTTTATGACAGTCGACAGAGTTCTATGCCCTGGGAATGGCACCGCCAATCATCCTAACCATTGAGGCCGAATTTAAAGATTGTTCTCTCACCTCACTCTCCTACTTCTAAGCCACCTTGCAAGTCCCACCACCTCCTATGCCCTCAAAACCTCTAACAATGACATCCATTGCCCTCCACATCCTCTGCCACCCTACAAATCTAAGCCATAGTTGTCTTGCTTCCAACCCACTGCGGAATCCTTCTGCCGTCTTGCTTCCACCCTTGCCTCTGGACAGACTGGTCCCCATGTAGCAGCCAGAACCACCTTTTACAAACAGGAAAAATATCATGGTGCTCCCTTGCTCAGGACTTTCTGGTGTCTTCTCATCCTACTTAGAATGAAATGCAAATGCCTTCCCTTGGCCTCCCAGCCTTCATACCTTTCCAGGCTCATCTCCTACCTCACCCACTACATGGTATTTTCAGCTGCTGCTAGGACATGCCGGACTCCCACTGGTGGCATTGCACTGGAGATCCATTCACGTGGCTCCTTGTACACAAGTGTTTCTTTAGAAGAGACACTAATGGAGGAACTGCTGGGTCCAAAGGCACTCAGATTTGAATTTTGATACATGTTGGCAAATTGCACTTCAGACATGTTTACCAGTTGACACTCCCCTGCATTGCTTCTGTCTCTATCTTCTCTCACTCAGACTTTAAATTTTTGTTATGAAAAAACATCTCGTTTTAATGTCACTTTCCCTGATTATTAATGTCATTTAATATCCTTTTAAAATATTGACCATTTGTATTTGTTTTCCTGGAAGTTGCCTGTTTATGTTCTCAGTACATTATTCTGTTTTGTTGTTGTTGTTGTTTTCCTGGTTTTTAGGAACTTGTTACATATTTTCAACAGTAATCTCTTACCTGATCTATGTGTTGCAAATTTTTTCATCAGCCTTTTTCTTATGTTTTAAGTTTGCCTATGATGTCTTTATCATCCTGGCAATAAACATGCACATTTGGCCAAATCTATCAGTCTTTTTTTTTTTTTCCCTCTAGATTCTAAACTTATCTCTTAAGAAGGTTATTCCTTATGTATACTGCAAGTTGGCATGAACAGCTGGGCAGGAGAGTGCCCGGGATCTACAACACATGTCTGGGCTGAACAAACTCCCATATTTTATACTTATATTTTCAATATACTTGTATTTTTAATAGCACTTTCATAGGTTGTTTTTAAAAAAGATTTCGATCTTTAATCTTTCTGGAATTTGTGTTGTATACATTGTGTGATAGAAACTAACTACGTTATTTTTCTAAATATATAGTTGGTTGTTCTGATACTGGTTTGTTAAACAACTTTTCCTCTCCCCATTGAAATGCCATCCTGCCGTGTGGCGACTTCACTCTCTTCTTCCATCTCAGCAAACATTTAGATTGTGTGACAACTATGGCTGTTGTTCCTCCAACAGGCCTGTCTAGTATTGTATGACTTGAGTCAATAGGCAGTGGGAACCACTGTAAGTTCACAAGCAGGTGACACACTGGCAGATGGCAGTGTTGAAAGAAAGGCTATTTGAGCTGGGTTTGCCCAGAACTTTGGGAGTGGAAGGGCCTGAAGGGAGGCCTGGTAGGAGGCCGTGATGTGGTAGGAGGCCGTGAAGCAACAGGACAGTGTAGAGGGAGGCTTAAGGAATAAAAATGATTGGGGGAGGCAGAGAATATGAAGGAAATGTCAAGGGGCTGGGTGGCCAGGGAGCTGTGGGGTAGAGGAAGGAGGGTTTGAGCCAGGCTTCTGGAGAATGGTGGTGCCTCTGGTGAAAAGGGGTTGCCTGAGAAAGAACCCATTGGGAGATATAAACTGCCAAGTCTGCTTTCAGACACAGGGAGTGTGCGATGTTTTTAGAGGACGTTTGGACTTAGGGACTGGAGTCCTGCCTGGGGCAGAAACTTAGATTTGGCCCTTGCTCATGACTCTCTTAGGGGATGAGTGTGCTTAGTGTAGGGCATGGGGGAGACACCTCCCTTTAGATGGGAGGAGAAGCTAGATTGATGGGAGACATCAGAACTCAACGGAGATGTTGACAGAGAGCCGAGGAGAAAGTGTTCCCAGGAGGGAAGTGTCATTATGTTTGCCGCAGCAGCTGGCAAGTCAGGCATTGGGCTGAGTGGAGGCAGGGAGTGGTAGGAGGAACCGGCGGGGCAGGAGTGTGGAGGGGAAGTCCAGGTAGCTGTGCAAGCTCAGGGTGACCAGAAGAACAGAAGACCTGCTGAAATCCAGGCTTTGGGATTTAGAACCTGAGGGAAACATGGGGTGTCAGCATGTGCTGGCTGTGCTCATGGTACAGCAAAGTGGGGACATGGTGGGTGTACAGAGTGTCCGGGGAGGGTGGGCAGTGGTGAGTGGGAAGGCAGCCCCTCTGGGCGCCACTCTGTCCTCTGACCCCGGCCTGCTGTCTCCTGGCTACTTTGGACTTTGGCCTCCGCTTCAGTTCCCAGGCTTTTGGCCTCCTTAAACAGGAGGTCTTTGAACTCACTGCCTGCCTTGTTTCTGGAAGTTCAGCTGTTTGTGGCTGAGCAGGAAATGTGGTTGAAGGGTCCAGGCCAGCGCGACTCCCCTCCTCTGCCCTCTTGCTGACCTCGCCACTTGGGCTTGCCTTTTCTGTGAGCTGTTGTCCCCTCCCAAGCTGGACATGGATCTGTGGCCTTCTGGTCATAGCTATGTTGCCCCAAAATATTTTGGCCTAAGGTGCCTGCTTGACCTACAGGTCAGTGACCCTGAGCTTAACAAAGCCTTCGGAGCTATGGATACCACCTGAATTTTAGCCTGACATTGAGGATTAGAGAGAATTTCCTGGGAGGTTTATTTATTTTTGTAGATGAGGCTAACAGAGGTAGTAGATACTGCTTAGCAGCAAGAGAGGATTTGGACCAGCTGGGCTGGCGTTCACGCCTGCTGTAGAAGCCTAGAGGCACTTGGGTGGGAGTTTGTTCAGCACGGACTTCTGTTGTAGATCCCGGGCACTCCTGCCCAGCTGCTCATGCCAACTTGCAGTACACAGAGGAAATATATGGCTTCTCCCAGGCCCACCTACATACCCCGGTTCCTCTAGGTGTTCTGCTAATAAATGCATCTTGGGAAAAAGCTGCATTGCTTATTGATGGGATTCCACAAATGTGATTTAGGTAGTGGTGGCCTTTGCTTAGAGAAGCTTTCATTTGTGTGTGTGACATTGACACTGGCTGTTCCTGCATGGTGGGGAGCTAAGTATTAGTCACTTTTTCCTAGCACTTGTGAACAGCACCAGAAAGGTCACAAGCATCATCCATAGGGAACAGAAAAAACAACTATGAGGGATTTCCAGGAAGGCACTGTCCCTCCCTTCAGCCTCAGCCCTGAGGGTCGCAGGCTTGGCCCTGTTTTATGTAGTATGGGCTGAAGGGAGAGGGGTGTGAGCACTGGGGGCGGAGTGGCGTGGTGCGGTAAAAACAAGAGCTGTTGGTTTTAAAGGTTTTTGAAGACAGGAATTACTTTATCTTACCCTGTTTATAATGTTTGAGAGGGGATGCAGTGGTATGGTAGGCATACATTTTTCAACTTTTATCCTGGGTTAGTCTAAATCATCAGAAAGCAACATATCCCATCCCTGCCCCCAATGTTCCGAAGAGCCTTTGCAGGCCTGTGCTGATGCTCAAAGCTTTGGCCTGTGCAAAGCTGCAGGTGGAGAAAGCTCTGCACTGAGGATACATCTGGGGCTGAGGAGGTTGCTCATTAGGTTCTTCAGTGCCCTTTGTATTATATTTGGACACTGATTACAAATTCCTTTCCAAGCTCAAGGCCAGGAGAAAAAGTCTCTCCTCTGATGAACTTATTTCTGTTTTTTGTACTCTTTCTAGAACTAGCGTGGTCTCTTATGCAGGACAGATGAGTGTAAAAAGAATGAGTGGATGGATGCTCTGCTGTGTTTCCCAGTGGAGCGTCCTGACTGCAGAAAGCTATCTATTTTTATAAAACAGTGAGATACCCCTGGGAACATCTGGCTTATCATCAACAGCTTCCTTCAAGGGGGGTAGGATCTCAAAACTTTAAAATGAAGTGCTCATCAACAGTCATTTCTTGTCTACACCCTCCTGAATTATCAAAAAGCAAGCCTTTCCGGCGAGAATCTAGTGGCTTTTCTTCCATCTGTGTTCCTGCCCTATCCTTTGTTAAGGCTCTTCCCCAAATTAACCATAACACGTATTGTTTAAGGCATTGCCCTCTTGCCTGCAGGCTCTATCCTCCTCTCTCTATTTTTTTTCTTTAGGTACTTCTGGCTTTTGCAGACACTTGCTCCCTGAGAATTCAGTGGTGACTTTATGAATTGTCCTCAGAAATTCTAAATCTCTGCGGCAGGATCTAGCCTCCAGGGACTTGTCAGAGCCAGCAGCTTCTGCCAGTGCGTGGGCTCGTCTCTGCAGAGGGAGATCAACCTGAAAAGATCTGTTTCTGAAATATATGTGGGTGACCAAGGGACGGGGTGCAGGGGAATTCTGAAGGCTCAGGGGAAGGTCAGGTGGGTTTCAGCAGTGAGAGACTTGACCTGCACAGCATCTGTTATCCCCATGAGCCTTCATGACCAGTATCTTTGGAGTTTTGTCTATAGCTGAAAGATTTCCTCTAGAAATTTTGTTGATTTTAACCTGTTTGCATAGAATTTTTTTCTGAAATACTTTGCACATTACCATGCTGTCTTACCCCAAGAATGATCTACGAAGGGACTTTATTTATCTTTATATCTAGTGTGAACTCTGAGATATAATAGTAGGTGCCCAATAAACATTGTTGAGTGAAAAATTACTGATTTCATTAGAAAAATAATTCTGATTATTTCTTATTGCAGTGTCGAAACTTTAGAAAATAAAGGTAATCCAAAAGTAGGGATTCCCTGTTGGGGAAAGGAAGGACTGAAAGCCAGGGACCTCTGATGGATACAAGCACAGCCTGCCTCCTAGCTCCAGCACAGCCTCTGCACAATGGGAGCTTCGTCTTAATGCTTGTAAAATGTCATCTCATTAGCATGTTTTGTGTTTTTATGTGATGACTTCCTTGTTAGTGTTTAATCACTGTTCTGGAATTTTAAAAAGTCAAGATTATTAATTAAAAAAATTAATACATATAATAAAATACACTATTTTAAATGCAGAGTTCGATGAGTTTTGACAAATGTGTATACCATGTCGTCTCTGTCTGAATGAAGATGAGAACATTTCCATCACTTTGGGAAGTTCCTCATGCCCCTTTGCAGACAGTGTTCCTCCTCTTTACTCCAGGTACCCACTGATCTGACTTCCATCAGTGTGGATTGGTTTTGCTGATTCTAGAACTTCCTATGAATGGAGTCATTTTTTTCTCATCAACATTTGGTCTAGGATTCACCCATATTTCAACTGAGTTTTGAATACTGCGAAAGGGTTACACAAGCAGAGGAAGTGTGAGGGCATTGCACAGATGGAGATAAAAAGATCAGAGGGAGTTCCGAAGACCAGAATTAGTTTAGAGTGTCCTAGGCATGCAGTCTGAGGGGGCAGTGGCAGGAGAAGAGCCTAATGTGGTTGAAATAGTGGACAGTGTTGAATTTTACCTGAGCCCTGTACTCTTGGAAAACAGTGTGGTCTAGAATTTTGAAAAATGCAAAGGAAATAAACTTTGGGAGTGAGAGAACAGGGGATGTTGATTGATTTCCATTATCGTATCACCCAGGGGAAAACCCCAGCAGATATCTGTGCTGACTTCCTTGGGTGACCAAATCATTTCTGGGAACTTAGGGTTGTTGTCAGCATTGGTGATGGTTCTGGGGCACAAACATGCTCTCAGCCCTGTTGACCATTTCCCCCTGATCTAAATGCTGAAGACAGCTGTGCCTCTTATGTTCTTGAGTCTTTTTTTTTTTTTTTTTTTTTGGCAGAGTCTTGCTATGTCACCCAGGCTGGAATGCAGTGGCATGGTCTTGGCTCACTGAGACCTCTGCGTCCCGGGTTCAAGCGATTTTCCTGCCTCAGCCTCCTGAGTAGCTGGGATTACAGGCATGTGCCACTACACCTGGCTAATTTTTGTATTTTTAGTAGAGACAGGGTTTCACCATGTTGGCCAGGCTGGTTTCAAACTCCTGACCTCAAGTGATCCACCCGCCTCGGCCTCCCAAAGTGCTGGGATTACAGGCATGAGCCACTGCGCCCGGCCTTGAGTCTGTTTTTAACAGTGATACCGTCTATTGCTGCCTTGTGGTCCCCTCTTCCAGTTTGTGTTTTTCCTTAGTTGACCTTGCTGGTCTCTTGGTTTTGTTCTTCCATGTTTGCAGTGGACTGTAATGATCGGAAAACCATGTTCTAGAACGTCCCTGAGAGGGTCTTGAGTGTGGTCTGGAGGGGATTCCCTGGAGTACTAGTGCACAGTTTCCTCTCGCTACGCATCAGGTCGGGGGAGTTGAATGGTGAGCCTGGAGTCCAGGCAGGGTGCGGTATTGCTTACTGCTTTTCATGAGTGGTGTTCCCCAGAATCTGTGGTTGAGGTCAATGTCAGCTGTTTGTCATTTCCTTGTTAGAGCCTGATGTAAAGTTGAGGAAACGTGTGTGGTCTCATCGTGGATAGAATAGGGGCCTGGCCTGTCGTGAATTCTGTCACCTTGCTCAGTCTCTTCACATCTTTAGTCCTGATAATCCCGTCTGTATAATAGATTCCATAATGCTGATGAATCTGGTGAAATCTGTTTTTGTTGCTTAGCTGGGGAAAAAAAAGTTCTTGGTGTGAGGAATTTCTCCTTTGTTGTGACTGTGGTTCTCATTGCATTCCCCTCCTCCCCTCCTCACTTCCTTCTCTGCTTACCGTTGGATTTCTTTTTGGTAGGAGCTGGTGGTGATGGGTGCTCCAGGGTCATTTTATTGGGCTGGAACCATCAAAGTGCTGAACCTTACGGACAACACCTATTTAAAACTGAACGACGAAGTGATCATGAACAGGCGGTACACCTACCTGGGTGAGTACTCAGGGAGAGAACAGGTAAGAAAGGGGAAATGGGAGTGATTCCCACCAGATTCACAAATTATTGCTTCATTGTTGGAAAGAGGAGTTAGTTGGCTTTGACGCCTGTTGTTCTAATGACTTACATCTTTAGCCAGGGCATCTTCACATCTAGCTCCACAAACACAAGGTAGAGAGGAAAACCAAGGAGGGAACTGAATTAAAACTGTATGCTTTAATTAAAAAGCTGACAGTTGAACCTCCAGGGAAATAAACATTTTATTTTCTCATTTTATCAATTGTTGAAGTTCAGATGGTCAGGTAGAAATGAGTGTGATGGAGTCTTGATTTTCCACGGGCGTCCCTTTGGATGGAGTCCTTGCTTTCTGATCACAAAACTGGTAGCAAATAGAAAGATAAGAACTAGAAATTATCATGACAGATGGCAACCTAATGCTGAAGGTTAATTAAAGGCTCAGAAAAATTTCTCTTGCTTTCTTAACTCTTTTAATCTTCTGGAAAGAAGATAGACACAATTTAATGTAGCTATCAGGCAGAATGACACTGGGACAAGGTCCATGCCAATTTAAGAACAGACATAGGCTGTCTTTGCTTGTGTAGATGACAATTACAAGACTCTTTTCTTTAATTTATGCCCTAAATGCTATAATTCTGGATTGAAAGCGAAGCTAAATTTAGGAAGGCCTAATGATGACACACAATGCTCTTTCGCACTCATGATACATAACTTACAGGGAAAGGCCCTGACTCCCTTTTTGCATAGCGTCACTGGGAACTTCTTGTTAAATGGGGTTAGGGAGTCGTTGACTTGCCTTTTCCCTTCTAACTACAAGTTTTTTGCCTGGTAGCATAGACCCAACAATCCTTCTACTCTGGGGTGTTTGCTCCTGTAGGCACCCAGCTGCCTAGTGCTGTTGCTTATTAAGCATTTACCCTATGCCAGGCTGTATGTATTATTTCTTTTTAATTTCTGAAACAACCTTATGAAGTAGCTATTATTATCTACATTTTATAGATAAACTGAGGAGCAAAGAAATTATACATCTTGCCAAGGTCACATGGCTCCTAAGTAGCAAAATTAGGGTATGAGCTTGTGGTTTCTGAGTGCAGAGTCTAAATGCTGAGCTGCCTTCCCTGTGGGTGCGTCTGAGAGAGCACCTATCACTGGTACTGTACTTCTCACTGGGCTGGGAGCACCTTGAAGACAAAATGTGGGATTGTGTCTCACATTTGGTATAGTGCCTGGTGTATAGTAGTAACTCAACACATATTTATTGAATCAGGGAATGAAGAGAGAGCAGAAGAAAGCCCAGTTTGGATGATGGGTTTGGGGTCTAGAACAGCTCCTTTGAAGCTTCGAGCCTGTGGTTTCTCTTTGTATACACATTAGAGGCTCTTATCAGCTGCAGGGATTATCAAGGATCCGTTCAGGCTTTGATCTCACTCAGAATACTCTTAGGTACTATCAGTCGCCAGTCTGAGAGAAATCAGCCACATGGTGAGGAAGAATTGATCATGATATGATGTCATCGCGAAACTCAAACAACTTACAATCACTTTAGGGTTAGAGGGTGATGACAAGTTTGGGGATTATATGGCAGCCTGTACAGGATTTATGCTGGCCAGAGGAGAGCTTTCAGCCTGCTAGCAAGGCTCTCAGAAAGCAGGAGACGTTGAGGCTAAGCCTAGGCAATCTTTTCCTTTGTTTCTAGGTTCCTTTTGCATCCATATTTTTTCACTGACCACCCTCCCACCCATCCACCCATCCATCTACCCAACCATGCATCTACCCACCCACCCACTGACAGCTTCTTTTGCCTTCTTGTAGGAGGGAGTGTGGTTAACAGCAGGGGCTTTAGAGGCACAGATTAGATTTGAGTCTTGCTGTGTGATCTTTGGCATGTTGTTTAACAGGTTTTTCTAATTCTGTATCTGTAAAATGGAAGAAACAGTCATGCCTTCTTCATAAAGTTTTTAGACTGAAAGAGATACCTAAAGACATGCATAAAAATGTTGGTAGCAACCTTGTTCATATTAACCCCAGCCTGGAAACAACCTAAATGCCCAGCAACAGAATAAACATATGACATATTTATATAACGGATATTACTCAATAATAAAAAGAAACTACTACTGTACTCAACGATGTGGATGAATGTCACAGATGTTATGTTGAGTGAAGTTCAAGAAAAGGCAAACCTAATATATGGTGATAGAAATCAGAATAGTGGCTACCTGTGTGGGGCATATTGACTGGGAAAGGGCATGAGGGAACCCTCTGGGGTTATGGTTCTGTGGTTATAGTCACTTCCTTGATCTGGGTGGTGGTTGCATGGCTACGCTCATGTGTGCATTCATTGAGTTTTACACGTCAGATATATGACCTTACCGTATGAAAACTATGCCTTGAAAAGAAGAAAACAGATATATAGTATTTCATACAGTACTTGTCCGAAAGAAGACACTCAGAAAGCCCTCTTTCCTGCCCTGATATCCTTGTGAACATGACTTTTTGTGAGATGAGAGCCATTTCAGCATGAGAAGGTTGACAGCTGCCATTTTTTTCCTGGTAGTTTATGTTCCAAGAGTAGGGAGCATGCTTGAGAAACATTTTCCTCTGATGGATGTTTTTTTTTCCCTTCCCTTCTTTTTCAACCGTGTGCTTGGTTTCCGCCCATCCTGTTCAGGCTACGCAGTGACCGCTGGCCACTTCTCTCACCCGTCCACCATTGATGTGGTAGGAGGTGCCCCACAGGACAAAGGCATCGGCAAGGTGAGGAGAAACATCTGTGGAATAGCTGGGGTCAGACAGAAGAGGGGAGCATGCTGTCCCTGGTGCAGAGGTTTGCCAGCTGACATTGACCTGAACATTCTACTGGGTGGCTGGTGGGGAGGTGATGAGGAACCCCCTGACTGCCCCACTCCATTGGAAAGTTTCCCTTGAAAGCTCAATTAGAGTGTGAGTATACTCACACTCTCGATTTCCTGCACACTCTCATCTGAGGTTTTTCACAGCTGACCATGTGTGTGTGTGTAATTTATAAGACTGAGCCCTGGCCTTATGGTGTCCTTCAAAAGAATGGCATTTAGTGCTGTCCAACTTCAAATCCCAAACCCTTCCCAAGTTTGGCTTTGATTTAATGGAGCTAGGTCCAGTCTCAGATATCTTTGAGGCTTTATTCATGCCCCAAATTATTCTCGTATTTATTTCCCCAGTGTTTGAGAAGGAACATTGGGTTCCCAAGACTGGTTCAGCCCAAAGGCTGGACTGGAAATATGTGGGTCTGGCTTTCCCTAAACTATAGTATCTGCCAAAAAACCCACCCCCTGGATCTAGGGCTGCCTGAATTCCTTTGGGAAACATGACCTCTGAGGGGCCTGAATTGTGAACTACGCTTGTTGGTTCTTTATCATGAAGGTACAGGAAATCCAGATTGAGTAGGTACAGATGGATCAGGAACCCACATTTTTAAGAAGCTCCATAGGTTGTCTGATGGGAAAGACTGAGTGAACAGAGGAATGAACTTTGGATCTGGACCTTTAGGGGTAGACCTGTGATAGAGTCTGGTCATATCTCCCAGGGCTTGGAGAAGTGGAATCTGGATTCTGGATTAGCCCAGATGAGCTGAGACCACTGGTAATTGGAGCCTTCAGCCAGGAGGTCAGGATGATCAGGGAGCTGACGAACTTTCCAGTTGACTAGGCTTGACTAAGGATAATTTCTGTGGATCCTCCTGGGCAGAGGTTAGGAGCTGCTGCTCACGTTTCTGGAGCATGTGCCTCCCTCCTCCCTAACACTGATGCTGTGGAAAGAGGTTCTTCAAAACTGAAACCAGATAAACCAGGGCCCTGAGCTGGCAGGGAGGAGGGATCAAGCAGGTGACCTTCGATCACCTCAAGAAAGAGGTGGTTCTTTCTGAGTTGCATGAATTTATCTAAGTAGAGAAAGAAGCACTGAGAGCTGTTCACATTGATGTTGTCTTCTTGGGGAGGGGCTGCGGGCTACCGGGCATCTCTGTAGAAATGGTAAAAATGCCTACGTCTAGTTCACAGTGATGCGGGTGCCTCTATGCTAATGATAGCAGCTTTCTTTTCTCCCTAATTGCAGAAAACATGATCCAGTTTTATAGTTTTTCCTTCAGATGATTGTGATGAACTTCATAGTCCCTGTCAAGTCTTAAGATGACCCCTCCGCAAACCCCTCTCACTGGCTATCTGGGGGGTGCAAGGTATAAAGTTAAAAAGTTGAGAATGGTACTTATAATTGATAGAGCCAGACAGCGGGACTCCTGGACCCAGTTTATAAAGTACATAAAAATGCTTCTTTCAATTAGACCACCTGAGAGGCATGGGGAAACTGGTCATAGTGACAAAGTTGCTGACAATTCCACATTCCCAGGGATTGGGGCTAGTACAGACTTGATTCCCAAGGACCCCTGGCCTTCAGGATTTTGCTGGATATTCTAGTGTCAGGGCACAAAAGCACTCACACTAAGATGGCAGTTCCTTATCTCATGGGAAGGTTATTTACACTGGTTCTCATGAGACACTCTTCCCACGAGATGTAATCCAAAAAAAAGAACTTCCATAGTCAAGTACATTTAGGAAGTTAAATGTCAGTGATCGTCTTTGCAGTGGCGATGCATAGTTCACATGAACATGCTAAAGGCTCTAAAAAGTTCCACAGTCAAAGAATTTACTTAATGTTTAACTCCACATTTCCCAAATGAAACTCATTTTTACCCAGGCAGATCACATGACTCTAATATTACGTGAAATCACTTTGGGAAACTGCTTTGTCTACAGTACTCATCTCCACCTATCCCTTTATCTTCTGTTGTAATGCCTGGTAAAGTCTTACTGGGAATAAAGTCCAATCCATACCACCAACTAATTTTAAAAACAGGAATAAAGGAAATATTTCAAGAAACAAAATACTAGCTTTTTCTCAGAGTTGAATTGTTTACTTGTAATTTGGAAGCTTCTTGGGTCTTATTGTGTGTGGCTTTTATAAGTATTGTGGTTCAGGAGCAGTGGAGGTGATGTCTGCCTCAGGATTGAAGGACCCTTTTTTTTGCAGGGCTGGTAAAATGACAGCTGACTTCTTCATGATCATCAGCTAGCATAAGCACATCTGCTGTGCACCTGGCTCTTAAGCTTTTAAATAGGACTCCCAGGAGAGTGCTGATAAATATCTTTGATCATTGATTTCATCCTAACTAGATTTTTTTTTTTTCATTCCATAGGTTTATATTTTCAGAGCTGACCGAAGATCAGGCACCTTAATTAAGATCTTTCAAGCATCAGGTAAAAAGGTGAGGTTCTTGGTATAAGTGACTATTTTTTATTTGAGAGATGTGATCATGTGGGAGTCAGTACTTTTTAGAAAATTGGTTTGAAGGCCCTACCTGTGCCCTGTGTTTATATGGCAGTGCTGTCTGCTTGTTGGTGTCTTTACCTTCTCAGCGGTATGTGTAATCTGTACATTCATGGGATTCATACTCGCTTTAGGAGACATTCTGTAGCAAGATGAGTTATATGGGGCCAAGTTACAGCACAGAGTTTTAAGAGATTGTCCGTAGTTCAGACTGTCATCAAAGTGACTGCATGCCCTGTCTCTCTGCCTCCATCCTTTCTCAACGAATCTCCACCTCCAGAGAGAGCAGATCTTTCTGAGTACAGGTAGCAATAAATGCTTCTCACTGAGCCTGTTTCACCAGCCCAACATTACCCCCTTCCCTAATCCTCAGCCCTCAACTGTCATTGCCAAGGTGACTGTTGCCACACAAAGAAAATCCAAACACAGGTTGCCTGATTCCTCTTAGAACCTTGAAGCAGAAATAGCTCAGGGTGCTGCCCTAAAGTTAGCCTGGGTGAGATTACTCTGCCTGGGTCCTCCCCACCCTGTCCCTAATCCTCTCTCTGCTTTCTGAAAGTTTCCATTATACTGCCCTGTTGTCTAAAATTAAGCCAATTAGAGAGTCCTGCTATTAATAAGCAACAGTTTTCATGAGCTTATCAGTCATGCACTTCTTGTGTGGCTTAGATCAGCAGGACTGTTTGGCTGAGCTTGGCTACTCTAAGGGACACAAGTTTAGGCTGGGAGCTGTGGGGGTAATTTGGAGGTCTTGGTGGAGGCCTTAGTGGGATCTGGGAAGAAGCATAGGATGTCTGGGACATGGGAGGAGGCCATGTGCCTCCTCAATTCTGTTCCTGCCGAGTTAGAACTGCTGTACGCCAGCCTAGGATCCTTCCATGTTGTTCTCCCATTCAAGTAGACCTTTTTGCAATTTTAACTATCCGAATAGGTACACTTAGTGTATAATTGTCATTATCTTTTGAATAAAAAATGCATCACCAAACTTGGTTTTGCATTTTTCCTCAGAATGGCTCTGCCTTCCCGAGAACTCTGCTGGCTTGTGTTATTTTAACATTTCCAAAACCCCAAAGCAACAGCACTGGAAAATGACTGTGAGCCATTCTGCAAAAGGGTTTTCCAAGCACCCTTAAAGTTAGAAAAGAAATAACTCTGTGCTACTTGTGATTTACAAAAGAGAGTTTCAAAGAGCAAGTAGGGTATGAGTGGAATTAAGGCTAACATTTTAGATCTTCTGCAGAAGATAACAAATGGGTGAATGTATCTAGCATGGAAACAATCTCCCTCTTCCCTTCAAATGTACCTGGGTTT